>NC_000003.12:33760000-35010000 GCF_000001405.40 Homo sapiens
GCGACAGAGAGAGACTGTCAAAAAAAAAAAAAAAGCTACATTTTCTTTAGTATTCTAATTACAATGACTTTGAGCTTCTGCCTACCCACTGAAGAACCTAATCTCTGCTCATATATGCCCTGTCTGTTCTCATAGTTCCCCAGGTGTTGTCTCACATGATGCGGACAAAATTACTCTCACTCTTCTGCTCCTGCTTCTCATTAGCTTCCTTGACTGTAGGGGTTCTCCAAGAAGAGTCCTTTCTCCCGAGTTCCCTATTACCTCCCAGGGCTGCCAGAGCTGTGTGGGCTCTCAAGTCAAGGTGGGGAGAATGCCCGCCCCATAAGTGCCTATTGCATATTGTCAGCTGAGTGCATTAAAGTCTCATAAAGCTAATGATGAAAACAGGCTGAGCCATAAACTTGAACGTGGTCACACACACACAGACACACACATATATTTATACACTGCTCTTTAGGGCATAGAATATAATCATTTTTCTAAAATAGTCTGCCTATAGTATGAAGAGATTTTATCATCGTCATACTGAGCAATTTAGTAATGTGAAGTCTTTCACATCTCCATTTCAAAAGAAGATTTTTGGTTTACTTAAATAAATGGGATTAGCATAATTTATCAATTTCTTCTTTTTGTATTCTTTGGATTTTTATTTTATTTATTTATTTATTTATTTATTTATTTATTTTTTGAGATGGAGTCTTGCTCTGTCGCCCAGGCTGGAGTGCAGTGGCATGATCTCGGCTCACTGCAAGCTCCGCCTCCCGGGTTCACGCCATTCTCCTGCTTCAGCCTCCCGAGTAGCTGGGACTACAGGCGCTCGCCACCAAGCCCAGCTAATTTTTTGTATTTTTAGTAGAGACGGGGTTTCACCGTGTTAGCTAGGATGGTCTCGATCTCCTGACCTCGTGATCCACCCGCCTCGGCCTCCCAAAGTGCTGGGATTACAGGCGTGAGTCAGTGTGCCTGGCCAACTATTTTATTTTTTGACACAGTGTTTCGCTCTGTCACCCAGGCTGGAGTGCAATGGCACAATCTCGGCTCTCTGCAATCTCCGCCTCCCAGGTTCAAGTGATTCTCCCTGCCTCAGCCTCCCAAGAAGCTGGGATTACAGGCGCCTGCCACCGCGCCTGGCTAATTTTTGTATTTTTGGTAGAGATGAGGTTTCACCATGTTGGCCAGACTGGTCCCAAACTGCCGACTTCAGGTGATCCACCTGCCTCGGCCTCCCAAAGTGCTGGGATTACAGGTGAGCCACCGTGCCCGGCCTTTTGTTTTATTTTTTTGTGTCAACATTTTACCAATTTAAGTGAAGTATAGAACAGTTACCTCCCTATAATTCCCTTTACCCACTCCCATTGACAATATAATTGTCTAAAATGTTTCCTCTACATATTTTGGGAATCACATTGGCCAATGTTATAATTTTTGCTTCAATAATCAAACATAATTTAGAAAACTCAAGAAGAGAAGTCTGTTGTATTTATCTACATTTTTACACTTTCCATTGTTCCTTTTTCCTTCCTGATGTTTCATGATTCTCTCTAGTTTTTTTCTGTTTAAAGAGTTCCTTTAGGCCGGAAGCGGTGGCTCACGCCTGTAATCCCAGCACTTTGGGAGGCTGAGGCAGGCGGATCACGAGGTCAGGAGATGGAGACCATCCTGACTACCACGGTGAAACCCCGTCTCTACTAAAAATACCAAAAATTAGGCGGGCGTGGTGGCACGCACCAGTAGTCCCAGCTACTCGGGAGGCTGAGGCAGGAGAATGGCGTGAACCCGGGAGGCGGAGCTTGCAGTGAGCCGAGATCGTGCCACTGCACTCCAGCCTGGGCGACAAAGTGAGACTCCATCTCAAAAAAAAAAAAAAAAAAAAAAGAAAAAAAAGAGTTCCTTTAGCCATTCTTTTAGAGTTGGTCTGCTGGTGACAGATTTTTTAGTTTTTCTTAATATCAGAATGTCTTGATTTTTACCTTCATTCCTGAAGACTATTTTTGCCCATATGTAAAAGTATGGGTTCACAGTTTTTACCTCTCTTTCTTTCTTTTCCTTCCTTCCTTCCCTCCCTCCCTCCCTCCTTTCTTTCTTTCTTTCTTTCTTTCTTTCTTTCTTTCTTTCTTTCTTTCTTTCTTTCTTTCTTTCTTTCTTTCTTTTTTCTTTCTTTCTCTTTTTCTTTCTTTCTTTCTCTTTCCTTTCTTTCTTTCTCTTTCTTTCTTTCTTTCCCTTCCTTCCTTCCTTCCTTCCTTCCTTCCTTCCTTCCTTCCTTCCTTCCTTCCTTCCTTCCTTCCTTTTCTCTCTCTCTGTCTCTCTCTCCTTTCTCTCTTTCTCTTTCTTTCGACAGGGTCTCACTCTGTTGCCCAGGCTGGAGTGCAGTGGCACGATCTTGGCTCACTGCAACCTCCGCATCCTGGGTTCAAGCTATTCTCCTACCTCAGCCTCCCGAGTAGCTGGGATTACAGGCATGCACCACCATGGCCAGCTAATTTTTGTATTTTTAGTAGAGATTGGGTTTCACCATGTTGAACAGGCTGGTCTTGAACTCCTGACCTCAAGTGATCCACCTGCCTCGGCCTCCCAGAGTCCTGGGATTACAGGCGTGAGCCACGGCATCTGGCCCACAGTTCTCTAAACACTTCAAAAATCTTGTCCCACTTCCTTTTGGCCTGCATGGTTTTGTATGAGAAATCTGTTGTTTGAATTGTTTTTTTTTCCTACAGGTAAATCATTTCTGTCTTATTGCTTTCAAATTTTTCATTGTCTTTGGTTTTCCGAAGTTTGATTATAATGTGTCTTGGTTATATTTCTTTGTTTTTTTCTGTTTAAGCCTCAATTAGCCTGTGAAATTTATAAGTTTATGTCTTAATGCCAAATTTAGGAAAATTTTAGGCATGAGTTTTTTGAACACTTTTTCAATCTCACACTCTTATTCCTCTCTGATAATACAATTTATTGGTTTTTGTTAAGGTTCCACAGGTCTCTGAGGTTCTATTGATTTTTTTCTTCAGTGTATTTTCTTCATGTTGTTGAAGTTGGTTACATTTTATTGATCTGACTTCAGATTAATTGATTTATTCTTTTGTCTTCCTTAGTCTATTATTGAGCTTATCCTGTGAGTTTTAATATTTTATTGTATTTTTTTCAGTTAAAGGTTTTATTTGGCTCTTCTTTACATATTCTGTTTCTTCACCAAAGCTTTCTACTTTTCATTTGTTTCAAGCATGTTCAAAATTTCTCATCGAGTCATTGTATGATGGCTGCTCTAAAATCCTTGTCAGACAGTTCAAGTGTCTGTGCCGTCTCAGTGTTGCCATCTGTGAATTGTCTTTTCTCATTCTAGTTAAGATCTTCTTGGTTCTTGGAATAATGAATGATTTTTAAAATGCAATCCTGGATACTTTGGTTATTATGTTGTGAGGCTCTGGATCTTATTTAAGTCTTTGGTTTTATCAGGTTTCCTCTGATACTGCACCAGTCAGGGGAAGGTTGATGCGCCTTGTTACTGCCAAGTGGAAGTGAAGGTTCAAGCTTTTCATGTGGTCTCCCCCGAAAATGTGGAGAATGGAGGGGCTTGTTACTGCATGATTAGGGTGACAATCCTAGGTGCCCCACCTGGTCTTCTCTGACACCATCACAGTGTTGGGGGAGGAGGAGAGGAGGAATACCTCATGCCAGCTGGGTGAGAGTGGAAGTCTACAAGGGTGGGGATGGGGACCTCAATTTTTCCTGTGGCATTTCACTACAGTAGGACAATTATTGTCTAAGTTTTCTCTCTTGCTAGGTTTCTCTTGTTCTTTCCCTTGGTGAGAAAGAACAGGCTTTTCTTGGACATTTTTCCCCTTTTATTTATGTCTGTTGGCATTTCTGGTTGCCATATATATATATATATGGTTCAGCCTAATGGCTGGCACATAGTAAGTGCTCGATACAGCATTGAGCTATTATTATTTACAACATAGCATAACCTAGATATAAACCAGATTGTACCAACCCATGGATCAGCAGGCTGTCACTTCTTGTTTCAACGTTTTGCACTATCTAATATATTGCAGAAGACAGTATCTCAAGTCCACTTCTGAATAACCCACACTTGAATCCAACCTTTCCTGTTTGCCACCTTATGGTCTCAATTCTCAGCACCAAAACTGGCCCTTTCCTGCTAGTCACCATTTCCCATATCATAACTGCCCCAGGTAGTTGCAGCCCTCTGCTTCATCAAGTGTTCAAAGATGTCTTGCTTCAGTTTCCCCCACAGCACCTCATATATCAGGCTTACCAAAAGTTTTAGCATATTATTAGAGTATTGTTATAGAAAAAAATAAAACATTAAAACTGTTTACCAAGGCCAAGTGCAGTGGCTTACACCTGTAACCCCAGCACTTTGGGAGGCTGAGGTGGGAGGATTGCTTGAGGCCAGGAGTTTGGGACCAGCTTGGGCAACATAGTGAGACCCTGTCTCTACAAAAAAATAAAAAAATTAGCTGGGCATGCTGATGTGCACGTGTAGTCCCTTCTAATTGGGAAGCTGAGGGGGAGGATGGCTTGAGCCCAGGAGTTTGAGGCTGCAGTGAGCCATGATTGTGCCACTGCTCTCCAGCCTGGGTGACAGAGCGAGACCCTGTTTCAAAAAATAAAATAAAGGCCGGGAGTGATGGCTCACGCCTGTAATCCCAGCACTTTGGGAGGCTGAGGAGGGCAGATCACAAGGTCAGGAGATCGAGACCATCCTGGCTAACACGGTGAAACCTCATCTCTACTAAAAAATGGAAAAAATTAGCTGGTGCGTGGTGGTGGGCACCTGTAGTCCCAGCTACTCGGGAGGCTGAAGCAGGAGGATGGTGTGAACCCGGGAGGCAGAGCTTGCAGTGAGCCTAGATCACGCCACTGCACTCCAGCCTGGGCGACAGAGAGAGACCCTGTCTCAAAAAAATAAAATAAAATAAAATAAAATAAAAATTGTATATCATCAGTCATCATTACTCCTAAATCATCCATACTGTAAAATGTTGATTATTTTGTATCAACTAACACTCTTTGCTTTATTTTTGTCTTTTGCTTTATAGGTTGTTAGAACTGTACTGTTTTCCCTAATAACCTATAAAGCGAAAGACAAAAATTATGGCTATAATTTTTCAAACAGCAATATTTTTTCTTGTCCCTACAATACTAGAAACAGCCTACAACAAGGGAGTATTAAAAATATCTTTAAACAAATTTTTATTTTAGGTTTGGGAGTATATGTGAAGGTTTGTTACATAGATAAACACATGTCATGGGGGTTTGTTGCAGATATTATTATATCACCCAGGTATTAAGCTCAGTACCCAATAGTTACCATTTCTGCTCCTCTTCCCCCTCCCCCCTCCCACCTCAAGTAGACTTCAATCTGTTGAAAAACATCTTTTAAAGTATGTTTTTTTCTGTGTCATTCCACCATGGATTTAAGCATCTTAAGGTAACATCTAATTAATAACTTCCTAAAGGCTTAATTAATAAACAGATGTAAACATCTTAAGACATAACTAATAAATAATTATGTAACTCTAATTTATATAACTTCATATCCTCCAAACAGAGACACATTTTCTTTTTATGTGGCCAAGAAATATTTACAAGGCATGATGAATATAATAGTCCATATAAAATAATCAGGCTGGGCATTTTGGCTCACGCCTGAAAGAAATTGAAGAGGACACCAAAAAATGGAAAAATATTCCAATGTTCATAGATTGGAAGAATAAATATTGTTAAAATATACATACTACTCAAAGCAATCTATAAATTCAATGCAATCTCTATCAAAATACAAGTGACATTCCACATATGTTTACTGCAGCACTGTTCACAATAGCAAAGACTTGGAACCAACCCAAATGCCCATCAATGATAGACTAGATAAAGAAAATGTGGCACATATACACCATGTAATACTATGCAGCCATAAAAAAGGATGCATTCATGTCCTTTGCAGGTATGTGGATGAAGCTGGAAACCATCATTCTCAGCAAATTAACACAAGAACAGAAAACCAAATACCGCATGTTCTCACTCATAAGTGGGAGTTGAACAATCAGAACACATGGACACAGGGAAGGGAACATCACACACTGGGGCCTGTTGGGGGGTGGGAAGCTAGGGGAAGGATAGCATTAGGATAAATACCTAATGTAGATGATGGGTTGATGGGTGCAGCAAACTACCATGGCACGTGTATACCTATGTAACAAACCTGCAGGTTCTGCACATGTATCCCAGAACTTAAAGTATCATTTATAAAAAGACAAAAAGATAAAAAATAATTTGTAAAATATGTTAATGGATACACAATAAAAAGCATGTAATTTGTGACATCAAAAACAAAACAAAAAACAAAATACCCAGTGACATTCTTCACAGAAAGAGAAAAAAAAAATCCCAAAATTTATATGGAACCACAAAAGACCCAGAACAGCAAAGCTATCCTAAGCAAAAAGAATGAAACTGGAGGAATAAAAAGAGCTATAGTAACCAAAACAGCATGGTACTGGAATAAAAACAGACACATAGACCAATGGAACAGAGTAGAGAACTCAGAAACAAATCAAAACACGTACAGTGAACTCATTTTTGACAAAGGTGCCAAGAAAATACATTGAGGAAGGCAGTCTCTTCAATAAATGGTGTTGGGAAAACTGGATATCCATATGCAGAGGGATGAAATTAAACTCCTATCTCTTGCCATATGCAAAATGACATAAAAATGGATTAAATGCTTAAATCTAAGACCTCAAAGTATGAAACTACTACAAGCTAACATTGGGGAAAATCTCCAGGACATTGATCTGGGCAAAAATTTCTTGAGTGGTACCCCATGAGTATAGGCAACCAAAGCAAAAATGGACATACCATATATGATACATATGATATGTATCATATATGATATAATATATATTATATTATAAAACATATCATATGTTTGCATATATATAGTATCATATATATATGCAAACTGCCCATCTGACAAAGAATTAATAACCTGAATGTATAAGGAGCTCAAACAACTCTATAGGAAAAAAATCTAATATTCTGATCAAAATGGGCAAAAGATTTTAATAGACATTTCTCAAAAGAAGACACACAAATGGCAAACAGGTATACAAAAAGGTGCTCAATATCACTGATCATCAGAGAAATGCAAATAAAAAATACAATGAGATATCATCTCACTCTAGTTAAAATGACTTATATCCAAAAGACAGGCAATACCAAATGCTGGCAAGGATATAGAGAAAAGAGAACCCTTGACATCATTGGTGGGAATATAAGTTAGTACAACCACCACTGGAAAACAGTTTAGGTATCTCAAAAACTAAAAAATGAGCTACTATATGATCCTGCAATTCCACTGCTGGGTTTATACCCCAAAGAAAGGAAATCAGTATATTGAAGAGAGATACCTGCACTCCCATGTTTGTTGCAGCACTGTTTACAATGGCTAAGATTTGGAAGCAACCTAAGAGTCCATAACAGATGAATGGATAAGGAAAATGTGGTACTTAGACACAGTGGAGTACCATTCAGCCATAAAAAGAATGAGATCCTGTCATTTACAACAACATGGATGGAACTGGAGATCATTATGTTAAGTGAAATAAGCCAGGCACAGAAAGACAAACATCACTTGTTCTCACTTATTTGTGGGATCTAAAAATCAAAACAGTTGAACTCATGAACATAGAGTGTAGAAGGATGGTTACCAGATGCTAGGAAGGGTAGTGGGGAGCTAGGGGGAGGTGGGGATGGTAATGGGTACAAAACTAGTTAGAAAGAATGAATAAGACCTATTATTTGATAGCATAACATAACCTATATGTCCATAATTAAGGGACCAATTACCTTAATAGCTTTGGATATTAAGAATATTCAACAGCCTTTACAAAAGGAACAGCACTATATGTACTGGTTAGGAGCTGTCTCCAAGATACAGTATCAAATAAAAAGGCAAAGGAAAGAATAGTGACAGTGTATGATACCATTTGTGTATAAAACAAAAATAAACCCACAAACCACATATTTAATATAGTTATTATACATATATGTATTATATGTGTATATTTTTATATTTCTGGAAGTTTACCCAAGACACTGGCAACCTTGATTATCCCCTCTTAGTGAACTGGGTGGCTGAAGGAAAGACACAAGAAGGAGTATTACTTTTCACTCTATGTCCTCATCTTACATCAGTTTCCCTATAATTAGAGTCTGAGACAGAGATTGTTGAGTCTGTGCTCTTCTAAGAGGAGTGAGGCAAGGAGGACAGGGCCTGGATCAAAAATCAAGCAAGGGGCCAGGCGCGGTGGCTCAGGCCTGTAATCCCAGCACTTTGGGAGGCCGAGGCGGATGGATCACGAGGTCAGGAGATCGAGACCGTCCTGGCTAACACAGTGAAACCCCGTCTCTACTAAAAATACAAAAAATTAGCTGGGCGTGGTGGCGGGCGCCTGTAGTCCCAGCTACTCGGGAGGCTGAGGCAGGAGAATGGCGTGAACCCGGGAGGCGGAGCTTGCAGTGAGGCGAGATCATGCCACCGCACTCCAGCCTGGGCGACAGAGCGAGACTCTGTCTAAAAAAAAAAAAAAAAAAAATCAAGCAAGGTTGTGGTTTTAGCTGGAGCCTAGCTTCTACTTGAAACCCTGAAGAGCTCTGGAGTGTGAATAGTTCCATCGAGTTGGTCCTACCTGGAGACAAAGGGGCCAGGCTTTTGTACCTTTCTCAGTCAGTCATTGGCTGTGAGCTGCCCGCAGGAGGAGGAGTACCCTTTCAGGAGAGGTGGCTCCTATTGGCCGGGACAATTCTCTAGAAAAGGAGGCAGCTCTGAGCAATTAGCAATTCACCTTCAGAGCCGCTAAGGGACCAGATTAGAAAAAGAGATCTGTGCCTGATACGTGTCTGATACAACCTCACTGTATTTTCTGAAATCTATAAAATATGTGTTTACCTCCTCAAAAAAAAATCAGTTAAAAAATCAATATTACAGAAGGATCTCTTTTGGTGGTTTTCATGGATTCTAAATTCAGCATGTATGCCAAAATTTAAAACAGTAAAAGTTAGCCTTGGAAATCCTTAGCAATTTTTGGGACCCAAACTGGTCATTTTTTCCACTGGTATTGGAACAGATTATGTTTCTTTGGACCAGCACTACATTTAATAGTTGGCTTGCATTTAGGTAACCTTCTGTTTGGAAAATCTACAACATTAAACATTGAGCTCATATTCATCGATCTGAGTCCCCAGGATGCTTAGAGGAACTGAAGACGAGTAGATATTTTAATCCCTTATCTCAGGCTCACCCCAGAATGGACTGGTAGGGAGATCGAGCATATTATTTGTCTTTATCCCTTATTTTTCCATGTCTAATTATGTGGTTATAAATGTAGTACATGTTATACAGGAAAAATTTTCCAAAAATTGAACAAAAGGCAAAAAAAATAATTCTACTAAGTGGCCTTCTAAAATCACATTAGACATTTTCTAATAGACCCACCTGAGGGTGATATTGCTCAGGAAATGTGACTTTATGAAAGTTATTAATAGACGTTAACTTGTAAAACCTGGTAAGGTATCAGTTTTTCCTTCTCTCTGGTGGAGAAGTTAACCCAAAGGTTATAGTTTTATTGACTGGTCACTTTTTTTTTTTTTTTTTGAGACAGAGTCTTGCTCTGTTGCCCAGGCTGGAGTGCAGTGGGGCAATCTTGGCTTACTGCAGCCTCCACCTCCTGGGTTCAAGCAATTCTCCTGCCTCAGCCTCACAAGTTGCTGGGGTTACAGGCACCCGCCATCACACCTGGCTAATTTTTTTTTTTTTTTTGAGATGGAATCTTGCTTTGTCACCCAGGCTGGAGTGCAGTGACACCATCTTGGCTCACTGCAACCTCCGCTTCTGGGGTTCAAGCAGTTCTCCGTCTCAGCCTCCTAAGTAGCTGGGATTGCAGGTGCCCGCCACCACGCCTGGCTAATTTTTTTGTATTTTGAGTAGAGACGGGGGTTTCACCATCTTGGTCAGGCTGTTCTTGAACTCCTGACCTTGTGATCTGCCCACCTTGGCCTCCCAAAGTGCTGGGATTACAGGCATGAGCCACCATGCCCGGCCACATCTGGCTAACTTTTGTATTTTTAGTAGAGAGGGGGTTTCCCCACGTTAGTCAAACTGGTCTTGACCTCCTAACCTCAAGTGAACTATCCACCACTGTGGCCTCTCAAAGTGCTGGGATTACAGGTGTGAGCCACCATGCCCAGCCTTATTGCCTTGTAGCTTATAACCAGTTTTATATCTAATTTTTTTTTTGAGACAGGGTCTCACTCTGTCACCCAGGATGGAGTGCAGTAGTGCAGTCTCAGCTCACTGCAGCCTTGATCTCTGAAGCTCAGGTGATCCTCCCACCTCGGCCTCTTGAGTAGCTGGGACTACAGGCGTGCACCACCATGTCCGGATAATTTTTGTATTTTTTGCAGAGATGGGGTTTTGTCATGTTGCCCACACTGGTTTTGAACTCCTGAGCTCAAGTTATCCTCCTGCCTTGGCCTCCCAAAGTGCTGGGATTACAGGAATCAGCCATGTGCCCAGCTCATATCTTGTATAACAATCTGATTTCAGCATTTCTGTTCCCACTGACACATATATTCCAGTTTCTCATATTCTCATCAAACTACTGTCTTTTTCTTCTGGTTTCTTCATTAATTAAATAAAACTTTGACATACACTCACTATATGAGATTCATACTTTTAACAATTTGTGAAAATACGCTTTTCAGTATAAATTAGCACATTGTAAATATATGTGGTTAAATGGCCATACCATGTAGCTTGCTATAACATAATACATTACATGACGGTGAATCCTAGTGGAATAAAACACTACCAGATTCAATGTACAATATCTTCTCTCTTGAAGGCAGGATTATAGGTGTTTAAATCTGAGTTTGTGACTATTGGCTTGGCTGCTGAAGTATTTGACATACAGACCCAGGTAGTGCTTTGAAAAATGGCTATACCAGGAAAGAGAAGAAAAAAATAAAAGGTATTCATGAATTTTTTTCAATGCATTTCCCCCCTCCCCCGAATCCTCTTGGCAGAACTCTGGGGCTAGGGTTGTCAGATTTAGCAAATAAAAATACAGGATATCAAATCACATTTGAATTTCAAATGAATAATTAATTTTTAGTGTAAGTATGTTCCAAACATTGTAAGTATTTTTATTTGAAAACCCTACATGGGGCATCTCAAAGTCTGGATGGGGTTGCAGGAAGCAGGTGGGGGAAGCAAGGTAGTTGCCAGAAGTGCCAGAAACACAAGGGGTCATTGGCAGAATTTGAGTCCAGTGCTGGGCAGTAACAAAGGCCAGGTCGTGGAATCCTGTTCTCAATTCCAAGGAGTGAACTGAGGACCAGAGTGAAAGTTGAAGTCTTGAATCAAGAGCTGGGTGATGGCTCACGCCAGCATTTTGGGAGGCCAAGGTGGGAGGATCTCTTGAGCTAGGAGTTTGAGACCAGCCCTGGCAACATAGTGAGACTTCATCTCTACAAAAAATTTAAAAATTAGCTGGGTATGGTGGTGCATGCCTGTAGTCCCAGCTACTGGGGAGGCTGAGGTGGGAGGATCGCTTGAGCCAGGGAGGTCAAGGCTGCAGTGAGACATGGATGTGCCACTGCACTCCAGCCTGGGCAGCAGAGTGAGACACTGTCTCAATAAATAAATAAATAAATAAATAAATAAATAAATACAAATGGTCAATCAGCACATGAAAAGATGCTCAACATAATTAGTCACCAGGAAAACACGAATCAAAAACAAAGATACAACTTCACATAGTGCTTGGATGGCTATAATAAAAATGTCTGATAGAAGTTGCAGCTAGAACTGATTGGTGGCTGTTGGCCATCTGAGTTTTCATAGAACTGCTCACCATGGAGCCAGTCTGCAGCCAACACATCCAACAGAAACCACAGTGTGCCCAGCATCCTGGTGCAATGACAGAATCTAATCAAGCAGGACTCACCTGTCCACACTGAAGAGTATCTATAGCAGTATAATCACCACAATTCCAATGTGGAGATTTTCAAATACCAACCAAATAAATTGAGCAAAGAATTAGCAGAGCTGGTTCTGTTTATGGCACAGATTGTTCACTGCTACCCGGAGCATCCAAGTAACTTTCCTCAAGAGTGCAAAGATCTTCTCTCCTACCATAGCCCTATCTTGGGTCCAGATTTTCTAATGACATTTTGCAAAACTTTGATCTTGCTAAGAAGAATCTCACTAATCTTGGTGACACACAGCCTCCCTGCTTGGGAAGCTGAGGTGGGAGGATTGCTTGAGCCCAGGAGTTCAAGACCTGCCCAGGCAACATAGTGAGAACTCGTCTCTACAAAAAATAAAAAATTAACTGGGCAGGGTAGAGTGAGCCTGTAGTCCCAGCTACTCAGGAGGCTGAGGTGGGAGGATTGCTGGAGCCTGAGAGGTTGAGGTTGCAGTGAGCCATGATTATGCTACTGGACTCCATTCAGCCTGGGAGACAGAGCAAGACCCTGTCTCAAAAATAAATAAGGTTAAATTAAAATTTAAAAAAGTAGATAGAGAGTAGATTTGCATACAGAAAGAGAGTAGATTTGCAGTTGCCAGAGATTGGGAGAAGAGGGAAGCAGGAGTGACTATTTAAAAATATAGTTTTCTTGGCTGGGTGCAGTGGGCTATGATTGCACCACTGCACTTCAGCCTGGGTGACAGAGCAAGACCATGTCTCCTCAAAAAAAAAAAAAAAAAGTGTATTGATGAATATTTGATAGACTACTATTATTTTTTCATAAACTTTAAAAAAGTATCATATTATTGGTATTTAGGGATTGGAAGTTTCTTAAAATTTTGAGTAAGGAATAAAATTTGTTGAGTTAAAAATGACAATGTGTGGAATTGATAAGGATGTAGAAAATACATACTATCAATAGTCTGCTGCTAAGGATACAAATTGGTACTAAATTTCTGGAAGGCAACTTGGTAGTATACATCAAGATTTTAAAAATGTATGTAATAATTGACTTAACAGTTTTAATTCTAGAAATATAGCCTAAGAAAATAATTGAATCCATGTGCAAAGTTCTTTGTTTATTGTATCACTATTTCTTCATTTAGAAACTATACTGTAAGCAGTGTGAATTTTTGACAGCATTAAGTTTGACATTCACACAAAGACATACCCGGTGGCCATAATGATATTCATTATCATGGAAAGATGTCTAAAATATACTATTGGTGAAAAAATCAGGTATCAAACAGCATTTATGGACTAATCCCACTGAAATCATAGAGTTCATTCTTTCCTTATTTTTTGCATTTTTGCAGTGCACATGTGTTATCACTTCTCTGCCTTTTGGCTAAGATCAAGTGCGGTGCACATGTGTTATATTTATAATCATAAAAATCAGTAAAGCTATTTCCATCTTAAAGAAAAAGATCCCTCACTTTGCAATAATGAGTGGTTATGCCTCCCGGCCTTGTCTTCTTTAACTACTAGACAAGATTCATGCCTTGGAATTCCTCTGAACTTCCCTACTACACTACATTACAAGGAAGGCAATGTGGGTATCTCCCTCCTCCGTGACAACTTAAGAGATGCAAGGTCAGGGCACAGGTCACAACAGAGAGGGACACTGATGGCCAATTCTGGGGCCTCTCATCAGTTGTCCCATTCCAGGTTTTTAGGTAGAGGGCTGCTTTGCTGCTTCAAGGTTAAGCTTGCCTAATACTCCTCTAGGAGCTTTAACGAGCTAAGCACAAATCACTCCACTGAACTCACCAAATGCTATGCCTCCCTCAGCCTTGCAGACTTTCCCAATCCACTGACATCACTCTACTAAGCCAGTCCATCCCATCCCCCCTGTTCTGGGAGAATCCTACATAAGCTTTCTTCAAGTGGTCTCTAAAACCATTTTTGGCCTCACTTTATTAGAGGAGAAGGAGGCGCTTGCTGATATCAGTATTTCTTACCAACTCTGTTTCCATCACAGTAAGTATCAGGTATGCTAAAAGCATGTGTTTGCCTGGAAAAAAGTTCCTTTTACTTAGCTGCTCTAGGGTATCTCTATGATTTTGTTCTGCAACCTTAAGGATGATATAACTAAAAAGTAGGAGTATAGAACATCCCCAGGTTTAACATAAGCTGCATTAATTATTATAACCTTCCCTCCTCCCAGCCAAATAAAAAATCAGACTCAGAAACCCCACTGATCTTATGCATGTTGGTACTCCCACATAGTTTACTTTTAATACATGTCTATTAGATATCATTATATAAAGTTAACATTGCAGGGAAGCTTAAATGTGTCATTTGTACACCATGGTTGGATCTTGATATGCTGGATATTTTTTAAAAAGGCTCTACTACAACCAAAGTTAGATCCAAATCCATAAACAGGTAGATAACATTTCTTTTTTATTTTTTTGAGACAGTCTCACTCTGTTGCCCAGGCTAGAGTGCAGTAGCATGATCTCAGCTCACTGCATCCTCTGCTTCCTGGGTTCAAGCGATTCTCCTGTCTCAGCCTCCTGTGTAGCTGGGATTACAGGCAAGTGCCACCATGCATGACTAATTTTTGCATTTTTACTAGAGATGGGGTTTCACCATGTTGGCTATGCTGGGCTCCAACTCCTGACCTCAAGTGATCCACCCACCTCGGCCTTCCAAGGTGCTAGGATTAGAGGCATGGGCCACCACACCTGGCCACATAGGTAAAATTTCGATGTATTAAGAGAAAAGGCTGGGGGCAGTGGCTCATGCCTGTAACTTTAGGAGGCTAAGGCGGGTGGATTGTTTGAGGCCAGGAGTTCGAGACCAACCTGGGCAACATGGCAAAACCCCGTCTGTACTAAAAATACAAAGAAGAAAATATTAGCTGGTCGTGGTGGTGTGCGCCTATAGTCCCAGCTGTTCGGGAGGCTGTGGCACAAGAATTGCTGGAACCCAGGTGGTGGAGGTTGCAGTGAGCCGAGACCTCACCACTGCACTCCAGACTGGGTGACAGAGTGAGGCTCTTTCTTAAAAAAAAAAAAAGAAGAAAAATTGCATTCTACACAGAGCACTTAAGTTCATAATTCTGTGAGAGAAGTATTTATATAAGACTAAAAAAATTATAGTAATCAGGAGAAAAGAAAAAAGTGGAAAATTTGTTTGCCTCAAAATTGCCAACCCTGGGCATATTTCATAAAGCTTCTACAAAAAATGGTTTACGAAGCTGAAAATAAATGTGACTGAATCCTAGATTATAAAAATTAGGCAAATCTCAGTCTTTGGAATTATCTATTATGTGCTTTTTCACACTGACTCTGGGACAGTCTGAAGTTGGTAGTGTCTGTTAAGCTCCTCTAGCTTGCCAATCCAGGTGCCTGGTACCTTCCCAGAACTGCCTTTTTCATGTGACCCTGATATTCATTCCTTTCCCAGTGCTCTTCCTGGGTAACCTGAAAAATAGCCCCAGGATAGTGAAAAGTAGTCTTCTTTCTCATCCAGAGATTAAGTGCATTTTAAGCATGGTCATCTTCTAAAGGAATGAATCATCCTAATCAGGAAAATCTGAGGCACCAGAACAAGTAGTTATATTTTGCTCGGAAATGCTTTTAGGGATACTGAATGAGGTGGTATGTACCCATAACGCCAGCTACTGGGGAGCCTGAGGCAGGAGGATTGCTTAAGTCCAGGTGTTTGAGACCAACCTGGACAACATAGCGTCAAAAACATTTTTTTGAGACCCTGTCTCAAAAAAAAAAAAAAGGAAAAAAAAAAAAGGAAATGCCTTTAGGTGCTCCTTTATATTGTTGTGAGTTTTGTTCCCATGAGACAGGCTCTATAGTATCTGGCTCTTTTCCTAAGCACTGCAAGAAAGCTAAACACAGGTCACTCTGCCAGGCCTACCAAAGTATGTCCTCAGTCTTCCCTACCGCAACATCACTCCCTACCAAGATAGCCCACCCCACCATCTCACACTGGGAAGATTCTGTTTAAGTTTTCTTGAATCTTTAGAAACAATTTTGGCCTCTCTGCTGGGGGAAGGAGTAGAGAATGCTGTTATCTGGGGACTGATACTTCCGTTTGTTCAGAGGAATAGCTCAGTGGACTACCATTCTTGGTAATGGTATAGTTGACCCTTGGAAAACATGAATGTGAACTGCACAGCTCTACTTATATGTGGATTTCTGCCACCCCAGGAAGAGCAAGACCAATCCTTCTTCTTTCTCCTCTTTCTCAGCTACTCAAAGTGGAAGATGAGGAGAATAAAGACCTTTATGATGATCCACTTCCAGTTAATCAATAGTAAATATATTTTCTCTTCCTTATAATTTTACTAACATTTTCTTTTCTCTAACTTACTTTATTGTAAGAATACAGTATATGTGTTATATACTGTATATAATACATGTTATATGAAATATGTTTTAATCAACCATTTATGTTATCAGTAAGTCAATAGTAAGCTATTAGTCATTAAAAGTTTAGGGAGTCAAAAGTTATAGGCAGATTTTCCACTGTGCAGGAATAAGCGCCTCTAACTCTGTGTTGTTGAGGGGTTAACTGAAATTCCTACAAATTTTCATGAAAAGTTTAATTACTTTTTGTGTGTTTCTGAACATAGGCTCCCTCTTGTGGTTCATAGGATATATGATATATAAGAGATAGGAAATTTTATCTGCATTTTTGCAGTTGCAAAGATTACTTGGGCACTGGTAGAAAGATGATTATAGCTGAAGGCATTGATGATTTTTTTTTTTTGAGACGGAGTCTCGCTCTGTTGCCCAGGCTGGAGTGCAGTGGTGCAATCTCAGCTCACTGCAACCTCCGCCTCCCGGGTTCAAGCGATTCTCCCGCCTCAGCCTCCCCAGTAGCTGGGACTACAGGCGCATGCCACCACGCTCAGCTATTTTTTGTATTTTTTTAGTAGAGACGGGATCTCACCGTGTTAGCCAGGATGGTCTCGATCTCCTGACCTCGCGATCCACCTGCCTCGGCCTCCCAAAGTGCTGGGATTACAGGCGTAAGTCATCGTGCCTGGCCTGCACTGATAATTTTTAAATGAGTAATGTAAAGACCTAAGTTAACTTATTTAAGAATTATGCTTGTATGAAGACCCAGTAGGCAAGAAATTATAGCATTTGAATAAAGAAAAATCTGTTTAACCAGCATTTTAAAAGTAATAACTGGCCGGGTGCAGTGGCTCACATGTCTAATCCTAGCACTTTGGGAGGCTGAGGTGGGCGGATCACTTGAGGCCAGGAGTTTGAGACCAGCCTGGCCAAAATGGCGAAACCCATCTCTACTAAAAATACAAAAAATTAGTTGGGCATGGTGGCGCATGCCTGTAATCCCAGCTATTCAGGAGGCTGAGGCAGGAGAATCGCTGGAACCCAGGAGGCGGAGGTTGCAGTGAGCCAAGATCACGCCACTGCACTCCGGCCAAAGTGCGACTCTGTCTCAAAAGAAAAAACAAGTAATAACTAATATTTATTGAGTTATTTAATGTTCCAGGTACTATTATAAACACTTTATGTAAACAATTATGTAACTTTTTTTTTTTGAGATGGAGTCTCGCTCTGTCACTCAGGTGAGTGCAGCGGCATGAGCTTAGCTCACTGCAACCTCCACTTCCCGGGTTCCAGCGATTCTGCCGCCTTAGCCTCTCGAGTAGCTGGGATTACAGGCATGTGCCACCATGCTGGGTGAATTTTTTTGTATTTTTAGTAGAGAGGGGGTTTCACCATGTTGGCCTGGCTGGTCTCGAACTCCTGACCTCGAGTCATCTTCCCGCCTCAGCTTCCCAAAATGCTGGGATTACAGGCATAAGCTACCACGTCCAGCATTATGTAACTTTTTATTATGGAGAATTTCACACTTAAGAAATGAAGAAAAAAGCAAAAAGAGCTTCCATATGTGCATTATCCACTTTCAACTATTTATCAACGTTTGAACATTTTGCTATACCTATTTATCTATCACTATCATTCCCCCCGCTCATTCTTTTTCTGGAGTATTTAAAGCAAATATCAGATGTCCTATAATTCACCTGTAAATATCATAACATTCAAAGCTTTTAATATATATTAGCTATTTTAGTCCTTGACAAAAAGTATATATTATTATTCCCATTTTATGTATGTATAAACTGAGGCAAACAGTATTCAGTGACCCGCAGGGCTCAGGACTCAAACCCTGGAGTCTGAATGCAAAGCTTTATAAGTACGTCATTTCTGAGATTAGGCTGTGGCTTCTGTCTGGGGTGCCCTCTCTCTCTCTCTTTCCTGGATCACTAGTACTTGAGGAAGCCAGCTTACATGTCCAGCAGCCCCATGCAGAGGCCTGCATGGTGAGAAACAGGGCCTCTAGCCAACAGCCAGTTAGGAACTGAGGGCTAACAACAACCACATGAGAGAGCTTGGGAGCAGATTCTCCATCCCTTATATAGCTTATATTTTAGTGGGCAATATAGACAATGAACAAGTAAACAAATAAGCAAACAAACAAACAAAAAAATATATATATAATGTAGTTTCAGGTAGTGATTAAATCATATAAAGAGAAATAAAGAAGGATAAAGGAGCAGTGTGTGATGCGGTGGGAGACACTCTTTTTGATGGAGCAATAAAATAAGGTATATCAGTTCTTTTACTTTTGGTACAAATAAGAGAAAACCCAACTGAATGTGGCCCAAACCAAAAAAGAAATTTATTATATCACATAACAACAAGTCCAGAGGTAGGAGCGCTCTTAGTTAGTAACAAGGATATCATCAGGGAACCAGGTTCTTTCTGCTTTGCCATCGTTGGTATATCAGTTTTGAGTTCCAAACAAAAGAAAAATAGAAATTCTGGGGCAGAGTAAGTTTTTAGCTGAAAAGATATAATTTGAATACAATTTTAGTGTAAAGTCTTGAGTATTTACGCGTTTATAGGTATATAAAAGGAAGCACAGATTTCTGAAGCCTGTGTCTCCAACCAAAGGCAAGGATGGGACCTCTAAAAGCAGAAATCACACATTTTCACAAGGAAAAATGATTGCTTGGTTTAAACAACCCCTTGGATTGTCAGCTCAAAGTTGGTTGGTTACAGTAGAGTTTGGCACAGCTGACTGTTATGCCCCAAGTCAGTTTGTTGAATCCAGATAGTAGAGGCACAAATTTATCATCAGGCAGCTTTCCTACTGACTCTGATGAGCTTTCTGAAAAGTGGTTACTTTGGTTCCATCTTCTGGAGCTCTGGGTTATACAGTGTGCAAATCTGAATGCACATACTCAAAGTTCAGCAAAAATTTATTTTATTCTTCTCTTCATGGATGTAAGATGGCTGCAGCAGTTCTAGATGTCAGATCCAGATACACAATATTAAAGGGCTATCTTGTATTATGCTGTAACACAGTGATTTATTAAGTCTTCATTAATCCCTCTCAGCAGTTATATACTGGATATATACTGGATATAATGTACTGAATTAAAAATGTGACATTCTTTTATCCTCTAGCAGTGAAGCAGTAAAATATTGGTCAGAATGAGAATCATGGGTAGGTCTAATCATGCAGGAACAGGAGATTCTAAATAAGTTGCCAAAGAAATTCATTTCGCATTAGATTATCTTCTTTTCTAGGCGAATGTTATTTAGGAGCTGTGTTTACATACCAAATAATCCCTGAATTCAAGGCTGTTGTGTGATTACTGAACATGTTAAAGAGCTTACTTCCTTGCACTGCCTCCCTACAAGATCCATGTCAAGTCCTGTCTAACTACCTGTACAAAACTTGAGGAGGAAAGTGGGCTTTCAGCAAGCACACTCTTGGGATAAAAGTAGAAAATAAAGGCCAGAAATCATGGCCGTTTCCTCCAGAGAAAATACCAGAACATATTTAAACTCAGGGGTGGTATGCTGTTTCTGGGGAATGTGCCCTGAGGCTATTTTGATACACGAATTAGGAGTATCTTTAGTGATAATTTCAACATACTACATATGTTCTTTATAATTTGGAAAAGTTACGGGGAGAGTGGAGAAAACAGGAAGGGATTGTTAGCCTAGAAAAAAGGTTGAAGGAGTGAGGGGGGATCTAGGGGCCACACAGATAGACCAAGCCAGTTTCATGAGCTTACCTGGGGCCAGGTTGAAATGGTTCATTTGAACCACATCTCTGCCTCAGGTTTTCTGTAAATTTCATTCATTATTGCAACTGGCTTGCCATCACCTAATTCAATTCTTCTTCAATGAATCTGGCAGTGTACTTCTTAGAAACAACATGAATGATGGCTTAAACCAGTTTTATGTCAAATATCCCTTCCTGGTTTAGTTCATGTTTTGGGGGCTCTTTTTAACATAAGCAGCAATATATACCTTTTAAGATATTTAGAAGCTTTATAGTCCAGTTTAAATTTTGGTTAACTAGTTATACAGTTTAGATTGGCAAAGCAGATACAATGCCAGCATAACATTTATTCATTCAAGAAATGTTTACTGAGTGCCTGCTGTGTGCCATAAGTAAGATAGCTGTCTCTTTAAGGTTTTAATAATACCTGTTTAGCAATTATTCTTTATCGCTACTGAAGCTGATAGATGCTATCTGACACAGTAGATTTTAGGAATATATACATATTAATCATGTTTCTGACCCATAATGTAATAGTTCATGCTCATCAACATTCAAATATTTTTATTCGACCAGCCTGGGCAACATGGTGAAATCCTGTCTCTACCAAAATTAGCTAGGCATGGTGACACATGCCTGTAGACCCATCTACTGGGGAGGCTGAGGTGGGAGGATCGCCTGAACCTGGGGAGGTGGAGGCTGCAGTGTGCCAAGATCGCACCACTACACTTCAGCCTGGGCAACAGAGAGAGATCCTGTCTCAAAAAACAAAAAACAAAAAACGAAAAACAAAAACAAACCAAAAAAAAACGGCTAGAGCGCAGTGGCGCAATCTCAGCTCACTGCAGTCTCTGCCTCTCCAGGGTCAGGCAGTCCTCCCACCTCAGCCTCCTGAGGAGCTGGAATTACAGGCACATTCCACCAAACCTGGCTGATTTTTGTATTATTTTGGAAAGACAAGGTCTCACTATGTTGTCTAGGCTGGTCTAGAACTCCTGGACTCAAGTGATCCGCCCTCCTTGGCCTCCCAAAGTCTTAGGATTAAAGGTGTGAGCCACCATGCCTGGCCAAAAATTTTTTTAAAAATTTGAAACCAGCCAGGCGCGGTGGCTCACACCTGTAATCCCAGCACTTTGGGAGGCTGAGGCAGTTGGATCACAAGGTCAGGAGATCGAGACCATCTTGGCCAACATGGTGAAACCCCGTCTCTATTAAGATACAAAAACTTAGCTGGGTGTGGTGGCATGTGCCTGTAATCCCAGCTACTTGGGAGGCTGAGCCAGGGGAATCGCTTGAACCTGGGAGGCGGAGGTTGCAGTGAGCTGAGATTGCGCCACTGCACTCCAGCCTGGCGACAGAGCAAGACTCCGTCTCAAAAAAAACAAAACAAACAAACAAACAAACAAAAATTGAAACCATACACACAGGCTCACACTTACATAGACAAAACCCTCTTTTGACCCACTGGTTTCTATTCTCCTTTCCTTACCATAGAGTTTCTATTCCTGCCATCTTTACTTTCCACCCTCATACTCTCTTGGGCCCACTTAGATTAGGCTTTCATTCCACCAAAATTGCTCCTGAAGGTTGACCTTAATGATAGCAAATTTAATAATCAAATTTCATTCTTCCTAACAGCACTTTGCGTGATTGATCATTCTCTCTTTTTTGAAATATTTTCTATACTTTGGACTCCAGGACACCATTCTTTTATGGTTCTCCTCCTATGGTTCCAGCTGCTCTGTCTCCTTTGCTGGTTCCTCTTCGTTTACCTGACCTCTAAATATTGGAAGGACCTAGGCTTATATATTGGTGCTTTTTTTTTTTTAGCTGTCTACCTTATGATCTCATCCAGTCCTACAGCTTTTTTAATCTTTATTTTTCAATTTTAATTTTATTTTGTTAAAATAATACATACATATTTAAAAAGATTAAGTAGTACCAAAAAGGTTATGATAAAATGCAGCATTTCCCTTCCCCATCCCTCTCTACTTTCTTCCCTCCTTCCTAGAGACAACTATTTTTTTATGCTTTTAGCTCTCTCTGGCATTTACACCTCTACCTAATTTGTAAATAATAGGCATATACTATCTTTAGCTATTATCTATCAGCTTCATATTGTAGTAGATGAGAATTTATCTGTCTTACAATGTCATTCTGTCTTCTGCTATCCTTAATATTCTCAATATAGTTATATTACAATAGTTGGTCAAATCAATAATCAATGTTTACATTATTACATATATGCGAATATAATTCCCAGCAGTGTCGCAGTGTTTTATGATTGTATTTTCAATATATCTTCCAGTTTGCTATCTGCTGGAAACCCATTCACTGATCTTAAACTTGATTTATGGTTTCTTTCCATTGTCAAATCCAATCTGATTCTTTTTAAAACATGCTCTGTTGCTTGTTATAGTTTCCAGTTTCCTGTTGAAATTTTCAAGCATAATTTTTGTGTCCTTTAACATAGTAAATATAGTTGTTTTATTATTTGTGTTTAATAATTCCAATATCTGGATTCTTTCAGGGCTGTTTGACATCATTTATTTCTGTTGGTTTTTGTTTTTGTTATCTAGCCTTATGGGTTCTAGTTAGATTCTCTGGGTCCTTAATCTGTCTTTCTACATTTAGATTTATTCCCTATTTGGTGAAGCATATCCATCAAGTTAAAAGTATGTTACAATGGCAGAAACATGGTAAGGACAGCGGTTGACATGGCTCTCTCTCATACCACACTGCCCCAATCAGGACTGCTGTGCAGTTGTCATTTGAATATCACAACTTCACCACCAGCATGGAGAGTCTTTTCCTTTTTCTGTGTTGAATCTCTTATTTTCTATATTCCGTATTTTCTTATTTCTCAGATGACTCTCTCATCTTAGTACAGGCAATGTGATTGTGTGATGTAGTAGACAGAATACTGGTTCCCTAAAATGTCCACATTCTAATCTCTAAAACTTGTGAATATGTTGCCTTAAATGGCAAAAGAGACTTTGAAGATGTGATCACATTAAGAATGTTTAAATTGGGAGATTATCCTGGATTATTTGGGTGGTCACAGGTAGTAATGAAGGTCTATATAATAGGATAGTAGGAGGTATATGTGTGCATGTGTATGTATGCATGAGAGAAAGACAGACAGAGACAGCGAGAGATAGACAGAAGAGAGAGATGTGCTGGTTTTAAATATGGATGTAGGAAGGAAGGGACCACAAGACAAGGAATGCAAGCAGCCTCTGGCAGCGAGGAAGGTAAGGAAATAGATTCTCCTCTAGAGCCGCTGGAAGGGAAACAGTCCTGCTAACATCTTGATTTAGGAATTCTGATCTCCAGAACTGTAAGAGAATAAATTTGTGTTGTCTTAAGCCACTAAGTTTGTAGCAATTTTTTATAGCAGCAAAGAAAATCAATATAAATGATAATTTTTTCAGTTTTTTTTTTTTTTTTTTTTTTGAGACGGAGTCTCTGTCGCTCAGGCTGGAGTGCAGAGGCATGATCTTGGCTCACTGCAACCTCTGCCTCCTGGGTTCAAGCAATTCTCCTGCCTCAGCCTCCCAGGTAGCTGGGATTACAAGTGCCCACTATCACACCTGGCTAATTTTCATATTTTTAGTAAAGACAGGGTTTCACCATGTTGGCCAGGCTGGTCTCGAACTCCTGACCTCAAGTGATCTGCCCGCCTTGGCCTCCCAAAGTGCTGGGTTTACAGGTGTGAGCCACCACGCCTGGCCTAATTTTGTTCAGATGTTACAAGTGTCTATAGTCAATCTTCACATTGCCAGTTTGGTTGGTTATAGGATTTCTAGGTTGGAAGGCATTTTCCATCACATTGAAGACACTCTTCCATTGTCTTCTTCCTTCAAATGTTGCTGAGAAGCCCAGAGTCATTTTTATTATCATTCCTTGTACATGGCCTGTTTTTTCTCCCTCTCCAGACACTTAGAACATTATCTCTTTGTCTCTAATGTTCTGATATTTCACAATGTATGGGCCTATAAGAGTAGAAAATTCCACATGTCAGAAACCTGATGCTTTAAAATTCCATAAATATAACCAAAACACAAGCAAAAAATTGGGGAAAATATTTGCAACTTGAAAAATAAAGGGTTATTACTCTTATAATAGAAAGCACTCTTAGAAGAAAAATTCTACAAAAGAAATATTCAAAATAGCCATTTTAAAGAGTACATCTGTAGGTCTAGAACTGAAAGGGAAAAAAAGGAAAAAAGTACAAAAGTGTACAAAAAATCAGCCAAGAAACATATAGAAAAATCCATAGACTTACTAGAAATAAAATTAATGCAAATTAAAACTGTGAGGAACAATTTTTCATCTTTTTAATTGGTGAAGACTAAAAAAAAAACTCAAAATAGCTAATGTTGGTTAGGTTTCAGTACTTTCATACACTGTTGTTAGAAATGCAGTCAACCATCTCTTCTAGATGAGGCAAAATTCCGTAAGCCAGATCAAAAGCTTTAAAAAATGTCCATGTTAGGCCAGGTACAGTGGCTCAGGCCTGTAATCCGAGCACGTTGGGACTGAGGTGGGAGGATCACTTGAGCCCAGGAGTTGGAGACCAGCCTGTGCAACATAGTGAGACCCTGTCTCTACAAAAAATAAAACAATTAGCTAGGCATGGTGGATGTGCCTGTAAGTCCTAGCTGCTTGGGAGGCTGAGGCAGGAGGATCATTTGAGCCCAGGAGTTTGAGGCTACAGTGAGCTATGATTGCACCATTGCACTCTACCCTGGGTGACAGAGTGAGACTCTTGTTTCAAAAAAAAAAACAAATCAGTACTTAGAATAATCAGTACTTTGTTGGAATAATCCAACAAAATAATAATGAATGACAAATGCACATAAAGAGTTAACTACCATCTTGGCCATGTTGTTTACAACATCAAGAAAGTGGAAACAGGTCAGGTGGGGTGACACATCTGTAACCCCAGTGCTTTAGGAGACTGAAGCAGAAGGATTGTTTGAGGCCAGGAGTTAAAGACCAGCCTGGGCAACATAGCGAGACCCCATCTCTACAAAGAGTTTAAAAATTAGCTGGGGATGGTGGTGTCTGCCTGTAGTACTGGCTACTCAGGAGGCTGAAGCAGGAGGATCATCTGAGCTCAGGAGTTTGATGCTACAGTGAGCTATGATTGCACCACTGCATTCCACCCTGGGTGATGGAGTGAGACCCTGTCTCTCTTAAAAAAGAAAAGAAAAGAAAAAAAGAGTAGAAACAACCTAAATACTCAAAAATAGACAATTGGCTTAAGTCACTCCCATGGCAATGGGATGTTTCAGCAGTTTTAAAGCAAATAAGAAGGCCACTAGCCTGAGGTTGTCTCTGCACCCTGAGCCCTTACATAAGCAAGCTGAAGCCTTATTTATTTATTTATTTGTTTATTTATGTATTTATGTATTTTTATGAGATGGAGTCTCACTCTGTCACCCAGGCTGGAGTGCAGTGGCATGATCTCAGCTCATTGCAACCTCTGGCTCCCGGGTTTAAGCGATTCTTCTGCCTCAGCCTCCCGAGTAGCTGGGATTACAGGCACGTGCCACCACACCGGGCTAATTTTTTATATTTTTGGTAGACAGGGTTTCACCATGTTGGCCTAGCTGGTCTCAAACTTCTGACCTCAAGTGATCTGCCCGCCTCGGCCTCCCAAAGTGCTGGGATTACAGGTGTGAGCCACCGTGCCCAGCCCAAAGCCTAATTTAGAGGTATTTCTTATAACTGACTTAAATAGACAAACAAAAATACAGCCCTAACCAATCACAAACAGCCACTGAGTGAATTGGCTATATAACTAGGTGTCTCCCATCAGATTATACCCAAATAAGGCAAACACTTAGCTGTAGCAATTCAGGTAATTTCTTCACTTTGCTTCTGTGTTCAGCCTATAATAGGTAGGTGCTTCCAGAGCAGAGCCCATAACCTCTTTTGGTCTTGGTGCTTCCCAATTCATGAATCATTCTTTTACTCAAATAAATGTGTTAATTTCATTTAAACTTTTTTTTTTAACAGCAAGATATCATATTAAATTTATCATATAAAAAGTGGCCGTTATTGGTAAGAGGTTGACTTGGGGAAGTGAAATGAGATTTGGTGAGAAAAAAAACTCTCTGCACTCTGTCCATCATTTATTAATAGAATGTTTTCTTTCTAGAGATGAACTATTTCTACTTCTAAACATTGAGGAGATACAAAGAAGGGCTTTTGGCTAGATATGGTGGCTCATACCTGTAATCCCAGCACTTTGGCAGGCTAAGGCAGGAGAATCACTTGAGTCCAGGAGCTCAAGACCAGCCTGGGCAAAAAGCAAGACCCCATTACTATTAAAAAAAAAAAAAAAAAAAAAAAAAAAGAGGCTTTCAGCAATGATAGTGATAAAATTACAAAAAAAAAAAAAAAAAAAAAAAGCAACAGTAACTAACATTGAGTACTTACTGTGTTCTGGGCAGCCTGTCAGGTATTTAATGTATTTTATTTAACTCCCATGATAGCCCTTTGGGGTAGGTAGTATTCTTTATCATCTTTAGGTGTGAAGACTGAGGCTTAGAGACGTTGAGTGAACGGCCTAGAGTGAGTGACACAGCTGATAAATATTGTAGTTAGAATTTAAACTCTGGAAGTCAGGATTCCAGACATTCTTATCCACTGGGCTGAACTGCCTCGAATAAGTAAAGCATCTCCGTTAGTGGAGATCCCCTAATAGCCCTCTGTTCTGGGAGACATACCGAGGGATCATTTTAATTAGGTAGATGTAAGGAAACACAGGGGAAGGTTGTAGCTGGACATGTGGGAATTGACAATGAAGCTCTTTTCATCATTTTCTTTGGTACATGAAGTTCAAAGGCTGCTGGGAGAAAGTCAGCAAATTTTCCCAAAGACTAAGCTTCTGGGAAGGCAGTTACTGAGACCCCTGATCACTTCCTTTAGGAGGGTTAATATTGCTATATCACCTCTGGACTGGAATGGCCCTGACCTGACGTGGCAGCAGCAAAAGACAGGAGAAATTCGCCATGGAGAGGGGAGCCTGGACTGCTTACCTGGACTTAACAATCCTGGCAGCAACAACAAGTTTCTAGCTCAGTTCCTACAAATTTTACTCTAGCATCACACATGTGTCCTAGGAAAAAAGCCCTTTGTGTTTGTAACTTTGGAACCATAGATTGTCAGAGCATTTACATTTTTTTTTTCTTGGTGACAGAGTCTCGCTCTGTCAGCCAGGCTGGAGGGCAGTGATGTGATCTCGGCTCATTGCAACCTCCGCCACCCGGGGTCAAGCGATTCTCCTGCCTCAACCTTCCGAGTAGCGCGTGATCTACCTGCCTTGGCCTCCCAAAGTGCTGGGATTACAGGCACGAGCCACCGCGCCCAGCCCAGAGCATTTAAATTTTAATAGCTCCATCCTGCGAAAGGTCGTGCTGTAGTAGATATTCTGTGTCTCAACAGTGACACCTTGTGGGGCAGAGGTAGCAGAGGCTGGGGGCTGTTTGGACTGGAGTAGTTTTCTATCTTTCTTAAAGTCAGTTATAAGCAGGATTGATCTTTTGGACTCTGTTCCTGAACTTAACATGGAAGGACAAAAACACGTAGAAAACATGATGTACTGTGTACACCTAATCAATTTGAATGTTGAGTTTTGATTTCACTCACAATTCATTCATTAAAGATTAAAAGTACAATGATACACTACTTTTCATCTAACAGGTTAATAAATATTAAAAAGTAGGACAGAATTTAGTGTCAGTGAGGGTATAAGAAAACTATCAAAAACTGTTACTGGAAATAAAAAATCGTGCAAAAAATTGGAAGATAATCTATGATAACATATACCCAAATTTAAAATGCACATATTCTATAATCCAGTAATGCCATCATTAAGAATTTAGGAGTGTTGCTGGGCACGGTGGCTCATGCCTGTAATCCCAGCATTTTGGGAGGCTGAAGTGGGTGGATCATGAGGTCAGCAGTTCAAGACCAGCCTGACCAACATGGTGAAACCCCATCTCTACTAAGAATACAAAAATTAGCCGGGCATGGTCGTGGGCGCCTGTAATCCCAGCTACCCGGGAGGCTGAGGCAGGAGAATCGCTTGAACCCAGGAGGCGGAGGTTGCAGTGAGCTGAGATCGCACCATTGATTGCACTCCAGCCTGGGCAACAGAGCAAGACTCTGTCTCAAAAAAAAAAAAAAAAAAAAAAAAGGAATTTAGGAGTGTTTTCTAATGATTTTTTGTTTGTTTAATGTATCAATTAGGATGCAGTCATTTGTAAAGAACAACGATGAAAAAACCCAATTCAAACATGTTTGAACAATGGAGGGGATTTATTAGGCAATGGACCGAGATCCCAGAAATAGAGTGGACTTCACCTGGGGTTTGACTCAGCATCTCAGAGATATCATCGTCCACCTAGTTTCTTTCTAACTCCGTTTTCTGGCTTCTGGGACATCAAACTAATTCCCTATCAAAGTTATAAGATGGCTGACAACAACTCCCAAGGTATAGTGGACATATGTTTTCTTTATGGCCACAAGGCACCCTTGAAAACCTTTCCTATGGAGAGTTCTCCATCTTATAAGTCCTTATTTTCTCAATGTGAAAATCAGAAATTGTTTCCCAGTCTCCCTTGCAGCTCTGTGAAATCTGGTGACATGAAGATGCAATCACCATGCAGAAACCCTCCTGGCAAGAGTGGCAGTACTAGCTCCAGAAGCAGCAGTTGCAGAAGTTCAGGTGAAAGTCCCTAGGGACCAGCACCCTTGCCAGTGGGGTATTTGTGCTCATTGGGAGCAATGGTGGTGTTTTCTTTGGAGCAGTTCTACAATAGGATAAATTGTTGTGTGGCCCTGAAGCCGGATTCTCTGGTCTTCCAGAGAGTCTATGAACTCATTGATATCCTTTAATAAATTTGCTTTCTGCTTAAATTATCCACAGTTCATTTCTATTGTGTGCAAGAACCCTAATACACAGAGATACTTTTTTTCAGCCACATCTAGAGAGTGGGGTAACTTTCAGAAATTCCCTCAAAAGAGCTAAGAAGCTTCCTTCTCTGTTATCTCTGGCAAACCTCTTTTTACATCTCTATAGTCAGAATTGGGTCATTTTTTTTTTTTCTGTACTACTGGGGCTTGAGGACGGGATTATGATAATGATCTAAGGCCTGAGCCACATTCTTATCCCTTAAGGCTTAAGACAAAGAACAAAGAGGGAGAGGCGAGGACACCCAGGGTGAGATCAGGAGGATACTAACTTCAGAGAGGGGTGAATGGGTGAAAGTATATTGGAGGTAGAAGAACCACAATGCCTACCAGACAGAGCAACTTACATCAAACCCTTTGAACTTCCAAGCTTGCTCCTCACATGTGTGAAGAAGTCTGCATAAACCACTATATTATGTTGCTGTTTGTCACCACCTGGAACATCTGGACAGAGTCCCCAGGATAGGATACAACTTCCTTTCCATGGGGCCAGTCACATTCTTTGCTGTCTTGTTCCTTCATTCTGCCTTTAATGAGGGTGGGGTCAATAAAGAAAATGGCAGTAAATTTCTCTTTAGTTTAATGGAAAATTCCTCTGGAAGTTCACCCCTCATTGATGTACTCCACTTCCTTATTTTTCTCCCCTATTCTTAGGAGCCAATATCTCTGCAACAATGCTTCCTTCTTCTCACCTTTCAAAGCAAGACTTTATTCATTCTCTGAACAACCCACCCCTTCCAAATAGATCAGACTATACCCCTAGCGGTATATTTCTCAAAATTTGGAGCCTGTTCTGAGTAATATGCTTTTCAAGCGAATTTTACCCTTAGTACTAGTGACATTTAGGGCTGGATAATATTTTTGCTATGAGAGACTGTCCTGTGCATTGTAGAATGTTTAGAAGCATCTCTAGCTTCTATCCACTAGAGGCTAGTAGCATCCTCTCCCACCAAGTTGTGACAACCAAAAATGACCACTGGAGAGCAAAATTACCCATTTAATAACAAGTAAGCTAGAATAATACTCTGGGGGAGACTGTGCTGGGTGAGAGTAGAGGAGTTCTCTTATATTCCAAGTTAGGGTGGAGAACGTGGGGAACTTTATCCAGGTTTCACCAAAAAGTAAAGGACAGGTGAAGGAACTCACTTCTCTTGTGAGTCATCAATGAACTTCTTTGCTCTCCTGACTGTGCTGCAGGGGACTGCTGAATCACCATCTCCCAAGGACAAATATTAATTTTCATAGAGTACAGCCTAACCACAAGGTAGAAGATACATATTTTCCCATCTGTCCTTCTGTCCTGTAATTTTACAAGGCCATCTCTCTCTTTCTCTCTTTTTTATGAGACGGAGTCTCGCTTTGTCACCCAGGCAGTAGTGCACAATCTCAGCTCACTGCAACCTCTGCCTCCCGGGTTCAAGTGATTCTCCTGCCCCAGCCTCCTCGGTAGCTGGGATTACAGGCGCCTGCCATCACGCCCGGCTAATTTTTTTGTATTTTTATTAGAATTGGGTTTTCACCATGTTGGCCAGGCTGGTTTCAAACTCCTGACTTCAAGAGATCTGCCCTCCTCGGCCTCCCAAAGTGTTGGGATTACAGGTGTGAGCCACCACGCCTGGCCATGGCCACATCTCTTATAATGAGGTATGACAAATTATTATTCAGCACAGACTTAATCCACCTATCTTGCTTCCAAATGTATCTTCTTTGGATCATCCCTGAGTAACACTTTTTAAAATTCCCTTAGCTACTCACAGAGTTGGCCAAAGATAAGAAATTATTACTTGGAAATGTAATCCCATAGTTTCTTTTTTATGATGGTGGTTGCTGTGTTACTTGGTACACAGATATTTTGGGTTAGCTGATACAAAAGTTTGATATTTCAAACTCTTATCTTTATTGTGGCTTTTAGCTACATTTTTTTTTCTGGATAATTTTAGCCTTTAGCATTATGAAATGTCCTTAATTACATTTAAGCCTTTTTGGTCTGAATTGTCTGATATCAAAAGAACGACCCTGCACTCCTATTGTTTCCATTTGTCTGGTGTTTTAGTTAGTTCAAGCTGTTATAGATTGGGTGGCTTCAACAACATTTATTTCTTACGGTTATGGAGGATGTGAAGTCTAAGAGCAGGGTACCAGCATGATTGGGTTTTGGTGAGTGCCCTCTTACTGCTTTGCATATAGACACCTTTTTACTGTATCCTCACATAGCAGAGTGAGAGAGGAAGCAAGTGCTGTTGCGTCTCTTCTTAGAAGGGCACTAATCCTATTCATGAGGGCTCTGTGCTCACAATCTAATTACCTTCCAAAGGTCCCACCTCCAAATACCATCGCATTTGGAACTGAATTTCAAGAAGTGACTGTTGGGGGTACACATTCAGTCCACAGCACCTAGTATGTCTGTCTATTCCTTTCTATTTAGCCTTTCTGAATCATTTTGTTTTAGGTATGTTGCTTGCATGTACCATAATGATAGTGTATCAGTTAGCTTCTGTTGCATAACAAACCATGCCAAAACTTAAAAACCAGCCATTTATTTAGCTCATAATTCTGTAGGTTGGCTTAACAGTTCTGGTCTAGATTGGCTCAGTTGATCTCTCAGGTGCTTGCTTCTGTGTCTGAGGTCATCTAGGGTGTTGCCTGGTTGTTGGATGATCTAAGATAGCCTTGTTCATATGTCTGACAATTAGCAGACTGTTGGTTAGGGCTAGGAGAGTGACTCAACCACGTCTCTCATAATCCAGCAGGCAAGACGGTACACATGGAGGTCACGGGGTTGCAAGTGCAGTAAGAGAGGACAAACCCTGATGACTGAAGTGTCTGCTTGCATCACAACTGCTAATGCCCCATTGGCCAAAGCAGCTCACATCAACGACCTAGACTTAAAGGGTGCAGAAAAAGACTCCACTTCCTGGTGGGAAGATCTGCAATGTCACACTGCAAAATCATGATAAAGGGAGAGGAAGAGTTTGTGGCCAATTTTATAATCTATCACATTGGGTTTTCTTTTGTGAGTCATTTTAAAAGTCTTTTTCTTTACTTCCTTTTTTCTTTACCTCCTTCTGCTATTCGATTTTTTAACTTTAAGTGACATTCATTGATATCATTTAAATATCTTTTGACTCCCATCAATTGCCTATTTACCAATAAATTTACTTATTTTACTTTTCCTTTCTGATGACTGCAACTTACTATGAAATGGATCCAAAAAGCAAGGTAGATTTATGGGTGGATAGAGGGAAGATTAGATGGACAAATGTGAGATAAAGCATGCATAGTAAAATGTTAATGTTAGAATCTAGGTGGTGGGTAGGTGAGTGTTTATTGCAAAACTCTATGCTGTGGCTGAAATTTTAAAAATGAATTGTGAAGTTGAGGCAGGAGAATCCCTGGAGTCCAGGAGTTTGAGACCAGCCTCGGCAACATAGGGATATTCCGTCTTTACAAAAAATAAACAAATAAATTAGCCGGGCATGGTAGTGTGCACCTGTAGTCCTAGCTACTTGGGAGGCTGAGGTAGGATAATTGCTTGAGCCTGGGCCTGGAAGGTTGAGGGTGTAGTGAGCCATGACTGCACCACTGCACTCCAGCCTGGGCAAAAGAGCCAGACCCTGTCTCAAAAAAACAAAACAAAAAAACAAAGAAAAGAAGAGAAAAGAAAAGAAAAGAAAATATTGGAAGAAAAAGAACACAGGAGCCAGCTTGAGGGTGTTCATATCAGTCAAATCTTGGACAATCTGAGCGTCAAAATAAATAATAATAACAGATTATAATCTACCAAATTAAATAAAAATCTATGGGTCCATGCTGGTATAAACATATAAATGAATAAATAAGGGAGAAAAGAAAATTCTTCTTTCTAGAATAATGTCAGCTAATAGATATAGGCAGAATAATGGATAAGAAAATTACCATTTTGCAATCATCACAGAAATATTAGATTCATGGAAGAATCATCGAAGTATGCTAAAACTAGTGGAAGAAAGTTTAATGTGGAACAGTATGTTTAATAGCCTCGAATTATATTCCCACAAATTAGTTGTTAATTACAAAGGGAAAAGAATAATTTTTCCAACGAGAACCCTGGTGGTTTTTATTCTATCTAATCCCTTCAACCTTTTTTTTCCCTCTATTGGATCTTCCTCCTGCGCCCCTCCACCCTCTCCTTATTCTGGGCTAGTTGTACTTTCTGCTTGCTGCAGAGCTGCCATTTTAGGACTTTCCTTAACTGCTTTCCTAGACCTCCTCCTATGAACTGTTTGCTGAACTACCTTATATAAGGGTGGATTAAAGACCTCTGTAAATATATACAATAGATTAATAGATTGGTCATAGAATTCTCTTGAACTACATTTTGTTTGGCACACAGTATAAGCTCAAAAAATATCTGCTGAATAACTTAGTCTGGTCATCCAAGTATTACCAAAACTTTGTACCATGAAGCTTGTAGGATTTGGTTTTCATTTAATGTATGGTTATAAATATTAAATAAGTGAAGACAAATGAAATTACATACATTTTGTATATATGCTTACTTTTTCTTTTTAAAAATTTATTTATCTTATTACAGTGTTCCACACGTTCAGAGAAACTTCTCTATTAACGAACTACAGACATGATATCTGAAAGTAATCTTTATGCATAGTTTTCTTCTAAGAAACTCAAATGTGTTTTATATGAAGAACCACTAATAACCATTTACTTACTACTCTCTGCTACTAAGTCTTGAACAGAGAGCTAATGTATGCCTAAGGGAAAACCGATTAAAGAAACGTTCTTATATAGCTTCAAAAACGAATTAACAACGATAGTCAGGGTGAAAGGGGAAGGTGCTCCTCTTTAACTTGAAGTGCTTAAACAAATATTGGATTTTAGTGAAAACAGGAGTCTTGAAATGTATCCTTAATGTCCAGATACTCACAAGATAACTTTCAATTATCCAGAATTATTTTTTACTCTATAGAGCAATTCTTCCAAAATAGTGCATAGATTTATTCTCAGAAGTTATCTTATTCAAGTAAAGTGACTCTCATCCAAGAGAGACACTGGTAGCAAAGGGCAGTAGTTAGTTAAATAGCAGTGAAACTGATATTAGAGAACTGCCAACTGATGGAAATTTAATCAGCAGTATATGGAATTGGAATGGGCTTATACAGGGAGTAATTCTGAATATAAGGTGTTCAGCAGTTTTCGTTTCTTTAAAATTTTTTGTACAAAGTGGAAAAAACTTACACACCCATATTTGAAAAATGGGTAATTTTTCTTTCATTCATTATTATTTTTTAAAGTTAAATAAATTAAGGAGACAAATAGTTCTCTATCGCATGTTGTAAAAAATCCAGGGCCCCTGTCCCTTACCATTGCCTTTTTTCCATTCCTTACATGAAGTGTGTCTTCCCAGGTGACACGGGAGCCATCCTTGATGTTTTTTGTTTCATCAAGTCTATTTGGGTGTTCCTATTCTATGCTTCCTCCCCTCTAGATTCCCGCCTCTACCTCATACTCTAGGTTTATCCTGAGTGTGGAGTAGGGAAGTGTGAATACCACATTTACATTTTCCTTTTGTTCTTCACCTTTTCTCTCTTAGACTGTTCCGCTCAGCACCAAAAGGACTTTCTTTCTTGCACTGCAGGAACTTCCCTTACATCAAATCCTTATACTGTTTACTCTCATTTATTGTAAAAATACTACAGTCTTCTGAATCTGACTTCTGTAAGCCTCTTTTCTCCTTAATAACAAAGACTCCTCCAAAAATCATAAGTGCTTACTTTCAGGCTATCGTCTCCATGTGGACTTGAAACACACTATTTTGAAACTCAAAGCTGCCTTCAGCAGGGTTCTCTCCATTCGAAGAGGCAACTATTTCCACTGGTTCAATCAGTGGGGTTAATGATAGGCCCAGAACCAGGAATTTTCAAGAAGGAAAGTCCACTGACTTAATATTCTCCAAATGTACTCGTTATGCTGAGAATACACACTAAGAACATATGGCATTTCATTACATAAATGAAAAACATCATCATAAGCAAGTTTGGAAGCAGTGAAACACACCCTTGGAAGGCATTATAAATGCTCCCTAATATCTGATTCTCCCTTCCCAGTCCCATTGCAGTTTGGTGGAGCCATGTGAAAGGTTCTAGCTAGTGAAATGCAAGTGGAAGTAGGAGGGCTGAGGTAGTGACAAGCTGCTGCATGATGCTACAGATTTCCTCTTCTGCAGTGAAAGTGGAATCTCATGTTGGGATGGCAGAGTTACAAGATCAAAGTGGTCTGGATTGCTCAGACACTGGTTGGAGGACAACTCTAAGCCTGTTCCATATTAGACTTTGTGTGAGCAAAGAACAAATGTTTATTAGTATCTTTGAGTTTAAAATTGAAACTGAGATTTTGAAATTGTTTATTGTCAGAACATAAGCTAGCCAATCTTGACTAATATACCATAATTCTTTGCTTATTGGCCTATTGCCTAATTAGCTGGAGTGCTTGTTGTTGGTGAAAGTGTGTTATTTTGGAAGTAGAGAATATATTTTATATATATATATTTTTTTTTTTTACAAGGGTGAAACTTATTTAATGATATTTATTGAATGCCTGCTATACCAAGTGCTAGAGATGCATCAGTATACAAAACACACAATTTTTGCCCTCATGGAGCTTACATTTTAGTGGGGAAGTCAGATAAAAATTATATCAACAAACAAAATACTTGCAAGTTAGGGTAAGTGTTATGAAGGAACTAATGGCTGCGCTAGAGGTTAACAAGGGAGGGAATCTACTTTAGATAGTATGATGATGAGGAGAGGAGACCTTTCAACTGAGATATGAAGAAAGGGAGAAAACATTCTAGGTCACATGAGGCAAGAAAGATCTTGGTGTGTTTGAGAAACTAAAAAGACCATTGTGACTCAGTGGTAACAAATGAGGAACAAGAGGCAAAATATGAAGTTGCAGAGAAAGATCATCATGTTGTGGCAGGGAGTTTGGTTTTCATTCCAAGCCATCAGATAGTATCACCTTAATCTTCCTTTGGTCAATGCCACAAAACTAACCACATCTATGTTAACTTTCTTTTCTCCGCCATCTGCCTCAACAAATGTCATGTCCCTCATCTTTCTGATGGCTAATCACTCCCTTTGTATCCTCCCTCCTCTGGTTACCCTTTCTCCTCTTTTCATATACTTTGCTTCTTCGTTATCTTCCCAATGGGTCAGTCCTGTCAACCAACCTACAAGACACCACCCATCCCCCACCCTCTTCCATGGGTTATCAACTGGTAATGATTCTACTAACCACTCAGATGTTCAGGCCCCAAAACCAGGACCTATCTTGACCACTCTCTTTTCTTTACTTTCCTATGCAGTTCATTGGTAAATTCTTCAGTTTTAAACTCAAAGATATTATCAGTTTGGTTCACTCTTGCTAATGTTAGCTTTCCTGATTTCGTCTTGATTTCTGAAATGGTCTCATGATTTGCCTCCTTGCCTCCATTCTTTCCTTCCTCTAATTTTTTCTTTATGCATCAGCCAAGGGTGGCTACTTATTTTAACATAGAATAGCTTAATTAAAATAAACAAAAATTTTTATAAATTGTGGTAAAATAGGCCGGGTGCAGTGGCTCACGCCTGTAATCCCAGCACTTTGGGAGGCTAAAGCGGGTGGATCACTTGAGGCCAGGAGTTCGAGACCAGCCGGGCCAACATCGCGAAATCCAGTCTCTATTAAAAATACAAAAATTAGCCAGGCATGTGGTGTGCACCTGTAGTCCCAGCTACTCAGAAGGCTGAGGCAGGAGAATAGCTTGAACCTGGGAGGTGGAGGTTGCAGTGGGCTGAGATTGTGCCACTGCACTCCAGCCTGGGTGACAGAGTGAGACTCTTTCTAAAAAAAAAAAAATTGTGGTAAAATAAACTTTTACTATAATGAAAGTAGTCTATGTGCTGCAAAAGTTACAATGAAAAAGATAGGCAAACACAAAGAAAAAAATACACATTTCCACTTCCAAAGATTACCAATACTAACACCTTAGGGTATAAGCCCACTATTTTTTTAGTTGTACATAAATACATATATGTGCATTTTTAAACCAAAATGAGATGCTGTAACATACTATTTCGTGACTTGCTCTTTTCAGTTAATGATCTTTTCCATGGCAATACAGTTCTATTTTATCCAATACTCAGTCCATCTACATTCATATTTCTTTAATGGTCCTGAAAATGCATTTTATAGACAGTCTGTTCAAACCAGGATCCAATTCAAACTGTTATGTCCCTTAAATTTCTTTTCATAAAGCAGTTGCTTTTATCATGACAAATTGTTGAAGAGATGGGCCAGTTATCCTGCAGAATGTTTCACCTTCTGGATCTGTCTAGTTACTTCCTCTGGCATCATTTAGTTTGTTCATCTATCTGTTGTATTTTTTATAAACTGTGTTAGATGCAAAGGCTTGACAGATTCAAGTTAAATATTTTTGCCTGGAATATACCATGATGATACTGTATACTACATCCCATCAAAAGACAAACTATCCGATTGAGCTACAACGTGGCCTTTAAAAAATGTAAATTATAAGTGTATATAGCTTCCTCTGCATTTATTATACAATACTAAACAAATTCTTCAACTTGGACAACAAGTTTCTGAATGATTTGATGCCTGCTTACTCATCCAACTTTATTCCATCCCATTCTATTTGTTTTTAAAGGTCTTGTCACATGTTTCGTTTCTAGTCCTGAAACATGGTTAAGTGCTTGCCTCCTAGGGCCTCTGCCGCAGGCTTTTGGTTTGGAGGCTCTCCTTTGCCACTCCACCCCTCTCCACTCTTCTCCTCTTCTGATATCAAGCATCTTCTCAAATTACAGGTGTCGTTTTTAATTTATTTAAAATTTTGTTCTTTCTACAAAACAGCAACCAGAGACACAGGTTCATTTTCAGTTAACCTACTCGGAGAAAACCTACTTTATCTTATTTAAATTAGGGTCCTCCAAGCGATCTTAACATCTCCTAAGTCCCAAGCACCCTGTTTTTTTCCTGATACTTTTTCCGTTTACCTTAAGGTCTGTGTCAACCTGACAGTAAGCTGCACGATGGCAGGGGTCTTGCCTACTAGGTTCCCTGTGCACAGCAGCCCGTCAACAGTAGTTGAATAAACATCATAGGTCACAATAACCCTGGGACTGCCTCTTGGGGAGGTAGCCGCAAACTCTCGCAGGTGGCAGTGACACCAGTACTTCTCCGGGGGGTTGTTCGAGTGGAGGAATACTCTTACGTGAAAGTGCTCAGTACACCACTGCGGCAGGAAGGAGGAAGGGAAGAATTCCAGATGGGGAGAAAGTAATATTTTGCAGCACAGTACAGGGTAAACTGGGTCCAGGTGGGCGTAGCCGCCGCGACACCTTCACGTGACCGCGGACAGCTTAAGGACCCCGCATCCAGTGCGCCTGCGCTGGAGCTCCCGGAAGTTGCCGGACCCGGAACGCAGGCGGAGCGCAAGTCTGTCAGCCAGTCAGTCCGCCAGTCCGCCAGCCCAGTACCTCTCTCTCCTCGGCCCTCGTAAGCTGTCCGCGGTCTGTTTGGCCCGAACGGCGGCGGAGGCGCTGATCATGGCGACATTCATCTCGGTGCAGCTGAAAAAGACCTCAGAGGTGGACCTGGCCAAGCCGCTGGTGAAGTTCATCCAGCAGACTTACCCAAGCGGCGGGGAAGAGCAGGCCCAGTACTGCCGCGCGGCGGAGGAGCTCAGCAAGCTGCGCCGCGCCGCAGTCGGTCGTCCGCTGGACAAGCACGAGGGCGCGCTCGAGACGCTCCTGAGGTGGGCGCGGGGCTGGGAGTGGGTAGGTTGTCTGCCAGCCGTCGCTCGCCGCTCCTCTTCCCGTCTCCCCCCTTCCTTCAATCCTGTAACCTGGGCGGAGCCGCCCCGTCCCGGCCTGACCAGGCGCGTAGGTGTGGTCTGCATTCTTTGCTGGTGAGCAGGACCCGCCCTGCAGGCCCGCTGTGACTGCCCGCTTGTCCTGCCTGCACGTCTGCTCTAGCCCTTGGTCGGCGAGGGCTCCGTGGATCAGATACCTGGGAGCAGCAGTCTGCCCTGTACTGATCTCTTTTGCCACATTTACTTAGAACTAGTCTTCACTTTTTTGGGTCTCTAACTGAAGCTTCCCCTTTCGCCCCATTTTTCCATCACTGTCTTTCTTGGGCCACATTTTGATTTCATAATAGTAGTTGCTTGAAGGCAGTGGGGGAAGTGGGGGAATTGGGACACTGGACCAAATGTCTGATCAGCTCATCACATTGTCCACATGAAATGGACCGTCTTCCTCAGTTCAAAATAATCAAATGATAGATGGAGAATTCTGAAAGTTAGGAGCTACAACTATTTGAAATAAAACTCTAGTTACATAGTTGAACCGTTCAAGGTAGGTTGTTTAAAAGCAGTTTGTTCACAAACAGATATATACACAGTAGAGTAAATTTGTTATTTTAGCAAACGCTTATTTAGCTCATGCTGATTTAATGAGGGTTCCTTTCATGATACTTAATAGTTATAAGAACATTTTTTACGATTTTATAGTTAAACATTTCTTTTGCATACCTTGTTAATCTCGTTTTCTCCGTATAGTATATTCTACTTGTTTCACAGGAGAATCACAATTGTATTCCAATCCAAGTAGCAGAAACCCAGGCTAAACTAGCTTGAGCTAAGAAAAGACTTATTCTGCCGGGCGCGGTGGCTCACGCCTGTAATCCCAGCACTTTGGGAGGCCGAGGCGGGCGGATCACGAGGTCAGGAGATCGACACCATCCTGGCTAGCACGGTGAAACCCCATCTCTACTAAAAATACAACAAATTAGCCGGGCGTGGTGGCGGGTGCCTGTAGTCCCAGCTACTCGGGAGGCTGAGGCAGGAGAATGGTGTGAACCTGGGAGACGGAGCTTGCAGTGAGCCGAGATCGCGCCACTGCACTCCAGCCTGGGCGACAGAGTGAGACTCCATCTCAAAAAAAAAAAAAAAAAAAAAAAAAAGTAAGACTTATTCTGCTAACTGAAAAGTCTAGGGATATTCCTTCCTTAGCTTTAGGTATCACTGGAGATCGTCTTGCCTCCGTGATGCTTCCCTCGAAAGCTTTGTTCATGTATTGAGAGGGATGGCTGTAGTGTAATAACAATCGTCCGCAACACTCAGTATCTTACAGAAGGGAGTGCTTTTCTCCTTAGCTCTGGTGGAAGTCCATGGGAGGCTCCTGGGTTTGTTTGCACCCATTTATGATGGTGGGAAATGGGCTAAGTTAATTGCCCTTATCTGAGTCATCCAGCCGGTTTAATTTCTCCTTACCCCATGGATCAAAGCAAGATGAGTCCGGACTGGGGAAGGGTTGGTTCTCCGAAGGAAGGGGTACTGAATAGATTGCTCAGAGGAATTAAGACCCCTTGGTGTCAAATTTTAGAGCTACAACTGTTGGGCTGCAAGGATCATTAGTCTAATAGCATAAGCATTTTTTTTAAAGTTAACCTAGAAATACTTAGCCATTCTTTAGAATTAACATAATTAAACAATTTCAAGGTAATTTTTATGTAGGCATGAATAGCATTCAGTGAGGATTTTCCATTAGTAATATTAAGAAAACATAGTTGTGGTATAATGAGCCCTGTGATAAAAATCTTGTTGAATATATCAAATTTGGTTCCAGCCCTCAGATTTGGGGTCTTCAGAAGCACTTGGTGCATGGGTTTTAAGCTAACAGACATGGGAGGTTGGTGGATAATGGTTTGGATACGGTTCTCCTGTCAACTTTAAAACTTAATTCATTTGTTCCTTCCTTTATTCTTTTTACCAGACTTAAATGTGTGAACTGTTCCTAGGTAGTGGACCTGTTGTAGATATAGTCTCTTTGAAACTAACCATGTTTCTTTAGTCACCTCTGTATAATCCCCTCCTGCCACATTAATTCAACAAATATTAAGTATTTTCACTTTTTGGGCTTCTAGAGGGGTTAGGGTAAGCTTGGAGATATTACTAAAGTTTATAATGGAGGTAGGTACAAAAGTTTTGTAGGTATATACGCTGTAAAATTAGATGTGAATCAGTTGTGTGATGTTCATTCAAATCCGGCAGAATATCTTATTTTTAATAATTATGTTTGGATAATTGTGTAAACTTAACATTAATTTTTTAACTTAATGAACTTTTTAAACTAATGAACTTTGAAAAACAGAGTTTAAACTAATTCCTAAATAATTGAAGCCAGCTTGATAAGTCCTGATATGCAGCTCCATATATTGCTCCAGTGATAGACTTGTTTTCTTATTACTAACTTGTAGGTGTTCTATTAAAATTTCCTAAAATATACATTTATGCATATTATAATAATGAGAATGAGTACTTAAAAACTCATTTGTTCTGGGTGTGGTAGCATGCACTCATAATTCCAGCTGAGGCAGAAGGATCACTAGAGCCCACGAGTTGGAGACCAGCCTGAACTACATACTGAGACGCTGTCTCAAAACAAAACAAAACAACAACAACAAAAAACCCTTTTATATGATACTTCTTCCTTTATAAAGTGGCTTTTACTAAAAATTGATTAGACCTTGGTAAATGGTGACCTAGGGTGATCAAATGGGAACCCTGCTGGTTTTTTATTTTTATTTTGTATTTTATTTGAAGCTCCAGATATACCATTTACCAGCATTGTGTAATTTCTTTTGTGGTGATCAGTTTCTTTAGAGAGAAAGCTTCTAGTCTTCCATGAAAAAGTCTGCTTATCAGCTTTCTAAATTTTATCCTGGGGAATGGAGGTTGGGGATCTTAACAATCATGTATGCAGTCTATCAGGTACATCTATTTTTAGTATGACACCTGCATTAGGGTTAGGTTCATTTCTGTGTGGTAGATCCCAAATTATCTGAGTTAAGATTTTATTTTGTAAAAAGTTGGCAGGTAGGTAGTTCTGGTAGCCCAGGGCTGGTGTAGTGTTTCTGTGGAGTTAATTGGGGCTCAGATTCCTTTCAGCTTTCTGCTGTTTGAAACCTAGAATATTGTTCTCAGGTCCAGGTTGCAATCATATCCAAGTTCCAGGTAGTAGGATGGAGAAAGGCACGGGGCTCGCCCTTTAGGGTGTTTCCTGGCAACTGTTCCACAACACCCTGCCTATATGTTACCGGCCATTTTGTGTGTCCTTCTGATAGGATGCTAGGAAAAGGAATTTTCATTATGAGCAGCTGTATACTCAGCTAAAGGGACACAGTTTTGTTAATAAGGAATAGGATAGACTGATAATGATGTAGTCAATTAGCACTCCCTACCCCACTTAGCAGTGCTTGATCTCCACCTTAGTTATATTTGATATCTCTGACATTTTTTTCTTTTTTCTTTTTTTTTTTTTTGAGGTGGAGTTTTGCTCTTGTTACCCAGGCTGGAGTGCAGTGGCATGATCTCGGCTCACCACAACCTCCGCCTCTCGGGTTCAAACGATTCTCCTGCCTCAGCCTCCTGAGTAGCTGGGATTTACAGGCATGAACCACTCTGCCTGGCTAATTTTGTATTTTTGGTAGAGACGGGCTTTCTCCATGTTGGTCAGGCTGGTCTGGAACTCCTGACCTCGGGTGATCCACCCGCCTCGGCCTCCCAAAGTGCTGGGATTACAGGCGTGAGCCACTGTGCCCGGCCAATCTCTGACGTTTTTTTGAGAGTGAACCTACCTTCAGAGTAGAGGATCTGGGAGCCTGAAGTTTTCTTTGAAGGATTTTCAACCATACCTTCTCGTTCCAGCCTCACATTGAACTACCTTCAGAGGTACCTCATGTTTCTTAATTCAGATCCTTTTCTGGCTTCTCTGGCATGATTTGGCTTCTGCTTTGGCTCCCTTCCCTCTTAGCCAGTTAGATTTTGGCTTTCTCTTTTTCATTCACTTTTCACCTTTTAGTAAATTTTGTTGAAACCTCTTATATCCTGTGTGTCATTTCCCGTTCTTTTTGTCCATGTTCATGTACATCTTTTACATTTTTAAATTCTTGTTTTAGTGGGTTTTGGCGGGGAGCAAAGAAGGATGTTTATTCAGATTTATTTGTTTAACTGTAAGAGGAACTTGTTTGCATTTTCAGCTCTCCACAGTGCTTGTAACAATTTACATTCTCATCAGCAGGTATATGGGAGTACTTTATTCTTCCATATCCTTGCTAATACGTACTGATTAATAATTTAATTTATTGCTTTTTGCTAAACTGATGGGTGAGAGATAGTACCTTTAGTTTGCATTCCTCTTATTTTACTGAGGTTGAACAGTTTTTGTTTACTGGCCACTTTGTTTCTTTTTCTGTGATTGCTTGTTCTTTTCTTTTGCCCATTTTCTATTGAGTTGTTTTTTCCTTACTAATTTGTAGGAGTTGTAGCATTTTCTGGATATTTATACTTTTTTCATTAGGTATGTTGCAAAAATCTTCCAATCTGTTTCTTGTCTCTCAACTGTGTTTATTCTATCTTTTGTCACATGGAAGTTCTCCCAAAAGTGTTGTCATCTCATAATCTGTAGTTAACATTTTTTTTCTTATTCCTAATGTTGTGCATGTGTTATGTGTGATTTTCCTCCCTCAGATTTGCCAAAGGTTTGGAGCCACCTTTTCTTTGTTTAAAACCAAGGCTTTTTGGTTGGTTTTCTGCCCTTGTCATTCATTTTTTTAAAAAATGTTCTTTGTTCCTTTTTTCTATCTTTTTGTATTGATTGGTTAGTTTTCCATCTTTTTGGTTTTTCTAATATATTTTAGGACTGTGTATTTTTTTCTCAGTCTGTATTGGTTGCATCCTACTGACTTTTTCATTTGTAAAATGAAGTTGATGGAATACTCTTTTAATTTCTGAAATATTTTCTACATGGTAGTGTTTTATAGATCAGTAAAGAAAATGTTCTGTTTTACTTCATAACTGTTGTTTGGATTCTCGTTGTTGGTTTGGTGGTGAACATACTCTTTGCAGAACTTTTCCTTGTCCCACGGCCATGAAAATTTAGGCTTGCAAACGGTTTGAAGGGTGAGTAAAGCAGGGTTTTATTGGGTGAAAAGGAAGAAAAGGGGGAAACAGGAACTCTCACAAAGCTAGAGTCCCAGTTAGAGCACATCCCGCCTGCAGCTTGAATCTCAGGTTCCGCACAGGAAGAGGAGGGGCCAGTCTCCTCCCTATGGAATTTCCCAAGGCTCCACCTTAGTGAACAGGCTGGTTGGAATTTCTCCAGGGACCCCCTCCCACCTGGCTGTCTCAATATTGAGATAATATTAGCACAATGACGTTGCTACAATTTGTTAACCAAATACTAATGGAGAGTCTGTGTGAACCATACTGTAGGAGACAATGTGGAGGATATAAAGATATACTTGGTCCCTGGTCTCAAGGAATATCTGTAATTGGCAGACCTTTTTGGCTCCGTAATTTTATTCCACATAGGTGAATAAACATATGGGAAGATTTAAAATCTGATTTGTTTTTCTGTGTTTTGACTTTTCTGGTGTTTAGTAAATCTTATCAGGACTATCATCATTCTGTGTATCTGTAAGAAGAATCTTCTGAGGTGCTTTACACAGGAGATTTAAGCCCACAAAGCTATCTTTATGGCAGAACTGGACTAAGATCCTGACCTCTTGATTCCCCAGCTAGTTACTTTTTGCCATACTCTCTGCTGCAGTAGTGCTTGATTAATGATTTTTCATGTGTTAAATTGGGTGAAGAAAGAAGTGTGAAAATAAAGTTCACAAAGAATCTATGAACTCCAGCCAATATCTCTGGCCCAGCTTTTCTGATTCTCTTGTTTCATCCTCTAGTTGGTGGTCTGGAGTTGCACATCCCTAAATACAGATTGCAGCTGAATAGGGTTGTGTGAATTAGCATTGCAGTATTATTTTGGCCATGTGGATTGGTTGTTCTTGATCCCCACACCTTCCCCTTAAATTAAAAAATTCTTTTCCGGCCGGGTGTGGTGGCTCATGCCTGTAATCCCAGCACTTTGGGAGGCTGAGGCGGGTGGATCACGAGGTCAGGAGTTCGAGATTAGCCTGGCCAAAATGGTGAAACACTGTCTCTACTAAAAATACAAAAAGTTAGCCGGTCATGGTGGCGGGTGCCTGTAATCGCAGCTGCTCGGGAGGCTGAGGCAGAGAATTGCTTGAACCCGGAAGGTGGAGGTTGCAGTGAGCCGAGATCACACCACTGCACTGTAGCCTGGGCGACAGAGTGAGATTCTGTCTCAAAAAAAAAAAAAAAATTTTTTTTTCCTTTTTAAAAATTAAATATAGAATTTAATCTTTATTTAAAAATTTTAACATTTTTGTTTTTTTAAGACAGGGCCTTGGCTCAGTTGCTCAGCTGCCCAGGCTGGAGTACAGTGGCGCCACAATAGCCTACTGCAGCCTCGATCTCCTGGGCTCAAGCAATCCTACTTCAACCTCCCAAGTGGGTGCATACTACCATACCTGGCTAATTATTAAATTTTTAGTAGAGAGGAGGTCTTGCTGTGTTGTCCAGGCTGGTCTTGAACTCCTGAACTCAAGCAGTCCTCCTGTCTTGGCCTCCCAAGTGCTGGGATTACAGGTGTGAGCCACCATACCTGGCCAATTTTTTTTTTTTTTTAAACTAGAATTTCTTTTTTTGTTTTTTGAGATGGAGTCTCACTCGGTCGCCCAGGCTAGAGTGCAGTGGCGCGATCTTGGCTCACTGCAAGCTCCACCTCCCAGGTTCACGCCATTCTCCTGCCTCAGCCTACCATGTAGCTGGGACTACAGGCGCCCACCACTACGCCCGGCTAATTTTTTTGTGTTTTTAGTAGAGACGGGGTTTCACCGTGTTAGCCAGGATGGTGTCGATCTCCTGACCTTGTGATCCGCCTGTCTCGACCTCCCAAAGTGCTGGGATTACAGGCGTGTGCCACCGTGCCCAGCCTAAACTAGAATTTCTAATGGGAATTTGTCCTGTACCTATTTGTGGTATTTCAAAGAAATGTATTTATTTCCTAGTTTCTTTTTCCCCATGAGATTTTTAAGTTGAGTTATTATATATTTGTGCCAAAGTGGTTGAGTTTTATAAAATACTGGAGAACATATATAAGTACTTCTCCATTGTTGCAAAACAGTAATCTGTAACTACCATTTGTCATACATGTACTCCTGTGTGTCCAGGAACTATTTTAAGCACTTCATATACAGTACCATTTATTCCTCACGCTTAAAGGAGGTATTATTACTCTTTAGGAAAGGTTCAGAGAAATTGAATAATTTTTTCATGATCACATAGCTAAGAGTTGGGATTCAAACTCAGGGCTATCTGACTTGAAAGACTGTGACATTATACCTTTTAAATATATTTGGGATTTTATAGTTTTGGTTAAAAAAATTCGCTTATTTCTAAAATAGAATCTATGAAGACACCAATTTTTTTGCACCATTATTTTCCACAATGTGCTAGTTTTTGCCAACTCCTGGCTTAGCATACTGGCTTTCCCTGTGCCTACTTATACAAAACTTGCAGCCTAGGTCTACTTTGTTAGAGATACATCCTAGGCTAGAGTCTGCTGCTATAGTAAAGTGTACTTAAATGTTAAAGAGAAGGGTGTGGTAGATTCTCTTGTTTCTGTGGATTCCCTATCTAGAGAACTTTGATGCTTGTGATCTGGGCTGAACTATGAGGGATAATACCTTGTGGAATTATATTGAAGGAGTAGCTTATGGTAGTTGGATCTCCTGGAACAGATTTTGCTCATGGTAACTGCAGTTAGCAATGGCTGCTTTCTTTTGTAAAGCATTTGTTGATCTCTCTCATTTTGTTGGGGTTTTCTCCATGCTGATCAGACATTGTTGATTTCCAGTGATTGCCCTCCTGTTGTACTTTTATTTCAACTTCTATAATCTGTCCTAAGATAGCCATTTTACTTTGAGGGTTTCATCACATAGCTTCTAATCATTCAGTTACAGGATATAAATGCCCTGTTCCCCCCATACAGCTCAGGTTTTGTTAGTTGGCCTCAAAAACTTTGGGGTGAAGAGAATGGGTATAAAAATTTTAGTGCATTCAGTTTAGCCATTCTTCTTTTCCTCACCCATTTGCAGAGGAAGTAACCTCATTTCCTACTACTCCCTTCCTTGTTTACTTTATAGCAAGGGTCAGCAAAATAAGGCCTGCTCAGCTGCCTGTTTTTGTATGGCCTGTGAGCACCACTCCAGTGGGTTAGCATTGTGAGTGTTGGAGAACTAGCTTAGCTGTTTGCCTCTGTTCCATTCTCCCCTTTGCTTCTAGCTCCTGTCACCCTGGCCAGTGGCCATGCTTTATTGCTGCCCAGACTTACTGTGGTGCTGCCTACACCAGAGTAAATATTCTGCTTGGCGTTGGCTTGGCACTAAATGGTATAATCTCAGTCTGGAAATTGGTGACTCAGCAAATTATCTCACCTACGGCCCCCTGGGGCAGGTGCCCACAGTAGACTCTCCCTGAGAATTTTGATCTCATTGGGGTAGAGTAAAACTGACCATGTTGGTCACTCCTCCTGTCTCCCTATGGCTCCTTTCCATCAGACAGGTACTTTTTCTTTGGAGAATGTCTCCAGGATGGCACCTGGGCAGCCGTGTGCCACAATTTTGGGATGGCCCAACCTAGGCAAAAAAGGTACAGGGCAGGGCAGGGGTTTTTCCTCTTGTTATATAAGTAGTTACATACTTATTATATGCTTGATTTAGCCTTTTTCCCAGCAGAGTCTAGAATATCACTGTTCAGAAAAAGTTTGCCAGTCCTGGCTTTATAGCCATATTGGCCTCCTTGCTGTGCCAAGCACACCTTTAGGCGTTGTTGCCTCAGACCTTTAGCACTTGCTGTTCCCTTCTTATGGGCTTGTTCTTTGATAGCTCCTGTTCATTCACAAACCAGAATTTTAGGTTTTATTTTTCAGAGATAGAAGAAAACTTTGCATTTTACCGATTCATTTGCTTGGGGCTAGCAACAAAACAGAGAGCAAATAGATCTAGTCTTTGCTTTCATGGAATTTAGAATCCTTTGAGAGAAAAGACAATAAACATAATCCCACCAATAATATATCACAAATTGTGTTAAATCCTATGAAGAAAATGTTCAGGGACCTGAGAGATTATAAATGGAGGGGCAACTAATTTTAAAAAGGGGTTACATTGACTGTATTTTTTTGAGACAAGATTTCACGCCATGGCCCATCCTGGAGTACAGTGGTGGGATCACAGCTCACTTCAGCCTTGACCTCCTGGGCTCAAGTGATCCTCCCACCTTATCCCGCTGCATAGTCCCTTTGGGGGACTGTAGGCCCACCACCACACCTGGCTGACGTGTGTATGTATGTGTAAAGATGAGGTCTCACTATGTGCCCAGGGTGGTCTCAAACCCCTAGGCTCAGGTGATCCTCCTACCTCAGCCTCCCAAAGTGTTGGGATTACAGGCATGAGCCACAGCGCCTGGCCTAGATTAACTTTATCACTTCTGCTGCCACCGTGGACTCCATTGATCCGTGCTAGCATCATCTCTTGACTGGATTACTACGGTAGCTTCCTAACTGATCTCTCTACTTCTGCTCGTGCACACCTGCAGTCAGTTTTCTACACAACAGTCATGGTGACTGTATGAAAATAAGTCATATTGCTGTTTTGTCCAAACCTTTTGATGATTCACACTCTTACACTATATAGTAAAACTCAGAAGTCTTACAGTTGCACTCAAGGCATCATTACTTCTTTGACTTCATCACTTACTATTTTCTCCCTTGCTCACTCTATGATCATATTGGTCTCCTTGCCATGCCAGATACATTCTTAAGTACCCTCTTGTCCCAGGGTATTGGCACTTGATTTTCCCTAGATTGGAAATTCTCAGATATCTGCTTGGCTCACCTCATCACCTTTTTCATGCCTTTTATGGTCATGCTGTTTTAGAGTTAAAACTTTTTTTCATGTAGTCAAATGACCATGTTATTTAAAACGACAACCTTCTTACCTCTCCTCATATATTCACTTTATTCCTCTTGTCTCTTTATTCTCCATGGCACTTACCACTGTCTTCTATATAATATTTTTGCTTTTTTGTCTTCCCCTCTAAAAGCTTCACAAGAGCACAGATTTTTAGATGTTTACTGCTAAATTCTTAATGTCCTAAAACTGGTGCATAGTAAGCTCTTAGTATATATTTGTTGAATGAATGAATGAGGAAAACTTTCTTTGATAACAATGTCAGCCTAGACAATAGTGAGAAATGGTGGTAAAAAGAGTGAAGGCCCTGAGCAAGGAGAGCCTATAATTTAGTGACTCGAATGTATAGTGAATATCCTGAGATGAGGCTGGAGAGTTGGATGATAGCCATATCCTGTAAGACCTTCAACATTTTTGGATGTAATTTTAAGTGTAATGGGAATCCACCAAAGGGTTTCAGTACTTAATACTTCAGAGTTTATTTCCTGAGTACAAAGATATTCTCCTGTATAACCATAGTACAACTTTCAAAGTCAGGAAGTTGGCATTGATTCATTATTACCATTTAATCTGTAGAATTCATTCAAATATTGCTGATTTTCCTAATATTATTTACAGGTTCAGGATCTAATCTAGAATCATGCAGTGCATTTAATTGTTACGTCTCTTTAATCTCCTTCAATCTGGACCAGTTCTTCAGTTTTTCTCGTCTTTCATGACCTTGACATTTTTGAAGAGTACAGGCTAATTACTTTTTAGAATTTTCCTCAATAAAGGCTTGTCTCATTTTCTTGTGATTTCTGCATTTTTGCATAGGAGTACCAGCGAAGTGATGCTGTGTTCTTTCTAGTGCATATCAGGAAAAATAAGATGTGGATTTGTTCTGTAGTGGTAATGTTTATTTTTATCGCTTGGTTAAGATGGTGTTTGCCAGGTTTCTTGACCTTACAGTTAATAAGCTTGTTGTACTAATTAGTAAATATTTTGTGGGGAGATACTTTGGGACTATGTAATATCCTGTTTCATTACACACTTTTCATTATTTTATCATTTATTGATGAATCTTACCAGAATTAGATATTATACTCTGAAAGGTACCAAATGGTAATTTTTCTAATTTCATCTAGACTATGGTACCGTAGGATAGAGTTTTCCCTATTCACCTGTTTATTTACCTCCGAATGGTGGTCTTTTCCTCAATGGGCTCTTATTTTTTACTGTTATTTTATTTAGATTGGTTCAGTGCTTAGCCATTGGGAGCCCCTTAAAGCTACCTCCTGTGCCCTTTTGACATGTCCTCATCATTTTTTGAGTACTTCCTTAACTTTCTGGCATAGCAAGATGTTTTAGACTTGAATATTGAATTTTTTCAGTCTCAGCCCTTGAGTCAGCCATTTCTCTAAGGAGCACTTGGCTCATTTTAATGCAAAAGATTATCTGGGCAGTAGGTGTGCTTATTGCTACTGTGAAGTGTTACTGCTTATAGGCCCTCTTAGCATATACATTTAGGAAATACATAGTTACACATTTATACTTGTTTTTATTTCTCTCTGCTACCTTTAAAAAATGAGTTAAAAACTAGCTGGGTGTGGTGACATGCACCTGTAGTCCTGGCAGCTCAGGGGCTAAAGTGGGCAGATTGCTTGAGCCTGGGAGTTCAAGGTTACCGTGTACTGTGATTGTGCTACTGTACTGCAGCCTGGGCAACAGAATGATACCCTGTCTGTAAACAAACAAAAAAAGTTCACATTGATATCTCCAGTTCCAGTTTAAAACTGTGGAGTTATTCTAACCTTCTGCCTTCTCATGTTTGTGGATTTTTTTTTTTTTTTTTGAGACAGGTTCTTGCCCAGGCTGGAGTACAGTGGCGCTGTCTTGGCCCACTGCAGCCATGACCTCCAGATCAAGTGATCCTCCCACCTCAGCCTCATGAGTAGCTGGGACCACAGGTGTGCGCCACCATGCCTGGCTAATGTTTGTATTTTTAGTAGAGACAGGGTTTTGCTGTGTTTCCTAGGCTGGTCTCGAACTCTGGGCTCAAGTGATCCACCTGCCTCAGCCTCCCAGAGTGCTAGGATTACAGGCGTGATCTGCTGTGCCTGGCCCTTTCAGGTATTTGTATCTCTGACCTTGGGAAACTTGGCTTCCATTATCTTCAATGTATTTACTTAATTGGATAGTTTTTCCTGTTTATAACCAAACTCATAGCCATGCCAGCCAAAAGCTTGGTCTCAGATATGTTGCCCACTCCTGCTGAAAATTTGCCCCCAGAAATAATCATTACAAAAATACCCCTGATGAAGGGGTGGGGGAAGTATAAGGGAAAAAGGAAAGGAGGAAAGATTAGAGGCCAGTTAGAAAGCTTGGCCTGACCCTTTTCTCCTCCTTTCCCTGCCAGACTTGCTGACTGACAGCTCACCCTGATGGGGGGAAGTCTGCTTTATATTTTGTGATCATTCTGGCTGCTATGCAGAAAACAGGTCGGAAAGAATGAGAAAGGAGATGGAGAGGTTGTCTAGGAAACTTTTGGATTTCTAGCTGAAAGACAGTGGTAGCTTTGATGTGCTGTGTGGCAGTGCTGGAGACAGATAGAGATGGGCTTACCCAAAACATTTAAAAGTCGGTAAACCTGTTTTTAATTGGCAGTTTACCAGAGATACTAATTTGTCTAATGGATACAAACTTATTTATTTTAGTAAGAAATAGTATTTTTAAGAAATATTTTGGTTTTCAGAGCAGATGTTAGTTTGCTTTTAGCCAATAACAGTTGATAAATATTTTTCTGTGGTGGTGGGTATGACTTTTTGTTCATAGTTTTTCACTGCATATATTTTTTAAGCTTCTGGTTTACGTATTAAAAAACTTTTTTTCATATAAAATAGCTGCTCAAAGTAAGCATGAATAATTTTTGTATCATTTTAAACCAGTTGTAATTACATAAATGCATGTAATATTTAGCTCTGGTAATTATTAATTCTGCTCTATTTTTTAGATATTATGATCAGATTTGTTCTATTGAACCCAAATTCCCATTTTCTGAAAATCAGGTAAGTCATTAATTCTGTCTTAAAATTATATGGTAATAGCACCCATTTCCTTCTGCCAATATCTTCACTGTCTTTAGAGTTTTATGAGATAGTGTTATAAAAATAGGAGCTTTTAGATCTGTCTAATGCGAATATATGTGCTTCTGAAGAAAGAATCTCCTGGAATTCTGTTCATGTCATTCTTCAGTCACTTCTGGGGCTCATGTAGAGCAATGGTTTGTTTTTCTTTGGACTTCATTTTATGTCAGTAGGATCTGTTGACTGATTAATCTGCTGTGTCCTTTCCTTTGACTTTTTCAGAATTAGGAAGGAAACTGCACAATTCAGGAATTATTAGTCTCAGTTTATGTGCTTTAAAAATTATTCGCACAAGTTACATTTGCATGTAAAAGTTGCAAATGCTGTTTTGATTAAATGTTAATTACATGAATGTCAACTATTTTCTCCTTAAAGGCTAGATGTTGAAAATGCTGATAATTTCTTATAGTTTTATTTTGGAGATTGGATAAAGATTTTAAAATTAGTGATACTTTTAAATTTTAAAATAGTTATAAGAAAAGTACTTTAAACATTCTTGTACTAAAGTTTTTACAGGTGAAATAATTATATGTTGAGATTTCCTTTAATATATTCCTGGAAAAAAAGTGTAGGTGGCTGGAGGCAGGGCAAATTGGGAGGTAGATGAACCAAGAAGGGCAAAAGACTAAAGCTGCTGATGGATGTACTGGAGTTCATTCTCTTTATTCTCTTTAGTTTTTCTGTATGTTTGAAAATTTCCCTAATCAAGAGTTTAGAAATTTTTGTATTAGATTGCAATAAATAATTTAAATGAGGTTTATTTCTTTCTAATCTTTGTATGTGATAATACATATTTCAGGAGCAGAGAGAGAGTTTTTTAATAAACATTTAATTTTCATGTAGCATATGGAAAAGTGAACAAATCACGGGTATAGCTTGAATCTTACAAAGTGAATATGTCTGTATAACCACCACCTAGATAAATAAATAAAATATTAACCTATTCCCCAAAATAACCATTCTCCTACTTTTGTCATCATGGAATAGTTTTTAATTTCATCTTCTAGGAAACCTGTAGTACTTACTTTTATTTCCCTTGCTTCACTTAGCTTATTTGACAAGGATCTACTACTTATTTTGTTCCGTTGAAGTCATTGTGTGTTTATAAAGATGAATAAGATAGTGTTTATGATTACCAAGGCAGAATGACCATTTGAAATATCCCAGTGCCAGTATTTTACTTTTTTTAGATTTCAATTTAAAAGGAGAAGGAAAGGAAGTTGGGTGGTTATAGGAGATAATATTTTGAGCTTTTGTCCTTTTTTTCATGGTGGATTTTTCTTCAAAGAAGACTTAATATTTAATGAGATTCAGGAAGGTTACCTAATTTTCTGTTTTCTTTCATTCTATCCAGATCTGCTTGACATTTACCTGGAAGGATGCTTTCGATAAAGGTTCACTTTTTGGAGGCTCTGTAAAACTGGGTATGTAATTTTTAATAAAAGTGATAGGAAAATTGGTCTAACTACTTTGCATTGTTTTTAGTTTTTAAAATTGTTATCCTAATGACTCTTTGTAAATACTAAAGTTTTTTACATTTCATTCTCTTTTTAGCTTCAACTTTTAATGCAATTTTGAAATATTTGTAGAGAGCCCATGCCTTGCCAGGCACTGTCCTAGTTATAAAAATGAATAAAACCGATGTACTTAGTTTTTGGGAAGATAGTTGATCATTTAAAAGTGTAATATGTAATAGCCTATGAACAAACTCATGGAAGCATATATGAGGAAGAAAGTAATTCTACCTTTTGAAAGCAGACAATGTTTGAGTTAGGCCTTGAAGGATGGATTTGTAGAAAATAATATTACAGATACAAAATCATAACCATAGGTCAGAAGGGTGAGGACATTTGATCTACCAGCTCCAGCAAGATAACCTCTCTGTGCCTTAATTTTCTTATCTGTGAAATGGAGATAATACTATTTCTCTCATTGGATTCTTTTTTTTTTTTTTTTTGAGACAGAGTTTTGCTCTTGTTGCCCAGGATGGAGTGCAGTGGCACGATCTTGGCTCACTGCAACCTCTGCCTACTGGGTTCAAGTGATTCTCCTATTCTTCTACCTCAGCTGGGATTACAAGCACCCGCCACCACACCTGGGTAATTTTTTTAGTAGAGACGGGGTTTCACCATGTTGGCCAGGCTGGTCTCAAACTCCCGACCTCAGGTGATCCACCCATCTCGGCCTCCCAAAGTGCTGGGATTACAGGTGTGAGCCCCTGGCCTATTCCATTAGATTCTTATGTGGATTAAATGAGTGAATACATGTAAAGTCCTAAGAACAGTGCTTTATTAGCTGCAATGAATAATTATATTATTATATAACATTGTAATGTATATGTGATATATGTATATTTCATGTATATATGTATATTTCATGTATATTATATGTATATATGTATTATATATGCACATATAATGTGTATTATATGTGCATATATAATGTGTATTATATATGCATGTATGTATATATGTGTATATAATGTGTATTATATATATGTATGTATATATGTAAGTATATAATGTATTATATACATATATGTATATATACTTACATATACACACATATATAGTATATTTGTATACATATATACATTTATGTGTATGTATAGTATATATAATATGTATACTATATGCATGTATTATTCATATACATATATGTATATACATATATACATATATATTCATGTACACATATACATATATGTATATATTATATATAAGAAATATGTATATATACACATGCATTATATATAAGTATGTATAATATGCCTTATGGTATATCCTTTTTATAGTATACATATACATTAAGATATGCTATAATATATACTATATACCTTCTAAGATATAGATGTATAATATGTATTATATAGTATGTGCATACCATATACATACATGTATCTATATATCTTATATAAGGTTTATACTTATATATAGGTGAGGAAATGGAAATATATATTTTATAGTAGATATTATATATAATGTTAATTTAATAATAATTATTGTTATGGCTTGTAACCATAGGTTGAATTGGGGATTATGGAGGGTGATGATATTAGAAAGCAGATTGTGGAGAGTTGCAAATATTATGCTCCTGACTTTGTACTTTTCCCTCTTATATAATAATAGTGCATGTTTATTGGGCATTTATTTTACCCAGGTACTCTGGAAGGGACTTCATAAATAGTCTTACTGAATTCTCCAATAGCTTAATGAGGAAAAGGCACTATTATTGCCAGTTGAACAAACTGGTTTAGAAAGATTACGTGATTTTCTGAAGTCATATGGTTAGGATTTAATGAAGCTGGGATATGAATCTAGAAGGCCTAACTCCCGGGACTAGAGAGAAACAGACCAGTGAGGAGACTGATGAGAGATGATGAGGTTAGACAAGCTAGTGTGTGCAAGTTACAGAAGAGAGGGATTTCAGACTTTTCAGAGGTGAAGTTGACTGAATTTGCTGACTACCAGTCAGAAGGAAGAGTAAGAGTTGAGGCTTGACTCTGAGATTTAATAAGTTGGTTTGACCTGTTGGATATTTATTCCTCTTTAGTAGAAAGGTTGACTCTGATTTTTCTGTGTTATGTCTGGGTAGACATTTCTCTGGCATTTTGAAATAAAGGATTTAAAGCTCAGAAGAGAAAGATATACATTCGGGAACAATTATTAGGTGATAATAAATTTATTCCTTCTGGCAGATAATTGACTGAGAAAAGTATCAAAGTCAGAGCTAAGTAATATAACATTCAGGGGAAATAGAGGAAGAGGTTCTGGGAATGAGGTTGAGAAAAAGCTTTCATATCTTACAGGAACCAGGGTAAAATAGAGATGTGAAGGAATGCCAGAAGAGTTTCAAAGGTGATGTGGTCCAGTGGTTCCCAAACCTGGCTGCGTATTAGTATTACCTGGGAAAAATGTTAAAGGTTTATCTTTAAAGATGAAGATACAGAGTGCCAGATGTGATAGGAGAAAGTTTTGGAGTAGGGCACTGGAATTAGTATCTTTGGAAATATCTCCGGGTGGCCGGGTGCGGTGGCTCACGCCTGTAATCCCAGCAGTTTGGGAGGCCGAGGTGGGTGGATCACGAGGTCAGGAGTTTGAGATTATCCTGACCAACATGGTGAAATCCTGTCTCTACTAAAAATACAAAATTAGCCAGGTATAGTGGCGCACGCCTTGTAATCCCAGCTACTCAGGAGGCTGAGGCAGGAGACTCACTTGAACCTGAGAGGCAGAGGTTGCAGTGAGCTGAGATTGTGCCATTGCACTCCAGCCTGGGTGACAGAGCAAGATTCTGTCTAAAAAAAAAAAAAAAAAAAAAAAAAGAAAATATCTCCAGGTGATTCTGATGATCATCCCAGGTCCAGGCTGGAACATCCTTGACAGAGTCATTGTGGCAGAACTCAAGTCATGTAAGGTTGGAGAAGTCACTGGATTTAGCAGAGAGAAGTTTCTCTTGGAGTATCCTGAATAAGCATCAGATTGAGGGGTGAATGGGAGGTGAGGGAATGGAAACAGTAAATGTGGGTTGCTCATTTCAGGAAATCTACAGTAAAGATTTGGGGACAAAGGGAGCATCATTCTGAGAGGGAGCCAAGGTGCAGAAAAGGATTTTTAGTATTGTTATGACTTAAGAAATTTGGTAGGCTGAGAATAAGGAGCAGATGGCAGGAGAACTAGGAGACACTTGAGTGATGAACTCAAGTATCCAGAAGAACTGGGAAGCAAAAAATTAGATCATAAACAGGAGGTGGTTCATCAAGGCATTTCTAGTAGCAAAAATTGGTAATTAAATGTCCTTCAGTAATGTCTTGGTTAAATAAAAGGCTACTCATTCATTTGAATATTGTGTACTTTTGGAATACTAAGAATAAAAATGCATATATGTATTTGTTGATATGTAAAGTTATATCAATGGAATATTGAATAAAAGGCCTGCCTTAGTTCAGAGTTGTTGCATTGTACAACTCTAGGGTCCCCGGAATTGGGCTCCTTGGGACACTCCTCATACAGAACTCAGAGTAATTCCTCCTCCCTCGAGTTGTGCACTCCAGGCAACTCGAGTGTGGTATAGTATCCACTTTGTGAAAAGTTATGTGTGTGAATGTTTATGTAGTTATTTGTGAGATACCAAAAAATAAATTCTGGTTAACTCTGGAAGATGAGATGTTGGGTGATTTTTAATTATTTTTTTGTAGTTTAGAAAAATTGTTTGAATTTTAGAAAGCTGTTATTTTCATGAGTTATTTTCGTTTTGAAAAACTTAGAGGCTGGAAGTGGTGGCTCGTGCCTGTAATCCCAGTACTTGGGGAGGCCAAGACAGGTGGATCACTTGAGCCCAGGAGTACAAGACCAGCTTGGGGAACAGACGAAACTCTGTCTCTACAAAAAATAAAAAAATTAGCCAGACATGGTGGTGTGTGCCTGTAGTCCTAGCTGTTTAGGGGGTTGAGGTGAGAGGATTGCTTGAGCCTGGGAGGTTGAGGCTGCAATAAGCCATGATCACGCCACTGTACTTCAGCCTGGGTGACAGAGTGACACCTTGTCTCAAAAGAAAAAAAAAAGATAAAAGAAAAACTTAAAAGAGAGCAAGTAAGAAACAAGAATACAGTTAAATACTTAGAAAGGCATCTTTGAAAAAAAGGAAAATTAAATATTGTTTTGAAAACCTGGTTTAAGTTTAGATGGATAGAAAAAAATAAAGGAAAAAAAGATAAAATAGCTCTTATATGTAAAATCTCATAAAAGCTCTTATACATGACAAATTGTCAAAATAAAATGAGAGACTACAGTCTGGTATGATAATATTTATGGGCAACATAATAGACTGAGATATGTATCCAATATATAAACAGTTTACTTTTATTTCTTGTTTGGAATATATTTCATTCTTGTTTTTTTTTTTTTTTTTTTTTTTTGGAGAACAGTCTTGCTCTGTTGCCCAGGGTGGATGGAGGGCAGTGGCATGATCTCGGCTTACTGCAACCTCTGCCTCTGAGGTTCAAGTGATTCTCGTGCCACAGCCTCCTGAGTAGCTGGGATTACAAGCATGCACCACCACGCCTGGCGAATTTTTGTATTTTTAGTAGAGACGGGGTTTCACCATGTTGGCCAGGCTGGTCTCGAACTCCTGACCTCAAGAGCTCCGCCCACCTTGCCTTCCCAAAGTGCTGGGATTACAGGTGTGAGCCACCACGCCTGGCTGATATTTAATTTTGTTCCTTGCTCTCTCCTGCCACACTGGCCTAATGTATATATTTATTGAATTAATTAAAATTATATTCAGAACTTGAAGATATTGATCCCTTGCTTTTTTTTTTTTTTTTTTTTTTTTGATAGGGAGTCTCACTCTGACGCTAGGCTGGAGTGCAGTGGCACGATCTCGGCTCACTGCAACCTCCGCCTCCAAGGTTCAAGCGATTATCCTGCGTCAGCTTTCCGAGTAGCTGGGACTACAGGTGTGCGCCACCACGTCCAGCTAATTTTTGTACTTTTAATAGAGACAGGGTTTCACCATGTTGGCCAGAATGGTCTTGTTCTCTTGACCTCGTGATCTGTCCGCCTCAGCCTCCCAAAGTGCTGAGATTACAGGCGTGAGCCACTGCACCTGGCCAATCCCTTGCCTTTTAGTATCTAGTGTTACTGATGAAAAGTCTGATTTTTGTTATTTTATAAGTGATCTGTTTCTTTGCTCTTGGGAATATTTTTACAGTCTTCTCTTTATCTTTCATGTTTAGAAATCTCAAAAGACTTAATGGGATTTCATTTTATTCGTGTGTAGGGCATTTCTTTTTGGCCCTTTTAGTTTGAACACTTATATCTCCCTTAAGCTCTGGGAAGTTTTCTTATATTTCTTTGATAATTTTCTTGTCTCTTTTGTCTCTCTTTCTTTGGAATACTTTATTAGATGTTGGTTGTTCTGAGTTGTTCACTCGTAATTTTTATATTTTTTCTTGACTTTCTGTTCTTTCTGAGATTGCCTAGATATTAATTTTAAAACTTGAAAAAAAATTTTTTTTCCTTCCTCCGCCCTTAAAACTTTTGAAAAAAATTTAACAATCAAGTTTTTAATTTTTAGGAGCTTTGTCTTATTAATTTAAAAAATCCTTTTCTTTTATGGATGTACTGTCTTTGAATCTCTTTAAGGAATGCTAATTGTGATATTTGGAATATAATCTTTTATGACTGGAATTGTCTTTATTTATTTTGGGCTTAGTTTTTCAGTTCGCATTGCTCTTCCTTTATTTTGCTGCAGGCTTTTTTCACAACCTGGTTATTTTGGATTTTCCATATGTTTAATAAAGTAGGTTAGAGTAGCTGGTGTTTATGTCTGCTTTAGTTTAGAATGAGGAGACTAGAACTGGTTTGGAAGCAAGTTGAAAACTGGCCTTTATTACCTAGGAGGCCACCAAAGTACTGTAACAAGGAGGGCTTTACTTTATGGTACAACTCTGTGGCACAAACATACAAATGTAGTGTTGTTCTGATTCTCCTAGATTGGTTTGTTCAGTGTTTTTTGTAAGGAGCCTTATTTTGCCTAGTGGTCAATGCCTTGCACATTATGCAAGATCTTGAATTCCAAACTGATTGAATTCTGTGAGTAATAGGGAGCTATTGTAGATTCTTTTTTAAAAGTTATTTTTCAATTGTGATACAATATACACAATATGCCTTCTTAACCATTTTAAGTGTACACTTCAGTGGTATTAAGTACATTTACATTATTGTGCAAACATCATCTCGAGAACTCTTTTTCATCTTACAAAACAAACTCTGCCCAGTAAATGATAACTTCACAGACTGGGGGCGGTGGCTTATGCCTGTAATCCCAGCATTTTGGGAGGCCGAGGTGGGAGGATTGCTTGAACCAACGAGTTCAAGACCAGCCTAGGCAACATAGTGAGTCCCTGTCTCTACAAAAGATACAAAAATTAGCCGGGTATGGTGGCCTGTGCCTGTAGTCCCAGCTACTCAGGAGGCTGAGGCAGGAGGATTGATTGAGTCCAAGAGGTAGAGGCTGCAATGGGTGTGATTGCACTAGTGCACTCCAGCCTGGGTGAGAGAATGAGACCCTGTCTCAAAAGAAAAAAACAATTATAATGTCCCATTCTTCCCTCCCCCCTCAACCCTTGGCAACTAGCATTCTTTCAGTCTCTGAATTAAACTGTAGGTACCTCATACAAGTAGAGTCGTAGACTGCATTTAAAAAAAATTTCACAACATGAAATTTATTATCTTAATCATTTTTAAGTATACAGTTCACTAGTGTTGGGTGTATTTCATATTGTTGTAAAATACATCTCCAGAACTTTTTCATCTAGCAAATCTGAAATATTGTACTAATTGAACAACAATCCCCCTCCCCCTACCACCATCCCTGATAACCATCATTCTGATTTCTGTCTCTATGAATTTGATTACTCTAGGTAACTCATATAAGTGGAATCATACAATATTTGTCTTTTTGTGACTGACATTTCATTTAGCTTAATGTCCTCAAGATTCATCCGTGTTATAGCATATGATTTCCTTCTTGTTCAAGGCTCACTAATATTCCATTGTATGTATATACCACATTTTGTTTATATATTCATCAGATCACAGACACTTGGGTTGCTTTCATGTTTGGCTTTGTGAATAATGCTGCTATGAACATGGGCATACGTATATCTCTTTGAGACTCTGCTTTCATTTTTTTGGGGGTGTATACTCAAAAGTGGAATTGCTGGATAAAATAGCAATTCTATTTTTAATATTTTGAGGACCTGCCATATTGTTTTCCACAGCAGTTGTACTTTTTCTAATTTTTATTTTTTATTTTGAGACAGGGTCTTGCTCTGACGCTCAGGGTGAAGTGTAGTGGCATGATCATAGCTCACTGCAGCCTTGAACTCCTGGGCCCTAGTGGTCCTCCCGCCTCCGAGTAGCTAGGACTATAGACATGCACCACCATACCTGGCTGTTTAAAAACAATTTTTTTTTTTTTTGTTGAGATGGGGTCTTGCTGTGTTGCTCAGGCTGACCTCAAACTCTTGGCTTCAAGAGATCCTCCTGCCTCAGCCTACTAAAGTGCTGAGATTACAGGAGTGAGCCACCATGCCCAACCACGAGTTTGCGTTCCTGCCAACAGTACAGGAAAGTTCCAGTTTGTCTATATCTTCATCAATGCTTATTTTCTGTTTGTTTTTTAATAGGAGCTATCCTAAGTGGATGTGAGGTGTGTAGATTTTTTTTTTTTAATCAGAGTTGGGTTTTAGCCCAGCTAACCTGCTAGCCCTTTGAGAAATGTATTTGCATGAGGGAGTAAAGCATAAGGCCAGCTAGGAGGTAATTGCATTGACTTAGATTTGTGGTAATGAGGAATTGGTTTGATTGTGGTGGGACAATGTGATTTTGAGAGGTGACAGAAAAATGGAAATAATTTATTCAAATTTAAGAAACTGAGAGAAATGACATGAAAATGACTTTTACATTTGAATTTGATTGTAATAGAAATGTGGAAGTAAAGGGAAGGAGAGAAAGAATAACTTACTGTTCTTCAGCGTTTTGGGTGATGGGAATATTGTTGTGGAAATAAATGCCTGTAAGGGCAGCTTGAAATATGGGAGCATATGACAGCAAGAAAACAGGTCTGGAAACTTGTTTTTGTGAGAGTCAGCGGGATGAGAGAGGTCATAGTATTTCTCTTTGAAACATTTGTTTTCTTTAGAAAAAATAATCTGATGAATTTTTCCTTCTCAATTTTTTACAGCTCTTGCAAGCTTAGGATATGAAAAGAGCTGTGTGTTGTTCAATTGTGCAGCCTTAGCTAGCCAAATTGCAGCAGAACAGAACCTGGATAATGATGAAGGATTGAAAATCGCTGCTAAACATTACCAGGTATGCTGAAAAGTAGTTACTACAATAATGGTCAACACTAAATTGGATTAAGTGGAAAATAATTTGCATTTAGGTTTATAGATACTTCTTACGCAACAGATGTTTTCTAAAACGAATGCACTTTTAAAATGAATTTATTCTTACTGTTAAAGCCCTTAGATAAACTGTCTATAGACCAGGTCTGTTATTCCTCATTGTTTTATACCGAGCACCTAGCACAGTGCCTGGCACATAATAGAGGCTCAATAATTGTTGGTTGAAGAAATTATGAAATGTCTGAGATTTCATCTCAGGCATTTAGGGTAAATCCATTTTAAATAAATTACCTAATTAAAAAAAATTTGTACATTATTTTCATATGTTTTCTTAGAGTGAGACACACTTGAAATTTCACTGTTGTTACAAAAATAAAGACAAGAAATTGGCAAGAAAATAAAATTTTAACTTTGAGACTTGTGGAGAGGTCATATTTAAATATGGTCAGACACATAATGTTCATAAGTTGCCTAATCTGTTTTACGTACTGATCATTTACTAATATGGCATGTTATTTTGTGGCAGTTTATTTTATTTTATTTATTTATTTATTTTGAGACGGAGTCTTGTTCTGTTGCCCAGGCTGGAGTGCAGTGGCACAATCTCGGCTCACTGCAAGCTCCGCCTCCTGGGTTCACGCCATTCTCCTGTCTCAGCCTCCTGAATAGCTAGGACTATAGGCATCCGCCACCTCGCCTGGCTAATTTTTTTTGTATTTTTAGTAGAGATGGGGTTTCACTGTGTTAGCCAGGATGGTCTTGATCTCCTGACATCATGATCCACCCACCTCGGCCTCCCAAAGTGCTGGGATTACAGATGTGAGCCACCATGCCCGGCCAGCAGTTGTTTATTATTTATTCAGCTTTTTTTTGTTTTGGTTAAAAGAACAGTAAATGATTACTGTTAAATAATATATATATAATCATGTTGTCATTTTATATTACTTTCTAATTTACAAAGTGTTTTCATGTACATTATTTGACTCTCAGATAAACCTTGTGATGTATGTCATATAATGTCATTCCGATTTTACATACGAGGAGGCTAAAGGTCCGAAGTCTTAATAAAGCAGTCTATTTGGGTTTCAATAGTTCTGATTCCAAATTTCATGTAATTCCAAATGTCCTTCCACTGTTTCACTCCCAAACCTCCCATGAAATTTGCTTGTCTCAGAGGTAGTCTGCTTTTTCCCGTTGTTTATGTTTAGGGAAGAGGTGAGTGATGCTGTTCTGAGAAAGTAAAAGGAAAATATACCGTAAGCAAACAACACGCTCCAAATTGTGGCTTGCCTTACAGTTTTGAATGGGCATAGATGACAAACATAATGCATACGCTATTTCTTTTTGAGGCTATACATGGCAAATATTTTAAAATGTGAAAACGAGCTGGGCGTGGTGGCTCACGCCTGTAATCCCAGCACTGTGGGAGGCTGTGGTGTGCGGATCACGAGGTCAGGAGTTCCAGACCAGCCTGGCCAACATGGTGAAACCCTGTCTGTACTAAAAATAGAAAAATTAGCTGGGTGTGATGGTGGGCGCCTGTAGTCTGAGCTACTCGGGAGGCTGAGGCAGGAGAATCTCTTGAACCGAGGAGGCGGAGGTTGCAGAGAGCTGAGGTTGTGCCATTGCACTCTAGTCTGGGCGACAAGAGCAAGACTCTGTCTCAAAATAAATAAAATAAAATACAGTAGTGAAAACGAAGTAAAATTTTATTTAGCTTTTGGTTAACTGTAACTCAGTTAGTTAGTATATGAGATTTTAGAAAGGTCATTCTGAATTATGAAAGAAACATTCCATTCTGTGAGGGTTCACAGCAGGGCACCTGGTATCATGGAAAGATAACTGGTGGTATTAGACCTAGGTCCTTGTCTAGGCTGCTTGCCACCCAGAAGCTTTGTGCCGTTGGGCAAGTTCTTTAACCTCTCTAGTACCTCCAGTTCCTTATCTGTAAATGAGAGACTCAGACACTTTGCTGTTGTAGACTTTGATTCACTAGTTTACTGAACAAGTTCAGTTGTTCATTCCTAGCAGATACTCTAGTGTTATAATACTTACTGACTGCAGAAACATGCTGTTCATTTTAATACATTTGACTTTGAGTTTTCTCTGTGTTGTCTATTTATCTAACTCATGACACCTTTTTTTTTTTTTCTTTTTTGAGATGGAGTCTCGCTCTGTTGCCCAGGCAGGAGTACAATGGCGTGATCTTGGCTCACTGCAACCTCCGCCTCCTGGGTTCAAGTGATTCTCCTGCCTCAGCCTCCCGAGCAGCTGGGATTACAAGTGTGTGCCATCATGCCCAGCTAATTTTTGTATTTTTAGTAGAGACGGGGTTTCATCATGTTGGCCAGGCTGGTCTTGAACTCCTGACCTCAGGTAATCTGCCCACCTCAGCCTCCCAAAGTGCCGGGATTAACAGGCGTGAGCCACCGCACCCGGCCAACTCATGACACCTTTTAATCCCAGACTGATTTATTTCTTTTTCTTAGTATAATTTGTTTCATGAAAGCAAAGTTATTTTAGTATTAACAAAATATAATTGAGATGAAAAATCTGATGGGGAACATTTCACTAGTGAGCTCTGAAGGCCAGACAGAAATCACTGGCAATGGGTAGTAATGCTGTTCCTCAGAGGACTAGGTGTATGTACTACCTGGGGTGTCCCCTAACTACGGCATGTTTAATTATTTGAAAGATGAATTTGTTTGGGACCAAAGCAAGAGCATTGCAGTACTAAAAATATTTTAATGTTTATCCCCGCCTCTATTCTCATGTTAATTTTGAGGAAGTATATCTAAAAATAGTTTAATCAGATTGTTCCATTAGTTTACTTTGTTTTTCCTTGTAATTTACTTTTAATCTTTGTTAAATCTCTTGTTACGCTATAGAGTTTTAGAAAGATAACCTTATTGTCTGTAGGTCAGATGTTTTAGATTGGTTTTGCATAATATAAAAATTTAAATATATTAACTGTTCACTGAGTTAACATTTGAAATGACTTTTATATGTAACAGTAGGAAATTAAGTCTTGCTGAGTTCCTATAAAGAAATTCTTTTTCCCCCCTTTAGTTTGCTAGTGGTGCCTTTTTACATATTAAAGAGACGGTTTTATCTGCCTTAAGTCGAGAGCCGACCGTGGACATATCTCCAGATACTGTTGGGACCCTCAGTCTTATTATGCTGGCACAGGCTCAAGAAGTATTTTTTTTAAAAGCCACAAGAGGTAACTCCAATTTATCTTTTTGTTGCATGTGAAAAAAAGTGATAAGGCTTTTAAATTAAGAAAGTGATTAGAATATAATATGTTCAATGTCGAGCTGTCCTTCTTGAACTTGATACATGAATTATGGAAAATTTTCAGCTATCCTTTTCTGAATTTGTGGCACAAATTTACATTTAAGAATGTAGGCTGTGTTTGAAGTCATGAAATAGATCTTTAGTAATTGTCTTTAAACACTCCATTCTGGAATAGTATTTATGTATGTTTTTAACATGTCAGACATTTATTCGCAAATATTTATTGGATACTTACTCTGTGCCAGTCACTGTTCTAGTTTCTAGATAAACGGAGTTAGAAAACAACTTAGGTTTTGGCGACGGGAGAGATGATAAGCAAGAATTAAGTAGACAGGATAATTTCATAAATAATTGCTATAAGATTTCAGAAATAATTGCTATAAAAAATAAGAGAATTATATGATAGTGGCTGGTGGTATGGTTATGGGATAGGGATATAGGGGAAGCTGGGCTAATTTTAGATTCATTAGTCAAGAAGGCTTTCTTTCAGGAGGTCCTCTTTAAAGTAGACCTAAATGACAAGAAGGAGTCATCCAGGCACAGTCCCTAGCCCTGGGAATGAGGGAATAAGAATAATTCTTATAAGGCATATAAGTTAGCATGAGAGATTGAAAATGGGCTGAATATGTAATATGGGCTGAAACTGAAAATAAGAGATAAGTCATCATGTGGAAGAAATAGGAATTGGAATACTTTTTTCTTTTAAAATAACAGCTTATATTGAGATAGAATTTATATACACTCAAGTTCACCCTTTCTAAGTATACAACATAAGATTTTTAGTATATTCATAGAGTTTTGATTACCACTATCTTATTTTAGAACATTACCATCATCCCAGAAAGAAGCCATGTACCCATTAGCAGTCACTCCTCACTCCCCTTTCCCCCACTGCTGGCAACCACTAATCTATTTTGTCTGTTCTAAATTTTGTGCAGAAAATGTGATTTCATCAAGAAAGATGTTTTCAGATGCGTGTACAAACTTGTGACCTCAGTGTTTATACTGAGACATGTCAGATTAGCTCATATTTATTTTAATTATAATGGTCATATTGTATTCCAGATAAAATGAAAGATGCCATCATAGCTAAATTGGCTAATCAGGCTGCAGATTATTTTGGTGATGCTTTCAAACAGTGTCAATACAAAGATACTCTCCCCAAGGTCAGTTATTGTTTTTATAAACACTTGCTTACTTTGCATGTGAAATATTTAGACTTTTTTGTGTATAAGAAGCAAGTTGAAACTTATAAAGAAATTTGAAGTTTTAATAGAGTTATCTGAAGTATATAGTAGAAATAGTTTTTTTTTTTTTTTAATTTAAGATGCATGAACAATTCTTTTATGTTTAGGGGATGCCTTTGTCTTTACCTTTTACTAAACTTGTTTTTCCAAGCTAGAACTCTTTCTGGAAAATGTTGACCATCTGTTTTCAATACTTTTATCAAATCAAGGCATTGTGTAGTTCTGAATCATTGGTGATTTGGTACAAGCATGTATACTTGAGCATGTTGATGATTCACACTTTTAATTATTGTCCTGTTTTCTTAAAGATGAGCCTTAAAGCGCAAAAACAGACATAAAGAAAAAAGGAAAAGAAAACTTAACAAATTCATCTGATACTTTGATTAGAATTCAGTTTTGCCAACAGGGATAAAAAATTGGGCTGCTAATGGACAGCTAAGGAAAGCAACCATCTTAAACCACATATCACAGGAAGTATAATGTTTTAATGTAAACCTTTCTGAAGTGACAATTGTAAAGACTATTCAGTGATGATCATTTGTTAATGACAAAGCAAATCACTAGTAAATTTGGAATGATTAATAAAGAAAACTTAAAGATTGAGTGAAATATATGTTTCAACTACTTCCTTCAGAAATGTTCAAGGAATTAGTTTCATCATATGGTATCTGTTACATGATTTTTTTTGGTAGGGGAATTTATTGATTTGTAAGTCATATTCAGGAATCTTTGTACATTAAAAAATTGCAGACAACTTGGGGGTGAAGTAAAAATGCACATAAGTGCATTAACAGTACTTATTACTCAGAAAATGATCAATAAGGAATTAATGTGACGATTCCTGGGGATTTAAGATACACCAAGAGCCTAGTAGAAATTTGCCCAGGATTCTTGGGTATTAACAGCCTTCCTCTTAAAAAGAGACTTGGGATCTCCTCTCATGTTTTTTTCATCTGAAAGACCTCATGTTCAGCTGCACAGTGTTCCGTTACATCCTGTTGGGCCATTAGTTCAGTCCTGTCATGGAGAGAAGAAAGTCACCTACAAAGACTTGGAAGCTACCTCTGCAGCATTCCTGGTATTCCTTGAAAATCTCCTGTTTCAGAACCAAGTTGCTCCAGCCTTACCTTGAGAACTGGCATGAGTGTAGTTTGAAATTTAGATGTCTTTTATTTTTTCCTTTTTACTAATAAAGCTCATAAGGTATTTTCATATTCTAGTTATAAAACTGAAAAGTCTGCAAGTAGTGATCCAGGAAGGTAGGAAATTATTCCCTGGGAGACAGGAAAGCACACAAGGTAGTAATTCAGTTTTTGATTCTCTTACATTTTTTGTTTAGATAGTGATTGTCTAGCCTAATTCCTTGGATTTTTTTAATATCATATACTTCCTAAAAGCAGTGAGGTTACAGGTTAGATTTTGACGTTTTGGAAGAGCCACCACTAGTATAATTGCTTTCCTGCTTTATGTCTTTGGATCTTTTGAAATTAATTTTGACTGGAATTATTTTCAAAACAAATAGGCAAAATAACACTTTATCATTATCATTGGTCATATACTTAGTGCATTTGTCTATGATATGTTTTTGAGTATATGACACTGAAATATTAGTGTATCTATGATACTAAATCATTTTTATATGGCTAAAATCATCTTCAGTAAGAACTCTCTTAGGATATGAATTTAAGTGAAAATTTACTGTCTTTTTTTTAAAACATGATGAAACAGTAATCTATAGAGCAATTTCATTAGTATATGTGAGTAATGATGGTTTAGTTAACTCTACAGGCTGGGTAAGGGCTCATAAGAAAGCTTCTAAAGCTCTGTGCTTTGTGTTCCTCTGTGAATGTCCATTCTACTTCTCTTTCTAATAATGCATGCTTTTCTTTTTGTAAACAAAATGTTGACTTCATGGATCAATTAAAGAGAATTGTAAAAACCTAAATTGGCTTCAGTTAACAGTTAAAAAAAACCCCTTCAATTGGAAGAAAAAAAATTTAATTCATAGATTTCAATCCACACAAAATCATGTCGTCTTCTCTGTTTACACCTAATGACTAACCTTAATCTCTAAACCATTAATGGGGTGATTCTAATTTCTGTCTTCTTTTCCTTTTTCTTCCTGCATCCCATGTTGTCTGTGGTGGTTTGTGTGGTTGGACTCTCCCCTGGTCAGTATTTTTATTTCCAGGAGGTGTTCCCTGTCTTGGCTGCAAAGCACTGTATCATGCAGGCCAATGCTGAGTACCATCAGTCTATCCTGGCAAAACAGCAGAAGAAATTTGGAGAAGAAATTGCAAGGTTACAGGTGAGTCTCTTGGTAATAAATATTTAAGTAACTAACTTGGATCTCTCTTTTTTTTCCTAGTGAGATTTCCAAGTTTGCCCATAAAAACCTTTCCCGTTCATCACCCCTATCAGCAGGGACAAGTGATTGTTTTTATCTTTAGACTTTACTGCATGTTTTTTTGAGGTCTCATATTTTATCTAAAAAATAGATGCAAAATTTGCATTCAATTCTCTTTTTTATCCATGTTTATTTTAATGTAAAAATAATTCTAAATTAATTGCCATCTCCAGATTGTTTTTGTCTTTAGACTTTACTGCATGGTTTTTTGAGGTCTCATATTTTATCTGAAAAATTCATGCAGAATTTGCATTCAGTTCTCTTTTTTGGTCATGTTTATTTTAGTGTAAAAATAATTCTAAATTAATTGCCATGCTCCAGGAGTATGTGTAGTGTTTAACTTGTGGCCTGGTCTTTGTCTAAACTGGGGCATATACTTCCACAACTTGAGGACGACAGTGGAGAGATGTGTGTGCATATATATATATATACACACATATATCTCTTGTGAACAGCAGAGTACCTTCTATGCAGTTGTGTTCATACTGTTGGCATTGGGGTTGTCAGAAACTTGCTGTGACATTATGGCACCTGAGGCAACTTGCCAGCAGGAGCAAGAGCTGTTTGTATGAGTTGTTTGTGTTTTGAGTATTGGTAGACAGAGGATAGAAAGATGACTTATGGCATTTGAGTTAGGGAAGTTTAAATATGTACTGATTTTTAGAAGATACTATGGATGTCTTGGTTCATTTTGTGCTGTTATAGCAGAATACCACAGACTGGGTAATTGATAAAGAACAGAAATTTGTCACAATTCTGAAGGCTGAGAAGTCGAATATCAAGGTGCTGGCATCTGGTGAGGGCCTTTGTGTTGTGTTACCTGTGGTGAAAGGTAGAAAGGCAAGAGAGTGCTAGTGAGTGAGAGAGAGCAAGAGGGAGCCAAACTGCTCAATGAAGCCCCTCTCTTGGTAACTAACCCTCTCCCATGATAATGACATTAATCTATTCATGAGGGCAGAGCCCTCTTGACCTAATCACCTCTTATTATGCCCCCACGTCCCAACACTTTGGGATTGGGAACACATGAACTTTGGGGGACACATTCAGACCATAACAATGGAAATGTTGTTTAGGAGGTTCAGATTAATTAATTAGCCTTTTCATGGGAAAGGATCTCACAGTGACCAAATCAGAGAAAGTCTTTTTAAAAAAGTCAGACCCAGATGTGTCTGGGGCTTCACTTTGATTACAGTAACTTAGATTTATATATAAAAATGATTCTGAACAAGGAATTTGTGGGAAGGATTCTTTTTTTAAGGCTAGCATATTTAAATTGTAAGTTTAGTTTCTTTATTTTCTGGTTTCTGGGACTATTAGATTTAAGTAAGCCCATATTTAGTCTCTATAAATCAGTCAGAGAAAGAACTCCTTTTGAAATTTAATCTCATTTTTAAGTACCCCTGAAAAAGGAAACTATTTCAGATTCACACAATGGGAGGGAGGTAAATACTTTTCCTCAGTTATAGACACATAGATTTTGCAGCTTTAGTTTTACAGCTTTAGTTATAGGTTAAAGTTAAGACAGAAGTTGGGTGTGATGGCACCTGCCTGTAGTCCAGCTACTTGGGAGGTTGAGGTGGGAGGATCGTTTGAAGCTAGTAGTTTGAGGCCAGCCTGGACAATATAGTGACACCCCTTCTCAAAAAAAAGTTAACACAGAACACACTCACTGATCCATATTTCAGAGGACAGTTATTCTTTCCGGTAGGCATGAAATATTTTTTAATTGATTTGCACTCCCAAGAAGACAAACAGAACAGACAAGAAGTTGACCAATAAACCATATTCGCTGTAGTTTCTCACTTAGTAGAGAATAATACCCCATGATTCTGACGGAGATCTTAGGAGGTCACACTATTAAACCAACTTTCTAGTTATGGCTACTAGCAAAGAGAAATAACTTATTGGTCCTGTGCAAACCAGAAATGAAAATAAAATCACAATCAGGAAAATCAAAACAATAGATAAAATGGCAGCAAAGGTAAAATAACTGCTTGGAATCAATCACTTCTGGGGCCAAGAAAAATTGTACCTGAGCTTAATACAGCTCATGAGTTGCACTTCTTGAACAGTGCAGTTTATGTGGCCCCAGAAGATGGATCTTCTTGGTCATCTTGGTGGATCTTCAAAGATGATGAAATACAGTTTTCAAAAAGATACAGAAACACACACACACACACACACAGATATAAAAACATGACTCACATAGAATGACTACATGTCAAAGATTTATTTGACTCATTAATGAGGGACCTAGCAAGATTGTAAATCTGATTTTGTGCAAGTATTGTTTTCTTAGTTATGGTACTAGGTTGTAGGTATTAAGGAGATTGTCATTATAGAATACTTGCTGATGTGTTTAGGGATGAGGGCTTATAACATCTAACTTCAGTTTCATGTAGTTCTGCAATAAAAGAAAAAATAGTACTTAATTATGTGTTTGTATGGGAAAGGAATAGATAAAGCAAATGTGGCAAAATGGTAATTGTTGAACCTAGCTAATTATTTTGTGGGCTTGAAATTTTTCAAAATTGGGAAAATAGGTATATATAAGGTTATATAGTTCAATTCCTGTTCCTCTTTTTCCCTCTATCCTGTTCCCTCCATCCATTATTCCTACTGCCCCATAGTTAATTTCCATTAATTTCTTGTTTTTTTTCTTTCTTTGAAATAGAAGCAAATATATACATAGACAGCACACACACACACACACATTGCACATTCTCACTTGTCATTCTTACTGAAGTGGTAGTATGCTATTAATATATACAGTGTTGTGTACCTTCTTTTCTCATATAACAATGTATCCTGAAGATCTCTTCATCTTAATTCAGCAACAGGGAGACCATCCTTAGAGCTGCATTGTACTTCACTGTGTAAGCCACAGTTTATTGCTGTCTCCTGTTGCTGGATACTTGAATGTTTCCAAGATTTCACTGTTATAAACAATGCTACAGTAAAAAATCACGTACACAAGTTATCTTGTACTTCAGCAGGTGTCTTAGCTTAGGCTGCCATAAGAACACCATAAACTGGGTGGTTTAAACAACAGAAATTTATTTTCTGATAGTTCTGGAGCCTGGAAATCCAAGGTCAGGGTGCCAGTATGGTCATATTCTGGTGAGATTTACAGATGGCCTTCTCTCTGTGTCCTCATATGGTGAACAGCAGGAGGAAGCCCTCTGGTGTCTCTTCTTGTACGGGAACTAATCCCCTATGAGGCCCCACCTTCATGACCTCATCTAAACCCCATTATTTTCCAAAGGTCCCATGTTCAAATACCATCACATTAGGAGTTAGGGATTCAAAATACGAAATTTGGGGAGCACAGTCCCGTACATAGCAGCAGGTATATCTTAAATAAATTAATAGAAATGGGATTGCCAATAGCAAAATATAAATATGTCTGTAATTTGTTACATATTTGGATTGTTGATCCACTTGGAATTTATCCTGATGTGTGGTGCTAGATATGGATCCAGTTTTTAAAGTCTTCTTCCAAATGGCTAGCCCATTGTCCCCAAACCATTTATTTTATAATAGCCTTGTTTACCTCACTGATCTGACATTCTGACTTTATCACACATTAGATTCACGGTATATATTGGGATCTATTTCTGCTTTTATTGTTTCATTGACTTGTTTATCTGTTCATACTCCAGTTCCATATCATTTTAGTTATTTATACTTGAGACTGTTTTAATGTCTGATAGGTATTATCTCTCATTTTTTGAATTTTTCTGCCTGTCCTTGCTTGTTTCCTAAATTTTGTCATTTTCTGGGTTTTCCTGACTATTCTTGCATGTGTTTCTTCATATGAATTTTCTTTTGTTTAACTATGATGGAAAACATATATAAAAGTGTAGTTGTGTAACTATGATGGTCAAACATATATAAAAGTATGAATCATTGAACTTCTGTTACCCAACTTAAGTGATTATCAGTATTTCGCTATTTTGTGTTTTAGTTATTTCTCCTTTCCTCATTTTTTTGGAGTATTTTACAACTATCTCACGTATCATTTCATTCTTAAGTTTTTTAGCCTGTGTCTCTAAGAGATAAAGATTTAAAAAAATTAAAAAACAAAAATTTAAAAAATTAAGAAATTTTGCTAGATGGGTCATTATCCCAATCTAGCAAAATTAATATTAATATTAATTAGTAGTTAATAGTCATAATCCAGTATTATCCACATCTAGTTTAGTTTTCCCTGATTTTTTTCTCAGGGGTCTTGGTTTGTTCAAATCAGGATCCACACAAAGTCCTCACTTTGCATTTGATTGATATGCCCTCTAAATCTTTAATTTGTAACAGCCTCCTCCTTCCCAACTTCTGTGTTGTTTTCTTCACTTTTTCTTGTTCTGTATGTTTTTTACTATGATTTCTGTGATGTCTGTTTTCCCTTTTGCTCCTTGTATAAATGTCTCAGTCTTGCTTTCTTAAATAAATTTGTATTTTTCTTTACTTTTGTGAGTTCTGTCACTTCCTGTTTCATATTCTTTTGCTATTTGGCTATCACTCACTCTGGTTTGGGCCATCCAGTCCTCTGTTCTTTTGGTACTGTCATTGTGTTCTTAAGTGTTTTAGTTTAGTTTAGTTTTTAGCATGCTGTTTTCATCTGCTTTGCGGCAATATTTCTTTGGTGAGCTTTCATTATCTACTGGAAAGATATACTGCTTGTTTTCAGTTTTTTCCTTATGGTTTTTTTGTATTGAGAGATGAGTTGACTTTTCAGTTACTTAGGTTTGAATGAGATTGATTTTGCTGGGGGTTCCTGTGCAGGGAAATGGGCAGGGGTTAGCTTTACAAGCATCATTGTGTTAAGGGCTCCCTCCTAAGGTCCACTTCTCTGGCTCTTAAAGCCTACCCTGGATTAGGAAGAATCCCACTACCTCTGTACCTGTGCTTCCCTGAATTCCTCACAGCCTTTGCATTTCAAGTTGATGCATCTACTTTTAGGGTTTATATTTTGCTGGCATTTTCTGAGTGCTTATGCCCTTTCTTCTCCCTCCCTACTTTTCTGTTCTCTCTTTCTGCTCCCCCTAGCAACCCTGTCTTTTTAGTTAATCTGTCTACTTCTTTTTCTCACCAGCTCTCTTGGGATGAGGCCCCTCAGCATCACATTTTTTTCTGTGGTCCCCTGGTGGCATGATAGGGGCCAGTTGGCTTTGCCTTTACCGTCACCTGGCAAGGTTTTCTCATCCTGTTTTGTTGTTTTCAGATTTGCTTAAAGTAATTTTAACTTAGGGTGGCACCCTTAGCACTTCCCTTTCTTCCCCCTCTGTGTATAGCGTACCTACGGTTCTGGTACTAGTGTTTGCTATTTGGGGGAGGGTTCAACCACATTTACAAATCAAATTTGATTTACAAATTTAAAAAGTGATTTAAATTTGTGCAATTTCCCGTTTCCTAGTTTACACTGAAGGGTAGCTTTTGTTTTGTTTTGGTTATCTTTCTCTAAGCATGATACCAGCTTTGGAGGTTAAGATTTTTATCATGTTAAGGAACTATAATTTCTATTTTACGAAGATTTTAAAAAATCAAGAATATTGAATTTTATCAAATACTTTTTCAACATCTATGGAGAAATTTGATTTTTTAACTTATTATTTTGGAGAATTATATAAGTAGATTTTCTAGTATTAAACCATTTTTGTATTCTTGTTATTTTGGTGTTTTAGACTTGCCTTATCTCTTCATCTGGTCATTTTATAGATGTAGATGCTTTCTATATGCCTGAGAATATAATGTGTTCTCTATTTGTGGAGTCTAGTGTTCTCTATGTCTGGTAAACCAAACTCGTTAATTGTGTTGCTCAAATCTTCTATAATCTTACACTTTTTTTTAATCTGGTCCAGCCATTGCTGAGACAGATATGTTAAAATCTTCCACTTTGATTATGGGTAAATGTGTCAATTTCTCATTATAATTGTTTATATAGATACTATTACATGCAAAATATAAGAAATTTTACATCTTTCTGGCAAATTGGCAAATATTAAAAGATTATGTATTATATTTATCCCTAATAATGCTTTTTATTTTATATGGTGTCACTATATCTAATACCACCTAAATTTGTATGCGGCTTATGTTCATTTTTTTATAAGGCCAAACTTAAAAAAAAATTCTTATTGATGTTGACATGTTGTTCACTTCCTGTGTTGTTGGATAATTTTTTTCAGATCCACCCTTTCACTGAGAGTTAGGCCGTTTGAGGTTCCTGCCTTCATGTGAAGGAGTGAAAGAGGTGCATCTCAATTCTCTGTGTTGTGTGGTTTCCAGACCCTTGTTTCAGTTCTCCATGAGGGCCTTTAATAAGTTTTAATTGCTAATTCTTTGGATGTAGAAATAACCCAACAGCCAGACAGGGCACAGTGGCGCAAGCCTGTAATCCCAGCACTTTGGGAAGCTGAGTTGGGCAGATCACTTAAGATCAGGAGTTGGAGACTGGCCTGGCCAATATGATGAAACCCGATGTCTACCAAAACATACAAAAATTAGCTTGGTGTGGGGGTGCACGCTTGTAATTCCAGCTTCTTGGAAGGCTGAAGTGGGAGAATTGCTTGAACCTGGGAGGTGGAGGTCACAGTGAGCCGAGATCGCGCCACTGTGCTCCAGCCTGGGCGTCACAGAGTGAGACTCTGTCTAAAAAAAAAGAAGGAAAAAAAGAAAGAACCCAACAGCCAGCTTTCTTCAATGTCAGTTTATACTGATGGGCTCATGGATTTCTTTTATTATCTTGATAATCTGCCTGTGTGTTTATAGAGATAGCTGTTATGTATTATCCTTCAGTTTTCGGGTATTTTGTGATCGGAGAATTTCCAGGTAACCCTGTCAGCCACATTGCTGGAAATGCAAGTCTTCAGATTAAAGATTTTTTTTTTGAAACCAATGCTTAAATACTTGGTGGGGAAAGAGAAATAAAATCACCTCCCTCTTTTTTTTTTTTGTTGTTGACGTTTTTCTTTTTAGCATGCAGCAGAACTGATTAAAACAGTGGCATCTCGCTATGATGAATATGTTAATGTGAAGGATTTTTCTGACAAAATCAATCGTGCCCTTGCTGCAGCAAAGAAGGATAATGACTTCATTTATCATGATCGAGTTCCAGACCTTAAAGATCTAGATCCTATTGGCAAAGCCACACTTGTGAAATCTACCCCGGTCAATGTACCCATCAGTCAGAAATTTACTGGTATGTCAGTTATTCAGACACACTTTAATCTCATTTTTCTCTAGTTTACTCTGTTTTTCCTAGCTAAAAATCACATAATTGCTGTTGTATGCTTTGAATATAATTTGTATTCATGTTGTTTAAAATGAATATGAGAATAAATATTGTGCCAGTGCAATGTTAAGATGGAAAGTAAACAATAATAAAGCATATGTAAAGTATACAATAGTTAGAAGACTTGAAACTGTGTGTTTGATTAAGACTGTAGCACTTGTCATTTTGTTAACTTTTGTTATTTAAGATGCTGCCATTAAAAATAAACAAATATGGCTGGATGTGGTGGCTCACACCTGTAATCCTAGCACTTTGGGAGGCTGAGATGGGTAGATTGCTTGAGCTCAGGAGTTAGAGACCAGCCTGAGCAACTGGCAAAACCCTGTCTCTACCAAAAAAAAAAAAAAAAATTAACTGGGCATGGTGGTGCATGCCTGTGGCTTTAGCTACTCTGGAGGCTGAGGTGGGAGGCTCGCTTGAGCCCAGGAGGTGGAGGTTGCAGTGAGCTGAGACCGTGCCACCATACTCCAGCCTGGGTGACAGAGAGAGATCTTTTCTCAAAAATAAATAAATAAATAAATAAAATAAATATAAAAATAAACCACAAAAATATATATTTTTTTCTTTTCTTTTTTTTTTGAGACGGAGTATCGCTCTTGTTGCCCAGGCTGGAGTGCAATGGTGCTGTCTCCCTCACTGCAACCTCTGCCTCCTGGGTTCAAGTGATTCTCCTGCCTCAGCCTCCCAAGTAGCTGGGACTACAGGCGCCTGCCACCTCGCCCAGCTAGTTTTGTATTTTTAGTAGAGACGGGGTTTCTCCGTGTTGGTCAGGCTGGCCTGGAACTCCCGACTTCAGGTGATCCACCTGCCTCAGCCTCCCAAAGTGCTTGGATTACAGGCATGAGCCACCGTGCCCGGCCTATTTCTTTAAACATGTAAACTTCTGGAGTGGTATTTGTATGAGATAAATACATGTTATTATATTGTAGATGTATACAACAGATGGTAGCCTCTAGCTGAGATTCCAAGGAGAATATTCTGTTACTGGGAAAGGGTGATTATATGTTTATTTAGCAAACACAAAGTGTTTACCATGTGCCAGGCACTCTTTAAGCACTTTACAAATATTAGCTCATTTGTTTTCAGAAGTGCCCTGAGATGGGTACTGTTATTATCCCTATTTGATGAGGATACTGATGCACAGAGTGGTTAAGTAATTTCCTCAAGGTCACATAGCTAGGAAGTGTTGGAGCCAGAAATGGAATCCTGCTGCCGTGACCCACTCAGTCAATTTTTTTTTTTTTTTTGAGACCGAGTCTTGCTCTGTTGCCCAGGCTGTGGTGCAGTGGTGCAATCTCGGCTCACTGCAACCTCCGCCTCCTGGGTTCAGACGATTCTCCTGCCTCAGCCTCCCCAGTAGCTGGGACTACAGGCTCCTACCATTACACTGGCTAATTTTTGTATTTTTAGTAGAGATGGGGTTTTGCCAAGTTGGCCAGACTGGTCTTGAACTCCTGACCTCAGGTGAGCCACCTGCCTCGGCCTCCCAAAGTGCTGGGATTACAGGCCTTAGCCACTGCTCCCGGCCCCTCATTCAGTTTAATCAACAGATGAACAGTGTCACTGAAGATCCCTCAAACTCAGTGATGAACACATCTGAAAAAGAAAGAAAATTAAGTTCAAAGAAGAAACTTTTCATTGTTGCCGTTGTCCATGAATGTAGTGATCTAAAAATTCTCTTTATCATTGTGCTTTAAATAGTGATTTAGTTTTGATCTTTAAATGTCAATAGACAATAAATATTTATAGACTATGTGAATATTGGAAAGAAAATATAAACAGTCACTTTTACAGTTCGGGTTTTTGTCTAAAAATTTTGTTGTAATTTCTCTTCCTAATTTTAGATCTGTTTGAGAAGATGGTTCCCGTGTCAGTACAGCAGTCTTTGGCTGCCTATAATCAGAGGAAAGCCGATTTGGTTAACAGATCAATTGCTCAGATGAGAGAAGCCACCACTTTGGCAAATGGGTAGGTAGAGCTTAATTTTAGAGCCTAAAGTTTTCCGTTTGGTTGTTCTTTAGTTTATGAACATTTTAGTTTCTGAGCTTAGAGCTAAATGTCAAGAGTATATAAAATAGAAAATGTAGACACACACTTACAACTATTTTTGTTGGACACTGTATTTATGAAGCTCTAGCAAATATAGTTGGAAGAAATTATAGAAACAAGGTGAGGATATGAGGACTAAAAATTTGTATTTTAAGAGGTATTTATTTGGAAATGAGAAGTAGAAATGAACTCAGATACATGGTACATTTAGTGTTCTGAACCAATTTTTGTTTCTGATGGACTGAATACTAAGAAAATAATTCATTGGTTTAAAAAATTTTTAGGTATATTTTACACACACAAAATACACCTATTCTAAGTGCACAGTTCAATTATTATATGTATATGTGTGTGTGTGTGTGTATGTGTATATATATATATTTATGTATATATATATATTTTTTGTTTTTTGGGACAGGGTCTTATTGTCACCAGGCTGGAGTGCAGTGGTGTAAACACTAAACATGGCTCACTGCAGTCTCAACCTTCTGGGCTCAGGTGATCCTCCTGCCTCAGCCTCCTGTGTAGCTGAGGCCACAGGTGCAAGCCACCACACCTGGCTAATTTTTTGATATTTTTATAGAGACAAGATCTCACTTTGTTGCCCAGGCTGGTCTTGAACTCCTGGGCTCAAGCGATCCTCCTGCCTTGACCTCCCAAAGTGCTGGGATTACGGGCATGAGCCACCATGCTTGGTCATTTAGTTAGTTTTGATAAATGTATGTACCCATGTAACCGGCACTATGATTAAGTTAGAGAACATTACTGTTACCCTAAAAAAATTCTCTCATGCCCCTTTCCCAGTCCTTCTTCTTTTAGCCCCTGGCCGCTATTGATCTGCTCCCTGTCTTAAGTTTAGTTTTACTTTTTATACAATTTAAAACACGTGTAATCATTCTAGCATATGCATATACAGTACTTACAGTATGTACAGTATATACTTAGAATGTGTTTTGCTTTTTTTCACTTAGCTACTGTTTTTGAGATTCATCTATATTATGTGTATCAGTTTCAGTCTTTTCTATGGCTGAGCAGTATTCCATTTTATGGTTATAGGGCAGTATTCCATTTTATGGTTATACGGCAGTATTCCATTTTATGGTTATAGAGCAGTTTGTTAACTCTTTCACCTGTTAATGGGCATTTCAGTTTCTGTGAACATTCATGTATAAATCTTCGTGTGGACATATTTTAGTTCTCTTGGGTAAATACTTAGGAGACAAATTGTTAGGTTGTGTGGTTAGCATATTTAATTTTATACAAAATTGCCAGGTTGTTTTCCAAAGTGGTTGTTCCATTTTATATCCTATCTGCACTGTTTGAAAATACAATTGTTCTGCATCCTCACCAATACTTGGTATGTCAGTCTTTTTAGTTTTAGCTACTTTAGTGTGTGTGTAGCAGAATCTCACTGTGATTTAGTTTGCATTCTCCTAATTGCTAATGATACTGAGCAGCTTTTCATGTGCTTACTAGCCATTCATATATTTTCTGTAAAGTGTCTATTGAAATCTTTTTCTCAGTTTTTAAAAGTGAGTTTTTCTTAATAGTTAAAGACTTCTTTACATATTTTGGAGGCAAGTCCTTTGTCAGATACATATAATTGAGAATATAGGTGACCCTGAACAACATGGGGTTATGGATGCTGACCCCCCTGCACAGTCAAATCTGCATATAACTTCTGAGTCCCCAAAACTTAACTACTAATAGCCTGCTGTTGACCAGAAGCCTTACCGATAAACAGTCAATTAACACATACTTTGTATATGTATTATATAGTATATTCTTATAATAAATAAGCTAGAGAAAAAATACTATTAAGAAAATCATAAGGAAGAGAAAATATATTTACTATGATTAAATGGAAATGGATCATCATAAAGGTCTTCATCCTTGTCTATTTCAAGTTTGAGTAGGCTGAGGAAGAGGCGGAAGGAGGGTTGGTCTTGCTGTCTTACAGGTGGCAGAGGTGAAAGAGGTGAAAGTCCACAGGTACACGGACTCATGTAGTTCAAATCTGTGTTGTTCAAGGGCCAACTGTATTTCTCTTGTAGTTGGCTTGCCTTTTCATGTTTTTAGTTTTGATTAATGCATGGATTTTACCATCATTTTTCTCTAACAAGAAAGGAATGTAAGTTTACTCTAGCATATGATAAACAGGCAGTCTGAGATTTTACAGAGCTTATTTTCTGAGGAGTTCATTGTATTACATCATTTCATTTGCCTTTTTGTCGTTACATAGTAGATAGGGATATGTACCTCCCTTCGCCATCATGTAACTGAAATAACTGAGGAATTGTTATTGTGCTACAAAACTGAGAACAGATGAAGATTCTGTAATGAATACTTAGATCATCTATTTTCTGTTGACATTTTGCCTAGATGATGTGAAATTATAACTATTGATTCTGTTGAAAGAGAGCAAAAAAGAAAAAAATAACTATTTTGTGTATTGTTTCTGACTTGTTAGAGATGCTGTAACAATCAAAAGTATAAAAGACTGCTTTTTTAGGATAGAATTTTTGACTTTTAATTACTTAGACTGAAAGAAGTTTGAACTGTAAGCCGACGATACCTAATATATTTTAATGCGGTCATAGTTTTTCTTATTTTTTGACTTTTTTTTTTTTTTCCCCCGAGACGGAGTCTCACTCTGTCGCCCAGGCTGGAATGCAGTGGTGAGATCTTGGCTCACTGCAACCTTCGCCTCCCGGCTTCAGGTGATTCTTGTGCCTCAGCCTCCCAAGTAGCTGGGATTATAGGTGCTCACCACTACGCCTGACTAATTTTTGTACTTTTAGTAGAGATGGGGTTTCACCATGTTGGCCAGGCTGGTCTCGAATTCCTGACCTCAGGTGATCCACCCGTCTGGGCCTCCCAAAGTGCTGGGATTACAGGTGTGAGCCACTGCACCAGCCTATTTTTTGGCTTTTAATTCTGAATTGTGGGCTTCATTTTTTAATGATTTTGGTTTAATTTTATCAATCACTGATTTTTTTTGTTTTTCTGTTAATCTTTGCTTTGCTTTTTTTTTTTTTTTTTTTTTTTGAGACGGAGTTTCGCTGTGTTGCCCAGGCTGGAGTGCGGTGGCGCGATCTCGGCTCACTGCAAGCTCCGCCTCCCGGGTTCACGCCATTCTCCTGCCTCAGCCTCCTGAGTAGCTGGGACTACAGGCGCCCGCCACCACGCCCGGCTAATTTTTTGTATTTTTAGTAGAGACGGGGTTTCACCATGTTAGCCAGGATGGTCTCGATCTCCTGACCTCGTGATCCTCCCGCCTCGGCCTCCCAAAGTGCTGGGATTACACGCGTGAGCCACCGCGCCCGGCCTTTGCTTTGCTTTTAATTGATAGGGCTTATCCAGTTTTTCTGGGTGCTAACTCCATTGCTGTTGATTTGGTTATAGAATACTAAATTAAATAAAGTAAGTATTGATGAGGAGTTAAATTGTTTTAGACTTCAGTATAACATAGTATCTCATTTTTTCAGGGTGCTAGCTTCCCTTAATCTTCCAGCAGCAATTGAAGATGTGTCTGGAGACACTGTACCTCAGTCTATATTGACTAAATCCAGATCTGTGATTGAACAGGGAGGCATCCAGACTGTTGATCAGTTGATTAAAGAACTGCCTGAATTACTGCAACGAAATAGAGAAATCCTAGATGAGGTATGTTTTATAAGATTTGCTTTTCAAGTATAAACACTGTGATCCCTTGATGTCCAGCAGGGATTGGGACTGGAGACTTCCTCATGCTAGTACAGTGTAGTTAGTATTCATCACTTTGGTGAATTTACTGTGGCCCAGAGCCTTCTCTTTAGCATAAGAGAAATTCTGGTTGAGTGAGAATGGGTTTCATTCTTATCTTAAGGGTAAGTAAGTACACACTAATGAAACTCAAATGACCACTGTGTAAAACTAGTATACTGTGAGAAATCAACTGTCATACAAACTGTTCAGTCTTTGTAATTATTGATTTATTTTATGCATAGCATGTAGCAAGATTTTTCTTTTTAATTTAATTTGTCTTAACCTGGAAGGTTAAACCCTTTAATTTATCCCTAATTTCTTAAAATATATTAAATATATTTGTTTTATATTATTTATCTTATAATTCCAATATCTGTAGTTTTTGTGGGTTTGAGTCTATGATTTGTAATTTTTGCTGATTCTTGCTTATGGTGGCTTGTTTTCTCTTGTGTTCAGTTTTTTTGTTACTGTTTTTTAAAACTTTAAAAAATAGTTTCAGATTTACAGAGTCTTTGCAAATTTAGTGTAGAAAGTTCCTGTATATTTTTCACCTAGCTTCCCTGAAAGTTAAAATCTTATGCGGTCATGGCACATTTGTTAAAACTAGGAAATTGACATTGGTACAGTATTATTACTCAGATTTTACCAGTTATTCCACCAGTGTTCCTCATTCTGTTCCAAGATCCAGTACAGAATACTGAATTGCATTTAGTGTTCAGTGAGTTTTGATTGTGCATTCATATTTCCTGTACTTATTTGTGGGAATTCATTGAGATCTGGGTTTAAGGTGAATTCTAGAAAGAATTTGTGTTTGCTTCTGCCATAAAAAGGCATTATATACCTGGTACCTCCTCAAACTTAAGAGGTTTTTTCCTTTCTTTTATAATCTTTTAATTATAGTAGTAATTTATCTTAAGACTTTGTGTCACACAGATAGTGCGGTTTCTAGTCCCAAGTTCAGGCTTTTGATCAGGAATCTCAGATAATACTTCTTGTTTTTTCTTTTTTCTTTAGAGCCAAGGTCCAGACAGGCATGTTTTCTTTTGTAGGGCAGTTTTCTGTTTTAAAAATTCATCCACTGAGAATCACCTGTTTGGAAGTATACCAGTTTGAGGGTGGAGAGTGCTTTTGATCTGACCTCTCACCTTTTATTGTCCCTACCTATGTTTCTTGTTGACTTTTCATGTTCTAAATTCACAATCCAAGTCAATGGTGAACTACACAGCTGGTGAACTATGGATGGTGGGCCAGTGCTAGCTTGTGGCCTACTTTTTTTGTATGGTTCACTAGTTAAGGATAATTTTTATCTTTTTTAGAGCATTGTCAAAAAAGAAGAATTCTATGTACCGTAGACTGTGGCCCACAAAACCTAAAATATTTACTCTGTGGTGTTTGACACAAGTTTGCTATTCTTTGTCCTAAGCTATCAGGGATTGTCATACATTGTTGGTGCTAGCACTGTGTCTACTGGTAGATTAGTATTTCCTTGTGTTTCTGGCCCCCTACTATCCTGTCATCTTATCTGTGCATTAAAAAGGCATTTAAAAATATATTAAACATAATTTTCTGTTTGTTGTATTGGAATGAAAGTCTAAATTTTATATTTTTTAATGTAATTGATCAGTTTTCCCCTTTTGTTTATGGCTTCTATTTATTTATTTTAATCTTAAAACTTTCTTTAAATTGATATATGGATGTAAATAGTCTCTTATTTATTCCTCCTTTTTTTTTTTTTTACTGAGAAAGGTGATAGCTAATTCACCCTTAAATTTATAAGACTTTTTGTTAAATGCATTATAACTTAGATGTCTGCAAGAAAAAAGTCGATTTATATTCTAACCTAGTATTCCCATCTCACCAAATTCTCACTTATATTGTGTATGAACATTTATTAAATGTATTAAAGTTTTTATACCAGAAATGACATTTCAGGGTTCTTTTTGCTTCCTTTTAAAGTCATTAAGGTTGTTGGATGAAGAAGAAGCAACCGATAATGATTTAAGAGCAAAATTTAAGGAACGTTGGCAAAGGACACCATCCAATGAACTGTATAAGCCTTTAAGAGCAGGTAAAAATGTGTATAAATGACCTTCATTTGAATAAATTCCCAATTTCGACCCACGTTTTTGCTTGATTAAATTAGGCTCAGTTGTAAATTCATTTTTACCGAAACTGTTTTTCCTCAGTTTTAGTATAAAGATTAAAAAAGTTCACAAAAGTAATCTGCCAATTGTCAGAAGTACAGATTTTTAAGAAAGGTATGAAGTGAAAAGTTAAAATGATCCTCCAACTTTCATTTTCTGTTCCAAACTCTGTGCATATTTTATTTTATTTATTTTTTTTGAGACAAGGTCTCGCTGTGTCACTCAGGCTGGAGTGCAGTGGCAGGATCACAGCTCGCTGCAGCCCCAACCTCCAGGGCTCAGGCAATCCTTCTACCTCAACCTCCTGAGTAGCTGACACTGTAGACATGTGCTACCATGCCCGGCTGATTTTTGTATTTTTTGCAGAGACGAGGTTTTACCATGTTGCCCTGGCTTGTCTTGAACTCCTGGGCTCAAGTGATCCACCTGCCTCCACTTCCCAAAGTGATGAGATTACAGGCTTGAACCACCATGCCTGGCCCCTGTGCATATTTTAAAAACATAAATGAGAGCATATTACATTTATGGCTTTGTAATTTTTTTCATTTAGTAGTGAATCCTGGGTGGTAAAAAAAAAAATGAGCTTTAAGTTATTTTGAGGCCAAATTTATGCTTCTTAAGACTTTGATTATTAAGATTTTGTGCTTGCTGAGATAAATGCTATCTTCATGGTGGCTGGAGATTAGTTTTATTTATCTTTGTAAAAAGTTCATATATTATTGAGATTTTTCTAAAAATCTTTTTTTTTTTTAAGTCACATTGCTCTTTTGACAGAGGAATACTTTTAAAATAAATGGACCAGTTTTTGGAGAGAATGATTTCTTCTTCATTCATGAGTTATAGGAAAAGATTAATATTAATTAACTTTTATTTGGCAGATAGTAACCACCAAATGTATTTTAAGGTATAGCTATGCTTTTGATTTTATAAGTGATTTTGTCATCTTTCTAAAAACGAGAACGCAAAGACTGTCAGGAGCTGTTTTTATTATGAAGTGAATTGGGGTCTATAGAAGGGGAGGATAAGTAAAGTTGGAGACTAGAACTCAACATATAACCAGCCGATAAACGTTGCTGTTAGAATCACTTCTGTGCTCTGCAAACTTTTATTTTCTCCCAGAGGGAACCAACTTCAGAACAGTTTTAGATAAAGCTGTGCAGGCAGATGGACAAGTGAAAGAATGTTACCAGTCTCATCGTGACACCATCGTGCTTTTGTGTAAGCCAGAGCCTGAGCTGAATGCTGCCATCCCTTCTGCTAATCCAGCAAAGACCATGCAGGGCAGTGAGGTAAGAAGGACACTTTGATGTAGGTTGTCATCTGCTTAAGAAAACCACATTCAAGCCATTTTATATAATGAACTGCCAATTTCTTATTGTCAACTTTAAAAAAATGCAGAAATAAATTGGGGTTGTTATATTTAAAGTAGTATATAGACTGTGTAATAGATAATTATACTAATATTAACTGTCCTGTAATAGTAACTTCCATTTATTGAATGCCCTTTTTTGAACTAAATTTTAGATACTTCATAGGTCAACAGTATTTAATTTGGGTTTTATAAAAGAGAGAAGCTTGGAAGTATAGAAATTTCCTGAAATGAAAGGACTGGGTATAGCCAGATACACAAATTCTTTATTTCTTACATTATTCTATACTCCTTTCCACCTTGTTTCACCGGAACTACCTTTGAAAGGAAGATTGACAAGGTGTGCATGTTAATAAATGGATAGCACCATCATGGTATTTCTACTGATGACAGGAAAGAGAAAATTGAATAGTAGGGCATCTGATTTGGAAAGTCCTAAAAGAAGAGAAAGTGCAAGTATAATTTAATGACCTATCACAGGGAGATAGGGTAAGTTAGTAGGAAAAGATAGAGGTCCCAAATCTCTGCACAGGAAAACAAGCGAAAGGGCAAGAAATACTGCTGAAAACTTCTTGAAAAAAGTGAATTTCCTGGGATAGTAAGTTTTGAAAAGTTTGAGTTTTGTTCCTTATTTGTCTTTCCATAGAAGCATTTTATATATTTCATGTATTTATTCCAAGACCTACTGGATATCTGCTCTGTGTAAGGCACTATGGTAGGTACATTGGAAAATTAACATACAAATTACACACAGGCTTTACCCTCAATTTATGATCCATTGTGGAATATTAGTCATGTACAAGGATGACTGTAATATAGGGAAGAAGTTTAAAAATGTCACAGGGAAAGTATAGGAAGTATGTTACGAGGATTTAGATGAAGTACTTAAATTTCAGTAATTTTGGAGTAGTTCTCTTCAGAGGCTTCTTAAGAGATTGGCACATTATGAGAACAGAGTGGATAGGCAGAAAAAGTAAACGTGTAGGATCGGAGAAGGGCTGAGTAGTGGCTGTGTCTAGAGAGTTATCCGAGGTACAGAGGATCTGCAAAGACAGCTTTTACTCCTGATTTCTTGTGACAGAAGGTTTACAGACATGTTGAGAATGGCTGGAATCTGTTTGTTTATTTATTTATTCACTAAGTGTTTGAAGGCCTACTATTCCAGAACAGTGCTGAGCACCTTGGTCCCTAACATAAAGAGACAAAAAACTGCTCTGGGTTACCTTTAGTGTAGAGTAAATGCACAGGTACTGGGCACCTCTCAAAGGGAAGAGAAGGCTACATAGTTGAATGTGCATTGAACCTGGATCTAACGGGGGAACCCAATGGAACAAGGAATGTGAGTTATTGTTTTGAGGACATAGGGGAGAAAAGGAGGTGGTCAGAAGATTAACTTGTGAAGAACAACGAACCTGAAGAAGAAACTGCAGACCCTTCGAACAGCAATAAATTTTGGTACCTTTTTTATTTTAGAAAAAGATTTCTGGTTAGTACTTTCTTTGTATTCTTTTTGGTGTCTTGTACATGACTCAGAATTATGTGGCTTTCGTCCTTTGATTCTTCTGCTTTCAGTAGAAAAGCAAAAATGGTTTGTGCTAAGCAAAATCTGCATTAGTATGCACTGATATATTGCTATTTTATTCAGTTATATCAGTTTTATTAATCCTTACTTGTGTTACACAGGAGAAAGGAACTTTTATAGTCAATACGAAGTAATTTTATGGAAGCTAGATTTTCTTGACGGGGTAACCACAAAAATTTCAGTACTCTCTGTATATTCGTTTGTCATGTGCCTTAATCAAATAAGGCAAGCATCAGGTTTATCAAAGCTATTTCAGACTGGTTATAATAGTTGATGACGGATTTTAGCCAGAATTTTTATGATAAAAACTCAGTTTTTTGATTGCTGATTAGAGTGATGCAAATGTACATGTTTTATTAAAAAGTCCAAGTTTGATGGTAGGGCTGTTTTTTCTTTTATTGTGAAGAAGCCTACTGTCTGGTTACTTATTTTCAGTCTCTTTGGACATCTGGTTTTAGACATTGAGATACTCTGACAAATTTTGCAGACTAGTGGTAATTTGTATTTAAAGATTTTTGTATTAAATACCTAGGATCACTGCTTGTGATTGGTTGCCTATGATGTACTGTGGCCTGAAGTCCAGTCTATGGTTGGCTGGCCAAGCCTTGGCCCTAATGTATATGGGGCTGAGTCTAGCCAGAGGAAGGAACATGTATTTTTTTGCACAAGGTTGATGTTCAGTTATACTCAAAGTGTTACATCTGCTGGGAGTAATGGAGGGGGTACCTTTAAAAAAAAAAACCCTTTACCTCCTTACAGGTAGAGCATAAAGAGAATTGTTTAAAACTGTGTGCCCTCCCAGAGGAGTGCCTTTTTTGGATTCACAGACTAGTGGAGGATCTGCAAACACAGCTTTTACTCCTGATTTCTCATGACAGAAAGTTTATAGACATATTGACAATGACTGGAATCTGTTTGTTTATTTATTTACTCACCAAGTGTTTTTTGAAGGCCTACTATTCCAGAACTGTGCTGAGTACCTTGGTCCCTAACATAAAGAGACAAAAAACTCCTCTAGGTTACCTTTAGTGTAGGGTAAATGTATCAAGTTTCTGCGTTCGTTGCTGTAGACATAGTTGCTTATTTGCCTTTTCTGAAAATAAAATGACAAGGTTATAAAAGTAAAATAGAAGATTTTGTTGAGGGCATTTCTTTCTTTCTTTTTTTTTTTTGAGACGGAGTCTTGCTCTGTCACCCAGGCTGGAGAGCAGTGGCGCAATCTTGGCTCACTGCAACCTCTGCCTCCTGGGTTCAAGCAATTCTCCTGTCTCAGCCTCCCGAGTAGCTGGGACTACAGGCATGTGCTACTGTGCCCAGCTAATTTTTGTATTTTTAGTAGAGACGGGGTTTCACCATGTTGGCCTGGATGGTCTCGATCGCTTGACCTTGTGATCCACCCACCTTGGCCTCCCAAAGTGCTGGGATTACAGGCGTGAGCTACCGCGCCCGGCCCATTGAGGGCATTTCTTGTCTCATATTGTACTTGGTGCTGTTAAATGCCACAGAGGATTTTAAATCTAAAACTGGGGTCAGGAAGCTGTGGCTTGTGGGCCAAATCCAGCCTGCCTCTTCTCTTTGTATGTTCTGTGAGCTAAGAATGAGTTTTACATTTTTAAAATGTAAAACTCTACTTTCTACTTCATTTTTTAAATGGCTGAAAAAAAGTCAAAAGAATGTTTTAATATGTGGGCATTATATAAAATTGAGATTTCAGTGTTAATACATTTTTGTTGAAACATAGCTGCGCTCATTCATTTACACATTGTCTTTCACACTACAAAGCAGAGTTAAAAGAGTTGCAACAGAGACTGTGGCCTACTGAGGCAAAAATATTTCCTGTTTGGTCCTTTACCAAAAAAGTTTTTAAGTTCCTGATCTGAAAGACAAAGTATTGACAACCTAGGTGATGCCATTCCTGCCATTCTGTTTGACCTCATCTCCTGTTCTGCCTTTTGTTTACTATGCTTCAGCCAGAGTGGCGTTTTTTTCTTTCCTTTGATCCTGCCAAGCTTGTGCCTGCCACAGGACTTTTACATTTGCGTTTCCTTCTGTGCAGGGCTTTCTTCCCATTTCCGTGGCTGTTACCTCTTTTTCATTAGTCTTAGATGTCACCTCTTCTCCATCTTTGTCATTGTCTACCCACATTATTCTATTTTTGTGTATTTGTTTAATCCTCCCCTTTGCATATTTATTTAATCCTCTCTGGTCCCCAAATGAAGGAAAAGACTGTTTTTGTTAGTAGTTGTGTCCATAGCATCTAGAATGGTACCCAAAACAAAAGTATTTGTTTGAATGATCATCACTGGCAGCCTAACTTAATAAAGGGATACATTTAATTGCAGTTGAAAGGTAGCTGGAGTTGTGTATAAGAAATAAATATGCTAGGATTCTAATTATTTATATACTTTGATAACATGTTAAACCTCAAATTTGAATTTATAAGAAAATTTAGGCAGTGGTTTTCTTATTATCTTGGTCATTCATTTGTGGAAGCAGTTTAATTCATTTTCTACTTCATTTACTCTGTTAAAATGAGGCCAGTGCCTTATAATCTGAAATATGTTAAACTAGTGTACTGCATATGAATTTTTTTAAAAAGATGTTCATAATATAAGGGATCTCTATCTTTGTGTGGTAGTCCACAAGTTCGTTCATAAATTCGTTGTTTGAAATGGCATTTTTTTTTCCCCAGAAAGTTAGAATTATTGCATTTTTGAATATCACAGAATTTGTTAACTATTTGACCCTCTCTGTATCAGTCTGGTTGGATACCATGGAAGTTGTGGTTAGCTTTTCTTCCTAATCTAAGTAATATGATTGAATACTTACCCTTTGTTAGAAGTTATGTTGAGCACTTTATATAGATTATCTCAGTCTGCACAACAGTCCTGAAATAGGTACTATTATGCCCATTTTGCAGTTGTGAAAATTGAATTTTCTTAGTAGTAACCTGTCCTTGATTGCACAGTAACTAAGTCCATTATGGTCTCTAAGGGAGTATAGTCAGAGTTGAAGTGTTTTTTATTTTCTATGTAATTACATTTTTTTATGTAATTACGTTTCACTTTGTTAGACCCATTTGTTTCCATATTCAAGTTTTGAACTTAATCTCGTTTTTTGAGTGTGTAAAAAATGTTCATGATTCAAAAGGTACATACAGAGAAGCCTCATTCCTTTTCCCTCTACTTCTTTCCTGTATACTTGCTGTAAGTAACCATATTCGTTAGTTTCTGGTTTGTCCTTACTGATTTTCTTTTTGCAAGAACAACAACAAACAACCCCCACCCCAAATTATGCATACATATGTATACATATATACATATTATGTATATGTATATTTATTTTCTGATTTTCCTTCTGTCTTACTCAAATTGCAGCATACTGTATATGCTTTTGTATCCTTTTTTTCTCATTTAATAATATGTCCTGGAAGTCACTTGGAAGGAAACTTTTATTCACATCGTCTGATATCAAGTTCTGCTAGGTCTTTAAACAGACTTTGTCATATCCACCCACGTATGATTCTTTCTCCTCCTCCTTCCTTTTAGAGTTTCTGTGGTTTGATGCTTTCTAGACTCTAGGAATCATATTTCTTTCTCTTTCCACAGCCTTCTCCCCTGTACCCTCTTCTTTCCCTCCCTCCCTTTCTCCTTCCCTTCCCCCTTCCTTCCTCTCTTCCGCCCCTCCCTCTTCTGTTCCTTTCCTTTCCTTCCATTTTAAAATTAGGATGTTTAGGAGATATGGATGTAAACAAGGCCAAAAAGGAAATTCACCTACATTTAGCAGAAACCTCGAGTCTCTGGTCTTCACAAAGGGATGTTACTTTGGACATTCCTATCAAGGAGCTAACTAAGACTGTGGAAGAAAGAGTAGAATAGGAATTTTTAGAAACAGGCAGTTGGTAGGGGAATCCATGGGAATTGGAATTGCTGCTGGTAGTGAGAAAGACAGGGGTGGAGACAGGGCTCGTGATGTCCTCTTCTTCCTTTGTCTTTCCCCCAGTTTTCTTTCTATGAGCATCATTGGGGCAAGCAGAATAGAGAGATTGGGTTGATGTTCTTGGTGGTCTTAGCAAAGTATGAAGAGATGAGTGAAAGGGGCAGCTTGAAAGTGCTCATTAGAAGGCACTTGAACACTATGAATATGAAGGGGTATTTATGAATCAGGTGGGTATAGGTCAGAGAGTGTCTTGACTGAATACAAGAGATAAATCTCTGTTTTGTTTTTGTATTTTGTTTTGAGACAGGGTTTCTCTCTGTCACCCAGGCTGGAGTGCAGTGGCATGATCATGGCTCACTGCAGCCTTGACCCACTGGGCTGAAGCAATTCTCCTGCCTCAGCCTTTGGAGTAGCTGTGACTGCAGGTGCACACCATTGCACCCAACTAATTTTTTTTTTTCAATGTAGAAATGGGGTCTCACTTTGTTGCCTAGGCTGATCTCGAACTCCTAGGCTTAGGTGATCCTCCTGAAGTGCTGGGATTGCAGGCATGAACCTCTACATCTGGCCTAAAACTCTTAATGGTATGAAGAGAGGCACAAGAACCCTCTTTCCTTTTCCTCTCCCAGTATATAAAATAAATGTGGTATATACACTTATATCTGTATCTTTCTCTATTTCTTTCTCCATCTACCATGCTTGCTTCATAGCTGTCTCTATTTCTGTCTTCACCTCTGTTTCTCTATATCTCTCTCAGTCTCTCTAGGCAAAATAGGATATCTACTTACCTAGCAAAATCATACCTTCCCCTGCTTCACAGCCATGATTGGGAGGGAGTAGAATGTAGAGTGGCTAAGAGATTGGTTTTGGAACTAGTCAGACTTAGGTCTCAAATTTCACCTCTGCCCCTTAGTAGCTGTATAACCATGTCACTTAATTTTTCTGAGACTCGTTATCCCTATCTTTGGAATAGAGGTCATAAATATATATACCCCATGGGGTATTGTAAGGAATATATGAAATTATATTTCTGAAGTGTTTTAGCATGGTGCCTAACACATAAGAGTTCAGTAAATTGTAGATGTTGGCTATTGTTATTAATGCTGCTTTTGTTTTAATATGAGTCAACTGAAGGTACAGTGTCTATCTATATAAACCTGACGTTCAATTTATATTTGGCTCTCTGAGAAATCATCTCTCTCTCAGCCCGAATGAACCTTTATATATTATTTCCTTCTCGAAATTGGCTTTTTTTTTTTTTTTTTTTGCAGTTAAACTAAGGTGTCTTTTTTGTTTAGGTTGTAAATGTCTTAAAATCCTTATTGTCAAATCTTGATGAAGTAAAGAAGGAAAGAGAGGGTCTGGAGAATGACTTGAAATCTGTGAATTTTGACATGACAAGCAAGTTTTTGACAGCCCTGGCTCAAGATGGTGTGATAAATGAAGAAGCTCTTTCTGTTACTGAACTAGATCGAGTCTATGGAGGTCTTACAACTAAAGTCCAAGAATCTCTAAAGAAACAGGAGGGACTTCTTAAAAATATTCAGGTGAAATTTATATATTTAATAAGATCTGTGTTTTAAAAATTACAGAAAAGATATGTCTGGACTAAACCTATATTCAGTTAGGAAAATGACATTGGAGAATATCTGTAGTTAAGAGTAGAACTTAATACATGTATATTTTGTAAAATTAAACTTGGCACATCAGTTTTATCTATGAAACAAAGTCACTTCTTTTTTTTTTTTTTTTGAGATGGAGTCTCTCTCTGTCGCCCAGGCTGGAGTGCAGTGGCGCGATCTTGGCTCACTGCAAGCTCCGCCTCCCGGGTTCACGCCATTCTCCCGCTTCAGCCTCCCGAGTAGCTGGGACTATAGGCGCCCGCCACCACGCCTGGCTAATTTTTTGTATTTTTAGTAGAGACGGGGTTTCACCATGTTAGCCAGGATGGTCTCGATCTCCTGACCTCGTGATCCTCCTGCCTTGGCCTCCCAAAGTGCTGGGATTACAGACGTGAGCCACCATGCCCTGCAGAAACAAAGTCATTTCTATGGCTAAAATGTTGCATATTACTTAGGAGTGCTTGATACTTCAGATATTTTTCATGGTTCCAAGTTTTTAATAGCTTTGGTTTTTTTTCCATATGGGAGGAAAATCGAAATTAGTTGGAATTACTGATACCTTTAATTGTATGGCTAACATACATACAGACTTCAGTCATTTTTTAAAAAAATAATGCAAAGTAAATATGTTGAGAAGTTTGAAGTTAGTTTTCGTGTTTACAGATAGGTAGTTTGGACTAACAAATACTTGAAAGTTTGCCCTTTTAATAGTTAATATGCAAAATTAAACATATATTTCTACTCCTAAACATTGTATCTATATATGATATAAAATAACTCCAAAAGGTAAAATAATTTTCATGTTATATTTTTTACAAGTGTTATATACTAATAGAAATCTGTGATCATTATTGGTTGTTTTGACTCCTATTGGATTTTTGAAATTTTTACTTAAGAAAGATTTAAAGCATAATGAGGCTTCAAAAGAGTGTACTAGGTATTCTAGTAATTTTGCATATGTATTTAATTACATATGATTTTCATAATTGGAAAAGATCAATAAAAATGTTATGAGCTATATTAATTTTATAAATAAATGTAAATATGTAAATCTTTCTTTTAACAAGGTCTCACATCAGGAATTTTCAAAAATGAAACAATCTAATAATGAAGCTAACTTAAGAGAAGAAGTTTTGAAGAATTTAGCTACTGCATATGACAACTTTGTTGAACTTGTAGCTAATTTGAAGGAAGGCACAAAGGTATGAAGTACATGCAAAAGGAACCATAGCTAGCAAGTACAGATGTGAACGCATAGTTTGGAAGTTAAGTGGTATTTCCAGTTGAACCAAATTGCTCTTTGCCTAGAATTTTAGCTTTAATGCCATTGCTGCTGCGAAGTTTGTTATAGGAGGGAGAAAGCTTAATGAAGGTGGCAACATTTCATGGGAACTTTGAAGAATGAATTGCATATTTCAACTGGCAGAAAAGGGGTATAAATATTCCAGGTAGCAGGAATTAGCAGAGATGTCAATGACACCTTTTTAAGGGATAGGAAGTTGACTAATTTGATGAATTTTGAGGGGCAGGAGTAGTCAAAGCTGATTTGTGATGGAAAAGCGGAGGGGCATGACTTTTATGTTCTCTGCGGTGGTTTGCTGAGGACAGACTTGTGGCCTGCCCAAGTGTCAGAAGGCTTACTGAATATGTAAGTACTTTCTTGCCTTGTCCTTTAAAAAGTTTAGGGAATTCGCTTATATTTCTTTTTACCAATTTGTTTTTGAGGGAACAGTGATTTTTAAGTTTTTTCAGATGCATAATTCCTTTTGGTACTTAACTTCATAATAATCACTGAATAAAGTTACCTTGATATAAATACAGTAGGTAAAATGTAAAACCCTCTGAAGAGAGGGTGAAAATACTGCAAAGCCTTCCAAATAGAGAGGATAGTAAAATGCCATTTTAATTTGGTTTAAAATGCTTTGTTTAAATAGGTAAGCTGAGAAAACCCTCCAGAGAGCCTTTAGAAATTCTTTTAAGGGTTTCTGAAGTATGCTTGCATTTCTGTAGTGAATTTGAAAACCTAATCCTTCCACTTAAATAGGTTTAATGTTATTAAACAATTGACTTTTCTCTAGGAATTAGGAAGGTTTTCATGATCATGAATCTTTTAACTTGTTACATTTTTTATGATAATGTTCTGTAAAAATGCTTTTATTATTTTTATTTTCTTTAGGAGTCTTAGATCATATTTAATATTAAGTTGTTGGGCCTAGTAAATTGTATAAATGTATCTCATGCAGATCTCAGTTCTTCGGCTCTAACTATCATTGACAAATTAGCTTTAGATCACATTACTCTCTGGATTAAAAAATTGTTCTTGTTCCTTACTTGTATTTGTTCTTTGCTTATAGTTTTACAATGAGTTGACTGAAATCCTGGTCAGGTTCCAGAACAAATGCAGTGATATAGTTTTTGCACGGAAGACAGAAAGAGATGAACTCTTAAAGTAAGTCTGTTTTGTGTACCAAATTGTACTTAAAGAATTTTCTTTTAAAAAATCATGTAGAGACTTTTGGTATGAACTTGGTAGTATGAGATAGCAATTTTCCTCTTCTCATGGAAGAAGGAACTAGATAGAGTATTTTACAAAGCAACAAGTAAACAGCTGCATAATCTGGGAATGAAAGGATGAAAAGAAGCAGAAACTCTAGATGCAGGAAGTACAGTGAGGTCACAGAAATGATAAAAACAGTTCAGGTGGCAGATCTCAGGAAGTGCCAGTAAATACAAGCAATTTATTTTGAAGTGGCAAATAGGTTCCTTACATAAAACTAGAGCTATAGAACATGGAGGAGACAGCATGAATAGCTCAGAGAATACCAGCAAAATCACTTTCAGAAGGAGGCTGCTGAGAAAGCAGGGCCAGTTAACATACGACTCATTTCCTGCTGAGTAATCAATACAGAGTAGCACAGTGCTGATAAAAGGTGGAAAACATTAACAAAATTTAATAAAACTTCATAGATGAAGAACATTTACCAAAATAATATTGTCACAGAATAGGTGAAAATTATGAGCAAACATCTGACCATGAGCTAAACAAAAACAACAACAACAACAAATGTAAGGAGGCAATCATTCTAAGGCCGGGGTCCCCAATCCTGGGGCCTTGGACTGGTACTGGTTCGTGGCCTGTTAGGCACTGGGCTGCACAGTAGGAGGTGGGTGGCAGACAGGCGGGCAGCTGGGCGAGTATTACTGCCTGAGCCCCACCTCCTGTCAGATCAGCCACAGCATTAGATTCTCATAGGAGCGCAAACTCTATTGTGAACTGCCCGTGTAAGGGATCTAGGTTGTGCATTCCTTATGAGACTCTGACTAATGCCTGATGATCTGAGGTGGAACAGTTTCATCCTGAAATCATCTTCCGCTCCCCTGTGGAAAAATTGTCTTCCATGAGACCGGTCCCTGGTGCCAAAAAGGTTGGGGACTGCTCCTCTAAGGAACACTTTGAGCAGAAATTCCAGAACTGCAGGAATATGGTAAGAAAACAGGAAGTGATAAGATGTGAGGTGTCAGAATTCAGGAAAGAAGTAGAAGGGAAGAATAAAACCGTGACATGGGAAAGAGCACAAAGGGCGAATAAACACTAAAGAACACACAGGAACACAGAGTAGAAATGAGGAAATTAAAATGAAACCAAAGTCAAGAAAGAATTAGAGAGAAAATGGGCACAGAAGATCTAATATAGGCAAAACTGAATTTCTCTCAGAAGAAAAACCAGATAGAACAGTTATTTAACGTTCTGTAAACAGAACACTTATTTAATGATACTCAAGAACATTTTCTTAAGTGAAGATTGTTGAAAGAGGATATCATATGGTAGGGGAAAATGACAAGAACTGTCAGCATCAAGGCATATAAATTATTGGCCTTAAAAGATAATGGCAGAATCCTTTAGGCAGTCAGGCAAAACAGTCAAGCCAGTTTATAAAAAGGTGAAAAAAATTAGGCTGGCAGCTCTGTATGCCAGAAGAGAGTGGAGTGATTGCTGTAATCTCAAGGATAGTAAATATGAGCTAAAGATTTTATATCATATAGTAAATACATGCTAAAGATTTTATATCCAGACTGTCTTTTGGGTACATAAAAAGCCATATATTCATTAGTAATAAATATAAAGAGCTGAAAGAGTCTTATACCGATGACCCTTTCAGCCAACTAGATCTTTATTCATCTCTCTGTTCATATTCATGAACAGAGAATGAACATGTTCATGTTCATTCACCTCTCTGCTCATGTTCATGAGAGAAGTTATTTTCTTCTACCTCTAACAAAGAGCAGGTTAGTTGTTTTTAGAATATTTCTACTAAACCTATAAAAAGCAAATAATTAGAATGTTTTAAAAATGGTTCTAAATGTTTAAAAAAAGGTGATTTTTTTTTAGATGGAGTTTTGCTCTGTCGCCCAGGCTGGAGTGCAGTGGTGCAGTCTTGGCTCACTGCAACCTCTGCCTCCCGGGTTCAAGCAGTTCTTCTGCCTCAGCTTCTTAAGTAGCTGGCATTACAGGTGTGCACCACCACGCCTGGCTAATTTTTGTATTTTTAGTAGAGACAGGGTTTCACCATGTTGGCCAGGCTGGTCTCGAACTCCTGACCTCAGGTAATTGGAATTATAGGGGTGAGCCACCCCCCCAGCCTAAAAAAAGATGAGTATTCTCCATATTAGTCTTAATGATAAAAAAACCTAACAAAGATTAATACAAAACAGTCTACAGACCAGTTTCAGTTATGAATATGGATGCAGAAGTCCTAAATAAAGTATTTGCCAGTAATAGTCACCAGGACGTTAAAAAATAATTATTGACCAAGGGGAGGGGGGCATTTATTCCAGTTTCAGTATTCAGTATTTTCACATCAAAGGAAAGATCACAGGTTTGTCTTAATAGATGAGGCAGAAGCATTTGAGAAAATGAGTGTTCTGATACTCAGTAAAATAAGAATAGATAGAAGATAGATGCTTCCGTAACATGAAAATATATATATGTATGTGTGTGTATATATTTCTGCCCAAAACTCAGTATAGTGATTAATGGAGAAGCACTATAAACAGTTCCCTCTGAAGTCAAGAACAGACAACAAATGTCACTGTCAGCACTATTTTTAAATACTATACTGCAGTACCAGCCAAGACAATCACATGAGAGAGAAATTAAAAAATTGGAAAGGAAGAAGTAAAACTAGCACTATTTACAGACATTATGATTGTACAACTACTTGAAAACCCAAGAGAACCCCAAAACTCTGCAAATAATAAAATTATTATTACTGAAGTTGTTGATCATAAAAATAATTTGTAGAAATCAGTGGCTTTCATGTAAATAAACCTATAGAGGATAAGATGAAGAGACCCACTTACAGTAGCAACAAAAAGGATAAAATATAAAATATAAGTTTGTCATATATGAGACCTATGTGAAGAAAACAGTATTTCAAAAAGAAGGCTTGAGCAAGTTAAAAAACATGTTCTTGGACAGGATGACTCAACTTCATAAAGATGTCAATTCTAAGTTAACTTATGCATCAACTGGGCGTGATGGCATGCACTTCTAGTCCCAGCTACTTGGGAGATTGAAGTGGGAGGATGGTTTGAGCCCTAGAGTTCTAGGTTGTAGTGCGCTATGATTGTACCGTAAATAGCCACTGTACTCCAGTCTGGGCAACAGTGAGACCCTATCTCTAATAACAAACATAAATAAAGAAATAAACATATGCGGCCAGGCGCGGTGGCTCACGCCTGAAATCCCAGCACTTTGGGAGGCTGAGGCGGGCGGATCACGAGGTCAGGAGATCGAGACCATCCTGGCTAACACGGTGAAACCCCGTCTCTACTAAAAATACAAAAAACTAGCTGGGCGTGGTGGCGGGCGCCTGTAATCCCAGCTACTCGAGAGGCTGAGACAGGAGAATGGCGTGAACCCGGGAGGCGGAGCTTGCAGTGAGCTGAGATTGCACCACTGTACTCCAGCCTGGGCAACAGAGTGAGACTCTGTCTCAAAAACAAAAACAAAACAAAACAAAAGAAATAAACATGCATTCATATGCTTTTGATATGCAAACATGCTTTTGATATGCAAACATGCTTTTGATTAAAAAAAATCAGCAGCTTTTCATTTGGAATTAGACAAGTTGATCCTAAAGTTCAAGTAGAAAAAGAAACAAGGTCAGCCAGGAAAACAATAAAAAGAGTAGTGAAGGAATACTAGTTCTACCAGATATTAAGGTATATAATACCATATTTAATTAAAACACAGTGGTACTGGTACATGATTAGACAAAGACAGAATAGAAAATAGAAATAGATTCAAATACATACGTGAATTTAGTGTAAAAGATCTTCAGCCAACCAGAAGAGGTGGACAACTGCCCAGCCATTTAGAAAATAAAAGTTATCTTTATACCAGAGTAAGTTCTGAGTGGACCAAACTTGAAATTTGTAAATGAAATATAAGGTGTAAAATAGAATGGAGGAGAATTCCGTAATAAAGCTGGGATGAGCAGGATCTAATAACTCCTACTTAAAATCCAGAAGCCATTAAAAAAAAAGAAAAGAATAAGTTTCTCATAGAAATATGATAAACAGAGTCAGGATATGACAAATTGGGAATCCAATATTTGAAACTTATTCACAGGCAAAAGGCTAATTTACTTTATTTAGAAAAGAACTCCTAGAAGTGAACGAGAAGAAAACCCAATAGAAAACTGAGGAGAAGACGCAAACAGAATTTTGCAGACAAGGAAATACAAATGGCTCTTAAATAAATGAAAAAAAATGAATACCCTCATTCATTATAAAATACAAATTAAAATTAGTCTGAAGTAATATTTTTCAGATTGGCAAGAATCTGAAAGTTTGATAATATGCTTTGTTGTCACATGTTGGAGAAATAGATTTCATACATTGCCGTGAGAATACCCAATGGTGCAATCCTTGTGTTGGGCATTTTAGCTGTAAAGAATAATAAGACTGCAAATTCAAACATCCTTTAATCCAGCCATTCTGTTTTTGGGAGTCTATTCTGAGGATATATTAGAATATGCTAGAAATGACATATTTATGAGCTTATTCATTTCTACATTGCAAATAGCAGTAAAAAAGTAGAAACAAAGTGACCAGGGCTGGTGAAATAAAGCTATACTTGTATAGTGAAATGCTGTGCAGCTATTTTAAAAATCAGGGTGTTTTCAATTTACTGATATGGAAAGATCTCCAAGATAGTTATGGTAAAAAGACACAGAACAGTGTGTAGAGTATGTTTTGTGTAAAAAGGAAGAAAATAACAAATATAGAAATTGGCTTGTTTACGCACAAGGAAGCTCTGGATATTCTAAGGAAGAAAGATTGGAATATCGTCATTTAAAATATTTTATATTTCATATATCTAATTTAAAAATCAGGTTTGTTGTAAACAAGTATATATTTTATTTACACTTGTCAAGTATTTTCAGCTCAGTGATTGAAAGGTGAATGAAAGATGGAAAAGTAGGCCATATAATAATATTAGCTTTTGAATATCTGAGAGTTTATTTTGTTAAAGTCGTTGTTAATACTGAAGGCCAAAATCCTTTGAAATCTTACTGGATATAATGTATACCGGAAAAGTATACATAAGTGTGTATCTTGTTGAATGTTCACAAACTGCGTACACCCAGGCAACCAGCACTTAAATCAATACACAGAAAATTCTCAGCACCCTAAAAGCATTGTTAATGCATCCACCCAGTCAGTCAGTCTTTATCTTTCTTTTCCAGGGCAACCGCTATCCTAACTTGTAAGAACATAGATTACTTTCTCCTGTTTTTGCATTGTATATAAATAGAATCACATATTATGTACTCTTCCATGACTGGCTTTTATTCTACATTATATTTGTGAGATTCATCAGTATAGTTGTGTGTATTTGTAGATCTTTTATTCTCATTTCTGCATATATTTTATTATGTGAATGTACAAGTTATTTATTCTACTGTTGAATATTTTGAGTAGTTGCCAGTTTTGAGCTTTTATAAATAGTGCTGGCATGAATGTTGTAAATCACTGCTGTCCAGTATTGCTGGTAGCAGTAAAAATATGGAAACAAGTCAAATGTCTGGTTCTGGTTAATTAAATAAAACTACATCTATATGGTGAAGTACTATGCAGTGACATATGCAATTGAAAATGTAAAATTTGTAGTAGCCGTAGTTAAAAAAAAAAAAACAGGTGAAATTAATTTCAATATTTCATTTAACCCAGTATGTCCAAAGTATTATTTTAACATATAATCAATGTAAAATTACAAATGAGAGATATTTTACTTTTTTTCACACTAAGTCTTAGAAATCTAATCTGTATTTTTTTTTTTTTGTGAGATGGAGTCTTGCTCTGTCGCTCAGGCTGGAGTGCAGTGGCACGATCTCGGCTCACTGCAACCTCCGCCTCCTGGGTTCAAGCAATTCTCTGCCTCAGCCTCCCGAGTAGCTGGGATTACAAGCGCCCACCACCAAGCCCAGCTAATTTTTGTATTTTTAGTAGAGACGGGTTTCACCATCTTGGCCAGACTGGTCTTGAACTCCTGACCTCCTGATCCACCCGCCTCGGCCTCCCAAAGTGCTGGGATTACAGGCGTGAGCCACCGAGCCCGGCTTAATATGTATTTTATACTTACAACACATCTCAATTCAGAGTAGCCACATTTCAGATGTTTGATAGTCATGTGTGGCTAATGGTTACTGTATTAGACAGTACATGCTTTTGGTGAGCATGTTATATGCAGTGCTGTTGGGTATATATCGAGGTCAAAGGATATGTGTGTATGCTCAGTTGATATTGTCAAATAGTTTTCCAACGTGATTGTACTAATTTATATTCCTCCTAGCAATATATGAGAGTCCTGGTTGCTCCACATTTTTGCCCTTAGCTATTCTGCTGGGTTTGTAGTATTATCTCATTGTATGATTTTAATTTTTCATTTTCCTGATGACTAATATGTCCTTTTTATATACTTATTAGCTGGAGGCTTTGCTTTTTAATTTCTGTTTTCATTGAAATCTTTCATCAGAAGTTTAAAGCGTTTAAGAAGAATGAATATTTTACTCTGAGCTTTACTTTCTTTTGACTAATGGTTTGAATACTACTGTCAGGTTGTTGGGCATAGTACTAGTGGCATTTTATTTTATATCTTTTTGCTCTTTTACATTATTGATTTTATTTAATAGCATTGATTTATATCTTTTATAAGTGGCTAGGAAATTATCATTTGCTCTATAAATGTGTTATTTACTGCAACCATCCCTAGAGTTTATCAAAGGAAAAGAAAGGTATTGTGTTAAAGCTTTATAATATACGTATATATTTTAGATATTTCAAAATCTGGCCTTTTAGAATTTTGATATTGATTAAAAACTTATTTATTTTATAAGCAGTTATTTACTTAAGAAGTAGTTTTGTTTTTTTTTTTTGATGAATGTATACTAGTTTTCTTTATGTCTGGAGTGACTGGGGCCCTTCTTGAGAGGGAAGGTTGGATGCGGACAGTGTGGGGCTTTGCTGTTAATTGTTAAATCAGGGCAAAAGGTACTGTCTCAGATGTTTTGGGACATGTCATATTTACTTCTTTGTGTACGTTAATCAGTGCAGTGAAAAGATGATTGACATCATGTATTACATGGAGTGCATTTTACCTTAGGTATTGTTTAGTGTGATTTTGGGATAAATTTCAATTTACTGTTAGAGGAGACAGAATTTTCTAATATTTAATACTAAATTGTAATAGTATTTTCAGCAATATATCTTTCATGAGTTTATCTTAGTGACAGGTGATGTGTTATCTTTTAATATAAAATATTTCAACGCCACATTTCTTTGAATATCTTCAGGAAGTTTTTATCTAGAAATTTGCATAATGGTTTGCATAAAAGGTTAGCCTTTTCACCTGTTTTATTTTGTATAAACACTGATATAGTGATTAAAACATTAGCTACATAACTATGAGTCACTGTAGTTTTCTGATAACTTTTAGATAGATGATGTTAGGAGTTTTTTAAATCCAGGGACTACCTTTTATTAGAGGGTGGGCAGTCTTTTAGGATTACTTGCCCAGTTTGACACGTTTCTTACTCTAGCTGTAACTGTGATCTCTGAAAATGTTTACTTTTTCCCCCAGTCTTCAGAAATATAAAAAAGATACAACTTCATTTTATTAAACAATAGGAAGAAAGAGGATTTAGATTCTAGTCAAGAATAAAAATGTAGTATATTTTGTTTTTTTCAGTTTTTGTTATATTGATAAATAATTATACATATTATGGGGTACATGTGATACTTTGATCATGAATACAATGTGTAATAATCAAATCAGGGTAATTAGGATATTCATCACATATTTGTGGGGCACATGTGATATTTTGATACATGAATACAATGCATAATAATCAAATCAAGGCAATTAGGATATTCATCTCAAACGTTTATCATTTCTTTGTGTTGGGAACATTCCAAATCTTCTAGCTATTTTGAAATATACAATAAATTATCATTAACTATCATCACCCTATGCTGCTATTAAACACTAGAACTTATTTATTCTCTCTGACTGTATTTTTGTACCTATTATCCACCCTCTCTTCATCCCCACCCCCTACTCTTTCTTGACTCTAGTAACCATCATTCTACTCTGTCTCCTTGTTTTTAGCTCACACATATGGAGGAGAACATGCAATATTTGTCTTTCTGTGCCTGGCTTATTTCACTTATCATGATGGCCTCCAGTTCCATCCATGTTGCTGCAAATGACAGAATTTCATTATATTTTTTATGGCTGAATAATATTCCATGGTGTATATATACTACACTATATCCATTTATCTGCTGATGGACACTTAGGTTGCATTCATATTTTGGCTGTTGGAAGTGCTGCAATAAACATGGGAATACAGATATCTCTTCAGTATATGGATATCCTTTCTTTAGGATATATACCCAGCAGTGGGATTGTTGGATCATATTGTAGATCTAGTTTTAGTTTTTTGAGGGACCTCCATACTGTTTTCCATAGTCACTGTACTAATTTGAAATGTAGTATATTTTAAAATACCATCATTGTTTGGAATCCATTTTCTATGTTTCATGTATGAAGAAAAGAAAAGCTGATATTTTATGTGTGTTAATTTTTTTCTATCATGTTAATTTTTAACACTCTGTCTTTGATAAGGGACTTGCAACAAAGCATTGCCAGAGAACCTAGTGCTCCTTCAATTCCTACACCTGCGTATCAGTCCTCACCAGCAGGAGGACATGCACCAACTCCTCCAACTCCAGCGCCAAGAACCATGCCGGTTAGTAGGCAAATAAATATTTTAAACAGAGGTTTTACATTAACGATGATTACTTGTTCTAACGGATAAAACATGATTTACATAGGAAGGATCTAGTGGTTACCACCTGCATCAGGTAACCAACCTTCTGATATTTTGCAATATGTAGAACACAGCATCATTCAAGAATTCTTGACAAAAAAATGCTTAACCTGAATGTAATCAAGCCCTTAAACTTTCTGTTTATAGCAAATAAAACAAATGATAAAATAAGAAGTTAAATTATGCTATTAGGAAACAATTGGACAAATCTTTCACATGGGACATTTATATGAAATAACTGAGTTGATCATTTCTAAAAGTGAATGTCATAGATTTTTTAAAAAAGAGGCATATTCTAGATGAAAAGAGATGAAAGTTTCCTTATAATCAAATGCAGTATATGAACTTTATTTGCTTTTGGTTTATAAAAATAGCTATATGAGCTTTTTTGTGTTAATTAGGGGAAAATTGAATTTGGAGTGGATATTTGATGACATTGGGGAATAGCATTAGTTTTTTAAGGATGAAAATGGTATTGTGATTATGTAGGAGAATATCCTTATGAGAACTTGAGTGCTGAAGTCTTTAGGGCTAGTGTCATGAAATTTGCAACTTACTTTCAAATGATTCTGCAAATATATATGGATGTAGTTATAGATAAAGCAGAAATGACAAATGTTAATAGTTGTTGAATTTCATTGGTAGATGTGTGATTATTTTATATACTATTTTTTACAAATTTTCTGGTGTGTGACATTTTTCATGTAAAGTTTGGGGACTAGGAGGAGATGATGGTAGTAAACAGTACCTGTGCTGCTTCCTTCCACCTCAAATGTCCAACCACTGGAGGAAGCAGTAAATGATTAAATATGAGGCACCAGGAAAAGAGCAGTGGCTATGGAGTTTCCACAGGTTGGAAAATTATTCAACTATGATATATTTCTATAGTAATAAGCCGGTATTTAAGAATGGGAATTAAAAATATATTTGGTTGGATTCTAGAGTTTCTCATATGTCCTTATTAATTTTAATTAATAGCAATTTGAGAGAAATATGAAACATTTTATAGTCAATGCTGACTTTTTCTTATAGCCTACTAAGCCCCAGCCCCCAGCCAGGCCTCCACCACCTGTGCTTCCAGCAAATCGAGCTCCTTCTGCTACTGCTCCATCTCCAGTGGGGGCTGGGACTGCTGCGCCAGCTCCATCACAAACGCCTGGCTCAGCTCCTCCTCCACAGGCGCAGGGACCACCCTATCCCACCTATCCAGGATATCCTGGGTAAGGCTGCAACATTGTGTATCCCAAGTTGGCTAATGTTGTTTCTAGGCTCTGGCTAACCTGTTAAAAACAGGGTCATCCCTTCTCCAAATGGAGGTGTCATGAATGAATAAGCTACACTGTCAGCTTATCCAGAAATGAAAATAATGTTATGGTCACTTACATGAATAGGATAGCTATTTCCTAGGCTTTTAAAATTTATGTTTTTATATTTTACATATTGGGTTTATATTAAATAATCTTTTCTGTATTATAGAGTTTAGTAGGTGTTTCCTTGGACTTTAGGTGATAAACAGGTACCTTTTCTGAGCGTAGCATAGCAAAACTGATAAGGCCTTGTTTACGTCCCTATACTTAGAATACTTGGCATTTAATAAACAGTTGAATAGAAATTTATCTAATTATGGGTTGCACTTTCTTAAAGGTTAATCTCTGTGGTAATTTCTTAATTTTAAAAATCCAAACATTTGACTACCTTTTAAGATGTGCTCTAAATTTTACTTAGTAAGTACATGTTGTCTGCCAAATATTAGAACTTTATAAGTTGTAAATTTATGTATATCACAGTGAATATTGAATATTGTGGAAGAGGAATGTATTTAGATGACTAGTTTTGCCACGTTAAAATGAAGGGTCTCCATTTTTTTTCTTTCTTTAATACTCGAATATTTAATCTTATTTTCTTCAGTATTTATTTTTGGATAGTATTAAACACTTGGTACTCTTTTGTTTTAATTAATAACAGGATAGGAATGCTTTTCTCTGACAAGTGCCTTGAAACAGTTTTTTTCACTCCACTGTTCTTTAATAGACTAAAAAATAGAAATGACTTTCATGAAAAACGTAGTTCTAGAATGATTATTGTTTTATTTTTTAGTATTTGATTTACCAATCAAGATTTTTCTGTTTTCTTCTATCAGGTATTGCCAAATGCCCATGCCCATGGGCTATAATCCTTATGCGTATGGCCAGTATAATATGCCATATCCACCAGTGTATCACCAGAGTCCTGGACAGGCTCCATACCCGGGACCCCAGCAGCCTTCATACCCCTTCCCTCAGCCCCCACAGCAGTCTTACTATCCACAGCAGTAATATGTCTGCTCAGCAGCTCAGCTGATTCAGATCAGAGGGAAAGAAATACCAACCCTGCAATAAGTGTACTAAACTCTACGCTCTGGTTAATGTAATGTACTCTCCTGGACTGAATGCAGTGTATAATTTCTGTCTACAGCTAGAAGCTGTGCCCCAGTTCCACATTTGATTACACATGTGAGATTTGCTGCTGTTGCAGTATAAACACTAGGTATAATAGGATTTGAAATTGCATTACAGTTCATAAAAATTGAAAATGAGAAATTAAACCTGCAAGTGAAACATTTGAAACGATTATACTTTCTACATAAGACATGGTTGGGACATCAGATACTTACAAAGATGGTTTAAGTATGGATACTAGAGAAAATTAAGTTTTCTTTCTCTTTGGTTTATTGATTTGGTTTAATTTCCATTATGCTATTTTGCATAATCAAGGCACTGTAAATCTTATAATTTTAAAATAAATTACTTAAGAACAGTTGTCATTGTTATGTTTTGTTATTGATTCTCATTACTGTCTAATTTTTTTTCTGGTATTAGTCTCATTTTGTATGTATATAAGTTAAACAGATACTGTTTTTAAGTGCATGAATAGTACAAGTTATTATCAAGGATGTTTTACAGGGAAATCAAAAGAATATTATCATACTTTATCTTTCGTATGCTGATTAGTAAACGATTTTTGACATTTATTTTAGAAAGTCCTATAATGTGGAAGAAACAAACAGTTGCTACCAAAGATTCTTCAAATAAACATACAAATAAATGTGTATATTTAATGTTTTATTGTTAGCTTCTCCAGAAAATTGATGCAAATTCTGGTAATAATTCTTGCATTTTTTCCCCATAACCTGGTTAAAATAAATACGCCATTGGCAATACTTCATAATGTAATGGAATTGTTTGGGGAACACTTACTGTACCCTCTCATCCTTTTTCCACCTTACTGTGTTAACTTAGTGACATTTAATGCCCAATATGTATGAATAGATCTAAGCCATTTAATTTTTTTTCCTTAAAGATTGGAGTATTTTATAATTCAAGGAGCATACAAAACAATGGTTGGGAACATATGCCAATTATGGAATAGGCTATGTATTTAATATTAATCTCTGCCATTAGGATATCTACTCACTGTATAAACCTCAGTAAAAATAGTGAAGACATGCATCATGGAATGAGAAAATGAGAAAGGAATGAGTTGTCTAACATCACAGTGGGATCTGTTTTTTGTGAGGTTCATTTCTGAACACATTAGGCATATGAGCAGATTTCCAGTGAATCTATTTATGTTTATTTTCTGAGTTTCAACGCTGACCTTTTCTTGCATTATTGTTTCATTTTAATGATAGTGTTACTTGTCCCACTGTTGTTTTCATTGAGTTTGGATTTATATTTTAAATGTTCGAATGAAAGTATGATTGTAAAAGGGAGTGAATTGGTTTAAAAATATATGTATATTTTAAACTTTGTTGTGTGTAGGAAACATGAAGGCATGTTAATTCAATATAAATGACCTTTGATTTCATGGAATATTAAAGTTGGTTTAAAGTCCAATAGTTAAACCTTAGCAAAAATAGCTTTTTACTTCATCAGTTGCTAAGATTTAATACTTTGGATTCATCAAAGTGTGACATGGGCTTGTTTGACTTCTGTAAGTGGCATTTAAGTTCCACATTCTTATTACTTGAGGTACTTTATACTAACATAAGACAGTGAGAGTTAGAGGTATTACAAGTTGCTAGTTTATAATGTCTTACTAATGCAGAAACAAGGAAAAAAGCAAAATTGGCCTGAATATTCTCTTGGGGAAAGAGGGCACCAAAGAAAAGGGTAAGTGCATCTGAGGGCCAAAAGAGATGTATAAGCCTTTTAGCCCATTCCCCATGCTGGGCCTGCTCACAGAGCCACAGGAAGATCATTCAGAAACTAGGAAAGGAGGCCCCCACAGCTGATCCTGCCACAGCACACCTGACTCACTCGGCTCTGTTAGTGTAACCTTTTAAATGTAGCAACACAAACCCTTTCCCTCTTGTCAGTTCACTCATCCTTTGGTTTCTTTTTAATCACCTGTGTCTGGGCACAGACAATCACAATAAATGCAGCCCTTTATTACTGTTAAGGATCATACTGTTGGTTTGGAGTTGGAAGGGTACTACTCTGTGATTCAGGTGTGTTGTACCCATATTTATAATTAGGCTTTATTATCTTCCTAAATCAAGGAAAGGAAATCATCCCCAGACCATTTATGCTGAGCTTTGGAATACTATTTTAAACTGGATTGTACTTAAATAATGAAGCTCTGCATAGAGGAACTAGTCAGAAGTGGGGAAAACACTGTCTAATTTTTATCAGTCTGGTATAAAGTATTGATCTAAGAGAACTCTCCCTGTGCCCCTTGGTCTTTATTCTCAATTAAGAAAAACAGTCACATGTCACGACAAACCAATCAATCTTTATGAGATATTCCTGTATCCATACCCCAGCTTGTTTGCAATTTATAAACCTCCCCTTCAAAACTAAGGAGTTGCAGAAAAAAATGGATTTCACAGAGCCTTGTGTCCCTAAAGTTCTGTCCCAGTCAGCAGTCTTTATAGTCCAAACAGATTATAAAAAATGTTTTCCATTTGAACTTTACAGTTTGCAAAAGTGCTTTTATACATTTTCTAATTTCAGAAACAGGATAATTTGTTAAGTGGGTTTCAGTTTGCTAATAGGGATTTTTTGTGTTTTGTTTTTTAATTTTCAGCATCTCTTGAAGAATCTTGCTACAGCCAAATGGCATCTCACTTTTTAAAGACGTTTGCAATTATTAGTTGATTCACAGTACAGAACAAGGTATAAAGGAAAAAACCCTGCTAGGTAGTGTTATAATTGCTAGATTAAAAATAGACTAGAACAGGTTCATTTTAAGATTTACTTGGAAGAGCAAAGAAGGAAAAATTATATTTTTAAAGAAAGAGAATATTCAGGCTTTATTTCTGGTATGAAGTTTATATTTTTTAAAAAAATCCTATATTATCACACCAGAGATTTTAGATTCTTTTCTGGTTAGAAACATTGCTGGTAGTTGGATTATATTTTTATTGTATTCATTTATCTTAGGGGGAACATTGTAAAGAAACAAAAAGGTCCAGATGAATGTATGCTAGAAATAAAAGTTGAAAGATTCTTACTTCTTTGGAGTATGAATTCTTATTTAAAGTGTTTATTCTTCAGCTTTATAGTTTCCATTATTTCTTTGACAAATGGTGAATTGGAAAATGTAAAAAAAATACCCACTTTGACTAAATGCATGAGACTACAAAAGGAAGATAGTGTTTAAATTTTTTTTTTTTCACACCTGCAACCTGATAATTTAGCGGTCATGGATGGGCCATGTTTTTCATTGCTTATGTGATTTACTCTAGGAGTATTCTTTTCAAATACCACTTTTTAGGTTAATTTTTGGAAATGATCAGCAAGATTACTATACTCATCAGCTGATGAGGGGAAGGGGGATGGGTTCTGCTGCATCCCGAGTGAAGATGACTGAGAAGCTGTGTGCTTGGCCTGCTTTAGTATTTACTGCTATCACAGGGCAGGATTGGCTTAGGAACTCCCTGTGAGCAGACCGACTACAGCCTGTGAACCAGAGGGCTTCATGCCACCGAGCCTCAGACCACAGGCTACTGCCAGTCAGTGTCCCTGCCCAATGACCGGTCTTGCCTTTGTAAGTTATCAATTTGGGGCACATCCAAGCTGTCTGCCTTTTCTCCTCATTGGTGCTGTGCAAAGGATCCTGGCTTCTCTCAGTTCTGTGGCTCCCGCGATCCTTTCTGCTTAAAAGTTGCGTAAGTTATGAACACAGGTGATACAGGTGAAGAGGTTCAAGTCTATTACCATTGTTTTTAAGTGTTCCTATATTTTTAACTGTTTTAAGCTTTACACACTTTGAAGCCCACATGATTCGCACTCATCAAGTATGTCTTTATTGTGAACATGAAGTGGCCCTTTTCCATCTTGCAGTATATTCTATTTTTTGAGGCGAGTTCTCGCTGTTGCCCAGGTTGGAGTGCGGCGGTGCTATTTTGGCTCTCTGCAGCCTCAAACTCCTGGGCTCAGTCAATTCAACCTCCTCAGCCTCTTTAGTAACTGGGACTACAAGCACCTGCCACCATGCCCAGCTAATTTTTTTTTTGTGGAGATGGAGGTTTCACCATGTTCCCCAGGCTGGCCTTGAACTCCTCAGCTCAAGCGACCCACCTGCCGCGACCTCCCAAAGTGTTAGGATTACTAATAGGCATGAGCCATTGCACCCGGCTACTGTTTTATATGACTACTCTTGTTTTGTTTTTGGATGCATTAGCAGGTTTTCTAACCTAATGTGTGCACCTGCTTTAGTTTTAGATGTTTAGATTTAGTTACTTGACTCAACCTTTTTTTTTTTTTTAGTAATTTAAAAGGGAAGTTTAACAATTTTGGTAAAATTAAATGATCTGATATTTTTGTCTGATACAAATATTTTATCCTTTCTATTTTCTATATCTGTCATTGCTTGGATTATGTGTTCTTTTATGTTTCCTAGTTGTTTGAAATATTGTTTATTACCTATAATTTTTGAAAGCATTAATATTCTTTTTTTCCTTCTCAGCCATATGTTGTTTCTTAAAAAGTAGGGGATGGGCTGGGCCCGGTGGCTCACGCCTATAATCCCAGCACTTTGGGAGGCCGAGGTGGGAGGATCACCTGAGGCCAGGAGTTCGAGACCAGCCTAAGCCAACATGGTGAAACCCTGTCTCTACTAAAAATACAAAAAATGAGCCAGGTGTGGTGGTGGGCGCCTGTAATCCCAGCTACTCAGGAGGCTGAGGCAGGAGAATCGCTTGAACCTGGGAAGCGGAGACTGCAGTGAGCTGAGATCGCACCATTGCACTCCAGCCTAGGCAACAAGAATGAAACTCTGTCTGAAAAAAAAAAAAAAAGGAGGGGGATGGGGAAGGGAAAACTTATAAACAGGGTTTAGGCTCATAATTGCTAATGCACTATTATTTTTACATTGTACATCTCGATTATAATTGTTAATGTTTGCATTTTTTTATTACTCGATTTATAAAATATGTAAACATGGTCTATTATAACTTGGTTATAGCTGGTCCTCTTCTCTTGTTCCCTTCTTGGGATGCTTTTGAACATTCAGGAGGTTTGGTCTTGCCCTCTCTCTTAGACCAGTCTTACTCTGCCTCCAGCCTGTGGGCTTCTCTGTTGCCAGCAGGTGCCAGTGATTCTGGATGAGGAACTCCCTGAGGGGCCAGTGTCTTCTTTTTCCACTGAACCCTGGAAGAAGAGGGGTGCACAAGAATGGCCCCTTCAGCCTTCATCAGCCTCCCACAATGGACTGGGCTGCATAATGTGTTCTTTTTAAAAGTAGTATGTTTTTTGAATAGGCAATACACGGTATAAATTTCAAAAGGTAGAAAATGGTGTATGATAGTAAGTGTCCTTCCTGCCCCTGTCCCTTGACCCAGTTTTCTTCCTTAAGACAGTCTCCACTACCAGGGCGCACAGGGTTCACATTGTATTTAGACTTAACAGCTCCCAGAAGCAGGTGTGTTGTGACCCTCTGTGGAAGGCACACAATGAATTGTGATAGTTGCATCTAAAACTGGAGTTTTATTCTTTCATAGAGACCAAAGACTGTTTTTAGCTAGAGAATTATTTCTAAGTTCAGCTACGCTTGACATTATTAAGAACAGTAACATGTACTGAATCGCTGCCAATTTCTAATCCCACTATGCTTTCATGTTCTTTCAAAATTATCCAAGGTATATATCATAATTTTTTATAAAGATTTGCATTTTAGGCTGATATTTAAGTAGTTTTTCAGCAAGAAACTTGTAACATTGAATCACAGAGAATAGCTATATCTAGAAAGGGAACAGAGCATAACCACATTTAATTCCTTTTGACAACGTCAGGCAGAATAATGGCCTGTCTATGTCCGTGTCCTGTTCCCCAGCACCTGTGAATACGTTAGGCTCTTTGGCAAAGGGGAATTAAGATTGCTAATCATCTGATTTGAAAATAGGGAGATGATTTTGGATTATCAGGCTGAATCCGTGTGATTTCCGTTTCCTAAAAGTGGAAGGAGGAGATGGAAAAAGGAGAAAAGGACAGATGGCAGAATGAAAATGACTTGACCTAATGCTGCTGGCTAAGAAGATGGGGCCATGAGCCACAGAAAGTGGGCAGCTTCTAGAACCTGGGAAAGGGAAGGAAGATTCACCCCTAGATCCTACAGAAGGAAGGCCTACACAGGCCTGTCAGCACCTTGACGTCAGTTCTGTGAGACTAATTTTGGACTTCAGACTTCCAGAACTGTAAGATAAATTTGTGTTGTTTTAAGCCACTAAGTTTGTGGTAGTTTATTATCGTAGCAACAGGAAATAAATTATACTCAGTTTGGTTTATTAGCAACTTCTTTGTTCTGCTCCCTGGGTTATACCGAGTATACTGCATCCTCTAGCTTCTCTCATCAGCAGGAAGGTGGGAATTTACAACACGGTGGTGACTCCACAAAGGCCACGTGGGCCCAGCGTTGGCTGCACCATTCCCTTTAATGAAAGAGTATTTGGTTCCTAAAGGAAGATTCACTTTCTTATTTCTTGTTTCGTATTTTAGGGTCTTTATGTTATTCCCTTTCCATAACAGTGTCTTTTATCACTATTGGGGTTTTCAGAAAGGAAATACAATGTAGATGGAAGTGAGGCGACTGCACAAGGGAAGGCACTTGGAAACAGACCACAGTGCTGTGGAAGAGATATCTGTTGCCTTTTTTTCCTTGTAAGTAATGTGTTACAAAACTTTTAACCATTAGAGTTGAAATTTTTCTCCAGCAAAGATCTGTCTTTACTCAAATTACCTGGTAATGTATGAACTTTTTTTAAAAAACAGATTTTTTTAAGAGCAGTTTTAGGTTTAAAGAAAATAGAGGAGAAAGCATAGAGTTCCCTTATACCCCGCTTACCCCACCCCCTCACAGTTTCTCCTCTTGTTAACATCTTGTATTAGTGTAGCTCACTGATTACAATTGATGACCCAGTATTCACACATTATTATTAACTAAAGTACATAATTTATGTTAAGGCTCATCTTCTGTGTTGTACATCTGTGGATTTTGCCAAATGCATAATGTCATGTATTCACCATCACAGTCTCATATAGAATAGTTTCACTGTCCTAAAAATCCCTTGTGCTCTACCTACTCACCCTTCTCCCCAACCTGGACAACCACTGATCGTTTTATTGTCTGTATAGTTTTGTCTTTTCCAGAATGTCATACAGTTAGAATCATACAATATGTAGCCTTTTCAGACCGCCTTCTTGGCATGTAAGTTTCCTTTGTGCCTTTTTGTGGTTTCATAGCTCATTTCTTTTTAGTGCTGAGTAATATTCCATTGTATGAGAATACTGGATATATCAGTTTGGTTATCCATCTACCTTTTGAAAGACACACTTGTTGCTTCCAGTTTTTGGCATTTATGAATAAACATTAATGTGCAGGTTTGTATGGACATAAAATTTCAACTTATTTGGGTGAGAACCTAGAAGCACAATTCATGGATCATAAAAGACTATGTTTTGCTTTGTAAGAAGCTGCCAAACTGTCTTCTAAGGTTGCTGTACCATTTTGCATTCCCACCAGCACTGAATGAGAGTTCCTGTTTCTCCACATCCTCGCTAGCATTTGGTATTGTCAGATTTTTGGATTTTAGCCATTCTAATAGGTGTGTAGTGGTATATTACTATTTTTAATGTGCAATTTCTTAATGATTTATGACGTTGAGCATCTTTTCACATGCTTATATGCCATCTTGTATCTTTGGTGAGACATCTGTTCAGGACCTCTATCCATTTTTGAATTGGATTTTCTCATTGAATTTTAATGCTTTTTTGGGGTATATTTTAATGTAGTTCCTTTATCAGATGTGTTTTGCAAATATTTTCTTCCAGTTTGTAGAGCAAAAGCTTTTTCACAGAGCAAAAGTTTTTAATTTAATGAAGTCAAACTTACCAGTTCTTTCATGGCTCGTGCTTGTGGTGTTATATCAAATCTATGTCAAACCCTAGATTACCTAGCTTTTATCCTATGTTATATTCTGGAAATTTTGTAGTTTTGTGTTTTATATTTATGTCTATGATCATCTCCTTTACTTTTGAAGGATAATTTTGCCAAATACAGAATTCTAGGTTGGTGATTATTTTCTTTCAACACCGTAAATATTTCCCTTCTCTTCTTACTTGCATTGTTTGTGAAGTCTAATGGAATTCTTATCCTTATTTTTCTATAGGTAAGGCAGGTTTTTCTCTGCTTTCTTTCAAGATTTTCTCTGTCTTTGGTTTTCTGCAAGTTTGAATATGATTTGTTAAAGTGTAGACTTTTCTGTATTTGTCCTGATTCGTGTTCTCCAAGCTTCCTGGATCTGTGGTTTTGTATCTGTCATTAATCCTGGAAAATTCTAATCCATTATTACTTCAAATATTTATTCTTCTCCTTTCTTTCTTCAGCTTCTGGTGTTCTCTTTGTGAATATATTACATGTTATGTTATTGTCCCACAGTTGTTGGCTATTCTGTTCCAATTTTTCATTCTTAGCATTTCAGTTTGGGAAGTTTCTCTTGACATATCTTCAAGCTCACTGAATATTTTCTCATCTGTATCTAGTTTACCAGTGAGCCCATCAAAGGCATTCTTCATTTATATTATAGGGCTTTTGATTTCTAGTATTTTCTTTCATTTCTTTCTTAGAGTTTCGAGCTGTCTGCTTTCATTACTCATCTGTTCTTGCATGCTGTCCACTTTTACATTGGAACCCTTAGCATATTAAGTATAGTTATTTAAAATTCCCAGTCAAATAGTATCAAAATCTTTTCCATATGTAAGTCTTGTTCTGTTGTTTGCTTATCTTTTCAGAGTGTTTTTCTTGCCTTTTAATGTGCCTTGTAATTTACTGTTGAAAGGCAGATTTGATATATTGGCTAAAAGGACCTGAGGTAAACAGATCTTTAGGATAAGGGTTTATGTTTATCTGGCTAAGAACTTGGCTGTGTTTATCACTTACCATAGCTGTAGATGTCTGAGATTTCAGTTTTCTTCAGTGTCCTCATTTTTGTTTTCCCTGTTGTTTTTGGTTTTCCCTAGACATTCTTTCTTAAACAGAGCCTCAGGCTTGCAGTTGTTTCAGCTGTAATCTCTGTTGTCACACAGGAGCCTTATTGATGTGGTGTTGAGGTGTGAGGGTAGAAGTGTTCTATAATCCTGTGATTTGGTCTCAATCTTTCAAGGAGCCTGTGGCCATGGCCTGTGACCCTCACAAGTGCTTCCCAGCTTTTGTTTTACTCCTTAGGTGAGACAGGAAGTTAGTTAAAGGGGGCTGGAGTTGGGTACAGTTGTCTCTGTCAGTATCAGTAGGTGCTTGATTCCAGGACTTCTCACAAATACCAAAGTGCATGGATACTCAAGTCCTTGATATAAAATGGCATAGTATTTGCATATAACCTATGCACATCTTCCCATATACTTTAAATTATCTCTAGATTACTTATAATACCAAATACAATGTAAATGCTATGTAGTTGTTTTACTATATTGTTTAGGGAATAATGACAAGTAAAGAAAGTCTGTACGTGTTCAGTAGTGATACAATTAAAAAAATTTTTTTTTGGTCTAACGTTAGTTGAATTTAGGGATGCAAAACCTATGGACACAGAGTGGGGACTGTATTTCCTTTCCCCTACATTGTAACCAGTATAGTTTCCCTTGAGGGCAAGTGGAGAACAGAATGCTCAGATGGTTACTTTCCCCTTCTGCTGGAAGCATCAGGGGATTTCCCCCAAATTTTCACCACGAGACCCTGGTAGGGCTTTTGCAGGTGAAACTCATGAAAACATGGGGGCCCCTCTGGGCCTGGGCCCCAGGAGTTTTTAACACACAGTCTAGGCCCCACTCAGCTTCCAGCAGTTTGTCCATTACAGTTTTTTTCCTCCTAGATCCTGGCTCCAGTGGCTTCGGCTCCTGCTTCTGTATTTGTCTGTTTCTCCAGTCTTGGGGCTATTTGTTTGCCCTGTGATCTCAATTCTCTGGTGGATTAAAAAAAGAATTGTTGATTTTCAGTTTGTTCAGCTCTTTTTTGTTGTGAGGATGAAGGGGTGGTTGCTGAGCTCTTCACATGTCAGAGCAGAACCCCAGAAGTCCAGATGAGCTTTGGATACAAATACTCAAGCCTTTAGTAAGCTTGGAGGATTTTTCACTTCTCTTCCATGTGCTCTCGACTGCCTTCTGGAATCTCTATTGTTACAGATACTAGATCTCTCCACATGTTTTCTATCTGTGTAGCACATAATAAATGTTTAGTAATGTTAGCTACTATTATTTTTTACCCATTATTTTAATCTTCCACCTTTTTCTTGATTGGAGAAGTTTCTTGAAATAATCTAATTCACAATTCCTTTTTCTGCAGCACTTGGTCTGCCACACACTGTCACCAATGCATTTTAAAAAGTTAGTCCAAGCTTATGGGGTACATGTGACATTTTGATACATGTATATAATGCATTGTGATCAAGCCAGGATATTCAGGGTGCCCATCACCCAAGAACAATACATTTCTGTTAAGCATAACCACCTTACTCTGCGATCAAACACTGAATTTATTCCATCTTATTCTACGTTTGTGCCCTTTACCCCACTTCCCTTCTTCTTCTTGCCCCCACTCACCCTTCCCAGTCTCTGTTGTCTAGTTTTTCACTCTTTACCTCCAAGTGATCAAATGTTTTAGTTCCCACATTTGAGTGAGAACATGTGGTATCTGTCTTTCTGTGCCTGGCTTATTTCACTTAAGATAATGACCTCCAGTTCCATCCGTGTTGCTACCAATGACATAATTGTATTTGCTTTTTATGGCTGAATGACATTCTACTGTGTATATATATACTACAGTTTCTTTACTTTATCCATTCATCTATTGATAGGTGCTTAGGTTGATTCCATACCTTAGCTATTGTGGATAGTGCTGCATAAACCTGTGGGTGCAGGTGCCCCTTTGGTATTTTGATATTTTTTCCTTTGAGTAGATACTCAATAGAGGAATTACTGGATCAAGTGGCAATTCTAGTTTTAGTTTAAAAAAAAAAACTAAAAACCATTTTTTTGAATTAACTCTTTAATACTAAAGATTTTTAAATTGCTTATAGATATAATTTTTTTGCAATTTACTTTTTTTCTTTTACATTCTCAACATAGCAAAATACTGTAAGAATGATTAGGGACTGACATTTTTAATAAAATCATCACTAAGTTTTACTTCTCAATATACTCTTTTTTTATAGAGAATGTTGTTATATGTCCAACCACTGATTTTTGGTTCTTGTGAAGTGCTTTCTTTTGTGGATAGTTGTTCAATTTGGTGTTCCTGCAGAGGGGATGATGGCTGGAGGCTTCTATTTGGCCACCTTGCTCCATCTCTCCTATTTTAGGCTTTTTGATAAATCTCTGTGCAGTTTTCCATAGTGGCTGTACTAGTCTACATTCCCAGCAACACTGTATAAGAGTTCCCTTTTCTTCGGATCCTCACCAACACCTGTTATTTTTGTCTTTTTAATAGTAGCATTCTGACTGGGTAAGATGACATCTCATTGTGGTTGTGATTTGTATTTCTCTGATGATTAGTGATGTTGAGCATTCCAAAACATTTTCAAATATGGCCATGATATTTTATGATTTGGTACAATCTTTACTGATCTCACATTTTCCCCTGTAGATAGTAGCTGCTTGATTTCACTGATATCATGGTAGCCACTCTTTTTTATATAATCGTTGTTAGTTGAAAATTAGCCCCCTGTTCCTGCAAGGATTCCCCCTCCCCATTTCCTTTAGATGTTACGTAACCTGAGCTAGAAATAATGCAGCGCTGTTAGAATTTAGCAAAACAACTCTAGGATGTGTGTTTACGCAGAATGTATGCCATACCAGCCCCCACAGTCAACCCCCATAAACCACCCCAGCGTATGAGCTCAGGGCTGCCTCCTCTGCCTGTCAAGGAGCAGCCCAGCAGGTCAGTAAACTCACTTGCTTGACTTTGGGTCTACTGGTCCTTTCTCTTGGCTGACTTTACAATAGTGACTCGCTCAACATCAACTATGTATTTGCACTTGCTAGTTCTAAGCACTGGTGAGTGTTTGAATAATTCATTTTGTTTTTACTTTTCAGAGACAGTCTCACTCTGTTGCCCAGGCTGGAGAGCAGTGACATGATTATAGCTCACTACAGCCTCGATCTTCTGGGCTCAAAAACATCCTCCCACCTCAGCCTCCCAAGTAGCTGGGAATACAGGTGTGTGCCACTTCACCTGGCTAATTTTCAATTTTTGTTTTTGTAGAGATGGGGGTCTAACTATTTTGCCCAGGCTGATCTTGAACTCCTGGCCTCAAGTGATCCTCCTGCCTTGGCCTCCCAAAGTGCTGGGATTACAGGTGTGAACCCCCAAAATATGAGCCAGGTCTGAGTTAATTTAGAAAGTTTATTTTGCCAAGGTTGAGGACATGTGCTTGTGACACAGCTTTAGGAGGTTCTGACGACACGTGCCCAAAGTGGTCAGAGCACAGTTCGGTTTATACATTTTAAGGAGACATGAGACATCAATTAACATATATAAGATGAACATTGGTTTGGTCTGGAAAGGGGGACAACTTGAAGCAAAGGTAGGAAGACTCAAGCCGGGAGGGGGCTTCCAGGTCATAGGTAGATAAGAGACAAATGGTTGCGTTCTTCTGAGTTTCCGATTAGCCTCTCCAAAGGAGGCAATCAGATGCGCATTTATCTCAGTGAGCAGAAGGTTGACTTTTAATAGAATGGGAGACAGGTTGGCCCTAAGCAGTTCCCAGCTTGACTTTTCCCTTTAGCTTAGTAATTTTGGAGCCCCAAGATTTCCAAGATTTTCCTTTCACACAGGCATGAGCCACCATGCCCAGCCAGTAGTAATTCATTGAAGTTTCATATGAACCCTATGAAAATGGTATTTTTTCATTCATATTCATTGAAAACAGAGGAGTCAGCTTCATTGTAGAGAAGCTGAGCAACTTGTCCAAGGCCACATGGCTGCCAAGTAGCTGAGCTGGGGCTCAGGTTTCTTTCACCCTGTTGCCTCTCATCTGAACTGCTCCAACAAGTGTAGCTTCCTCTTGACTGCTGCTCTTGCCTCTGCCGCTGAAAACAGCTAATGTTTATAGAGCGCTTGTCATGTTACAGGTCCTCTTCTAAGAATTTAAAGTCCATTAACTTATTTTAGCTGAGCACCACTTGTGAGGTGGCCACTGATTTGATCTCTCATTTTACAGGAGAGGAAGAAACAAGGCACAGGGGAGCTTGAGTACCTGGGACTGGCCTGTGATGAAGCTGGGATCTCACTGCAGTTAGATGTTAGTTTTCAAAGTTTCTCCTGTTTCATGGAGTTTTGTTTTGTAGAAAGACTTTTGTTCTCATTCCTTCATTTTTTTTTTCTTCCCAGTCATTCAAAACTATATGTTGAGAGACTACTTACTCTTCTAGGTGCTGGGGATTAAACTGTGCCTGGGAATTTGCATTCCAGAAGAGAAGGATATTGAACTAGAAGGATAGGTTTGCAAGTGAATACTGTATTAAGATGTGAATTTGTGGGTGGCAGTGCTCTTGTATTTGTCCCTGTTTTCATCTCCAGCCAGGTGGCTAAACCCGTTGCATATTCCTGCCCCTGGGATTGTTTGTTGGGTTGGAGGGTGGGTGGGAGCAGAAGCTGGGGTCTCTGGCAGGAGTCAAAGGGAGTGGTAACATTTCAGAGGGGATGAGGTTTTGGTTTAGGAGATCACAGCATTCCCAGAGGTATCATGCTTCAAACGCAGTGGAGCTTCCACATCTGAAGGGACAGCGAGGCCAGGCAGCAGCCCAGGGAGTGCCTGGCAACCCCTGGGGTATTTGTGTGGGGAACCAGTAATTACTGAGACGGAATTTCTCAGCACCCTGAGGAATGAGCTTCTGAGGCAGAAACAAATTCAATCAATCAATCAATCAATCAATCAATCAATCAGTGAATATTTCTTGTGTCCCTGGATTGGTGGGCTTCAATTCACATCCACCCACCACATTTGGTCCATCTCTGGAATGGCAAAGAATATTTACATCACACACAACTGCACCCCATGGTCTGATGATGACGCCCATTGGAGATTTGCTGAGCAGAAATAAGGCTCTCAGAAGCCGCTGTTGGGAAGGGGATGAAGACGAAGCTGAGTTTGAAGAGCAGCCTGAATGCTCTCACCCACTGGTCAGATGTGAGGGTCACCAGAATGGAGAGGAGGTAAATCACTTATTCCACAGTGTTGAGATTCTTCCGTCTTTCTTTCTTTCTTTTTTTTTTTTTTTCTTATTTCCCAGGCAAAATACCCTATGACTGAGAGAGAAGAACCTGAATCCTGGCATTCAAGAATATTCCTACAGTGGCCCAGCCTGGTCATGCCATGTAAGGCCTAGGCCAATGCATTGCCCCACCTGTGGGGAAGGCTGTTTTGTCATGGTGGAAATGAACCCACTGGAAACAATGGGTGTTTTGGGGAGAATGAAGCTCCCACTTGGCCCCAGTAGAAGAGCATTCGAGTCTTGCTGGGGCCCATTTCTGAGATGCACCAGAAGTTAATCAACTTTTTAGTGTCAGAAGACGCTTATTTGATCCCTGGGGCCCATTTTTGAGATGCACCAGATCAGAGGCTGAGAAACTGCAGAGCTCAGTGACATCACAAGGGTGAGGCCCTCGGGCCCCAGGGCTTTCAGAGCACAGGAAGGTTCAGTGCTGAGTCTGACTACTCAGAGCTCCAGAGTAGGCTTTCTTGATGCTGCAACCATCACCAGCACACAGTGGGCTGCCGAAAAGTGTCTGCACCTACCCAGTGAGGACAGGGTGCAGGGGCTCGTCCTCAGTGCTAGACTTCACAAGCCAGGGCTGTGTCTTCAGAACCGGTGTGGACAAACCTGAGTGGCATATCCCATTCCAAGCTCTATCTGACAGACCCTCACCCTCACACCTGCTCCCAACCACAGACGCTGTAAAGGCTGGGTACTAACGGGTGACGGAAACCAGTCAAAGAGAAAAGCTGATTTTGGTGGCTCGCACCCAGGCCTTGCTGTTCAGGCCAGCACATGCTGACATGTCACCAAAGCTAATTATCCTGAAGGACCCTCCCAAACTCCTGGGAAATGGGCTTTTGATTCTGGGTCCCAAGAGTGAGGGTCTACCCTCTGCCCTTTGTGGGAGGCGGGGGCCTACCGGTGGGGGGCACGGTGAGGTTAGCCAGGCATACCGTCCTTGGGGATTGGTCCTGACAAGGCCACTGGGACATGTGGGGAGACATGGGACATTTCACAGGGTGTTCAGCCATCAAGAAATCTTGCAGTTGATGTTAATGGCTGAGGAGTGCTTGGGGGCAGGAATCCAGGGTGGGCCTAAGAGTAGTTGGTAGTACACCACTGGTGCTCCTTCCTAGGGGAGACTGCTGCCCTCTCTGTGTGTGCTTTCATGTGGAGTGGGGAAGGTGGTGCTTGTGCCGGCTGGGCAGTGGAGCATTTCAGACAAAGAGGCATGTGTTGAGGGGTTCAGAGGTGAGAAGGGGCAGCAGGCAGGAGACCTCAATTAAATGTAAAAAGCCTCAAGAAATTGTAAGCACAGGAGAGCAGTGGTCAGATGAGGGTTAGATAGCTCAGCAGGGAGAAGGAGTACATTTGGACTTGATGCGGAATTCCTTGGCAGATTAGAGGCTTATAGAGAGGGGTCTGGGTGCTCCATCCAGGGCGTCCTTTGTGGGCCATGGGTGCTGTGCTGTGGGAGTCACTATCTGTGGCTGTGGGGCCTTCAACTGACCTTCAGTCTTGCCTACTCGCTGCCTCTCCCAGAGGCACGGATACAACAGGGAGCCTCCCTGTGGACTGGCTTTTCTCCCCAAGCCGTGGGGACCCATGGGGTCTTCTGGGAGGCAGTGGTGGCCTCACCACCAAGCAGCCGTATGACTCTGGGCAAGACTTTTGCATCTAAGCCTCCATTGCCTCACTGTTGAAATGAGAGTAATAATCCCTTCTTGAGAGTGGTAGAAAGCTGAACAGACTGGCCCTGGTAGGTGCTCAGACACTTGGCTGTTTTAATTATTCCTAGTACAGGCAAACCTGCCCCCACCACCCCACGCTTGTGGAGACTTTGCTGGGTTTATTGGCCCTCCTCTGCCCCCAGTCCTCTCTACACTTTATTTTGCTGAAATTCACTTCAACAGGGGGATGTTCAGCCAAGACAGGACAGAAGCTGGTGCTCCTGACTTTTTTGGATTTGCTTCAGCTGGATACAATGTTTTGGGTTGACCATTTAATTCAGATTTCCTAGTTCTCACACACCTTGGAGGATTTTTCCCCGGAAATACTACGAAAGTGGTAACTTCGCCTCGTGTAGAGAGACTGCTCAATGAATAAATTAAGCTAGATTAGAACAGCTGGGTTTCACCAAGCCCAAGGGGCCCAGGAACAGAATTCAAAGGATCAGTGAACTAGAGGGCCAGGCATGGTGGCTCACACCTGTAATCCCAGCACTTTGGGAGGCCGAGGCTTCAACAGCTCAATGAACTAGAATGGGAGATTAGAGCTTAACTTTTGAAATTTAGAATTTCCTTCAGTTATAAATAGCAACAAACCAACCTTTGTAGTATTACCAGAAACTGAGACTTTATTTCTAGAAATCTCAGCTTTTCACATATTGTTACAGCTGCCACTGATTTCTCAAAATGTCATTTATGCCCATCATAAAGGAGCATATCATGAATTTATGGTAATTAGACCTGCCACTAGGTCTTGTTATTTACTGTGTTAAAAAAGAACATCTATCTGCATAGCCCCCACTTGTTTCATAATTGGATAAATTAATTGAAATGCAATTAGTTTTCTTTGTAATTATGAATTTCGGAAGAAGTCCATAGGCTTCTTCTGACACTAAAAAATTGATAAACTTCTAGACATTGGAGAACTGGAAGGATAAAGTGGCAATTCCCAGTTTAGCCACAAGAGGGAACTATTTCACAACTTATGTTTAGAAAGATCATAGCTGGGATTTTTCTTATTTCCTCTTAACTCGTTCTAAAATTGGTTCGAATTTTCTTCTTTACTGTTAGCAGTGTAATTGGGGTGCTGTGATGAGGCTCTGTAGCGGATACCCCGCCAAGAGCTGAAGCATCCCTGTCTCATGAACCCAGGAAGACGTGATATGAAAAAGTGAGTCTCCCAGGCACTAGATGAGAATGCCAAGTTTAGTGCCCCAGCTTGTTTGCTGTCTTCCCCCTGCCCCCTGAAACCTTGTAGAGCAGAGACGATACCTCCTTTTTTATTCTCATAGGAACAGTTCCTTCTTCAGGTTAGAAACACAGCTGAAGGTTTTCCACGAATACAGTGGCTGTTAGAAGAATGTGTTGTTTGTGTGTATGTGTGGGAAGGGGGCAGAGGCAGGGTTGGCGTGGGAGGGAGGGAAATGAGAGCTTTAGAGGTGGAGAGAGGCTGTGATCCTATAATAAAAACCCGAGGACCTGGCCAGGCCTTCCACTTGGTTATGCAGTGGTTGCCCCTAGGGCTGATTTTAATGGGAACAATTTCACACGTTCCCTTGTCGTTTGGCCACATCAGCACTTAGGTCACCGTATATATTTAAGTGCACAGAATTGAGGTCTTAGAGTGTCTAATTGCAAAGGGCGGCAGCCACTTTCACAAGTCAGCATCCTACGGAGGAGTAGCTCTGCAGTCCCTCACTTGCCCTGAAGTAGGTCAGGCTGGAGTAAATGCAGCAGATGTCCACGTGGGCGCAGTCGCGGCCACAGAACACAGTTCTGAGTTCAAACCTACTTGTGACTCCAAAATTAACATTTGTTACACTGTCTGCCTCTCTGGCCTTTAGGGATTGTTGCCTGTTTTTTTTGTCCCCCAATGTTAGTTATGAGCAACATTGAACAACTCACTGTTGAAAGCAGGGCTTTACAGGCTCCATCCTAAATGCTGGGGCCAGGAGAGAACCAGCCGTAAGTGCTGTGGATCCCTAGAGCTCACAGGATGCTTGGCACGTGTTGGGTAAATACAACCCCTCTGAATACGGTCCTTTCAGGTGTGTCTACCGTGTGACCAGCAAGTTGTTGATCTTCTCTGAGCCGCAGTTTCCTCATACATAAAACGGGAATTCTTTTACCTCAGGAGATTGTGGTGAGAAGTAAGGAAACAGATAGTATACACAGTTAGCACCGTGCCTGGCCATTGTTACTGAGGATCACAGCTTTGTTCCTTAAGCATATGGTGTGCATGGGACAGACAAATAGTAGCCAAGAGCATGGGCTGCTGGTGCATCCTGCCTCACTTTATGGCACTGGTGCTGCCAATAACCTGGTGAACTTAATAACTGCTCTTCATTAAAGTGCCAGGATTTATTTTGTGAGATGACAGTGTGACAAGTTGGTGCAGAGCATGGGCCCTGGAGCTGGATGGCCTGGGCTAAGTCCCAGATATGACTTATGGCTGCAAGACTTTAAACAAGTTCCTTAGTGTCTCTGTCTTTAGTTTCCCATCTTTAGAGTAGGGACCATAATGGTACTTTCTGCATAAAGTTATTATGAGTTAATGCATGAAAAGCACTAAGAATGGTCCCCGGCACATTAGCAATTACTCAAAATTATGAGCTATTATTATTACTGTTATTGTCCTAGACAACTTGCTAAACATTCTCTGATGACAAATTTCAAGAGTTGTGTGAATCTTCTAGACAGTCTAGACCAGTGGTCTCATGCTTCTGGAACCTGTTTCCTCAACATGCTAGGGTAGTGGGGTGAGGATGGGATGGGAATGGATGAACCTGGGTGGTACGGTGGTGGGGGTGATGGTGGAGGTAGTTGATCAGTGGCAGTGGGACTGTGGTGGTACCACGGTGGTGGAGTGATGGTTGGGTGAAGGTCGGGTGGTGTGATGATGCCTGGGTGGTTGTAGTGAGGTAGTTGTTGGTGCTGTGGTTGTTTCTGGGGTAATGGTGGTGTTGGTGGAATGATGTGTACTGGTGGTCGTGGGTAGTCATCATTGGTGGGGTGACGTGAGGTGGTGGAGTGGGTGATGGAGTGATGGTCAGGTGGTGTTGGTGGAATGATGTGGACTGGGGGTGGTGCATAGTTGGTACGGTGGGGTGGTTGGTGTTGGTGGAGTGGTAGGTCGGTTGGGGTGGCTGTTTGTGATGGTGGTGGAGTGATGGACAGGTAGTGTTGGTGTTGTTGATGGAATGATAATGAAGGGTTGGTGGAGTGATGAGGAGGTAGCTGTTGGTAGTGTAGGTTGGAAAATGATGATGGAATAGTTGGTTGGTGGTGGTGATGGAGCCGTAGGGGCAGCAGTTGGTGGTGGCAGGCTCTGGCAGTGGTGACAAGATAGGAGGAGCAGCGCTTCTCTCTGACTCCTTGGAGGCCATCCTTGCTGTGACCACCATGGTAGTGCCAACTTCAAGAACTAGGTTTGTGCCTGATTCTAGCTCTGCAGGACTCCTGGCTATTCTCCCAGAGGGCCCTGGTGCTTCCTCCGCCTGGGTCAGTCCTGGGTGTGCTGGAATTCTAAGCTGCAAGATCAATTTCTGCTTGTGGTCTCAGAACTTGTTTCATTTATTTATGGACATGCCCACACTTGATTTTATAGTCTTGCCTCATACTCCATTTTTTTTCTTTGAGAAACCACAGGCACTTTAAAGATATTGTACAAATATTTCTTATAACAACTTTTTGATGCTGGGGTCAGGTAACAGAACCTTGCTTTATAGGTGACAAAATTGAGGTGATTCTCCAGGTTACATGTTTCTTAAACCATTGAGAAGTGACATCTCGTTTACAACCCTTCCTGTGGCTGGTAGAATTAATTTTTGTTGGAAAAAAAGGTCATTTTGTTATATTTAAACCTCCCCTCAACTATGAAAAAAGAGAGCTGTTTCTTTTCTTTTTTCAGAGAGCCCACTGGGCGCCTTGTTCCTGTGTATTTGTCCATGACCCTAATTCTTTACTGACGTGAGCGAGGTACCAGGAGTGGGGGCTGCAGAGTGAGGACACGGGAGTGGACGTAAAGTTTTCATTTGAAGCTTCAGTGAATGGGGTCTGTACAACCCTTGTCATCCAAGGGAGCCATTTTGGAGAGAAAAAACAAAACAAAACAAAAAAACTTCTGTTATTTTTGACCACTTAAAAAATATTTGCTTCACATTTGGTAAAACTGAGAAAAATCACATTTTCCTTAGTGAAAGCAGCTGCAGTTTCTTCCATAGCACCTTTGAAGATGGGATGGGAGGGGAGCCAGGGATGGTGCACTGTTGGTGCATGGGCCAGGGCAAGTGCAGGTTGCCTTTAAGCAGATGTGTTTTAACTGAAAAAGGAATAAAAGGGTACACTTCAGGACATACTTATCCCCAAAAGGCTGCTTCCTAAAAATGCTAATTGTGCATGTTAAACAGAAACCATAGGCTCCTGACAGCCTCACAGAGTCCTGTTTGTGGATGTTTTATGGAGGTGATTTAAACCCTAGGACTCTTCCTTTCTTCCCTCTCGTGAAGGATCTTGGTGTTACCAACTCATTAGCTCGTGTTCCTGTTATTTGCCTGCAGTTGCAGTCCTCTGCTTTCAATAAACGGGCCTAGCACTGTCAGGGGATGTTGAAGTCACGGAGGTGGCCACACTGGATAATCAACAGTGATGACAACTTTGCAAATTTAAGAACAGCACACGAGGCAGAAATGAGAAGCCGCATGAAGTGCTGATGAAGAGCAACTTTCTAATATCCTCCTCCTGTGGTTCCACATGAGATGTGAGCTGTGAAGGAAAGAGAGTTATGAACCAATTGGTGCTTTGAATTGAGATTCTCAGAGTCCACCCATGCTGCTTTGTGTGGAGTCTTGGGGCATTTATTCAACAAAGACATCCTGGGGACCTACTCTGTGCCGGACCCTGGGCTAGGTGCTGGAAGGAAGTGATAAGGAAGACAGGGACCCTGTCATTGGTGAATAAACAGTCACAGGGGAGAGATGTAGACAGACATGGATACCAGGAAATGCAATATGGAGTGAGAAGTGTTGTAACAGAGTGTTGTTCCAAAAAGGATTCAAGGAAGCTGGAAGTGTGCACAGGTAACACAGGAATACATGAGAGAGAAGTTTTGCTCTGCTGGATTGAAGATCAGAGTGGAAAAGATTGTCAATGGCCACCTGCCAAAGGCCACCAGGGAAACACCTGCAGTCATAATTTGCTACACCAAAAGAGAGTGAATGCCACAGAGAACCGTGGATGTGTGGATAAGAGGGAGTTAGTGGGGCTTACTGGAGGATTTGGTCATGTGTTTGGTGATTTGGGGAAGAGTACAATGAAGCTGGGCTCTGTTCTGGATTGGTGCTGTCAGAAAGTGGGGCAATTTGGTGAGTGAGCATCTTACACTAGTACTAGTGTACTAATACTGGGGTTAGAGGTATCACTGGAAAAGAAGCAGCAGCATCTCATGTTAGCCTAGGGAGAGGGAGGTTTGGTCACTCTTGTGATTGCACAGGGTCTTTGTTTTTACCTCTGTTCAGGTCTGATCATGGAGCAGCCATCTGCTCCTGAAGTTCTTTCTGAAGTCTTTCTGAAGTTCTCAACTGCTACTGATATTCTCTGAAAGATTTTGTGTTCATCAGGGGACAACACAGTCTAGCAGGTAGAGATGAGGCCAGCTACCAGCTGAAAACTCTCAAGGCTGCTTCCCCATCACCCCTCCACCTCTGGGCACTGAAGGATGAGTAGGAGTTTCCCAGATCGGAAGGTCAAAAAGGGATGGGCATATGAGGCAAGAAGGCATATCTGGAGTAGGCCTGGGGAGGTACCGAGTATCCCAGTAGGCTGAGGGACACCAGAAGTAAGGACGTGGGTGAGAACCAGGGGGTGTAAGCCCAAGGAGTCAGACAGGGCCCTATGGTGGGGGCCTCTGGGGCTTGCTAAGGAGCTTAGATGGAATCCTCTGGCCATATTAATCTGAGTGCTCAACTCAGAGCGGGTGATCAGCAGATGTTTATTGAATTGGAATATCGGTTAATGAATTGGACCTCTTTTTCCTTGCAAACCCCACCCTCATGCACCCAATATAGTGCCATCAAAGACAAGAAGAAAAGCTACATGAGGAAGGGATATCCTTCTAGGAGTCCAGATGTCCTGCCCTTACAGTAGCTTTTGGAATACTATAGTCACAGAGCTGACAGGGTTCTTAGGGTACATTTGGTCTGCCTCTCTGCTTTTACAAAAGGGCACCTGAAGCAAGATGCGACAAAGTGCTTGCTTAATGCTTCACAGCAGATTGTGAAAGAATGAGGACTTGAACTCACATCCCTTGCTTCCTTGTTTCTGCCCTTTTCACTACAGCAACACTTGTCCTTGTCATCTATAACTTTCCCAGATTAGTTCTTCTATAACCCTAGTGAACCCTGGGCCTCCACATGGCTCAGTCTCTGCAGAGTTCTCCATATACAAAAACAAAACAAAATTCAGCAGCCAGAAGTACTTGAGAAGGAATTCCATTTGCTGCATGACTCTGTTGAACTTCGAGGGGATAAGAGTCACCAGCCACAGTTCCACTTTTCAAGGACCCTTGCCTCTACTCCTCAGCTCCTCCGGATGGTCTCTTGTGCCAGCACCCAAGCTGCTCCTGTAACCACAATCCAGAGCTGATTTTTCTCTTGCTTCTTCCTTCCTCATCTAGTTCTTTATTAAAGAGATTGACCTGGCCTCTCTGCGCATATCCTCCCTACCTTCTTCCTGTCTCTCAGGACTCATCTCCCCTCTTTTATCTGCCAGTGTTGTGTCTGGCAGTATGTTACAGAAACCTCATTACAGTGGCTAAAATAAGTAAGAGATTTATAATCTCTCCCCAGACAAGAAGTCCATAGGCAGATGCTCCACAGCTGTGCCAGAAGCTCTTCCTGGTTTTCTGCTCTGCCAGTTAGGGTGGATGGTTTGCTTCATCTCACAGATGGCTGCTGCACCTTTGGGCGTCATGCTTACATTCCAGGTTAGAAGAGGGGGAATGGCCAAAAGCAAAAGATATGTGCCTGCTGAATGGTCTCTTTACATCAGAAAAACAATTGATTTTCTGGAAGCCCCAGCCGGTAGAATTCTCCCTACACTCATTGGCCAGAGACGGTCACATGGCCATTGCTAGCTACAAGGGAGCCTTGGAAATAAGGCCCTGAATAGATAAGGGAAGAATGGATATTGTGTAAGAAGCTAGCAATGTCTGCCATACTCATCTTATAACTTTTGCATCACAAAAATCTGGGAGCTGACTTGGCAAAAACAGGGTTTCTTTCCATGTTGGGTTGGGGAATAGGAGTTTATTAAGCAAAGTTATTTACAGATGAATAAATATTAGCCTAAATGAGTATGATTGATTCTAGAGCACATTGATTTTGTTTTCATGTTGCAAATTTTTAGCCTTTAAAAATAGAAATTTAAATGGGCATTTAGGACATATTGCCTATAGGAAGCTAAACACTTTTTCTTAATGCATTATATTCAAGATTAGGGCTTTGCTCTGAGATTCCCAATTCCAGGAAGAAAAGTTTCTAAATACATTCTACTTGGAAAAATTATAGTTGTTTTCTCTTGTGCACTAAAATAAAATCAGTACAGAGAAAAAAACCCCACCAAGCTTTTGGTACTACAATTTCAATTCTCATCTTTGTCAATGTGCACATAGGCATTTAGTGTTATTATAATGAATGCATATCAGTTGATTGTAATCTGTTCTTTTCCATTTAATATTATTTTATAGCATGATTTTATAAACATACAGTTCATATAGTTATTTTTAGTAACTATATATTTTGAGATATCATAATTGGCTTAGTCATGCTCCTTTGACCAGTGGTAATTTCAAAAATATTTAACAACTGATATTCATATTGATCAATCAGAACACTCTAGGCTATAGAAACAGAGTATGTCCTGGAGGTCTCTGTAGGACCTGACATTAATTCATTTGTTGCTGGATTGTAGGGTAGATTGTTGGTGGTTGGGAGGTTGGGTAGGGAATATTTACTAACTGATATGGAAGAAATGTAACTATTTTCTTAATTAAAATTCTTTTTTTGTAGAGGTGGGAGTCTTGCTAGGTTGCTCAAGCTGGTCTCAAACTCCTGCCTCAAGCGATCTTCCTGCCACAATTCATTTTCATCTATTTATCTATTTTATAGAGACAGGGTCTCACCATGTTGTCCAGGCTGGTCTCAAACTCCTGGGCTCAAGCCATCCTCCCGCCTTGACCTCCCAAAGTGCTGGAACAGGTTCGAGCCCCTGTGCCTGGCCCCTGCAACAATTTAATAACCGGTTTTATAAGTTAGTTTTGGCTGTGTAACAAACCATTCTAAAACAGAGTGACTTAAAAGAAACAATCCATTTAGCCCATAATTCTGTGGGTTTGTAATTTTTAAAAATTAATATAGTTTTTAAAATTTCAATAGCTTTTGGGGTGTAAGTGGTTTTTTGTTACACAGATGAATTACATAGCGGTGAAGTCTGAGATTTTAGTGCACCCTTCGCCTGAGTAGTGAACATTGTACCCAATGTGTAGTTTATTTATCCCTCACTGTGCCCCACCCTCTCTCTTCTGAGTCTCCAAAGTCCATTATCTCACTCTGTATGTCTTCACATACTCATAGCTTAGTTCCCACTTATAAGTGAGAGCGTATGGTATTTGGTTTTCCATTCTTGAGTTACTTCACTGAAAATAATGGCCTCCTCTCCTTTGTAGCCAGTGGGCCAGGAAAGAAGAAAAAATAATGGTCCCCAGCTCTATCCAAGTTGCTGCAAAAGACATTATTTTGTGCTTTTTTATAGCTGAGTAGTTTTCCATGGTGTGTATGTATATCACATTTTCTTTATCATTGTTCGATGGTCACTTACACTGATTGATTTCTTTGCGACTGTGAGTTGGCTGCAATAAACATACACATGCAAGTGTCTTTTTGACATAATGACTTCTTTTCCTTTGCATAGATACCCAGTAGTGGGATTGCTAGATTGAATGGTAGTTCTACTTTTAGTTATTTAAGGAATCTTCATACTGTTTTGCATACAGGTTTTACTAATTTACATTCTCACCAGCAGTATGTGAGTGTTCCCTTTTTACCACACCCATACCAACGTCTATTGTTTTTTTTTTTCATTTTAGTAATGGCCATTCTTGCAGGAGTAAGGTGGTATCTCTCTGTGGTTTTAATTTGCATTTCCCTGATCTTCCTTTGAGAAACGCCTATTCATGTCATTTGCCCACTTTTCGATGGGATTATTCATTTTTTTCTTGCTGATTTGTTTGAGTTCCTAGTAGATTCTTGGTATTAGTCCTTTGTCGAGTGCATAGTTTGCAAATATTTTCTCCCATTCTGTGGGTTGTCTGTTTACTCTGATTATTCCTTTTGCTGTACAGAGGCTTTTTAGTTTAATTAGGTGCCATTTATTTAGTTTTGTTTTAGTTGCATTTGCTTTTAGGGTCCTAGTCATTAATTTTTTGCCTAGGCCAATGCCCAGAAGAGTTTTTCCTAGGTTATCTTCTGGAATTTTTGTGGTTTCAGGTCTTTGATTTAAATAGTTCTTTGCTCCATCTTGAGTTGATTTTTGGGTAAGGTGAGAGATAGGCATCCAGTTTCATCTTCTACATGTGGCTGGCCCGTTTTCCCAGCACCATTTATTAATTTATTTAATTTACCATTTTATTATAAAAGATATTGCAAAGGATACAGATGAAGAGAAGCATAGGATGAAGTATAGGGGAAGGGATTTGGAGCTTCCATGCTCTCCTTGGGTGGGCCCTGCTCCAGGAACTTCCTTATGTTCGCTCTCCAGAAGCTCACTGAACCCTCTTGAGTCCTCTTGAGTTTTTATGGAAGCTTCATTACATCAGTATTCCTTTGCCCCAGGGGATAGTGTGCGACCCTCTCATGGGAGAGTCTAAACATCCACAATCAGAAAGGTGGAGAACATTAGAGTCCTACCTTGGGGCAGGTGAAAGGAGGGCGGGAGAAGGTCAGAGGCCTAACACACCCAGCATTATAACAAAAGACTGCAACAAGGGTTATGGGAGTTATGAGCCAGAACTGTGGATGAAAATCAATATATATCATAACACCACAGGCCACTCCTGATTTTTAACCACGGATCCTTTACATCTATCTATCTATCTATTATCTATCTATCTATCTATCTATCTATCTATCTATCTCTGTATACACAATCATTAATAACTAGTTCAGTCTATCATATTGTATGAATGTCTCCCAGGATGAGGCCACTCACATTTGTAGGTTTCCTCACAATCTTTTCAGGTTCCAAAAGCAGGAGTGGCCTTGGTAAATATACAGCTTCACCCTTACAGGTATCTGGAATAATGAGCTAAGAGACAATGTCATCTTTTGCTCTGAGACTCTTGGGTCGTTAATGTAATATTGAATTTTCCTCAATTAATAACCCACTTATTTATTTCTTTACTCTTAGCTACTATTTCTCTTTCTTTCCATTAATACCCAAACTTTTTCATCTTTGGAAGGGGCATTAGAATCACCAGTGCTATTTATTAAACAGAGTGTCCTTTCCCCAATTTATGATTTTGTGTGCTTTGTCAAAGATCAGTTGGTTGTAAAGTATTTGGCTTTATTTCTGGGTTCTCGATTCTGTTCCACTGGCCTATGTGTCTACTTTTTGTACCAGTACCATGCTCTTTTGGTGACTACAGCCTTGTAGTATAATTTGAATTCCAGTAATGTGATGCCTTCAGATTTGTTCTTCATGCTTATGATTTCTTTGGCTACTTGGGCTCTTTTTTGGTTTTATATGATTTTTAGGATTTTTTTTTCTAATTCTGTGAAAAACGATGTTGGTATTTTGATAGGAATTGCATTGAATCTGTAGATTGCTTTGGGCAGTATGATCATTTTCATGGTATTGATTCTTCTAATCCGTGAGCATGGGGTGTGTTTTCATTTGTTTGTGCCATCCATGATTTATTTTAGCAGTATTTTGTTGTTCTCCTTGTAGAGATATTTCACCTCTTTGGTTAAGTATATTCCTAGGTATTTTGTTTTATTTTGCAGCTGTTGTAAAAGGGATTGAGTTCTTGATTTCATTCTCAACTTGTTTGTTGTTGGTGTATAGCAGTGCTACTGATTTGTGCGCACTGATTTTATAACCTGAGACTTTACTGAATTCATCTATCAAATCTGGGAGTCTTTTGGCGGGGTCCTTAGGGTTTTCTAGGTATATGACCATATCACTGGGGAAGAGTGATAGTCTGACTTCCTCTCTTGCAATTTGGATGTCCTTTATTTCTTTCTCTTGTTTAATTGCTCTGGCTAAGACTTTCAGTATATGTTGAATAGAAGTGGTGAAAGTGGGCATCCTTGTCTTGTCCCAGTTGTTGGGGTATGCTTTCAAAATTTCCCCATTCAGTATGATGTTGGCTGTGGGTTTGTCATATATGACTTTTACTATTTTGAGGTAAGTCCCTTCTATGCCTAGTTTGTTGAGGGTTTTTTTAAAAAAATCATAATGGGATGTTGGATTTTATTGAATACTTTTCTGTATTTATTGAGGTGATTATTTGGTTTTTGTTTTTAATTCTGTTTATGTGATGTATCACATTTATTGACTTGCATGTGTTAAACTATCCCTGCATCCCTGGGGTGAAACTGTGGGTTGGCAATTTGTGCTGGCATCAGCTAGGTGATTCTTATGGCCTTGACTAGCATCAATCATGTGTCTGTGGTCTGCTGCTGATCAGTTAGGCAATCTGCTTCTGGATCTTGCAAGGTCAATTGGAGTGATGGGGATAACTCGCCACAGGTATTTCATCCACCAGAAGGCCAGCTTAGGCTTTTCTTATGGTAGGACAGAGTTCCAAGAAAACAAGCAAAAACATGCAAGGATCCCCGAGGCCTGTGCTCGAAACTGGCAAAAATGTCTCTTCTGCCATACTTCATTGGCCAAAGCTAGTCCCAGGGTCAGACCCAAACGACAGACACAGATTCTGCTTCTGGATGGAAGGATGTGCAAAGTCACATTGAAAAGAGGTGTTGATATAGGGAGGAGAATAATTTGGGCTATTTTTGCAAAAAAATCTGCCATGCTGTCGCATACCAGGGTGGCTGGCTGACTATTGGCTCTGTTGCAAATTAAGCATTTATAATTTGCATTTTTCGACATTATGTATAGCAGTTTCATGAACATCATATTCTTCTTGAAGACTGCCATTCCTGGCATTAGAAAAATACTTACTAATGGAACAGGTTTAGAAGACCTTTAGTCATTCAGGAACCATTTATTCAGCACCCCTCTGCACTAACTGAAGAGACAGCATAAGCAGCAGATATATTTGTTTGGAGTCTAGAAGGGAAGATACACAGCAGTGAACAGCACAATGTGGAATGTGGTTTCTGTTTTGGTCATAGTGTGTGTGAAGGGGTTTGGGAGCAAAGGGAGGGACTACCCAGAGGGACGGGTGTGGGTAAGGAAAGTGTAGTTTAGTGTGTGTGTGTGTGTGTGTGTGTGTGTGTGTGTGTCTGTGTCTTGTGTAAAGCAAGGCTTCCAGTACTAATGGCAAAGTTTAGTTTTGAAAAATGAGTTAGTCAAGGAATGTGGTGAGCAGTGAATTTCAGGAACCACAAGGTATTTCATCCCAGATAATGAGGTTAGAGAGCAAGCCACAGTGAGATGGCAGTGAAAAGCAGGGCAGGGTCCCAAATTCCTTCAGCCTGTTCTTGTTGGAGGCAATGCAGGGTCACTGACAGGTACACATTTCATTGTGTAGGGTTGGTGCTGAAGACAGGGGCCCCATCCAGTGCAGGCTGTTTGACTCCTTGCAGTAAGTACTTTTCTAATGCCAAGAATGGTAAAGTCATCTGGTTCCGGGGCAAGAACCTGGAACCAGAGAAGGGATTTCTTTTCTTACTGAACACAGCTTGGTTATCTGTGAAGTCACACTAGAAGAAATAAACTTGGTCTTACCTCACATTTTTCACTAAAATAAGTTCCAGGTAGATCAAAGATTTGGGCATTTAAAAAGTAAAGTCATAAAATATTAGTAGAAAATAGAATTATTTTAATCTCAAAATGGGCAAGACTTTTCTAAGAACTATACAAACCCAGATATCATAGTAAATGAGATTGATGCATTTGACTACATAAAACAAAAATGGAAATTAAAAAAAACACCTGAGTTGCAAAAAACACCATATGGAAAGTAAAAAAACCCCAACAAATTAGGAAAAAATATTTGTAATGTGGTGGCCTTGCTATCAGTTATTTAGTTTTCCAAACATTATTTTGTTGAAAAAAAAAAACCATTTCTTACTGACTTAAAGTGTAACCCTGACCATATGTGATGTGTTTATCTATTTATGCAGACTCACATGGGCCTCTTTGTGGGCTTTACATTCTGTTCCTTTCATGTATTTATTCTTTCATGTGTCCTGCCCTATTATTTTAATTACTATAATATGGTAACATATCATAATGTCTCAAATTGCTTTTTAAAATGAGATGTTTGTTGAAAAGCTTTCTTTGCCCATGTAAAGGATTTTTCTATTTAAGAATATGGTATACCTTCTTATTAGTACAGGTCTTTTTTTTATACATCCTTTAGGGGTAATTTAAACTTTTCTTCACACAGATTTTGCACATCTTAAGTTTATTTCTATGTATTTTATCATTTTTGGTTATTACAAATGAGATGTTTTCCTCTATGTTACCTTCTAACTGGCTATTAAGCTCTCCATATTAATTTTCTATCCCTCTAACCTACAAAATGTTTTATTGTTTACAATAGATTTTCATCTTATTCTCTTGGACTTTTATTGGTTAATAATCATATCAGTAACAAGTACTCCTATCTTTGTCTTCACTTTTAATTTTTTTTGTACTTTATATTTCCATCTATTGTTGACTTCATTGGATAGAATTTCCAGAATTATGTTAAATAATAAGGGCAATGGTGGACATTCTTCTCTTTTTCTTGACTTTAATGAGAGTGCGTCTTGTGTTTTCCCATTAAATATGAGGCTGGTTTAAAGACTGAGATACATATATCTATCACATCAACAAAGCATCTGTCATTAGCAGTGTCTGCTACAACCAACTGCTTACGGTAGCTAAGTATCTGCTTTTTTTTCTATGTGGAACATAATAATTCCTGCCCCAAGGGGAGTTCCATTTAGGTCCTGCCTCTGACCAAAGGCCAGTTCTGCCCATGAAGTCCAAATAGGCTTCCTTTGGTTTATTATTATTATTATTATTATTTTAGAGACAGGGTCTTGGTCTGTCACCTAGGTCAGAGTGCAGTGGTGTGATCATGGCTCACTGGAGCCTCATACTCCTGGGCTCCAGTGATCCTCCTGCCTCAGCCTCCCAAGTAGTTAGGACTACAGGCACACCACCATGCCTGGCTAATTTTTACATTTTTTTTTTGTACAGACAGGGTCTCACTGTGTTGTACAGGCTGGTCTCGAACTCTTGGCCTCAAGCAATCCTCCTGCCTTGGCCTTCCAAAACTCTAAGATTATAGGTGTGAGCCACTGTCTTGGTCTGGTGGTCTTTAAACTAAAAGAAAAGTTATTTAGTCACAACACAGCTGACATACAGTCACTCAGTGGACACAGGATAATCACAACAGAAACTCCCATGCTCAAAAGGGAAAATGGGAAATGCTGTAGACGTTGGTCCATGGCAGAGATTACAGTGAGCTCTAATGGCAAAGATTCCCTTTTCTGGCTGTAGAACACATTTCATGGTGGGGCTACTTGGATCTCCTGTTTCTGTTCTCTGGGAAAAATGCCCTGTTCATTATCTACTGGTGTCCCTGCCTCTGCCCAAGGGAACTTTCTTCCTTGTCTTTTATTGCTCATGGCCATAAAAATACTGCACTATCAGTCAACTTAGGTTTTCAGCCACAGACAGAAAGTACCTCTCTTAGCAAAATTATTTTCCCTTCCATCTCTGTTTCTGATGGGCTGGCTCTAGACTGAGGTCATCTGTCTTGTAGAGTTGCATGAAAGAAAACAAAAAAGCAGCTAATGCCCACCAAAACTAAGATTTTCTCCTAATGCTTCAGCCTCCTTTGGCAGGTTGTCTTCAAGATACCACCTGTGAGGGTTTAACTCACCCATGAGCTTTGTATGGAGTAAGAGTCACCAGATTATCAGCCTGTGGTACTGTATTTCATGTAAGATGTTAGTAATTGTTAGACACATCTTACTCAAAAATGTTAACATATAAAAAAAAGGCCTATGACAATTGTCAGATGCTCTTAGCTTTAGGATGCAGATCACTTTCAGAGATGTAAGAATGTGCAAAAATGTGCAGCTTAGACAAGTACCCATGTCTACGTCTTTGCCGTCTGCTGTCTCCCTAATTGTACTGGATAATATCACTTTTTAGGCTTTGTAACTTGAAGCTTCCTACCTGTGCATACCAAATTCTGTTTACATTAAGGTTCATTGTTGTTCTGCTCTCTTCAATGTTCAGTTTCCACTTGTGGTCCAAGATGGCTGCTCCAGCACCAGGAGCTGTGCCACTTTCCCACCAGCAGGAAGGAGGGAAGGGACTAAAATGGACATTCTCTCCTCTTTTAAGTATATGTCCAGGAAGTTGTGCATGCCATTTCTGCCTATATCCCATTGTCTAGAAGTTAGTTACATGGTTACACTTAGCTAGGAGAATACCATTTTTATTCTAGGCAGCCAAGTGTCCACATAGTATTCAGGTACTTAATTACTATGCAAGGAAAGGATGCATATTGGAAACACCTAACAGTTTCTACAGGTCTCTGAAATAGTCCTATTTTTATTAAATGAAATTGTCCTCAAGAAGATATATAGTTTTGTTAGATGCTTTTTGAACATCTCTGGAGGTGGTTAAACTATTTTTTGAATTATTTTAATAGATTACTTAATATTGAACCATCTTTGCTTTCCTGGAATAAACTCCACTTGGCCAGGTAGTATTAATTTTTAAATTTGTTTCTGGATTCTGTTTGCTAATATTTAAGAGTTTTTGCAATGATATTTATAAGGAGGATTGGCTCATTTTTGTTTCTTTGTTTTTGGTGCATCCATGCTCTGCTCTGCTCTGTCTGTACAGCTGTAATTCTTCTAGGCATGAAAGGGGTGCGCCTCTCACTGGAGCTAAGGCCTGTTATAATCTTGAGTTTGCACAGTGTCTAGGATGTGGGGATGGCACCTTTTAGTCTCTGTGGCCTCTCCATCCTGTGGTGTCCAGGAGCCCTTTCTTAGGACCTGTGTGGAATCTGTCACTTTCAGCCTTGTGTTATAGGCTTCTATGTCTGTCTTCTATTCTCTGCTGGCTCAAGCCTCCTGTGACCAGTCACTCCTTCCTCATACACAGAGTGAGCACTCTTTCACTACCAGGTACTGAAGTCACAGGGTGGGAGGGGCCTAGTGCTGTGCTACAGGATTTCCCAGTCTGGAAGGGAGAGGCTTTTTATGGAAACAGATCTGTGACATGGGAATGAGTGTCATGGATGATTCTACAACGTGTTGGGGCTCAGAGACCTGGGAGATGCTGCTATGAGGTGTTGATGAACGAGTTGAGTCTTGAAGCAAGATTAAGAGTGCCTGACAGAAATCCAATCAGTGCTCAATAAATATTTGGTGAGTGAATATATGAAGATATTCTGCTAGGCAGATAAGACAAGGGAAGGAAAAACATGTGAGAAGATGGCCGGGTACGGTGGCTCATGCCTGTAATCTCAGCACTTTGGGAGGCCGAGGTGGGCGGATCACTTGAGGTCAGGAGTTTGAGACCAGCCTGGCCAACATGGTGAAACCCCATTTCTACTAAAGATACAAAAATTAGCCGGGCGTGGTGGCGTGCACATGTAATCTTAGCTATTCAGGAGGCTGAGGCGGGAGAATTGTTTGAACCTGGGAGGCGGAGGCTGCAGTGAGCCAAGATTGTGCCACTGCACTCCAGCCTGGGCAACACAGTGAGACTCCATCTCAAACAACAACAACAACAACAACAACAACAAAAACCAAAAAACTTGTGAGAAGACATGAGAGAAAGACCCAATATGTTCAGGTGTGATGAAGTATTCAGGGCTGTTGGAGCACAGGGAGTGGGATGGAGTGAAATGAAGCTTGACAGTCAAACACCTTGGATGTGGAGTGTGGGTTCTAGTTTAAAGACTAGGAGTGACCAGATGTCTCTTTTTAAGATGGGCAGGACGTGATCAGATTTGAGGTCTGAACTTGAATCTAATTTAACTTATTTTTTCTTTTTTATTGACACATAACATACATAAAATGTGCAAAGTACATTAATCTTAAGTGCACAGTTTGATAAACTTTTTTATAGATACACCTGTGGAATCACCACCCATATCAAAGATGTAGAACATTTCCAGCTCCCTGGGAGTTTCTCTTGTGACCCTTCCTAGTCAATAACTTCTCTTATCTCCACTGTTTTGACTTCCATCATCATGGACTAGTTTTGCCTGTTCTTGAATTTCCTATAAGTAGAAGCATACAGCATGTTCTCTTTTGTATCTGGCTTCCTTAACTCATCATGTCTATGAAATTCATTCATGTTCTTCTATGTATCAACAGTTTGCATGTTTTTATTGCTGTATGATTTAATTTTAATTCCACAATGCCAGTATAATGCTAGTGACCCCAATATTGTAAATACCCAATGAATATTAGCTGAAAAAATGAATGAATGAGGGAATGAATGGATGAAATCTTTCTATTCATTTCTATTAAAAGAAGCCCTTAACAATGAGAATTTATCTATATTCATGGTTGCTTTTTTCCTCCCAATTTTTGTGATTATCATTCATGCCACTTCTACTTGCAGGGGCAAAATTTATGGAGATGACACTCTCTAGGGTTGTACCTGGCTTCCATGAGACTTGAGTTTTGCAGATCACTTGGTGTCCTCTCCTGAGTCCTGCCTCCTGGGGCCTGATTTCCCTGGAGTTGTGATTAGGTGGGTTGGAGTCCTGCTTATTGGAGTCCTGCTTCCTGGGGCCTGATTTCCCTGGAGTTGTGATCAGGCAGGTTCTGATGAGCCACCTCTGCACTCACATGCCCTGTTCTTACACTTGGAGGGCCCATTGGTGGGTTCCACAGCAGGGGTGACTCTTCAGAACCTGGATGGCTCTCCTTCTAGGTCCTTTCCCAGCTATTGGCCTACAACCAGCCTCAGAGCTCTCAGTTTCCCTACTAGCTGAGTGAGGTATGTGAGGGAGGAAGGCTGCTAATCATGCACATGTGCATACGCCCAAAGCATGGCCCCCGCTGACTCTGCACTTCTATCTGAAACTGCCATATTCCTCTGCCTTTGTGTGACAATATCAAAGGCTCATGCTAGAATGCAAAGGTGTTATGACGACAGTGGCAGTGACTAGATCCTATAGTCATTTTTATATTTACAGTTGTCTTCATGTAATAACAACTACTGCTCTCCAGGCGCCATCTGGCCTTATCTGTCTCTCCAGACTCAACTTGAGCCTATCACTGTCTTCCCTGGGCTCTGCTCTTTCTCAGCACGGGGACTTTACACATACCGTTTCCCGTAAAATGCTCCTAATTCTGTCCTTCCCCATTCCCCTCCGTCTTTGTCAGGCATTATTACTTCCTGCTTCTGCATCAGATGCATTCCATCTGTTGAATCTTCAAGGAGCAAGCCCTCTGCAAAACCCCAGCCTCACACCCAGTCTGGGCCTCTTGTCCTGTAGTGCAGGCCCCAACGCCATCACTCTGGATATTGTAACAGCTATCACAGAGCATAATTAAGCTTTTGCTTCCAACATCCCTCGATTCAAATCCGGCTCCATCACCAGTGTGTAAACCCCACAAGAGACAACAGGGACCATGTCTGCTTTGCCTCCTGTGAGCCTAGCGCCTAGTATGGGTATGGAACTTGGCATGTAGTGGGTGTTCAATACATTTTTATTTATTTGTTTGTTTATTTATTTATTTATTTTTTGAGACAAAGTCTTGCTCTGCTACCTAACCTGGAGTGCAGTGGCATGATCTCGGCTCACTGCAAACTACCCCTCCTGGGTTCAAGTGATTCTCCTGCCTCAGCCTCCCAAGTAGCTGGGATTACAGGCACCCACCATCACGCCTGGCTAATTTTTGTATTTTTAGTAGAGACGGGGTTTCACCATGTTGGCCAGGCTAGTCTTGAACTCCTGACCTCAAGTCATCCACCTGCCTTGGCCTCCCAAAATGCTGGGATTACAGGCGTGAGCCCCAGTGCCCGGCTCAATACATTTTTAAAACATGAATAAATAAATGAGTGAGAAGTTTCATTTTGTGTTAGATTTTTAAAGAAAAATAGAGAACATCTTTCTGTCCTTTCCCACCAAGCCTGTCCCTCCCACCCACACACAACAGTCCTGATGGAGACAGTTGATAGGACACTTAGGTGGCTTCTGGTGTTCAGGCCTACCACCCAGAGTCTTTTTGGACATGAGGAACTTTGAATTAATGACCGAGGAGAGCCCTGAGAGCATTTGCAGGCAGCACTGGGTAAAGTGCACAAAGCAGTTGGTGGTGCCAGGCTGTGAGGCCATTAGTACAGGGAAAAGGGCTTGCGTGGAGAGCCCTGGCCAATTACCAGGAGAGTAGGAGACAGGAAGGTGCATCCAGGTTCACACAAGTCCCAGCCTGCTGGTGTGTTATCTAACGTGACAGACTCAGTGTGACCCTCCTTCCTTTTGGAACAGAAAGATGTCATTTAGCATTTTTTTGACTCAGGCTGGAGCAGCAAGCTGGGATGAGAAATCTTTTCTTGCCAACTCATTAAGGATTGGGCTAGGCCCTCAGGAAACCTGCAAACTCAGGCCACTTAGCAGAAAAGTCCCGATGGCATGTCCTTACCTGCAGAGCCTCTTACTTCTTCAGGGCTTCCATTTTCCCTTCTGGGTAGGAGTACAAGGAAGGCTGAGAAAAGTGAGAGGGTGGAGTTGAGGGAAGAAGTCAAGGGCACAGGGACTGCCTTCTGAGGTCTCAGTGTCTCCCCACCTTTCTCAGGGACCCATGTGTCCACAGAGCTTTGTACTCTGCAGCTGTAGCCTTACTATGAGTCAAAGGTGCCCTGTTGCCGAGTAGGTTCAGTGTTACAAACATTTACTGAGCTCTGCTGTGTTCCAGGCCCTGTGCTGGGCTCTGGGGGTCCAGAGGTGTCTGGGAAACTCTTGGAGATCAGATGTGTAAGCAGTTACCCTTAACACAAAGAGATATGGGCAACGTTAGAAGGATTAGAGATCTTGTGCCCTTGATAGCAGCTGTACCCAGGAGAGGGTGGCTGGGCTACTATGTGTATCAGGGAAGCTTCTAGGGAAGAGGGGTGTAGGCAGGTTTCCCATGATGAATGGATGCTTGGTGGATGGACAAGGGCATTTTAAACAGGAAAGTCACAGTGGTGCCAAATAGCATGACATATTTTGACAACCACCACACTGCTTTGCGACTCCTGGCTAAAATGTATTGCTCATTTACCAAGTGCCAGGGAATGTTCTGTTTTCTCTGCCTTGTCTCTTGTGTCCTCACACTATGCCTAAGAAGTAAGAAGTGTCATTATCTCATTTCATAGTTCAGGAACTGGGGCACAGGGAGGTTGAATGACTTATCTGAAATTTACGTTCATAAGTGGCTAATAAGGAGTGGATCAGGTTTGTTGGACTTCAAAGTCCATAATAATGATAATGATAATAATAGCCAGAATCTAATGATTGCAGTTAATGCTTTCTGCACACTTACTGAGTGCCAAGCACTGTGCTAAACATTATTTTAGTTAATTCTCACAACATTCAGGTCTGTACAATTTTCTCTCTACTTTGCAGATGAGGAAACCAGGGAACGGTTAAGTGACGCCCAGAAAGATAGCTCATAGCTGGTGGGGCTAAGATTTGCCCCCAGGCAGCCTTAAGGTGGAGCCTATGCTTGTAACCATTGTCCTTTCCTGCTGTGGCAGAAGGTGGAAGGTCAGAGTGAGGGAAGTTAAGTCTAGGGAGGTAGGCATTTAGGCCCCAGCCCTTGAAGGGCCTTGTTTGCCACATACAGAACCATGGAGTATTAAGCACGGCAGCCATGGAGTCGGGAAAGGCTCCAACTGGAAAGGCCCCCATTGCTTTTGGGGAGGCTGCTTTGAAAGGTCAACCCCAGTGTCTCCTCATTATTCCAGTTGGGGTCCAGTTTCCTTGAATTCCATCTTTTTCTCCAACTAGAGTGTCAAGATCTGATGGGGGCAGAGGCTGTTCTATTTACTCCTCCTTGGTCTCTTCAGTGGCTTCTCATCTCTCAGGTCTCAGCTCAAATGTTCTTTCTTTGGGGGAAATCTTTATTGATTAATCTGGACGACCTAGATGAGGTTCTGCAGTTATAAGTTCTCACGGCACATCTTTCTTTTCTTGGTAGCACTTATGACCATTGGAATGAAATAATAATTATTTTGAATGTTGGTTTAATATCTATCTTTTCCTGTACTCCATGGACTGTAACTAGTTAATTAATTAATTAATTTTGTCATCTATTTAACAGATGTTTATTGAATGCCAGTTGCTATTGTTTGGGTGTGATTTTTTTGTCCCCAACAAATTTCAACATTCAACACCATCCTCAGTGTGGTAGTGTTGGGAGATGGGGCCTAGTGGGAAGTGTTTGGGTTGTGGAGGCAGATCCCTCATGAATAGATTAATGCCCTTCCTTGGGGGTGAATGAATTCTGTATTAGTTCCCAAGAGAACTGGTTATTAAAAGACCTGGCATCTCCTCACCTCCACCTTGCTTCCTTTTGTCATGTGATCTCTGCACAGGTGACTCCTCTTTTGTCTTCTGACATGAGATGCTGGTGCCATGCTTCTCGTACAGCCTGCAGAAGTGTGAACCAAATAAACCTCTTTTCTTTATAAATTACCCAGTCTCACATGTTCTTTTATAGCAACATAAAATGGACTAAGACACCAGTTATGTGCTAGTCATTGTGCTAAGGTGCTGGGGATGTAGTGGTGATACAAATAGACCCTGTTCCTGCCCTCAAGGAATTTATAATCACATAGGGAGACCAACATTAAGAACTAACTACCAAACAAAAGTAAAATTGCAGTAGAGGTAAGTTCTACAAAAGAGGGGGTGCATGGCATTGTACGCCTCTCTAATGCGGCAATTTGATACAGTTAGGAGGCCAGGGAAGGCTTTGCTGAGTGCTGAGATATGGAGAGTAAATGTTACTAGGCAAAGGCTGAGGGTAAGGGAAGGGTGTGGTGAGACAGCTGTAACCATACCCTGGTGGGAGGCAGAATGTGGGATATAAAGGACTGAAAGGAGAGGCTGGAGGGCAGAGAGTAAGGAGTTGCCTGTACAGCATGGGGCTGGGGAGGGTGGCAGGACTCGATCACACAGAGCCCTCTCCACTAGGTGAGGAGTTTGGGAAGGGGCTATCATGAATTTAACTTTGAACATGTTGAGTTTGAAATAACTTTGAGATATTCAAAGGTTGATCTTGTGCAGGCAGTTAGAGGTTTGGAGTTCAGAGGACAGGTGTAAGCTGAAGACACTTGTAAGTGAGTTGGTGACAGCTGAAGCCACAGTCATAAATAAGATCCCCTGGGAAGTGACTCACCATTTTTTTTGGTGCCTTGGACTCATTTGGCAGCCATTGTGTGTGTGTGTTTTTGAGACCGCGTCTCACTTTGTCACCCAGGCTGGAACGCGGTGGCTTGATCGCGGCTCACTGCAACCTCCACCTCCCGGGTTCAAGCGATTCTCCTGCCTCAGCCTCCCGAGTAGCTGGGACTACAGGCATGTGCCACCACACCCGGCTAATTTTTTGTATTTTTAGTAGAGATGGGGTTTCGCCATGTTAGCCAGGATGGTCTCTATCTCCTGACCTTGTGATCCGCCCCGCCTCACCCCCTAAAGTGCTGGGATTACAGGCATGAGCCACCGCACCCAGCCCAATGTTTTAAAATGTACAAAATGAAATGCATAGGATAACAGTGGAAACTAATTGCATTGAAATATAGTTATCAAATATTAAAAATAAATTTGTGATGTGAAGGTATATATGCTTCTTTATTTTATTAACTCCTTAAATGCCAATAAACAGTAGCAGTTCTTATAATTACTATAATTTCAAAGCAGTGATGGGTGTATATTTTGAGACCTCTACAACTGTTGTGTAGGATGAAGACACCTGGCATCATTATTGGAGAGAAAGTCACAGGTACTGCTAATACTGCTGGAGTTTGTTGCCTGCATTCATAATCAAAGGAATTGCTAAATTTCAGGAAGAGGTGAATGAAAATACCAAAGTAGACATTTTCACATTTATGTTTACTGTCCCTCAACCCTAAGTTAAAACTCCTGGTCTAAAGTGAGAGGAAGAGAGCACCTACAATGCTAGCATGGAGTCTCCCATCAAGCAGAGAAGGATAAAGCTGCACAGGAGAAGCAGAAAGATGCAAGGGGTAGGTGAAAAACCAGAGTTCATCTGTAGAAGCCACAGGAAGCAAGTGATCCAAGAAGGGGGTGGTCAGTTGTGTCGAATGCTGAAAAGTTCCATAAAATAAAGACTGATAAATGTCTGTTGGATTTAGTGACATTGCAGGAATAATTTGTCTTATTTATTGCTTAATTCCTGGTGCATTTCAGGGCACATGATAAGCATTCAATATCTGTTGAAGGAAGAGACAAGTTGCTAGCTTTCCTCATTAGGTCCAGCAGGAGATTGTCTGCCTAATGGAACAGGCAATGAAGCCTGCAGATACTTTCTTAAATTGAGTTTTTGACTGAGGACTATGGAAGCTGTAGAGTCTTTGCAGGGATTAGGAATTCCAAGACTTTTGGAGGCTTTGCCCATGGTTGCTGGAGCTACTCATACTCAGAGCTGAATGCTGCCCAGTGGCTGACGACTTCCCCTGAAGATTCACCTGCATCTTTGCATCCTTTTCTAGGGACAGCTGCAGGTGGGCAATGGGTGGACCCATGTGTGCGAGGAATGCTCTATTGTGGAGATCTGAATTATCACTTATCCAGCATCTTCCTGGGTGATCTTGAGCCATTTGTCCAATCCTCACACTTTACTGTAGCCCCCTGTGAAGTGGGGTCACTTCTGTTGCTTCTTGCTTCCCCGTGCTCCAGTGCTGTGTGGTGGAAGAATTGGGTCATATGTCGTTACCCCAAGTGAAATGATCATTATAATTTTTTGTCCTAGACATTTTTCCATTATATATTTGAACCGTTTAAAACAGCACAGCATCCTAAGATGGTGATTGGGATGATGATGGCTGAACTTGGCAATGAGAATATGAAACTTGGGATTTGGTGAGGATTTAAAACTCAGTTCAAGCAGTTTCAGTCTGTGCTCCAGGGATCCCTAAGGGTATCTGAGATGCCTTGGGGGAACCAAGATGGGGATAAGAGAGGACAGGCAGGTGGGATTCAGGCCCATTGGGCCTGTGGGAGCATCTTCCTTGTATATTGGAGCATCTTTTTTATATACTGAGATTCCCTACAATATAATGTGAAGAAAGAAAGAAATTTTGAAAATGACTGATTTAATCCAACTCTCTTATCCCTTTTTTTTTTTTTTTTTTTTTTTAGACAGAGTCTCGCTCTTTCGCCCAGGCTGGACTGCAGTGGCGCTATATTGGCTCACTGCAAGCTCCGCCTCCCGGGTTCACGCCATTCTCCTGCCTCAGTCTCCTGAGTAGCTGGAACTACAGGCGCCCGCCACCACGCCTGGCTAATTTTTTATATTTTTAGTAGAGACAGGGTTTCACCGTGTTAGCCATGATAGTCTCGATCTCCTGACCTTGTGATCCGCCCGCCTCGGCCTCCCAAAGTGCTGGGATTACAGACATGAGCCACCGTGCCCGGCCTCCAACTCTCTTATCTTACACAAAAGGTAACTTATGCCCAAAGAGGTAGAAAGCTGTGCTCAAGGTCATGGCAATAGTTGGTGGCAGAGCTGCAGACTAAAATCAGGTCATGTATATAGTTTTTTTTTTTTTTTTCTTTTTTGAGATGGAGTCTCACTTTGTCACCTAGGCTGGAGTACAGTGGCTCTATCTTGGCTTGCTGCAGCCTCTGCTTCCCAGGTTCAAGTGATTTTCCTGCCTCAGCCTCCCGAATAGCTGGGATTACAGGCACCCACCACCAAGCCTGGCTAATTTTTGTATTTTTAGTAGTGACGGGGTTTCGCCATGTTGATCAGGTTGGTCTCAAACTCCTGACCTCAGGTGATCTACCCGCCTCAGCCTCCCAAAGTGCTGGGATTACAGGCTTGAACCACTGCGCCCAGCCAGTATACAGTTTTTTAAAACAGTTTGATTAAATACTTACAAAGTCATGCATATTATCATTTATGTATGTATATAAAATACCATGCTTATACATGGGTCATGCATTATTTCTTCTAATTATGTCCCCTTCTCCCCACTTTTCCACCAACCTCAAATGTTGAATTTGTTTGCCCTGAAAGGTGTTTGGGGAAGGGTGCTTTGGATTTTTACAATTTGGAAACTCTTTTTCACTTTTCTGGCATAAGAAGTACAAAGTAAATTGAATAGGCCTATGAAGATGTTGAGTGTTTTTCATATGCAGAGAATTGAACCCCAAAAGAAAATGGTCTAATGGGGTTAATAAAGGTCAGCATTCCTCAGGGAACTGGGAAATTAATCTAATGGCTCAAACCTCTGAGGGGTTAATGGAAACTGTAAAGCAACAGCTCTGCCTATTGCAACGACTATAAATAGCTCAAAGTCCTGAACCACCTCCCGAAGCTGTGATATCCTCCATATTAACTTCAGCAGCTTTATGCCGGGCTAGGCTACAACCTGAATTTATTCCAGCTGCATCCAGAAGACCCTTGCAATATTTTTCAGCCATGACCAAAAGAGTGGGAGATGGATGGAAGGCTGACTGGTTGTGAATTATGTGCCAAGTCCCCTCAGAGTGAATGGTAAGGGTGCGTGTGTGTGTGTGTGTGTGTGTGTGTGTGTAGAGAGAGAGAGACAGAGAGAGAGAGGGAGAGAGAGAGAGAGGGAGAGAGAGAGAGAGGTATGGTGGAAGGAAATTTGTGTGTGGCATCTCAATTTGATTAGAGCATGTAGACCTCCTGAGGCTTAGAATCTTTTTTTTTTTTAATCTTCATTTTTTTCCTTTGGTAATAGGATTTTGAATAACAGGACATGGTAGATTCATGTATGAGTCCTAGAGAATGTCTACTTCAACCTCTGCATTTTTCGTGCGAGGAGCCCCTGAGCCCAGAGAGGGAAGGTCACTGGCCTCATGCCTCCATCAACCAAGGACAGGGGCGCAGGTTTCCCCGTCGCCTTGATGGAGATGGCTGCGCTTCCCCTGTGTTCCTGAAGCTCCCTGTCCCACTCCATTACATTTCCTGTCTCACCTGGGCGTTTGAATCTCCCGCTCACCTGTGACCTTCTAGATAGCAGGGACTGTTTTACTCAATTTTAAGGCCTACTGCTTGGCAGAGAGACATTGCAGGTGCTCAGAAAATTTTTGTTGATGGATTGAATAAATGAACGAATGAATGAGCTTTCTTAGGGGAAATCATCTAAGAGTCCAGTTTTCCTATAAGGAGGGACAGGAGGTTATGAGAAAAAGTTTCGAATAGAAGCCAAGGACTGCCCCCTCTTCTCTAAATGAAGAAATAATAATGCCTTTCATTTCTATAAAATTGATGGTTATAAAAAATGTTAATTTACTCCTCCTGATAACTTCTGAGAAAGATTGGGGAGGTATTTGTTATTCCTACTTCATGGATAAGGAAGCAGAGGCCCTGGAAGGCTCAATACTTGGTCAGGGCCACACAACTGCTCAGAAGCCAGGACTCCAGTTCTCCAGTTCTCAGCCAGAGTCATCTTTCTTACTCTAGGGTAGGTGTTCTGCTGGATTGCCTTAGGAAAACCTCGCAGGAAATTTCCGAGTGAGAGAAACCATGGCCATGCATTTGGCAAAAGAAAACCAGAGTTAGCATCTGTTTAGTGCTTTTTAGACTCTTTGATGTGCCTTCTCATAAATCATCTCATTGGTCCCCACAGCAGCCCTGAGATGCTGCGGCTATCATCACTCACATCACGTAGACGAGGCAATGAGTGATTTGCTCCTATCATCCAGTTGATAAATGATAGCATTGGAGCTAGGCCCAGGTCTCCATTCACCTGAGCCTCAGCTCCAACTACTGAACCACAGATCATCACATAGAGAATGATGAGAGAGGTCTGGGAGCAGGTAGGAAGAGTCCATCACCTAAGGAAACTGGATCCTGTGTATAAGAGGGTGGGCATTCCTGGACCAAAAGTTGGGCTGGAGATGGGGCTGCTGGGGAGACTTGGCTGCTGGGAGACTCTGATAGGCAGGTTTAGAGCCCACAGGAAAGAGGGAAGTTGAGAAAGGAAAAATGCTGCAGAAGATCAGAAAGCAAGCAAAAATTAAGGGATAGGAAAGAAACCAGTGATTTTTATCAACAAGACATGGAAGGGAAAGAATGATGTAAGCCAAACAAATGTAGAGAAACAGAACATATAGTTCTCCCTGTGAAACACTTTTAAGCTGCAAAGTGTAAAGAGATGTTATTTTTGTATTTGTGACATTTTAGGCTTCCGCTACTTGCAATTTAAAATGAAAAAAAGAAAATCCCAAATCAACCTAACTTATTTCTTACCAAGTTAAGGAAAATGACAGAGGAAGGGCACAATGCTTAGCTGCTAATTGCCATTCTTTGACAACCCACGAAGACTATCCTCAGCTTATTTAAAATAAGCATGTTCTCAACTCTTTACTTTTCATCACTGACATCACTGTTGAGGAAAACGTGGTGAGAAAAGATGAAGAAAACACATTAGAAATCAGGAATCAGAGCAAGTTTAAGAAAATTATCATCATCATGAAGAGAAGGCCCTGGGACTGAAAGGGCAGCTCAGGGCACCCTTCAGAGGCAGGGGTGGGGTCACCTGGGGGGTTCCCTGGGCTTTGCAGCTCCTCTATTCCAAGTCCCTTTTCCCCAGAGGAGTGGTGGGGCTCTCTGCAGGGCTAAACCCTGCAATCTGGCTCTTCTCTTTGAGGTTCTGATTGATTTTGGATTTAATTTTGTCTTGCAGGCTTTTCTGATATATCTCCAAGCAGGAAACAATATTATTTTTCTTTTCTTCTCTGTCAAAAGGGGGCAGGACCTTATAATAATTTTTCTTTGTGAAAGAGGATGAATTGAGATATTTGCAGGGTAGGAACGAATAAAAAAAGATCATAAATAAAAGGATCTCAGTAGGGCCTAAGGAGTGAACCCCAAACTATAATGGGTAGCTACTACAATCAAATTAACAGCTCCTCTTCCCAACCAAAGATTTCAGCTGCCTCACCACTGCCCCGTCCCCAACTAAACACTATTCCTAAACCTTCAAGTGAATCAGTTCAAACCCAAACTGGAAACTATATGCTATCTAATGCTATTGGATTTATCAAAACATAATTTTCAAAAAGTAAAGAACATTGTTCTCCTACAAACATAGAATGAAAATGTATCAAATTTTTATTTAACTAATTAATTAATAAGGGAATCAGCTGGATGTTAAAACTATTCCCAAGAGAGGGCAGTAACTTAGACATCTAATTCTTCTTGGGAGAGGACCCTCCTTGGCTCCACAAAGCTGCACGGTGTGGCCACAGTTTTTGTCTTGCTGTATCGACCCCCTAAGTAGAAGGCAGGTAGATCAAGATGGAATCTACACTTCCGCAGGGTGACCTCTGCACATAGATTTTCTGTTGTTAGACTTTAAAGGAGCATCCTCCTCCCCTCTTGGCTCTGTGTTGTCATGTACAGGATATAATAGACTCTTGCAAGGGGCGAATGAAACTGCTCTCTTTGGAAGCTGAGTTGAGTAAGATTGATTTTTAGATGGCAGCTCCTTCTCAGACAGGCTTAAAATAAAAACGGTCGAGATGAGTTTGTGAGTAGGAATTGGAAACCAGACTTCAGAGTACCTTGCAAAGACTGAACTCCTTTGTGTTAGATGCTCACTTGATTCATCCTAATACAGAGCCCAGCACACAGTAGGTGCTCAGAAAATGTTTGCTGGATGAATCTCAAGAATTTCCTTTAGGCAGCAAGGACCCACTTTCCAGGGGCGGGTAGGTTGAGGGCTGGAAGAGTGAGGAGGCTGTCATGTTCTGCTGAATGATCTTTATTGCTGAGAACAATTTCTTGCTTTCACCCCCATTTCATATTCCAGCTCTTATTTTTTTTAAAGGAGAATATGAATTTGAGAGTATTTCCTCTTTTCTCCCTCATTCTTCCTCTTTGAATGTGATGATATCACTATCATAATCTTCATGGTTGACATTTTTCAGTGACTCACCACCTTACTATTTTGGTGGTTGTACATTTCAACAGATAATTGTCTTTCCCTCTCTCCTGAGCATGACACCTACTCACATCTAGAGACTTCCAACACAACAAAGCCTCACCAAGTAGCAACTCACTGAACCTGGTAGTGAAAGTGAGAGGTACTTATGAATGAAAGACAGTAAGTGAAGTTGTGGATGAGAAGACAGGCCTGCTCCACCAGGCATGAACTGTTAGTCCTAAAAGTCACCCCGAGGCTCAGCATTCCTTAGACTAGGACAAAAGGGAAATCTCTTGGGAAATGAAGACCACTATCCTTGAAACTAAGCATGGCATAGGTGCTCTAAGTGGATTGAAGCCCTCAGGGTGCTTCATCGAGACACCCCTGAGGGAGAGGGGGAGCTTCTGAGAAGGAAATTCCGAGAGCATAGTGTTCTGGGGTTTGGTCATGTTTTTAATGGGTCAGAGGAGTTCCTCTGTCTCTGGGAAATGTCTCCATTTATGTTGTGGGTCTCCCCACAGGCAACATTCAAATTGGCTTGGTCAACTGAGACTCTGGCTAGAACTGACTTCCCCGCTGACCTGTCCTGCTTTAAGCCATCGTAAGTGACTTCTACTGCCCCTGACTCCCTTGGTAATAATATTCTCTGGGGTTTACATGGTAACGTTAAACATACCTGCTCATGGTATTTATTTAATGATGATTTTAAATTCTTATTGAGCTTGTAACACACTGAAATTTTGTGTATTACTTCTCTGTTTTGGCACCTTGACTGATGTACTAGCTTTATCATATCTGTAAAACTGCCCCATGTACATATTAAGAGGTTTTTGTCATTTTGTGAGGATAAGGGACTCTTCAATGAGTAGGGAATCACTAATTTATAAAACCAGAAGCTCAGCCTCCTAAACCATAAAGACTTTGTCTTAGAGAGACCATAAAATACTGATAGGTCACAAAAGGTTAAGTCCTTTTTTATTATTTAACTTTCCTGACATTTATGACTTGTCTTCCAGGTAAAACGGTGTGCATTTTGTAACAGGGACAATGCATTATTGTTCATTGAATTCATAGCACCCAGCACAGGGTTTTGCCTGTAGTTAATGCTCCGTAACTACTTGATATTATTTGAGGGTTTAGGTTCGATAATGAACCCAGGTTCACTCATTCATTCATTCATTCCACACAAATTCATTGAACATCTTACTATGTGATGGGCACTGTTCTGGGCACTCAGGATTCAATAGCCCCTGCCCTCATGGAGCTTTTATTCAAATAGGGGAGACAGACAATAAATAAGACAAAGAAGTAAAATATGCAGTATGGTAGGTAATGATAAATACCAGAAAGAAAAACATAAAGGAGGAAAGGTGCATGCAAAGTGTTGGTGGGTAGTCAGGAAAGGCCTCACTGAGAAGGAGATTTTTGGAAGTGAAAGAGTGAGTTATATGGATTTCTGTGGGAAGAGCTTTCAGAGCAGAAAACACAAGTGCAAAGACCCGGAGGGAGGGTGTGCCTGGCATGTTCAGGAGTCCCTACTCTGGCCCACCAGGCCCTGGAGGATCTGGTCTTTGGCCTCTATGACCTCTTCTCCTCCCACTCCCTACATCTCTCTCTCCACACCACCCCACTGACCTCCTACAGGTGACCTCCTACAGGTGGGAAAGAGTATACCACCTGGACCTCTTGTCTTCTCCTTTCACCAGAAGGCCTGCAAGGTGGACAGCAGGCCCTCCTGACCTAGCCCTTCGTTGCATGGGGCTTGAGCTTTCTCTTGCCCCTGAAGCCTCAGAATGGGGCCACTTCTGGAAGGACAAATGGCAGTGTCCTTCAGTGCAGTGTTTTTAGCAGAAAGTTGTCCATGGTGGAAAGGATGGAGGAAGCTGCCTTATAGTCAGTAGGAACATAGTTCAGGTTCAAAACAAGGACAGCAGATATGGAGGAAAGGGAGGGGGAAGCTCAAGGTGTCTCAAAAGACCATCACTAGGAGACTACTCCACTGGCATCCTCTTGAAGTGAGATGAGACTGGCCTACCCTGAGATTACCTCAGCTGGATGTTCTGGCTCCAGTTCTTTCAAAAACTTGCCCCAGTCTTCCCATCTGTAACTCTGAAGTCATTAGTTCCAAGGCTTTCCTGGAGATGTGTTATAAAGTACTGCCAGCCCTGCAAAGGTTTACTACCTTAAAAAAAATCATTTTCTATAGAATTGCTATTCAAATATAGAAAAACAGAATGGCAGGAAGCCAATGGGGGAGGATCACTTGAGCCCAAGAGTTTGAGGTTGCAGTGAGCCATGATCGTGCCACTGCACTCCAGCCTGGGTGACAGACCTTGTCTCGAAAACAAAAGAAAAAGAAAAATACAATGGAAAAGGCCTTGGGAAGAATTAATCAGAACAATGCTAATGTATTCTCCTCTCAGTGCTTCTAAAGCTTTAGATCATGGCTGCTTCTCAGGCTGATTATGGGTTCAAATAACAAAGGGATTTAGCAGGCAGACAACTCTTTCTAGCTATCAGATTGAGGAAGCTGGAACTAGGAATGAACTTTGTTAAAAAAGTTTATAATCTTTATTCCTTTATGTGGGAGTTTTAATACAGGTTAGTTTGGGCAAGATGACTTGAATAAAGAAAACAAGCTCTGTCCTCCCTGACTCCTCACACTGTCAGCTCCTTGGGGCCTCAGCCTGAGAACTGAGCAGGATTGCCTATCACCCACCACTGTCCTGGGCGACACCCACTCTTCATGGTGTCACCTCAGGGCCCAAAGCCCCCAGAGCTGGGACTTGACTACCCACTTCTCCTGCCCAGTGGGTAGAAGCAAGGAAGGTCTTGCAAAAATAAAAGCTGTGGCCATCAAGTAGAGGGGCGGGGGAGGAGGTGTGCGAGCAAGGCTGGAGGACAGCCGCCGCACCCCACCCCCCCATGGGTTATCAGTTGTTGCATTCCCTTGGAGAACAATTTACGACTGAGGAGGCAGGTCCCAGAGGCTTCAGCAGAAATCAAAAGGCAGCAGCAGTTATTACCTCGTCTGCTCCTCACATCTCTCCTCTCCATCTCCCAGCTTTTTTTAATATAAGGGTCTGCTGTTGTGGCCTCGAGAAGCCCCTGTCTATTCTCATACTCATCATCTCTCGTAGAACAAAGTGACAGTCAAGGGCAGTGCAACGGGGGACTTGGTGGTTTCCTAACAGTGAATCATAGTAATAGTGAGCCACTCAGTGCCAGCCACAGGGCTAAATTGTTCCATGTGTATTATCTCGGTCAGTTGGTCATTATTGTCCCCATTTTATTAAGAAGAAAACTGAGGATGAGACTACATTGTAAGTGGTGGAGTCGGATTTTAAGCTCCAGGTGCAAGTACTTAAAACACTCCCCTCTGCTGCCCACTACGGCTGCAGGCTTCCTGCACACTCCAAGCTGTCTGCAACAGGGTTGTCCTGTGCACTGTGTAGGGGCCACTGTGCTATTTAAAGACAGAACTGAGGCTCTTTTTGAGTACTTAGCTGCTAATTAAGTGTTGACGAGTCTCTGTTTCTCCTTTAGCTCTTTGTGTTTCAAGCACAGCCTCTTGTCCAGCAGCATGGACACTGCCTGGAAGCTTATTAGAACTGCAGACTCCTGGATCCACCCACCCCAGGCCTGCTAGATCAGAATCTGCATTTTAACAAGGTCCTCCTTGGTCCAGTGTACCATTTGAGAAGCTCTAGAGGTGTTTTTGCTATACAAAAGCTAGTTCAAGGGCTTCTTTCAGAATGGGGGCTGGGGCAGATGCAATACCTAGAAGTCCCATGCTGGTGTGTCCCTGTTGTCAGAAACAACGATTTCCCTGCAAGGGATGGGGAAAGCCAAACCCAGTTTTAGTATCTGTTTCCAGGGCAATGAACAAAATAGCCCAAAGAAATACTCTCAGCAGCTCTCTGAGTTAGGCAGATCTGCCAGTGTGCAAACGCTAGATGGCAATGGATGGCCAGGCACGAGCGGGAAGCAGGCATAGCTCTGTCACTGTCAAGGGGCAAGACAAAATGATAAAGGCAAGGTGCCGGGGGAGGAAGTGCGCTTGAGCACAGTTGGGTTGTGAAGGGAGATTGTTGGGATAATATTAAAGAAACTGAGACTTCACCAGCAAGTCTGGGAAGGTTTTTTTGTGGAGTGAGAGATTTGGGCAAGAGTGATTGCTTCTTTTTTGCCTCTAGCTATGTTAAACACACCAGTCTCCCCACAGGGGAGGGATGTCAGCAGCTGGTATGGTGAAGCTGAGGGAATTAAGCATGGGTCAAAAGTTCCTAATCTACTCCCTGAGGTCAGGGAGGCAGTGGCAGGCATTCTGCAACATTGGTTAGTGAAAGCTGGCCTGAGGGAATGAGCACATCCTTTCCCACCACGCCCTGTGCTGGCATGATATGCCCACATGCTGCCCCGGTGCTCGTGGGTAACACCCTCATGCCTCTTAAAGACTTGGAGGTGAAGTGCTTGGATCACAGTCCTCTTGTGTCCAGCTGTTTGGCTGAATCTGGGGTGGAAAAAAAAAAGCAGAATTATCCTGGCTCCTAAATTTCTCTTTTCTTCACCCTCCACAGATTCCCTGGGACTAACTTGTAGGGTGGAGCCCTGTTGCACTCATATTGGAGAGGCTGGAGTCCATCTTTGGACTTGAGGGACTTGGCTTCTAAGAAAACAAGGCAAAGGGAAGTTTTGTGAAATTCCCCAAATTGTAGGGTCACCTTATAGAGCTGGCCTCTTTTATTCTATGGTGGTTGGTTCCGGTAGGACCCTCTCATTTGGTCAGTGGAGCCAAAAGTTGAAGAATTTTGTTGGACAGTCGTTGAAGAAAAAGCCATGTTTTCTTGACTTGTTGGTGAGAGTGCTGCCTGAAATATCTTGGAGTCATGACAGGTGGGTAGAGACACATTATTCTTAGAGATTTCAGTGTTTAAGTTCAGGATCTGGACTTTTGCAAGTTATTCTCTTTCTCTAAGCTGAATTTAGGCTTGGCTGGACAGCTGACCAGTGCAGAAGTCTACAAGCCTATAGGTAATAGGGTTCAGAATTATAGGATGGATGCTAGAAATTATTCTGTCTCTCTCTTGCCTTGTTCAGATGGGAAAACTGAGGCCCAGAGAATTCCATTTGGTTTATTTCAGCAAAACATAGGCAAGTGCCCACTCTGGGCCAATCCCTGTGCTGGAGATCTAGGTTATAACGAAGAGTATGAGACACAGTACCTATTAGTATATGGATTAGTGATCAGCTTATCCATCTAGCTTATGATTCAACTTGTAAGCCCAGGTCACCTGGCTGGCCTGCTGGTGAGTGATGAACACAGGCATAGACTATGGAAGGATTCATTCCTTCTTTCTTCTCTCCCTCCCTCCCTCCTTCCCTCTCTCCCTGCCTTCCCTCTTTCCTTCCTTTCTTCATTTTTTTTTTTTAATTCTGATGATATTTTAAACCTTGAGGGCTTTGCATTTACCGGGTGGAAATGAGTAAGCAGCAATATTAGTGATTCCAAGGACATGTTTGATCACTTTTGTCCTTCCCCAAAGGCCTTGATACAAGACATAGTGCTTTTAGACCTGAGGAAGCAAATTTATTTATTTTTTAATTTATGGGAACTTGCTTTAACTTCTAAGAGGGGGAAAAAACCAAGCTAGTACACTTAAAGGCTTTTTTTTCTTTTCTTTCTTTCTTTCTTTTTTTTTTTTGCTTGAGGAAATACACCTTCTGCGATAGATAAACTCAAAAATACACCCAGGAAGATGCTGTCCAAACTGCAACCCAACCACAATTTACAGTGGGCTGCCCTCATTCTCCAAGTTCTATTTCTTTTCTTTTAGGGTGTATTACTTGAGTAGGTTTTGTAGGTAGAAAGAAATGGTGAATTAAAAATAAAGATGTTACCATCTTTTCTGGAAAATTGCTAGTGAATGGCTGCATCTATTACACAGTGGTATGCAATGATATGAATATCTCAGGTAAATAGACCCCCAGCCCTCCTCACTATTGTGAAATCTGGTAAAGGCTACTGTTTGGGCTTCTGTGTCTGTGCTGACCAACAGGAAGAATTAGGGGCCTAAACATCAGGCACTTGAAGTTTGCATATAATTGAGCTTCCGGACCTCTAAAAATCTTACATTTTATTCACAAACACAGGCATCTGCTACTAATTAAAGTATCAGGGTATAATTATACCCTTTCTTATTAGTAGATATGGAATCTGACAGTTGCTTAGATACAAAATAAGCAAGTGCAGATTGCGTTCTGCATGCTCTTCACAGGCTAGGGAGACAGAACAACAGAATTTTCAAATGCTCTGTGTAAATGAGTCTTGTTGCCCAGAAAATGTGAAGTTCTGAATTATCATTGGTAAATTTGCCTAGGAACAGATGTTAATCCCATCACAACTCTGTGATTTGAGCTTTAATATCATTCAATTCTTTCCCTTGCCCGGTCCCCTCACCCCTGCACTGCACCCTAACCACAAAACAAAAAGCACGAGTCTTTCCAAGATACACACAGTTAAGGCCTATCATCTAACAGCATTGCAGGGAGAAAGCAGTTGTGGCTTCCTCAGGAAATTCTAGAGCCTGAAGAAACTGTCTAGAATGGCAGGGCTGTGTTGTGGCTGGCTTAGCCATTGGGTTTGTCCAAGGTCCACTTTGGGCTCAGTGGTGTGGATTCTGTGTCCAGGGAGCCTTGTGGTCATTTTAAGATATCCTCTCCCCAGTGCCCAGCTATGTCTTCACATCATATAATCAGAGAAGTTCCCTGCTAACCCATCCGCTCCAGGAACTTGGGGACCAGGCCTTTTTTTGGTCACCTGGTATATCACCAGTGTCTAGTTTGTTGCTTGGCCCTTAGAAGGTGCTTAGTAACTACTTACTGAAAGAATGGATTCTGTTGAGCCCTTACATGCATATAACCCTGGGAAAGGTGACACTTTCAACCTCAGTAGTCATTTACTCCTCAGATTGTGTGAATTGATTAGATCAGGAGTTGGCAGGCTATAGCCCCAAGGCCAAATTCTGCCTGCCAGCCTGAATCTGTGTGACCTGTGAGCTAAGAATAATTTTTACATTTCTAAATGGTTGGAAAAAAAAGCAAAAGATTTCATGATACACCAAAATTATATGGAATTCAGATTTTTGTATCCATAAATAAAGTTTTATCAGAACACATCTATGGCCACTTATTTACGTTTTGTCTATGGCTAATTTTGCATTATAGTGGCAGAATTCAGTAGTTGGCAACAGAGACCATGTGGCCTGTGAGGCCTCCAATTGTTACTATTTGGCATTTAACAGAAAAACGTTTGATAGTCCCTGGATTAATTCGATCATTCCTCAGGGTTAGCTTTTGATGTTGGAGGAATGGGATGGAGGAGGGAGAGGATACAGGGGTGAATCACAGGGCAGGCTAGCTAGGAGGCGAGAACAGCCAGCAGTCTGGATGAGCACTTCAGCCCTCATCACACTTGTGCCAGCCCTGGCCCTTCCACTGTGGAAGTTTCCAGTTTCTCATTGTCATTCTGATGAATGCCCTCAAGGAACGCAGCCATGATCATTTCTCAGACTGCTGCACTGTTTGGATGCAAAGGACTGTATCTTTTTGTTGTTTCTTGATTGTTGTAAATTCTTAGTTCAGAATGCTCTTTCTTTGTCAAAGACATAAAATTTTGCTTCTCAGACAGTGTTTGGGTAATAAATCTGTATGTGTGAATGAGCGTGAGCTGGAGCTTGTCTTTGGAAAGCAAATGTCTTTAGTCTTTAGCCACCCAGCAGGCACCCCGAACAGCTGCCTCACATCTTAGCTTCCAGGACGGTGTTGACCCCCACTGGCTGGGTACCACAAGTTTTCTGTTTCTGAGCTCTTAGCCAGGGTGGAGCCCTACCCTTCCAGAGATGTGCCTTTGTGCTTAAGCTGGCAAGAATGCAATCAGCCTAGTTAAAATTTTGATAATCCACTTGATCCATCCCAGTTATAGGCTCAAATCCCAGGAGGCATCTTATAGACCTGAGCCTTATTTCTCTGGAGTTTATAGGAGACCTTCCAGAGCATATAGCATCATACTGTTTTCTTATTAGCCACCTAAATTCTGAATTAGAGTCTAATTTTCTCCAAACCCTACTCGTCTCTGTGCTGGTCCCAGCCTCTGGGTGCCTGGAGACCTGACTCATTTATATCTGTAAAAAATGCCCAGTGTCTTTTGATGGTATATTTAATGGATTAGGGGATAGGTTTGCTTTCTGAGTGACAATGATTAACACCAGCATTGTTTACCTTAAGTAGACCTGGGTTTTGAAAATCAAAAACAATAAGCAGATTTTCATGCCTTTTTCAAGAGTTGACTAACAGGCTTCCTGTGGGGGCACTAGCTAGCTGTCTGATCTGAAAGGGTTTATTTTTAAAAGTAATATAGGAAATGGTTTGTGGAAAGAAAATGCAAATTTCTACTTTCTAAATAATACTTACCATTTGTTGCATCTCTTATGTGCCAGATACTTCTCTAGGTATTCCGTATATATTTTCTCTAATCCTTACCCAAATCTTACAGGATAAATGTTATCTCCATTTTACAGAGGCGGAAACTGTAACTGAAATAGGATGGATGGGTTGCCTGAGATTCCACAGACAGGAAATGGCATAACTCAAACTCAAACCCTTGTAGGTGTGACTTGGAGGTCTTGGGTGTAACATCACATTATACTGCCCCTCTGGACTGACACTTCAGCTATCTCACACTTTAAGGACAGGTAGAACTTTAGAAAGAACCGAAACGCAAAGAAGTTGACAAATGAGATATGTGACCCAGCCAACATGTGGTTATTCATCTTAAATGGTAAAGCCCCATATTTCCTTCCTTCCTTCCTTCCTTCCTTCCTTCCTTCCTTCCTTCCTTCCTTCCTTCCTTCCTTTCTTTCTTTTTTTTTTTTTTGGGAGACGGAGTCTCGCTGTCACCCTGGCTGGAGTGCAGTGGTACGATCTTGGCTCACTCCAACCTCTGCCTCCCAGGTTCAAGCAATTCTCCCACCTCAGCCTCCTGAGTAGCTGGGATTACAGACTTCTGCCACCATGCCGGCTAATTTTTATATTTTCAGTAGAGACGGGGTTTCTCTGTGTTGGCCAGGCTGGTCTCGAAAACTCCTGACCTCAGGTGATCCGCCCGCCTTGGCCTCCCAAAGTGCTGGGATTACAGGCCTGAGCCACCGTGCCCTGCCCAAAGCCCCATGTTTTCTTTAGCTAAAAGTTTCCATCTCCTTCCTTACTAGACATTAAGAATAAAAAAGTTCAAAACAATTTAGTTAAAATTTGTCTATTTATCGTTTAATGGGTTCAAAATCCAACAGAGATAAGAAAGCATATAAAGAAAAAAGACGAATGTTCGAGGTGATGGATATCCCAGTTACCCTGATTTGATCATGACACATTGTATACATGTATCAAAATATCACATGTACCCACCCAATATATACAACTCTTACAGACCAATAAAAAATTTAAAAAGTAAAAAGCCCAGCTCCCACCCCTGGGATGGTTCTCTTAGGCCTTTTTGTAGGCCTATGTCAATATGATGGATAGCAAAAATGGTCAAAGTTTCTCTCCTTCCACTACCTATCCCTCTTTTCTCTGTGACTTTGAAGCTGCTTCTGTCAAGAAGTGGAGTCTGCTTCCCCATCCCTTGAATCTGGGCTGGCCCTGTGACCAGCTCTGTTCAGTGGAATGTGGCAGCAGTGACTAAGTGCCAGTTCCCATCCTAGGTCTTATGCGCTTGCTTTCTTTTTCTCAGAAACTTGCTGAGCTACCTACTACCGTGTAGGCAGGCCCAGGCTAGGCTTCTGGAGGATGAGAGACTACATGGAGCTGATGAATTGCCTTAGCAAGTACAGAAGCCCTGAGGACAAAGGATGTTTTATGTGTGTGACTTGAGCAGCTAGGAGGTCAGGGTGAACTGAGTGTTGAGATATGATGTAGCTATTAACCCTGTAAGCCAAAATGAGGACTTCAAGTTTTATTCTAAGTGTGTGATAGCAATGAATGAACAAATGGGCAAATAAAAAAGTGAATGCAGGAGTGAATGATACCAGCAGGTGAAAAGAGCAGCCATTGCTTGACATGTACAACTCATCTAGGATTTGAAACTCAGAGAAGATCCAATCCCATACTGCTCAGTGACAGGATCACAATGAACATGGTTGGTGAAATTAAAGAGACCAATCTGTGGGTACCATGTAACTTAATCTCTGTTGGTTTCTTTCATCATTTGGAATCCTTGGTGGACATTAGATGAGTCTTGGTATTGATTATTGATTTCTGATACCCACACTGAAGTTTCAACCACAGTGAAGTGGTGGTTATCAGCAAAGAAATAAAAACAAATGGGAGGCCTTTCACCACGGGGCTTCTTGGGCTGGTGTGGAAGAAAACTCAGAGAAATAATTATCAGTCCCAGGTTGAAATCTCTGCTGGCCCACTCCATAATATTTTTTCTTTTCCTTAACAAAATGAAAGAGATTTCTGATGTCATTGGACTTTGATAATATGAAGGTATCTGCCATGCTGGAAAATGAATCAGGTAGCTTTTGCTGCATAACAAGCCACTTCAACACTTGGTGGCTCTTGATTCTGTGGGTTGCCATGGTTCTCCTGACCTGGCATGGCTGGAATGATGGCCTTCCAGATGGGCTTTCACTGAGTCTGTGGGCAGTTAGTGGATTGGCTTGTGACCAGTCCAGGATGACCTCACTTGCATGGGCTGGTGGTTGGCTGGCTGTCAGCTGGGACACTTCCGCTCTCCTCCATATGGACTCTCATCCTCCAGGAGGTTAGCTGGACCCATTTACATGGTGGTTGTGTTTGCATGGTTCCTTGAGCAGTAAGAGAGAGGGCAAGTCCCAGGGTACAATTGCTTTTCTAGCCTCCAGTTATCTTGTACTTATTGTTAACATCTCATTGGTGAAAGCAAATCTCATGATGAGTCCAGATTCAAAGTGTGGGTAAATAGACTCTACCTTTTGATGGGAGAAGTTGTGAAGTCACATAGCAAAGAATTTTTGACTATTTTTTCATATAGTCTGTCACAGTGTATGAGAGTGTATCTTTTTTTTTTTTTTTTTAACTCAAACACTTTCAAGACACTACATTAAAAAAAAACTTGTTTAATTTCTTTCAGGCCGGGGACTTATGCTAATTCAAGTAGCTGACATAAATCTTTATGATTTTATCTATGCATATTGTATTCAATTGAAGTTACAGGTAGATATTTTTGGAAATAACTTTACTTGGAAAGTATGATGACATATGAGGATCTTCTATAAGTTGCCAAATAGTTTTCCCATCCTTTTAACATTCTTAACAGAATGTTATTCACCTAAGGATAAGAATTCTATCATTAGTTAGACTCATATTTATATTTCAGTTTCAGGCAATTTCTATGATGCAAAACTAGGTCCCTCCTTGAGAGGTGAGGGTGCTTGCTATTCAAAGTTAGGAAGAGAACATGATGTCTGGTGAGACAGCGCCATACATATTCCTATAAGAAAATGTACTTTCTAGTTCTAGCCTATTGTAAAACAGATGCATGACCTTGTGAAAGTCATTTAACTTATCTGGGTTTCAATTTCTTTATCTACACATGAGAATTTTCCTTTTTGTGTTCAAGTCTATGATGGTTCCTCTGGGCTTCCTGGAGAGGATCTCTTCTGTCTGGGAGGGATACTACCACCTCCAGAACCACCCAGAAATTGGCTCCTTCCACTTGGGATTCTGGATAATATAGATTTCTATAAAGGGTTTCAAAAGTAAAAAAAAAAAATAGCTGGATTGAACTACATTCTTTATTTTATTTTTTGATACAGAATTTCACTCCTGTCACCCAGGCTAGAGTGGAATGGTGAGATCCCGGCTCACTGCAAGCTCCGCCTCTCAGGTTCAAGTGATTCTCATGCCTCAGCCTCCTGAGTAGCTGGAATTACAGGCACCTGCCACCAAGTTGGCTAATTTTTGTACTTTTAGTAGAGACAGGGTTTTACCGTGTTGGCCAGGCTGGTCTCGAACTCTTGACCTCAGGTGATCCACCCGCCTCGGCCTCCCAAAGTGCTAGGATTACAGGCATGAGCCACCATGCCCGGCCAGGTTGAACCACATTCTTTAAAAGGCAGGAGATGGAAGTGCCAGGACCTTACTGGACATGAGGAACTCCACTTGGGATGGGGAGGACTTGACAGAGGCCTCCTATCCCCTTGAGGGCCAGTGGTAGTAGAGTCTTCTCTGGGGCAAGCACAGGGGAAGGGACACCTGCAGCCTTGATCTTTCAACTGTTCTTTCACCCAGGGATGTTCTGCTCTTGGCGAGAAGGCACAGGCAGGAGCAGGGACTATGGAAGAGACTGCAGCCATCCATTTGAAGACCTCTGTAGGGGTTCCTCAAACGAACCATTTGTGTGGCTGGCACCAAGGGAGGCTGACACATGAGCCAGCCCCTCAGCTGGGTGATAGCCCTGACCACCGCCACTCCCATGCCGCCTGGTCTTGGAAGTTTGCTGTACACTCTACTTCTCATTAGTTTGACTTTGAGGGCTGTTTGCTTTTCTCTTTGGGTCTATTGGCCTGTGAATACCTGAAGGACATTTGACTTGCCTTACTTTTTGTTTTTGGCATGAGGTCCTGGGCCAGACCCTACCTTCCTCCTTTTCTAGAAACCACTGGATCAGGAAGAAAAGTGCTCCCCTGGGCCTTTCTGTTGACAGTTAGGCTCAAATTATGGGAGTAAAAAATTAAATGTGTCGAGGGTTCAGAAGGTTGCAGAAATGTTTCATGCTGTCAGGTATGGTGGGGCATTGGATGAAATGGAGATGGCATGTTCCAGCTAAAGACTGTGAAGCCCAGTTTTGGAAAACACCATGAACAAAATGCTTTTGGTTGGGTCAACAGGCTACCTCTCTGAGTACCTCAAGAGTTAGAATGAGCTTCACATGGAGCCAGCCTGCCTTGTTGGAAGATGCAACCATTAGCTTTTTACCCCAGCAGCCTCATGCCAGATTCGTGACTGGGTTCCTCAACCACCTTCTCATTCTCCTTGGGATGGAGCTTTTGATTTTCTGCTTCCTACCTTGAGTGGTTCTCAGGGATAACCCTTCAAGCAAATCTCCCTCCTGGGTGCTGGGCCTGACTGGCTCCACTTCTGGATGATGGGTTGAGTCAGATGCTGAGACACAGGGAGGATTTGACATTCAATGATACCACATTTTACCTGCAGGAACGGAGCATCTTCCTTCCTGGGGTGCAGAGGTGCTTCCTCCCTTCCTTGGCCTCATTTTGAACGTTTTTCTCAGTAAGCTGAAGGAAATTAGAGCAGATGAGGGCATTGGCAGTGGAAACGGAGAGTTGGGATGGGTGTGAGAGATATTTAGGAATTAAAATGGACTGTATTGGATGTGGGGTAGTGGAGAAGGTAGCATCTGGGTGAGTGTCCAGGTTTGTTTTCAGATTGCTGATGGTGCCACTCCATGAGATGGGGACTGATATAAAAGAAGTGGATGGCCACTATTGCCTTAAGTGACTGTCCATAAGAGTTACCCACTTTGGTGCATTGTTTCCTCAAGAATCACTACCAAGGTCCCCCTCAAATGGTTCTTGACAGGAGCACATAGGGAAGGCCAGTAGCTCTAAGTATTCACAAAGAGCAAATAATTTGCAGCTTCAAAGCACACCCCCTGGAATACCAAGGCTGGCTGCCTTCCACAATCCCGGGATGTTGAGCCCAAATCATTGCGACATTGTTGATGTGAACATATAAAGAACAAATTAACCTGCTTTGGAATGAATGATTAGATTCTGCTCAGACTTGACTGCTTATGTTTCCTGCAAACTCAATTTAGTGTTGGTCTGAGAGTGCATTGCTCTGCAGCACCAATTTTCCCTAATGGCCAACGTGAAGTGGGTAGGTGAAACCCCTCAGGCTCCAGGAGTAGGGTAGTGATGATGCATGTGTGCCAACCCCAAATCTGAGAACCTGAATCTAGCTTGGCCCTCACCAGCCTACCTAGTCAGTCAGTGGCAGATAGAAATCCTGATTCCAGGTACTTGTGCCCTTCAGTTCGGGAAGGCATCTTTCCTGATGCAAGATCTGGCAAAAAGCCCAGCATCTTCATCTCCTATGGCTACCAGTGCATTGGGCTGCATGTTTCAGAGCTGGCTGGTTTGTGTGGAGGAGATTATCAGTGCAGAAAGAATAGACTTGGGCCCTGGCAGAGAGAGAGGGAAGGAGAGGGAGAGAGAGGATCCACATAGACACAGCCCCTCTCCCCACATAAAGAAATTACTGCCGAGAAATGAGTTATTTTTAGATAAATGTGTATTTTTGGAGTATATCCTTTAAAGTGCCTTCATATTTTAGTGGGATTGTTTTTGAAATAAATAGTTTCAAAATGTATGATGTGATTTCTACCCTTTTAAAGCAGAGTGCCCTAAAATCAATTCAGCCTTGAAATATCTTTTTATAATTATGAAAAATTTCAAGCATATACAAAAGTGAGAGCGTCATGTGATAAACCCCATGTACCCAACAGCCAGCCTCAACAATTCATAGCCAACTTTGACCAACCTTATTCCATCTATATTTCCCACTCCCCTCCTCTTCCATAGATTATGTAAGTTCACCTTTTCTATGCGGACCTAAGGTCATCATTATGAACAGTACTTATGTAGTATGTGTGGTAGTAGATATTACCCTTCAGTGTATTTCTCCTATCTGTATCCTTGCCTTTACCAGAACTTCCCATAGTTTGTCTTCTGTAATCCAGTCTGGAAAGGTGTTGAAATTCTATGTTAAGTAAGAACACATAGAGTTTGAGAGAGACTTTCCTAGCTGAATTTTAATACCGGGTTTACCTTGGGCATTCACAGGCTCTTTCTGGAGAATTGAAGTTTAGGACTTTTCATCTCTTAAAAATGAGGGTGTTTTATTGTACTGTGCTGTGGTAGCACTTTTTTTCCCTTTGAAAATGAAGTCATTATTAATAGATGCAAAGAAATGGAAAAAGATTCATTTTTGAGAAGGATTTTGAGATAGGCATGAGGAATTCTGAGTATGCTGAGTACATCATTTGCTGCATGAAGATGATGCGGCTCCTCTTGTTCTGAGCTGCAGCACCGTCTCTGTGGCTTCACTTAGGGGATATTTTGAGGAACTGCACTCAAGTTTGCACCAAATGCCTCCAGACTGTTATGTTTTTCTTCCACCCTTCCCCCCTTATTTGCTATCTTTTTAGCTTTCTTGGTTTTTCACTGTCTCTGCTGTTTGAAGTGCTTCAGTATTTATAACATGGAGAGGAACTATGAGTTTCCAGGTCAACCAGATAACCATGCCTGTTACATCAGTGACCTATCAGTGTGTATGAAATTGAGTATCTAGGCCCTCCTGTTCCAGAAAAGTGCATGAGAACTTCCTGAGCTTGATGTGTATTTCCCGTGACAGGCTCTGAGGATAAAGATGCAGACAAGGCTTGTGCAGCTGGAGGTTCAGTGGGGTGGTTCAGTAAATGGGATCATAAAGATGGGGAGAGAAAAGCTTGAGGGTCCTTCAAAATCTCTTGCTGCTGTGCAGTCAACAAGGGCTACCTGCACGTTCCAGTGTCTTCTAGCACCTTCTGGCATCCTCTGCATGGAGTGTCATTCCCTGGAATGTACAGAGGGTAAGCACATGGATTCTGAGAAGTGAGTGAGCTGAGCATTTGGGGGATGTTTCAACCTTCCGAACGTAACTGGAAGAAACTGGGATGTAGAAGCTGTTTCACTCGTCCCTTTCTCTCCTTTATTCCCTCTTAATCTCTGCCGTAAGCGTTTTTCCATTTTAGGTCATCTGCCTTTCACAGACATTTGGTAAAAATATATATATATTTTTCGGAATGGAAACCTGAAGGTGTGCCATCACTCCTAAACACTGAGGATGCTCAGTGTTTTTGCTCTGGGGTATGAAACCACTCTTATTTTATTCAATTAGCTGCAGTTCACGACGAAAGGAGCAAGTTGACAGGGAGGCCTGGCAAAAGGTGGCATTCGTATGACAACAAACACCTCTATAGAATAGCATATTTATGAAGTGCTTCCTGTCAAGATTAGAGTGGGGATGGCAGGCATCCTATTTTCGAGATGATGAATGTGAGGTAGAGATTCAGGAGCTTGGGCTGGTCTTTTATCCTCTCAATGTTTATCTTGTGTCTTCCTTCCTCACCCTACTCTGGGCCCCAAGACTTCTTCCCTCCCTGCTGCCCCTCACTTTTCACCATCACTATCCAGGCTTCTAATTCCCACCCTGGACTCAGCTTCCTCCCACACATACACTGGTGCAGCTATTTCTCTTTCTCCTGTTTTTCATCTTGTTTAAGTCTCTTTAGTCTCATAAACTTTCAGGTTCCACCACTGTGTCTTCTCAGGCTAAGAACAAGAGGTTTTTTCTTAGGTAGAAACCTCGTGCAGGAGAAAGAGGACTGGGGGATTTCTTGGCTCCTTCATTTCCATCTTGACTTAAAATATAATCAATTTCTTCAAAAGATGTTGACCAAGGGCCTGGAGATCACCAGGTGTCTCGACCATGGAGGCATCCAGTTTCCTGGGCTGTACGTGCACAAGGAACCCCAAGAATGGGCTTATGGTGGTGGTGGGGGACAGAGAACATTGCTGGGGAACTCACCCAATGACTCAGGACAGGCCTGCAGTTGGGGCTTTCTCTGGGAAGGAGAGCGAGTCTTGGGCCCTAAATGCCAGGCCTGTGGGTGCCTCTGAGTGACGAGGCCATCATGGCACAAAGTAGGGTGGACATAGCAATCCCTCCCATTGCTCTTTCCTTTCTGTTCCTCTTCCTGTCACCAGAAGGAAAAATGGATAGTGATAACAATGGCCCAAGGAACATCCGGAGACTGAAGAGGGTCCCCCAGGCTGTCCAGGGGAGGTGATAACGAAAGAGCCACAAGTGGAATGATGCCTTCTGTCCGGAAACAACCTTAGCAGTGGTGGTTCTGGACTAAGAGCAGCCCTCCAGATCTTGTTGAGATTCTTATTTATCTTTGTGTTAATCTCTAATGTAATTTTGAGTACTTGTTATGTGCCAGACATGATGCCCTGGGCCTTATATACATTAGCCATTTAATCCTAATCTGTACCTTATAGATGGACAAACTGAGGCCCATTTATAAAGTGTTGAGGCCCAGAGCTGTGTTACTCAGTGAGTGAGTGCCACAATTGAGAGCTTCAGGGCCCATGATCTGAAGCAGCTCCTGCCACCACCCCTTTTTTGAAGCCTCAGCTGGTCCTTGGACAGGATGGAAGCTGGGATTAAACTCGAGGGTGTAGATTGCCTGACACCATGGTGGACACATGTTTCTTTTTCTTTCCTAGGTTCCCTGCTCTATAGGGGTCAGTTTTCTCATGGTCTCCTGATTCTTTTTTCATTCCAGAGGTGAGTACTTCTTCTCAGAGCCTTCTCCGACCAGATTGGCTGCCCTCAAACTTCAATTTGGCTCTGTCTCTTCCTGTCTCCAGCTTGTGCAGGCAAAGATGTGGTTGCATTAGCCACAAGTTGTGGATCACATCCCCATGCCCCTTATGCGAATATGATAAATGAGAGAGACAGTGGAATTTTCTTAGGGAGACAGTGTGAAAATATGCTACACAGGCATTCTGCAGCTGCTTTTGTCAGAGGCTTGTGAAACACTGAAAAAGGAGTGTGGGGAGGCCCATGCCATTGGTGGCTACCCTCCCACTGACAGCCCCAGTGTATGGTCAGACAAACGTGACATGGGGCTTCTCAAGGTGCAGGGAAGAAAGGCTTCTGAAAACTGAGTTTACAGATTGGAGCTGTGGGATACAAGTTTCAGAAGTCTTATATTCTCTGTGGTATATTCAGACCAGGGGGACCTGCTATACAGTTGGGGTTTTTCTGGCACCTGGTGATGGGATGCTGGCAGGGTGGGATGGGTGTGTGTGTGTGTGCGCATGCATGTGTGTGCATGTGCATGAGTGAGTGAATGTGTGTGTACATATGTGTGTGTGTGCATGCACACACTTACCTTTGTCTATGGGGGATTGCTACAAATAGCCACCTGATTAACTTTGGTACCTGTAGGCTGTGGGCTCCTGGCTGCTTGAGGATAGCACCCTGTGTAGAGTAAGCTTTGTAAAATACAGGCGGTGGCTCATCCAGGATCAGGTTTCTGGAGGCTGTATAATCCATTACAGTTGCATGCTCTGTTGGTTTAGAAGAACAACATCATCCTTGTTTATGAAAGCCTAACTAGTTGTAACTCAGATATCACAGACTCAGTATGTAGAGAGACATGTGTGGCAAGTTTGGTTTAGCATTTATCTTTAAAAAAATCAATGCCTAATATTACCTCAGCACTCTCAACATTTAGCTATACACTTTTTAACATTTTTACACCTGTAACCTTTGCTTCTGCTCAAACCTTTGCATCTATTCTACCCCAGAAGGCTGAAAGAATCCCCCTTTCAAGCAAGGTGGTGCTGCTGCTCTCCCCTGTGTACCTTTCCTTGAAGTCTGAGGAATCTCTCTCTCTCTCTGTAAAGGAATTGAGAATGCATTTTATAGCCAAGATTTTTTTCTTGGTCCTCCAAGGAAAATTCCTGTGTATACATTGAGTTAAAAGGATAAAGACTCCAAACTCTGGTACAAAGCAGAGAAATGGATCCTGACATGGACGGTTTTAGTCTAAACAAGATGCCCCTGATAACAGAGATCCAAAGACTAATTGCATTTGTACTGGAAATAGATTCTCAGACTTTAGTTGCCCATAAAAGTGTTTTCTCCGCCCTGCCATCTTCCTAGCTAATTTGATGTACTTCCTGCTCATTGTAGCCATTCTTCCAGTAAGAAAATCTTGAACTAAACCATTAGACAACAGTGACAATTTTCAAGATACATATATAAGTCATTTTTGGATTAATATGGGTTATCCAAATTAGTACTTTTTTCATTGTAGTTTATAAATATGGTTTTCTAGTAGCTCAGATGAATGGACCACTGATACAGCCTAAGTTATTGTTTCATCACCTGTGGGACCGTTAAATTAAGTCTTTCATCTGGTCATGTAGTCTGACCCTAACTGGTCATTACCTTGCTATGTGTTGTTGGCACCTGGGGGCCCAGGTGAGGGTGGATGATTGAATGAGCACAGATTCAGCCCTTCGTCTGGGTGAGGAATTAAGCATTGTGGGATAGGTTTCCCTCTTTCTGTAAGGTGGAGGGAATGATGTATCCATTCACCTATCCATCCATCCACCCATTCATCTATCCAGCAAACATCTAAGGACCCCATGGTGAGCTGGGAGTTTACAGCCTGGTGGAGAAGCCAACAGTCCCAAAGTGCTGGCAAAAGTTTATTTTGAGCAGACTGCTAGAGGCTTTGGACAGTCTAGTAGGTTGGAGGGGAGGATACAATTCAAGTTAAATGACATCATGAGTAAATTTTAGAAGTTCTTTATTGAGGTTTAATTTACATATAGTAAAATGAATAAATCTTAAATGTACATTTGGTGGCTTTTTTTTACAAGAATATACACCCATGTGACAACTGGGCCATCAAGACATAGAATATTTTCATCATCCTAGAAAATGTCCTTCCAGTCAATTCCCCCTCTGGTGAAAACCACTATTCTGCCTTGTCACCATAAATCAGTTTTGCCTGATCTTGTGTTTCATAGCAATGGTGTCATACAGTTTGTACTTTTTGGGTCCAGTTTCTTTCACTCCACATCATGTCTGTGGGAATCATCCATGTTGTTGCATGTGTCACTGGCTTGTTCTAATTTTTGGTGAGCAGTATTCCATTGTATAACTATGCCACAGTTTGTTTATCCCTTCTCCTGGGCATTTGAATTGTTTCTAGTTTTTGGCTATTTTGAGTAACACTGCAGTGAACATTCATGTACAAGTCTGTTTGTGGACATACACATTCAAAGTGGATGAAACACAGATAAAGAGAGTCAAAAGATTTTCAGTTATTCAGGGTGAGGAAACTATAACAGAGAAATCCAAGGGTGATTGGACTTCAAGACAGGCTAAATGTGTCCCCTCTGAGATGCATTACCTCATTTGAATGTATTCATTACATGAGTTGTGTGAAGAAATGAATTAATCATGGTGCCTTCAGCTTAGTCATAGATTATCTTGCAGGAAGGGAGGTTCCTAATGGACCCCATTTTCGACTCACTGGGGAAGCAGCGACCCTTGGGAGTAAAGCTACAAGACATCTCTGTGTTGAAGAGAGGACTGTAGGCTTCCCATTGTGTAAGAGAAATTCTGAATTTTCCTATTGGTCCTGATTCCAGCTTCTGGGCAATAGTTTAGGCAGAGGAGGCAATGATGTGCCCTGCTCTCAGCCACTGAAGTTTCAAGTCAGAAGACCTCTAGTGCTCAAGGCTCTCATCTCCCCGGCTATGTGTATGTAGCAACATGGAAGGCCAGCGCCTTGTGATAGACAGTTTAATCTTACCTGCCTGCTGTGAGGTACACTCACCATCCCAGAGAATTGCAAAGTATAAATTGTCTCTTAACACTGATAAACAGTAAGGAGGAGGAAAAAGCCCTGACAAAATATTACAGCTTAATTGTATTTCTCAGCTGGGCTCAGGAAACCTGCTTCCTCCTTAGGCGAATGCTATTTACGAAGTCTCCCAGCCCCACAATAATTATTTCTTTAACCCCTGGTGGGATAGCACCTTAGCATGGAATGGGACTGCACTGCCAGGGAAGCTTAATGAGGCTGTCTCAGGTTCTTATGTGGGTGAGGTTTGCCTTCATTAGGTGCATGCATCACTGTGACTTCTGGCTTCGGGCCTCAGGGGTGGCAGGAGGACAGGCTGCCCCTGAAGATAGAGGCTGTTGGGGAAGGGGGTGGGGAGGAGGAGGCAAGACTTTCTGCTGGCCTGGTTTTCTAGTACACAGGTGTTTGCAATTCTAAATAAATGTGCAGTGTCAGGACTCAGCAGCCCATCAGCTGAGACTTATAATGAGGGCTGAGCAGGGAAATAAGATTGGCCTTCTTTGGGCACTTGTCATTATGTTGGGTAGACCCAAATTCAGGCCTAATTATGTGTGTGTGTATATATATATACACAATAGTCTGGAAGAACTGGGTTTGGGGGTGCAAGAGACAAGGGGGGTGGCCACCTGTCAGAAATATTGTGTGCTCTGAAAATCTCCCTGTGTGGAATCTGGAAGCTCATTGCTGTGAGCATTGTTTGTTTGTTTGTTTTTTTTTTTTTTTTTAAACTTTGAGCGATATCTTTATGCCTTCTGCAAAGTTTTGAAAAACACTATTTGAATAGCCAGTCAGAAAGAGGGGCCAGAGGCAAAAGCCTTTTCCCTTCACAGAGCAGTGTCCACTGGTGACTTACAAAGGCCCATCTGGTGCCCTCGGCAAGTGATGGCTGCTTATTTCACCTAGTTGATCATTTACTCCTGCATTTGTCTGTTTGCTCATTTATTCATTCATTGCTATCAACACTTAGAATAAAACCCCAACTCCTCATGTTACTGAGTTGAATAGTGTCCCTCCAAAATTCATGTTCTTCCCTGAAGCTCAGAATGTGAACTATTTGGAAATAGAGTCATTGCAGATATAATTAGTACAGTTCAGATGAGGTCATACTGGAGTAGGGTGGGCCCTTAACCCAATATGACTGGCGTCCTTATAAGAAGAAAAGAGACACAGAGTGACACACAAACAGTAGAAAGACCGCCATGTGACACCAGAGCCAGAGATTGGAGTGATATTAGGTTGCTGTGAAAGTAATTGTGTTTTTTGCCATTAAAAGTGGCAAAAACCGGCTGGGCACGGAGGCTCATGCCTGTAATTCCAGCACTGTGGGAGGATGAGGTGGGTGGATCACGAGGTGGGTGGATCACGAGGTCAGGAGGTTAAGACTAGCCTGGCCAAAATGGCAAAACCCTGTCTCTACTAAAAATACAAAAATTAGCCGGGTGTGGTGGCAGGCGCCTGTAATCCCAGTTACTTGGGAGGCTGAGGCAGAGAATTGCTTGAACCTGGGAGGCAGAGGTTGCGGTGAGCCGAGATTGCAACACTGCACTACAGCCTGCGCGACAGAGTGAGACTGTCTCAAAAAAAAAAAAAAAAAAAAAAAGAGGTGGCAAAAACCACAATTACTTTTGCACCAATCTATACATCTGTAGGCCAGGGCACCAAGGATTGCTTACAACCGCCAGAAGCTAGGAGGCTTTTCTCACAAATCTGTTTTGCCTGGTCTTGTGCTTCCTAGAAATGGTATCATACAGTATGTACTTTTTTGGGTCTAGCTTCTTTCATTCAACATCATGGGAATCATCTGTGGGAATGATCCATGGGATCTGTGGGAATCATCCATGTTGTTGCATATGTCACTGGCTTGTCCTGTTTTATTGATGAGCAGTATTCCATTGTTCAGGGAAGGACATGAATTTTGAATGAACAGATTATCCTTCTGAGTCCCCAGGAAAAAACCAACTCTGCCAACACTTTGATTTTGGATTTTTGGCCTTCAGAACTATAAAAGAATAAATGTCTCTTGTTTTAAGCCATGTAGTTTGTGGTGCAATTATGCAGCCCTAGGGAAATGATACACTTGTCATGGCTTACAATGTTCCTGGCTACTTCTCCAGTTTCATTTTTAACCAGTCTCTACTTGGACTGGCCTACTGACTGCTTGCTGTACATGTTGAATATACTTGGTCCTCAGGACCCTTGTACTTGCCATCCCCACTGCCTACAACATTCTTCCCTATATGGTTCCATGACTCGTTTGCATATTTACTTAGGTCTTAGCTCAAATGTCACCTCTTCAGAGAGACCTATTCTGGACATCTTTTTTTTTTTTTTTTTTTTGAGACGGAGTCTCGCTCTGTCGCCCAGGCTGGAGTGCAGTGGCGGGATCTCCGCTCACTGCAAGCTCCGCCTCCCGGGTTCACGCCATTCTCCTGCCTCAGCCTCCCAAGTAGCTGGGACTACAGGCGCCCGCCACTACGCCCGGCTAATTTTTTGTATTTTTAGTAGAGACGGGGTTTCACCGTTTTTAGCCGGGATGGTCTCGATCTCCTGACCTCGTGATCCACCCGCCTCGGCCTCCCAAAGTGCTGGGATTACAGGCGTGAGCCACCGCGCCCGGCCTATTCTGGACATCTTATCTAAAATTGCATCTTCTCCTCTCACTCTCTACCTCCTTACTCCACTTTAATCTTCTTCCTAGAACTTACCACTAGGAGACATTACAGAGTATGTAGGTGTATTTGTTTTTTTGTCACCTGCTTCCCCAACCAGACCATAAGCTCCATGTGGGTAAGGACTTCGTCTTCTTTACTGCTGTATCCCCAACATGCAATAGTACTTGGCAACTAGTAAGTGCTCAATAAATATTTATTGTTAACATTATCTCATGCTAGGAAACCTAAAACAAAGCCAGTTCCTGCACTCATGGGCTTATATTCTAGTAACTGATACACATAGATGTGAAGAATGACTGGGTTTGAGGGAAGGAGAGTTCACTTGGTTTGGGAGACCCGGTAAAGATTTCCTGAGCAAGTGATATTTGAGATTTGATTGTGGCATCAGAGTTGACCAGGCAGAGTCTGTAAAAGCCTTGTGGTGGAAAGGAGTGTGGGTGTGTTTGAGAAAGTGAGGAAGGCTGATGTGGCTGGAGAGCTGAGAGCCAAGGGAGTGACTGAGGGGCGGGAGGAAGCCAGAGCATCCAGGGTCTTGTGGGCTAGGAAAGGACCCTGGTCTTTATCTTAAGAGTGATGGGAAGACTTTGAAAGAATTAAGAGTGGAAGAGAGGCAGGAGGGCATTACATAATCTAATTTATGTTTTGCAAAGTTCGCTCTGGTTGCAGTGTGGTAAATGCCTTGGGGTGACCAATTAGGAGGTTACTGCATTTGTCTGGAGGGATGCCTGAAGATCCTGAGAGGTGGCAAGATTCAAGACAGATTTGGGGATTAAAAGTGGACAGGATTTGGAAATGGATTGGAGTCAGGAGGTGAGGGGAGAGGACAGTATCAAGGGGGGCTCTCAGGCTCTGGACATGTGTGATGGAACAGATCATGGCACCATTCATAGAATAAAGGAACACTGGAGGACTGTGTGTGTGTGTGGAGTGGGGGAGGTGCAAGGGTTCGGGGCTGGGAGGAGATCTTTCATCCCTGACGGTTTCTGCAGCACTGCTGTGTTAGGTGTCTTCCACCAGCTCCAATGGAAATAAGAAGTGACGCCTCTGAAGATGGCTTTGATTCTAGCAAGTCCTGTGCCCTTGTAGTAACAAGATGGGTGCTCTCCAGTGAACCACTGATCTTGGTATTTATTCATGCCCTTGGATAGCCCCCACCTACACTGGCTCTAGGCTTGGCCACATGACTTGCTTTGGCCAATGGGACCCTGGTAAACATAAAGCAAACAGAGGCTAGATAAGCACTTGCCCACTGGGGCTTATCTTCTTGGAACTGTCTCTCAGAAGCTTGCTGCCATGTTATAAAGAAGCTCAGATGGATCACTGGATGATGAGAAGCCTCAAGGAGAGATGCCCTAAAGGATGAGAGGCCATCTTGAAAGTTCCAGCCCCTGCAGAGCTCCTACCTTAATGCAGCCACACAAGTGACCACAGCTATTCCACAAGGAGCAGAACCCAACCAACCCACAAAACTGAGAAAAATAATACCTTGTTGTGTTAAGTCACTAAGTTTGAGTGGCTTGTGATACTGCAAGAGAACTGAAGCAGACCTCTTCAGACAGATTAAAATGGGGGACCCTGGCTATTGCTGGGCTCCTCTGGGAAGAGTCTCCTAAAGAGATGTCTTAGGCCCCTTTGCCCAAATGGCTGCAGAGGGTGAGTACTGATGGCTCTCCCACTCCCCACCTCCCTTCTTTCTAATTTTTTCCTTCACCATCCCTTCCATGGCCTGTATCTGTGCCTGGTTTTCCTCACCTCTTTCCTGCTCTTTCACTTCGATAGCTGTGGGGAGCCCTCAAGGCTACAGAAACTTCAGAAACCTGGTTCAGGATATGCATCATTGCCTACTCCCCCCATTTCTTTTGTCCCCTGTCCTAGCACTGGAGCAAAATTAGGTCTCCTTTGTATTTTTTTAATGAACAGGTTTAGCCACTGTTAGCTGGCTATTACATTGGACTGAAAATGCTGTTTGTGAGCCATTGTCAACAGAGACTGGGACCAACACTGACACCTCCTTAATTATGTGCCATTAATGATATACACACTGCAGTTAAGGGAACATTGCAGATCCATTTTCTTGCTTTAATTCAGTGCTGTGTTGTATGAAATGCTAATGAGTCCAGAATTCTCAAAGGTCATAATCTGAATACATTTTCTTTTCTTCTTTTTAGGGCAATAGGGATAGAATTCAAAACAATTAAAATGAAATTTACTTCATCATTTGGCTAACAACATCCTTGACTGTACTAATTACACTGAGGGATGTATTCATTCACTGGTCATTTGGGCAGATCTGAGTGTGCTTGATTTCTTTTAAGGTCTGCAGCTCTGAATTCTACACAGGATTTTCTTTTTTAGCTGCTCACCCCATTGGTTATGAGACATAACTGGGGAAAAAAAGTCCATCTAAACCCTTAGAATATGGAAAGTGCAAATTTAGCAGAACCAGCATAGAATTTTCCAGGGAGTCATTTATCATCCTTAGAAAGTTTTGGTTCTTTGCAAATAAAAAAAGAGAAAAGAAAGGTAATTGCCATGCTCAGCTAATTGACAGAATTGTGTCAGAAAAAGGAGGCATTTCAACACTGCCTCCGATGATGACATTTGAAGGTTGTTCCCATTCTCTCTTCACTGCTAAATTAGGTAATCATTATTTCCCTGTGAATCTTATTAATCTAATGGTTGCTTCTCTCCCCTAGCCCCCCTCAGTTGGTTTTGAGACTCAGACAGAAATGTGAAAATGAAATGCTGAAGGTCAGAAAATAGTTTGGTCAGTTGAATTTGTATTCTCCAGTTTTGTGGTTCAGATCTGAAGTAGGAGAGGACAAGAGGGAATAAGTTTAAATTGCAGTCAGGGGAATTCAAGTCATCTGTTAAAAAGGACCATCTCATTATATGAATGAAACCCAGAAGGTTTGAAATCTCTGCTGGTGGATTTTAAGAACAGGTTATTCCACTGACGTGCTGGGATAGTGGAAACCAAGAAGCTAGAAAAAAGCCCAGAACAGTGATTCTCAGGCTTTTCTCTTTTTGGATGGCTTTAGTGGGCACAAGAACTGCACTGGGTACTCAGGGGTAATGGCAATCTCTGAGTTTTCCCTGTAAAAAATAGTGCTCATCAGATGTAGGGCTTCTAATATGGTTTCTGATGAGACATTAATGAGATAATGACTGGTTTAAGAAAACTGATGCTTGGTTTTCATTAGACATTATAACCAAAATACCAATTTGTGTTTGAAACAGATAGTGTAGGCAGTCTGTTGGCAAAACCAGCGCTTCCTCGGTAGGACAGATTGACAGCAGCCCTTAATGACACTTGGAAAATAGCTGAATGTCCTGTGTTGGTAAAGGCAAAATGTGAAGGATCTGCACACTAATGGTGGCTGTCTTGGTCTGTTTTGTGCTTTTATAACAGAATGCCACAGACTGGATAATTTATAATGAAAGAAATTTATTGGCTCAACATTCTAGAGGCTGGGAAGTTCAAGGTTGAGTTTCCAGCATCTAGCAAGGGTCTGCTTGTTGTGTCATAATGTGGTAGAAGGCATCTCATGGCAGAAGAGCAAAGAAAGAGAGAGGAAGAGAGAGAGCAGGAGATGGAGAGGAAGGGTGGGAGAAAGAAAGAGATAAAGGGGGCTGAGCTTGTCCTTTTATAAGGCATGCACTCCAACAATAATGAATCCACTCCTATGATAATGGCATTAACCCATTCATAAGGGTAGAACCCTCCTGGCCTAATCAGCTCTTAAAGGCCTCACCTCTGAATACTGTTATAATGGCAATTAAATTTCAACATGAGTTTGGGAGGGGACACACATTCAAATCATAGTGGTGGCATATTGGTGACAAATTCTATCCCCCTGTTATTGCTGAGCAGGCTTAGGCAAGACCGCCTCAGTCTGCCTTGATGATCTTTCTGCCCCTCGGAATGTTCTTACCCATCCCATCCCCATGTCCTCTCTCCTCCCTACCTTGTCAGTCAGTGCTCCTCAGGGCAGCCAGTAGGGACAGTAGCTGCCCGACCTGAGGTGGAGAGGCTGAATGTATGGGACAAATGCATTCTGGGACATTTCCTGCCTCCTCTTCCTTCTAGGTCTCCAAATTCCCCATAACAAACAGGAATTGAGTAGATTGAGAGTGAATCTCTGTGGCATCACGACAAATCTGGAAAATACTGTTTAAAAAATATATTACCTGGATTGACCTCTTAGATGTTCTTAATATTTTGGGCCAGTGGTTCTGGAAACTCTTAATTATTTCATTTAATCATCTTAATTTAGTTAACAGTATTTACTATTTTAAACAAAAGCCTTTATGAAAGAGAGTCTAGCCTTTTCCCCTGGACCCAGAGAGACAAAAATATCATGTTTTCCTCTGGCAAGTCAGTCAAAATCAAATCTTGTATCAATGAACAGATTTCAGAGCCTCTGATTTCCACTTCTAGAAGAAGTGATCTATGAGAGTGTCCTTATTCAGAAACAAGGTAAAATGATTCATGTTTATATGAAACAATCTAGTAAATTGTATGGATGCTTTCTTCATTTTGTTTTACGATAAAATTAAGTCATTTTCTCCCCTTCATAAGACATTTTGCTTTGTAGCTTCAATCGTCATAGTGAAGTTCAATGAACAACATCAAAAATGATCATCATTTGGAAAAAAATCATCATTTGTAAATGTTCATTAGCCAAACTATTGTTCCCAGAAGGAAGATTTAAACATATTTTTTCTTTCTCTTTCTTTTCCTGTCACATCTTTTGTGCTCCTTGGTGTAGATTTCGAATTTGGTGAAAACCCATCACCTTCTAAGTTATCATGAAATAAAAAGCCAGAACAATGTACAACATCGAGCAGTCAGGTGCACCAGTTGCATTTTCCTTGGTTGTGAGTTACTTGATCCTTTGCTATCTCTGTGGCTGGGGAAATTGCACCTTGAAGGTTTGTGGGTTAGCTGCAAAAGGTGGCGGAAAAGTTTTACTTTTATTCCTTCAGGTTTCCTTGTGGTATGACTTTCACACTTATGGACCACGCCCACCAGAGACCTTGTATGCATTAATCACGGGGTGAGTCTCTTAGTGAGCACATCTGTACATGTGGATGACATAAAAGGAATGAATCAAATTTCATCTCTATGCCTAGTTTGGGTAGCATGTGACTCATTTTCATGACCCTAGAACTAAAACGTGGTAGTTAAAACAATAACGTGATATTTATAGGGTAATTTTGATCAAGCCTGTCATAATTTTCTTTCCTGGGTAAGTCTGTATGTCCTTTGTTACATTTCTAATTACACTGACAGCTTTTCAGAAGGAGTGTTAGGGTAGAGGTTATTTAAACATAAAACCGAAGGTTTGACATCAGTTAAGAATGAATGATTTTTATTTCCTAACATATATTTTAATGCAACAAAAACTTACTGGTTTATTTTCCTCCCCAAATACTTTCATTATTCTTATTTTATTGTGTAATTTTTAAAAAAATCATCGAGGCAGAAGAAGAATTGTGCTGGAGTCCCTTCTTCCTACCCAGGCACCCAGCAGCCTTAATATTATTCCTCTGTTAAAATATGAAACAATGGTGCATTGTTCATCTCACTCCTGGGTGGGCTCCTTCATGAAGCCCTGTAGCTGCAGGCCTCTTTCCAGTTACAAATTTAGTAGAGTTCCTCCAGTGACTTGGCTCTTTCCACATCACTCCAGGGATCCCTATTAACTTAACACACTAAAAATAACACTGCAGAATTGCTGAACGGGTGAGGGAGACCAGCAGGGCCGAGGGAAGCTAAATATTGCTTGCATTGATCAGGAACTTGGGCCCTGCTCCCATGACGCTTGCTTTTTGACACCGAAGCTCATTAAGAACATGTTTGTGCATCTGCAGGCTTGAGAGACAGGGGAGTACATCAGGCCCAGGGGTGGGAGTTGAGGAAGTGAGGATGCTGTTGCCAGTCACAGAGGTCTTTTCCTATCAACCTAGGGACTCGTTTCCTTCTGAATTAATGCAGCTTTTGTGTGAGCCTGGACTAGACTTGTCTTCCCTTCTGGCAAACGTTCTTAGGTGAGAATAAAGCCAACTCTCACCTTGACTTTAATTCCAAACTCAGTTGTAAACATTTTTTTTTTGTACAGAGTAATTGTCTCATCAAATAGTAGATATGAGCATGTTTTACTTGTATAAGGCTGAGTAGCCTGTAGAAAGAATTCAGGTTCTGAAGTCTTAAGTTTAGCATTTGAGTCCTCTGTCTACATTAGCTGTGTTGCACTGAGCTACTTATTGAAACTCCTCCAGCCTCAGATTCCCTATTTACAAAATAAGCATATTAATGGAAATTAATGCCTTTCTCACAGGATGATTGAGAATTCAGATGGGATAGAATTGAAAGTGTTTAGATAAGTGTAAAAGCTGTAGTTAGTATTCTCCAAATATCCACAGTATTAAGTTGAGCCAAATGAAATGCCAATAGTGAACCAATTTTGTCCTACAAAAATGGCAGTTTCATGTGGTTCAACCAAATATATTAATAGGAGTTTTGGAATGTCTTTCTCATCTTACTTCTTTAAATTATCCCTGTGAGACAGAAATATTATAAGCAACCTTATTTTAGCACCTGGGGAAATCAAAGTTTCAAAGGTTACTTGTACCAAGTTGAACAAAATCTGTGAGTGAACCTGTTCTTCCATTACTCAGTCTGTGGTTTCTTGCCCTTGCCCTGCACTTTAAGGGCATAAACTGAAAATGAGAATCTAGAGAAAGATTGTGACAAAACCACCTTCCCCAGGAGTTGAGCAGAGTGTAATAAAGGAGGTCACAGCCTCTATACCATATACTGACATTAAGGAGTGGTTCTCCTGTTAAGCACGCTTTCTTGAGCTGGGGCTGGCTTTCCTGAAGTGATGACTCTTTCAGGGGCTGAGTGAACCTCTGTGGGGCTGCTGCATATTAGTTCCTTCTGTTTATTGTCCCTCAGAATCACCAATATGTGCAAATCAGTGCTGACCTGGAGATCGGAGGATCTAACTCCCCAGAGATGGGACGTAGCTGGTCTACATTGGAGTATGTCCCCATTCTGGGCTTGTCTTTGGCTCTGGCAGGTTTTCTCAACATCAGCACTATAGATATTTTGGGTCAGACAATTCTTTGCTGTGGCAGTTGTCCTGTGCATTGTAGGATGTTTAGCAGCATTCGTGGCTTCTACCCACTAGATGCCAGTAGCATGCTCTCCATTGTAACAACCCAATATGTCTCTAGACATTGTTAAATGTCCACCAGAGGGGCAAAATCTCTGCTAGTTGAGAACCGCTGGGCCCAGGAGACCTCAGAGTGGGAGAGTGAGGGGCTGAGCTGGGCTGGACTAATGGTGACGTATTTCAAGACATTTACCAACTTGTCTGATGAGGTTCAATGCACCTAAGAGAATTGCATTTCCTTTTCTCCTACCTTCTCATGAAAAGTGGTGCGATTAGATAAGAGATGAGTCATATTTGGGGATATTGTTAGTTGCAGATGAGTAGGAAGAGAGGTATGGAGTTGCCTAGGCCCTTAGATAGGAAGAAAAGAAGTCTAACTGAGGACCAGGTTCTCTCAATTTCCTGGCAAAAACATCTGTCTTCTTGTTTTTCTAGTTAATTATGGATTTTCATGAGCTCACCCAGCTAATCAAGTTTAATGACACTAGACCCAAATCACATTATTGTTATTTTTCAAGGCTGTGTTGGAACTGTGCCGCATTAACCTGCCAGCAGCCTGGAGACAACTGTAGCCACTCAAACACTGGAGAAGCAATGCTTTTATTAGCAGCACAAACAGCCCTTTCATAACATGTCACCACTGAGATTATGAAGACAGAATAAAAGCAGCAGAAAAAGGGAATTTTCCATAAAGAACACTTTAGGAGCTTTATTACAAAGCAGAAACTTTATTGCAGGATGGGCAAGGAGACATGTGTCCTATATTTACTACCATTTCCAATATAAATTTGGTTTGGAGAGACAGAGAAAAAGATACATATAAAGTTGATATTGCTCCTTCATTTCCATGTCACTGATGACAGCTTGAACAAGGATTTCCCAAAAGGCTGTGAGCCACCTTTGTGGGTCACATGCTGTTTGTGACTCTGTTCATACCCTCTTTCCTTGTCCTCAGGAATTCCTGGTGTAGAATGGACATAGCTGCCAGTCTTGCAATAGCCTCTGGACCCCACTTTCACCTCAGATAAATAAAAAAATATTGTGTATTCAGCAAAAAGTTGGGTTCTTTGCCATTGGACTTTATATAGCCTGGGGAAAAATTAATCACATTTTTCCATTTAGCATTTCATTTGGTCTGGATATCAAACCAACAGGTTTTTTTCTTTCTTTTCTTTTTTTTTTTGGTTGGGGGAATATTTTAAAAAGTAATGAAAAGAATTTCCTCAATTCTGCTGCTGAAGTGTCCTCTGTTAGATCTTTGCACTGCTTTCAACACTTCAAATCCATATCCACATTTCATAATTCAATCACTCTCTTCTGAGGGGCAGTCTATAATTCACTTCTGGGCCTCTACTGTTACTTTGTAGACTCTTACACCTAACAAACGAATCAGAAGGTATTCTTTTCTTTACAAGTGAGAGACTTCTACTTGTTAGTACACCATGTCACAAAGATTTGCATGAGATTCCCGAATCTCATTATGAAAAGGCCAGGTTATTTGGGCACACATAAAAGCAATGGGATAGACTGCTTGAGTTTTGGAGTCAGATTGGTCTGGATTTGAATCCTGGGCCCATCACTTGTTAGCCTTGTGACACTGGGCAAGTTACTTTGCCTTTTAAAGCTTTAGTTTCCTTATCTGTAAAATTGATGTGATAACAACAACAACAACAACAACAACAACAACAGTTAGATCATAATATGTTTGTGAGGATAGAGTGAGAGGTGCATGTAAACTGTGAAGCAGAATGCCTAGACATAGTAAGTGCTCATTTGGTGTTAGGAAATGAGGGTGTAATTATTTCCAAGATGGGATTAGTCCTGTGACATTTGCCTAATTTAGTAAATTAGGCTGCCCTCCTCAATTAGTTTCTTACTATAACTATTAAGATCTCTTTGTCAAATCACAGTTCGCAGGTCTGCTTGAATATATTTTAGGATATTTAATGGCCAGAAGACTTCCCACAGTAACTTTGTTGCTCAATTCTTAGGAAAGCAGAAGAGGATTATAAATAACAAGCAATAAAGACAGCAAATGTATGCTCCAAAAGTGAGGAAAAATCAGTCCTAGGGGAAGTCCTCTGAACTTTATTGCAAAAGATAGGAAAGAGACAATTGGAAATGTGGGAATAATCATAGCGCTTAAAAAAAATCATTGTTACTGCAGAACTAATTGGAGTTCATTGTGGTAAAGAAACATTTCTGGTTGTATTTATTTAAAGATGGTGAGCAGAATCGAGGAGGAAGAGAAGGTATTTTTAATAAGGAATCAAGGTACTGAAAATTCTGGAACTAACAAAACAAACTAAAAATAAGACTCAAACAGGTAGGATTCACTCATGCAGGGAGATTCTACAGTGACGGCTTAAGGATCAAAATAAACAGATTAGGGAACTCAAAATTGGGAAAATAAAGCAAGAGCCTTTTAGGGAGGTCCTTGGACCACTTTCCCCCTCTACTATCCTAGATTACAGCCATGTTCTGCCACCAATGAAGTCACTGCGAAATTTCCGGTGTTCAGTGAAGTTTCAGGTCTCATTGAGTTATTGTTTGAGAGGCAACAGACAGAAGAGGTGGTGGCTAAATAGAGGTTACCTGGAGGTTGCTAGAATGATTCTTTACTGCCTTGGGGTGGGGTATTGGGATGAGGTGGAGGTGTGTGTAGTTGAGGGAGCAGAAGATGGAATGGGGTTAAGGGAAGGAAATTTTAAGTACCTCTTATGTTCTAATGGCTTTTACATAGACTTGCTTATATAATCCCATAACAATCCCAAAGAGATGATGGTACTATCCTTATTTTGCAGGTGAGATTGACGTTTTGAGAGGTCTAGCAATTTACCAGAGGTTACTTAGCTAGTAAGTGATGGAGCAGAGATTGGAACCCAGGTCTGTCTGACTTCAAAGCCCATGAAAAACAGAGTCCTTGTAAGTTTTTTTCTCTTCCCCCTCAAGGGAAAACTATTGAAAAGAAATAAATATATTAGGAAGGGATGTTTGTTGGAGCTGGGAGCTGTGCAGCCTGAGGGTCAGGAGGTGGGATGCCAGCACTCCTTTAGCTGCCCCAGCTGGTGTCTCTGTATGTTGCATGCCCTCTGAGTACACTGTCTCTGGGCCTAGTTCAGTTTTTCTGGGTCTGGGTCATCAACTCCAGCAATCATGGCAGAAGCATTTATGAAATGAAGATATTGAAAGATGGAATCATGGTAGATGTAATGACAGGTTTTGAAAAATGGGAAAGATATTGAAAACTGAAAATGGATATCTGTTGGAAGAGATTTTAATTTTCTGGTAAAATAATGGAGTAAGTACCAGGAGAAAAGAAATCTGTAGTCGGACGATAATACAGAGGATAATAGAATCATGAGCAATAAACAGTTCAGGTCTGTAAACAAAGCATCATGCCAAAAAACCCCCCGATAGCTTCCCACTGATGGAATTATAGAATTGGTGGATGAAAGGAAAAAATAAATTTAATATATTTGGATTTTTGGTAACACACAAGATAGAGGTGGAGAAAAACCAGAATAATTGAATATAACAGTATAGCAAAGTATTTGACACTAGGTTGGATTGGATTTTTCTTTGAAAAAGTTACTTTAGTTAGACTAGATGTTGCTAGAATTGCTATTTTGATTGAAGGTGGCTATTTCAACAGATATTGAATATGATAAATGATCATGATATTTAAAAACAAACTAAGCCCCCAAACAAACAAAACTACATTGGGAATATTGCAAACTAAAAAGAAAACATTCTCTTTTTGGTTTAACCCCAGATGGATTGTTTCCTGCTTAAAGGGTCTCTTATGAAAGACACCTTTGTTTTTTGACTTTGCTCCTGTGATGATATGATAATGCGTCCCTGTCCCCTTTGCTTGGGAATCATTAAAAGGTTCTACTGGTCCACTAAGAATCCCACAGGAAGAGATTCATAGAGGCCTTGGATGGTGCAGTTACAGCTCAGACTGCAGTCTTTTTTTTTTTTTTTTATACTTTAAGTTTTAGGGTACATGTGCACAACGTGCAGGTTTGTTACATATGTATACATGTGCCATGTTGGTGTGCTGCACCCATTAACTCAGCATTTAACATTAGATATATCTCCCAATGCTGTCCCTCCCCCCTTCCCCCACCCCGTAACAGGCCCCGGTGTGTGATGTTCCCCTTGTGTCCACGTGTTCTCATTGTTCAGTTCCCACCTATGAGTGAGAACATGCAGTATTTGGTTTTTTGTCCTTGTGATAGTTTGCTGAGAATGATGGTTTCCAGCTTCATCCATGTCCCTACAAAGGACATGAACTCATCCTTTTTTATGGCTGCATAGTATTCCATGGTGTATATGTGCCACATTTTCTTAATCCACAGACTGCAGTCTTGAAACAAAATAGTGATGGACAAAAGTTTTCAAAAGTGATTTTTAAAGAATATTTCTGTATTTTGATATGTAACTGGGGTAGCAGACATAATTATGTGGAAAAACAATTGTCTGTTCTCTATCATAAAACAGAGTGAAGAAAGTGTGTCAATAAATAATCTCTGGGGAAGAGAAGTAATCTTTGTTAAGTATTTAATATGTGATTGGTGCTTACAGAATCTTAGGGAAGCATATTCACTATATGAAGCCTTCGGCTATAATGGAAGAGGACTTGGGAGGGCTCAAGTCCAGCTCCAAGAAACACACTTATTATTATTATTATTTATTGTGGTAAAGAATACATAACATAAAATTTACCATTTTAGCTATTTTAAGTGTACAATTCAGTGGCATTAAGTACATTCACACTGTTGTGCAGCCATCATCACTATCCATTTCTAGAACTTTTTCATCATCTCAAACTGTTCTCTCAGTAATGATCCATAACTGACCACCATGAGTAAAACATTGTGCTAGGCATTTGGGTGACACAGAATTGGATAACACATAGGTCCTGTATTCAAGCAGCTTTTTCCTGTGTTGGACAAAGATTGACTTAGCAATGTGTCTTACAAAGCCTCGCACTTGGAGTGATGCAACTTTTTTGCACTCAGGGCCAGGAACTTGCCAGTATTCCTTTTTGTGATCTACAGATCTGCAGGTGGAGGACACAAAAGTAGAAAGAGGTGTTTTTGCACAGCATGTCAGCTCAAACTTCCACCTTTTTGTGCCTCTCAGTGTGCTCATTTAGAGCCAGCTTATTCTGCCTTGTGAGAGCTAATCATGTGTATCTCTTCACAACTACTTGTTTGGTGACATCACATCAGTAGTTTGCAACTGGCCATAATGGGAGCATTTACACCGCAAAAGTCAGCAAACACTGCAAGTCAGAGTCTCCCTGCTCCCCAACCCCCAATCAGTACGGTACTGGGTACGAGTTGCTTCAAGGATGAAATGAAATTGAGAGATTAGTAGTCAATTTGTCAATAAAAGGCAGTTTTAGTTTTTGGTTTCTGAAGGCTGGTGCCACAGCCTGGTGTTTGCAAGACTCCTCAGACAGTTTTCCAGATTGCTTTATGGAAGTTGTTCTCATCTTTCAAGGGAAGTTTTCACTAACTATATGACTCCACTTGTTTCTTCTCTGATAACTTCTAGTCACCCCAGTGGTCAGGGAGGGAGCTGAAGCCTGATTAGCAATGATAAGCCTTTACCTTACCCACATTTTGACAAATCTCAGATTCTGTTGAATTTTCTTCATCACATGTACATGAAAGCTGGCATGAAGATTATGTGGGCATCCATTAGAGTTATGTAAAATGTGAAGAACTGTCCTTATAATGAACTTTTTAGTAGACAAGAGTAGCACTTTTGTAGGAGAAATTGGGTAGGCAAATATGCAAATAACAACAGCAGCAACGATAACTACACTACTTAAAAAGCTGAAAATTTCCCTCATCATGATTATTATTAACTTCTAAGCATGTATAGTTAGGATAACACAGATTTTTCTCTGGAGAGTTGTCTAGTAGGGGTAGTCTGGTTAGGAAACAGTTTCTGTGGCCTCACACACACACCTCTTACACAAACACACACATACGCACACACACACATGTGTGGGTGGTGACAGGGACGATGTGGTGGGTCCCAGGGACAGCATTACCTTAGTAATTTTCTGGAAACACTCAGCTCACAGACACAGAACTGCACTTTACAGGAAGCTATCCATCTTCCTCAAAACAGTTCAGAAAAGGAATCCATTTTCTTTAATATAAATCCTCTTTGTCTTGAGATGTATAAATCATCCCTTCGAAAGAAGTCCTTTGAGGTATCAATTCAAGGCATTCTCTCAAAACATCATCCCTCAGAGCAGCCCTTCCATGGAAACTAATCCTTTGTGGCTGCCGAAACGCAAAATTCATCCCACTTTTCGCTGAATTTCCCATCAAAAGCCCTCTGTAGTCATCCTAGCAATTAGGATGGCATATTAGGGTCAGAATGACCTTAGCCAGGTGTAGTTACCTGGATATGACGAAGAGCAGAGATGAGAGTCTGTCTGGCACAGTGATTTCAAATTCATGATTCTCTTAATAATGAACATGCTTATTAAGTATCTCTTTATGGGAGAGAGAAGCTGTTGCACGTGCTCTTGTCAGCCCATGACTGGGTCACTTACTCATCCTTGGGTACCTTTGGAGGTGAAAGATAATGTTAAGACCATCTCTGTGCACAGTCTGGTTTTTGGGACATAGCAAATGATGATGGTGCCCTTTTCAGATTCCCTAGCCTCCACTTTACCAGTCTGATTTACTCATGTCCAGGTGCTGTGGGTGCTGTGGCTAATGGCTTACAGTAGCTGCCTTCTTTTGAGTACTGCTCTCAGGTGACTGCAGCCACCTTACCTGGGGATATCTGAGAATTACACCCACTTTCATGATTAATGCCAGAGCAACACGTAGTCATCACTGCTTGTTGTGGCTGGATGGGAGGAGATTTACAAAACCCTGCTCTCTTACAGCAAAACAGGACAGATCCAAGGTGCAATTTATGCTCCAGAGCTCCCTATGAGATCAGGTTGAGGCAAGACTTCACCTGAAAGTCTTATCCTTGTGTAGTTTCTGTCTCACCTCTGTCCTGTTCTCTTACTCCTTTATAGATTTCTTCTGAGAGCACTCCCTCAATAAATCACTTGGACACAAATCCTTGTCTCAGTCCCTGCTTTTAGGAAATGTAACTTAAACAGGTCCAACTCAAGCTGTTACAAAGACCTTGCAGGGAGTTATTTGTTCTCAGAGTGAGGGGGCTGTAGTGTGGTCCTGAAGTTCAGTTTAAATGTAACCTTAAGGTCAATTGCAACCTCTCTGGTCTTGATGACTACTAATTTTGTGCATAATACACTTACTTGAAGCTTTAGTCTGAAATCTATGGTTGTCTGCATTAGATGTGAATTGGATATTTCTAAGGAATGACATCTACTTTGGGCATTCTACACTGTCCTGGTTCACTGGATGGATTTCTCAAGCATGAAAGGGTATCTTGCTCTGAGTCTGTTGTTTAATTGGGCAATGAGAAAAACACAAAAATGAGGAAGGCTGTGGAAACTGCTTAATGAAAGTGCCCACGGCATGTACACCGGCTAGGAATTTTGAGACTTGAGAAATTACTTTGGGTTGCATGTAGCAAGGAAGAAGTTTTGACAAGTGGATTTGAATTGGGCCTAGGAGAATGAGTGGAGGACTTTATAAAGGGAGAGACTGTTGGCTTAAGGCTGGAAAAGATTTTGAGCCCTCCTGATAGCAGCATTTACTACCACACAGGGAAATAGTGAGGTGTAATTCACATTCCCTTTACTACAGGGGGCCCACAAAGAGGAGTGCATGGTAAAAGGGAACTTCCACACTCCCACTGAAGTTGACATAGGCATGTGATTGCTTTCGACTATTGAACTGTGAGGGGATAGGTGCCACTTCCAGGCACACATTTTCACAGCCATTATAGCACTCTGCGTCTCCCTTTCTGTTGCTGCTGCCATCATGGGAACATGTTGAGATGGAGTTTCTGAATCATGCCTTTCTTTCCAGAAAACACTGCAAACACATAAGCTATGTCCCTGGATAAATCACTTGCCTCATCTGAGTTTTGGTTTTCTCATCTACAGAATGATGAGAGTTGGGCTGTAATTCTCAGATTCCTTCTAGTTGATCTGATTCTTTGATAAAGGGCCCACAATCAAATTTAAAAGACTTTTGTCTCTTCTTGGAAACACAAAGAAATAGGGAATAGAAATGTCTTCTTAGTGAAAAGAAGTTGTTCCTTATAACATCAATGGATTAAAAAAATCAGAAATAGAAAAATAGAATTAAATGTCCTTTAGTCTTGTTGTAAACTTCTGACATTTAGAATCTGACTGCATAGACTTTTGTTCTCTCAAAAAACAAGAACCTGAATGCTCCCTAAGAACTGTGGAAAGTTAATGAATATGTTTGAAGCTCAAATGAATATTCCAGTAAAGTCAGGGGTCTTGTTTATCCCAATGGGTGTAGTTGTGTATTAAAGATCGTATGAAGTTCAATTTCTTTATTTTATTTTATTTATTGTGCAGAGAAACATCTGTTGTTAAGACTCATTTCTTTAGGGCTGTTGTGAACATATTTCTCCAAACCTATTTTGCTTCCTGTCATCCCAAATTCAGCCATAAATCCCCTTCTACTCTGTTTTGTGCATCGTTAGAAGCCACTTTGTGAGTAAAAGTGCTGCTTGTGTGTTGAGCTCTTGTTGCTTATATGCCATATTTGTCGCCTCCTTCTCAGCCTAGCAGGAAATTACCTTCTGCTCAAATGATCCCCTTTCCTTCTCTCACTCCACCATCATTTTAGGATAATTTTCTCTTTCCAGATGATGTTATGGAGTCCTTATGCTGACTGTTTGTGGCAGGGTCTCATGTCCTCATAGAAACAGAATTCTTATCTTGAATTAAAGAAAGGGATCTTAAACCTTCTGAAATCATCTGCTATTTAATTTTAGAGGACAGCCTTCTGTTACTCAATTTATACCCAGGTTTTATAGAATTTACACTTCTGTTAACAGGGTGTTAAAATAGGACTCTTCTATCTTTGTTTCAGTGGAGGCTGTAAAAATGTAATCACAAAAGAATAGATTCTTCCCCTCAGTTTCTAAAATGGAGTGCTAGACCTTCTACGCAAGGTGGTGAAAGAGGTCAGGGGGAAGCAGCTTTGTGACCCTTAATCAACCCTCAAATTGAGATTAAACATGATTGAGTTTGAAAAGGCTAAGAGGGAGAGAGAATATCTTTAAAGAAAGGTGGTGGATTGCTCTGTAACTTTCTCATTACGTCTGCATGGGGCAAGGAAGAGGGTGGTTATATCTGGTGAGACATAATTTAGAGACCCATTGGGGCCTTGATTTGTGTTCCCTGGAGTTTAGGGACTCTAGTGGACTGGTGACTGTCTCATGCCTGATAAGGTCCACAGAAGAGAACTGGATGGAACACCCTGTCTGGCATGGGAGTGAAGAAGGATGGTGGTGTTGGCAAACAGCAACCTTTCTACTCGATGTCAGTGGTAATTCAAGGTGCATGATTTTTCTAGGAATTGTGGACCTTCACTTGGGAGCTGGCCTGGAGGTATTTTGGATTTCACTCGAGGGGATGAATGGGCTCACAGATGGGCAGTGAAACCATGGGTAGGACATGGACAGACTGCCAGATGCCCAGGGCCTGAGGAAGGAGTTATAAGCAACTAAGGGCAGAAGAGGTATGGCTTGCACTAAGGCGGGGGCAATCAAGTGTTTTATGAGAAAGTTTCCTTGGAACCCATAAAAGCATCCCAAACAAGAAAGAGTTGTTTTTGAACATCAGTCAGCCTCTTAGTTCCCCTCCATCCCCACTGCAGAGGAGCAAATTCCCATTAAGTGGCTTTAAAGGGAGACAAGGCATTGAAAGAAGAAAGACATTGAGTCTTGTTTTTAACGTAATGGTATTACTTCTATTGAGTATTTTACTGCATATTGATAATACATTTCTTATCATGTATTGTTTGCTAGAGTTTGTTATTTTTTAGGGTATCTGTTTTTCTTTAGAATGTTATTATTCCATTTACAAATACTGAGTGTCAACTATGTGCTAGTAACTGGAGTATGTATTGGAAAACAAGCATGAAAATATGAATTTTGGATCTCAAGTCCTTTACGCTTTGGTAGGGGAGGCACATAGCAAACAGAAAATTTGAATGTAGTGTGTAAGGCCTCAATAATGTGTCATGGAACCATATATAGGGATAACGGAGCTTTGAGTTAAGCCGCTCTGCCTTTTGATAGATATATTCATGGCTGTAATTGTGTCTCTACCTACTATTTTGGTTGAAAACCATTGATATTGTTATGTAATATTTTCATTGTTCACTTCTAAATATTTTATAATTTGTGGTATGAGTTTTTTTTACCAGTAGTGTTACTTACTAGTGTGTTTTCAAATTTCCTGAAGTTTTTTTTTCTGCCTTTGGTTTATGCTTTCTAATTTTATTGTACTGATATCAGAAATAATTTGTAAGATAGTGATTCTTTGGTATTTGTTAAGGTTATGCTTGTATAACTATACATTTGTATCTACTTATATTTGTGGTCAATTTTTATATATGTTTCATGTGTGTTTCAAATGGATATATAGCCTGTAATGATTGGACGTAGGGTTCTGTATGTGTATATCAAGTATTGTTTAAACCTTATTTATCTTCACTAATTTTCAGTCTGCTAAATCTATACATTACCAAGAGACATATGTAAAAGTCTTCTACCTGATTGGATTTATCCAGTCCTCCTTGTAATTGTTTTTGCGTTATGTATTTTGAGGCTATGTTGTTATGTAATACTGGTTTGAGATTAAATGTTCCTTATGAATTGTTTTCTTTTGACATATAGAATATTCTTAGTTATTCCTTATAATTAAGGTAACTATATATATCATTTTTCATCCAAGCAGAGACATTTTTATAGTGCAAAGGGACATGAAAAATAATTGATAGATTTTAATTGATCTATAGCAGGTATAAACCAGACTCTCCTGTGCAAACGAGGATGTTGGGTCATCATATTTATGACACTTGTGCTTATGGTGAGTTTTTTCACATGTGTTTTCATTCTTTTATCTAAGCATAGCTCCATCAGGGCTGGTTGATGCTGTGAGAATCTCAAGGGGTTTGAGCCATGGAAATATCCCCTAGACTGGCTTTGCTTTTGTTTTTGAAGATACCTAGGGGACCACTGGCTCAGGGACAGTTCTTCAAATGATTTCTCTGGATATTCTCACAAATGTGGGTAGTAAAAATCTAGCCTCTCAAACTATGCAAAGCACAATCTCTGCAGCTTTGATACCTAACAGGACACTCTTTTCACCCTGAGTCTGAGCAGAAACAAGTTTTCTTGTTCTATGCCCTAGTGGGCTTTTTTCCCTTCCCACTGTGCCTGCAGCATTTAGAGGGTGTTGGTTCTAAAGGGTCTTTGTTCCAACTCAACACCTTTCACAGGCCTTGTCTGCTATCCTTCCTCTGGCAGTTTAAAAACCCAACATCTAGGTTGTTATTTGGTCTAATTCCCTTTGTTACTGCATCATCAACCCTCCCCTTGGCTAAGAGACCTGTTATAGAAACACAGCCTACTGAGGTCAGCCAAATGGGCTGGATGCTTTGGGCTTCACTTTGCAGAAGAACAGAAAGACACAGGAAAGGCATTGAAATTTCAGTCGTTCCATTTTCCCTCCAGCCTTAGCTTTTATAAGTGGGATAGAGTAGAGCAAATGCCTAATTTCTTATTTTACAAATAATGCAGGCTGCTTTTCCACTGGAAGGTAAAAGTCATTACAGCCAGTTTAGATATCACATAACAATTTTCTCACTCTTCTAGTCTGCTGGAAGCCTTGTGAGGAGAAAGAGATTGGGGCAGGTGGGTGAGGACCAGATCATGAGGGGCCACAGAAGCTGTGCAAAGGAGTTTATTTAGATCTGCTTTTTCCACTTAAGCAATTTATGACACCCTCCAACTTTATCTTTTGGCCAAAAATCCTCAAAATCTCCCAGTGTTAACTTAAATGATTGCATTGTGATTTTACCTAAATATTTACAGCTATAAAACCTGGTTTAATGTCGTTACATTTATAGCAGCTATGCAACTATGAAACCAAAGACAATTTACAAATTTAATACAAATAAAACTGTAAAACTAAACAAAATAAAATAAAAAAATTAATTCAATGTGTCAGATCACGTTGTTTTGGAGAAATCAAATTGTCACGCTCAATATGACAATGATCCTGCTATTGGACAGATTGTTTTGAGTTTGACTTGTACTGCATGTCAGAGATGACTCAACTCTTCGCCATTGTTGTCTATTCAAATACTGTGAAACCTTAATTTGGGCAGTGACATGAAGTACTTCAACCTTCATTTGGCCCAAGCCCATTATCTATTCAGCGTTTATTTCCGGACTTTCTTTCGTTAACCTGGAGAAATTAAAATAGTACTACCTGGTGCCATGTGGTTATTAACAGATGCAAATGTGGGCAGTAAAATGTCAGTTTAGTACTTGGTTTTAGAGTGGAAATCCAGATGATTCAGAATATAATTGTATTAAAAAATGTTAATACCATTGAAACGAACAGAGGAAAACATTCTTTTAGAGATTTTAAAGTCCTCTCGAATACACCCGAAGACCTCCACAGCTGAGATCTCAAATATTTTCCCAAAGATAACTGAAGTGTTTCTGATACTTCAAGTACAAGACTAGAAGGTCACCATGAGAGGGCACCACAGTGAAGGCAGAAGAGTGAGTGGTCTGCAGCAAGATGTCCTAAAGACCAACAGGGACTATGCTGAGGTTGGCAGGGGGTATAGCAGTAGATAATTGTGGTGTTCCCCTCAGACCCCCTCTTTAGGCTGATGCAGCTGCTGGGAATATCTGGTGTTCATGGTTCACAGCTGTGTCCTTCTCTGGGACTTGGCTTTAGTGACAGAGATCTTCCTTGCCCAAGGTTATGCCCCTTCCTGTGAACCTGCCCATGACCAGTGACTTGCTGATGTGGAGAAACAAAGGCCTCAATCTCAGGCAACATTGAAGGGCCATGAGAGCTCCAGAGCCCCCCATAGGATCAGCTGAGGCCTCAGTTGCAATTGCATTATGGGTCAGCATTGTCCTCACTCCCTTACAGGTGTAGCTCCTGAGAGGTCTCCCAGTAAAACAGCTGCATACCATTACTTATCTCAGAAACTGATTCTATAGTACCCAGTCTAAGACAGATGTTGATGGGACATGTGATAGAACAGATGGGAGCATACACTGCTGTATCCCCGGTACTCAGCACAGTGCCTGGCACATCACCGGCGATCTGTAAATCCTTGTTGAATGAGTGAATGAATGATAGATTTGAAGAAGCCAGGGATAACTGTCACAATCCTGGCCTTGGATATTGATTAGATGATGGGGTTATTGGGGGGAATATGATAAATGTAGATATTACAGGTTCTCTGATTTACATTTATTGCCTAATCCTGTGCTTTCTTTTTATGCCTGATTCCATACCTTCCCCTGACCCTCCACTATCTCCCCTACACACACCCTGTATGGTTTTCTTGAGGTGGCTAGTGTTTCAGGGAGTTTCAAATGAATTTTGAGACTGTGTCAGTAAGAATTAAATCTGTTGATGCCACCCTGACATTCCTATCTAATAACCTATAGTTGAGATGCTAGGTTTTCTGTTTTTCTGCAGGTGTCTGTGAAGTGTGGCAAATGCTCAGGAGTGATGAGTCCGGGTTTAGAGGGGCCTCATTGCACATAGATACATAAAATGAGAATAATTAAATTGGGTGAGGGGAGGAAATGCTTGGTTCTCTGATTGTTCCAAATTTCATTTCCGGAGGTGTCCAGGGAGTGCTTTCATGGTGGAGACAGGAGCATTACCATTTTAACGAGCCCAGTCTCCCTGTAGTTTATGGCTTCCTTTCACCCATGGCAAATCTGATGGGCAATTGCTTTTCCTCTTAAGGTGGCCTTTCTGGGATCCAAGATTAGGTCAGACACTCCTCCCCACTGTCAGGAAGCCTCATAAAGCCTGTTATGGCTCCTTCCTTTAATTGGAATTCCAGGCCATTAAGTAGTGGCCTAATTTGCTGCCATGGATTGTTTCTCATATTGACTTTGCCAAAGTAAGAAGCAAACCAGATTTGAGTATAAGTCTCCTCCTATGTTGTGTTACTTAAAGCGTCAGATTTGCATTTCTAAAAGAGAGAATAGTTGAATATGCTTTGGGGGAGGGGCCTAAGGAGTAGAAGTGGAGACACTTTAGTCAAACAGAATTATGGAAATGTAAAGGTAGCTGGGTATCGGGAATCAAGTATCCTCTGCTTTTCACTTTATACTTTTTAATCCCAGAGGTGAGGTCATGAATCTAAAGTCACAGAGTTGACTTAGGGCAGAGAGTTAAGCAGAACCTGGGCCATCTGGGTTTGCCAAATAGGAAGGCTTTGTAGGAGCTGTGAGGTTTCTCTTCTCATGACCGGCAGAACAGTTTCTGTTTTCCATCGGTAGAACGGTTGGACCAGAGACCGAGGGGGACAGTTAAGCTGTTGGTGCAAGTGTTCTGTTTCTGATGTATGGCTCACTTGACCAGGACTGTCACCTTTCCCATACTAACAGTTGTCAGGAAATTGCACCTGCCAAACAAAGTCTTAAACAGGGAACACACTTCCTAGGTTATCAAGACTAGTTTGAGAAGTGTCTTAGACCAGTGGAATTGGAGTTTCTGATCAAACTCTGTATGAATTCTAAGCTTTCCAAACAAGAGCAGCTCACTCACTGAGGACCCAGCCCACAATAATCTATGATTGTGGTCATTATTGGTGTTCGGGCTTCCAGCCGCAGGTTTCTCCCTGGAGTCTGCTTTTAAGATAGCAAAAGCTCTAGCGGGCATTTGGTACCAGCCACTGCCCGCAGACTGGCACTCTGTGTAAATCCCTTAGTCCTGCTGGATCCCTCGAACAAAGCTAATCTGCCATCTGACACCTGGGCTTGTCACCTTTAATTCCAGGCTTCTGAGCTGCTCTCTCCAGGGAAATAAAAGGTAGGATTTCTCTCCTTCCCTCACATACTCTTGACATCTATTATTCCACTCATGGGCATCTGCCTCAAGGGGCACCCAGCTGCACCTCTCTCCTCTTGTTTAATAATGTGAAGTCATTTCTGAGTTTTTGACCTGCCCATTTTTCAGTTTTAATTTTCAGGTAAAGGATTCCTGTGGCAACAGAACAGCTCCTTTTTAGAAGCTGTTTCTGTATAGAAAGTTTATGAACAAAGACAGACTTTAAAAAAAGAAGCTGTTTCCGAATGGTGGAATTATAGACATGAGGGTAATAGGGGAGGTATTTTGAGGCAGAGGATGTATTTCTAGGCCTCGACCTCTATCTTCACCACTACATAGCTAGGCTGGAGAGGGCGGGTTGGCTTTACCCTTCCTTCCAACTTCCAGTGATTGGGCAGATAGATTGACCCAATTTATCTAGGAGAAATAGCATTGCTGCTATGGGACAGGGGCAGGGCAGAGTATGTCTGTAACCTAGGGTGTCCTTTCTTTGGACCCAGAGTTTAGCCAATACATTAAACATACATGTACCAGTGAAAGGAAGAAAAAACATATATGAATATGAATCTATCTATCTATCATCTATCTATCATCTATCATCTATCTATCTGCCTGTTTATCATCTACCTATCATCTATCTATCTATCTATCAATCATCTGTCTCTACTATATTTTCTTCCTTGTGTATGTGTGTGTATACACACACTATTATATGTATACATTTTGCCCTCTACATCTGTGAGTTCTGCATCCATGTATTCAACCAACCTCAGTTCAAAAATATTGGAAAAAAAAATCACATCTGTACTGAACATGAACAGATATTTTTCTTGTTATTATTCCCTAGGCTATACAGTTTAGCAACTATTTACATAACATTTACATTGTATTAGGTATTATAAGTGTGTAGGTTATATGCAAATACTAAGCCATTTTATATGGGAGACTTGAGCATCTGTGGATTTTGGTATCCAAAGGAAGTTCTGGAACAAATCCCCCATGGATCCTGAGGGATGACTATATATGTATATGTATGTGTATGTTTACGTACGTACACTGGTGACCTTTAAATGTTTTGAAAGCACCTAAAACATAGTATATTAAATATCTTTCAGTTTGAAATACTGAAGTAGTTTCTATTTCTTGTGTTGTACTCTGGCTTTTAGGCATAGCTTGGAGATTCCTTTCTATGGAGGAATGGAGAATCAAGATAATTAGCTAATCTCCATCTCTGTGAGCTGGGTTTGAGAATTCTGCTTCTTCCTCAAAACTTGCTTCAGGAATTCCCAGGACTATTTACTTTACACATTCCCAACTTATGCATGCATCTATTTTGGTAGGGTGCAATTCAAGGACCACTGGGCAGGGAATCAGAGCACCTAAGATAGAGCACTTATCTCTCTCTAACTGGCTGCATGGCTTGGGGCAAGCTGGGCAACTTCCGTGAGCTTTAACTTCATCATCTGTAAAGGATTGGAACCCTCCCCTCTTGTATCAGAGGATTGCTATAAGAAACCAACATCAATAACAAGAACTGTCAAGTGACCAAATATTTACAGATAATTGTCAATATTCCAGGCTCCATGTGAAGCACTGGGAACACAGCTGAAAGTGAACAGTGGTGTGCTGGTAAACCAGCTTTCCATAAAAGAAAAGCCCTCATTTGTAGCATTGGCCAATGTCTGTGGTGTAAGTACTCCTACCATGGCTGATTTCAAGCCACTGACCTCACTGAATGCAGAATTAGGAATAAATGCATCCAATGAGCTCTCTTTCTCTCTTTTTTTTTTTTTGAAATGGGGTTTCTCTCTGTCGCCCAGGCTGGCGTGCAGTGGCGCGATCTCGGCTCACTGCAAGCTCCGCCTCCCGGATTCATGCCATTCTCCTGCCTCAGCCTCCCGAGTAGCTGGGACTACAGGCGCCTGCCACCCTTGTGAACTTGCTCCAGGACACAACTGACACACAGCCTTGCTTGGTGTAAAGATTACGGCACAGAGACGGAGAGCCAGCCATCAAACACTTAGTCTGATTGCAAGCTGAAGTAAGTGCTATAAAGGCAAAGAATAGGACATGATGAGAAAATAATACGGGTGAAGTTAATTTAGGTGACTGGCCTGGGGAAATGTGACATTGAAGCTGAGACCCAAAGGATGAAGATGAGTTACTCAAGTAAGGAGAGGGAGGAGGAGGAAGCAGGAAGAACATCCCAGGTGTAGGAAACAGCATGTGTGAGAGCCTTGTGACCAGAATGAGTTTGGCGATTTGAAGGAAGGCAGTGAGCTCAGAGGGATTGCGGGTAGATGAGATTGCACAGGGAAACAGAGTCCAGATCATGTAGAGCCCTGCAGGCAGTGAAGCGTGTTGGGTTTAACCCAAAGCACACTGGGAAGTCTTTGAAAGTTGGAAGCCTGGATGTGACATGGATGATCGGGGCAAACATGCAAGTAGGAATGCTATTTAGGAGGTATCTGCAAAAATCCAGGAGAGAGAGGCTGCCTGTAATGGACATGGAGAAAAGTGGACTGATTCAAGATACAATTTGGAGGTAGAATTATTATTTACTGAACCTACTGTTATTTATGTTTTGAACCTTAAGTTTTTTTTAAATTTTATTTATTTATTTATTTATTTATTTATTTATTTATTTTTTACTGAGACAGAGTCTTGCTCTGTCGCCCAGGCTGGAGTGCAGTAGCATGATCTCAGCTCACTGCAACCTCTGCCTCCTGGGTTCTAGCGATTCTCCTGCCTCAGCCTCCCAAGTAGCTGGGACTACAGGCACACGCCATCATGCCCGGCTAATTTTTTGTATTTTTAGTAAAGACAGGGTTTCGCCATGTTAGACAGGATGGTCTTGATCTCCTGCCCTCGTGATCCGCTAAAATTGATCATTTGGTGTACAATTCTAAACATTTTAGCACATGGAGAGCCAGGTAATCATCACCACAACAGGATTCAGAACAGCCCCATCGCCTCCCAAAAACCTCCTAGTGCTATTTTTTTTTTTGTAGTCACATTCTCTCCCTCAACAGATCTAGAAGCCTAACAGATCTAGAAGAAGTAGGGTCATGACCTGATCCCGGTCAGAACCACTATTTATCTAGGTCCCAAATGTGTTACTGACAGTCCTGTATTTAGGAGCATCTAACAGACTCAGCCTTTCCCAGGGGGTTATTTCCACCCCTTGACCCTTCATAGACTTCTTACTCTACCAGTATGTTCAGTCCCCATCTTAATAGGCACAGAAGATGCAGGAAAAGCCTGTAGGAGTTATAAAAGCTCACCAAAATTTCCACATCCTGAGATATATCTACAAAGTCAGTAATGGGGGAAGGCAATCTATTTTTAGGCACATAAATAATTTAGGTCAGAATATTTCAGGTAGCATTGCATTATAGCTGAAAACAAACCTCAGTTTGAATGGTTATAAAGTGATTTCAATAAACATCATTTCTAAAAGCATAAGCATTTTAATTAGCTCATCTGTAACTCCACAGGGCCTGCTGAGATATAAATATACATATATATTCATAATATAGATTGTTGTGAATAGATTTCTTATTAGTTGCATCTCTCTCTTTCTTCCTCTCCCATTATTGTTTTTTTATTTCACAAAATGTCCTCTATCTTTGAGTGAAAGAAGAGTTCTGTTTACTTGTGTTCTGGGGTCATAGAAAATGGATAAAATTATTTTCTCTGGAAAACAGGAGGGTTCAGGATAGTTCAAATATCTCAATTTCCCCAAAGAACTTCATGTATCACTTCATCTAGAGTTCCCTGGTTCCAGGGAGGAACATATGAGTTAACTGAGGTCTTGTCATTGGTCCGGGCACTAGAATACAAGAGAGTACCCTACAGATGAGCAGCTAAAAGGGGAGCAGGGGAAAAAGAGAGAGACTTTCTTCCCAGCAATTCTAGGCTCTATTCTGGGTAAATAAAGGTTTTGTGTCCTTTTTCTTGCTGGGTCCTCTCAGGAGCACAGTGAGACACACTCTGATTTCCACACTGCAGATGGCCCACAGCATAACTTTTCCAAGGCTGTATAGTTATGCCTTGAATCCAGAATTCATGTCTGTGAAAGAAGACAGGCTATATCAGGGGTCAGCCATGCCTTTTGGTTCCAGTGATGTTCGAAGGTGCACTAGGAAGATGAGAGATCTTTTAAGAAAGTGGAGAAACAGAAGGAAACACAAGGCAATAAGTTAATATTAAAGGTGGAAATAGAGGGAAAACAAAAACAGCCCTTGACATCCGTGTTAGGCTGTTCTCTCACTGCTATAAAGAAATATCTGGGACTGGGTAATTTATAAAGAAAAGTGTAAGATCTGCAGGCCATACAAGCATGGCGCCAGCATCCGCTGGGCTTCTGGAAGGCGTCAGGAAGCTTTTATTCATGGCGGAAGGTGAAGCAGGGACAGGCACGTCACATGGTGAAAGCAGGAGCAAGGGGGAGTGGGGAGATGCTAAACACTTGTAAACAACCAGATCTTGTGACAATTCACTATCACAAGAACAGCACCAAGCCATGAAGGATCTGCTCCCAAGACCCAAACACCTCCCACTAGGCCCCACCTCCAGTATTGGGGATTACAATTCAACGTGAGATTTGGGCAGGGACAAATATCCAAACTATATCACCATCTATACCAGCGAGAACTTCTGTAAGACACTTTGGAGTTTGCAGAGTTCTTTTATGTCTACTGACTTATGATTTCAGAGGCATTGGTGGAAAGGACTCAGATTTTGTAAATAGACATACTGGTTCTAAGCCCCTTTTGAACCACAGCTGAGAAAGTTGTGTGGCCTGAGAAATAGCCCTACCCCAGATTTGGAATTGAACTTTGCTTTGGTTATCTGTTGCTGTGTAACCCACTACCCTAAAACTTAGTGGGTAACAACAACCACAATTTTACCACAATTTATTTTCTCTCGTGACTCTGTGGGCTGACTACACAGGTCTCTTGCTTCATGTGGTGTCAGCTAGACTCTTGAGATGGCGAGTAGGTGCAAAATGCCCTGACTCATATGGCTGAGAAATGGTGCTTCCTGCTGATTGAGAGCTCAGCTGGGTTGTTGGCTGAGGGCCTTTGTGTTCATCCATGTGGGCCTTTCCATATGGCTGCTTGGGCTTCCTCCAAGCATGGTAGCTGGGTTCCAAGGAGGAGTGTTCCAAGTGAACAAGCCTTAACGTGCAAGTATATATCAAGCCTCCATTTGCATCATGTCTGCTAATGTCTCATTGGACAAAGATAGTCACATGGCCAAGTTCAGAGACAATATGGTAGGGGACTAAACAAAGACATGAATACTGGGAGGTTGGTTCACTGAGGCCATCAAAGGAACTGTAACAATCTACTACCATCTCGAAGAAACCATTTTGCAACCTCAGCACACAAAACATTGTTTGTGGCTCAGCCTCCATCTGAAACTTCATGTCCACCATAAACTTTCTTGCCAAATTCTAATAGAATGTTCCTTCTGATACTGAGTCACAACTGGACTGCCAGTTTTATGCACTGGTCTTTGTTCACTTCTTGTGGGACACAGTACCAGATATTACAAGCAACTTAGAAGAAATATGAGCTCTTATTCTTGCCTTAAGAAAACAGTTGTCCAAGTGCTGAGATGGGAACAAGAAAGAGCACATTGGTAAGGGAGGGGCAGAAATTCAGAGAAGAAAAAGATAAATGAAGGACAGAATGGGAAGAGAGGAATGCTTTCTTCCCTTTTACCATCTCTTCTTTCCTTCCTTCCCTGTTTTTGTCCTTCTTCCTTTCTATTCTCGTATTCTATACCCAACCTTTTCTGACCCTCTTCTCATCTTAGGTGTGAGATCATCCTAAGTAATAGTGAATCAGGCTCATCTATTGTATTAATTATCTATTGCTGTGTAACAAGTTATCCTAAAGTTTTGTGGCTCAGAACAACAATAAATATTTATTATCTTCTATATATTTTATGGGTCAGGAATTGAAGAGTGTCCAAGTTGGGTAGTTCTGGATCAAGGTACTCATAGCATAGCTGTCAAGATGTCATCTGGGGTGGAAGTCATGAGAAGATTTGAATGGGTCAGGAGGGCCTGCTTCCAAGGTGGCTCACTCACATGGCTGACAGGCTGGTGCTGGCTGTTGGTGAGTGGTCACATCCTCCCCATTTGAGCTTCTGCACAGGCTGCTGATTGTCCTATGACATGGCAGTTGGTTTGTCCCAGAGCAAGGAAGCCAAGAGAGGAGAGTCAGGTAGAAGCTATCCTTTTTATGACCTACCTTTAGAAGTCACATAGCATCACTTCTGCCTTGTTCTGTTCATTAGAAGGGAAACCCCAAGTGTAGTCTGCTTTCAATCAGAGGAGAATTAGCCTTCACCTTCTCAAGGGAGTAGTATCAAAGTATTTGCAGACATTTAAAAATTACCATATTCATGTTTTCAAAAGGATCCTCTTGAAGTCACTGAGTATATTCTGTCCCACTTCAGTAATTTCTGAGGTGGGAATAGGTGGGTGATAAGGAACTCTTACCATGCAGTGGACAAATGATTTTTCAGCAACCAAGTTCTTGTTCACCTTTGCAAGAAAGTTCCCTTCTCACACATGCTACAGCTAATGCTGACCCAGTGAGGCTGAATGATGGCTCTCAAATGCCAGAAAGCTTTCGAAAGGACAAAGAAGACTGGAATGGAGAAGGTGCACGAGTGACTGCTGTCAGTCAGGCAAATCATAAAGGCCAGTGCTCCCCTTGTCCAGTTAGAGAACCAGGCCCTTTTGAAGATGAACCTTCTGTGACTGTCCCTTTGCTTCCCTGAAATGAAGTGTATTTAGACCATGTGCTTATTTTTTACCTCCCCTCGTGTGCTCTGATTTATTAACGTGTGTTATACACTGAGTCAGTTTAATTAATTGTAGCTCATATGCTAATATCACTCTCCTTTCCCACTACTTTCCTTGAAGGAATCTGCAAAGATTAGATTTGACCTGCTGCTGTGAAAAATACCCAAAAGGAGGATGGTGAAAACTGGAGTAAGGGATCCTCAACTTTTGGAAAGAATTATCTGGGATATTAAAGGAATAGATAGGTTATGCTTTTTTTGGTTGTTGTCGTCCCTTTCTCTGTTCAGGTTTTCTACTGGGACTTTTTTGGAGTTGGTCTTGCTCAGGCTGGGTTCTGCCTGGCCAGCTCAGTTGTAAGTAGGAGAGTCTTTTTTTTTTTTTTTTTTTTAATTATTATACTTTAAGTTCTAGGGTACATGTACACAACGTGCAGGTTTGTTACATATGTATACATGTGCCATGTTGGTGTGCTGCACCCATTAACTCACCATTTACCTTAGGTATATCTCCTAATGCTATCCCTTCCCCGTCCCCCAATCCTACGACAGGCCCTGGTGTGTGATGTTCCCCACCCTGTGTCCAAGTGTTCTCATTGTTCCATTCCCACCTATGAGTGAGAACATGCGGTGTTTGGTTTTCTGTCCTTGTGACAGTTTGCTGAGAATGATGGTTTCCAGCTTCATCCATGTCCCTACAAAGGACATGAACTCATCATTTTTTATGGCTGCATAGTATTCCATGGCATGTATTGCTACATTTTCTTAATCCAGTCTATCATTGATGGACATTTGGGTTGGTTCCAAGTCTTTGCTATTGTGAATAGTGCCGCAATAAACATACGTGTGCATGTGTCTTTATAGCAGCATGATTTATAGTCCTTTGGGTATATACCCAGTAATGGGATGGCTGGGTCAAATGGTATTTGCAGTTCTAGATCCTTGAGGAATCGCCACACTGTCTTCCACAATGGTTGAACTAGTTTACAGTCCCACCAACAGTGTAAAAGTGTTCCTATTTCTCCACATCCTCTCCAGCACCTGTTGTTTCCTGACCTTTTAATGATCGCTATTCTAACTGGTGTAAGATGGTATGTCATTGTAGTTTTGATTTGCATTTCTCTGATGGCCAGTGATGTTGAGCATTTTTTCATGTGTCTGTTGGCTGCATAAATGTCTTCTTTTGAGAAGTGTCTGTTCATATCCTTTGCCCACTTTTTGATGGGGTTGTTTGATTTTTTTCTTGTAAATTTGTTTAAGTTATTTGTAGATTCTGGATATTAGCCCTTTGTCAGATGGGCACATTGTAAAAATTTTCTCCCATTCTGTAGGTTGCCTGTTCACTCTGATGGTAGTTTGTTTTGCTGTGTAGAAGCTCTTTAGTTTAATTAGATCCCATTTGTCAATTTTGGCTTCTGTTGCCATTGCTTTTGGTGTTTTAGTCATGAAGACCTTGCCCATGCATATATCCTGAATGGTATTGCCTAGGTTTTCTTCTAGGGTTTTTATGGTTTTAGGTCTAACATTTAAATCTTTAATCCATCTTGAATTAATTTTTGTATAAGGTGTAAGGAAGGCATCCAGTTTCAGCTTTCTACATATGGCTAGCCAGTTTTCTCAGCACCATTTATTAAATAGGGAATCCTTTCCCCATTGCTTGTTTTTGTCGGGTTTGTCAAAGATCAGATGGTTGTAGATGTGTGGTGTTATTTCTGAGGGCTCTGTTCTGTCCCATTGGTCTATATCTCTGTATTGTTAACAGTACTATCCTGTACTGTAGCCTTGTAGTATAGTTTGAAGTCAGGTAGCATGATGCCTCCAGCTTTCTTCTTTTGGCTTAGGATTGTCTTGGCAATGAGGTCTCTTTTTTGGTTCCATATGAACTTTAAAGTAGTATTTCCCAATTCTGTGAAGAAAGTCATTGGTAGCTTGATGGGGATGGCATTGAATCTATAAATTACCTTGGGCAGTATGGCCATTTTCATGATATTGATTCTTCCTATCCATGAGCATGGAATGTTCCTCCACTTGTTTGTGTCCTCTTTTATTTGGTTGAGCAGTAGTTTGTAGTTCTCCTTGAAGAGGTCCTTCACATCCCTTGTAAGTTGGATTCCTAGGTATTTTATTCTCTTTGAAGCAATTGTGAATGGGAGTTCACTCATGATTTGGCTCTCTGTTTGTCTGTTATTGGTGTATAGGAATGCTTGTGATTTTTGCACATTGACTTTGTATCCTGAGACTTTGCTGAAGTTGCTTATCAGCTTAAGGAGATTTTGGGCTAAGACGATGGAGTTTTCTAAATATATAATCACGTCATTTGCAAACGGGGACAATTTGACTTCCCCTTTTCCTAATTGAATACCGTTTATTTCTTTCTCTTGCCTGATTGCCCTGTCCAGAACTTCCAACACTATGTTGAATAGGAGTGGTGAGAGAGGGCATCCTTGTCTTGTGCCAGTTTTCAAAGGGAATGCTTCCAGTTTTTGCCCATTCAGTATATTGGCTGTGGGTTTGTCATAAATAGCTCTTATTATTTTGAGATATGTCCCATCAATATCTAATTTATTGAGAGTTTTTAGCATGAAGAGCTGTTGAATTTTGTCGAAGGCCTTTTCTGCATCTATTGAGTAATCATGTGGTTTTTGTCTTTGGCTCTGTTTATATGATGGGTTACGCTTATTGATTGCGTTATGTTGAACCAGCCTTGCATCCTAGGGATGAAGACAACTTGATCATGGTGGATAAGCTTTTTGATGTGCTGCTAGATTCGGTTTGCCAGTATTTTATTGAGGATTTTTGCATCAATGTTCATCAGGGATATTGGTCTAAAATTCTCTTTTTTTGTTGTGTCTCTGCCAGGCTTTGGTATCAGGATGATGCTGGCCTCATAAAATGAGTTAGAGAGGATTCCCTCTTTTTCTATTGATTGGAATAGTTTCAAAAGGAATGGTACCACCTCCTCTTTGTACCTCTGGTAGAATTTGACTGTGAATCCATCTGGTCCTGGACTTTTTTTGGTTGGTAGGCTATTAATTATTGCCTCAATTTCAGAGCCTGTTATTGGTCTATTCAGGGATTCAACTTCTTTCTGGTTTAGTCTTGGGAGGGTGTATGTGTCCAGGAATTTATCCATTTCTTCTAGATTTTCTAGTTTATTTGCATAGAGATGTTTATAGTATTCTCTGATGGTAGTCTGTGTTTCTGTGGGATCGGTGGTGATATTCCCTTTATCATTTTTTATTGCGTCTATTTGATTCTTCTCTCTTTTCTTCTTTATTAGTCTTGCTAGCGGTCTATCAATTTTGTTGATCTTTTCAAAAAACCAGCTCCTGCATTCATTGATTTTTTGAAGGGTTTTTGTGTGTCTATCTCCTTCAGTTCTGCTCTGATCTTTGTTATTTCTTGCCTTCTGCTAGTTTTTGAATGTGTTTGCTCTTGCTTCTCTAGTTCTTTTAATTGTGATGTTAGAGTGTCAATTTTAGATCTTTCCTGCTTTCTCTTGTGGGCATTTAGTGCTGTAAATTTCCTTCTACACACTGCTTTAAATGTGTCCCAGGGATTCTGGTATGTTGTGTCTTTGTTCTCATTGGTTTCAAAGAACATCTCTATTTCTGCCTTCATTTCGTTATTTACCCAGTAGTCATTCAGGAGCAGGTTGTTCAGTTTCCATGTAGTTGAGTGGTTCTGAGTGAGTTTCTTAATCCTGAGTTCTAGTTTGATTGCACTGCAGTCTGAGAGACAGTTTGTTATAATTTCGGTTCTTTTACATTTGCTGAGGAGTGCTTTACTTTGAACTATTTGGTCAATTTTGGAATAAGTGCGATGTAGTGCTGAGAAGAATGTATATTCTGTTGATTTGGGGTGGAGCATTCTGTAGATGTCTATTAGGTCTGCTTGTTGCAGAGCTGAGTTCAATTCCTGGATATCCTTTTTAAGTTTCTGTCTCATTGATCTGTCTAATGTTGACAGTGGGGTGTTAAAGTCTCCCATTATTATTGTGTGGGAGTCTAAGTCTCTTTGTAGGTCTCTAAGGACTTGCTTTATGAATCTGGGTGCTTCTGTATTGGGTGCATATCTATTTAGGGTAGTTAGCTCTTGTTGTTGAATTGATCCCTTTACCATTATGTAATGGTCTTCTTTGTCTCTTTTGATCTTTGTTGGTTTAAAGTCTGTTTTATTAGAGTAGGATTGCAACCCCTGCTTTTTTTTGTTTTCCCATTAGCTTGGTGGATCGTCTTCCATCCCTTTATTTTGAGCCTATATGTGTCTCTGCATGTGAGAAGGGTCTCCTGAATACAGAACACTGATGGGTCTTGACTCTTTATTCAATTTGCCAGTCTGTGTCTTTTAATTGGAGCATTTAGCCCATTTACATTTAAGGTTAGTATTGTCATGTGTGAATTAGATCCTATCTTTATGATGTTCGTTGGTTATTTTGCTTGTTAGTTGATGCAGTTTCTTCCTAGCATCGATGGTCTTTACAATTTGGCATGTTTTTGCAGTGGCTGGTACAGGTTGTTCCTTTCCATGTTTAGTGCTTCCTTCAGGAGCTCTTTTAAGGCAGGCCTGGTGGTGACAAAATCTCTCAGCATTTGCTTGTTTGTAAAGGATTTTATTTCTCCTTCACTTCTGAAGCTTAGTTTGGCTGGATATGAAATTCTGGGTTGAAAATTCTTTTCTTTAAGAATGTTGAATATTGGCGCCCACTCTCTTCTGGCTTGTAGAGTTTCTACCAAGAGATCAGCTGTTAGTCTGATGGGCTTCCCTTTGTGGGTAACCCGACCTTTCTCTCTGGCTGCCTTTAACATTTTTTCCTTCATTTCAACTTTGGTGCATTTGACAATTATGTGTCTTGGAGTTGCTCTTCTCAAGGATTATCTTTGTGGCATTCTCCGTATTTCCTGAATCTGAATATTGGCCTGCCTTGCTAGGTTGGGGAAGTTCTCCTGGACAATATCCTGAAGAGTGTTTTCCAACTTGGTTCCATTCTCCCTGTCACTTTCAGGTACACCAATCAGATGTAGATTTGGTCTTTTCACATAGTCGCATATTTCTTGGAGGCTTTGTTCGTTTCTTTTTACTCTTTTTTCTTTAAACTTCTCTTCTCACTTCATTTCATTCATTTGATCTTCAATCACTGATACCATTTCTTCCACTTGATTGAATTGGCTACTGAAGCTTGTGCATGCATCATGTAGTTCTTGAGCCATGGTTTTCAGCTCCATCAGGTCATTTAAGTTCTTCTCTACACTGTTTATTCTAGTTAGCCATTTGTCTAATCTTTTTTCAAGGTTTTTAGCTCCTTTGTGATGGGTTCGGACATCCTCCTTTAACTCGGAGAAGTTTCTTATTACTGATCGTTTGAAGCCTTCTTCTCTGAATTCGTCAAAGTCATTATCCGTCCAGCTTTGTTCTGTTGCTGACGAGCAGCTGCATTCCTTTGGAGGAGAAGAGGCGCTCTGATTTTTAGAATTTTCAGCTTTTCTGCTCTGTTTTCTCCCCATCTTTCTGGTTTTATCTACCTTTGGTCTTTGATGATGGTGACGTCCAGATGGGGTTTTGGTTTGGATGTCCTTTCCGTTTGTTAGTTTTCTTTCTAACAGTCAGGACCCTTAGCTGCAGGTCTGTTGGAGTTTGCTGGAGGTCCACTCCAGACCCTGTTTGCCTGGGTATCTCCAGTGGAGGCTGTAAAACAGCAAATATTGCAGAATGGCAAATGTTGCTGCCTGATCCTTCCTCTGGAAGCTTCATCTGAGAGGGGCACCCAGCCATATGAGATGTCAGTCAGCCCCTACTGGGAGGTGCCTCCCAGTTAGGCTACTCAGGGATCAGGGACCCACTTGAGGAGGCAGTCTGTCTATTCTCAGATCTCAAACTCCATGCTGGGGGAACCACTACTCTCTTCAAAGCTGTCAGACAGGGATGTTTAAATCTGCAGAAGTTTCTGCTGCCTTTTGTTCAGCTATGCCCTGCCCCCAGAGGTGGAGTCTATAGAGGCAGGCAGGCAGGCCTCCTTGAGCTGCGCTAGGCTCCACCCAGTTTGAGCTTGCTCCCCCAGCCTCGCTGCTGCCTTGCAGTTCGATCTCAGACTGCTGTGCTAGCAGTGAGCGAGGCTCTGTGGGCATGGGACCCTCCAAACCAGGCATGGGATATAATCTCCTGGTGTGCCGTTTGCTAAGACCATTGGAAAAGTGCAGTGTTAGGGTGGGAGTGTCCCCATTTTCCAGGTATTGTCTGTCATGGCTTCCGTTGGCTAGGAAAGGGAATTCCTCGACCCCTTGCACTTCCCTGGTGAGGTGATGCCCTGCCCTGCTTCGGCTCATGCTCTGTGGGATGTACCCACTGTCTGACAAGCTCCATTGAGATGAACCTGGTACTTCATTTGGAAATGCAGAAATCACCTGTCTTCTGTGTCACTCATGCTGGGAGCTGTAGACTGGAGCTGTTCCTATTCAGCCATCTTGGAACCTCATCAGTAGGAGAGTCTTCAGCTCAGTGTCTCGGTTTGAGTTCTTGTTATAATAGCACTAGGCATAATACTGGGCATACAGTGGATGCTCAGGAGATGACTATGGAATAAGCAAGTAGGATAGGGTTTGGAGAGGAGAATGAGGCTTGGGCTGAAAGCTGAACTGAGTTCTAGTTTTGGATCTCTTGCTAAGCATGTCATCACTTGAGTCTCTTGGACTTGACTTTTTTTGTGTGTGTGAAATTGGAGAGTCAGAGGTAGGTTGGGGATCCCAGGCATTCCATGGTTCTGGGATAGTGACATGGTTTGAAGGAATTAGAACTGTAGTCACCAGATGTGGCAATATTTAGAGAGATGCTTTAGCTCAAGACCAGCTCTATCCTGATAGGATGGCAGAAACTGGAGATAGAAGCCCCTTGTGACCTGGCGCAGGTTGAAGACCCTCTCTGGACCACACTTGAGCCATCTGTAGAATAAAGAGGAAGTGGCTGCTTTTCTAGCTCTAGGTCCTCTGCTTCTAAATACTTTTTCCATCAGCAGCTGTACTAAGTGAGGATCCCATGATATTACTTGGACAATGCCAAACATTGGTGATAGAACACATTCAGCATGTCCTGGAGATGCTGGGGACTCTTGTTTCCTGAAGGAGACTGTCAAGAGGGTAAGATAGAGCCTCTTTTCAGTCATGAGCTCTCTGCTGTAGTATTCTCTTGCAAGTTTGAGAATGATCTAAATCTGGGCATTCAGAGGGCTGTTGATTCTGAATCTTTTAGAGGGGAGGCAATTGTTAAGATAATGGAGTACAACTCCTTCATTCTTCTCACGAAGAACCTGGAACTCTGGAGAGGTGAACTACATAACAATTTAGCAAATTAATGAGTAGGCTCAGACCAGCACTTTGGTGACTTCTCATGGAAAGTTTCTTTCTATACTAAGCCTACTCCTGCCTTCAAGGAGTTCTATAGATTTCCATTGTCAGTATCAAGTAGGTGGATGTCTAGGGTGTAGCACAGTGCCTGCCACATATAGCAGGTGCTCAATAAATACTGGCCAAAGAAACAATGTGCACAACTGTTACAGGCTCTTCCAATAGTAAAGACTAGGATTTGTCATGTGGATTCCAAGTTAGTAGTCATTCTTCCACGCCAAATTCCTCATTCCCTACTGCCTTCACTTTTGAACCTTTTTGTAAATACTCAGAGATATTCTTTCCTTTTATTTACTTTATAGATTGTATAAAAGACCATATCCCAGTCCACTTCTACTGTAATAATAAGACCTGGACACATGGATATTATGGCTTATGTGCAAAAACTGGGTCACTTTCAAACTAATTTGTAGAACTTGTCCAAGGGAAGGATGTGTAAAGTCTTGATTTAGGATTTAAACAAAGATGTGCAAATAAAAAAACAGATGTCTCTTTATTGATTTAGGAAATTGTAATGTCAAAAGTTATTTATAAAAGTCTCACTCCTTTTGTATTCCTAAAAACTCATTTTCACTGCTATTAATTTGCTACTTTGTGTCCTCAATAAGGGTATTACAAATTTAATTGATTTTGAACTCACTGATTTTGAACTTAATGAAATTGTTTATTTCAGTAACTTCACTTTCTTTTATTTTCTTCACCATTAAACTTGGTGATATGAATCCCAAACTGATTTACCTAACAGCCAAAGGGGTGAAAAATAAGAGATCTCAATTTTTTGGAAGTTTTCCAATTTTATATCCTAGATGACATACTGGTTCAAGAAGTCATTTTGGCTCCTTTTCTTGAAAGATGTTTTCTTTAAGTCTCCATATTTGTCTTGCTGTTTAAGAAGAAATTGATTCTCTACTCTGCTTAAAGAACATTTGATGACTTCCCATTTTCCTGAAGAGAAGCTTTAAATGTTTAACATGGCATTCTTAGCTCTTGATGATCTGGCTGCCAATGTACCTCATTGTCTATATTCCTTCTTGTTACTCCTGCCACACATTCTTTGCTCCTTGTCCCTCAAAAACAGTAAAAATTTTAGTAACAACAGTGTATTAATTATCTCTTGCTGCATAACAAGTTATCCCAAGCATTAGGTATTATTTCTTGGATTCTGTGGGTCGGGAATCTGAGCACAGCTTAGCTGGGTTCTCTGCTTCAGGGTTCCTTCTCTTACAAGACTGCAGTCAAGGTGTCAGCGGAGGCTGCAGTCATCTCAAGGTTCACCTGGAGCAGAAACTGTTTCCAAGCTCACTCATGTGGCCGCTGGTAGAATTCGGTTCCTCCTGGACTGTTAAGCTGAGGGCCTCAGCTCCTTGTTGGCTGTTGGCCAGAAGTCACCTTCAATTTCTTGCCAAGTGGCCCTCTCATCAAATCACGCATGAAGGGGAGTGGGTGGAGAGAGAGAGGGAGAGAGACAGCAAGAGCGAGTGGGACAGAGAGAGAGAGAGAGAGAGAGAGAGAGAGAGAGAGAGAGAGAGAGAGAGAGAGAGAATCAGCAAGTTAGAAAGCTGTCTTTTGTAACCTAATCAGGGAAGTGACATCTCATTACCTTTGCTGCTTCTAGTGGTTAGAAGCAACCAATGGAATGACCAGCACATTGTAAAGGGGAGAGGCTCTATAAAGGCGTGAATACCAAGAGTTGGAGATAATTTAGAGTCATGTCAGAAGCTGCCAACCACAAACAATATATACGGTTAACAATTACTGAGTATGTACTATGTAACAGACACACTGTTAAGACCTTTCCCATATAGTATTTCATGCAGTCCTTACAAAAATTCTAGTCAATGGATAATGTTTTCATTTCAATTTCATCTCAAAAGGGTTAAATAATTAGCAAGTGGCAGAGGCAGGATTTGAGCCCTGGTTAGGGCAAGAGACAACGTCCTTATTTCTCCATCCTCAGAGCTCAGCACTGACTCTGTGACACAAGAACCTAGTAGGTATTGAGTAACTGCAAAATAAATGAATGAACGAATGAATGCAGACTTGGGTCCCACTGCAACTACTTTTGCCCAAACTCTGGTCCTAGGCCTTGACCCAGTCTAAATAATACATAAATTACCATGTGGTTAAATAGGGCTGAATTATATTTAATCAGTGAGGAGAACTCTGAATTTTAGGTGCAGGACTCAAGAGAGGAGATGTGGTTTTGTAATTTTTTCTCATGTATAGTCACCTGTCACTTAATGATGGAGATAAGTTCCAAGCAATGCAACATCAGGCAAATTTGTCATTCTGCAAACATCATAAGGTATACTTACACAAAGCTAGATGGTGTAGCCTACTACACACCTAGGCTATATGGTGTAGCCAGTTGCTCCTAGGCTACAAGCCTATACAGCATATTATTGTACTAAATACTCTAGGTGATTATAAAACAGTGGTAAGTATTTGTGTGTCTAAGAATATCCAAACACAGGATGGGCACAGTGGCTCACCCCTGTAATCTCAGAACTTTGGGAGGCACAGGCAGGTGGGTTATGAGGTCAGGACATCGAGACCACCCTGGCTAACATGGTGAAACCCTGTCTCTACTAAAAATACAAAAAATTAGCCGGGCGTGGTGGCACACGCCTGTAGTCCCAGCTACTCAGGAGGCTGAGTCAGGAGAATTGCTTGAACCAGGGAGGCGGAGGTTGCAGTGAGCCGAGATCGTGCCACTGCACTCCAACCTGGGTGACAGAGTGAGACTCTTCTCAAAAAAAAAAAAAAAAAAAAAGAATATCTAAACACAGAAAAGGTACAGTAAAAATATGGTATAAAAGAAAAAACGGGCCGGGCGCGGTGGCTCACGCCTGTAATCCCAGCACTTTGGGAGGCCGAGGTGGGTGGATCATGAGGTCAGGAGATCGAGACCATCCTGGCTAACAAGGTGAAACCCCGTCTCTACTAAAAATACAAAAAATTAGCCGGGCGCGGTGGCGGGCGCCTGTAGTCCCAGCTACTCGGGAGGCTGAGGCAGGAGAATGGCGTGAACCCGGGAAGCGGAGCTTGCAGTGAGCCGAGATTGCGCCACTGCAGTCCGCAGTCCGACCTGGGGGACAGAGCGAGACTCCGTCTCAAAAAAAAAAAAAAAAAAAAAAAAAAAAAGAAAAAACGGTACATCTGTATGGGTCACTTTGCCATGAATGGAACTTGTAGGACTGGAAGTTGCTCTGGGTGAGTCAGGGAGTGAGTGGTGGATGAAGGTGACCCTAAGGCATTACTGTACACTACTTAGACCTTATAAACACTCTACACTTAAGCTACACTAAATTTATTAAAATTTTTTTCTTCAATAATAAATTAATCTTTGCTTACTATAACTTGTTTACTTTATAAGCTTTTTACTTTTTTAAACTTTTAAACTGTTTTGTAATAACAGTTTACAATATAAACACATTGTACAGCTATACAAAAATTTTCTGTATATTCTTGTTCTATAAGCTTTTTCCTATTTAAAAACTTTTTTATTTTTTACATTTTAAGCTTTTTTTGCTAAAAACTAAGACACAAACACACATTAGCTTAGGCCTCCACAGGGTCAGGTCATCAATATCACTGTATCCCACTTCCTAATCTTGTTCCAATGGAAGGTCTTCAGTGGCAATAACATGCAAGGATCTGTCATCTCCTGTGATAACAATCCTGCTTCTGGAATAACTCCAGAATGACCTGCCTTGTTTCACAGAGGTTGTTTTACGGTTAACTTAAAAAAAAATAAGGATAAGGAGTATACTCTAAATAAGAAGCATAGTATAGTAAACACATAAACCAGTAACACAGTTATTTATTATCATCATCAAGTATTATGTACTGTACATAATTGCATGTGCTATACTTTTATACAACCGGCAACACAATTAAGTTCGTTGACACCAGCATCACCACAAACAGGTCAGCAGTGTGTTGTGCTACAATGTCGCAATGCCTATGAATCACTAGGCAATAGGAATTTTTTAGCTCAATTATAAATCTTGTGGACCACCGTTGTATATGCAGTCTGTTGTTCACTGAAATGTCATTATGCAGGACATGACTGTAGTAAAAAGCAGACTTCATTACTACTGAGAACTTCAAAAGGATATCCAAGAAATTAGAATGCCAACACCCAGGATGAGAGATTATGGAGTTGTAAAGGAAACTGCTACAAACTTGAGAGGAATATTACAATAGTGTTAGGAAGGTGGAATTAGTAGCTAGCAGCTGGCATGCTTTTAAATCTGACTTCTCTTTCTTAAAGACAAATAAGATTGTCTTAGTCTGTTTATGCTGCTATAACAAAATACCACAAACTGTGTATCTTATAAACAACAGATATTGGTTTCTTACAGTTCTGGAGGCTGGGAAGTCCAAGATCAAGGCAGATTTGGTGTCTGGTGAGGACCTGCTTTCAGACTCACAGACTGTGCCTTCTGACTGTGTTCTTACACGACGAAAGGGGCAAGGGATCTCTTTCAGACCTCTTTTGTAAGGACAGCAATCCCAATCATGAAGGCTGTGCTCCCATGACCTAATCACCTCCCCAAGGCCTCACATCTAAAACCATCAACTTATGAATTTTGTGGGGGACATCAGCATTCAGACCATAGTAGGGATTAAAGGCAGCAAACAAAGAACTAGCTGAACTGGAGACAAAGAAATTATTCTGTGTCTGTGGAAGAATGGATTAAGAAAGAGTGGGCAAGCAAGGAGTAGGGACAAAGAGAGGAGGGTTGTTTTTGCATCTGGCCCTTAACTCAACAACTTTCTTTTGTATCTCTCCACTTTCAGGATTCACTGAGGTTGTTGGGCTCCTGTGGGAATAGGTTAGGTGGACGCAATTATCATGGCTGATAAATAAATGGCATTATAGTGTCACAATGAAACTCAGCACTTGAGAATTCACAACACTGGGCAGTTTATGAAGTACTTTCTCATGGGGTCTTATTTGTGCCTTCGATGACCTCTGAAGTGATATTGTCAAGAAGACTGGACAGACCTGTCATTTGACCAGCACCCCTTCTCCCTGTGAGGAGAAGGGGCATGGCAATCAAATCGTCATAAGCTGGCCCAGTGAGAATGGACCAAAGTCCCAGTGTTTAATGACATTAGGCAAATAGTTGGGCAGCACACTGGGCCGGTGAACTCTAAGGGCTGGGGCCTCCCTTTCTTGGGATATGCACTGTCAACTGTTGCCTCTGAGTCTCTCTATTATGGGGTCAAAGTAGAGCTCTCTCCCCCTTCTGATGGACACTTTTTTTGTTGTTGTTGATGTTGTTGCTGTCCTGATTAATGCCATGGATACAAATAAAGCCAGTTCATTGCTCTTGTTGCAGATGGCACGAAAAACATTTTGTCTCAGATGCCATTTGCACAAGTGACCTCATCCATTATGTATTGGTTTTATAATTTAGCCCAGCCTTTCAGATGCCCATGGAATGTCACCTACTCATGGGCATTATTATTCACAGCTTATAAAAGGAAAACAAGGCTTAGAGAAGTTGGTATGGGAGATTTTTCAGACATTTTTTTTCAGAGGTTCATGAAAGCCATAAATAAAGCCTCTCAGAAAATGGGAGAATCTAATGCAGGTTTATGACTCCAAACTCTGAGTTCTATGCACCCTCATGCCTTCTCCACGTTGGTTCCCTGCAGAGTTAGAATGAGGAGATTCCCATTGTACTGCCTCTTTTATTGCACAATCATATCTGGATGTGCTATATTGTTGTGTGAGGTTGGATGATGAGGAACAGGGAAGCTTGAGAGAAGTCTGGATAGAGAAGAGTAAACTTGAAGAAAGTAGGAACCAAACAAAGCAGGACTATGGAGATGCGTACTTTCTCCCATCTTGGGGAAAAATGAGTGATTTAGTGAAATAGAGGACTTGAGAGATAGGTGCAAAATGGGTGATGCCATGACCAGGACCTGCAGTCTGACTTCCAGGCTGGGCTAGCCTAATCTTTGTCCATCATTTTTTCTTTCACTGGAGCACCTCTCCTGCTAATACATGGCTGTGTCACTGGGTGACAGAAGCTGTTGTCTTGCCATCAAGAACACTTGGAGGTGATGGGTAGGAGGCAGCTGCTGTCCCCAGAGGTTTGGAATGCAGCAGGAACAGCTCCCACAGTGGTGTACACCCTGATTCATTTTCAATCTAAAATAATTAATGTTTGATCAACAGATTAAAAATGTAATTAGGAATGGGTGCATGTTCATTCAGATAGAATATCCTCGGGCACACTATAGTCTCTTTTCCTCTCCACTCATGCCCACCTACAGGTGGTGTTTTCAGACTCCCAAACCTTTTCCTTTTTCTTTTTTTTTTTGAGATGGAGTCTCGCTTTGTCTCCCAGGCTGAAGTGCAGTGGTGTCATCTTGGCTCACTGCAACCTCAGCCTCCTGGGTTCAAGTGATTCCCCTGCCTCAGGCTCCCAAGTAGCTAAGATTACAGGTGCATGCACCATGCCTGGCTAATTTTTGTATTTTCAGTAGAGACGGGGTTTCACCTGGTTGACCAGGCTGGTCTTGAACTTCTGAGCTCAAGTGGTCTGCCTGCCTCGGCCTCCCAAAGTGCTGGGATTATAGGGGTGAGCCACCGTGCCTGGCCTCCTTTTTCTGTTGGAGTGTTTATCTTTGTCTGCCTTGGCCCTGGCAAGATTTTTTTTCTCCCATTATCATGATAGCAAGTGAATTAGTGAGTGTTTTAGATCACATCTTACCTCCAAGAAGAAAGGGGAGATAAAAATAATCTCATATTTGCTCTAGGTTTGGTCAGCTCATTCCTGCTATGCAAGCATGTTAAAAGCAACCACTATAAAAAGAAGAAATTAACTCTGCAAAGCCAAAACCCAGAATTATAAGAGATGCTCAGCAAATCTTCACTATGGTCAGGCTCTTGGGCTGGGCAGGTACCACCCGGGAATGTAAGTGTGAAGTCAAGCATCCAAACACTGTGCCTGGGCCTAAGCAGACTCCATATGGGACTAGCTCCTTTCCTCACTCCCTGGTTCTGATGGAAAGTCATGGATGCTTGGCCTAGCTGTGATGATATGATGTGGAAATTTCAGTGTCCTGAGCAGAGGTGCTGGGAAAGGAATGGTAAAAGTTCCCTGGGGCAGTGTGGGCAATAGAGCAATTACCATGCTTCCCACTGGACTTCACAAGAGCCTCAGAATCCAGATGATCCTCTTCTGCCCTTCTCTAGAGGATAAGCCTTGCTGCTTTCCCAGGGAACCATAATTCTTCAGCACTTGATGGTGAAATTGTCTGTTTTTCAGCATCTCAGTTCCACAATTGCACCTCATTTACAGTATTGCTTAAGTGTCCCTGAGGGCCCCTGCAGAGCCACCAGAGAGTTTGTCCACAAAGAGAAAACTCTTCAAGCCTTTACCTCCCAGGATCTTACTGCATCTGCTGGCCTATCTGGTAGAAAAGCTGTAGGATTTTGACTTACATTTTTTTGGGGGGAGGGAGTAGAGTCACTAGGGGGTTGGCTTGAGCCAGGATGAGCGGAGAACCCATGGAAACAACTTAAGCCAACTTGATTTCTTTCAGAATCCCATGTGCTCACTCAAAGATTGCATGGGATTTACTGTTAAGGAACCAGGTGAGTCAAAATCTTTCTAAAGAGATTCTGAAAAATATCTCTTATTATTTCTTATTAAATTTAAATAACTCTTTTTGGGATTATAAATAAACTTTTCATTACTCACTTGAAGGTAATAAATCCTGTGATTATTCTGCTCTGAAGTATTATGTCCCAGCTTGCCTTTTCCTGCCATCCAACTTGTGCCTAGCTTTACCTCACCCACCACCAGTTGGTATGTGTTTAAGAAATGAAAAAGAATTTTAATATATGCCAAGGTAAAATATAATTAGTCTTGTAAATCTTCTGTTTAAAAGGGCATGAACAAATTCCCCAGACTAAATAGAAATTACTTCTGGATTGTCTTCTATTTTCAATTATTTCTATTATCTGTCCCTTTTTTTTATCATGGGTAATCAAAAGTTGATCATATTTTCAAGAAACTGAGCCAAAACAAAGCAGAGTAAACAAAAAACCATAATCAGGGGACAAGGTAGGGGGGAAAATGTGAATGAGCCATATAGATGCTTTGTGCATCAACTGTGTGTTTATCTATCCATCCATTCATCCATCCATCCATCCACTATTTAGTTTGTCTGTACATGTGAAGTATGATTCTTAGAGCTGGATATCAGGGTAGAAATCCCAAAGGCTTTAAAGTTACAATGGCCTGGGTTATAATTTTGACTTTAAATTTATGCTAGTTGTGAGTTCTACAAAACTCACGATTTCTGCAGCCTCAGGTTGCTCATCTCTACAATGGGTTTCCAAACCCCTCCTTTACAGGGGTTTGCTATTATGTACCTGGAACAATACCTTGTATATACGAGTTTCATAAATATTGTCTCTCTTGTTTCACGTTTCCTTATCCTTCTCCTGATTAACTGATAGGCACCTTGAAGAAAAGTCACATTAAAATGGAGCTTACCCAGACCTTCCTGTCTTGTCGTTTTTGTTAAGAGAAGTAATTGAAGAAAATAACAGTGAACAATGTGGCACATAAGACGGCCCAATGCACTCTAAAAGTTAATGTTTTCCAAGGATGTCTCATACCCCAGAAGATGAGACTCAAGCTTGCAGACCTGGAGCATCCTGGGATCTTGGCCAAGCCAAACATCCATGAGATGCCAACCATGCATTCCGTTATACTGGACTGGTCTTGTGGAGCTGCTGCCCAGCATCTCCCTTACGCTAGATGGAGCTACCATTCCATTATATGTTAAATTCCAGAGTTCAACAGGTGTGATTTCCTATTCCCATTCTATTAGTCCCTGTTAGAATCTGTTAGAACTAATCTCAACATGCCATCCAGCTGAGTTTGCCTCAGTGACTGTCAAGTGCCTGAGTCTCTCTGGCATTCTATCCTCAACTGTACTTTTATACTCTGTGGTTCTATTCCTCCCTTATTCCGGGATTTCTTAACCCAAGGTTTCCAGCACTATTGGCATTTTGGGCTGGTTAACTCTTTGTTATGGGAGGCTGTCCTGTGCATGTTTAGTAGCATCCCTGACTTCCACTCACTGGGTGCTGGTAATATGCCCTCAGCTATGACAACCAAAATGTTTCCAGGCCTTTCCAAATTTGGGGGGCAATATTGCCCCTGATTGGGAACTGCTGTTCTAATCTAACCCACACCTTCCATTATGCCCTCCGAAAGTGAAGTGTCACCAGGAAACTCATCTCTAACCTCGTCTCTGAATTTTTCTGTTTCCTTTCTCCAATTGGAACTTGGTATTCCCTTGGTTGTCTCAAATGGAGGCTGTTTCGTCTCCAACACAGTACCTACCTAAGAGCCAGGAGGTGAAATAAGTGTCCTCTTTGCTCCCCACTGATGCTTTGAAACAGGCATTTACCTTACAGCCCACAAAATCTGCCCCTTTCAAGCTTATAACATCTGGTAATGCTATTCTTTTCTACTCTTTCGTGTATGGTCCACTGACTGCCTCATCTCTCCCCCTTATTCACAGGAGAATTCAGTACTTGGTTACTTTCTTATTCTTCTAAACACTTCCTAAACACTGCCATCATTCTCAGTGTTTTTAGCATCCACACTGATGACTTCAACACCATGACCTCTTTGTTTCTGGCCTGATTTTCAATGACCAGTTAAATTACCAAATAAATGATGGAACACTGAAAACGTACCAGGCACTGTTCTAGATCCAAGGGCTACAGGAGCAATGGAATAGATATGATTTCTGCTCTCATAGAGTTTACATTATTAGAGTGGAGAAGTGCAAACAATATGCAAATAAATATATGAAAATTTCATTTTGATAGTTGCTATTAAAGGAATAAGCAGGCTCTTGTGGATAGGGAACAAGAGGGTTGGAGGGATGAATTTGCATAGCGGGGCAAGGAAAATCTTTTCTGAGGTGGTAAAATGTTGAGTTGAGACTTGAGAGATGAAAAGGTGTTGACCATGCAAACAGCAATGGGAGGAAAAATTCAGGAAGAAATGGGAAGTCCAAAGGCTTTGGGGGTGGTAATGAACATGGAATTCAAGGAATAGAAAGTTGGCCTGCATGTCTGGGGAGTAGTAAGTGAGAGAGAGTGGTACTGGAAGAGATGAGTTTATGAGGTAGATATGTGTGCCTTTGTTGATTTGGTTGTTTGTATCTCATGTGCAGAAAATTGAGTTGATTATTCTCAGTTTATGACACCATGTCATTGTTGGTCTAATGGCTGCCCTTTTTAATTTTTAAATGTATTTTTCCTCTTTATCCCCAATTTTCAATCTAATTTTCCTACCTCCCATATGCTTCCATTTTGTGTATTTTTTGTATATATCTTTCTATTCTACTTTCCATACATCTGTTTACATACATAGTAATATATGTATGTAATACATATAGAAATATACATAGAAATATCTTCTGACCTGCTCCACACTGAGCTCATTGTTCTCCAGGATTGTTGCACAGTTGTGTCTTGGGATCTCTCTTCACTATCACCCTGAGAATGTCTTTCATTTCTGGGTTTTCTTGCCTTCCTCTTTCTTGGCCTACTCTTTTGTTTTTGCGGAACACATCCTACTGAGAAACGATAGATATTTTACTGAGAGTGTTATATGACAGAAAATGTCCTTATCTTCACACTTAATTATAACTTTGGATATAAAATTCTTGATTGGAAATTATTTCCCCTCACAATTCTGATGACATTGCACATTGATTTCCAGCGTCTGGTAGTGCTTTTGAGAAGTTCAATGTTATTTGGATCCTTGATGCTTTGTATACAGGAAGCATTTTTTTCCTGCTCAGGAATGTATAACTTCTTCTCTTTACTTCCCAAGTCCTGCAATTTTTAAATGATGGGTCATAGTGTGGGTCAGTTGTTTTCTTGTGTGCTGAGTACTTTGTGAACCTTTCAATTTGGAAACTCGAATCTTTCAGTGCCTGGCTAGTTCCTTGAATTATTTTATTGATGATTTCTTTCCACCATGTTCTTTGTTCTCTCTTTCCAGAGTGCCTGCTGTTTGGAGTCATTCTTATCTTTTCTCTTTATTTCTTTTTTTAAAATTTTACTTTAAGTTCTGGGATACATGTGCAGAACATGCAGGTTTGTTACATAGGTATACGTGTGCCATGGTGGTTTGCTACACCTACTGACCTGTCCTCTAACTTCCCTCCCTTTGCTCCCCATCCCCAGACAGGCCCCCGTGTGTGATGTTCCCCTCCCTGTGTCCATGTGTTCTCCCACTTATGAGTGAGAACATGCAGTGCTTGGTTTTCTGTTCCTGTGTAAGTTTGCTGAGAATGATGGTTTCCAGCTTCCTCCATGTCCCTGCAAAGGACATGAACTCATCCTTTTTTATGGCTATATAGTATTCCATGGTGTATATGTCCCACATTTTCTTTATCCAGTCTATCATTGATGAGTATTTGGGTTGGTTCCAAGTCTTTGCTATTGTTACAACCCAACCCAAATGGTTATCAATGATAGACTGGATAAAGAAAATGTGGCACATATACACCATGGAATACCATGCAGCCATAAAAAAGAATGAGTTCATGTCCTTTGCATGGACATGGATGAAGCTGGAAACCATCATTCTCAGCAAACTAACACAGGAACAGAAAACCAAACACTTCGTGTTCTCACTCATAAGTGGCAGTTGAACAATGAGAACACATGGACACAGGGAGGAGAACATCACACACAGGGGCCTGTCAGGGGGTGGGGGCAGTGGGAGAGATAGCATTAGGAGAAATACCTAATGCATGTGGGGCTTAAAACCTAGATGATGGGTTGATGGGTGCAGCAAACCACCATGGCACATGTATAGCTATGTAACAAACCTTCATGTTCAGCACATGTATCCCAGAACTTAAAGTATAGAAAAAAAATATGTGTACATGTGTCTTTATAATGGAATGATTTGTATTCCTTTGGGTATATACCCAGTAATGAGATTGCTGGGTCAAACGGTATTTCTGGTTCTAGATCCTTGAGGAATTGCCATAGTGTCTTCCACAATGGTTGAACTAATTTACATTCCCACCAAGAGTGTAAAAGCATTCCTATTTCTCCACAGCCTCGCCGGCATCTGTTGTTTCTTGACTTTTTAATAATCGCCACTCTGACTGGCGTGAGATGGTATCTCATTGTGGCTTTGATTTGCAATTCTCTAATAATCAGTGATGTTGAGCTTTTTTTCATGTTTTTTGGCCGCATAAATATCTTCTTTTGTGAAGTGTCTGTTCATATACCTTGCCCACTTTTTGGTGGGGTTTTTTTTCATGTAAATGTGTTTGAGTTCCTTGTAGATTCTGGATATTAGACATTTGTCAGATGGGTAGATTGCAAAAATTTTCCCCCATTCGGTAGGTTGCCTGCTCACTCTGATGATAGTTCCTTTTGCTGTGCAGAAGATCTTTAGTTTAGTTAGATCCCATTTGTCAATTTTGTCTTTTGTTGCAATTGCTTTTGGCATTTTTGTCATGAAGACTTTGCCCATGCCTATGTCCTGAATGGTATTGCCTAGGTTTTCTTCTAAGGATTTTTATGGTTTTGGGTTTTGCAAGTAAGTCTTTAATTCATCTGGAGTTAATTTTTGTGTAAGATGTAAGGAAGGGGTCCAGCTTCAGTTTTCTGCATATGGCTAGCCAGTTTTCCCAGCACCATTTATTGAATAGGAGATCCTTTCCCCATTGTTTGTTTTTGTCAGGTTTGTAGAAGATCAGATGGTTGTATATGTGTGGTATTATTTCTGAGGGCTCTGTTCTGTTCTGTTGGTCTGTATGTCTGTTTTGGTACCAGTATCACACTGTTTTGGTTACTGTAGCCTTGTAGTGTAGTTTGAAGTCAGGTAGCATGATGCCTCCAGCTTTGTTCTTTTTGCTTAGGATTGTCTTGGTTATATGGGGTCTTCTTTGATTTCATATGAAATGCAAAGTATTTTTCTCTAATTCTATGAGGAATATCAATGGTAGTTTGATGGGAATAGCATTGAATCTATAAATTACTTTGGGCAGTATGGCCATTTTCACGGTGTTGATTCTTCCTATCCATGAGCATGGAATGTTTTTCCATTTGTTTGTGATATCTCTTATTTCTTTGAGCAGTGGTTTTGTAGTTTTCCTTGAAGAGGTCCTTCACATCCCTTGTTTGCTGTATTCCTCATATTTTCTTCTCTTTGTAGCAATTGTGAATGGAAGTTCATTTATGATTTGGCTGTCTGCTTGTTTATTGTTGGTGTAAAGGAATGCTTGTGATTTTTGAATATTGATTTTGTATCCTGAAACTTTGCTGAAGTTGCTTATCAGCTTAAGAAGTTTTTGGGCTGAGACGATGGAGCTTTCTAAATATAGAATCCTCCGCAAACAGAGACAATTTGACTTCCTCTCTTTCTATTTGAATACCCTTTACTTCTTTCTCTTACCTGGTTGCCCTGGCCAGAACTTCCAGTACTATGTTGAATAGCAGTGGTGAGAGAGGGCATCCTTGTCTTGTGCCGGTTTTCAAAGGGAATGCTTCCAGCTTTTGCCCATTCAGTATGATATTGCCTGTGGGTTTGTCATAAATAGCTCTTATTATTTTGAGATATGTTCCATTAATACTTAGTTTATCGAGAGTTTTTAGCATGAAGGATGCTGAATTTTATTGAAGTCCTTTTCTGCACCTATTGAGATAATCATGTAGTTCTTGTCTTTGATTCTGTTTATGTGATGGGTTATGTTTATTGATTTGTGTATGTTGAACCAGTCCTGCATCCCAGGGATGAAGCTGACTTGATCATGGTGGATAAGTTTTTTGAGATGCTGCTGGATTCAGTTTGCCAGTATTTTATTGAGGATTTTCACATGGATGTTCATCAGATATATTGGCCTGGAGTTTTCTTTTTTTGTTGTGTTTCTTCCAGGTTTTGGTATCAGGATGATGCTGGCTTCATAAAATGAGTTAGGGAGGAGTCCCTCCTTTTCAATTATTTGGAATAGTTTCAGAAAGAATGGTATCAGCTCTTCTTTGTACCTCTGGTAGAATTCAGCTGTCAATCTGTCTGGCCCTGGACTTTTGTGGTTGGTAGGCTATTAATTACTGCCTCAATATCAGAACTTGTTATTGGTCTATTGAGGGATTCAACTTCTTCCTGGTGTAGTCTTGGGAGGTGTATGTGTCCAGGAATTTATTCATTTCTTTTAGATTTTCTAGTTTATTTGCATAGAGTTGTTTATAGTATTTTCTGATGGCAGTTTGTATTTCTGTGGGGTCAGTGGTGATATCCCCTTTATCATTTTTTTTATTGTGTCTATTTGATCCTTCTCTCTTTTCTTCATTAGTCTAGCTGGTGATCGATCTATTTGTTAATTTTTTCAAAAAACCAGCTCCTGGATTCATTGATGTTTTGGAGGGTTTTTCATGTCTCTATCTTCAATTCTGCTCTGATCTTAGTTATTTCTTGTCTTCTGCTAGCTTTTGGATTAGTTTGCTCTTGCTTCTCTAGCTCTTTTAACTTGTGATAAAAGGGTGTTGATTTGAGATTTTTCTAGCTTTCTGATGTGGGCATTTAGTGGTATAAATTTCCCTCTTAACACTACTTTAGCTGTGTCTCAGAGATTGTGGTATGTTGTCTCTTTGTTGTCATTGGTTTCAAAGAACTTCTTGATTTCTCCCTTATTTTCATTATTTACCCAGGAGTCATTCAGAAGCAGGCTGTTCAATTTCCTTGTAATTGTGTGGTTTTGAGTGAGTTTCTTTATCCTGAGTTCTAATTTGATGGCACTGTGGTCTGAGAGACTGTTGTTATGATTTCAGTTCTTTTACATTTGCTGAAGAGTGTTTTACTTCCAATTCTTTGATCCATTTTAGATTAAGTGCCATGTGGCACTGAGAAAAATGTATATTCTGTTGATTTGGGGTGGAGAGTTGTGTAAATGTCTATTAGGGCCAGTTGACCCAGAGCTGAGTTCAAGTCCTGAATGTCCTTGTTAATTTTCTGTCTTGCTGATCTAATATTGACAGTGTGGTGTTAAAAGTCTCCCACTATTATTGTGTGGGAGTCTAAGTCTCTTTGTAGGTCTCTAAGAACTCATTTTATGAATCCAGGTGCTCCTGTAGTGGGTGCATATATATTTAGGATAGTTAGCTCTTCTTGTTGAATTGATCCCTTTACCATTATGTAATGCCCTCCTTTGTCTTTTTTGATCTTTGTTGGTTTAAAGTTTGTTTTGTCAGACACTAGGATTGCAACTTCTGCTTTTTTTTTGCTTTCCATTTGCTTGGTAAATTTTCCTCCATCCCTTTATTTTGAGCCTATGTGTGTCTTTGCACATGAGATGGGTCTCCTGAATACAGCACACTGGTGGGTCTTGACTCTTTATCCAATTTGCCTGTGTCTTTTAATTGGGGCATTTAGCCCATGTACATTTAAGGTTAGTATTGTTATGTGTGAATTTGATCCTGTCATCATGATGCTATCTACACACTAGTTGATGAAGCTTCTTCATAGTGTCATTGATCTTTATATTTTGGTGTGTTTTTGCGGTGGCTGGCATTGGGTTTTCCTTTCCATATTTAGTGCTTCCTTCAGGAGCTCTTTCAAAGCAGGCCTGGTGATGATGAAATCCCTCAGCATTTGCTTGTCTGGAAACGATTTTATTTCTCCTTTGCCTATGAAGCTTAGTTTGGCTGGATGTGAAATTCTGGGTAGAAAATTCTTTTCATTAAGAATGTTGAAGCCGGGCGCAGTGGCTCACGCTTGTAATCCCAGCACTTTGGGAGGCCGAGGTGGGCGGATCACGAGGTCAGGAGATTGAGACCATGGTGAAACCCTGTCTCTCCTAAAAATACAAAAAATTAGCCGGGCATGGTGGCGGGTGCCTGTAGTCCCAGCTACTTGGAGAGGCTGAGGCAGGAGAATGGCATGAACCCAGGAGGCGGAGCTTGCAGTGAGCCGAGATTGCGCCACTGCACTCCAGCCTGGGCGACAGAGCGAGACTCCATCTCAAAGAAAAAAAAAAAAGAATGTTGAATATTGGCCCCCAATCTCTTCTGGCTTGGGCTTGTAGGGTTTCTGCTAAGATATTTGCTATTAGTCTGGTGGGCTTCCCTTTGCAGGTGACCTGGCCTTTCTCTCTGGCTTCCCTTAACATTTTTTCTCATCATTTTGACCTTGGTGAATCTGGGGATTATGTGTCCTGGGGTTAATCTTCTCATGGAGTCTCTTAGTGGTGTTCTCTGTATTTCCTGAATTTGCATGTTGGCCTCTCTTGCTAGGTGGGAGAAGTTTTCTTGGATAACATCTTGAAGTGTGTTTTCCAGCTTTTTTCCATTCTCCCCATCTTCTTCAGGTACTCCTATCAATCATAGGTTTGATCTTTTTACATAGTCTCATATTTCTTGGAGGCTTTGTCATTCCTTTTCATTCTTTTTTCTCTAATCTTATCTGCATGCCTTATTTCAGCAAGGTTGTCTTCAAACTCTGATATCCTTTCTTTCACTTGGTCAATTCGACTGTTGATACTTATGTATGCTTCACAAAGTTCTCGTGCTGTGTTTTTCACCTCCATCAGGTCATTTGTGTTCCTCTCTAAACTGGTTACTCTAAGTAGCAGCTCCTGTAACCTTTTATTAACGTTCTCAGATTCTTTGCATTGGGTTAGAACATGCTCCTTTAGCTCAGCAGAGTTTTTTTATTACCCATCTTCTGAAGCCTGCTTCTGTCAATCTGTCCATCTCATCCTCCATCCAGTTCTGTGCCCTTGCTGGAGAGGCATTGCGATCATTTGGAGGAGAAGAGGCACTTTGGGTCTTCAGCATTTTTTAATTGATTCTTTCTCATCTTCATGAGTTTGTCTAGTTTTGATCTTTGAGGCTTCTGACCCTTGGTTGGAGTTTTTGTGGGGACTTTTTTTGTTGTTGATGCTGTTGTTGCTTTCTGTTTGTTTTTCTTTCAATGGTCAGGTCCTTCTTCTATAGGGCTGCTGTGGTTTGCTGGGGGTTCATTTCGGGCCCTATTCATCTGGTTGGCTCCTGTGCCTGGAAATGTCACTCAAGGAGGCTGGAAAGCAGCAAAGATGGGTGCCTGCTTCTTCTTCTGGGATCTCTGACCTCGAGAGGCACCAACCTAATGCCAGTAGGATCACTCCTGTGTAGGGTGTCTGACAACTCCTGTTGGAGGGTCTCAGCCAGTTGGGTGGCATGGGGAAGAGGACTTGTTTAATGAAGCACTTTGACTGTCCTTGGAGAGGGTGTGCTTTGTTGGGCGGGGGAGCCCACTCATCTGGGCTGCCCGGATTCCTCAGAACTACCAGGAGGAAAGGCTAAGTCTACTGGTCCGCAGAGACTGCAGCCACCCCTCCCTCTAGGGGCTCAGGCCCAGGGAGATGAGGGTTCTGTCCCTGAGCCTCTGGCTAGAGTTGGAGTTCTTGCAGGGAGGCCCTGCCCAGTGAGGAAGGATGGGTCCGGGTCAGGCCTGAAGAGGTGCTCTGGCTACAGTCTGCACAGTGGTGTGTTGGGCTGTGGGGGACATCTCTTGGGACTAAGCAGTCCAGCTTCCCTGGCTCCAGCAGGGGAAAAGTGTGGCCTGGAACTATAGAGATGGATGCCGCCCTTCCCCCACCCAGGGAGCTTAGTGTGTTAGGCAGTTCTGAGTCTCAGTGCTGGCTGCTGCCCCTCCCACAAAGGAGCTCAAAGGGCTTAGAGAACAGGTAGCTGCAGCTGTGGTGCTGGTCGCCCCTTCCCCTGGGAACTCAGCAGGCTTAAGCAGATTCTAGCTGAGTGGCTGTTGAGAATCTGCATGGCTTTGGGGTTGGGACCCAAGGCCCCGGTGGCGTGGGTTTGCGAGTGGGATCTTCTGATTCGTGGGTTGCACAGTTTTGTGGAAAAAGCACTGTTTCCCCAGCTGGGTAGCATGCTCACTCACTGCCTCCCTTGGCTGGGGGGGTGGGGGCTCCTTTGCCCCAAGTGGCTCTCAGGTGGGCTGCTGCACCACACTGCTCTTCCTTCTTCTCCGTGGATCATGCCAGCCACCTAGTCAGTTCTGATGAGAACCTGGATACTTTGGTTGTTGGTGCAGGATTCACATGGTATTATAGTTCTTTTCAAATGGAGCCTATGATCGCTGCTGCTTCTAGTTGGCCATCTTGGCCCCGTCCCCACTCTTTTCCCTCTGTTTGTCCATTGCTGTAATTTCTGGGAGGTTTTCTCAACTTCACTTTCCAAGACTTCTATTGGGGTTTTCATTTCTGTTGTATTATTAATTTCCAAAGGGCTCTGTTTTTCTTCTTTGAATATTTTAAAATACATTCTTTTCTTTTTAATACATATAGTATTTTCTCTGAAGATATTAATGATAGTTTTTAAAAGAGTTTATCTTCTTGCATAGTCTCTACTTTCTCTAATTTTTCCCCTGCATGTTTGTTGTCTTTTTTATTATTCATGTTACAAGCTTTCCTCACAAGGTATCTTGTTAACTTGATCATCTGCTGATAATTAAGAAGAGCATCAAAAAGCTCATTAAAAAAATTCAGATCATATGAGGGGAATATTTTGGGGAATATGGAATCCCTTATAATAGACTTGCTTACTCTGCCTGCTTGGGAATCTCTCCCAAGTGGTACCTGCTTTCCACAGATTCCCTCCTTTCCCCATTTCTGAATCACAGATTATATGCCCCAGATTGTTTTTCAGCAGTTCCAAGATTTTAAAAATTGTTTCTCTTTTGAGAAATTGGTGAATGAAAGCAGCCAGATGCTCCCTGACCACCAAAAGAGTACATACTGTAGGATTCTATTTATATAAAATTCTAGAAAAAGCAAACTAATCCATAGTGTTAGAAAACAGATTAGCAGTTGTCCAATGTCAGGGGAGGAGGAAGAAATGGATTCCAAAAGGGCCTGAGGAAACTATTAGGAGTGATAGAAATGTTCATTGTCTTGATTTTGGTAAAAGCTTAATGAGTATATACATCTGTGAGAACTCATTACATTGTACACTTTAAATATGTGCAGTTTATTGTATATCAATTATACCACAATTAAGTTGTAACAAAAAGAAAGAGAAAAAAAGCTCATTTGAAGTTCTATGTTGCCATTCATGGGTTTCACCATAGTTTGAAGATTGTACCATTTCACTGGGGAAATCCTGATGGCAGTATCTTTAGACCTTCTCTATTAGACTGGCTAGAATCTTGAGAAGGGGTTTAGGTCCGCTGGTTGAAGGATTCAGCTTGACTGACAGTACCCTGGAATGTAAGGTGGGCTGGAGTCTGGGAAAGGGAGAAGAGATTGAATTTCCACATTTAATGAAGGCTTTTTAGTTAATGCTCATGTTTTTGGTACAGTAAGTTTGTCCCTCAATTGTTTCTGGTTTCTCCAATCCAGAGATTTCCACTTTTATCCTCTTTGGAGGATTGATTCTTAATGTATGGTTTGTGGACCCCTAGGGGGTCCCTGAGACTTTTTCAGGGGGTCAGCAAGATGATAGCTGTTTTTATAATAACACCAAGACTGTATTTGCCCCTTCCATTCTCATTCAGGTGTGTACAGTGAAGTTTTTCAGAGGCTACATGATGTGTGATATCATAAGAGATTGAATGCAGAAGCAGACAGTAGATTGGCTATCTTCTATTAAGCCAGTTATTAATGAGATTTGAAAAATATAAAATAATGCCACTCTTCTAGCTAAAGTTTTTCTGATTTGGAAAATAAAGTTGTTTTTCAGAAAATATTTATGTTAATGTGGAATGGGTTTATTATTTTTATTTTTGAAGTGAATTAATAAATGAATATTTTAAATACTTCAGTTTTAATTTATCCTATGACAAATATCAGTATTTGTAATCATCATAAACTAAAGCTCTTTGGGGTCCTCAGTGATTCTGAAGACTGTAAAATAGGCCTGAGACTAAAAATTTGAGAACTGTTGCTCTAAAGTATAAACATCCAGAGTTGGGTGAGGGTGGATATAGTCTCCAGGTTAGATGAAATTGGGGAGGGATCCAAGGGCTCTAACTTCTTTTTGAACAAGAAACCCTTTGCTTCTTTTCTCTCCTTTATCCCTTTCTCTCAGAGGTTCCTGATAGCATAGATAGCAAAGCCGAGAGGCAGACAGAGCTTGTGTCCCTGAAGACATTAAGCTGATGAATCAGCCAGCTCTGAAGGCTGATCTACCTCTGGAGATGCTTCCTGTTATACAAGATAATACATTTTGTTTGGTTGAGGTGGTTGTTAATTTCAGCTGAAAACATAATGGAAGCCAAGAAGGGAGTGTGTTTCAGGAAGCTGGGACTGAAGTCTTCTTTGTTGTTGATGAAGACTAAAAGTTTTCCTGGGATTTGGCTATATGGAGGCCATAGGTGACTTTGGCAGGTTGTTTTCAGTGGAGCAGTGGTGGTAGAAACCAGATTATAGTAGCTTCTGGCATACCCCCCTCCTGATGTTGTTCCTCTTTGTCTTTTAAAAGTTTCCTTTATCTTTCCTCTTGACCAGACCACAAAATATCGGGGTTCTTCTCAGTTTAGTTTGGGGTGTCATCTCCTCTCTCTATTCTTTTTCTTGATGTCATCCATTCCCATATGTCTAAATGTTGTTTTTATGCTAGTGTTACCTCAGATTTATATTTCCAGCCCAGCCGAGATCTCTCTGTCTGTATTGCAGAATCACATATCCAACTGCTCACCTGCCATCTGCAGCTGAATGTTTCTTAGATATCTTAGATTTAACCTGCCCAAAGCAGATGTCTTGATCTGCCCTTCACCTGCCCTGCTCCCTTCCCTCAGTTTGCTCTTTCTCGGTTCACAGAACCGACATCCACCCAACTACTCAAGCCAAAAACCAAAGCATCATCCTTGATTTCCCTCTTCCCTTCACTTCCTGTTTCTAATCCATTAGGAAATTTTATTGAGTCAATCTGCAAAATATAACTGGAGTCCTCTCTTTCCTCTCTGTCCAATATCATCTTCTTGACCTGCATCACTAACATTTCTTGCCTGCATTATTGCAGCAGACTCCCAGCTGGCTCTGCCTTCATTCTCGCTCTACTTCCATTATTGCTCTCTTCCACCCAGCAGGCAGAATGCTCTTGTAAAAATACACAGTGTTGACTACATTGCTCTTCTTGCTTTAAATTCGTCAATCGGTTTTTGTCTTTAAAATAAAATCCAGACTTCTTTTCATGACTTATAAGACCTGGCATGATCTGACCCCTGCCATTTTCATCAGCCTAATTGTGTGTGCTCCTCAGTCTAGCTGCACTGGTCTTTTAGCTTCTTGAACAAACTGCTTACTTTCAGATACCCTTCCCCATTCCTTGTGACTTAACTGGTTACTTGTGTTCTCTTAAGTCTCAGCTTAAATGTAATTTCTTCAGTAAAGTATTTCCATCCACTTTACCTAAAGTCAGTTTCCCTTACGATATTCTCCTACTCAGCTCTTTGTTTTGTTTACTTTTAAACGTTATTTTTTTTTGTTTCATTGCATAAATAAAAATTTGGACTTATCATATAAAACTGTTTATTTCTAGGTTGTGTCTGGCTGCACAGGTAGAAATGATCTCACATTTGCTAAGTTGCTGTCAGGTGACAAGGTTGTTCCCATTACAGCCTTGGGTGCCTCATAAGGGGCTGGGGATTTGTGTCTTAGAAGAGTTTGGTAAGTCTTGTTAACTCAGGGGAAAAAATAGCAGGAAACACATGAGAGACCATACTGATTCTTAGAATTCCAGAATAATTATTTTTGAACTTGCCCAACTGAAGCCATTAGAGATTTATTTAATAATGTTAGATTCCTTCAATGATTCAGTCTTTTGTCTCAGATTTACTGGGGATGTTACTGAACTGAGTGTCTGTGACTCCTCATTCTGGTTTTTAATAACAAGGAATCAATAACTTGTTCCCATTCTTTGAAATCTGCAGCTAAAGTGTATCTGAAGGGCCACCAGAGAGGAGAAAACAGAGACCTAACCCTTGATATTGTCAATCTTTTAAATTGTATCCATTCTGGTGGGTATAAAGTAATAGCTCATTGTGGCTTTAATTTACACTTCCCTGATGACTAATGAACTTGAGTACTTGGGAATTATCTGGAAACTAGTGAGGTCAATGGTTGGGCAGCTGAGTTGATCTCCAGATAGTTACATGATGACAGACTCAATGTATTTGGACCTAGGGTGTCCACTTCCTCTCCTGGCACCTTAACATTACAGCATGCATGCTTCGTCTCCAACAGGTTTTTGGAAGATGTAGCTCTAGGGGCATCTTTGCTTGGGGTGTCATGAGAAGCAAAATCAAAAGCAAGCAGACAGGATTCCTATACTCCCTTCCTTTTTATAAAAAATTTTTTGATACTTTTCACAGAGAAGAAAAGGAAAATGTTCCTCTTGGTAGTGCCAAGCTAGGAGAAGGCAATAGGAAGGAAGTGTGGCATGTTATGTACTGAGCTCTTAGTGTGTGCTGTGCACTGTGCTTTGTTTCAATTAATCTTCACAATGATTGCATGAGGTAGTTACTATTACTGCCCCCATATTGCAGATGAGGAAACGGAGGCTCAACAGGCATATTTTTCTAGAAGAGCCTGACCTTATTGTAGAAAAAAACCCCCAGGCTTTAGAGCCAGGCAGCTAAATGTTCAAGCCCCAGCTCTACTGGCTACATGACCTTGGGCAAGTTACTTAGCTTTTTGGAGCTTCAATGTCTGTAAAATTGGGATAACAACACTGCCATTCAGGGCTAGAATCAAGGTTAAGTGAGATCCCCTTGTATGTAAATGTCTGACAACTTCACAAGGGAATATCTTCAAATGGCCAATAAACGTATCAATAACTGCTTAAGTTCATTAGTCATCAGGGAAGTGTAAATTAAAACCACAATGAGATACCACAGCATACCCACCAAAATGGATAAAATTAAAGATTGACAATATCAAGTGTCAGCAAGGAAGTTAAGTAATTACAACTCTTGTGCTGCTGGTTGGAAGTGTAAATTTGAACAAAGCCTTTGGAAACTTGTTTGGCAGGCTCTACTGAAGCTGAAATTATGCATACCCCATGACCCAGTGTATTAGTCCATTCTCACACTGCTATAAGGAACTGCCCAAGACTGGGTAATTTATAAAGGAAAGAGGTTTAATTGACTCACGTGTCCACATGGCTGGGGAAGCCTCAGGAAACTTGCAATCATGGCAGAAGACACCTATACAGGGTTGCAGAAGAGATAATGAGTGCTGAGTGAAGGGGGAAAACCCTTATAAAACCATCAGATCTTGTGAGAACTCACAATCATGAGAACAGTATGAAGGAAACCACCCCCAAGATTCAATTATCTCCATCTGGTCCCACCCTTGACACATGGGGATTATTACAAATTCAAGGTAAGATTTGGGTTGGGACACATAGCCAAACCATATCATTCTGTCCCTGGCCACTCCCAAATCTCATGTCCTCACATTTGAAAACAAAATCATGCCCTTCCAACAGTCCCCTAAAGTCTTAACTCATTCCAGCATTAACCCAAAAGTCCAAGTCCAAAGTCCCATCTGAGACAAGGCAAGTCCCTTCCACCTATGAGCCTGTAAAATCAAAAGCAAGTTAGTTACTTCCAAGATACAATGGAGGTACAGGCATTAGGAAAATACATCCATTCCAAATGGGAGAAATCGGCCAAAACAAAGGGGCTACAGGCCCCATGCAAGTCTGAAATCCAATAGGGCAGTCATTAAACCTTAAAGTTCCAAAATGATCTCTTTTGACTCCCTGTCTCACATCCAGGTCACACTAATGCAAGAGGTGGGTTCCCATGGCCTTGAGCAGTTCCAGCACTGTGGCTTTGCAGGGTACAGCCCCCCTCCCAGCTGCTTTCACAGGCTGGTATTGAGCGATTACAGCTTTTCCAGGTGCACAGTGCAAACTGTCAGTGAACCTACTATTCTGGGGTCTGTAGGATGGTGGCCCTCTTCTCACAGCTCCACTAGGCAGTACCTCAGTGGGGACTCTGTGTGGGGGCTCCAAGCCCACATTTCCCTTCTGCACTGCCCTAGCAGAAGTTCTCCATGAGGGCTCCACCCCTGCAGCAAACTTCTGCCTGAACATCCAAGCATTTCCATACATCCTCTGAAATATAGTTGGAGGTTCCCAAACCTCAATTCTTGCCTTCTGTGCACCCACAGGCTCAACACCACATGTAAACTGCCAAGGTTTGGGGCTCACACCTTCTGAAGCTATGACCAGAGCTGTCCCTTGGCCCCTTTTGGCCACAGCTGGAGCTGAAGCAGCTGGGATGCAGGGCACCATGTCCTGAGGCTGCACAGAACAGGGGGTCCCTGGGCCTGGCCCAGGAAACCACTTTTCCCTCTTTGGTCTCTTGGCCTGTGAGGAGAGGGCTGCCATGAAGTTCTCTGACATGCTCTGGAGACATTTTCCCCATTGTCTTGGTGATTAGCATTCAGTTCCTCATTAGTTATGCAAATTTCTGCAGCAGGCTTGAATTTCTCCCCAGAAAATGGGTTTTTCTTTTCTATTGCATAGTCAGGCTGCAAATTTTCCAAACTTTTATGCTCTGCTTCCTCTTGAACACTTTGTTGCTTAGAAATTTCTTCTGCCAGACACCCTAAATCATCTCTGTCAAGTTCAAAGTTCCACAGATGTCTAGGGAAGGGGCAAAATGCTGCCAGTCTCTTTGCTAAAGCATAACAAGAGTCACCTTTGCTCCAATTCCCAACAAGTTCCTCATCTCCATCCGAGACCACCCCAGGCTGGACTTCATTGTCCATATCACTATCAGCATTTTGGTCAAAGCCATTCACCAAGTCTCTAGGAAGTTCCAAACCTTCCAACATTTTCCTGTCTTCTTCTGAGCCCTTCAAACTGTTCCGACCTCTGCCTGTCACCAAGTTCCAAAGTTGCTTCCATGTTTTCAGATATCCTTATAGCAGCACCCCCCAATCCTGGTACCAATTTACTGTATTAGTCTGGTCTCACGCTGCTGTAAGGAACTTCCCAAGACTGGGTAATTTACAAAGGAAAGAGGTTTAATTGACTCACAGTTCTGCATGGCTGGGAAGGCCTCAGGAAACTTAACAATCATGGCAGAAGGCACCTCTTCACAGGGTGGCAGGAGAGAGAATGAGTGCCAGGTGAAGGGGGAAGCCCCTTATAAAACCATCAGATCCCATGAGAACTCACTCACTATCATGAGAACAGTTTGGGGGAAACCTCTCCCATGATTCAGTTATCTCCACCTGGTCCTGCCCTTGACACATGGGGATTATTACAATTCAAGGTGAGATTTGGCTGGGAACACAGAGCCAAGCCATATCACCCGGCAACTTCATTTCTGAGCATATACCCAAAAGAAGTTAAAGTTCATGTTTACCAGGAGACATAGAAGAATATTCATAGCACTATTCATAATATCAAATAAATGAGAAAAATCTCAAATGATCATCCAAAGAAGACTGATTAAACAAACCTATTGTGATGGAATACTATTACTTTTAACATCAAAAACTGCAATTACTTTTGTACCAACCTAATATATGATGGAATACTATTCAGCAACAAACTACTGATATATGCATGGATGAGTTTCACAGATATGATGAGTAAAAGAGCTAGACAAGGCTGGGCACGCACGGTGGCTTACACCTGTAATCCCAGCACTTTGGGAGGCTGAGGTGGGCAGATCGTGAGGTCAGGAGATCAAGACCATCCTGGCTAACACGGTGAAACCCCATCTCTACTGAAAATACAAAAAATTAGCTGGGTGTGGTGGTGGGTGCCTGTAGTCCCAGCTGCTTGGGAGGCTGAGGCAGGAGAATGGCGTGAACCCGGGAGGCGGAGCTTGCAGTGAGCTGAGATTGTGCCACTGCACTCCAGCCCGGGCGACAGAGTGAGACTCCGTCAAAAAAAAAAAAAAAAAAAAAAAGCTGGACAAAAAAGTTCATTCCATTTATGTGAAATTCCATTTATATGATTCTGCTTATATTTCATTGATGTGAAACTCAAGAATAGGCAAAATGAATCTTTGATGATAGAAATCAGAGCAGTGGTAACTCTAGGAAAAGCATATAAACTGAGAAAAGACACAAGGAAACTTGTTGAGGTGTTGAAATGTTCTTTGTCTTGATCTGAGTCAGCTACATGGGTGTAGACATGTAAAAATCATTGAATGGCACATATAAAATCTGTGGACATTATTGTATGTAAGTTGTATGGCATGCACAAAATGTTAAGAGATAATGTATCTGGTATATAGTAAGTGCTCAATAAACATTAGAAAGTTTCCTTGCCTTCTTGTCTCCTGGAGAAAAGTACAAAATGTGGCTTACCTGAGTTCCATCCACAAACATATATGATTTTCCACTGAGGGGACATGTTCAGGAGGGAGACAGGGCCTCATGCAGAAAGCTGGAATACTACACAGACTGTGTGAAGTGCTCCCACAGGGGAACAGGCAGGCAGCATGTGAATGGACATGGGTAGAAAAAGATTCACTGCTACTGTGTGGCTGTAGGAAGAGTTGTGGAGGAGGTGTGACATTCCAGACAGGAGATGGTGAGGCAGGAGAGCAAGATGTGGAAGGGAGAGAGTTCAGGCCACTTTTATGGAGAGTTGCTCTGTTTAACCAGGGTGTGCAAGGAAGTGTGGTGGGGTAGGAGAGCTGGGAGCATGGGAGTGGGGCAAATCATGAAAAGACTTGAGTGCCAGGATGAGCAGTGTGGACTTGATTCCCTTGGTGATGGGGAGCTTTGACGTTTCTGAGTCACATTGTCAGGCCTGTGTTTTCATGATTACCCTGGTGAATGAATGTTGCATGCATTGTTGTAAGTAGAAACTGCAAGAGGGGAGACTGAGTCTCACCCAGAGAGAGTGGTTCAGAGCAGAGGGTTAGGGTGGTTGCCATAGGCCGGGAGGGTATAGGACTCATATGTTTTGGGGCTACTCTTATCCACACCCTGCCAGGAAAGCCCAGCTTATTCTATAGCCAATAGCCCAGAACCTAGAGCAAGAGTTTGTTTTGCATCAGGAATGCTGGCTTAAGTGTGATTTCCCAGAGACAGGGATACTTGTCCATTTATTTCAGCCAGGGTGGAGGTGGCGGTGGGGAGGAGGAATCTTGTAGAAGAAGAGGAGTGAGGGAAGCAGGGTGGGGCATTGGGAGGAGCTAAGAATGGGTGGGGTCCCAGCTAAATCTTTATCACCCTCATCCCATGGGGAGCTGTGAATTACACTCTAGAAGGGATCTCATTTTGAGGCAAGAGGGCCGCATTTTTTTTTTTTTTTAGACGGTGTTTTCCTGTTGTTGGCCTGGGCTGGAGTGCAATGGCATGATCTTGGCTCACTGCAACCTCTGCCTCCCAGATTCCAGCAATTCTTCTGCCTCAGCCTCCCCAGTAGCTGAGATTACACGTGTCCACCACCACACCTGGCTAATTTTTGTATTTTTAGTAGAGGTGGGGTTTCTCCATGTTGGCCAGGCTGGTCTTGAACTCCTGACCTCAGGTGATCTGCCCATCTTGGCCTCCCAAAGTGCTGGGATTACAGGCGTAAGCCACCGTGTCCGGCCAGGGGGCAGTATTTTTTTTTATCCCTCTGTCAGTCACCAGTTGCAATTGTCCCTGGTTGGGGAGGTAAGGATTGTAACCACCTGGACAAGGCAGGTCCTTTGGTTCAGAGCAGTTCTCTGGAGAAGGTGCAGCAGTGAGCCATTAGCAGGCAATATACACTGTGGCAGGGGCATAGATACACTAGCATGGAAAGAATAAAAAGATAAAAAATCATGATAGGGCACCACACATCCATAATAGCTCCTGTCCCTGAAGGGGATGTCCCTCAAAACTGATTTTACCTTTCCTTCTGGTGTGAGGGCTTTTCTGGGCCATTCAGCTTGAGCTGGCCACCCCCATCCTTTACCTCCTGTCAGTCCTTTGGCCATCCCATTATCACCCCATTGTCATTGACTCTTTACCTGCCTGTCTCCTCCACGAGGCAGAGCTCCTTGAGGGCAGAGCCTGGCCCTGCCCACCTCATTATCCCTCTCAGCCCCAGAGTCTGGCACCATCCTTGGCACAGAGGAGACAAATGCGACATTCCTGAGTGTCACGGGTCCCCTGCCTTGGTAATCCTGGTCTCTATGCCCTCCCCCCACATCCTCAAGTCAAGGTTGCTGACTAAATCCTGACCTGGGGAGATTTGATGAGCCACCTGTGAAAACCAGGTAACAATCAGCTGAATTGAGAGTCTTCAGCCTTGTTTTTTCATTATATATGCTTTAAAAAAGTTTATTTTAAATGAATTGTATGACGAATTTCTTCTCCCTTCTCCAGAATGGCACAGTGGAAGACAATTTTGCTGTTCCCCTCTTGGAGAGAGGAAAAAACCCAGGAGATCTTAAAGTCGAGTAATTATTTCCATCAGCAGGAAATCAGAACTCTGTGTTTGAACTAAACAGGTACTGGGAAAGGCTGACTGTTTAATTTCCTTTAAATGCCATTTTGATGTATTCAGTGCTGACAGAATCACTTTGGGTGTTGGGGAACGAAAGAGAGGTTAATGAGGAGAAAGGAAAGATGTGACAGAGACACAGAAAGCTGGTGAAAAGGTGATATGTAAGAGAGAGATTTTGGTGTTATCTGGCAACTGCTTGGGAATCCAGGCACACACACAGCCTGACACCCTTCCCTACCTATTAGGCTTCTGAGTTATGGAGAAGCTGGCAAGGCCTAGGATAATTCAGCCTCTCAGAGACACACTGTGATTACTTCCTGGAATGAGTAGTAGGTGGTTAGTCACAACCTCCTCAGGTGGACATCTCTCTCTGTCTCTAAGGAAAGCCACTTTGGGAGCTGCAAAAACTTTAGGCTCTGCAGCTGCAAGGTGCTGGATGAGTGAGTGTGCCCATCAAACAGTCAAATGAGGGTCTGGGGAATCTGAGAGACCATGTGTCATTCATCTTATGTAACTGATACTTCAGGGTAAGTTGAGAAGGAGAAAAATGAGTCTTCAAGGAACTTCTGGTCGCCCCTTGTGTTCTTTTTCTTCTTTTGTCAATGCCTATAGGTGTCTTCTGTTACTACTCAATTTCTTAATCTTAAACCTTGTTTTTATAATAGCATTTAATTTAAAAATGAAATTCAAATGTGTTAAGCATCTCCATGTGCAAGTCCCTTGGCTAATCGCTGGGATTCAGAGACCACAGTTTTATAGGGCACACAGACATGTTAATAGACATGGTATTAAGGAGGAAGATGCTCTTTGCTGTGTTGGGGCCAAGGTAAAGTCTGGAGAGTCTGGTTAGTTTAAAGCTTTCTGGGCAGAGAGACCAGCTTGCACAAAGCCCTGGAGGTCTAAACTCCATCCTGGATTCAGGGCTGTCCAAGGAGTTGGATATGTTGGAGAATGAGGTCAGAGTGTGTGGAGGTGAGGGGTGTAGCTAAAGAGCTTAGCAGAGACCTTGTCATAAAAGGCCTTTCAAAGAACCTCTGAATGAAGGAGCAAAGGTCAGAAGAGGCTTAATGAATGGCATTTGTCAATTGTAATAGCTGGGAGTCGAGATGACAAAGAATTGAAGCCGGCTGACAGTGGGATTTCAGCAATCAAGGCACTGGTTGAGTGAGTTTTCTCTCGGGCAAGGAAGTTTCCCTAGCTCCCCTTATGTCACTCACACAGGCAATTCTGCCTGTTGGTAGAACTTTTTTTTTCCTGCCAGGTACAGCTGATAATACCTGAGTTCAAGCAGAGAAGAAAGGGGATGACCAAAAGCCAAATAACTTGGGAAAGAATGGCCCATTTTTTCCCTAGAACACTGTGAGTAGTGAGGCCTTCTGCTCACATTTGACTGACAGGGCCTTCCAGAAATTACAAAAATGTTATCAAATTTACAAAAAATTGGTAGCTTGGTCGTTAGCTACACAAATAATGTAGTCTTAAATGCCTATTATGTGTTAGGTTTTGCACATATTGTTTCTTCTGTCACCTGGAAGCTTTTCTCATTCTCCCTTTATTTTATTCCATTCTCAGCAGTTCTCATCTTTCCCCCTCAATTCCCAGTTCCATTACTGAGAATTAGGGAAGACTGTCCTATATCATTACACCGGCTGGGATATTTGTGGTGGTGGTGGCTATTGATGACATGATGATGTTGATGTGATGATTATGATGATTAGGAAGAAATTATAATCCTGGGATGAAGTCAATCATGAGGGAAGTAGGTTGCAGCAATCACAACAAGCACCTGGTATCTTGATTCCAGCCTAGTTCTGTGTTCACTGTTATTAGTAAATTATATGGTGGGTATGAAGGAGCTGGATCAAATTTCTACCAACTCCATTCTCCATCTTGGAAATTTCTTATCCAAACAAATCTCTGATGCTTTGTTTGATTTTAGTGGATAAAACATAGATAAAGAATGATTTTGTAATACCTGTGCCTATTACAGTCCCTGAGTCATGGTTGATATACCACATATGTTTGTTTAATAAATAGAAGAAAGGCAGAATGAACCAAAAGATTGGGTTCTGATATCTTCCCTTGGGTTTAGATTCTAGTCCTTGGGAGCTTTCTGTATCCTGAATCACTTCAGGCTGCTTCTGAACTAGCTCTGGAATATACCAAATTGGATTAGTCGCCATATATTTATTGACCACTGATATGGTTTGGTTCTGTGTCCCCACCCAAATCTGACCTCGAACTGTAATCCCCATGTGTCAAAGGTGGGAACAGGTGTAGGTAATTGGATCATGGGGGTTGGTTTCCCCCATGCTGTTCTTGTGATAGTAAGTTCTCACAAGATCTGATGGGTTTATAAGCATCTGGCATTTCCTCAGCTTGCACTCCTTCTGTCCTGCCACCCTGTGAAGAAGGTGCCTGCTTTTCCTTTGCCTTCCACCATGATTGTAAGTTTCCTGAGGCCTCCCCAGCTATGCGGAACTGTGAGTCAATTAAACCTCTTTCTTTTATGAATTACTCAGTCTCGGGTATTTCTTCAAAGCAGTGTGAGAATAGACTAATACAAGCACCTACTATGTGCTCAGGACAAGAGGACTGAGAAATACCAAAGTGCCTCAGGCCATGGACTCTTGTGATTCCACTGGGACAGAGCTTCTTTGTGTTCTATTTATTGACAGAACTAACTCCCTGCTTCACTTGTTTTGGCACAAGCCTTATTCATTCCTAAATCTCTAGTGCATCAAGAATCCTATGGCTCAATAAAGCTTTGATGAGTGGATGACTGGTACTCACAAAATCATTTGTAAATACAGGTTCGGGACAAGCCATTTGTGGGTCTAACATTAATGACTGTATCTTCCAGGATTTGAGGGTGTGTGAGTTGACTTAGGCTGAGCAAAACAGATCTTGCTTCTTCCCTGAATTGTTTTGAGACCTTAGACAATCCGTGGCTGAAATAAGCCTCTTTTCAGCATCTGTAAATGAGAGATTTGGATCATCACTTCCCTAATATCCTTTCCAGCTTAAATATACTAATATTTTAAGTCTATTAATAGGAATTTCTGGAACTCTGGGTTCAAAGATGTAAAAAAATGTGAGCCCTCAGGGTCGTGACAGGATGCAAAAGACCTGAAAAGAGTACCTGGTGCTTAGAACTTCCTTCTACCTTGCTTAGTGCTTATTTTTGTTCCTTGTAAAATAGACAGGAAAACCCACTGTCTACTCTGGGGTGCTATGGCAATTAATTAGTTAATGTTTGTGAGGTACAAAAGGAACAAAAAGTGCTGCATGTAAAGAAGTCATATAAATGCTAAGTGTTGTTGTTTTTCATCTGATTCTTCTCCATTCTATTTCAGTTTCATATCAGAGTAGTCATAACAGCATCAGTTGGGGCTCCTCTGGCTAATTATGCTGCCAATAAAAGGGAAAAAAATTTCCCTTTTAAATTTCCATTTTAATTTCTCTCTGCCTATGACTCCTCCTCCCTTTTCTCTAGTGTGTTGTTCATAGTTGTTAACTACTCAGGGGTCAGTAAAAGTAAGCACTTCTATTATTCTCCACACTCATCGCAGTCTGTGAGACACCAACACTCTCCTCCGAGGCAGCAGATGGCACTTTAGTGCTTATTGGGCAAAAACTGTGGAGGATACACAAATGTCTCAAGTGGATCTCTACCCTCCAGGGGCTCCTATTTGTGGGAAAGGTAGAGGCCAGCCCCGTCTCCTGTCACAGGGAGAATGTGACAAGCTTGGTGGGGGTAAGGCAGTGGGGTTCTTGATGGGCCACACAGTAAATCCTGGAATAATTGATACCTACACAATAATGCCATGTAACAAAACAACCTCAGACTCAGTGGCTTAAAACAATTTGCATTTATTTAGTCTAAGAGGCTGCAGGTTGGTGATTTAGACCTGGCTCAGCTGGGTGGCTTCTTTGATCTCAGCTGGTTGTGATCTCATGTTTGGGGGTCAGCTGGCTATTGGCAGAGGTAGGCTGACCTTGGAAGGGATGGCTGGAGAGACTGAACTCTGCCCCACCATTCCATCATCCAGTTGGTTAGTATGGGTGTGTCCTTCCTAGGATATTGCAGAAGTGTGAGAATGAGAGGGACATCTGCAAGGCATCCCGAGGCCTAGGCTGAGAAGTGGCACATCCTTACTTTTGCTTATTCAAATGGCCAAAGAAAGTCATATGATTGAGCTCACATTTGGGAAGGGGCAGGGGGCAGAATGCACATGGCAAAGGGTGGGATACAGGAAGGGGTGAGGAATTGGGGCTATTAATGCAATCAACCTGACACAACATGGGATTACTGACAGCCTTGCCCCAGTGCTCTTCACCCTGCCAGCTGTCCACTTCCTCATCTCCAGAAGAACCGAGGGGAGCCTCTTCAACTGTCAATGAAGTGGCATGTGCTGTGACTCGATGCTGACCAGGACCTCCAAGAAGGCCTTGTGGAGCTTGATCAGAAACCCTGGCAGGCTGGGTGTGACATCAGGAGAGGGAGGTAGGAGAACAGCAAGAGAAAAAGCTTACTGGCAGGGGAGCTAAAGGGGTGTTGGAGGGTAGTGTGGTGTGGCTGGAGGAGGGTATATGGGAGAGAAGTCTGGATACTCAATAGAGATGAGTGGATTATGGCAAACCAAACCCAGATTGTATTATGTGTTCACTGGCTGGGATGTGGGGAAGTCAGTGGTTAGCTAATGTGTGGACCTCTTTTTGGGGAGTCTGATTATAGAATCAGTGTAGAGGCTGGGAATATAAGTATTACGTACTAAAATATGGCTTCCACTTCCAAAGTTGAGCCTCATGACCATGAGGATCTTTCTTATAAAACAGCTGTGTTGAGTCAGCATGCATTGTGGAGTATAATCACAAAACAATTAAATGTTTTTTGGTTCTCACTGTTTTGCTAAATATATTTGGTAGAAGCAGTCCTTCCTCTAGCCTTGGTTGACAGTTCAAGTGGGCTTAATGACTTCTTCAGTTACTCTGGGTAGTACAAGGTCCTCTGGGGTTAGTAATTCAATGTCCACTTCCTATGGAGGAGTCAAAACTTTGAACTCGGTTTAGTGTGATACATCCCCCATTTTGCATTTTCTGTTCTGCCAGCTAAGCGCTGCTGAGGAGAAGGAAGGAAAAGGAATGTGGATGGTTTCTTCTTGTCTCCTGTGACTTCAGTGCCTACCCTTCCTACCCCCAACTTGTTAATCACAGTTTCTGCTGGTCTAGGGTTTAAAGAATGGAGAAGAGGTGAGGAGCACAGTAGCATTTTTACTTGATGGGCACTGGTGCAGCCTGGCTAGCATTCTTTCTGACTCCTTCTCTTGGGTTCTGCAGACATCCTGTGTTAGGTTGGGTGCAAAGTGGTGGGGAAATGTGGATGGGGAAGGATGGGAAGCCAAGTAAGGGTGTGGTTTCAGGCAAAATCCCATGGAGATTGAGTGGATTACGAAGGGCACTCTGGAGTGTAAATCACACCTCAGCGTTTGTCCTGATTTAAGGCAAAGAAGCTGGGCTTTCACGTGCCTCCACCTATCCCATGAGGCACTGGCTAGGCGTAATAATGGGAGTGGAATATGCAGGGATCCAAATTCCCAGGGGCTTTCAGCAATTTCCTCCTGAAGGGAAAGCAACTTCAACTCGAACGCAACCCTCCAAAGAGAGTTGCAGATGCAGGCTGTTAGAAGCAAAAGCACATAGAGGCTGGGAAATAAACGGGCAAAAATGGTAAAAGGAATCCAAGGAATATGGTGATGTGCTGACAGTACCCTGGCATTTCTGGGAATGTAAGCCCTGCTACCCAACCTCCTCTCCTCTAGCTTGGCTGTCAGCTGTTAGTCTTGGGATTATTCAAGGAGGAGTCAGAAGTCCACTGTGACCCCAAACAGGGGAGGACATACCTCAGTAAGTCATAGCACAGCTCTCTCTAAAGGAATTCTCAAAAATTCCATTCCAACTAGTGAACTACCAGCCCTTGTAAGTGGATTTGACAGTCTTGTCATTTTTGAGGAGGAGCCATTTTCTTTTTAAATGACAGAGGTGTTCTGCCACCTCCTTTGGAAGGTACCTGAGGGTAAACTTCTGTTTTTCATACCCTGTTACGCTTATTTCGTGTGACCTTCTGTAGGAAGGATGTTTGGTTGAATCCATAAACACGCATGGAGCTCTGTGTTCTGGGCCCCAGGGAAGCTGGAAGTATCAAAGCTGGTGCCTCTATAGCTTTTGGTCTAGTAGGGAAAGGGAACACTGAACACTTTGCCTTCCTCTCAATTAACCAGCTTAGACAAGACGATCTGGCAGGAAATGATTTGAACCCGTGGCAGAGCCCAAGACCTTTACATTTCTTTCTTTTTTGAACACGGAAAGTGGGCACACCTCAGAAATTTTCTCAGTAACTGAAAGAGAAGTAGGATCATCAGGTTTTGAAATGAGTGTTATTTTTCTCTCTCGGAGGTCAAGAAATTAAAAGAAAGCCTTGGTGTCTTTACAGAGCAAGCACAGGGGAGTCCAAATGTTAGAAAGGAAATTGGAGGCTCTGTCCAGAGCCTCTGCCAGACTCATGTAAGCTGAGGACTACAGAAGGAGTAAGCAAGTTTCCTCCACCAGTGCTGGAGTTTAAAAGTGGGGTAGGTGGAGGCTTGCAGGGGCTTTGACAGGCGCACAGTCTATTGTCCAGGAGAACCTGAGGGTTTGTATCCTCTATAGCATGGTGACCCTTAGCAACCATCACTATGTTGCTCTTGGTTCTCTGTTTCTGTCTGTAGCTGACTGAGCCCCTGCTTTAGGGTTTTGTGTTATGCCTCAGAATTGCAGGGGGTAGGTGGTATAGGTCACTTTAGAGCCTCAACATCCTGATTTCAGTTTAGGCTCTGCCACTTCCAAGTTCTGTATTTCTGGATATGTCTGTCAGCCTCTCTAAGCCTTAGTTTCCTTGTCTGTAAAATGGGGGAAATGATGCCTACCTTTCGGGATTGTGGTCAAGATGAAATGAGCTATCATGCGGGTAAAACCCCCAGGACATGGTAGAGGCTCTGTAATTGTCCTTTTTTACTCCCTTGCCTTGCTGTTGGAATGTTGTGGGGTTTGGAAAGGAAGGTGAGAATGACTTTCTTCCTCTCCAGAGCAGCTACAACCTGTGATCTGGGGGCAGGGAGACTCAGCTGTGAAAAAGCCAGCCTCATTTTGGTAGTTGGCAATGGTCCTAGGATGCCTGAATTCTGTGGCAGGGGAGACCTGCAGGGCTCATGCTGCAATGCCCCAGGTTGAACAAATGGGGTAAAGGAGACCAAGAGAGCTGAAATGACTTGCCCAGGACCACAAAGCCAGTGAGTGGCAGAGCTGGGGTCAACGCTTTGTTCTGTGTCCCTGCATTGGCCTGCCACCATGTCTTAGGAGAGCAGAGCACGTGCTTGTAAAGTAACTCCTGGCTCCAGGGTGCACAGTTGGACCTCAGTCTTTACCCCATAAATTCTTCTGTTACATGGGGAGCAGTGGTCAATTTCCAAACCAGGTAGATCGGCATGTTTCTCACTCCAGGAAGGTTTCCTGACCTCCTAACATCAAGGCAGGTGGCCCTGCTGGTTTCTCCTGGGATTCCTGTGCCCAATTTGTATGTTTATTTTTGTACTCCCTGCCCTAGACTATGAAGACATGATCTAGACTTTCTTGTTCCTCGTTGTGTGTCTAGGGCCTTCTGTATGCTCTAGGACTGAGTAGACCTCAATAACTGTGTGTATGGGTGAATGACTAGGCCAGTTGGGTCCATTCTGCTGTTGCTTCCCCTCAGACATTTTAGGCCCCAGTTTGAGTGTGAGTCTACCAGCAACTGCCTTCATCAGGAATGACTTCCTAGCCTCCTCGGGAAGCACCAGCCTGGGCATTGATGACAGGAACTCTAATGGTTTTTGGCCTAAGCTAGTAAAGACACATAGCATTGCTCACCTGGCTTCTTTCTACCTCTGAAACTTGGAGAATGACTTGAGTAGATGTAAAATGTACTCACCAAGACAGATGTTCAATATCTAGAATTGCAAGCCTACCAGAAGCTCTCCAAGTGCTGGGTAGTGTCCCTCACTGGGCTGCTTCACATGGGCCTATCCACCCTGATCACTTAGCACCCTGCCAGTGAATACCCACTGTCTGTTGGCTTGGTGGCTTTACCTCTGTGTAGGAAGGGGGATGAGCTAGCTGCTCAGAGCTCAGTCAGCATCAGCTTTCTCAGACCTGGGGGAGGGTCTCAGGGGAATGGTGACTCACTTAGAACAGGCTTCATTGCACAGAATGCCCTGTCCTGTGTTAAGCACAGCAGGAAGCTTTAACTAGATCATTGCATCTTCCCCCAGGAGGCAGCTAGCAAAGGTGGGAGGTGCGTAACATGGATGGGCTGCAGTGATTCTATAGAAATGGCAAGGAGAGACAGCTCTGAGATGGATTATGAGGGGAAAAATCCTCAGGGTTCACTGGACTTGTTGGGGGTTGGAGTAAGCATTGAGGAGGGCAGAGGAGAGAGAGGAATAAGATGAAACTCTGGGGAGGAACAGAGAGGCAGAGATGTAGTGATTAAAGTCTAATTGTTTCATGGCTTTTTCTTAAAACCACATTTTATTTGAAACTCACAAACTTCTGCTTCAAATTGTTTCATTGGTTATATTTGTCCTTGCTGCAAAATTTTGCAAATGAGACTAAATTCTCTGTAATGATATTTCTTTGTTGCTGTGATCATGCTTTTACTCAGCATAACAAATAGGCAGCTTGTTCAGAGTGAGGGTGGCTGCTGGGCTTCTAAAAACCTGGGAAATTCAAGAAGGAGAGTACATGACTTCAGCAAAACCTTATCACTGCACAGGTGGGGGCAACACTTGCTTCTTAGTCCAAGATCCTTTTTCTTTCCCTCCCTCCCTCCCTCCCTCCCTCCCTCCCTCCCTCCCTCCCTCCCTCCCTCCCTCCCTCCCTTCCTTCCTTCCTTCTTCTTTCCTTCATTATTCCCTCCCTCTTTCTCTCTCTCCCTTCCTCCTTTCCTTATTCATTCATCAGACATTTATTGAGCATCTACTATGCACCAGCTGGGATACAGCAATACATAAGACAAATATAGTTCATATCCATCTAGCATAGATATGGTAGGAGCTGAGTCATTGCATTCATTTATTTGTTCAATAAACATTCATAGAATACCTAATATTTGCTTATCTCTGTTCTAGGTATAAGGAATGCAGGGATGAACAAGAGAGAACAACAAATTCCCTTTGCTTTTGTGCAGGTTATAATCTGGGTGGGATGAGATGTTAAGCAAGGAGGTTCATAAAATAAAAATATAATGACACAGTTTGAAGTTTGCATATTGGTCCAATCCACATGGGTATCTTTCCTTCATTGGCTCAAGTTTCATGAATATGTTCATCCTGGAGCTATGGAAATGCACTCAAGAGGGGGTGGCTTCCTGGAAGGGAACATAAAATCTCAAGTTAATGTCTTACTCCCGTTCTGGTCATTCTTCCTTATCACAAAGAAGACTCAAGGGATTAGTGAGGCCCTTCAAAACTGTGTTGTGGGAAAACCAAAACCAGCGGTGCAAATAGTGAATTGCAGCCTCAGTTGGGACTCTTATTCTCATTGATTGAAGTGGTTTTATTATATTCCCAGTGGCTCCAGTCCTAACCTAGAAACCTAAGCCCTATACCTGCTGGGACAGGGTTCTGACATTTTATGGCAGAGGTAAGGTAGAAAGAGCCATATACATGATTGGTTTTACAATAATATTTCTGTAGCAAAATGATTTAAATACAAGAGGCGAACACCCAGCTCTCTTCCCAAACACCCTGTAGTAAGAAATAGAAGGCCTCTAAGACCTCATTCTCATGTCTACCCCTCACAGTGTTATCACACCAGACAGAGCAAGCATAGAAGCCCCAAAGACACTGACTACTTTCTGTCTACAGGTTTTTAGACAAACCACTTCTTCTCTCTTCCCCTATAAATAATGCTGATGTCACAGGGTTTTATGAGCATTTAATGACACATGCCTCATAAAAAGTATTTTATAATCAGTAAAGCACTGAATTTATTGCTGTTATTGGGTTATAGCAGTAATGTGGTCCTTGGTTCTCACTTTTGCAAATACAGAACCCTTAGGGGATTTGTGGCAGATTAGTTTTTCCAAAAATGGCCACAATAGCATCCTCCATCTCACGTGTGCATCATCCTTTTTTCTTTTTTTTTGAGACAGAGTCTTGCTCTGTCGCCCAGGCTGGAGTGCAGTGGCGTGATCTTGGCTCACTGCAAGCTCCCTCCCGGGTTCATGCCATTCTCCTGCCTCAGCCTCCTGAGTAGCTGGGACCACAGGTGCCCGCCACCATGCCCGGCTAATTTTTTGTATTTTTAGTAGAGATGGGGTTTCACCATGTTAGCCAGGATGGTCTTGATCTCCTGACCTTGTGATCCGCCTGCCTCGGCCTCCCAAAGTGCTGGGATTACAGGCGTGAGCCACCGTGCCCGGCCTTCACGTGTGCATCTTCAATATGACCTTGCCATGCCTTTCTCAAGAGATAATTTTCTTCATCTCCTTGACGCTGAGTTGACTCCAGACTGCTTTGACCAATAGCACAGTGACCCTGTGCCAGTTCTGGGGTGTAGCCCTTAGCCAGCCTGGTAATTTCTGCTTCCTGCCTCTTGGAGCCAGCTGCCATATAAGAAAGAAGTATGACTATCCTGAGACCACCAGATGATATGCCATGTGGAGGGAAAGAAAGGCCAAGGAGCAAAAAGGTATACTAAACATGAGTGAAGAAGCCATCTTGGAAGTGGATTTTCCAGCCCTGGCTTCCCAGATTCCCAGTTGAAATCTGGAAATCCCAACCCACTGAATTGTGGAAAAATAAAATAAATGTTGTGTGAACACACTAAGTTTTGAGGCTACTTGGTTACCCAGCAATAGAAAACGAAATAGTTACTTTTTTCCTCTTCTGGGTTTTGTATATCTTTTTCCCAAGGACTTGCTAATTGTATTGAATTGCGAAAAGCCACAGACTTTTCCAGCCCAGGAGGTCTGGTGTTCAAACCTTGACTCAGTCATCTTTTAGCTGTGTGTTCACATAACACTTTGAACTTCATTCAGCTTTTAAATCTATTATAGGGCCTTATAAGGCCTCCTAAAGATGCGGGGAGGCCACAATGAGCCAGTCCATTGAAAGTGCTTTGTAGCATTGTTTGGTCCTAAGTATGCTGTCAGGCATATGTTGTCAATCAAAAGAACCCACTGAAGCTCTGTGAGACACCTGCTGGTCAGTTCCACATCCCTGGTGAGGCTAGTTCCCTTTGGCATTTGTGTTTGATACATTCTGGGTCTACTTTTGAGATGGGACAGGGCAAAGCCTGCGTGGGACTGCATAGTGTGGAGGCTTCAGCTACAGCTCAGGAGTGCTGAGTACTTAGTGCATGTGCCAGGCCTGTCTGTAATTTCTAGACTACTTCTTTAATAGCAAACTCTTAATACTTCTATTTCACAGATGAGAAAACTGAGACTCAGAGAAGCTGATGTGGCTATACTAGTAATGACAGAACCAGGACAAGAAGTCAGATTCCTAGTCACCAAGTCCAGTAAGATTTGGGGCAATCACTTAGAATTTTTGACTTCAGCATAAGGTAAAGAAGATAAGAAAGTATCCAAGAGGCATACAATTTTAATCTGAAAGCATTGCAATATGATGACTCCTTAAACAACATAAGAAATTTGGAGTTCCTTTAAAGCTGCAAACACCAGAAGTTTACTCCTTCCAACTCATCATTCTTGGCAAAGTAGGCATAAATGGCACCTTATTCCTTCCATTTCCAGTTGGAGGTTCTTCTGTTTTGAGCATGTGTATTCCTCTTTTCTGGAAGTTTTTCTTGACAGAAGCAGAGAGGTTTTTGACAAACAACTTTAATATTCTTTGTGTCTGTGTGGCTGGCTCTAATAATCCTGCAAGCTTACAGGGTCACTGTTAAGATTAAATCTGAGTCATCGGAGGCAGATGTTGACACATCATTATTTAAATCCTGAGCTGCTGAAGGACTCTCATCCCCATGAGCTATGATTCACTGTCCAAACAAACACCCCAAATTCCACATAGCTTGCTGAGCAGGGACTCTGGACTCCATTAGGGGAAAAAGTTTGCCTTGCTTTGTGTGGTGAGAAAGCACTACTTTCTGTTGCAGAGGAAGCGTGGCCTACAGGGAGAAAGAGTGTTTCAGAAGACCTAGGCTCCTGTCTCATCTCTTGCTCTGGGCTTTCTTTTATTACCTGCTCTTCATAAACTTTCCCGTAATTTACACTTGCATGTTTACTTATATGTTATTGTTTTTTATTTTTTATTGAAGTATAATTTTTAAAGTAAAATGTGTTAAGTGTCCAGCTTGATGAAATTTTACAAATGTATACTCTAAGTCAGCACCATGCATATGACAACATGGAACATTTTCACCACCCCAGAAGATTCCCTTGTGCACCTTCCCGATCAATAACCCTTCAAGGTAACTGCTGTTCTGACTTGTGATGCCATGGATCAGTTTCCTCAGTTCTAGAATTTCATGTAGAAGTCAAATGGCACATACTCTTTTGTATCTGGCTCTTTTGCTCAGAAAAATACCTGTGACATTTATATGTGGTGTTGTGGATATCAGTGATTTGTTCCTTTTTATTGCTGAGTATTATCCCATTGTATGACTAGACCAAAATTTGTTTATTCATTCTCCTGTCAATGGATACCTGGTTTGTTTTCAAACTTTGGCTATTATGAATAAAGCTGCTGTACCTATTCTTGTATACATATTTTGTAGACATATGTTTTCATTTCTTTTGAGTAAATACCTAGAAATAGGATTGCTAAGTCATAGAATAGGCTGGTGTATGTTCGACTTTATCAGAAACCATCAAATAGTTCTTTCTAACACTTAATGTTTTCAGTCTTTTAAAATCTTAGCCCTTCTTGAGGGTGTCTACTAGTATCTCAATTTAACTTTCATTTTTCTGATGAATATTGATGCTGAGCACTTGTACTTATGCTTATTGACCATTTATATATCTTTTATTTCTGTGAAGTATCTGTGTAAATATTTTGCCCATTAAAATAGATTTTAATGGTAGAATGCATTAATAAAAATACTAGTCAAGGAATGGATTGCAGAACGAAGACAGAAAACTTGCAAGAGAGAGCCCTCAAGGGCAGCAGTAAAAACAATGGATACAGTTGTCCCCTTCTATCCTGTTTCCAACCCGTAATTGAGTGGAAGGCTTGAAGGATGCCATCGCTTGGCTTATTTAGAACAAAGAGATGCAAGTGGTAGGGATTGCAAACACACACACACACACACACACACACACACACACACACACACAGCATTGTGGAAGGAAGATGAGCTTAAAGGTCAGAAAATCTGTGTTCCAATCCTAGGAGCTCAGGAAATATTAAGAAAAGATGTCATTATCACACACTACTAACACCACTGGTGCAGAAATAAAATAGCGTTTATTGGGGGAAAATTCTTAAGTAGCAGAGTACAAGCAATTCTCTGAACTCTCATATTCCTATAGTTTGGGCCAGGTCTAGGGATGTGCAGCCCTGTGACCAAATTTCCAGAAAAGAGGAGATCCACCTCCATCAGGCTCCTTGTATTTATAGGTTTGGGGCAGGAAGAATATCTATGCAGCTACACAGCAATGGAGGCTTCTTGGTATCCTCAGGAAGAAGGAGCCTTGGAGCCCAGCAATTGGGTTGTTATCCACCTACACTTTTGTTGAGATAACTCAGACCTGTTGACCTTGCTGTTTGCTAAGTCACTAAAAATGGGAGACAAAACAAACTTTCAGAACTGTCTGGATTTGTCATTCAACAGGAGAGTTTTAATCCATGTAATCTCTCTGAGTCTCTGTTTTACCACGGATAAGATGGGGATAATACTATCTAGCATCTTGAAGAACTATTTGAGGATTAGAAGTAATCATGTAAAACACCAAGCACATTGCCTATGATCAAGTAAGAGCCTAACAAATACCAGTTTTCTTTATTTCAAGGAGAGAAAATTAAAATACTTGTTATCAATGTGAAAATTTTACACATATGGGAAATTTGGCTGGTTAGCTGACGCCAGCTCTATGCATGGCAGAGGCGTTTGCTCTCACTTGACATCACACTTCTCTATCTAAAACCTGGAAGGAGGCTTTTATGATAATGGCCTCTGGGGATTATAATGAGCGTGTGGCAAGGGCACATTTTCCTTATTTGCTGTGCCGCATTCATGTATTTGAGACTTTCGAGGTATAGTTGCTGGATGTTGGGGGAAGTAGCAATTGGATTGAAGCTGTATATTCCAGCACCCAAACAGTGGACTTTTGGATGGCCTAATTTGTGGAGGTGTACATTATGAAATGCCAGATTTTCATAATGGAAACATAAGAATATTAGAAAAAAATCAAGCTTTCCATGTATAATTCTCTTAATAAAATCTCTTGATTGTTTATTAAGGGATGTGGGTTGCTATGGTGACATAAAGGAGCAGAATTTGAAGAGGATTGAAATAGACATTCTAATAGGGACAGGCGTAGATTATATACACTTAGAGAAAACATAGATTTTTAGAAACAGGCTTGAGATATTGTGTAGAGTGTTCTGTGGTATCAAGAAAACTTCCTGAGTTTCTGTGTCAGACCATCCTATTTTTTATAGGTTGCCCATTTAATCCCTTATTACAATTTATTTCTCGGCTATAGTTGAGTTTGTTTATGTGTTCATTCATTCATTCATCAACAAATGGATTTTAATAGCACATATCTGCCCATTCTGAGGGGCATTCAAATATGTAAACATTTGGTCTCTTAGAGTGATTTCAGGAGAGCAGCAGCACATCCCTGTCACTGGCTGACTTTCCTCACTGAATTAGTCTGCCTTCAATCACTGTATTCAGTGACTTCAATACTGGGGAAATTTAATATAAAGAATTATTAAGCTATGATAAGATAGTGTATCCAAAGATGGAAAAAGAACACCAAAACATACCCAGGGAAAGACAAGTGTGAAGGTTAGTATTCAGATCTCATAGAAGAAGATCTTCAATTGCAGGGTCCTGGATAATGACGTTTGCTTGGTTGCAGTGGCCAGAGCTAGTCTACATAACTGGGCAAACAGCAACAACCTTAGGCGGCACAGGTAAGCTGAGGTTGGGAGGTGTGCAGCAGGGCTTCGTGGGGATGCCACTACAGGAACAAGGCCCAGACTATGCAGTGACTGACTGGAGGGCTGCAGCAAAGTGGTTACTGAGCCTGGGCCAAGGCTGCAAGATTTCTGGAGAAGCCTGCTTTGGGTGCGCAGCTGGGGCAGAGCACCCCCGGACAATGTCCCCATCCACATGTTCTGCTGACAGAACATGCAGCTGAAGCTAGAAAAAGCAAAACAGCAAGCGGAATCAAAAAGAGAAGCCCCTTCCTTCTGCAATGTCCTGCCATCGCCCTCTACTGACAAACCTTGACATTGTGCTTACCATAAAGGAGAAATGCTGCGAGTCCAGTTCATTATGGCAGAGCAGGCATTGAAGGGTGAGTTTGGAGCTTCAAAGCAATACATCAATAAGTGGCCAACTGTCTTGGTTGTGGTTTATCTTGTGAAATTATTGTAACATATTTGAATTCCATTCCCGTCCCCAAAGAGGCTTCATTGACTGGGAAGCTAGGAGGTGGTTCAAGGGGGTTCTAAGAGCAAACTCTTTAGACAGGATGACACCCTGTGGCTCTGCCCAGGAGGAAGGCCTGGAATGCAAGCCTAGGTTGGTAGCAGTCATTTGAACTCAGTGTTTTCCTGCTGAAAGGTAGTTTATATTCATTTGGTTTACAGACTTGGAATCCCAAGGACATGGGTTTGAGTCTCAGCTTGTCCACTCACCAGCTGTGAGTTCAGATACCAGTGTGTGCCTAAGGGTACTCCAGGATCCAGCTCCAAAGTTACAGACTTCCTGGTCATATCATAGCTTTAGCCAGCCATTCCCTAAATCAGGAGTCAACACATTTTTCCTGGAAAGGGCCAGATAGTAAATATTTTAGGCTTTGCAGTCCATATGGTCTCTGTCGTGACTACCCAACCCCCCTCTTTGTAGCACAAAGGCATCCATCGACAATGAGCAAACGAATGAGTTTGGCTCTGTGTGGGGAGGTCCAGTATTGGACCTAACGGCTGGGACCAGTGTGTACCTAGGGACACCCTGGCTCTTGAGCTAGACTGGCTTCTCCCTTTTCAGAGGAAATTTTGTCTCAGGTTTCATTGACCTGCCCTGTTGTGGGCCTTGGTTGGAGTCCCTGAAGACATCCTAATAAACTGCCTTATCTTTAAATCTGGAGGAGCCAGGGTTGGGGATCTTGGCTGCTTCCTCCCTAGAATGTTCCAGGCTTCTTATTAGGTTGGTGCAACAGTTATTGCGGTTTTGCCATTGAAAGCAATGGCAAACACCGCAATTATTTGTGCATTAATCTAATATTTAAACTTGGTCTTTAGGGTACAGCTCTACAAACCCAGTAAAGTGGTAGCTTTTGCTAAGTTGCTAAAAAGCAAGGTGTTATTAGCCCCCGCAAAGGGGGCTGTGGGACAAAGAAGATCCACTTCCCTGTTTAAGCAGTAGCATGACCATACAGCCTCAACCATACCTGGCCTTATGGCTGCCATAGCTACCAAAGGTAAAAAGTTGTCACTGTAGGCAAAGGATCATCTGTTGTTGTCATCTGTGCATTTTCTTGGCCCAGAGAGGACGCCATACGTACTCCAGGAAATAAAAGGAAATTTACATTTTAAGGTATTTCACATTTTAAGGAAAGACAGGAGCCAATAAAATGAAACATTAAACGAATCACCTAGTGGGCAGAGAGGGGGTGAAGCTTCCCAGGCAGACATGTGCCAGCATGCCTCAGTTCTGGGCTGGTTTGTGAGCTTGGTAGCTGGTCACTCACCTCACCAGCTCATATGACAAGGTAGCCAAAGCATCCTTGCCTTTTCCTGTGCCTTTTTTTTTTGGTTCTATTTAAATTCTGGGGCAGAAGGGTTGATGCCAAGATATTTATGCCCTTTTGATAACTGCTGCTTAAGCTGCTTCTTGACAGACAAATTCTAATTAAACACGTATAATAAGTTGCAGAAACACAACAGCTCTCAGCGCTTTTCCTGTGGCATGTCACATCTGAAAAAGCCACATCCTGTGACTTGCAGATACATTTTTAGGAACTGCCTCTGTAAAGTTGCTTTGGCTGTTTCTCCAGAGATGTTGGTTAGGTTAACACCTCCTCCTTTTTTTTTTTTTTTTTTTTTTTTTGGGAAAAGCTATTTTTAGGCAGCAAATTAATTGTAGGGCAGTTCAGGTCAAAGAGATTTGTATTTTTATACGGTAAATTTTGTCCTTGTCTTAGGAATGTTACAACAGCCAATTAAGTGGCTGAGTTGGGATTTGAACCCTGGTCTTTCTGGCACCATACACTACAGGAAATAAAGGAAAATGGAAAGCAACAAAAACAACAACGTAATCTGGTGCTTCGTTTTGGATATAAGATGTAACTTGGATTTGAGGAATGGAGGGTAATTACAGTGGTCATATCCAGTAAACTATCAGAAATGTGGGCCTGGAACTTGGGTGGCAAGTGTAGAGCAGAGATTTCATTGTGAAAGTCTTCAGTTTTGGGCTTCATTCATTCATCCAATACCCTTTGTTTAACCTAATTAAATGACATTTTTACAGGTTGTAGTGGAAGAAGCATTAAAGTGGAATCCCTCACTCCCTCCTTCCCCTTCCTCCCTTCCTCTCTTCCTCCCTTCCTCCTTTCCTCCCTTCCCTTCCCTTCCCTTCCTTTCCCTTCCCTTCCCTTCCCTTCCCTTCCCTTCCCTTCCCTTCCCTTCCCTTCCCTTCCCTTCCCTTCCCTTCCCTTCCTTCCTTTCCTTCCTTCCATTTTCTTACCCAGGCTGGAGTGCAGTGGCATGAATGATCACAGCTGATTTCATCCTTGAACTCCTGGGCTCAAGCAATCCTCCTGCCTTAGACTCCCAAGTAGCTGGGACTACAGGTACACACCACCATGCCTGGCTAAGCTAAGCTTTCTATACTGAGTTTTGCCTTTACACTTGCTGTGTGCCTTTGGGCAAGTCATTTAACGTGTCTGACTCTGGAAAGACTGTGAATTTGGAGGGAGTGGTAGGCATTTAGGCTAACCTGTGCTTGTTCACATGGTGGGCATGGGTTTCCAAGAGAGCATGTGGAAGCAGCTCAGATCTCTTGAGGCTCAGTCTCAATGCCTCTTCTGTCATATTCCATTGATCAAAGCAAGTCACAAGGACAACCGAATGGGAGGAGCTGCAAAATAACATTGTGAAGGAAGGAGAGAGGAGAATTACTGCAAGCCATCTACACTGAGCTAATTTTCATCCTGGGATCCTCAAGGAAAACAAGTGGTTAATATAATGTGGTGTTTTGGGCATGTGATGTTCTGTGTGTGACATTAGCTAGGAGGATGGGCAGGCCAAGAAAGTAGAGAAAACCGTGGACAAGGAATCAAAACTTACCAGTTGCTTGGCCTTAGACAAAACACTTGGACTGTTAGAAGCTCAATTTTTTTGTCCTAAGGTTCCAAAAACCTTTATTAACCCTGTTCTATTCTAGGCACTAGAGCCATAGATAGAAAAAAATGAATGATTCTTGTGAGTTTTTCTGTGTGTCTATCAGTGATTTTGGGAGTGACAGTTGTTAATTCCAGCCAGTTTTGGCAATAAAGGGTTATCTTGTTTAAAAGACACTGGTACCTTGCTTGCTGTTCAGGTCAGCTTTGAGCCTGGCTTACTGGACCACTGTTTTGTTGAGGGAGCTCTGAGTAATGGCAGACCAACATTTCTGTCTTACACTCTGAGGCAGGCATTTCCCCATGGGAAATCTTCTCTTGTTACCTTAACTTTTGAATTGCTCGACCCCTTTGGGGGTTGGTAAAGTCTTCAAGTGCATCTATATTCTGCTCACTTGTCCTGGTTGATTTTCAACTTTGTTTTCCAGCTGTGAAAAACATATGTACGTATGGCAGTAATTGGGAATTTAATAATTTTTGATGTTTCTTGTGGTGTTTGGGAAATCCACTGAGAAGGATATATATTTTTTCAGTGTTTCCCCTTTCTGTGCTAAAACTCTGCTAAAACTATTCATGAATTTTATTTTCTCCCTCTCCCCTCCCCTCCTCTCCCCTCCCCTCCTTTTCTTTCCTTTCCTTTCCTTCCTAGCACAAGGCAGGCTAACTTTGAAGTTAGGTTTCCTTTTTGGAGGGTACGTGTATTGGTTCCTTATTTTCTCCTTTTGTTTTCATTTTTATAGTGTTCTTTATTAGTTTTTCCAAGTCATTTTAGAAATAAAAAAAGAAACGTAGAACCACCACCGTAACAACAAAACACCACAGTCAGAGATTCAAACGATCTGAGAATTTTCCTCTTCTCTTTTCTCTTCTCCCTTGGGAACCTATGCACCTCCACAGATTCATGTACTATTCATGAACAGGTGATTCACACATCAGCATATCCACATATCCAACACTAACATGGACTCCAGTCCCAGAGTTTCCCTCTTGTCTTTATGCATCAATATGATCCAAACCAAGGCTGTCATCTTTGTTCTGAAATCACCTTCTCCTCCTGGAAGTCATTGTTTCTGTTATTTCTTCCTCAAGTGGTCATTTTCAATGTTTCTTCCCTCAGTTCACCTCAGTAGCATTTCCACCATTCTTTTCCCACTGTCTAAACCCTCATCCATGGCTGTTTATTTCAGCATTTTAACTTTTCTCCACTCTTTCACCAGCACCACACACTCACATTGTTGAAGATAGTCATTGGTGAACCTGACTTTATCATTTTGTATTTTTTATGGTGACTAGCACAGTGCCCATATTAAATGGACCTTCAATACACATATATTGAGTTAAAATGAATTAATCTTTTAATTACATGCAAAATCAAATAATATTGTCACAAATTTGGAAAATAGAAGAAAGAAACAGAAAACACTCATAAATCTATCATCCCAGCACACTGTTCCAATGACTGATATATTCTTTCAGTTTCCTCCACCCCCATCTTTATATGTGGTTTTCAAAGTTGTCATTGTTACTCCAGTGGTCCACATACAGCACACAGAGAGTTTCTCAGCCCTGATACTAAAGTCTACACAATAGCAATTAATGTGGCTCATCAAATATTTCCAGCTGTCTGCCTTCTTGGCACATGGCAGGATTGTACTTCCATCCTTGTGGTTAAGCAAGGTTATGTGATCAGTTTTGGCCAATAAATTAATTGCTGGTATGAGATTGCTCCATCACCCCCTACCCAGGAACATTCTTTCAGATAGTGGCTATTCCATCAATGGTGGTCCTAGAGTGAGATAATGATCTGGAGGAACCCCCAGGAGACCCATGATGGACATGAAGTGGGAGTGAGAAATAAAGCTTTGTTATTTTAAGTCACTAAACTTTTGAGCTTATCTGTTATTGCAGCAACACCTTATCTCAATCTGACATATAGTTCACACCATCTGGGAGCTAGAGAAAACCTGAGAGATTTTCTGGTTTAATGCCATCATTTTATAGATAGAGAAATTGAGGCTCAGAGAAGCAAAATGATCTGTTACACAGAAAGTCAATGTTGGCACTGGTTGGAGCCCAGATCTGCTGTCTGCCTGAATATTTTTCCTGTTCAGCAGGATTCTGGGCCCTGCATGAGGCCAGCCTCAAGTGATGCTGCCCTGATTTTCCTCCGCTTTGTGGTAGCAGTTCTACTGCAAACTATGTAGGGATCAGCTGTCCCTGGGGTCTGGGTCACTGGCCTGCTCTAATTTTATACCTTGACAGATCATTTGCAAGTGCCCCGGGGTCCACTTTTGGAACCCTCCACAAAATGCCATGACGCAGGTGCCCATGTCAGCACTACAGCAGTTAGAAAAATGCTTCCTTTTGCAGATGGTAGCTTTGAATTGTATGCAATGGCATCTCTGTACAAGTGAAAGTTCAACAATTCAACTTCGGAATTATCTGATGGTGATGAAATTCTCAAATTCAAAGGTATGAAGATAATTAGGACTCTTGTTAATCATTCTGCATCTCTTTTCCCACCCCCACCCCGCAGCAATGAGATTCACACAGATTAATTACTGCCTGCTATAAATAAACGCAGAGAAAAGCAATCTGCATAGGAGAGGCAGAGAGTAACTGTCATTTAATATATCACAGCTTTCCGCACACCTGTTTCCCCCTTGCTGTTGCCACGGAAACCACACTTTATAGGAGAAGCTATGCATAATTAGCATGGATGGAGGTCTATATCAATCAGAATAATTTGGAAGAATACTAAAAGCCCAAAGGAGCAGGCAAAACTACTTGTCTCAGTAGGAAGGAATCAGACCTCCACTGTGTAGTAAATGAGGAGGCAGTTACAGTAGAAAATCAGCAAAATTAGCACTTCTGGGTCAGCTGAAAAACAGGCAGACAGCCTTACTCCACTAGAGAGAAAGAAAACTTTGTCATCGAGTTAGGTTCTATTTCTTTTAAGTGCTATTTAGAGTCACACAAAGGAAATACAAAGCCAAACAAACACATAAGTATATTTTGAGGTGATGCGACTCCGATGACAGGACCTGTACTTCTGAAGGGCAGGCTCTGCACATCTGGGGAGCCCCTGCTGCAATATTAGGCAGTGAGGCTGGGGCTCCAAGACTCCAGCTACGGGAGGGGCTGCTGAGTGTGGGCTTCCTTTAGGGAACAGTGAGTGGCTTTCAATCAAGGTATGGGATTTTATGAGTCGCTGGAATCATTAGGTTTTTGTTGGTGGTGGTGTTTGTTTTTTTTAAGTGACGGAAGGGAATTTGGAAACAATCTAGTTCAAATACCCTAGTTCTAAGAGGAGAAATGGGAATCACAGGAGATGCAACTTGCCCAAGGTTTCAAGGCCAAATGGTGGCCTATCTTGAACCAGGACTCAGCTCTCTGGTTTTCATTTAGTACCATTTGCCGAGGCCACGGATCTGACCACCACTGAGTTGGTCATCCTGGCCAGAAATTCTTAGATTTTTTATTACAGAGGGAAGGAAACTGAGTACCTGGCATAATAAGTCATTCAGATGTTAGCTTTTCTAGTCTCAGACAATTTCCCCTTTTGTGTAGACATGCAAATTCATTTCTTTATTGAATCATTCATGCAGCAAACATTCATTAAGTAAAATGAAATATTATATTCTTTGAGGTAACACAGAAAACTTTCTGTAAACTCTAAATTTTCAGAGTTGAGATTAGATTACTGTTTATATTAATTAATATACATCCATTCATTCATTCAACATTTATGTATTGACTGCCTACTATAAATAACTCTATTCTAGGTGCTACAATACAGCTGTGAATAAGGCATGAAGATCTGTGGCTCATGGAACTTGCATTCTAGTGGGCAGAGAAAGATCTTAAATGGAAAAACAAATTAATAAGATAATTTTAGATGGTAGATAAGGTCAGTGAAGAAAATAAAGCAGGGTAATGGGCTAGGGTTAGGAGTGTGGATCTTATCCTAATTGTAATGAGCAGCAATCAGAGGGTTTTAAGCAGGAGAGTGATGTGATTGAAATAGTTCCATGTCTTGTTCTCCAAGCAGGATTTGAGGTCACTGGTCTGGGGGATTGTAGCTACCTATCAGTCTCAGGCCAGTAGAGACCATGGGCCTGTGCCCAGAAGCTCACTGTTGCCTTTACAGCAGTCCTGGGGAATGATGGTAAAGGAAGCATAGCTTGGGTATATGTCTTCCCTTTCCTCTTTCACCTTTTCTTCGTTGCTCATTCTATACTTTATCTCTTCATGAGCCTGCTAATAAGTAAAATAATAAAAGTGAGAATGATAACAGCAATGAAAAGGCATAATAAACTTTTATAAAATGTTCCCTTACCATATGCCTGCTAGTGTGAATATTGCTGTGTGGTGTTTAACTCATTAACTCTTCAAAATGTAGAAACTATCATTAAGTTGATTTTACAGGTGAGAAAGCTAAGGGGGAGATTAAGTAGTTTTTCCAAGGCCAACTACCTAATTTAATGGTGGTGCTAGGGTTTGAAAAAAAAAGCTATCTGTCCTTAGAATCTATGTTGTTAACCTCTCTGATAATTGGATCAGTCAGTAGTGTCAACATGTTAATAGAGAAGGTTTAAGTCCTTCAGCCCCCACAGTAAGAAAAGTGGGTAGAAGGAAAGCATAAACATTTTGTGTCTACTATGTGCAGAAAAATATGTAAGGCACAATCATCCCCTTTGGTCTTCATAACTGCCACTTCAAATTATCTCAGGAATTAATAAATCTTGCAACAATGCTGAAAGGTAGGTATCATGTACCCCATCTTTAAGATTAAAAAACAGAGGTTCAAAGATGTGAAATAACTTGAATAGGAGCTGCCGAAGTTTGACCTTTGGCCTGTGGTACTCTAAGGAAAGCCATCACAGTGGAGGTTTAGGGCAGGCCTGCCTGGGAATTTGGGTGTGCCTTCGTGGGTGTCAAGGATGTCCTCGAGGCAGCCAGGCAGAGGACCTGGACTGACTGTAGCCCCTGGTCAATTGTCTTTGGCCATAGTAACTTCTTATGGGGGTCTTTAGTGGACCTGGGGTTTAGAGCATAGTGGGATCTGCATGCACATCTGCTAACCCCTGCAGGAAGCTCCATGTTCATGCTGAGTGTGGCTGCAGGGCTCTATCTCATTCACCAGGTACACAAGAGAAGCTTCCTCCTACTTGGGGTGTCTAGCAAGCTCTGACTCAGGTTGCTTCTTTGAAGACTGTATTTGGTCCCTGCTGGCTCAACACAACCCTCAGGTTTTTGCCTCCACTTAGCCCCCTCAGTGATGGTGGATTTCCCAGGCATCTTCCTGCCACCAGTGGGTCACTCCTTTGCTCCAAGATTCCATCTTTGCCAAGTGCACCAGCTGTTAGAATGACATCCTCTAAAACTAGTCCTGGCTAAGAAGCCGTGGTTAACATGCTCTTTAGCTGAAGGCTTTAAGCTATACCCTTACCCATTTCAGAGCCTGCCTGAATTGAGCCCTGTTTGCCAAGCCTCCTTTCCCCACCCCTGCGCTCCATCTATCCAGCTTCAATTCCATCTTGACTCTTTATTGTTCTCTTTGTTTGGCGATTGACTTAGTATCCTTGCCCTTGAGCTGGCACCCACACCCTAATTAATCCAGTCAGAGCCACTCCATCTCTCAAGCTTGCAAGCTGGGGATGGTTGGAAGACAGAGTTATCTAAGAAACTAAAAAAGACTGCTGTCAGCCCCAGTCAGTGTGGAGGACATGAAGATGCATCCTGGAGATCCTTGGTGTGGCTAAAAATGTTAAAATGACCCCTTGGTCCAGTTCCACCTCCAGGGAGCACAGATGAACAGCCTGTGCCTGAAAGCAGTTGCCCAATCACACTGGGCTTGTGAAGAAACCATCCAGTGCTCTTTCGCCACAACACGTGGCCAAGTGGGGCTCTGTCCAGTTGCATAGGCAGTGGAGTGCTGGGTGTCCCTTCATGGATAGCATCTGACACAACTTAGCTATCTGTATCAGTTAGCCCTTGCTGCATAACAGACCACTCCAAAATGTATTGGTTTAAAGTAACAGCCATTTATTTAGCTCAGTTTTATGGGGATGGTTCTTCTGGCCTAGCCTGGGCTTAACGGGGTTTGCTCATGTGTCTGTGGTTAGCTGATGGGTCAGCTGGGGCCTGGCTGGTTCTGGTTCTGTATGACCTCACTTGCATACTGGGGAAAGTGGGGGGTCACTGGTGGTGTGTCTTTCATTCTCTAGTAGGCTAGCCTGGGCTTGTTCACATGGTGACAGGATCCAAGAGCAGTAAGAGAACACTCTTCAATGTGCAAGTGCTCTTCAAGTCTCTGCTGGAGTCACAATTGCTTCTGTTCCATCTGCTGAAAGAAGTCACATGGCTAAGCCCAGAATCAGTATGGCAGGGCACCAAGAAAGGAATCTATGAAAAAACTGGACATTTATTGCAATTAATCCACCACACCATAATTTCAATTCATGCTTGCAAAGAAGGATTGACCCAGGAGGCAGTGAATACTCCACTCTGGGTCAAGAAGTCTAGTAGAAGGAATCCAAGCAAGTACCTAGTTCTGGCTAATGTAGATTACTTTAAAGTCTTTCCCAAAACTTGTAAATTGATCCCTGATTTTGGGTACTTTGGGCATTGCTTTGGAGGTTGTCCTGTAAATACTATTATTCTCGCTACTTCTTCTGGGTTAGTTTATTCCTTCTAGAAGGTGTCCTCTTAATACTGCTTGTGTTTAGAAGCCAATCACTTCTCTAAGCAGACCTCATCTCTTCCAGATTTAAAATTTATAGCCTAGGCAATGTAAGGAGACCTTATCTCTACAATAAAAACTTTTAAAAATTATCTGGGTGCGGTGGCTTGCGCCTGTGGTCCCAGCAACTACTCAGGAGGCTGAGGATGGAGGATCACTTGAGCCTGTGATCGCAGTGACCTGTGATCAGGCCACTACACTGGGCCACAGAGCAAGACCTGGTCTCAAAAAAAATTATCCACTGTCTTTTTCTTTTACATTAAATGGAGTATTTATCAAAAATGATGATGACGTGATCCAGAATGAAGCAGGGTAAAGAGTTTTCTCTAGAATGTGTATATTGGTATTGTGCTGGGCTTGCTAATCTTACTGTTTAGGCATACTTTCTTTGGAAAAATAATTATTCCAGCCTTGGAACTGGCATGGATATTTTCCTATGGATGCCAACTTCAATGGTATTTTTGTAGTAATAAAGCGTATCTCGAACCCAAGCATTCTTCTTTATTCCAGGACCTTATCAATGGTTATTTTGGCCAAGCACAAAATATTGATTTTCTGTTGATTTTTTTTGGCTTTTATATTGATTATATATTTGTGCTGTTGTACTGAATATGGTTACTTATATATATATGTACATGAATAAAATATGTTTAATAAGCATGCATAAAATGTACGAACTTGAAAACTGTTCCTTGGTGGAACATTATAGCTTTAGTTGAGCTATCTAAGTGACTTCCAAAAGAAATCATTAGCTACAGTCCAGTGTATTTTGTTCCTGCATAAGAGGTCAGGCTACACTCAACAATGATTCCCAGTTTTTTTGTTGTTATTCTAGAAGTCTCCTGAGAATTCTAATAACTTTTGTGTATAGAACAGAAAAAATTAAAAACCAAAACCAAAAACAGTTGTTGGGCTGGTACCCAGAGGGGCAGACAAGCTTTTTGATTCTGTTACATCATTATGGTAGAGGACATTTAAAATGAGAAAATATGGTACTATGGTATATTGCAAAAATGCTCCTTATTATCCACCCCTCTCTGCATTAATACCTTTTTTTTTTGAGATGGAGTTTCACTCTTGTTGCCCAGGCTGGAGTGCAATGATGTGATCTCGACTCACTGCAACCTCTGCCTCCCAGGTTCAAGCGATTCTCCTGCCTAAGCCTCCAGAGTAGCTGGGATTACAGACATGTGTCACCACACCTGGCTAATTTTTGTATTTTTAGTAGAGACGGGGTTTCTCCATGTTGGTCAGGCTGGTCTCAAACTCCCGACTTCAGGTGATCCACCCACCTCAGCCTCCCAAAGTGCTGGGATTACAGGCATGAGCCACCGCTCCTGGCCATTAATACCTTTTTCAAAGTGACTTTGCATCTTCTCTTGTCAGGAGGTGAAGTCCATTTCCCCACCTATAAATTTGGACTGGCTTTGTGACTTGCTTTGCCAGTAGAATTTGATGGAAGTGATGATTGCATGTTCTGAGCTGAGGCCTCGAGAGGTCTTTGCAGTCATCTATCTCTCTTGGGTCTCTATCCTTTGTCAATGTGATGAAGCCCAAGCTAGCTTGCTGGAGGATAAAAGATAATGTGAACCAGAACCACATCAGTCTGAATGTCCCAGAGAAGGCCACCAAAAATCAATAAAGCTTTCATTTGCAGCTGACTGCAGATGTATGAGAGCTGAGATCAGCCAAGCTTGGCTCAGGTAGGCAGACCCACTCATCTAACCTGTAAACTCATGAACAATAATAAAACCTTTTTGTTTTAAACCACTAAATTTTGTGTGTGTGGGGGTTGTTACACAGTAATTACTAACTGATGCACATAGGATCACAGCAAGTGAGCTTCTTGAGAGAAGGGTTTATTTCTGATTCTGTAATTATTATGAGTTGTTAGCACACAATAGGTGTTTATTATTAAATGCCTATTAAATTTGTGAGTACAGGTGATTTGTTTGGTTTCCTGGGTTGGGCATCTTTCTGGTGGCACAGTTAGATGGATGGCCATTTTCCTCACAAACCACGAGATTTGGAATGGATTCTGTGGCAGAGATACCAGTTGTTCCACCTTCCTTAGTTCTGCAATCCTTAGTTTTTAGCTGGATATATGGCTTCCTGCGATAAAGACCAATCTTTCATGGCTGTCTATATGACTAAGCTCTGGCCAATGGGATGTAAATAGAAGGGAGAGGGAATGCTCTTTTTTCTCCCACTAATTCCTGCTAGCTGGAATGCAGATGTGCTGGCTGGGAATAGTGCAGTCATCTTAAAAATAGGACAGAAACCATGTGCTGCAGGTGCCATCAGTAGCAAGTTTAAAGATCTTGCATCCCTGATGCCTTTGTAAAACTTTCTGTGGCTAGTGTTCTTAATTATAATATTTACCCCTTCTTTCCTATAGGAGAATCATTCATTCTTATCATTGCCATGTAATTAGTGATGCCTCTCCATAGAATATCTCACTCTATTTTTAGGCTTAGCCATGTGACTTGTTTTTGGCCAATGAGATGTAAGCAAAAGTGACATATGCCACACCCAGTCAAAAGCTGTAAAAGCCACTGCACATTTTCCCGACCCTCTTGTTCTTTCTCTGTGTCACAAGAACAGCATGTCCCAAAGCAGAGTTGATCCTTCAGCCTGGGTGCTGGAAGAAGAAAACACATGGAGCAGAGTTATATCCACCCACCTACTACCATGTAGTCAGAAATAAATATTTATGGTTGTAAGATTCAGAGGTTGGGCATCTGCCTACTTTTGGATTTTTTTTATATGACAGGGAAATGAACATCCTTTTTGTTTGAGACATTAATCTGATTTCTGTCACTCATGGCTAAATTGAGTTGCAACTAATTCTGCCTTTTATCTCATTCAGAGTAAGAATGATGTAACCATTCACTCAACTGACACATATTTCCTGAGCATGTAGGTCAAGACTGGCACTATGCTAGGCACTGGGGATGCAATTGGGATAAAAAGGGACCTATTCCTTGCCTTCATTATGCTAACAGTCTACTGAGGAACCCAGGTATGAAACAAATGAACACTCAAAGACAATCAAAGAAAATAGAAAGCTATTTTATAGGAAGCTATAAAACAGTATAATATGATTTCCTGTTTTAGATTGGGTAGTCAGGAAATATCTCTTTGTGCAAGTGGTATTTTAGTTGGCATCTAAAGGAAGAAAATGAATCTGCTAGATGAAGAGTAGAGGAGGATGGATGGCATAGGAAACAGGAGGTGCAAAGATCCTGAGGAAGAAAAGAATTGTGTATATTTGAGGGACTGAGAGAAGTCAGGATGGCCACAGTGTGAGTGAGCAGAGAGGAATACTGGCAGATGAGGCTGGAGGCCAGGTTGCATACAGCCTCACAGCCCATGCCAAATATTTTGGTCTTTGAGAGCACTGGGGAACTGTTGAACATAGCCCAAGATAATCCCATTTGTGATTAAAGATGATCAGTTGGTCAGCTGTGTGGAAAATAAATGGAAGGAGAACATATAACCCAGGGAGGCCAGTATAGGCATATATGGATGCATCTATTGTTTGACATTTTACATTTAGATCTTTAATCCACCTGGAATTAATTTTGCCTATAGTAGGGGTCAAGATTTATTTTCTCCCCCACATGGATATCCATTTGACCTAGCACTATATATTAAGATGTCTTTTTCCCACTGCTGTCCAACAGTTTTGTCATAAATCTGTTTCTAGACTATTTATTGTTGTATGTTTCCAGATTACTTATTTTGATCCATTTTCCTATTTTTCTATCATTACACAAATACCACTCTGTCTCCATTACTGTAGATTTACTATACATCTGAATCTAGTATATAAGTTCCCCATCTTTGTTTTTTTTCAAGCTGTCTTGTCTTTTTTGGCTTTTGTCTTTTCAAATAAATTTTAGAATCAGTTTGTCAATTTTACATACATACACCCACCCACCCAAACACACACACACACACACACACATACACACACACACACACTTCTAATGAGATTTTTCATAAGGATTGTGTTAAACCACAAATTATTTGTGGGAAGATTAGGCTGTTTACAATATTAAAAATTCACATCTATGAACATGGAATATATCTCCATTTATTTAGGCCTTCTTAAATTTATCTCAATGATAGTTTGGACTTTTCTGTTAAAACTTTCATACTTCTTTAGATTTATTCCTAGATACTTAATGTTTTCTGGTGTTATTGCAAATGGTTTTCTTTAAAAATGTTATTTTCCAATTGTTTGTTACTGGCATTAATAAATGTAATTAATTTTTCAGTATTGATCTTTAGTAATCTTGCTAAATTCATTTACTAATTCTAAAGTTTATAGATTATTTTGAATTTTTTATGTATACAATAATGATGTTATTTCTTTCCTTCTAATATTTATGCCTTTTATTCTTAGTGAGCTAATTAAAATTTCTAGTTTAATGCTAAGCAGAGATGGGGATGGCCTTCTTCCCAGACTCAGAATGAAGAGTGTTATCTTCTAAAAAATGTATTTGATAAGTCAAACCTAGGATCTTATTTTAAATTGAATTTTTTTGATTATTAGTTATAGGAAATTTTTTCATGTGTTTATTGCACATTAAGTTGCTAGTTCATATTATTTGTTCATCTTTTAATTGACAGACATCTTTTAAAAGTTGAAATTTAAGAACTCATATTATGAATCATTTCTCTCATATATAACGATATTTTTCATTTTCCCTTTAATTTTCTATATGCTGTATAAAAAATCATTTTGTTATGGGAAATAAAGAACAGACATTAAATAGAATACTACAATGAACCTCATGAATCTATCAGCTTCAACTATTATCTAAATTGTATTTATGGAATTTTTTGATTTATGAAATTTGTACATTTTTGTATGGCCAAGTATTTTAATTTCATTTTCTACTTTGTGAGGTCTTTTGACATAAAAATTTGAATTTTGATGTTGCTTATACATATTAATTTTTTCCTTTCTGTTCTGACTTTTTAATGTCTTATTTAAGATGTCTTTTCATATTGCAAAGTAACAGAGATATTTATGTTATCTTCTAAAAGATTTTCATCTGAGATTGAAAGAAATGTGTGTTCTCTAGGTTTTGTGACCAGTGTCTTGTATCCATTTGATCAATTGAAAAATATTATTGTTTAAGTTTTCTATATATCTATATCCATGGCTATGGTATTTCTTTTTTCTTTTTCTTTTTTTTTGAGACGGAGTCTCACTCTGTCGCCCAGGCTGGAGTGCAGTGGCGTGATCTTGGCTTGCTGCAGCCTCCGCCTCCTGGGATCAAGCGATTCTCCTGCCTCAGTTTCCTGAGTAGCTGGGACTACAGGCACCTGCCACCAAGCCTGGCTAATTTTTGTATGTTTAGAAGAGACAGGGTTTCTCCACGTTGGCCAGGCTGGTCTTGAACTCCTGGCCTCAAGTGATCTGCCCACCTTGGCCTCCCAAAGTGCTGGGATTACAAGCATGAGCCACTGCACCCGGCCCATAGCTATAGTATTTCTATATCTGTATCTTCTGTATATTTTACTAACTTTTTTGGCTGCTTGATTTATCACTTTCTGAGAACAGAAAAGTACGACTGGTTAAAGAGGCAACAATAATGTGCATGCAAGTCTCCATTTATGTTATTCAGTTTTACTTTTTTTCTTCAAGTCTGCAATCCCTGCTGACTAGGCCTAGAAGTGTAATTTATAGCAAAGTGCTCAAAAGTCCACCATAGCATAAATAAGATATGTGGTGAAGGTGTTACAGTGTAAAACCTGGACTTGTTTTCCAGTAACCCTAGAGGACTATACATATTAAGAAGTAAATCAGAAATATCCAATTACACAGAAAGAATCTGAGAGGCATAAGGAGTGAAGCAGTGATAGAACAGTGTGGACCTAATACTGCCAGGAAGCCCTCAGCAGGCCACCCCACACATTTGCTTTATTTACTGGAAATCTTACAGTATTTTACCCCACAAAACATCCTCAGCATCCAAAGGACTATTAAAAACAATCTAGAATGTCTATTCCAAAAGGTTGCCAGGAAACTGTGTTTCCCCTGGGGTGTTATTTAACATATTGTATTTGTGCATGAAATTGAGGACTTGGAATTTTGACAGTTTGATCTTTTGATGAAAATGGTTGCCCTGAAGAGAGACAAGTGCATTGAAACACCAATGAAAATAAAGTTGCTTGGAGGTGTTACTCTTGCCTTGGAAGGATATTCCTCATTCATTAGTTATGCATTCATTCTATTTTCTACTCATTCATTCAGTCATTATGGAGCACCCATGATGTGACAGGTACTGGGCTGGCACTGTTGTGTTATAATTGTTTAACAACCATCTTTACAAATAAAATAGCCCTGACTGGAACCATTTGCCAATTTCTGTGGTGTAAATACTCATGGTTGATTTCAAGCTATCAACATTGTGACATTGAAAGTAGAGTTGGGAAGAGATGCTAGCAATTAACTTGTGCAAGCTCCTCTGAGACAGCTCCAGGATAGTCCTCTGTGCTAGGCACTGTAGATGAAGAGCTCCAGGATAGTCCTCTGTGCTAGGCACTGTAGATAAACAGTGACCAAGACATAAAGCTTGAGAGAAGATGTAATGTTTAAGTAGGAGTTAGCTAGGCAAAGGTAGCTGTGGAGTAGGGTGGTGAAGGAGGAAGAAGTTCAGGGAGAAGAGCAGCTTGTGCAAAGGTCCTGTGACCACAGCAAAGATAAAAATGAGAGAGGTAATCTGATGAGAAGATTAAGTGTAGTTTTTCTCCATGGTGTTCTGAGACCTCAGGGAAGGATTTTTTTTTGGCGTGCTAGGGAGGGAGAGGAGTGTGGAGACGTGTAACTAGAAAGAATGTGTAGGTTTCCAATTGGCTTGTTATGACTTAGCTTTACCAGTGGTTCTCAAACTTTAAGTGCATCAGAGTCACCTCAAGGGCTTTTTAAAACACAGATTACTGGGACCAACCACGTAGGTAAGAGGTGTTGCTCCTGCTGCACTGGGGACCACACTCACCTTGAGAATCACTGGAGTGTCCCATTTGGTGCCAACAAAGCTTAGATTTATTGACCCCAGAGACAAGGTTCTCATTCTTTTGTTTCTCAGGGTTTCTGCGTGGAGGCACTATGTCTTGGCATGAAGCAAATTCTTTGCAGCATATTCTGTGTCCTGTGAGAGACGGTATTTCAGAAATAACATACAAATTCAAAGCAAATATCAGTAAGCCAGATTTGACAGTCACGGTTTGAAAGAGAGTCTTTTTGTCTTTAGTATAGGCCCAGAGGGCTATACTTTGAAACACAAGCCCACTCCCTTTTGGGTGAGTGGGCTTCCACAAATACCTAAAAATTCATATCCTGAGAACAGAATGGTCCTGCAGTACTATCTGGTATGTAATGGTCATCCTCAGTTTTCATGAAAAAAATTCTTTGTTTCGGAACCTCTTAGCTACTACTCATAAATTCGGTTCTTGACATCAATTTAGGAAAGCAGTCAATCAATCAGCCCATCAATCATTTATAATTTATTGAACACCTATAATATGTTGTGATGCTGGCAACTTCTTCTTTAGCCTAGAGTTATGTTCTGCTTCTTCTGACTTCCTAGCCTTTGCTGGAACTTCACTTGTCCCTTTTGCCGGGAGGCCTAATCAGATGAAAAATGTTTATTTTCTTATGTTGAATAACCCATTATTAATTTTTTTTTTTTGAGGCGTAGTCTCGCTCTGTCGCCCAGGCTAGAGTGCAGTGGTGCCATCTCTGCTCACTGCAAGCTCCATCTCTCGGGTTCACGCCATTATCCTGCCTCAGCCTCCCGAGTAGCTGGGACTACAGGTGCCCACCACCATACCTGGCTAATTTTTTTGTGTTTTTAGTAGAGACAGGGTTTCACCATGTTAGCCAGGATGGTCTCTATCTCCTGACCTCGTGATCCACCCGCCTCGGCCTCCCAAAGTGCTGGGATTACAGGCGTGAGCCACTGCGCCTAGCCCCCATTATTAATTTTTATCTGACTGCTTTTAATGAGCTCTTGGATGCCAAGCACATTTTTGGAAATAAGTCATCTGGCCAAAACTGCCTTTGAGGATTCTTACCTACAACACAGCTTACTGAAGTTCCCTCAGTTGCTGTTATCTGTGCCTGCTGGTGCATTTTGGTTCACAGTGGTAACTACTTAAACTTAGGGATCATAAAGTGGTTTAAAGAACACCTACACCAAGCTTCTTTTCAAAATATCCTTCATTCTCAAACTAATACCTTCAACAAAACAGTTGATAAATTTTTCAGTGCAATTTTCCATGTCTGGATCCAATGTATATGCATCCATTGGCTAAACAAGAAAGAATAGGGTAAGGGCAAGACTAGAAATGGGCTATTTCATTTTCATTTCACTTGACATTGAGCACCTGCTGTCTGCATATAGTTCTTTCATTCAAGATGCTGATAGTACGTTGAGAAAGCAATGAGTCGTGGTCTGCCTAAAGAGATAAGACAACTGCGTGTGGCCCAGGTGATTAATGGTGCGAGACAGTGTAAGCCGAGTAGCAAAATGAGCGATTCTAGGCACTAAACATTCCCCAAGTTCTTAGGATGGGTTGATCAGGAGGCCCAAAGTGGTTGCAGGCCTCACAGGGGAGGTAGACAGGTTTCTTGGATGTCAGGCTCTAACCCCGCTTGTACCCCTTCCTTACCACTGTCCTTGTATTGGTGGGAGAGGGTACCTTGGCAAAGAGTGAGGGATTGCATAGGAGGGCATTCTGAGGAGCAGCAGGGGCTAAAGTGGATAGATGAGGTATGATATTGGAGTCACTTTAGGTCCAAGCTTAGGATTTTGAACTTGAACCCATATTAATAGATATGTGCCCTAGGGATATTTGAGGACAGTGACAAAGTAAGAATCTTATCTTTTAGTAAGACTAGTTGTATGGTAAAGTGTAAGCGCTGGTTTTAGGCTAGGGAGAGAGACAAGAGTGGAGACCTAGGCACAATGCCGAAGGGTGTGGTTGTGGGTGAAGATGGGCTGAGCAGTTTGGTATCCATGAAGCGGAGAGACAGGGAGGGACAGAGTCTTTGCAAAGGAACATACAAAAGGGACCTGGTGGTTGGATGTCAGGGCTCAGTAAGAGGAAAGAGGTCAAAGTGATTTCTTTTCATCCATGGAAATGAGAAGATTGGTATTGCCACTAAGAGAAATGGGCCAGCTAGGAGGGCTCCAGTCTGAATTATGTTGGGTGTTGAAGCCTTCAGTTTGCAGTCTGTGCACTGAGAAGTGACCACCCTCAGAGGGTCTGTTCTGTAGGTAGCTGGCAATAAAGGGCTGGGAGTCAGTGAGGTTGAGACTGGAGGTAGCTAGCTACCTGACAGTGGTCTGCAGAGTTGTGAGAGCTGGCATTGTAAGCTAGAATCAGGTTGCCAAGGGAAAGTATACAATCAAGAAGGGTAAGGACAATGTTTGCAAACCTTTTGTTTGTTGCTTATCATGTGCCAGACATGGTGCCAGATACTTTGCATGCAACTATCTTGCTTAATCTGTATCACCTGCACCATCCGACAGTGCAGCACACTAGCAAGAAGAGAGAGATCCAAAGTGGGGAGTTGAGCAGTTGAGAGGACTAGTTCCATGACCTTGGGCGACTAACTTAATTAGCCTCTTGGAGACTCCATTTTCTCAGCTGTGAAATAAGGATAATAATAAGCATCATCCCTATGGTCTGTTATCTATTGCTGCATAACAAACTACCCACAATGAAATGTCTTAAAAGGCCAACACTCATTTGTTGTACTTGTGATTTTGCAATTTGGGCAGTCCAGGTGGGAACAATTTGCTGTGCATCTGGAAGTCTGGGGCCTCTGCTTGGTGACCTGAGGGGCTGGGGCTGGCTGGGCATCTCTCTGCCTGAAGTCTCAGGGCTGTCTGTGCAGTCTCTCTATGTGTTCTCTCCATCATGGCAGCTCTGAGTTCTGAGAGTGAGTGTGCCAGGAGACTGGAAGTAGAGGCTGTCTGTTTTTAAGGCCAGGGTTTGGAAGCTGGCACAGTTGCATTTACACAAAGCAGTTCTAGATGGAAGGGAGGAGATAGACCCCACCTCTCAATGGAGTGTCCCTCTTCGGTGGCCCCTTTAATGGCCATTTCATAGGGTGAAGATTAAATAAGACAATGAGCACAACGGGCTTAGCATAGCATCTGAAACATCTTAAGAGCTCAATGAATGGTAGCCATTGTCATTATCAGAGGTAGTATCAGGGTCATTGGAGAGAGATTAGGGATTAAGTAAAGGTGCTGTGAGTCAATGACCAAGAGACCATTGCTGACCTCTTACAGAGACAGCCACTGCCTTGTTCTCAGTGCTGTGTTAGAGGTGGGCGGCCAGTATGCAGGAGACAAGAAGTGAGTGGGAAGGCTGCTCACAGGCTTGAGAAGCTCAACCACGGAAAGACAGGAGAGAAACTGGAGAGTAGCTGCAGGCGGGCAGGAGGAGGGCAACAAGGCCATATGATAGCTTGTTTTCCCAGTGGGACATCTCAGGCATGGGGGTGGTGTCAAGTGAGGACACATGCATGTGTGAAGGACAGAAGGACGAGGAGAAGGAGAGAAAGTTGTTTGGAGGAGGAAGGGGGGTGAGGCTGAGAGACTGAGAGAAAATGTGTGGGCATGTTCATATTTTAAAGGTCAAATTTATTCTAGGCAAACTATTTGTTTAAGATTTGTATGCAGATGGAAACAACCAGGATATAAACTCCTCAGAGGAGGGATGTGAGAGGAAGAAGAGTTTACAATCCTCATTTCGGGCCAGTAGACACACAGCCTCCCATTCCAGGCTGAGGGCAAAGCTTAAGCTGGGAGGGGACTTGGAGGAGGGGAAAGGGAAGGGTTACATTTTTGGTATCAGTGGCTGGGAGCATCAACTGTATATTTAAGAGTAGTGGGGGACACCTACCCAGGGTGATATGGAGCCAAGGCCACAATCAGAAGTAGTTTTGGGAACCCTAAGAACTGACACATTTGTGGTTCTTCCCCTGCCCATATGTAATTTATTAAAAAGATTAAAAAAAAAACCCCCAAAAAACCCAGCCGGACGAGGTGGCTTATGCCTGTAATCCCAGCACTTTGGGAGGCTGAGGTGGGTGGATCACCTGAGGTTGAGAGTACAAGACCAGGCTGACCAACATGGAGAAACCCCATTTCTCCTAAAAGTACAAAATTAGTTGGGCGTGGTGGCACATGCCTGTAATCCCAGCTACTTGGGAGGCTGAGACAGGAGAATTGCTTGAACCTGAGAGGCAGAGTTTGCGGTGAGCCATGATTGCGTCATTGCACTCCAGCCTAGGCAACAAGAGCAAAACTCCATCTCAAAAAGCAAAACAAAAATCAAAAACCAAAAAACAAAACAACCCTAAATCATCAAGTTAGTGTTATGAAATGGAGGAAGGTCTTAATTTTTCCCACGTTGCTTTGATGCTTTTTTTGAAATAGGAATTGTGTGGCCAACCACAGTGGCTCACGCCTGTAATCCCAGCAGTTTTGGAGGCTGAGGTGGAAGGATCACGAGCCCAGGAGTTCAAGACTAGCCTGGGCAATGTAGTAAAACCCCATCTCTACAAACACAAACAAACAAACCCCAAAATTAGCTGTGCAAGATGGCATGCCACTGCACTCCAGCCTGGGCAACAGAGTGAGGCCTTGTCTCAAAAAAAAAAAAAAGAGGAAAAAGAAAAAAAAGAAAAAGAAAACAAAAAAGAGAGAAAGGAATCCTGAGTTTTTTCATAAAACAAAGTTCTGGTGCCCTCGCTTTGTGGGAGTGTTAAGCCGGGGCTTGGCTGGCCCAGAGGGTAGCCCGGCACTGTGTGCAAGGCCCGCAATCCCCGACACCAACCTGGTAGGAACTGCTGGCCCTGGAATTCCTTTTCTGCAGACTCAGCATTTCAGGAGAGGATTCTTATGGTCTCCCTAAGCTAGACAGGTTTTTTTTATTTATTTATTTATTTATTTATGTTTTTGGAGACAGAGTCTTGCTTAGTCACCCAGGCTGGAGTGCAGAGGTACGATCTTGGCTCACTGTAACCTCCGCCTTGCGGGTTCAAGGGATTCTCATGCCTCAGCCTTCCAAGTAGCTGGGATTACAGGCATGTGCCACCACGCCCAGCTAATTTTTTGTAGAGAAGGGGTCTCACCATGTTTCCCAGGCTGGTCTCAAACTCCTGAGCTCAGGCAATCCACCCACCTTGGCCTCCCAAAGTGCTAGGATTACAGGCATGAGACACTGTGCCTGGCCCAGACCCAGGTCTTGACTAGCTGCCTGCTGCCCTGTTTGAATATCCCTGAGGATAGGACCCTGGGGAGTTCCCTTAGTTTCCAACGTGGGCTTCATCAGGGCATACAGGTTTTCGGTTTCTTTATTCCTCGCAGTATCATCAGAACCTAGCCTAGTGCCTGGCAGACAGTCAGCACTCTCCCTTTGTTGGGTGAGTATAAGAATGGAGGGGCATCAAGGGAGACGGTGCAGAAGGGAAGATTCAGATTAAACCATAGGCTGAATTTGTCCAGGTGGCTCTGTGGGGGAAGACTGAGGTAGTGTAGATAATCATTAACTAATTCCCCCAAAAATGATTTCCATATCCTAGGAAGGAAGCATGAGAGAAACGAAGAGTTAGTTCCATGGATCTTGGATATTTTTTTTTTCTCAAAAAAACTGACAAGTTATATTCCTATTTGAAGTGCAGAGTGAAACTGTATGGTTCTTTACAAAAGTAGAATGTCTTTGCTTATGCACAGGCCATATGGGACTCTGGAGTGGGTGTTTATAGTGCCAAAATAAACTCCCTAGATTCGCAGCCATGAGCAGTAAGGCTGGAGCAGAGTTTCTCTTTCACCTTAGAAAACTTGAATTTATTTTGAACAAATTAAAATAGAGTGGGCTTTTCCCATTATAAAACCAGTGCAAGCTTATTATGGAAAATTGGGGAAATACAGAAAAGGCAAAGTTTTGTTGAGTAAACTTTGCAGAGCATAGGTAGGGGGCTGGTTGGTGGTGCAGGGATGAGCCCCAAGACAGCAGGAGACCAGAGACTGGAGGGCATTTCTAGGGCAACCTTGAGAGGTGGGCTTCATTGGGGCTACCTCTATGTTCTCAAGGCACAGATCCCATGCTGGAGATGTATGTGGGATGGTGGTGTGGAGGGAAAGAGACGTGTTCTACAGCTGAGGCTTGGGGCGGGGTCTGTGTTGTCAGCCTGTTCCTGTAATTTCACATTATTGTGGCTGAGTTTTTGTGATCCCAAAAAAAAAGACTTAGTGTCTCCTTGGGAGGGTAGGGCGAGAAGCAGGTTAATTTTCTGCAAAGATCATGTATTGTCTTCAACAGCAGTAGCTTCCAGAAGGTGTGCAGGGACCACAGGGAAACCATAATGAACCCTGAAGACCAACGGGGTTTATTCTTTCATCCAACAATGTCTGCTACTCAGTACAGAGCCCTGTGCTGGGGATAAAGTGGTCAATGCCTGTCTTCTTAGAGCTTGCAGTTTGGTTTACATGGGTCCTCATTCTTGACTGAGAGAATGTGGGCCTATGATCATAGAACTTCAGGAGAGCCTGTGGTCCTACTGTCTGGTCCTACTCAGCTCAGTCCTTTGGAGGGGGGCCTCTTCACCTTCGCTGACCCACTCCAACATTATTGTCTGAGGTTTTTCTTAGCTCTCCTCTATTTACTTTTCCCCAGAGGTAGATGTTCTGGAGCTTGAAATAAGCAGCATGGGTCTTGGAAGAGATGGGTCACCAATGCAGGCCAGCCATCCTTTCCCTGCTAATAATGGGGGAAGAGTGGACAGCTGGGCTTTGGCCCAGGACCTGCCTACCACAGGATGCTTTGTATCTCTCCTGTGATTCTCTCTCTGCAATGCTCTCAGAAAGTCAGTGTCCTCATCCAGCTTCCTCTTTTCCTCTCACAAAATGTGAATCAGAAGCATCCAGAATTTATACAAAAGGGGCTGGTGACAGCTTAAGACAGTACTCCATATATGGGATCTACATCAGGAGAGTCAAGCCTTGAGTCAAAGGGACAAATGCCAATGCTGGCTTCTCAGGCAGTGGTTAGGAGAGGATTGTTTTTGAATAGCTTTTTTGTAGGAGGACCTTGGTGTGAAAAGCAGAGGCCTGTGAAACAAATACTTCTCACAACATACATATGGCCTCAGAAACTCATCCCTAATGAGGCATTTCAAGAATCTCTGGGCCGGGCACAGTGGCTCATGCCTGTAATCCCAGCACTTTGGGAGGCTGAGACAGGAAGATCACTTGAGGCCAGGAGTTTGAGACCAGTCTGGGGAACATAGCAAGACCCCATCCCTACCAAAAATTAAAAATCAGCTGAGCATGATGGGATTTGCCTGTAGTCCCAGTTACTTGGGATGCTGAGGCAGGAGAGGATCCCTTGAGCCCAAGGAGTTCAAGGCTGCAGTAAGCCGTGATTGTGTCACTGCACTCCAGCCTGGGCAGTAGAGTGAGACCTTGTCTCTTTCTCTCTAACAAAAAGAGAAAAATCTCTGGAGTTTCTTAGTTTTTTCCTTCTTTCTCCCTTCATAGCACCTGGCACTGCCCAAGACCTGTGACTATTATGACTCTTTCATCCAGGATCTCCTTAAACAGCTGTAGTTTTAAAAATTCTGTTTCATCATCCACCTAGACCATTAAAATAGTTCAGAAGTTCTACCATTTTGGCATCTAAACTCTACTCGCTGTCTCATACCTAGAAGTAATTAAAAACTATTTTGTTCATTTATGTTGGAAAGAGCTTTGGGAAATACAGTGACTGGGTTTCTCAGGATAGAGTGCAGTGCAGCAGCACTTTCATCACCAGAAAAAGAAGGGCCATTTGCTGTGGCTCAAAGGTCCTGGCTGTTCAGAACAGCTCCAACTTCTAATACTCCGTCCCAACAGTCAAACTCATAGGTTCTAAATTTTGATTTTGAAAATATATCTCCATAGCTGGGAGGCAGTTACTTTTCTTTAGGGACAAGGACTTCTTGCCTGGTTGGAGGTCCCCAGGGAAGATTAGAGGCAGTACTGTGAAGTTGCTGTGAGATTTCACACAGGGAAAATGAGACTTGCCCTTTTCATTATTATTTTTTTCTTCTACAGTTACTTCTTCAACTTTTTTTTTTCTCTGAAGACAGAGACTAAAATGTAGCAGTGGGTTCAATTTAGACATTGACTTAGAAAATAAAATGAGCCTCAGGTACCAGCAAGTTTGAATCAACCCCCAAGGGAAGGAGGATCCATCATGTAGTAATTGATTATGTCAGCTCTCCTTTGAGTGTGAGTTCATTCATTGTGGTGGGTGGCATCAGGGCTGACCTTAATCAACCAGTAGATCCCATATTCTTGGACTACTCAAATTTCGATGCCACTTAGGAAATACAATGAATCTGTCATCAGGCCCTTGAATATTCTCCACATCTTGTTAAGTTTTCTTTCAAATTTATTATATAAATATTTTAATAATAAAAGTTTATGAAAGACAATGTAAAAATGTGTTAAAATACAGAAATAGAAACACCAATAGTATGATTATTGTTACCAAACATTGTGATTACTTTAATATATATCCTTGTCTTTTTTATGTGCATGGGTTTTTGTTAATTTTTAAAACACAAGGCCAGGTGCAGTCACTCATGCCTGTAATCCCAGCACTTTGGGAGGCTGAGGCGGGCGGATCACCTGAGGTCGGGAGTTTGAGACCAGCCTGATCAACATGGAGAATCCCCGTCTCTACTAAAAAAAATACAAAAATAGCTGGGCATGGTGGCACATGCTTGTAATCCCAGCTTCAGGAGGCTGAGGCAGGAGAATTGCTTGAACCTGGGAGGTGGAGGTTGTGCCGAGATGGCACCATTGCACTCTAGCCTGGGCGACAAGAGTGAAACTCCGTCTCAAGAAAACAAAACAAAACAAAACAAAAACAACAACACAGATATCTCTACAGCAAATGCAATTTTTATCTTAAAAATTTTTTACTAAATATTATAGCATACTTAGTAATTAGTATTTGTTATTGACTATTCTTGACTGCTAGTCATTGTGTGGAGGTACTTTACTTACTTATCATTCCTCTCTTGAGGGCCATTGCTATGCTCTGACTGTGTTCCCTGAAATTCTTATGTTGAGATCCTAACCCCCAATGTGATGATATTAGGAGGTAGGGCCTTTTGGGAGGTGATTAAGCCATGAGGGTAGAGCTCTCATAAATGGGATTGATGCCCTTATAAAAGAAGCCTAAGGGAGCTCATTTGCCCTTCCACCATGTGAGGACACAGCTAGATGGCTCCATCTATGAACCAGAAAGTGGGCCCTCTCAGACACGGAATCTGCTGGTGCCTTGATCTTGGACTTCCTACTTTCAGGACTTTGAGAAATAAATATCTGCTGTTAAAGCCTCCCAGTCTTTGGTATTTTGTTACAACAGCCTGTGCTGATTGAGGCAGGCATGTGGGCCTTTCACTCCTTTGGGTCTTCTCCATTTTATCCTTGGATCTAGCTGAACCATCAGCGCTTGGGCCAACTTGTTCTACACCCTTAAAAATGATTTTTTTCTGCCTTGTGTTTGGAAGGCTGCTCTCGGCCTCCTGGGGGAGATGCTTTGGGAACCGGCATGACAGGTGTGTGTTCTCAGGCTCTCAGTAGCATTCCAATGCCACGCCGGCCCTGCACGAGGCCTATTCTCAGGCCACGGCCCAGGAGCAGCTTCACTTCTTCTAAGCCACTATTTTGTTTTTACTGATTATATACCATGTTGTTTAACAACCTAGATTCCTTCTCAAAACCAAGTTATAAGTTGATTCTCAGCAAAGGCATAAAACCTCAGCAGTTTGGATTACCCAAAAGGCAGTTCAAATACCTATCAGGTGCCCCAATCATTTATTGCTTTACTTTTTCATCTTCAATATGCCAATGGAACATTTTGCTATCAGGAAATCTAGAAAAAAGGTTATTTTAATTCCAATAACATTTCAAATTTTAATTAAAAAAAATTTAAATTCAATAATTTCAATATGTTTTCTGTCTGGTCTAGTACTGTTTTTATTTGAATTGCCCACATGGGCGTTGGGGCCCCTAGAGGCCTTATAGCCACTCTTTGGACTTGCCTTAGCTCTGGGTTTTCTATTGTCTTTATTTTTCCATACATTGCTTCTTTATGTAGTTTGTTCTGCTGAATTGTAACTACTTTTGTAAGCCACCTCCAGTGATTTTGGTAATGAGATGGTATATAACCATGAATAAAAATGCCATTTATTGGGTCAAAAAATGTGAACTTCTTGAGGCTATTGATGCATACTGCCAATTAACTTTCCTTTCTCTGATTACCTCCCTGGGCTGTCATCTGTTTTTTTCTTGGACTTTAGGACATTGGGCTGCTACTAAAAGGTCTAAAACTACTCTTAGCAATGAAATAAGAGGGTTAATGTTCACTTAGTTTGAAGACTCAGTGAATGCCATATCAATTTTTAAAATCTAACTCACTCTTTCTTCTGTTGTAGAGTGAGTTCCCTGGGAAGCTGACTCTGAAACTGGCAATGTGCAGGAAGCTTTTTAGAAAGTGCTCTTGAGATCCACAACTATGGAAGGGATTAGGAAAGAGACAGAATTAGGCAGAGGGTAAAGTTGGGCTGTGATACAGTTTCAATGAATTCCTCAGGATGACTCTATAGGGAGCTCTGATGCTGGGATGGCTCTTCAGAGTGGTCCTAAGTTGGAATAAGAAGGCCCCAGGTAAATCAAGCAATGGAGCAAGCTTCTCAGAGGAGCAAGTGAGACCTTGGGCAAGGCAGTTCCTACAGGGGGCTGACAGCTGGGGGTTATCTGCCAGGAGCACTGCAAGTCGCTGGGGGAATAAGTTCTTTCCTCTCAAGAGATCAGGATGGTGTATCATAACCTCTCCCTCATCCTCTTTGACAATAGAAGCCTTTAGGCATCACCTGATTTGGGGCATTGCTAGGTCTGTGATGTTTCTTTGCAAGAGAATTTAGCCTGCATTTGTGAATATCTTCCCTTTAGTCAGCATTCAGCACCATTGCCACCTATGATTTAGGAAATCCGCATCGTGGTTAGCCTTCTAATTTTATAATTACCTTTCCAGAATAATAACCTCATCCAGGTGTTTTGTAACACAGAGCAGCAAGGGACATTAATTTCAATTAGAAGGGGAAAAAATACAAATTGAAGTGGAGTTGTGGCAAGAAAGAAAGCTCAAAACGCATTTCTTTGAGTGTACTTCATTTAGGTAATTAAATCTCTGCAATGCGACTGAACCATTGGCAGTGGTGCCCTTTAAGATGGATATTTAAAAAGTACATGACTCTGGAATTTGAAGCTGTTCTGGCTGCCCAGCACACATCTGGAAATAAAAGAGGTGCAGAGAGATTGAGGCAGGGTGAGACCTCGGCAGGGTGAGACCTCAGGGAGGCAACAGAGGTACAAAGAAGCATTCTTCCTTTGTGTTTTCACACTTAACATTTTTTCTTGGAATAAGAATCTGAGCCTTGTAAAAATGATTTCAAGTTACTTTCCAGCATTTTGAAAGGATAGTGAGGGAATTGAAGGCAAACGAAGGGCTGCGGACATTTACTGAAGAAAAAAGGTAAAGGTTTAAAGGTTCTTCCTGTCCTCTTCTTCCTCACTTGACTGAGGAAATCATGGATCTTGCTTTCTCTGGCTGGCTTGGCAGAGTTGCAGAGAACATGAATTAACATGGGTATAAGGACCCCTTCTCTTGGTGAACTGGCAAAGCTGGCAGGCATTGAGAGAGACAAGTTCATACGAGAAAAGGGGACACAGAAGAGAGACCTCTGCTCCCTCAGCCAAGATTCATGTCACCAAGAAGCAGCTGGTTCTGGGGCTCCTGGAAAGGGCTGTGTATTGTGGCTGGCATGCCAAAGGCTTTGGTCCCTGCTTAATATTTCAAATGAGTTGTGTAGGTGGAGTGCTCATGAGATCTCAGCATGGCCAAGGCCTGTCGGAGACCTTCTTTTAAACAGTTAAATCTCAGGGGGGTTGCTACAGTATCTCAAAAACAATTACACAGCTTTCCTCCCCCGAGAGAATTTTTCTGACTCTCTGGCTCTGGTCTGAGACAGGAAACTAAAATTGTTTGTCAGATTTATTCTTCTGGAGCTACCCCAAATGTTCCATTATAACTTTAGTTCACCCATAATGAAGGGAGAGCTGACACAGGGAAAGTGGCATTAAGGGTACAAGGAACTTGGCTTCTCTAATTCTGCAGGGTTAATATTGACAGCTGGAGAGTGGTCTGCTTTGGAAAGACGCACATGTTTAAGTCAAGCAGGGGAAGTACTTTATTAGCTGAGGTTTTTTAGGTTGACATAAGCTTTCTCATGTTTTTGAAAGGGGCAGGAAGCCTAATTTTGCATCTGTATAGATTGCTACATTTTTGATGCTTGTTATTATTACTTTATGAGTTTAGTATTCACGTTTTCGGAGCTTTTTACACCCCTGTATACCTATCTGCATAAGTGGGGGCGCTGGGTAACTTAGTTATATAAACTGACATGAGTGGTATTAGCGCATCTTATCCCTCATCCCTTTAGAAATAGGACCCATCACAAACCAGTGGGGTACTCTTTTTAATGAGAGCACACTTCTCTCTTTTTTTTTTTCCTGAGATGGAGTCTCACTCTGTCGCCCAGGCTGGAGTGCAATGGTGTGATTTCGGCTCACTGCAACCTCCGCCTCCTGGGTTTAGGTGATTCTCCTGCCTCAGCCTCCTGAGTAGCTGGGATTACAGGCATGCGCCACCATGCCCAGCTAATTTTTGTATTTTTAGTAGAGACGAGGTTTCACCATCTTGGCCAGGCTGGTCACGAACTCCTGACCTCGATTTCCACCCGCCTCGGCCTCCCAAAGTTCTGGGATTACAAGCATGAGCCACCGCGCCCCGCTGAGAGCACATTTCTTAAGGAACCAGTCACTGTAAATATCTTTTTTCTCAAATTCTTGACTGTATTCAACCTGTCATTCTCTAGGCAGAGAGGCCATAAGAATTACACTACCTGCGATTTTTATGGTCCTTTCCTGCCTTAATACTTATAGGCACATGAGAAAGGGTGAAGTCTATTACTCTGGTAAGGCAGAATATCTATCATTGTCAATCATGATTTAATCTAATTTAAAGACTTAGGCTTTTAGGCATTTAGTCCAACTGTTGTTGTTTTTTTTTGTCTTTAAGTGAATTGAGTCATTATTAAACTGGTTTATCCCAAACCCTGGATTAGCACTTCTTTTTATGCATCACCTTGCATTTTCATCTTAGTTCATTTGTTTAAATATTTTTCCATGTCTATTCTTTCCAGGGATTTGTGTATGTCTTCAACTTGCCATATATTTGGGGCTTCAGACTCACATGGCATTCAATAGTCTTAGAACCTCTACAGTTGTTAGTTATGTATTCCGCAGGGAGCGGCTTTTGAATAAAGGACTTTTTTTTTTGATCAGCTGAGACTTTTCTAGCACTTTCCTAGCCCAGTCTTGGCTGGTGCAGGGAGGAGCTACACTTTGGATATTTCTCCTCACTTCCTGGTTATATGGTAAATGTATCGCGTAAAGCACAAAGGATATTTCTCCTATAAAATGACGTTTTAGCTGTGAGATGCTTTACAATTCCATGTACATACTCTTCTTAGTAAATTGTCTCTGAAAGGGGAACACAGAGTATAGGAACTGCTAAGTTTCTGAGTTGATCTAACTGACTGACTGACCTTGTAGATGAGCAAACTGCTGCCCAGAGAGTTTAAGAGCCCTGCCCAAGATCACACAGTAGCAAATGAAGACCTAGATTTCCCAGTTCTGTGTTTTTAGTGTGATTTGCACTCCTTTTCCTCAGGACTAATTTTTAAAAACCTTCCAGAAACAACAACTTAATGGAGTTTTTTCTATTTCATTAGTTGCTTTTACTTTATCATTTTCTCTTTTCTTTATAATTTCTTGAGGTGTTTTATGTCTATCATTATTTGTACAATGACACTCATTAATTTTAAATTTTCATTCTTTTCTAATACACACATTTAGCAATATAAAATTTCCTTTATATACTACTTTAATTATCTTCTACGGCTTTTGATATGTATTATTTTTATCATTATTTTTTCCTCAAGATTTTATTATATACATCCTGATTTGTTCTTTGACCCATAATGTACTTAAAAGAGTGTTTTAAAATGTCCAAATATGTGGGTTATTTAGGGTTATCTTTCTGTTATTGATTTCTAATTTAATTACACTGTAGTCAGAGATCATGGCCTCTATACTTTTCATTCTCTGGGATTTATAGCAAATTGCTTTGCAACCTTTTATGTGATCTATTTTTGTAAATGTTTCATGTTGCTTGAATAAAGTGTGTAGTCTCTAATTGTTGGGAATAGTGTTTTATATAGAGCCATTAGATCAAGTATTTTAATTGTGTTCTATATCTTCACTAATTTTTTATTTGCTTAATTAGGTACTGAGACATGCATATTAAAATTTCTATTATGATTGTGGATTTGCTAATTTTTCTTTGTAATTCTGTAAAAGTGTGCTTCATAAATTTTGAAGCTGAGGTTTTAGAAAAAACTGCAGAGTTTATACAGTGAAGGCAGACTGGCTGGGTCTGCATTGTGGCTGTGCCGTTTACAAATGTTGAACCTTGGGAAAGTCACTTACTGTCTGTAATTCAGGATTCTCATCTGTGAAATGGGCTGCACCCTGAATATCATTGTGAGAATTAAGTTATTTAATACATATAAAAAGGCACTTACAACAGTGTCTGGCAGTGTCTTTTTATATGTATGAAATCACTTAATTCTCATAATGATATGGAGAGTCACAAAACATTCAGACTATAGATTATAGATATATACTCATTACATAGGGATAAAAGGAGCAGTTTGCAAATAATAATAATAACATACTGGCACAACAGTGTCTGGCAAATTGCTCCTTTTATCCCTATATAATGAGTATATATCTATAAATATGATGTTTTTGACATCTATATAGATATTACTATAGTCTGAATGTTTGTGACTCTCCAAAATTCGCATGTTGCAATCAAATCCTTAATGTATTGGTATTATGATGTGGAGCCTTTGGGAGGCCATCAGGGCTCTATTTTCATGAATGAGATAGTGCCCTTTTAAAAGAGGCTTGAGGGAGCCCCTTGGCTCTTCTGCCATGTGAGGACATATAGAAGCCACCATTTATCAGGAACAGGCCCTCACTAGATACCAAATGTGCTGGCACCTTGATTTTGGACTTGGCAGCCTCCAGAACTGTGAGCAATAATTTTTTGCTATTTATAAATTGCCCAGTCTAAGGTATTTTTTATAGCAGGCCAAATGGACGAAGATAGATATAGATGTTTATCTCTACTTCTATGTTTGTATTTTTTGTTTAGTTTTCCTTTTCTAATATTCATGTTGCTATACCAGCCTCCCTGTACCCCTTAGTTGGCTATGCCCAGCATATATTTTTCCATCCATATACTTCTAAGCTTTATATGTTGTTATATTTCAGATAAGTCTCTGGTAAATAGAATATAGCAAGATCTATAAATATCCAATCCAAAAATTTCTGTTTTTTTAAATGAATACAGTAAATCCAATTAATTTGTATAATTATGAATATATTGGAATTTATATCTAACATATTATTTTATGTTTTCTATATACTATACCTTTTTCCTTTTTTTTTTTTTTTTTTTTTTTGAGGCAGAGTCTGGCTCTGTCGCCCAGGCTGGAGTGCAGTGGCGCGATCTCAGCTCACTGCAAACTCTGCCTTCCAGTTTCACGCCATTCTCCTGCCTCAGCCTCCTGAGTAGCTGGAACTACAGGCGCCTGCCACCGCGCCTGGCTAATTTTTTGTATTTTTAGTAGAGACAGGGTTTCACCGTGGTCTCAATCTCCTGACCTCGTGATCTGCCTGCCTCGGCCTCCCAAAGTGCTGGGATTACAGGCGTGTGCCACCGCGCCCAGCCTACTATAGCTTTTTTCTGTTCTTTTCTTTCCTACTGTCTCTTACATGAATACAATGTTATTTATTGCCCTTTTTAGCTTCTGCTGTTTTCGAAATGTATTCATTCTGCTCCTATTATTTTATGGGTTACAGTTTATTTTTTAACATGCATAGTTGATTGAAATAGGAACAACAACAACAACAATAACCATATTCTGAACAAATTAAGGATTTTAGGACATTTTAATACCGCTATATAGATTTCTCCTTTTCCCATAACCATTTTTTTTTGAGTCAGGGTCTCGCTCTCACCCAGGCTGGAGTGCAGTGGTGCGATCAGAGCTCACTGTATGTAGCCTTGAACTCCTTAGCTCAAGTGATCCTCCCACCTTAGCCTCCCGAGTAGCTAGAGCTACAGATGCATGCAACCACGCTTGGCTAATTTATTTATTTATTTCATTTATATTTTATTTATTTATTTAGATACAGGGTCTCACTCTGTCACCCAGGCTGGAGTACAGTGATATGATCACAGCTCATTGAAGCCTTCACCTTCCTGGCTCAAGTGATTGTCTCACCTCAGCCTCATGAATAGCTGGGACTACAGGCATGTGCCACCATGCCCAGCTAATTTTTTTAGTTTTTGTAGAGACGAGGTTTCACCATGTTACCTAGGCTGGTCTTGAACTCCGGGGCTCATGTGATCTTGCCTTGGCCTCCCAAAGTGCTGGGATTACAGGCGTGAGCCACTGCACCTGGCCTAATTTTTTTGTTTTTATTTTTTGTAGAGATAGGTGTTTTGCTCCATTGCCCAGGCTGGTCTTCAACTCCTGGTCTCAAGTGATCCTCCAACCTCAGGCTCTCAAAGTGCTGGGATTACAGGCATGATCCACCATGTCTGGCCCATGTTTCTCTTTTACACTACTTTGTTTCTATTGTTTCTATCAGTTTTAAATCTTCTATAAGTCATTAATGTTGTTATTAATTTTATCTACTCATTCAATGCTTACATAACTTTACTCACATAGTTACCATTTTCCTTGCCTACCCCTGTTTTCTATATCCGATTCTTGCCTTTAGGGTTCAGTGTTTTTTTCAAATGCATCATTTTCTTTAGTAGATGTTTCTGTTATAATGAGTCTTCACTTCCTCACACTTCGTTTGAAAATGAATATTTCCACATGCTCCTTGGGTCAAGTATTAGCAATATATAGAATATTAGGACAATTATTTATTTTCTCTTAATCCTTTAAAGATATTAATCTATTGTGTCCTGGCTTCTGTTGTCACTGGTAAGAGTCTGCTGTCAGTTTAATTATTGGTCTTGTAGATCATCTATTTTTTTCTCAGATCCCTTTTATGGTGTTTCTTTTTGACTTTGATTTTATTGTATGTGCCTAGGGATAAGATTTTAAAAGTGTATCATTTTCAGAGCTCATTATTCTTCAACTCAGAATTCATATCTTTCATTAATTCTCGTAGTGTCTCATCTATTCTCTCTTGGAATATTATTTGCTTCTCTCTTTTGTAAAAGTTCTATTTGACATTTTTGACCTCTTTGTTAATTATCCATCTCTCTTCTTCAATTAACTATTCAGTTATGTTTAATTTGTTACTTACCTTGTGCGGTGAAATTTCAGTTTTAATGACTAATCAAAATCTTTTAATTTCTAAAAGTTCACTTGCCAATTCTTTTTTCACAGTTGTCTATTCTTTCCTTATGACTTGAATTCTTCCTTTATATATATGTAATCATTTTGAAGATTATCATTTGAGTCTTTTAAGACTATTATTTATCACAAGTTATATTATAGCCTGTTTGTTCTCTACACTGGGTCACTGTAAGTGTGGTTTGGAATTTTGGATTTTGAGCACATTTTCAGCAGAGCTTTTTCTTATCATTTTTTTCTTTTTTCCTTGGGGAGTCTCACAAATGCTGGGCTGTGAAAGAGTTCCTAGAGTGTGGGATTTCATTTGATTTAGCCAGGTGTCCTAGAGGTTCTTTTTCTTACTTAGGATTAAAACAAAATTTGTTGTTGTTTATTTCTGTACTTGGGGATTTCTGCTGCATAAATTTGAATGCCACATTCCTGTGTAGTATAAGGTTTTGGTCTTTGTTTTTTTTGTGGGAGACTTTAACAAATTCTTCTCAGAGTTCCAGAAAGGGACAAGCCATCTTGTTTTTCTGAGCCAGTGGGTGTGTTTTTTTTCCTAGTCTTCTCTTTTACAAGATATTAGCTTTTCCATGGCCTGGTTTTAGTCTGTGATTTTTGTTTTTGATTCTCATCTTCTGCGGACCCAAAGCCACATTTCCCCTTCCTCTGCATGTATTAAGACCCAGCTCCTTAGGACTTCTTTTCAGTCTGATATGACTCTGGAGTGTCATGACATTGGCCTATGGCTTTATCCTGCCTCTTTTTTTTGGCACCAAAGAAATTTTCATTTCTTTATTTTAATAAAAACTGTGTATTTAATTTTTCTTTTGATCTGTAATTTTTATTTGGTTGTATTGATGGGAGGTAGAGGAATATTGTGTTACCTCAGTCTGCCATGTTTCCAGAACCAAAAGACTTTAGATTTATTTTTTTATTATGGGAACATAAGAAAACCCATAAAAGATTAGTGAACAAATGACAATTTGGAGAAAATACTTAAAACATGTACAATACTGGATATTAATATCTTTAATAAAAAAGAGACCTACAAGTCAACAAGAAAAGATGAACAACCTAAAACAAATTGGATAATTTTAATAATAAGAAAGGCACGGAAAAAGTCAGTCTTTGTGGTAATCAAACAAACATCAATTCCAATAATGAAATACTTTATTTAGGCTATCAAATAGGAAAAATTTGAAAGCAATGATAATGTCAATGGTTTTTTAAGATGTAGGAATATTAATACTCTTAAACATTGTTGATGGCGGGTCTGAGAGTAACTTTTTGAAAGGACAATTTGTGAATATGAGTCAAAAATCTTAACAAACCGTATTCTTTAATACTCACACTTCTAGGAATTTTTACTAATAAACTAATTGGGCAAGTGTATAAAGATCTATGCATAAAGATGAAGCATTGTTAGTAATGTCTAGTAATTGAAACAACCTAAATTTCTAAATGAGAAAATCATGGTAAATCCATTCAATGAAATGTAATAATCAATTAAAGTAACACAGAAATATTCATTAGAATTGAAAAATATTTGTATATATTCTTTATTAATTAAAAATCAGAGACAAAATAAGTGACATAGTAGAAATCAAATTCATTTCTGTTTATTTGTATTTATATGCCCTTAAAAAATCTAGAGAGGCCAACATCAATATGTTAACTTGGTTTTGGCAGTGTGAGTGATTCTTATTTATTTATTTAAATCTGTACCTCACATATAGTTTGTGTCATGAAATGAGGTTAAATATTATAGTATATCCATAGAATAAATTTTTCTTGGCTATTAAAACCTGTGATTCTGAAGAATATTGAATAATATGAACAATGCTTAGAAAATAATATTGACATAAAATGAAGCAGGACACAAAACACAGTAGGTTTTCTATAAAATGCAGTATATGAAATGTGCATATGCATATGGGATGAAATATGAATATATTAATGGTATTTATTAAATCAATCATTATTAACATTATATCAATAATGGTTATTGCTAGATAAGTATCAGTGGCTTTTCTTTCTGCAATTTTGCATTATGTCCATGTATGCTTTTCTAAATAATGAAACTATTCAAGTGCAGTGTTATTCCAAGAGAGGCAGGTGAATGAAGGCCTGGGTTGAAAGGCCAGTGGTCTTTGTGACAGCAGGGGAGGAGTCTAGTGGTGGGGCAGATAGGCCCCGCCTTGTTTGTCTCCAAGCATGTCTTCCACCTGGGAGTTCTGTAAACTTGAGGGTTCAGTCTTTTTATAATTACTGAATGAAGGAAATTAGTCTTCTTAGAAAATATTTGAAATGAGAGTTGCAATGACGTCTGAGAAATATAAAAAATCTGTTTTTAAAAATTTCCTTGTAAGTTCTTCTTGTCCCCAAAGGCTTGTTGTGGAAGCTGTGAAACGGGTAGTAACATGGATGAAGTGGCCCAGGGCATGGCTGCCCATGGATTTGTTTATATTTTCCCTGGTGGGCCTAGGGGAGCCAGAAGGCCTTTGAGCAGAACACTGGAATTTAAATAAAACATGCATCTAGGTTGCGTATTCAACCTTTATTCTTTTTGAGCTGGCAGCTTTCCTGAGGTCCAAGGAAACTCCCGAGAGCTTCAACCACACAAGAATACTCTATGAAGTTGGCAAATATAAGACTGCAGAGAATGTCTATGAGGGAGACTTGGAGAAGGCTCTCTACCCACCAGGCTGGTTAGTTAAGCCACCCTTGGTGCCCATGCAGTGGAATAAGTAACCTAGTGCAGAGGGCTATGGGAAGGGCCCACCTTGGTCAATGCTCTGAAAATGCAAGCATTTACAGTAGGTGATAAAGAGCTACCAGGCTTCCTTTAATGATTACCTAGGACTCATTTGACATGCATACATTTACTTTTTGAATTCGAATGGATGTTCTTAATCTGCTTATAAATGAGTATGCTTCTTAAATATTTGCCTGGCTACTTTGCATTTTAGAACATTCTTAGTAAGTTATCAGAACTCACAAAAGAGTACACTTTTTCTTTACCATAGGTGAATTATCAACAGTTGCAGATTAATGCTACCAAGAGGCTGGTAGGCTTGTGAGGAAATCAACAGAGATCTGTCCGCAGCCTGGGGAACCTATGTTGGTGGGCAGCTATCTGGTGGTAGTAGTTTTCTGCAGGGATGCCTGTGGAAGTGGACAGAGAAGGTGCCAGATCCGGGCGGGCCACAAGTGGGAAGAGCTGATCAGAGACTTCAAGCCTGCAACCTTGGCTTTTGGGGAACTCTCAGAGTGGGCTGGCCTGAACTTTGCCTTTGACCTTGTGCTGTCTGGATGTCCACTCTTGGTGACAAAGCTTCTAACATATATGGTTAGACTATATTCTCTTCTTTACCAACACACACTACAAAGAAAGTTGAAATCATCCTCTTTTAGGCAACAGAAAGCGTAAGAAATACTCACTTATTAGTAAACGAATGAGAATTTACTGAGTATCTTAAAGTTCTCATTTGTATTTTTCCCCCACTGAAATTGTGTCTTATACAAAATTGTGTTTGTTATGCAGAATTAAGAAGTGAATACACCCACGTCTTTGGCACACATGGGTTTTTTATTTCACAATCTGTTTAATCTTTTTGCATATTCCAAGGGAGGCTCACTGTAGGAGTATGTGTGTATCTCTCTGACTTGCAGTCAAGTTATAAAAAAAATCTAGGTCTAGAGTTTGAAAGTATGTACAGGAATAAAAATAGTCGGAAAAAAATAACCAAGGATAACAAACTTATGAGAAAAGAAAGTGTTGGTTTCATTTTAATTTTCTTGCAAAGTTTGTAGAGTTCATCAGAGCTAACTCAAAGTGTCCTCCATATTACATTGATGACCATAGGGACTCACATCATTCCTTTTCTCATGGAGCTGAAATTGAGTTTCAAGTAAGGGTGTATATTTTGTTATTTAGTGACACCTTACCACACACACAAAATCCATAATTTAATAACTTGAAATATTTAAAAAATTTTCCTGGAAATCGTCAATGGACCCTGGGGTCACTTAATGGGAAGGGAAAGTAGGGAATAATTTGATTATTTGAAGATATTCTCTCTCGCTTTTTCCTCTCTCATTTATTCATTCATTTACTTATTTAACTTATTGTATTCTGTTTAATTTAAATTTTCTATTTCTATTCCCTCTCTATAAGAAACTACTCTAGGGTTTTACAATACATCCTTTTGTCTGTTGTTAAACTCTCTATTCCTTGTATTCCTGTTTGTTTTATGTGCTTGTACTTTAAGTTTATGTGAATGGTACTTGGGAATAGATCTCATTCTGTTCCTTTTTTCACTAAGCCCATTTTTAAAAGATCCATCTATGTTGCTGTGTTACATTCAATCTGTCGTTGCTAATACTACATTTTACTTCATGGAATGCTTCCCTTCCTTTTGCTTATTCAGTTGGGAGGTAATGGACTCCGAAACTGCTCTAACTCCCTGCCACTGCAAAGAATTATGGACCTTTGTGAGAATTTATTCAGATTTATAATTTTTACCAGTTTTAACTGAGGTAAAATGATATTTCAATATTGTTGTAATTATATTCTTTGATGACTGAGTTTGTGGCAGTGTTTTGAGTTATCTTTTGTATACACCTTCTATTCATATTTTTGTCCATTCTTCTACTAGGATTGCTTTTTCTTTGCAAATGTCCCCTGTGTATTTTATATATTAGCTCCTTATTCATTTTGAACAGTGCAAATTTTTTCTCTTGATCTGTTATCTTTTAACTTTATGCACAGTATTTTTTATTGACCAGAAAGCATTACTTTTTAAGTAATCAAATATATGGAGATTTTTTTGCCTTGCAGTTTGCATACTTGGGGTTTTATTTAAGCAGGCCTTATCTATCTTTAGGTGAGAAAGATATTCTACTACATTTTCATTTACTAAATTTATGATTTATAATTATAATTTATAATTGTATCTTTCATTTAGGTACTTATCCAAATGGAATCCACCTTTGCATATGGTGTTAGAGTCCCAGTTTTATTTCTAAATGTAATGAGTTATTTTTCTAATACTTTCTCCTAAACAATCTATCCTTTCCCCCCTAATTTATGGTGCCACCTTTATTGAATCATATATATATATATATATATATTTTTTTCTTTCCTGAAATATTTTGCTCTATTTCTATTTGTTCGCATTTTCTCTAAAATTAAACTGTATTTTGTAATTATAGCTTTTGTAAATTCCCAATCTTTTTTCCTTTGGTGGACCTCTATTTGTTTATAGAGGTGATCAAGATCATTAAGTGCCTAAAAGATCAGGTGGAATTTTCATAGTGATTGCCTCTGCAATACAATAATTGTAAATACATATAATTTGTAGATCATTTGGTAAAGAATTTACATGCCTACAATGTAATCCTATTCAAGACCATGGGATGCAACTTCATTCTGTGCCTCTATTTTCTTTGTACTTTATTAAACTTAAAAAATTTTTCTGCATAGTAAATTGTTAGTTAAACTCTCTGGATACTTTAAGCTTTTCTATTGCTGTTATGAAGGTAATATTATTTTTATTATATTTTCTAGTTGGTTACTGAGTTTGAAAGAATGACTTTTGACTTTTGTAAGTTGATCTTGCATCCAACAACTTTGCTTAACTGTATTAGTTCTAATTGTTTGTTGCATTTCTATATTGGGGATTGTATCATCCACAAATAGTCTCCTATCTCTTTTTTAAAAATCATAACATCTCTTCCTTTTTGTCCTCCCTTAACTTCTAGAACTATTTTTTAAGACTTCCAATACTGTGCTAAACAATATGGAGATAGTGCACATACTTGTGGTTTTCACTTTCTCCAATCTTAGAAAAAATCCATTTCCTTATATTCCTAATTCTCTTCTCTTCTATGATTTGCTAAAAGATTTATTTTTCCATAAATAGTTGCTGAACATTATCAAATTCTTTTCCTGCATCAACTGAGGCAATTGTATATTATTCTTTCCCTTTCAGTCTATTAATGAGGTCCCATTACTTCTGGGATAAACCCTACTCTAGCTTGATGTAATTTATTTATTTAAGAGATGAGGTCTTGCTATGTTGCCCAGGTTGGCCTTGAACTCCTGGGCTTAAGCAATCCTCCTGCTTCAGCCTCCCAAGTAGCTGGTACGACAGTCATGCACCACCGCACCCAGCTTAAGAACCAGTTTAAGTATCAGTTCAAACACCATGTTTTTTTTGGTAAAGCCTTTCTAATCTACCTCTTCTTGCTTCCTGACCCCCATCTCTTTTGTTCACAGATCACCTTGTTATATCACTGCTGTGGAATTTATAGTGGTCTTGCTTATTGCTATTCCTTTTCTCACATACCATTAGTTGGGGAGACATCTTAAGAATAGAATAATGTCTTATTTTTGAAGTAGTTTATTAAGGTATAATTTGCATACCACAAAAATCACCTGTTATAAGTTTAAATTCAGTGCTTTTTAGTAAATTTATAGAGTTTGTGAAACCATCAACATAGACCAATTTTAGAACATTTTCAGCCTAAAATATTCCTTCCTGTTAGTTTGCAGTCAGTTCCTCCTCCCGACACCAGCCTCAGGCAATCACTTATCTGGTGTGTTTGTCTCTATAAATTTGTCTTTTCTGGACATTTAGTATAAATGGAAACATATATTGCCTTTTGTGTTGGGCTTCTCTCACTTAGTACAATGATTTTAAAGTTTATCCATGTTGTAGGATGAATTGATAGTTTGGTAATAAACATTTGTGTATAAGCCTTTGTGTGAAAATGTGTTTTCATTTCTCTTGAGTAGTTTCCTAGGAGTGAAATTGCTGAGTCACTTAGTAAGTTTATGTTTAACATTTCAAGAAACTGGCAAACTCATTTTCAAACAGGCTGTACCAATTCACATCTCCACCAACAACATAAGAAAGTTCCAGTCTTTCTACATCTTCAACAACACTTGGTATTGTTTCTCTTTTTGAGTGTAGAAATTCTAGCGGATGTGTAGTGGTATTTAGTTGTGTTTTCAATTTCCATTTCCCTAATGACTGAAATTGTTGAGCAAGCTTTTCCCAGTGTGTCATGTGGCCCCTGAGGTGTATAACCCAGGGCTGGCTGCGTTTCAGGATCCCTCAGCTGTGGTGCAGGTGGAGCTTGCACAGTCAAGACTCCATCCACCCCAGGCAGCTTTCGTGAGTCTTGGGGGATTGGCTCACCGTGCATCCTCTCCTTGGTTTGTCCCACATTACCTCTCTGTAACTTATAAATCCACTTCATACAACTTGTTGAGTGTTAGTGTGTTCTGCCTCACTGGACTCAGGCATTGGTAACACTTCAGCCCAGGATGAAGTGGGCATAAGTGTTTGGACTCCTATTTTTGGTGATTGGCATAGTGATGATTTTTGCTGCTTCCATGCAGTGGGAGTCCTTTCTTGGGAATTGTTATTAATGAACCTGATTCACACCTTCCTCCTTCCCTTCCTAGCTCCATTTCTTTCTTTATTTTCCATATTTCACTGGCTAGAACCTCTAATGCAATGTTGTATAGCAGTGGCAAGGGTGGACATGCTTGCCTTGTTCTCAACCTTTGGGGGAAGCATTCTGTCTTTAGTGTTAAGCATGTTGGCTATAGCTTTTCCATGATGTACTTTCTCAGTTTGAGGAAGTTCCCTTCTATGCTGAATTTTTTGGAGTTTTGAAAAATTAAAAATAAATTATGAATGGGTATTGGATTTTGTCAAATGCTTTTTCTGCAGTTGATGAACTGATTATATTTTTGTTTTTATTTTATTAATAGGTTACATTACATTAATTGTTTTTTGGGTGTTCAACCAATCTTGCATTCCATATATAAATCCCACTTGGCCATGGTGTGTAATTCTTTTATATGCTACTGGACTTGGATTTATAACATTTTGTTAAAATTTTTTGTGTCTATGTTCCTGAGGGATATTGATATACAATTTTCTTGTGATGTTTTTGTCTTGCTTTGGTATCACAGAAATACTTATATAATGAATGAACTGACGTGTTCCCTCTTCTGTTATTTCCTGAAATAATTGATGAAGGATTGATATTATTTGTTCTTTAAACATTTAATAGAACTCACCAGTGAAACCATCTGGGGGTTTCCTTGTGGTAAGACTTAAAATTACTACTTCAATTTCTTCACTTGGTATAGGTCTATTTGGATTTTCCATTTCTTTCTAAGTTTGGTAATTTGCGTCTTTCTAAGAATCTGCTCATTTCATCTAAATTGTCCAATTTGTTTGCAAAAAGTTGTTTATAATATTGCCTTATACTCCTTTTATTTTCCCTAGGGTTAATAATGATATTATCTCTTTCATTTATTTTGGTAACTTGTGTCATCTCCCTTTTTTTTCTTGTTTGTTCTAGCTGAGAGGTTGGTCAATTTTATTGATCATTTTAAAGAATCAGTTTTGGTTTGAGTCCTCTATTGTTTTTCTGTTTTCTATTTCATTGATTTTTCATTCTAATCTTTATTATTTCCTTTCTTTTGCTTGCTTTGGTTTAAGTTTGTTCTTTTTCTAATTTTATAAGGTAGAAATCTATGTTATTGATTTGATAACTTTTTCTTTTCCCATGTAGGTATTCTGATATAGAATGTAGTTTTAGCTGCATCCCAAAAATTTTGATGGATTATATTTTCATTTTCTTTCAATTCAAAATATTTTCTAATTTCCCCTTTGATCTATTCTTTGATCCATATATTTCGTTAAGAAAAATATGTTGTTTTACCCAAATCAATAAATGTAATCCATCACATAAACAGAACCAATGACAAAAACCACATGATTATCTCAATAGATGCAAAAAAGGTCTTTGATAAAATTGGACATCCCTTCATGCTAAAAACTCTCAATAAGTTAGGTATGATGGAACATACCTCAAAATAATAAGAGCTATTTATGACAAACCCACAGGCAATATCATACTGAATGGGCAAAAGCTGGAAGCATTCCCTTTGAAAACCGGCACGAGACAAGGATGCCCTCTCTCACCACTCCTATTCAACGTAGGAAGTTCTGGCCAGGGCAATCAGGCAAGAGAAAGAAATAAACGGTATTCAAGTACGAAGAGAGGAAGTCAAATTATCTCTGTTTCCAGATGACATGATTGTATATTTAGAAAACCCCATCATCTCAGCCCAAAATCTCCTTAAGCTGATAAGCCACTTCAGCAAAGTCTCAGGATACAAAATCAATGTGCAAAAATCACAAGCATTCCTATACACAAATAACAGACAAACAGAGAGCCAAATCATGAGTGAACTCCCATTCACAATTGCTACAAAGAGATTAAATACTTAAGGAATCCAACTTGCAGGGGATGTGAAGGACCTCTTCAAGGAGAACTACAAACTACTACTCAAGGAAATCAGAGAGGACACAAACAAATTGAAAAACATTCCATGCTCATGGATAGGAAGAATCAATATTGTGAAAATGGACATACTGCTCAAGGTAATTTATAGATTCAATGCTATCTCCATCAAGCTACCATTGACTTCCTACATAGAATTAGAAAAAACTACTTTAAATTTCATATGGAACCAGAAAAGAGCCCATATAGCCAAATCAATCCTAAGCAAAAAGAACAAAGCTGAAGACATCATGCTACCTGACTTCAAACTATGCTACAAGACTACAGTAACCAAAACAGCATGATATGTTACCAAAATGGATATGTAGACCAATGGAATAGAATAGAGGCCTCAGAAATAACACTCCACATCTACAACCATCTGATCTTGACTAACCTGACAAAAACAAGCAATGGGAAAAGGATTCCCTATTTAATAAATGGTGCTGGGAAAACTGGCTAGCCATATGCAGAAAAATGAAACTGGACCCCTTACACCTTATACAAAAATCAACTCAAGATGGATAAAGACTTAAACGTAAGACCTAAAACCATCAAATCCCTAGAAGAAAACCTAGGCCATACCATTCAGGTCATAGGCATGGGCAAAGACTTCATGACTAAAACACCAAAAGCAACGGCAACAAAAGCCAAAATTGACAAATGGGATCTAATTAAACTAAAGAGTTTCTGCACAGCAAAAGAAGCTATCATCAGAGTCAACAGGCAACTTACGGAATAGGAGAAAAGTTTTGCAATTTATCCATCTGACAAAGGGCTAATATCCAGAATGTACAAGGAACTTAAATAAACTTGCAAGAAAAAGAAACAAAAAAAAACCCCATCAAAAAGTGGTCAAGGGATATGAACAGACACTTCTCAAAAGAAGACATTTATGCAGCCAACAAACATATGAAAAAAAGCTCATCATCAGAGGTCATTAGAGAAATGCAAATCAAAACCACAATGAGATACCATCTTACACCAGTTAGAATGGTGATCATTAAAAAGTCAGGAAACAGGCCGGGCGTGGTGGCTTCCACCTGTAATCCCAGGACTTTGGGAGGCCTACATGGGTGGATCATGAGGTCAGGAGATTGAGACTATCCTGGCTAACATGGTGAAACCCCATCTCTACTAAAAATATAAAAAATTAGCCAGGTGTGGTGGCACGCGCCTGTAGCTATTCAGGAGGCTGAGGTGGGAGAATTGCTTGAACCCAGGAGGTGGAGGTTGCAGTGAGCCAAAGAAAAGAAAGTCAGGAAACAACAGATGCTGGAGAGGATATGGAGAAATAGAAACGCTTTTACACTGTTGGTGGGAGGGTAAATTTGTTCAACCATTGTGGGAGACAGTGTGGCAATTCCTCAATGATCTAGAACCAGAAATACCATTTGACCCAGCAATCCCATTACTGGGTATAAACCCAAAGGATTATAAATCATTCTACTATAAAGACACATGCACACGTATGCTTATTGCAGCACTACTCACAATAGCAAAGACTTGGAACCAACCCAAATGCCCATCAATGATAGACTAGATAAAGAAAATGTGGCACATATACACCATGGAATACTATGCAGCCATAAAAAAGATGAGTCCATGTCCTTTGCAGGGACATGGAGGAAGCTGGCAACCATCATTCTCAGCAAACTTACACAGAAACAGAAAAGCAAACACTGCATGTTCTCACTCATAAGTGGGAGTTGAACACTGAAAACACATGGACACAGGGAGGGAAACATTACACATTGGAGCTTGTCAGGGGATGGGGGGCTAGGGGAGGAGTACCATTAGGAGAAATACCTCATGTAGATGAGGGGTTGATGGGTGAAGCAAACCACCATGGCACATGTATACCTATGTAACAAACCTGCAGGTTCTGCACATGTATCTCAGAACTTAGTATGAGTAAAAAAACCAAAATTTAAAAAGATATTAATTTGAAAAAAGAAAAGCATGTTGTTTAATTTCCAAATATTTGGGGATTTCTCAGATTTCTTTCTTTTTTTGATTTCTACTTTAATTCTGTTGTATTCAGAATTGTACTTTGGATGATATTAATTTTAAATTAAAATTTTATTGAGATTTGTTTCATGACCCAGCATGTGATTTGTGTTGGGAAATGTGTCAGGTATACTTGAAAGAAGTATATATTATGCTGTCATTAAATGATGTATTCTGTAAATGTCAGTGAGGTTAGATTGGTTGATAAAATTGTTTAATTTGTCTTTATCTTTACTTACTATTGAGTTGCCTTATCAATGATTAAGAGTGAGACATTGATAGTTCTGACTCTTATTTTGAAGTTTTCTATTTCTCTTTTCTATTCTGTTAGTTTTTGCTTTACGTATTTTAGGGTTCTGTTATTAGCTGTGGATGCACTTATAATTGTTATGTCTTCTTGATGTATTGACCCTTCTATCATTATAAAATATTTTTTGTTGTCTCTAATAATATTTTTTTGTGTAACTCTATTTTATTTTTTAAAATATAGCCACTCTTGCTCTCTTATGATTATTTTATGCATGACATTTATTTATTTTCCCAACCTTTTACTTTCAACCTGCTGTGTCTTTGAATATAAAGTGTGTTTCTTGTAGACAGAAGAGTTTGATCTTACTTATTTATCTTGTCTGATAATCTCTGCCTTTGAAGTGTTGTTGTTTAGTCTATTCACATTTAGTGACATTATTGGTATGGCTGGATTTATGTCTGCCATTTTGCTACATTTTCTATGTATATCACATTTTTCTATGTATATCACATTTTTTCTCCTCATTCCTCCTTTACTACCTTCTTTTGGGTTAATACATATTTCTTAGCATACCAATTTAATTGATCCTTTTCTATAATTTTTGAATTATTTTCTTAATGGTTGCTCTAAGGATTATAATATCTATTTTAATTTATTGTAATCTGTTTCAGATTAATACTAAATATAATAAATTTTGGAAATTACTTCACTATAACTCCTTTCCTGTCCTATCATTTGTGCTAGTATTGTCATATGTATCACATCAATATAGTAACCTGCTTATTACTTTATATAGCCTATCTTTTAAAGAAGAGAAAAAAGATAAAATAATATATTTATAGCATCTTTTATTTTTCCCAGATATTTACCAGTTCTGGTAGTCTTTATTTCTTCCTGTGGATTTCAGTTCATTATCTGGTATTTCTCAGTCTAAAGACTACCCAAGGTAATTCTTGTAGGGAACATCTGGTTGTAATAAATTTTCTTGGTGTTTATTTTTCTTTTTTAAAAAATAAGTCATTAATCTCTATTTTACTTGTTTCTTTTGAAGGATAAGTTTTTTTTTCAGAAATTTAAATATAAAATTAAATTAGTTTTTACATTGCTACTTTCAACATTTTGTCTTTGAATTTTGACAGTTTGACTATAATGTAGCAATGAATCTCATTATTTTTATTCTACTTGACATTCATTGAACTTCTTGGATCTGTAGGTTGTTTTAAGTTGAATTTGGGAAGTTCTGAACATTATTTTATCAGAAGTGCTTTTTTGCCCTTTTTATTTGTTTTTCTTCCAAAGGGACTCTCATCACATCTATGCTGGTGTGCTTGATGACGTCCTGTCATCTCTGAGGTTTGTCAATTTTTCCTCAGTCTTTATTCTCTCCCTCAAGTTGAATAATTTCAATGGATTTTTCTTTAAGCTCGTTTATTCTTTCTTCTTTCACTTAAAATCTGCTGTTTAGCCCTCTGGTGAACTTTTTTATTTGTTATTATCTTTTTACTTCCAGAATTTTTGTTTGGTTCTTGTTTATATTTTCTATCTTTTGAGATTCTCTAGTTTTAGGCAATTGTTGTTATGTTTTTCTTTAATTCTTTAAACATACTTTCTTTTTATTCTTTGAACATACTTATAACAATAGTTTGTAATTTTTATTTGCAAAATCCAACATCTGGGGACACTTAGAGACAATTTTTATTGCCTACTTTTCTCCTGATGTAAGTCGTAGTTTTCTATTTATTTTTATGTCTCTTTTTTTTGGTTAAAACTAGAAATTTCAGGTAAAATATTGTAGCAAATATTCTGATTTGCTATAGAATCAGAATTATGATTTTCTTCTTCCTTGGGGTTTCTATTTGTTTAGTAACCTTTCTATAAAATCTGTCTGTGTTGTAGTATTTGGCAGATGATGTTTTTGCTCACTTGAACAAAATATATTTCTTATTTATTTATTTGAGAGTGAGACTCACTGTTATTCAGTCTGGAGTGCAGTAGCGCAATCTCTGATCACTGCAACCTCTGCCTTTTGGTGCAAGCGATTCTCACATCTCAGCCTGCCGAGTAGCTAGGATTACAGGCATGCGCCACCACGCCTGGCTAATTTTTGTATTTTAGTAGAGACGGGGTTTCACCATGTTGGCCAGGCTGGTCTTGAACTCCTGACCTTAGATGATCCACTGCCTCAGCCTCCCAAAGTGCTAGGATTACAGGCTTGAGCCACCACGCCTGGCCTATTTCTTATTTTTAATTTTAAAGTCTGGCTTCCTAGGGCTTGTCCTTGTGTCTGCATAGCTTACTGGCCACCCAGTGATTTTCTGGAAGTTGCATTTATACATCTTTAGCCAGTAAGGCTTCCACCCAATGCTGATGGATCTGTGGTTTCAAGAGTGCATTCAAAGTTTAGGCAGTTTTAAACTCTGCCCTGGCTTTAACTTTTCATAAGGCTTTCTCTGATTTCGTTTGCACATACATGCCAGCTCCAGGTTAACCAACACTATGTGGAAAACTTATCAGGTATCTTTATGAGTGTCTCATTTATTGTATTTTCCTATTGAATTTCTGGCTAGTCTTCTGGTCTGATGCTTGCCCCTAATAGGATGGTAACCACAGACTATTGTAATGGCTGACCTTCCCTGTTTGCTCATCATTGAAATTGGTACTTCTCATTCAGTGGGTATCAGGTGTTTACCTTTAGCTCCAAGTCAAGTCATCCTTTTCTGGCGATGAAGCTGTTGGTTATTCACAAGCTGTCCCAAGTAGTTCTGTTAGAACTACTGTGCTAACTTAATTTGGGACCACGAGGGGAGGCTGATGGGAACAACCCCAGACAAATACACTACAAATTTCTGTTCTTATTTAAAGTCAATGGTTTTTCATGAATACATTCTTCTGAGTTTGTTGTAAGCCTTTGCTCAATTTCCAGGGTCCTGAATGGCTATTTTGGTGATACTGTCCAGTTTTTGAGTTGTTTTCAGGAAGAGGATTTGGTGACTTTCTCCTTCAGTCATGCCAGAAGTTTTACCTTCTATCCTTTGTTTTTGTATCTCAAAACACTATTTTCTTAATTTTTGCACAAACAGTTCTCAATCTATGATAATTGACTTTGATATTTAAAATGTGATTTGTCTTAAAGTTTAATTCCAGGTAATCTTCTTAACGTTGAGAGCTTGCTGTCAGAGAAAAAAATAGCAGTTGAATCTCTCTTAATCAACCTCCACTAAACCAATTCACTAGATTAACTGATGTAATTGTGTAATTTAATTAAATATTACATAAACCAATGAACATCAAGTATAAAAAGAGAGCTGTTTCTATGAAAACAAAATTGCATGCTTTGAAAAGACTCAAATAAGTGTGAGTTGCTAAAAATTGCTGTTGAATTAGGTGTGGGTGAGACAACTATAACTGTGGAAAAATAAAAGAATATGGGAGGCTTTTGCACTCAGATTGCTTCATAAATGTCCTTACATTTTCCATTTGTTTTAAAGAAATGGAAGTGGGAAATTGCAGATGGATTATGAAAGTGGTTTTTGAAGAAAGATGATGAAGAATTTTTATCAATGTTATAATATCCAAAGAAAATACCTTGACCCTCTATAAAATGTTAGCAGAAATACAGCATGTTTATGTTATACTAGGGTATTATGCACTACTTTTATTTTTATGATTCTCTGCTTTAGACAAGTTTTTGGTTAACCAAATTATTATTAGTCCCAATGAGAAAAGTGGTTTCTCTATTCTCCCATCACTCCAGGGACCTAGGGAGACCTTGGTTAGGCGGGCTGCCCGCTGACTGCCCAGGATGCTTCCCCTGACTCTGCAGTTGGCCTCTTGAGTTAGCTCAGGGCTCACCCCTCCATTTCCCACTCCATACTGGAGGAAAAGAAGTACAGATTCAGGTTAGGGCCATGGGTAGTTTGGAGCCATTTTGCCACATCAGGGAATCTTTAGAGAGAGGAGCAATGAGCCTCAACCTCTTTCTCCTGTTTGGTAACTCTTGGTGCTTTCATGCTAATAATGCTGTGAGGAGGTCTGGGGCTGCTCCTCCATGGGGACTGTGTCCATCTTGGGAAGGCCCAGGAGTGAGCAGCTTTATAAGTTAGGGAGAAATAGTATCATTCCCTTGATTTTTTCTTCCAGGGTTAAGATTAGCTAGTGGTTGAAGATTAAGAGATAGACCAACCAAGGGCCTGCATCCAGGGCACAGAAGCAGCCCTTTGAGTGACAAGGGGACAGGTGGTCAAGCTCAACTTACTGGAACAGTGTTTTTAGACAGGAGGGGTTAAAGGCAGAAAACTTGTGGCAATAACAGTGTGCATTCATCTCGAGTGTTTTCTTGTCTTCTTTCCCTCAAGCACCTGTGGTGACCCCAAAGTGCCTGGCCAATGAATCACACATTTGGATTCTATATCAAGTGTTTCTCATCATCAAGGAGACAGATGTGAATACCCCGTTTCCAACTGTGTGCATTGGAGTTTATTCATCCCAAGTCCTATTCCTTAGCTAACCTGAAAACATATTCAGACTAAAAAACGAGGGTATCGTGCCCTAAAATCTTTTTTTGAATAGATAAGTCTTTTGAAGACAGAAAAGGGTAACAGGAATGTGGGGTTCTAGGCTCTGATGTTAATTGATGGGGGAGAAAAGTTCAGGTTGGTAAGTCTTGCAGTGTGACTCAAACCATCTTACACAGGAAGCTGCTCAGTTTGTCTAGATTCTAGGCTAAGGCAGAGGTAGTTGTAGTGGCCACTATAAGAGGAATGAGGCTCAGAGAAATTAAGTGAAATCTGTAACAATTTTGAATATCTGATTATCTTGATAATGGATTGGGAGATCACAGGAAACTTTTATGTGTTGTTCCAAAGCATTGAGCACATTGAAATCTACATATACACATCCATTAAAAACATGGTATGGAAAGGGCAGAACTTTAGTATTCTTTACTGTATGTAAAGCCTCATAGTTTAGCTGAAATAAGCTTTGTACTTTGTATTTGTTTCTGAAGTCTCAATCTAGGTCTTGGTTATCAGACTTTTTTTCTGCAATAAAGAAACCAATGAAGCTTTGAATGAACAACAACAACAAAAAGATCTTAGGAAGACAATGTGGCCACTCGTACTCCAGCCACATTCAACTCGGGAGAAAAATATTAATAAGGGTGCTGAGAGCAGTTCCAGTGATCCTCAAGGGCTTATGGCTTTTAGAAGGGCAAAAGTTTGGCATAAAACTTGCTAGGGAGCCAGGGACCAAAAGGCTACAAGTTTCTGCTGAGAATCAGAGCACAGCCTTTCTGCATCCTGGGGCTTGGCTTGCCTCCTACCCTTTCTTGCTTCCTGCACCACTCTGTATTCTTCCCATTCCCAACCCTTCCACCACAGGCTTTTGGCACCATTACCCAATAAGATAGGAGAGAAAAAAGCCAGTAGAAGGCTGGGAGGTGCGCAGGAGTCCCTTTGGAATGGGTTTCCCTCCTTCCCTCTTTGAAAATGAAGGAAGTGCCTCAAAGAAAACAACACTTTGTTCCCTTCTCTCATCTCACACGGTCTGAAATTTGCTTTCTTCCAAACAATACCCAATTCTTTTATTTGTGTTTCCTTTCTGGCCCTCTATTTATACAAGGTATTTCTATTGTTTTTCTTGCCGTCTCTCTCTTTCTGGTGCTGCCTCTGACTCTGTTTCTTCCTCCTCTTCCTTTTTCTCCCTCTAGTTTCTAGCTTGTATCTGGCCCTGCTGAGAAAACATAATACTGTCTTATTTGTGATTCTGCAGTCATTTCCATGGCAACCGACCCATGGCCCAGGTATGAGTCTGTGCCTTCGCCATAGTACTGTTCAAGAGAAAAGGCCTTTATTAAAGCTGAGTGCCAGCAGTTTCCCTCCTGCAGCCCTTGCCAAGAGAGGAATTTCTTCAGGACTCAAAGAAGGGACACAGAAGTCAAACACAGGGTTCCCAGGTTTCTCAAAATTTCTCCAGTGTAAATGAACCCCCCTCAGCCTGCCTCACGTACATGCACACGTAGGCACACCCACACACACAGGCACACACCACTTCTATTTCTGGACCTATAGCCACAGAGGGTATTTTTCTTTTGAAGGGAATCAGCTTTGATGCTGTGGCCTGGAACAAAAGCTTATGTTTGAAATGAGAGATGGGCTCAGCTGTTTAAGCCTCCTGTGTGTAGAATGCGGGGTTGGGAGAGAGCTGGGACAATGGCAAGGACAAGGATGGATAAAGCTTATGAGGGTCGTGATGTGGGAATATGGAAAAGATTTTAGAGCCCCTAACTCAATGATGAACAAGAGAGATAGGGAGAAAAAAGGATTTCGATGGAGTTTTTAAAACAGGAGCTCGTGAAATGTTTGCTATTGTGTAATGTGACTTATACACAGTAAAATGATATGACATGACAAGGGAGAATTACATCTTTCCTCAGGTGCCTCTCTCCCATTTTCTGCCCTTTTTCTGTGGATCACTACGTTTTGTTCCCTTTCACTTTTGTCTGGGTCAAAGGAATATCATTTTGGGAAGATGCTAGAAACAGTCTATTTCTAAGGCCCCTCTTCCCTCCTTTGCCCTCCCTCCCACTGGAGCGCTTGAATCCAGATAAAGAGAAGACAAAGGAAGGGTCTCTCTCCCATCCCTCCTGAGAAATGTCTGCACATTAAAAACAAATGGAACCTGCTTACAACCTGGAGCCAAGAGGGTGTTCTGGGTTTCTACTACAACCAAGATGAGTTAATCTTTATTAAGCAGATGTATAGAGGACCAGCTTGTCTCCATAACATCTCCACGGCCTTCCGCTTCCCATTTCTTTTATTGATCTGCCTGTCTAAATGAGTACTTCTAAACTCGGTGGGAGTTTTCCAATTAGATAAAAGGCAATTCATGTCGCCTGCTGCCTCCGTGCTGCACTAACAGCCCCAAACTAAGAGAGCATATTCAAGACTTCTTGGCAGAACAACCTGCTTTAATCAAGGCGGCCCCCTCCTGAGCGCCCTCATCTGCAGGACATTTCTCTGAATATGTGAAGGTTTTCTTTATTGGAGGTTGAGAAAAATGGGCTTCTTTTCCAGGAGTGGGGGTTTCAAGGTACCCTGTGTAGTTAATGAAGAAGTGCATAGGCCCACTCTCTGGGCTGGTGTTTCAGAAAAGGCATTTTGGCAAGCCTTTTTGGAACAAACTGCAACTTGAGGGTCTTCAGATGTGTGAGACTTCTGCTAGGAGCAGACCTTGCGGCTTTGGACTCTCACAGCCTCCTGGGGTCCTCCTGTGCCTGGATGAGTTGTAGCTCAGGTAGGCAGTGTTCTAAGGGCTCCATCTGCTGTGAGGAGGGCCAAAGAGAGGATGGAGGGGTGGTGCCACAGAAGTGAGCCCTTCTATCCCAGGCTGTGCATCATTGTCCATTGGCGAATACAGGTGGTCCAAAGCCTGGACACCAGCAGGGGCCTCCCATGACCCACTGTAGCTGGTCCAAGCCTTCTGCCTGAAGTTCAAGGTCTTTTTGCAAGGCAGCCTTGCCTCTTCTCCTTCTTAACCCTCTCTGTCCTGGCCTGGCTCATCTTCCACATAGCTAGGCTGGTATATTTTGTGACTTTGGGTCATCCTTTTTTTCTACCTTAAAGGGCTGCCCTCCTCACCCAGAGAAGGAAAGTCTCAGCTTTCCATCTCTCTTCCACCTCCAGGTTTCTTTCATCCTGTTAGTATTGTCTCACTTATTGCTTGGTCACTAATTAGAGCTACTACCCTTTATTGAGTGCTTGCCATGTGTCAGGCACTGTGTTGGGGTGTTTATGTGTAATTAACAAAGCCAAACTTCACAATGTCCCTATAAATAGGTGCTATTACTACCCCTCATTTTATGGATGAAGAAACTGAGGCAAATCACCTTGCTAAAGGCCAGATAAGCACTGAAATCACATCTGTGTGATTCCAAAATTCTTAGAATTTAGCATGCCTAGGCAAGGATGAATAATAATCATAAACGTAGTGAAAATAAGTTGTTTGTGTTTGAAGTCACATAGCACAACCCATGTTAGCAGAACATAAGGTTAGCAACAATGATCTTTGACTGTGCAGCCTTCTCAGGTAAAATGGCTAGGCTCTCCCAATTTCCTTCTACCTCTAAAGCACCTGCATTTTTGTTGGAGACTAATAAAGCTTTCCTATAGCCACTCTATGGGAAAATCTCTGTGACAGGGCCTGGGGACCCCATTTAGGAAACTATGGGAGGTCTAGTTGGTATCTAATTGGCAAAGGATTTGCTTCCCTTAAGTTTTGTAGCTCCCAAAGGGAAAGACTTAGATCTTTAGAATTTTTTTTGAAACAGGGTCTCACTCGAGTGTCCTGGCTGGAGTGCAGTGGTGCAGTCTTGGCTCACTGCAACCTCTGCCTTCTGGATTCAAGCAATAGTCCTGCCTCAGCCTCCTGAGTAGCTGGGACCATAGGCACACACCTTGCCTGGCTGATTTTTGTATATTTTGTAGAGAAGGGGTTTCACTGAGCTCAAGTGATTCTCCCACCTTGGCCTCCAAAAGCTCTGGGATTACAGGTGTAAACCACCATGACCAGCTTAGATATTTTTTATAGCTTCCTCTCTCTCAAGGAATGTAGGCCAAGTTGCTCTGAGAGGCGGTTGGGGGCATTTACAAACATTGCTCTCAAAAGTGGTCAGCTCTGCCAACCTCAAACAAATGCTTCAGAAAAGAGTGCAGCCTCCTCAGTTCAGACCTCCTCTTTCTCCAGAGAAGTTTCTTGTTTTCCACAGGCAGGAAGCATCTTTGTTCTTTCTGTTTTCTCAGGATTCTCCATTCTGGTGTTCTGGAATTCACCTACTAGTCTCAAAAATTGCACTTTGCCATTCTTCCCAAAGGGCAGACAGGTTCTATACAAACAAGGTTTTTGGCAGTTAGTGCTGGGAGGTCAGACCCATCTAGTCTGATGTGGTGATAGGTGCCCTCCTTCACACCCCCACCTTCAGTTGATTTTTGCAGCTGCTTGACAGAACCTAGAAGGCAGGGGAGGTAGCCAGGTTCTTCTGTGGCCACCACTGGTACCTGATTACTGGGCTTGCTGAGCACTGGGCTGGGTATGGAGATGTCCAATAACCACTGTCTGTGTTGGCACAATGTGAACCCAAAGCAAAGTTGAAGGTTAAGGCAAGGAATGTGGTAGAGGTCGTCGATCGCGAGATGACTTTGCCATTGAGTCATACCCTTCTCTTCCATTTCTGCTTCTGGCTCAGCATTTGAGTAATCCAGACCCAGCCTAGGCAGTGGAGCATCTCCATTAGCTCTCCCCTTCCCTTCTCTTCCCCTCTTGCACTCACAGCACAGCCTCAGGAGAGGCACAGCTGGATTTACACTTGCCTGTATTGCTTTGGTGGACAAAACTAGGTCTTTCTGTGACCCACGATAATCACACTGTCTGTATGAGGAGAGCCAGGGTGGTGAGGAATGAGACTCCTCTTGAATACTGAATTTCTGGGTCTTGACTTCTCAGCAGTGGCATCTTCTTTCCTGGCAGGCATTGTCACATTATCGTTTCAGCTGCACCTGGGGAATGAAAGCCAGAGAATGATGTGGCTGCATTGTTCAGAAGCCTCAGGCACCTGCTGTTCAGAATTTCCATGAAGCCACTGCAGAAGGCTCTGGAAAGAGGCATTTGACCTTCCCTTACATCAGAAGACAGAAGAGCCAGGGACTAGCATTGGAAATAGAGCCTATTCTAGCTGGAAGGATTCACCTTTGCTCTTGGGAAGAAAAGGAAGTGTTTGAAGATTTAGTAAATCTTCTGTTCATTATCAAGCCCCAGCAGGACTTTATGATAATTTTTATAACTTCTTCATTCAAAACTCTAGGTGCTATGAAGGTTAATAACTTGTGTTTATCAAAACTTCCCTTCAAGGAACTCAGAGAGCTTTGTAGACATTATCTAATTCAGCAGCACCACAGGACAAGGAAACAGGAAAGGGGGAGAGGATGAACAGACAAAATTATTCCAATTTAGGAGAACTGATAATATTAATAGCTCCAACAGGGAGTTTAAGTGAGTTTTGGAAATCACAGTACAATTTGTAAGCCATCCAGGAGGAGGTCTCTTCACCCCCAGCACTGGCTGCTTCAGACCACCATCCAGTTCCACCGCTGTCAGTGGGAGGGAGATGGGACACTCGAATACAATTTTCTCATCTGTAAAGTGGGGCAATAAGTCTTATTTTTTGGCATTGTTGTGAGATTTAGTAAGGTAAAGGAGTAAAGGTACCAGCACGGTGATTGGCATTTTGTTAGTGCTCGATGAATATCACCTCCCCATGCCCCACTTTCTAGGCAGCCACAGAATATTTTCCTGGTTGACTGAAGGAGCAAATTGCATGTCTTGTACTCTGCTGAGTATGAGGAAGAAATGTGGGATGCAGGGATTATTTGAGGATAAGGGAACAGTTGTCATTTCTCACCTCTGGAAATTCTGACGTCCAAAGGGCACAGCCTAATAATGTGAGAAAACTGACCCTCCCTCCCTGAAACCTTGAGCAAAAAGAGCACATATCTGAGTAGAAAGTGAAATGGAGATTTGAAGTAATTTTATGGTTAATTGGACTGGGGGTGAAAAAAAAAGCCTCTGCCTGAATTGTCTTTGGCTTTCCAGGGTTGAGTCATTTGTGGAGGTTTACATTGCTCAGCTCATTACACCAGTCTTCCATTTTGCTCTCACTGGAAAAGGAAGCTTCCATGAGTAGGCACTTGACCTGTGTCTGGTTTGGAGTATTCAAGAATGGCTAGAGATCTCCAATTTTAAGGCAGGAAATGGCTTGAAAGATCTTCCTCCCAAGATCCACAAATAAGGATGAGTGGTACCGCAACCCTATTTAGTATCTGTGACTTTTTGGGGTCTTAAAAGTCATATGGAGAAGAGAAAAGGAAGGACTCATACAACCAAAGGTCCTTAGGAGCTTTACTGGTGTCCTCATGACCAACCAGTGTGGGGAGCCAGGGCTTGGACTGCTCCCAACCAGGCTCTCCCATTGCATATTCTGAACAAGACCTGGGTAAGAAAATGAAACACTCCTCTTTTGTTGGTTTCTTTGTCATTTTCACACTAATTTTAGCCCTGGTTCATCCATGCATATCAGGTGGGATTACTGTGGGGCAGCAGAAGCTTTTGGCTTACAGTCAGAGGTCTGAAGTTCCTTTTGTTTCCTCCTACAGAAGCTTGTCTGTCTTTGGCACACTCTAGCCCTGGAGGGCTTTGCCAGATATCTAGCCATCAATGGTATTGCTTGAATTTACCTTCTCTTGTCCTGCATCTTAAAGCAAATAAATTTTGTACTTACATGTGTTAGCTAGTGAAAAGACAAAAGCACACTGTGCCAAGGCAAAAGGGATGGTAGAGCACTGCCAGGTGGTTGTGGTGATAGGGAAATGATGACTAGAAATATGGATGTCATGTAGCTTAATCTAGGGGGCCAACTTTTCACCTAATGAGAGTGCAGAATTGCTGTCTCAATTTGAATGGGAGCCATGCTGAGCATTAAGGCCATTTTACTGATGCCACATTGCAAACACAGTGAAGACACAAAAGAAGACAAAAGTTTTGTTTTGCTGCTAAGTAGGCCTTTCCTCTTCTCTTCAGATTACAATTATTATTCAAAGTTTAGAAGAGGAAGTAAATATACTCATTGAAATGTTCTTTGCTAGCCTCACCTTGAAGCCACACAGATTGCTCTAGCATCTTAAGACAAATTTCTTTCCTGGGTATTACCTAGAGAGTGATGAAAACTACTTTCCCTGGCTCTCAGCTGAGGCCTCAGAGCCAGGCGGAAAGCTGTTCTGAGACCCTTACCTCTGAATGTCTCAATTCCAGTAGTTTTAAATCTCAGCCATAAATGTTTCAGAAGAGTGTCTTTTTTTTTTTTTTTTTTGCACTGGAGGTGTATATTCAGTGATTTAATGACCCATCCTGTGACCTAGTATTGCTATTGCTGTTGAATGTATAATTCTCTACTTGAAGATGGGCTTTGTTTTTCATCAGTCTCCTAGGCTTTAATTGGAGAATGTCTCACGAAATGCATAAAGAACAGGTGCTTAGGACTCATGCAGCAATTAGGAGGGAGATCCGGGTTATCATCCAACAAAGCGGCATCCTCTAGGGCTGGGAGTTGAGAGGAGGCTGAGTGAAGAGCTGGATTTGGCTCCTAATTTAATGAGCATTAAGTTAAACTAAAATTAGTAGTGTGCATTGTGGAACCTGTGAAATAGAGGAAGAAAAACCACATGTAGTTCAAGACCAGTACTGGAGGGCCTTGGCAAAGCTGCTAGCAAATAGGTGTGGCCAGGGTTGGTTGTGTGGTCTCAGGTCCACACCTGATTGGCCATGGACAATTAACCCAAGTCCTAGGCCATCTGCCAGGTGGTTTGCTAGACCCTGGGTAGTTGCAATGTGAGGATCTGTTTGAATGCTTAGCAAGTTATGTTCTTTCTGATTGAAAGGTCACTGACTTGTCCTGAGGGAGAGAGACTTCTAGAGCCAGTACATGTAAGCATTCCTCCCTTCCCTACTAGTCCAAATCTGTCCTTGATTGCTTCCCAAAGATTTGGAAATTTCTTTCTCTGAAAAGTTATTGTGCATTCATTCATTTACTTATTTATCAAATACCTTTTGAAAGCTATGTACTAGATAGAATGTTGGAAATAGAGTGATGAACAAACACAGTCCTACTCCAAGGATTTGGTGCCTGGTGGGGAAGACAGGTGCATCTACAGACGCTTTCCATCTGAGGGTAGTAATTGCTAGGATGGTTGTTTTCACACGTGAAGGGAAGAATTTAACTCAGTCTCTCTTTCTCTCTTTCTCTCTCTGTGTGTGTGTGTGTGTGTGTGTGTGTGTGTGTGTGTGTGTGTGTGTGTGTTTTCCAGGGAAGGTTTCCACAGAGAGACAATGAGTCTTGCAGGACATGCTGAAGCTAAAAGGTGATGGGAGGTGGGAAGTAGAGATGAGTGGAAAGAAGAGTCTAGGCAAAAGAATAAAGTCTACATGCAAGAATGTGAGCATGTTGTCCAAGTGAGCAAAGCCTGTAGCCTTCTGAGATATACTGTGCGTTTCTGGGGGTGAAGAAAGGAGCAGCAGGAGCCTGTAGCCCCTCACTGTTCCCTTGAGTAATGGAGTACAAAGAGACTTTTCTTTTTTTTTTTTTTTTTAAGATGGAGTCTCACTCTGTTGGGATTATAGGCGTGAGCCACTGCGCCCGGCCTAAAGAGACTTTTCTTGGCTTGCTCCAAGGAGAGAGTTTAGTCCACAGTAGACTTGCCAGATTGAACAAATAAAATACAAGATACCCAGTTATATGCGAATTTCGGATAAACAACGAAAAATTTTTTTAGTATAATTATGTCCTACGCTATATTTGGGATATTCTTACACCAAATAATTACTTTTTGTTCATCTGAAATTTCAATTTAACTGGGCGTCTTGTGTTTTATCTGGCAATCTAGTCTATAGGCATCTCAGGACTAAGGAGGCTGAAGGGGTGCAGAGGATTTGGAATTCCCTAGAGCTTAGGGTAAAACAGACTAATCTGCTATTTGGTAGGGCACAGGGACTGTTTTGGGAGTAGAATTTTCTGGCTAACCAATGAAAGTCTCAGAAGGTGAGGACTTTTGGAAAGGGAGGCTTTAAAAGATTTAGTAAACAAACATAGAACTTATATATGTAATAACAGTGGATTGCAGACAATTTAGAAAAATTCTAAAAGAGACAGTTAAACTAAGAAGACAAGAAACATTCATAAATTCACTGATAGCTTATCCAAATATTATACATATGTATGTATAAATATATTTATATATTAACTCATTCATACTTTTTTCAGCCAACATTTATTGAGTGCCTTCTTTGTGCCAGGCACTGTTCTAGGCACTAGGATTATAGTAATGGGAGGAAAAAGAACTCAAAGATCCCCACTCTCATACAGCTTATATTCTACTGGGAGATACACATGATAAGCAAGAATATAAGTATATATAATATATAATATTTTAGCTAGTGAAAAGTACTAAAGATAAAATTGTTAAATCAGGACAGGGGGATATGGAATGCTGGGCAGGGGAGGGCCTGGGGTGACAAGGGAAATCATTGCTGTGAAGGTGATTTTTATTTAATTAATTAATTAAAAAGTAAACTTTAATGTCAAAAATGCAAACTTGAGGAGGGCAGAAAGATCACACACAAGGCTGTCACTTCACACTTGGAGGGTTGCATAGCGGCCGGGCAGAGGCGCTCCTCACTTCCCAGATGGGGCAGTGGCCAAGCAGAGGCACTCCTCACTTCCCAGACAGTGGGGCGGCCAGGCAGAGGTGTTCCTCACTTCCCATACAGTGGGTGGCCGGGCAGAGGAACTCCTCACTTCCTAGACGGTGGGTGGCTGGGCAGAGGCGCTCCTCACTTCCCAGACAGGGTGATGGCCAGGCAGAGGCGCTCCTCATAGAAGGTGATTTTTAAAGACAATCTGAAGGAAGTGAGGGAGTCAGGAGGCTGGTGACAGAGCATTCCACGGTAGGGGAAGAACTGGCAAGTGCAAAACCCTGGAGGGGCACTATCCCTTGTGTGTTTGAGGAACAGAGAGAGGGCAGGGCAGCTGGAGTGGGTGAACTGAGTGGAGGGCAGTAAGATGGGAGGTTCTTTTATCTAGCAGGGAAAGTGGCTATATCAGCATAGAGCAGTTCTCCAGAAAAGGGAATAGTTGTGAGCCACTAAGAGTCAACACTCAACAGCAGCTGGGGAAACTGGATACCTGTCCAGTGAAGGGCGTCTGAGCTGGGCACCAGCAGAATTTAAATTCCACCTGTGTGCTGACAACTCCAAGTTCAAATCTCTAGCCGGAGCTCTGGAGAAGTAAGGCACCAGATCACACAGGGCCTGCCGGGTCAGAGTGAGAATTTTGGCTTTTCTCTGCAGGAGATGGAGGCCTTTAAAGGGTTTTGTGCAGTGGAGTGATACTGTTCAATTTCCTTAATAGGATCACTCTGGCAGCTGTTTTGGGAACAGACCTTAGGTGAACAAAGATTAAATCAGAAGACCAGTTAGGAGGCTATTGTAATATTCCAGGCAAGATGCAATGGTGGCCTGGACTAGGGATGGTGATGGTGGGAATAATGAGAAGCAGTTCAATTTCGGATTATATTTTGAAGGTAGATCTAACAGGATTTGCTGATGGACTGAGGAGGCAGTGACAGAGAGACATCTTGGCAGAGCAGCTGAAAGAGTAGAATTAACCATCTATGGACAATGGGAAGAATGCAGACGGAAATGGATTTGGAACAAATATTAGGAGCTCAGTTAGGACAAATACAGTTTGAGAATTAGACTTTATCTGGAGATGTTGAGCAGACAATTGGATAGATGAGTCTAGAGTTCAGGGGAGAGCTCTGGCTAGAGATCTGAACTTGGAGTTGTCAGCACACCCGTGGAATTTAAGTTCTGCTGATGCCCAGCTCAGATACCCTTGACTGGACAGGTATCCAGTTTCCCCATCTGCTGTAAGTGTTGGCTCTTAATGGCTAACGCTGCTCCCTTTTTTGGAGAACTACTCTATGCTGATATAGCTACTTTGCTTGGTAGATAAAAAGAACATGACCACCATCCACCCTACTAGGGAACAGTCTGCAGTGAGTGATTGACTGTGGTACAATTCATGCTCCAGGACTTTCTGTGGGATCAGGATGGAGCTTGCCTCAGACACCACAGACATACTTCCTTCCATTGACCTCTCTGCTTTCCTTACTCCCTATGGGTTTATTCCAAGAGCGTCCTCTGAATAAACTACACACACATCTGGATCTCTCTCCCAGGCTTTTCTTCTAGGGAACCTGACCTAATGAGAAAATTCCTTGCCGTTACTGGAGGCATGGGGATGTTTGTGCTGCATGCCTGCATGTGCCATTCTTCTGGAAGCATTTGGGCTTTTCAGGTTTTATATTATCTGATTGTATGATGAGCCAGGATGGATTTGAGATGGTACCAGCCTCCTAACACCCTGCCGTTAGCAATGCAAGGCTTGTTGTGGGTACAGGCAGGAGGGCGGGCTGGTCCTGGGGAGAGGCGAGTCATTATTTCTGCCTCAGTGCATTCTAATCATATTTCCCTCTGTCAAACCGAGCAGTACTTTCAATCTTACTGCAGAGTCTCTGCTTTCCTTCCGCTCGGATCAGAAACAAATCAGCATGATCAAGCCTGGCAGTAGATCATTTAGAGATTTTCGTCTCTGTTAGTAGCCAAGGGCTGGCAGTGTCTTTTGTATTTGCGTGTGAATGCACGTGTGCGTTTTGCTGTTAAATCGTAGATGGCACTGCCTCCTGTTTTGAAATGCTGTATATTTTGCACTTTAATTATCAAGAATTGTTGAGGTCATAGAGAAGGACGAATCAGCATAGAACAAACTTCCTAACTGCAAGTCAGCCCAGCATAGTGATTCCGGTTGTCTGTTTAGTCTTTTATACTTTTCTTTCCTTTTTAATTTTTATCTATTTAATTTTATTTTTAATTGACATCTAACATTTGTACATATTCCTGGACTATGTAGTGATGGTTTTTTTTCCCATATCTAGGGCATCATGTTTATTTTTTTTCTGTGGGCCATTCTATAAAACACTCAATGGTGACACAATTCAAAGGTAAAAATCAGGCTGGGGCATTAGAATTCTTTGGGTAAGGTAAGAGAATCTGGGGGAGGAAAGGGAAATGCTGCGTGGGTTTGGAGCTGCTCCTTTGTTGGAATGCAGTGGATTCTCCCTCTCCCCTGTGGAAGAGTAGGAAGGCTCGATGCTCACCTGCCAGTGAGTGGAGTAAGAGCATGACTTGGAGTGTCAGAGTGCATGCACAGTTATTGTAGTGATTGAGAAGGCATTAACATGCTTTGGTGGGAAGGCAAAGTCCTTCTGTCCCTGGGGTCTGAGATATCTGTGGTGGGTGGTGTGGGGGAGAGCTGGGGGAATGGTAGCCCATTTGAGCATATTTCCCAAAAAGAGGCAAATTGACAATAAGTTATTTAAAGTCATACGTTTAACACTATAATAAGAAAGCCCTGGAGCAAGTGAATTATAAAGTTCTAAAAGGTGGCACCCGGCCTCAGCCACCCCCACCAAGCCAGCCTCTGGCTTCACTGTGACTGGGGAGGGGGGTGGTGGAAAGGGAAGTGGTTGTGGAGCTAGGCAGAGACTTAGAATGGAAGCTGTCTAAAAACAGCAGGTCATCTCTGGAGAGAGATAGCCTTATGCTGGGGACCTTATACTGGGGAAGGAGGATTGGAGCATCTGATTGTGGGTTGGATAAGATGGCCCTTCTGGTAGCTCTCAAACCTCATAGGACATAGGAGAGTCTATGAGGCAGTGTAAATTAATAAGGAACATTAAGCTTATGAAGGTCTCAGAACAAAACTTTCTACCTCTGTGACCCAGGCATGGGCACCATTTGGCAAAACCGTATGTGAAAGGCAAAGGACTTTGAGATGAGGGGAGCATAAAAAGAACGATTTCTGCCTATTTTTAGCCCAGGAAAACAATAACCTGTTTCTTTCATGAATGATTTGGATTTGCTGGTTTCCAGATTAGTCAATTTTTTCATGTCTTGCTCTTCCTTCATACCTCCTCCGCCTCTACCAGCCCGTAGACCATACACTTCTATTCCATCTCCCCTCACCATTCAAGTTGTCTCCAATTTCCAGTCCACTTGCACCAGATTAGCTATCAATAATCCATTAATATATGAAAATATAGCTGTATTTTACACTCACACTAGGGCTGTTAGCACACACATGCATTTTCTTTCTTTTTTATTAAAATTTTTTTATTTTTTATTATTTTTTGAGACAGTTTCACTCTTTTTTTCATTTCTTTTTTTTATTACTATACTTTAAGTTCTAGGGTACATGTGCACAATGTGCAGGTTTGTTACATACGTATACATGTGCCATGTTGGTGTGCTGCACCCGTTAACTCGTCATTTACATTAGGTATATCTCCTAATGCTATCCCTTCCCCCTCCCTCTACCCCACGACAGGCCCCGGTGTGTGATGTTCCCTACCCTGTGTCCAAGTGTTCTCATTGTTCAATTCCCACCTATGAGGGAGAACACGTGGTGTTTGGTTTTCTGTCCTTGTGATAGTTTGCTCAGAATGATGGTTTCCAGCTTCATCCATGTCCCTGCAAAGGACATGTACTCATCCTTTTTTATGGCTGCATAGTATTCCATGATGTATATGTGTCACATTTTCTTAATTCAATCTATCATTGATGGACATTTGGGTTGGTTCTAAGTCTTTGCTATTGTGAATAGTGCCACAATAAACATACATGTGCATGTGTCTTTATAGCAGCATGATTTATAATCCTTTGGGTATATACCAAGTAATGGGATGGCTGGGTCAAATGGTATTTCTAGTTCTAGATCGTTGAGGAATCACCACACTGTCTTCCACAATGGTCGAACTAGTTTACAGTCCCACCAACAGTGTAAAAGTGTTCCTGTTTCTCCACATCCTCTCCAGCACGTTGTTTCCTGACTTTTTAATGATTGCCATTCTAACTGGTGTGAGATGGTATCTCATTGTGGTTTTGATTTGCATTTCTCTGATGGCCAGTGATGATGAGCATTTTTTCATGTGCCTGTTGGCTGCATAAATGTCTTCTTTTGAGAAGTGTCTGTTCATATCCTTTGTCCACTTTTTGATGGGGTTGTTTGTTTTTTTCTTGTAAATTTGTTTAAGTTACTTGTAGATTCTGGATATTAGCCCTTTGTCAGAAGGGTAGATTGTAAAAATTTTCTCCCATTCTGTAGGTTGCCTGTTCACTCTGATGGTAGTTTGTTTTGCTGTGCAGAAGCTCTTTAGTTTAATTAGATCCCATTTGTCAATTTTGGCTTTTGTCGCCATTGCTTTTGGTGTTTTAGACATGAAGTCCTTGCCCATGCCTATGTCCTGAATGGTATTGCCTAGGTTTTCTTCTAGGGTTTTTATGGGTTTAGGTCTAACATTTAAGTCTTTAATCCATCTTGAATTAATTTTTGTCTAAGGTGTAAGGAAGGGATCCAGTTTCAGCTTTCTCCATATGCCTAGCCAGTTTTCCCAGCACCATTTATTAAATAGGGAATCCTTTCCCCATTTCTTATTTTTGTCAGGTTTGTCAAAGATCAGATGGTTGTAGATGTGTGGTATTGTTTCTGAGGGCTCTGTTCTGTTCCACTGGTCTATATCTCTGTTTTGGTATCAGTACCATGCTGTTTTGGTTACAGTAGCCTTGTAGTATAGTTTGAAGTCAGGTAGCGTGATGCCTCCAGCTTTGTTCTTTTGGCTTAGGATTGTCTTGGCAATGCAGGCTCTTTTTTGGTTCCATATGAACTTTAAAGTATTTTTTTTCAATTCTGTGAAGAAAGTCTTTGGTAGCTTGATGGGGATGGCATTGAATCTATAAATTACTTTGGGCAGTATGGCCATTTTCATGATATTGATTCTTCCTATCCATGAGCATGGAATGTTCTTCCATTCGTTTGTGTCCTCTTTTATTTCCTTGAGCAGTGGTTTCTAGTTCTCCTTGAAGAGTTCCTTCACATCCCTTGTAAGTTGGATTCCTAGGTATTTTATTCTCTTTGAAACAATTGTGAATGGGAGCTCACTCATGATTTGACTCTCTGTCTGTTATTGGTGTATAAGAATGCTTGTGATTTTTGCACATTGATTTTGTATCCTGAGACTTTGCTGAAGTTGCTTATCAGCTTAAGGAGATTTTGGGCTGAGGCGATGGTGTTTTCTAAATATACAATCATATCATCTGCAAACAGGGACAATTTGACTTCCTCTTTTCCTAATTGAATACTCTTTATTTCTTTCTCCTGCTTGATTTCCCTGGCCAGAACTTCCAACACTATGTTGAATAGGAGTGGTGAGAGAGGGCATCCCTGTCTTGTGCCAGTTTTCAAAGGGAATGCTTCCAGTTTTTGCCCATTCAGTATGATATTGGCTGTGGGTCTGTCATAAATAACTTATTATTTTGAGATACGTCCCGTCAATACCAAATTTATTGAGAGTTGTTAGCATGAAGGACTGTTGAAATTTTGTTGAAGGCCTTTTCTGCATCTATTTGAGATAATCATGTGATTTTTGTGTTTGGTTCTGTTTATATGCTGGATTACATTTATTGATTTGTGTATGTTGAACCAGCCTTGCATCCCAGGGATGAAGCCAACTCGATCGTGGTGGATACACTTTTTGATGTGCTGCTGTGTTTGGTTTGCCAGTATTTTATTGAGGATTTTTGCATCGATGTTCATCAGGGATATTGGTCTAAAATTCTCTTTTTTTGTTGTGTCTCTGCCAGGCTTTGGTATCAGGATGATGCTGGCCTCATAAAATGAGTTAGGGAGGATTCCCTCTTTTTCTATTGATTGGAATTGTTTCAGAAGGAATGGTACCAGCTCCTCTTTGTACCTCTGGAAGAATTTGGCTGTGAATCCGTCTGGTCCTGGACTTTTTTTCATTGGTAGGCTATTAATTATTGCCTCAATTTCAGAGCCTGTTATTGGTCTATTCAGGGATTCAACTTCTACCTGGTTTAGTCTTGGGAGGGTGTATGTGTCGAGGAATTTTTCCATTTCTTCTAGATTTTCTAGTTTATTTGCATAGAGGTGTTTATAGTATTCTCTGATGGTAGTTTGTATTTCTGTGGGATCAGTGGTGATATCCCCTTTATCATTTTTTTTATTGAGTCTATTTGATTCTTCTCTCTTTTCTTCTTTATTAGTCTTGCTAGCACTCTATCAATTTTGTTGATTTTTTCAAAAAACAAGCTCTTAGATTCATTGATTTTTTGAAGGGTTTTTTGTGTGTCTATTTCCTTCAGTTCTGCTCTGATCTTTGTTATTTCTTGCCTTCTGCTAGATTTTCAGTTTGTTTGCTCTTGCTTCTCTAGTTCTTATAATTGTGATGTTAGGGTGTCAATTTTAGATCTTTCCTGCTTTCTCTTGTGGGCATTTAGTGCTATAAATTTCCCTGTACACACTGCTTTAAATGTGTCCCAGAGATTCTGGTATGTTGTGTCTTTGTTCTCATTGGTTTCAAAGAACATCTTTATTTCTGCCTTCATTTCATTATATACCCAGTAGTCATTCAGGAGCATGTTGTTCAGTTTCCATGTTGTTGAGTGGTTTTGAGTGAGCTTCTTAATCCTGAGTTCTAGTTTGATTGCACTGTGGTCTGAGAGACAGTTTGTTATAATTTCTGTTCTTTTACATTTGCTGAGGAGTGCTTTACTTCCAACTATGTGGTCAATTTTGGAATAAGTGTGATGTAGTGCTGAGAAGAATGTATATTCTGTTGATTTGGGGTGGAGAGCTCTGTAGATGTCTATTAGGTCCGCTTGGTGTAGAGCTGAGTTCAATTCCTGGATATCCTTGTTCACCTTCTGTCTCATTGATCTGTCTAATGTTGACAGTGGGGTGTTAAAGTCTCCTATTATTATTGTGTGGGAGTCTAAGTCTCTTTGTATGTCTCTAAGGACTTGCTTTATGAATCTGGATGCTCCTGTATTGGGTGCATATATATTTAGGATAGTTAGCTCTTGTTGTTGAATTGATCCCTTTACCATTATGTAATGGTCTTCTTTGTCTCTTTTGATCTTTGTTGGTTTAAAGTCTGTTTTATCAGAGACTAGGATTGCAACCCCTGCTTCTTTTTGTTTTCCATTTGTTTGATAGATCTTCCTCTATCCCTTTATTTTGAGCCTATGTGTGTCTCTGCACGTGAGATGGGTTTCCTGAATACAGCACACTGATTGGTCTTGACTCTTTAACCAATTTGCCAGTCTGTGTCTTTTAATTGGAGCATTTAGCCCATTTACATTTAAGGTTAATATTGTTATGTGTGAATTTGATCCTGTCATTATGATGTTAGCTGGTTATTTTACTTGTTAGTTAATTCAGTTTCTTCCTAGCATTGACGGTCTTTACAATTTGGCATGTTTTTGCAGTGGCGGGTACCAGTTGTTCCTTTCCATGTTTAATGCTTCCTGCGGGAGCTCTTTTAAGGCAGGCCTGGTGGTGACAAAATCTCTCAGCATTTGTTTGTCTGTAAAGGATTTTATTTCTGCTTCACTTATGAAGCTTAGTTTGGCTGGATATGAATTTCTGGGTTGAAAATTCTTTTCTTTAAGAATGTTGAATATTGGCCCCCACTTTCTTCTGGCTTGCAGAATTTCTGCCGAGACATCCGCTGTTAGTCTGATGGGCTTCCCTTTGTGGGTAACCGTACCTTTCTCTCTGGCTGCCCTTAACATTTTTTCGTTCATTTTAACTTTGGTGAATCTGACAATTATGTGTCTTGGAGTTGCTCTTCTCGAGGTCTATCTTTGTGGTGTTCTCTGTATTTTCTGAATTTGAATGTTGGCCTGCCTTGCAAGGTTGGGGAAGTTCTCCTGGATAATATCCTGCAGAGTGTTTTCCAACTTAGTTCCATTCTCCCTGTCACTTTCAGGTGCACCAATCAGATATAGATTTGGTCTTTTCACATAGTCACATATTTCTTGGAGGCTTTGTTAGTTTCTTTTTACTCTTTTTTCTCTAAACTTCTCCTCTCGCTTCATTTCATTAATTCGATCTTCCATCACTGATACCCTTTCTTCCACTTGATCAAATTGGCTACTGAAGCTTATGCATGCATCATGTAGTTCTGTTGCCGTGGTTTTCAGCTCCATCAGGCCATTTAAGGTCTTCTCTACACTGTTTATTTAGTTAGCTGTTCGTCTAATCTTTTTTCAAGGTTTTTAGCTTCTTTGCAATGGGTTCGAACATACTCCTTTAGCTCAGAGAAGTTTGTTATTACCAATCATTTGAAGCCTTCTTCTCTGAATTCGTCAGTCATTATCCATCCAGCTTTGTTCTGTTGCTGGTGAGGACCTGTGTTCCTTTGGAGGAGAAGAGGCACTCTGATTTTTAGAATTTTCAGCTTTTCTGCTCTGGTTTCTCCCCATCTTTGTGGTTTTATCTACCTTTGGTCTTCGATGATGGTGACATACAGATGGGTATTTGGTGTGGATGTCCTTTCTGTTTGTTATTTTTCTTTCTAACAGTCAGGACCCTCAGCTGCAGGTCTGTTGGAATTGGCTGGAGGTCCACTCCAGACCCTGTTTGCCTGGGTATCACCAGCAGAGGCTGCAGTATAGCAAATATTGCAGAATTGCAAATGTTGCTGCCTGATCCTTCCTTTGGAAGCTTCGTCTCAGAGGGGCAGCCAGCTGTATGAGGTGTCAGTCGGCCCCTACTGGGAGGTGTCTCTCAGTTAGGCTACTCAGGGGTCAGGGACCCACTTGAGGAGGAAGTCTGTCCATTCTCAGATCTCAAACTCCATGCTGGGAGAACAACTACTCTCTTCAAAGCTGTCAGACAGGAACGTTTAAGTCTGTAGAAGTTTCTGCTGCCTTTTTTCAGCTATGCCCTGCCCCCAGAGGTGAAGTCTACAGAGGCAGGCAGGTGTCCTTGAGCTGTGGTGGGCTCCATGCAGTTTGAGCTTCCCAGCTACTTTGGTTACCTACTCAAGCCTCAGCAATGGCAGACAACCCTCCCTCAGCCTTGCTGCCACCTTGCAGTTCGATCTCAGACTGCTATGCTAGCAGTGAGTGGGGCTCCATGGGTATGGGACCCTGCAAGCCATGCACAGGATATAATCTCCTGGTGTGCCATTTGCTAAGACCGTTGGAAAGGCACAGTATTAGGGTGGGAGTTTCCCGATTTTCCAGGTACCATCTGTCATGACTTCCTTTGGCTATGAAAGGGAATTCCCTGACCCCTTGCACTTCCTGGGTGAGGCGATGTCCCGCCCTGCTTTGGCTCATGCTCCGTGGGCTGCACCCATTGTCTGAGAAACCCCAGTGAGATGAACCTGGTACCTCAGTTGGAAATGCAGAAATCACCCGTCTTCTGCGTTGCTCATGTTGGGAGCTGTAGACTGGAGGTATTCCTATTTGGCCATCTTGGAACCTCCCGTAGTGATGTTTTAATACATGTAATGTATAGTGATCAGATCAGGGTAATTAGCTTATCCATCACATCAAACATGGATCATTTATTTGTGTTGGAAACATTCAGTAACCTTTTTCTAGCTATTTGAAACTGTATAATACATTATTTTTAACTATAGTCATCCTACAGAGGTATAGAACACTGGAATTGATTCCTCCTTATCTAGCTGTAGTTTTGTATTCCTTAGCAAATCTCTTCATATCCCTGTGTTTCCTCTACCCTTCCCAGCCTCTAGTGTACTCTGTTCTACTTTTTACTTCTATGAAATCAACTTTTTTTAGCTTCTGCATTTGAGTGAGAACATGTGGTGTTTAACTTTCTGTTCCTGGCTCATTTCACTTAACATAATGTCTTCCAGTTCCAATCATGTTGCCGTGAATGATAGAATTTGATTCTTTTTAATGGCTGAATAGTAGTCCATTGTAAAGACCAAAAAAAGTTTAGAATTGATAAACTAATACAGTGAAGTTGCAAGATAGAAAATCAATATACAAAAATCAGTAATATTTCTATATCTGAAGAATGAATTAGCTGAAAAAGAAATCAGCAAGACAATGCATTTACAATAGCTACAAAAACCAAACCAAACCAAACAAACAAAAAACAAACAAAAAACACCTAGAAGTTAGTTTAATCAGGAGATGTAAAACCTCTACAAGAAAAACTATAAAACATAAGTGAAATAAATTGAGGAGAATACAAACAAATGGAAAGACATCCCATGCTCATAGATTGGAAGAATTAATATTGTTAAAATGAGCATACGACCTAAAGCAACCTACAGGTTCAGTGCAATCCCTGTCAAAATACCAATGACATTCTTCACAGAAATAGAAAAAAAAATTCTAAAATTTGTATGAAACCACAACGACCCTGAATAGCCAAAGCAATCCTGAGCAAAAAGAACAAAGCTGGAGGAATTATACTACCCGACTTCACAATGCACCACAAAGCTATAGTAACCAGAACAGCATGGTACCAGCATAAAAACAGACACATAAACCAATGAAACAGAACAGAGAAGTCAGAAATTAATTTACATGTCTACAGCCAACTGATTTTTTGAAAAAGGTGCCAAGGACACTCATTGAGAAAAGGACAGGCTCTCCAACAAATGGTGCTGGGAAAACTGGATATCCATATGCAGAAGACTGAAACTAGATTCCCACCTCTCACCCTCTGCAAAAGTAAACTTGAAATGAATTGAAGACCTAAATGTAAGACCCAAGAACATAAAGCTGATAGAAGAAAACATAGGGAAAATGCTTCAGGACATTGGTTTGGGAAAGGATTTTATGATTAAGACCTCAAAAACACAGGCAAAAAAAGCAAAAATAAACAAATGGGATTGTATTAAATTATAGTTTTCTTTTAAACTGAGGTATTACACCATAGTGCCCAGATATTAAATATACAACTATATATTTTTACACATGTAAATGTCCATGTATCTACTACCTAGATCAAGAAATAGAACATTTCCAACACCCCAGAAGGTTCTCTTGTGCCTTGTCCCAGTCAATTCTTACCTCTACCCTGCATAACCAGTATTCTGATATCTATCTCCACAGATTAGTTTTCTTGTTCTTGAACTTCATGTAAATGGAATAATAAAATATGTCATTTTTTGTATCTGGCTTTCTATGATTCATTATTTTGTCTATAAAATTTATCCATGTAGTTTTATGTTACAGCAGTTCTTTCAAAATTTCTGTATAGTATTCATTATATGAATATACCACAATTCATCCTTCTCTTATGTATTCTTCTCTTACCGGATTGCTTCCAATTTTTGCTTACCTTAATGTTTTCAGAACCATGTTAGTGTCTATAAGCTGTTTTAATACTCTTTCTTCCCCCTAAGAAGCCTGCACCATACACAGGATGGGGATTTGTACCCTTATCTTAATTTAATTTTATTTATTTATTTTTTTATTATTTATTTATTTTTATTTTATTATTATTATACTTTAAGTTTTAGGGTACATGTGCACAATGTGCAGGTTAGTTACATATGTATACATGTGCCATGCTGGTGTGCTGCAGCCATTAACTCGTCATTTAGCATTAGGTATATCTCCTAATGCTATCCCTCCCCCCTCCTCCAACCCCACAACAGTCCCCAGAGTGTGATGTTCCCCTTCCTGTGTCCATGTGTTCTCATTGTTCAATTCCCACCTATGAGTGAGAACATGCGGTGTTTGGTTTTTTGTCCTTGCCATAGTTTACTGAGAATGATGATTTCCAATTTCATCCATGTCCCTACAAAGGACATGAACTCATCATTTTTTGTGGCTGCATAGTATTCCATGATGTATATGTGTCACATTTTCTTAATCCAGTCTATCACTGTTGGACATTTGGGTTGGTTCGAAGTCTTTGCTACTGTGAATAGTGCCGCAATAAACATACGTATGCATGTGTCTTTATAGCAGCATGATTTATAGTCCTTTGGGTATATACCCAGTAATGGGATGGCTGGGTCAAATGGTATTTCTAGTTCTAGATCCCTGAGGAATCACCACACTGATTTCCACAATGGTTGAACTAGTTTACAGTCCCAGCAACAGTGTAAAAGTGTTCCTATTTCTCCACATCCTCTCCAGCACCTGTTGTTTCCTGACTTTTTAATGATTGCCATTCTAACTGGTGTGAGATGGTATCTCATTGTGGTTTTGATTTGCTTTTCTCTGATGGCCAGTGATGGTGAGCATTTTTTCATGTGTTTTTTGGCTGCATAAATGTCTTCTTTTGAGAAGTGTCTGTTCATATACTTCACCCACTTTTTGATGGGGTTGTTTGTTTTTTTTCTTGTAAATTTGTTTGAGTTCATTGTAGATTCTGGATATTAGCCCTTTGTCAGATGAGTAGGTTGCGAAAATTTTCTCCCATTTTTGGGTTTCTTGTTCACTCTGTTGGTAGTTTGTTTTGCTGTGCAGAAGCTCTTTAGTTTAATTAGATCCTATTTGTCAATTTTGGCTTTTGTTGCCATTGCTTTTGGTGTTTTAGACATGAAGTCCTTGCCCATGCCTATGTCCTGAATGGTATTGCCTAGGTTTTCTTCTAGGGTTTTTATGGTTTTAGGTCTCATATTTAAGTCTTTAATCCATCTTGAATTAATTTTTGTCTAAGGTGTAAGGAAGGGATCCAGTTTCAGCTTTCTCCATATGGCTAGCCAGTTTTCCCAGCACCATTTATTAAATAGGGAATCCTTCCCCCATTGCTTGTTTTTGTCAGGTTTGTCAAAGATCAGATAGTTGTAGATAAGTGGCATAATTTCTGAGGGCTCTGTTCTGTTCCATTGATCTATATCTCTGTTTTGGTACCAGTACCATGCTGTTTTGGTTACTGTAGCCTTGAAGTATAGTTTGAAGTCAGGTAGCGTGATGCCTCCAGCTTTCTTCTTTTGGCTTAGGATTGCCTTGGCGATGCAGGCTCTTTTTTGATCCATATGAACTTTAAAGTAGTTTTTTCCAATTCTGTGAAGAAAGTCATTGGTAGCTTGATGGGGATGGCATTGAATCTGTAAATTACCTTGGGCAGTATGGCCATTTTCATGATATTGATTCTTCCTACCCATGAGCATGGAATGTTCTTCCATTTCTTTGTATCCTCTTTTATTTCATTGAGCAGTGGTTTGTGTTTCTCCTTGAAGAGGTCCTTCACATCCCTTGTAAATTGGATTCCTAGGTATTTTATTCTCTTTGAAGCAATTGTGAATGGGAGTTCACTCATGATTTGGCTCTCTGTTTGTCTGTTATTGGTGTATCAGAATGCTTGTGATTTTTGCACATTGACTTTGTATCCTGAGACTTTGCTGAAGTTGCTTATCAGCTTAAGGAGATTTTGGGCTGAGACGATGGAGTTTTCTAAATATATAATCACGTCATTTGCAAACAGGGACAATTTGACTTCCTCTTTTCCTAATTGAATACCCTTTATTTCCTTCTCCTGCCTGATTGCCCTGGCCAGAACTTCCAACACTATGTTGAATAGGAGCGGGCGGATTCCAGCTGCATGCTGGGAGAACCACTGCTCTCTTCAACGCTGTCAGATAGGGACATTTAAGCCTGCAGAGGTTACTGCTGTCTTTTTGTTTGTCTGTGCCCTGCCCCCAGAGGTGGAGCCTACAGAGGCAGGCCGGCCTCCTTGAGCTGTGGTGGGCTCCACCCAGTTCAAGCTTCTTGCTGCTTTGTTTACCTAAGCAAGCCTGGGCAATGGTGGGCGCCCCTCCCCCAGCCTCGCTGCCGCCTTGCAGTTTGATCTCAGACTGCTGTGCTAGCAGTCAGTGAGACTCCGTGGGTGTAGGACCCTCTGAGCCACGTGCGGGATATAATCTCCTGGTGCACCGTTTTTTAAGCCCATTGGAAAAGCACAGTATTAGGGTGGGAGTGACCTGATTTGCCAGGTGCCATCTGTCACCCCTTTCTTTGACTAGGAAAGGGAACTCCCTGACCCCTTGTGCTTCCCGAGTGAGGCAATGCCTCGCCCTGCTTCGGGTCACACATGGTGTGCTTCACCCACTGCCCTGCGCCCACTGTCTGGCACTCCCTAGTGAGATGAACCCGGTACCTCAGATGGAAATGCAGAAATCACCCGTCTTCTGCGTCACTCACGCTGGGAGCTGTAGACCAGAGCTGTTCCTATTCGGTCATCTTGGCTGCCACCTCTTATCTTAATTTTATAGATGACACACCTTTGCAGAGATTTCAGTGACTCATTCAAGGTTACATAGCCATGTAGGAAATGGAGGCAGAACTGGAACTCAGGTTTCTTGACTTCTGGTCTCTGGTAATCTTCCCCAGATCCCTGCTAGCATTTTCCTTGAAATTCCTGGCATCCAGAACCCAAGTTGGGGGCCCACTTCATCCCTTGGAGGGGACTATAAAAACTGCCTTTCTGACTGCCGAGACCCTGTTGAGACACCTCACTTGCCTGGAACCTGTTTTATGTTTGAACAAGTGCAGTTTCCCCCATATCCCTTCAGCTCAGGGAGATGCACTTGACACTCAGGTAGCAGCAACAATTAAGTCTCTTTCAAAAGGAAGCAGCTGAAATCCCCACTTGACAGTGCCTGGAGATTAAGCAGTTACAGCAAAAACTTATGCCTGTCAGGTACGGGCAGGGAGCAAGAACGTGCTGTGTGGATGTCATCTGCAAGGACACCTGGACTTAGATGTGTCATTGTAATGGTTCCCACTCCAGGAGGTTTGGCAAAACCGACAGGATGCAGCACTTGCCTTCCTGCCAATTCTCTGGAGCAGGCACTGGAGAGTGGGAAGCCTCTCAGTATTTAGGGAGCAGGATGAAAAGGCCACAGAAAAGACAGAGCCCTGAGCATCGCTTCTGGTGATTTCTGAGCTGAGTATCCAGAGAATGATCCATTTTCATTCTGTCACTCTGCCATGAGCCTCACAAATCCTCATAATGCCCATGCCACATTCCTGCAGGGTTTCAAAGGGCCTAACAATGATGGACTCTGTGGTGGTGGTGTTGGCTGTGCCTCTGCCCTCTCTTTTCCCCACCATTCCTCCTTTCTTCCACCATCTCTCTTGCTTTCCTTTCTTATTTTCCTTTCTCTCATAATTGATTTAAAAAAAAAAAGAAGAAGAGCCTCTAGGATAGAGTAATTAGGATTTACAGAGTGTTTCTGCACTAAAAAGGCCTCTAGTCTTCACAAGCCCCATCCATGTTAAGTCTTCTTACATGTTTACAGATGACAAATGCAAACTGAGAGAAATTCAGCAGGCTGATTGCAACCTGGTTTTCCTAGGGCTTTTCTGCATTCTGGGAATTCCCTTTGTCCAGGGAAATAGGGACAGTTCATCACTGTAAGGCAAAGTGACTTGCCTAAGATTACAAGCCAGGAGGTTCCAAGAATGAGACTTGAACTCAGGTCTCCCTGGTTCCCAAAGTGGCATTTTTCTTGTTCTTGATGTTGGCTTTTCCTAGCCTTTTCTTTGTTTGCACTTTGAGGGATAGGCTTAGCAGCCTTTGACATACAGTCAGAGATGCCCACTGACAGGGGCTTAGTTGGTGCAGGAGAGGATGGGGAACAACCTTGAGGTTGGCTTAAGTTACACGCAGTCTCAGATGTGCTCCCATTGACAGCCTGGTCCACCTGACTTCAGCTGAGAAGAGGAAAAAAGCCTGTTTATTTATGTAGTGCAGGTAAAAAGAGAGCAGTAGAAATACTTCCAATCACTACTCTTCCTAATTTCCTAATCTTGGCTCAATTTAGGGGTTCCCAAGGTTTGGGAAAGTGGTATAGTTAGCATGGTGGCGATGTAGTGACCTGATGGATTATAGTCTGCAAGCTGCCAGATTCCTCATTTTTGGCCAGTTTGGGGGGAAGTTATGTTTTAATGGGGTCTCAAAGCCTTTTTTTTTTTTGCTCAAGTTGCATGTATCCAGCCGCAGTCCCACCCTTGTTAGGGGCTCAGCCCTCTTAGAGTGCAAACAATCCTCTGCTCCACAGAAGCGAGACCAGCATTCCCACCACATTTTTACCCAAGGACAATGTGCCTTTACTGAGAATTTCATTTTCTTTGACTCTACTTTTTTTTTTTAAAATTATACTTTGTTTTAATTCTTGTAAAGTGCATGTAACATAAAACTTATCATTTTAATTGTTTTCAAATGTACAATTCAGTGGCATTAAGAACATTCACATTGTTGTGCAACCATCATCTCTATTCATATTTGGAAATTTTTTCATCATCTCAAAGTAAAAGTCTGTACCCATAAGACATAAGGCCACTCCTCATTTCCTACTGCCTCCAATGCCTGGTAACTACTGTTCTATTTTTTTTTTTTTTTTTCTGAGATGGAGTCTTGCTCTGTCGCCCAGGCAGGAGTGCAGTGGTGCGATCTCTGTTCACTGCAAGCTCCGCCTCCTGGGTTCATGCCATTCTCCTGCCTCAGCCTCCTGAGTAGCTGGGACTACAGGCACCCACCACCGCGCCCAGCTAATTTTTTGTATTTTTAGTAGAGATGGGGTTTCACCGTGTTAGCCAGGATGGTCTCAATCTCCTGACCTTGTGATCCGCCCGCCTCGGCTTTTAGACAAGGTCTTACCTTGTTACTCAGGCTGGAGTGTAGTGGTGTAATCATGGTTCACTGCAGCCTTGACCTTCCCAGGCTTAAGTGATTGTTCTGCCTCAGCCTCCCAGGTAACTAGAACTACAGGCATGTGCCCCCATGCCTGGCTAATTTTTTGTTTTTTTTGTTTTTTTTGTAGAGACAGGGTTTCTTCACGTTGTCCAGGCTGGTCTTGAATTCGTGGGCTCAAGCAATCTGCCCAGCTTAGCCTCCCAAAGTGTTGGGATTATGGGCGCGAGCAACTATGCCTAGCCAGTAACTACTATTCTACTTTCTGTCTCTATGAGTCAAGTATTCTAGGAAATTCATTTAAGTGACATCATATACTATTTTTCCTTTCATGCCTGGCTTATTTCACTTAGCAAAACGTTTTTAAGGTTCATTTGTATTGTAGCATGTATCAGAATTTTATTCTTTTTTAGGCTGAACTATATTGCTTTGTATGTATATGACACATTTTGTTTATCTGTTCATTCATTGATAGACATTTGAGTTGTTTCCATTTTTGGGTATTGTGAATAATGCTGCTATGAACATTGGTGTACAAATATCTGTTCAAGTCTCTGGTTTCATTTCTTTTGAATATATACTTAGGGGTGGAATTTCTGGATCATATGATAATTTAATGTTTAATTTTTTTGGTAACCACTATACTGTATTGTGCAGTGACTTTATCATTTTACATTCTCATCAGTAGGGCGCAAGTGTTCCAATTTCTTCACATTCTCACCAATACTTAACTATTTTCCACTTTTTTTTTAAAACAATAGACATCCTAATTCATGTGAAGTAGTATCTCATTGTAGTTTTGATTTGCATTTTTAAAATAATTGGTGTATTTGAGTGCCTTTTTATGTGCTTACAGGCCATTTGTGTATCTTCCTTGGGGAAATGTTTACTGAAATAGTTCACTTACTTTTTAATGCAGTTGTGTGTCTTGTTGAGTTGCAGTGTTTCTAAAACATATATACTAGATATTAATCAGTTAGACTAATCAATTGTCATAAAGGGAGACAACACATGTTGCATAGTAAATATAGAACAAGATGACAAAAAACTAAGAATTAAAAGATTAGAGAGTATTTTTTAGATACTGGCCAGATGGCCGAATAGGAACAGCTCCAGTCTACAGCTCCCAGCGTGAGCGACATGGAAGATGGGTGATTTCTGCATTTCCAACTGAGGTACCGGGTTCATCTCACTGGGGAGTGTCAGAAAATGGGTGCAGGACAGTGAGGGCAGTGCACCAAGCATGAACTGAAGCAGGGCGAGGCATTGCCTCACCCAGGAAGTGCAAGGGGTCAGGGAATTCCCTTTCCTAGTCAAAGAAAGGGGTGACAGACGGCAGCTGGAAAATCGGGTCACTCCCACACTAATACTGTGCTTTTCCAATGGTCTTAGCAAATGGCACACCAGGAGATTATATCCCGTGTGTGGCTCGGAGGGTCCTATGCCCATGGAGCCTCGCTCATTACTAGCACAGCAGTCTGAAATCAAACTGCAAGGCGGCAGCGAGGCTGGGGGAGGGGCAGCAGCCATTGCCGAGGCTTGAGTAGGTAAACAAACCAGCTGGGAAGCTCGAACTGGGTGGTGCCCACCACAGCTCAAGGAGGCCTGCCTGCCTCTGTAGACTCCATCTCTGGGGACAGGGCATAGCCAAACAAAAGGCAGCAGAAACCTCTGCAGACTTAAATGTCCCTGTCTGACAGCTTTGAAGAGGGTAGTGGTTCTCCCAGCATGCAGCTGGAGATCTGAGAATGGACAGACTGCCTCCTCAAGTGGGTCCCTGACCCCCGAGTAGCCTAACTGGGAGGCATCCCCCAGTAGGGGCAGACTGACACCACACACGGCTGGGTACTCCTCTGAGACAAAACTTCCAGAGGAACAATCAGACAGCAACATTTGCTGTTCACCAATAACCACTATTCTGCAGCCTCCGCTGGTGATACCCAGGCAAACAGCATCTGGAGTGGACCTCTAGCAAACTCCAACAGACCTGCAGCTGAGGGTCTTGACTATTAGAAGGAAAACTAACAAACAGAAAGGACATCCACACCAAAACCCCATCTGTACTTCACCGTCATCAAAGACCAAAGGTAGATAAAACCACAAAGATGGGGAAGAAAACAGAGCAGAAAAACTGGAAACTCTAAAAATCAGAGCACCTCTCCTCCTCCAAAGGAACACAGCTCCTCACCAGCAATGGAACAAAGCTGGATGGAGAACGACTTTGATGAGTTGAGAGAAGAAGGCTTCAGATGATCAAACTACTCTGAGCTAAAGGAGGAAGTTCGAACCCATGGCAAAGAAGTTAAAAACCTTGAAAAAGGATTAGACAAATGGCTAACTAGAATAACCGATGCAGAGAAGTCCTTAAAGGACCTGATGGAGCTGAAAACCACCGCATGAGAACTATGTGATGAACACACAAGCCTCAGTAGCCAATTCGATCAACTGGAAGAAAGGGTATCAGTGATGGAAGATCAAATGAATGAACTGAAGCGAGAAGAGAAGTTTAGAGAGAAAAGAATAAAAAGAAACTAACAAAGTCTCCAAGAAATATGGCACTATGTGAAAAGACCAAATCTACATCTGACTGGTGTACCTGAAAGTGACAGGGAGAATGGAACTAAGTTGGAAAACACTCTGCAGGATATTATCCAGGAGAACTTCCCCAATCTAGCAAGGCAGGCCAACATTCAAATTCAGGAAATACAGAGAATGCCACAAAGATACTCCTCGAGAAGAGCAACTCCAAGACACATAATTTTCAGATTCACCAAAGTTGAAATGAAGGAAAAAATGTTAAGGGCAGCCAGAGAGAAAGGTTGGGTTACCCACAAAGGGAAGCCCATCAGACTATCAGCTGATCTCTCAGCAGAAACTCTGCAAGCCAGAAGAGAGTGGGGTCCAATATTCAACATTCTTAAAGAAAAGAATTTTCAAGCCAGAATTCCATGTCCAGCCAAATGAAGCTTCATAAGTGAAGGAGAAATAAAATACTTTACAGACAAGCAAATGCTGAGAGATTTTGTCACCACTAGGCTTCCCCTACAAGAGCTCCTGAAGGAAGCACTAAACATGGAAAGGAACAACTGGCACCCACCACTGCAAAAACATGCCAAATTGTAAAGACCGTCAATGCTAGGAAGAAACTGCATCAACTAATGAGCAAAATAACCAGCTAACATCATAATGACAGGATCAAATTCACACATAACAATATTAACCTTAAATGTAAATGGGCTAAATGCTCCAATTAAAAGACACAGACTGGCAAATTGGTTAAAGAGTCAAGACCAATCAGTGTGCTGTATTCAGGAAACCCATCTCACGTGCAGAGACACACATAGGCTCAAAATAAAGGGATAGAGGAAGATCTATCAAACAAATGGAAAACAAAAAGAAGCAGGGGTTGCAATCCTAGTCTCTGATAAAACAGACTTTAAACCAACAAAGATCAAAAGAGACAAAGAAGATCATTACATAATGGTAAAGGGATCAATTCAACAACAAGAGCTAACTATCCTAAATATATATGCACCCAATACAGGAGCATCCAGATTCATAAAGCAAGTCCTTAGAGACATACAAAGAGACTTAGACTCCCACACAATAATAATAGGAGACTTTAGCACCCCACTGTCAACATTAGACAGATCAACCAGACAGAAAGTTAACAAGGATATCCAGGAATTGAACTCAGCTCTGCCCCAAGCAGACCTGATAGACATCTGCAGAACTCTCCACCCCAAATCAACAGAATATACAGTCTTCTCAGCACCACACCACACCTATTCCAAAATTGATCACATAGTTGGAAGTAAAGCACTCCTCAGCAAATGTAAAAGAACAGAAATTATAACAAACTGTCTCTCAGACCACAGTGCAATCAAACTAGAAATCAGGATTAAGAAACTCACTCAAAACCACTCAACTACATGGAAACTAAACAACCTGCTCCTGAATGACTACTGGGTGTATAATGAAATGAAGGCAGAAATAAAGATGTTCTTTGAAACCAATGAGAACAAAGACACAACATACCAGAATCTCTGGGACATATTCAAAGCAGTGTGTACAGGGAAATTTATAGCACTAAATGCCCACAAGAGAAAGCAGGAAAGATCCAAAATTGACACCCTAACATCACAATTAAAAGAACTAGAAAAGCAAGAGCAAACACATTCAAAAGCTAGCAGAAGGCAAGAAATAACTAAGATCAGAGTAGAACTGAAAGAAATAGAGACATAAAAATCCCTTCAAAAAATCAGTGAATGCAGGAGCTGGTTTTTTGAAAGGATCAACAAAATTGATAGACTGCTAGCAAGACTAATAAAGAAGAAAAGAGAGAATAATCAAATAGACGCAATAAAAAATGGTAAAGGGGATATCACCACCAATCCCACAGAAATACAAACTACCATAAGAGAATACTATAAACACCTCTACGCAAATAAACTAGAAAATCTAGAAGAAATGGATAAATTCCTCGACACATACACCCTCCCAAGACTAAACCAGGAAGAAGTTGAATCTCTGAATAGACCAATAACAGGCTCTGAAATTGAGGCAATAATTAATAGCTTACCAATCAAAAAGAGTCCAGGACCAGATGGATTCACAGCTGGATTCTACCAAAGGTACAAGGAGGAGCTGGTACCATTCCTTCTGAAACTATTCCAATCAATATAAAAAGAAGGAATCCTCCCTAACTCATTTTATGAGGCCAGCATCATCCTGATACCAAAGCCTGGCAGAGATACAACAAAAAAAGAGAATTTTAGACCAATATCCCTGATGAACATCGATGCAAAAATCCTCAATAAGATACTGGCAAACCGAATCCAGCAGCACAGGAAAAACTTATCCACCATGATCAAGTGGGCTTCATCCCTGGGATGCAAGGCTGGTTCAATATACACAAATCAATAAATGTAATCCAGCATATAAACAGAACCTATGACAAAAACTATATGATTATCTCAATAGATGCAGAAAAGGCCTTTGACAAAATTCAACAACCCTTCATGCTAAAAACTCTCAATAAATTAGGTATTGATGGGACATATCTCAAAATAATTAGAGCTATCTATGACAAACCCACAGCCAGTATCATACTGACTGGGCAAAAACTGGAAGCATTCCCTTTGAAAACTGGCACAAGACAGGGATGCCCTCTCTCACCACTCCTATTCAACATAGTGTTGGAAGTTCTGCCCAGGGCAATCAGTCAGGAGAAGGAAATAAAGGGTATTCAATTAGGAAAAGAGGAAGTCAAATTGTCCCTGTTTGCAGATGACATGATTGTTTATCTAGAAAACCCCATTGTCTCAGCCCAAAATCTCCTTAAGCTGATAAGCAACTTCAGCAAAGTCTCAGGATACAAAATCAATGTGTAAAAATCACAAGCATTCTTATACACCAATAACAGACAAACAGAGAGCCAAATCATGAGTGAACTCCCATTCACAATTGCTTCAAAGAGAATAAAATACCTAGGAATCCAATTTACAAGGGATGTGAAGGACCTCCTTAAGGAGAACTAGAAACCACTGCTCAATGAAATAAAAGAGGATACAAAGAAATGGAAGAACATTCCATGCTCATGGGTAGGAAGAATCAATATCATGAAAATGACCATACTGCCCAAGGTAATTATAGATTCAATGCCATCCCCATCAAGCTACCAATGACTTTTTTCACAGAATTGGAAAAAACTGCTTTAAAGTTCATATGGAACCAAAAAAGAGCCTGCATTGCCAAGTCAATCCTAAGCCAAAAGAAGAAAGCTGGAGGCATCACGCTACCTGACTTCAAACTATACTGCAAGGCTACTGTAACCAAAACAGCATGGTACTGATACCAAAACAGAGATATAGACCAGTGGAACAGAACAGAGCCCTCAGAAATAATGCCGCATATCTACAGCTATCTGATCTTTGACAAACTTGACAAAAAGAAGAAATGGGGAAAGGATTCCCTATTTAATAAATGGTGCTGGGAAAACTGGCTAGCCATATGTAGAAAGCTAAAACTGGATCCCTTCCTTACACCTTAGACAAAAATTAATTCAAGATGGATTAAAGACTTAAATGTTAGACCTAAAACCATAAAAACCCTAGAAGAAAACCTAGGCAATACCATTCAGGACATAGGCATGTGCAAGGACTTCATGTCTAAAACACCAAAAGCAATGGCAACAAAACCCAAAATTGACAAATGGGATCTAATTAAACTAAAGAGCTTCTGCACAGCAAAGGAAACTACCATCAGAGTGAACAGGCAACCTACAGAAGGGGAGAAAATTTTTGCAATCTACTCATCTGACGAAGGGCTAATATCCAGAATCTACAATGAACTCAAACAAATTTACAAGAAAAAAACAAACAACCCCATCAAAAAGTGGGCGAATGGTATGAACAGACACTTCTCAAAAGAAGACATTTATGCAGCCAACAGACACATGAAAAAGTGCTCATCATCACTGGCCATCAGGGAAATGCAAATCAAGACCACAATGAGATACCATCCCACACCAGTTAGAATGGCAATCATTAAAAAGTCAGGAAACAACAGGTGCTGGAGAGGATGTGGAGAAATAGGAACACTTTTACACTGTTGCTGGGACTGTAAACTAGTTCAACCATTGTGGAAGTCAGTGTGGCGATTCCTCAAGGATCTAGAATTAGAAATACCATTTGACTCAGCCATCCCATTACTGGGTATATACCCAAAGGATTATAAATCATGCAGCTATAAAGACACATGCACACATGTTTACTGCGGCACTATTCACAATAGCAAAGACTTGGAACCAACTGAAATGTCCAACAATGATAGACTGGATTAAGAAAATGTGGCATATATACACCATGGAATACTATGCAGCCATAAAAAAGGATGAGTTCATGTCTTTTGTAGGGACATGGATGAAGCTGGAAACCATCATTCTCAGCAAACTATGACAAGGACAAAAAACCAAACACCACATGTTTTCACTCATAGGTGGGAATTGAACAATGAGAACACATGGACACAGAAAGGGGACCATCACACACTGGGGCCTGTTGTTTGGTGGAGGGAGGGGGGAGGGATAACATTAGGAGATATACCTAATGTTAAATGATGAGTTAACGGGTGCAGCACAGCAACATGGCACATGTATACATATGTAACTAACCTGCACGTTGTGCACATGTACCCTAAAACTTAAAGTATAATAAAAAATTAAAATTAAAAGATTAGAAAGCTTAATTAACAAATCCTGCTTAATAACATTTGTAGAACATTGCAATAAACAACTAAGAAAGACATTATTTTCAAATACAGGTATATTTTGGAGATACTGTGGGTTCAGTTACAGACCATTGCAATAAAGCAAATATTGCAATAATGTGAGTCACACAAAATTTTTGGCTTTCCAGTGCATATAAAAGTTATGTTTACACTATACTGTACTCTATTAAGTGTGCAATAGCATTATGTCTAAAAAGCAATGTAAATATCTGAATTAAAAAACACTTTATTGCTAAGAAATGCTAATGATCATCTGAGCCTTCAGCAAGTCATGATCATCTTGATGGTAGAGGGTCTTGCCTCGATGTTGGTAGCTGCTGAGTCATCAGGTTGCTGCTTGCTGAAGGTTGGGGAGGCTGTGTTAATTTCTTGAAACAGAACAGCAATGAAGTTTGCCACATAGATTGACTCTTTCTCAAAATAGTTTTCTGTAGTGTGCAATGCTGTTTGATAGCATTTCATCCATAGTAGAACTTCTTTCAAAATTGCAGTCAATCTTCTCAAACCCCTCTGCTGCATTAACTAAGTTTATATAATATTCTAAATGCTTTGTTGTCATTTCAATAATGTTCACATAATCTTCACCAGGAGAAGATTCTATCTCAAACTATTTTCTTTGTTCAAACATAAGAAGCAAAGCTCATCCATTCAAGTTTTATCATGAGATTGCAGCAATTTGGTCATATTCTTAGGGTCTACTTCAGATTCTAGTTCTCTTGCTAATTCAAACACAACTACAGTTACTTCCTCCACTGAAGTCTTGAACCCCTCAAAGTCATCCATGAAAGCTGGAATGAACTTATTCCAAACTCCTGTTAATGTTATTTTGACCTCTTCTTATTAATCAAGAATGTTCTTAATGGCATCTAGAATGGTCAATCCTTTCCAGAAGGTTTTTGATTTACTTTGCCCAGATCCATCAGAGGAATCACTATGGCAGTGATAGCCTCACAAAATGTATTTCTTAAATGATAAGACTTGAAATTTGAAATTACTCTTTGGTTTATGGACTGCAGAACAAATGTTGTGTTAGCAGGCATGAAAGCAATATTAATCTTTTATATCTTCATCAGAGCTCTTAGGTGAGCAGGTGCATTGTCAATCAGCAGTAATATTTTGAAAGGAATCTTTTTTTTTTCCCCTAAGCAGTAAGTCTCAACAGTGGGCTTAAAATCTTCAGTAAACCCTGCTGTAAACAGATGTGTTGTCATCCAGGCTTTTTTTTTTCCATTCATAGAGCACAGAAAGAGTAGATTTAGCATAACTCTTAAGGGCCCTAGGATTTTCAGAATGGTAAATGAACATTGGCTCCAACTTAAAGTCACCAGCTTCACCAACCCCTAACAAGAGGGTCAGCCTAGCCTTTGAAACTTTGAAGCCAGGCATTGACATTTCCTCTCTAGCTATGAAAGTACTAGATGGCATCTTCTTCCAATAGAAAACTGTTCCATCTACATTGAAAATCTGTTGTTCAGTGTAGTACCTGTATGAATTGTCTTAGCTAGATCTTCTGGATTACTGGCTGCAGCTTTCACATCAGCACTTGCTGCTTCACCTTGACTTTTATGTTATGAAGATGGCTTCTTTCCTTAAGCCTCATGAACCAACCTCTTCTAGCTTCAAAGATTTCTTCTGCAGTTTCCTCTCCCCTCTCATCCTTCATAGAATTGAAGAGAGTTAGGGCCGTGCTGGAGATTAGGATTTGGCTTAAAGGATTGTTGTGGCTGATTTGACCTAGCCAGACTACTAAAACTTTCTCTCTATCAACAATAAGTCTGTTTTACTTTCTTGTCATTCATGTGTTCACCGGAGTAACAACTTTAATTTTCTTCAAGAACTTTTCCTGTCCATTCACAACTTGTCTGTTTGGTATAAAAGCCCTTGCTTTTGGCCTGTCTTAGCTTTCGATGTACCTTCCTCCTAAGCTTAATTATTTCTAGTTTTTGATTTAAAGTGAGAGATGTGCAATTGTTCCTTTCACTTGAACACTTCAATGCCACTATAAGGTTATTAATTGACCTAATTTCAGTATTGTTGCATCTCAGTGACCCAACTTCTTTATATGACTTAGTCAAGCAGGTTTTAATCAATTCCCAAATTAAACTTCACTGTTTGATGCAGAATTATATGACTCATTTTCTATTTTAAGCCAAGCATGCTTATTTCCTGAACCGTATACTTTTGTGCGTCCCTTGGCGATGCAAACAATTTCTGCAAGGGGGAATCCCCTTACATAAGGCTGACATATGCTTTTATTTTCTGCTACCCAAGATTATGTAATTCAAATAGAACTTAAGGGAATGCACCTTAAACACATTTAGGCACAGAGTAAAGCAGGATTGAGTGAAGAGCGAGCTCAAATTCATGGAAAAACAAATAAAGAGATATGTCATCCTTGTTTTGAGGTTGTGGGCTCATGGAAGTGGTGACATTTTCCAGGGAGGGTAGAATTGTGTGGAAGGGAGAAAACAGGAAGGGATTAAGGATTTTCATGTATATTCCAGGCACCATAAAGATGTCATTTTATTTAATCCTCATAACAAACTGTATGAGGCACTAAATTTACACACAAGGATGGTGAGGTTCAGAGTGGGCAAGTGATTTGTTCAATGTCTCACATAGTTATTAAGCAGTGGAGCCAAGATCTTAACCACGTCTGACTTCAAAGATCACACTTCTCCTAGAATACTATCAGGAGAAGAACGAAGGATTTAGAACAAATTTCTAGAGGATTCCTGTTCTTGGAGGACATTAGGAGATATAGCTATGTATCTAAATAAACACCCCTACCTGATTTTTTGTTCTTATAAAGTGAGGAATGCCTCTTGATGTGCTTCACAAAATTTATTTTTAAAAGCAAAAGACTTTTTAAAAATTGTAAATGTCCACTAAACAATGTTTTAAACCGAGGGTGAGAAAGATGGTGAAGAATGTCCCAAACCCACAGCAAATCAAATTTATTCTTGTAAATTACCTATAGGTAAAAAACAGTATTGAATAACTGAGTCAGTCAGATCTGAGTTTGAATTCTGATTGCTCCTGACACGTTGAGTGGCCTCAGACACGTTCTTGAACCTTTCTGAGGCTGTTTCCTCATCTGTAAAACAGGAATAATAACACCTGCTTTGCAGAGTTGACACTTTTCAGGGACAACAGCTAAGCTGTCCACAGATGGTGATTCCTTCCTTTCTCAGAAGCAAGTCTTCTTCAAATGCTGGTGAAAGCATGAAGAGCCATTTGGTAGAACATCAAAAGAAGGCGGAAGATAAACTAATTGTGCTCCCTGAGGAGTTTCCTTTAGGGGGTGATTTCTGCACTCTTATCTTATCTGACACCTACTGTTTTCCCTGCTTTCCCCTTTCCTAGCCCTCTTTTGTTCATTACCACTTCCACAGAAGTGGAGCAGAGAAACTGGGGAGACAAATCAATAAATTAGTGTTGCTCTATTTTAGCTGTAAGGGAAGGTTTGGTGGACAGTGTTTTATGTGTTTGCTTGAATATTTTGGACTGTTTGGGTTTCCCTTTTGGATTTTCTTCCTCATCTCCATCAGAAGCTGTGTGAAGTACACCTGTGCCCCAGTAGGCTGGGGGATGGAGTGGGATCCACCAGATAGACAGTGGACTCAGAAGTGGGGAGGACTCAGCACCACGGCCCAGGTATGCATCTACTCACACAAGGCTGGTGGAGTTTCTTGGGCCTCTCTGGGGGTCTTGCCTGTGGGTTCCTGGCACTCAACCTGCAAGACAGGGCCTGGTCCCATGTAGAATCTAGTGCAGGCTTGGACTCAGGAAGAGGAAGAACACCAGAAGTAAGAGAAGGGGGCTTCTGGGGTATTTGCTGCATGCCCATTTTAGGGGCTTCCCGCTTCATTCTATACCCCAACCTCCTTGACTATTCCTGTTTCCTTAACAGTCACACTTTCTCCTTCCTAAAATCCCTTTCCTACTTTCTTGCCAGCCTAACGCTTACTCATTCTTCACAACTCATCCTGGGCATTATCATCCTTAAGATGCCTTTGATACCTCCTCCTGGACCCTTTTTCTAGGTTAGGCAACTTGTTCTGAGGCTCTTGGTGCTGGACCTCACATTTTTCTTGGTTTCCATTACACTAAATTCTGAGACTCTGTTGACACATTAGGGGAAGGGATTGCAACTTGTTGATCCTAAACCCCTCTCTTTCTCTGTGTTTCTGAACCTGACCCTTGCTCTTTACCTCTGCTATCATCATCCCACTGAGCTCTCCCCATCTCTATCCTAGACTGTATTGGACTTTTACATTGTCCTCTGTCTTGAACCTCATATCTGTTCTCCAAACGAACCACCAGAGTGTCCTTCTAAAATATAGATTTTACTGTGCCACTCCTCTACTTAGGTGTTCATGGGCTCCCTCATTCCTGTAAGGCGCTGCATTAGCCTGAGTCTTAGGTCGGGTTGTACCCGAAGCAGACCCTAAGACAAAGAACCAAGTGCAAGTAGCTTATTTGGGAGATGAAGGAAACTTGAGAGGGGGTGGGTATGTGAGATAGGGAAGGAAAGGCAGCCAATATAGGGTGTGCTGGTGACAGAATATCACAGGGGCAATAGGAGCTTATTCCTGAGGAGTGCCTCTGAGAGGCAGTTTAGAACGTGCCTCAGTGATGTTACCCAAAGGGTAACCCAGGTTTCCCCCATAAAAACTCCCATTGGTCATTGCTTGAGTGTGTTCCCAGAAGTGTTAATTACCTGTCACTCTGATCTGCCCTGCAGAGGGCCTGAGCAGCTCCAGTGGCCAGAGAATGCCTTCAGGCAGTAAGTGGCAGATGAATTTGGGAAGAATAGTGAGTGCTGAGAGAAAATGGGCCAGGAGAAGGGGGGGGGTGCTGGCAGCATCCTCTACAGCCTGGCTCATAAGACTCTGCATGACCCAAGTATTTGCTGGCCATCCAGCCCCTTCTCCCTTCACTCCCATCAGTCTTTGTGCTCTAGTGCCCTGCACTGCCTGTGGGTCTCTGTATACCTCATGCTCTTTTGTTTTTCTTCCATGCTCTTGCTCATGATATGCCTTCCACCTCGGATGCCCTTCTCTCACTTCTCCATCTAGTTAACATGTACACATTCTTCGAGATTTAGCATCACCTTCTCCAAGAAGCCTTTCTTGACTGACTTCTTTCCCCTTCCCCAGCAAGATTTAGATGTCTTCAATGTAGCATCTTTCACAGGTCTGCTCCCCTCACCAGACCATGGGGTCTGTGGCACATATACTCCATCTGATTCTTCCTTGAGTCCCTGGTGATGAGCATGTGGCCTGGCATCTTAATAAACAAGCACTGAGCTGAACCATGCATCTGTGGTTCATTGTTTGGCACATGGCTTGGACTCAATATTTGTATCTTGAATTGAACTAATCTTTGCCCCAGCTCCCTCTTTGCGTTGGCAGAGGCAGAAAGGGGACAAAGTTGAGTACTCCCCTCCCCAGAGCACAGAAACACTTTGCTCTTCTTTTACCCAGAAAAATTGGAGCTGGAAGTGGTGACCGAGGAGAGGCACAGAGGACATAGGAGACAGAAAGCCATCAGGGACACTCAAACACACACTCACACACAAACACACACACACGCACATGTAAACAGATATATGTACAAACATAAAGAAAAAAGACAAACAGAATGAGGGAAGATGGACCCGGGAGCAAGGGAAAGATGGACAGACAAAGAGATGAAGCAAATAGTAAGGAAAATAGAAGAGATGGAAAAAGGGAAGAATAGAGGGCAGAAACAGGGAAAGGAGAAAATAAGGCCAAATAATGTGCAAATTGGGAAAGATGTGAACAGAAACCCCTGGAACAAGGTTTTCCATCTGTCAGGGCAGCAGAGATGGAGATGGGAGTTGCACCTATGGGCTATTTGTCTCATCTCCCATTGCTGGACCAAAGGTGGGGGTGTATGTAGGGGTGGTGCAGGGTGAGGAGGATGAGGGGGCTGCTGCTGTCTGTCCTGAGCCAGAAGAATGGGGCACGCATTTGTTACTATTGTCTAGTGTGCCTCCTCTGGTGGTGAGTGGTGTCTGGTATTTGTTGGGCCCTCTCTTTGTCCTCTTTTAGGGAGTCAAATCTGCAAGGAATGGGGCAGAGTGATATAGCCGCTCCCATGTGCATGCCTTTGGCCTTGTGCTGTTGGATTTGCATTGGCTCATAAAAGAATAATGAACTATATCAATTTTTAAAGCTGCCTAATGCTCCTCTCAGCTCAGCTGTCTAAAAGTTTGCAAAGCAGACTACATGGCTCCTTGGAAGAAGGCCAGGACACATGACCAAGAGTCAGGGCTGCTGCTGTGACTGCTAGCACCCTAGATTGTTCCTTGGTGGGTGCCACAATGGTGGGAGGGGAGAGAAATGACCCGACTGTCATTTGGGACAGAGGGCAGGAGCTGAGAGAAGAGCATTTTGCATGAATTGCCTTCTTTCTGAGTTCCTAGGTAGACCGAATTCAGGAGTTTGGGAAAAATTTCTAAAAAGGCAAGTTCTTTGATTAAATCCTTTACCATAGATATTTTCTTCCCTACATGTGTTTGCTAACTGTGCCAGTTATAAAGCTATTATCTCTCAGCTCCAACCCAACATCCTGAACTCTGTTCGGTGATGCTGGGGCTGGGTCTCTGCAAACCACATTTCTGCCTTGCCCACTGGTTCCTTGTTAAGCTTTGCCAGTAGGGGGCAGAAGAGGGTGAAGGAATTTGCTTCTTCCTGTTTCCTTACTGTTCTGTGCAGTACCCTGGCAATGCTTTCTCACCTTAGCAGAGCCAGCTCATTCCCATAGCAGCAGCTGAATACACTTGGTAGGTTTTCCAGCATTCACAGAACCAACCTCACTGGGGAAACTCCATGAAGCCATCGACACCAGCCAGTTGCCACCTGCTCCTCAGAGGTCTAGGTCCCATCTCTGAAGGCCTCCTCCTCCAATCTTCTGAAGTTTTAACAATTCCAATATCTTCCCAGTGTTCTGCCATCTCTAGGGATTGAATAGGGTGACCAACTCATCTGGTTTTCCTGGGACTTTCTAGGTTTTAGAGAACTGAAATTCCAGTATCCTGGCAACCTCTTCAGTCCTAGGCAAGTTATGAATGTTGTTCACCTTAGAGCAGTAGATGCTTCCTGCAGTTGCTACCTCAGTTACTGAGTTAATACTGTTATATCAAGATAGCAATTCTTTATAATAATTTTTCTCTGTCTGAGTAACTGGTGTGATTTCTGTCCCTGATTGGATCTTGATGCAGCCTCATGTCTGATACTTAGGAAGCAGTGTTAAATCAGAGAGCATCCATTACTGTGGGCAAAATATAAAATGTTCCACTAAGGAGTATTACCTTGTTTTATCACTGCTATTTTGATCACTACTGCTATAGCAGCAGCTGCTGCTCTGGGTGATAACAATACCTCACATATGTATAGCATCTCACAGCTCACGGAGCATGGTTGGCCACTATTTTTTGCTTGCTTTTCCAAGAGCTTTGTGAGGTAAGTACTATCATCTCTGCCTAACTAAATTCGGAGAGGGAGAGTGACTTGCCCAAAGTCACATAGCTAGTCACATATTGCTGAGTTTCAAACTTACTTAAAAAAGAAATTCCGGTTCTTCCTCTTTTTACCTTGTAGCCTTTCTTGAGTTTAGTTGCAGGCAAGCAGCTGTTATCTTTCAGTTTTTAGTGCTTCCCACCCTGCTTCCCGTAGCCTCCACCCAGAAGCCTTTGAAGTTTATCTAGCTCTACTGGACAAAATGGACCACAGTGATGCATGGACTAAGGGTACTAGGTTCTGGGTCCTGCACATTCTGCTGGACATCGCTTCGATACTCAATGCTGACATGTTTTACATTTCCAGTGGATTTTCATTTAAACTAAAAGCTTTCTACAACCTTGGACTTAGACTGGGTTCACTTAAAAGGCATTTCTCAGAACACTCAATTTTATTAATATCATAAAATAATGTATGTTAAATAGCTGGATCATTTTATATTCAGAAAACACTCTCAATTTGAACTGCTTTATTTGGATAGTGATTGAAGGATTCCTGTAATTGATCTTGCTAGGTGGCCTTGGAGAAGTTTGTCTGGAAGATGGAGATTGTGGGAGTGCTAGGAAGGCAATGCAGCCTGTGCCTTAGCACCATCCAGCACCACCCCTCTGCTACCATGGAGAACAAAAACATCTCTGACGTAGGCCCTACCCTTGGACTGCTTATACTTTAATTATTGAAATCAGAGCCTGTGCTTAATGATTCTGAAGCAATGATATGATTCTGGCAGCCATGTTAGAGTGGATGGAGCACTGTATTCGGACTTAGAAGACTGGTAGAAGTGAGAAACTTGAGTAAATAACAACCTCTCTGATCCTCTGTTTTCTCAACTCTAAAATATGGGTAATATTTAATATCGATTAGGATGTAGTTTTGAAAATATTAGAATCCACAGATGGCCAAATCTTTCCTTTTTCATCACCTCTTATGTCCACTGGTTTCTCAAGAAAGTTAAACACACAATAACAGAATAGGATCCAAAGTAGTATTTTACTGATACCTAGGCAAGAACCCCCCAAACTCCAATATACTTGCATTAATTATTTAGTGCTTACTGACATAAAAGAGCACATATTTCTTATCTTACAGATTCTGTGGGGCATAAATTTGGGCCTGGTTTAACTGGGTCCTCTGTTTCATGGTCTCTCATGAGACTATAATCAAAGGACCAGCCAAGACTGGGTCCTCATCTGAAAGCTCAACTGGAAAAGTCTGCTTCCAAGCTCACTTAACGTGACTGATGGCAGGATTCAGAGTCTTTTGAGCTGTTATACTGAGAGCCTCAGTTTCTTGTTGGCAGTTGGCCAGAGGCTGCCCTCAGTTTCTTGTCATGCAGTCCTCTTTAATTTATCACCTTGCTTCATCAAAGCCAGCAAAAGAGAGTTTGTTAGGTGTCTAGAATGGCTGGCAGCTGGCTAGGGCTTACTGTCTCCAGATGGTTCCTCATTGTTTTTTTTTTTTTTAACACAGCTGCTGGATCCTAAAAGTGTGAAAATGGAAACTGTTAGGTCTCTAAGGCTTAGATTACAGAATTTGTGTAATATTACTTCTGCCAGCTTGGTGCAGTGACTCATACCTGTAATTCCAGCACTTTGGGAGGCTGAGGCAGGAGGTTTACTTGAGGCCAGGAGTTTGAGACAAGCTTGGGCAACAGCAAGACCCTGTGTCTACACAGAAAAGATTAGCTTGGTGTGGTAGCACACACCTGTAGTCCTTGCTACTTGGGAAGCTGAGGCAGAAGAATCCCTTGAGCCCAAAAGTTCAAGGCTGCAGTGAGCTATGATTACACCACTGCACTCTAGCCTGGGTGATGGAGCAACACCCTGTCTCTAAACAAAACAAACAAACCAGCAAACCAAAAATCCACATTGCTTTAGCCCATATGCTATTGGTTGAAACAAGTTACAGGGCCAGCCTGGAATGAAGATTGGGGAAATAGACTCCACCTGTTGATGGAATGAGTGTCATGCATGTACTGGGATGGGCAGATTGCTGGCTGCCATTTTGCAGACAGTCTACCATAGCTGTGCACCTAGCCTTTTGCTTGATGTAGAAAGCAAGACTCAGCTTAAACATGTGCGGCAGTTGAAGTCATTCAAGCAAATAGAAGGTACCCTGAAGGCTTTGAAGGATCTTCCAGCTCTCAGGGGCCTATGTTTCCACTGAAAGCCATGACTGTTTTGCAGGAGACTCTGCTAGTACCAGTTCAAGGAAGGGGAAGTGAAAGCTGCTTGCTTGGTTCTAGACAGCACGTTTTATTTATCCCTGAGAAGTAAGACAGAAATGGAATGCCATCAGGATTTGAAAACATTTCTTTAAATATGATGCACTTAAATCCAAAGGCAGGTAATGAATTTTATTTCATGAGTAAAGCTTCAATATCTTTGATGAGCATATGCAACAAAAGCTGAAAACAAAAGGCATAAAATTACCATGGTGATGGCTAATTGTGTTGAATCTGCATATATTAGTTCCCAGTGACACAAATAACACTCTGGTAGGCTAAAGTGCTAAGACACAGAAAGTATTGTTCTGTTTAAAATGAAAATCACAGTCTGCTTTGATTAAAAAATAACATTAGATATATTAATATTGGCAAATTAAATACTGTCTAATGGTGAACAGAAAAGAAAATCATCATTTCCCCTCCAAACTATTTGAGAATCCAGTTTAGGATTATTGTGCTAGGGACAGGAATATGGTGATAAGCTCTGTACTAGAGGGACTTTTGAAATAGAATATTGATCTTTGGGGTCTTCCTCTTTCCTTTCAGCAGCATTTTTTGCACTGGCATTCTTTTCTCCAGATACCCAATTGTCTCCTCTGTAACTGGCACTGTGGTAGGAACTACAAGAAAGATAAAAAAGAAATATGAGGCTGAACTTTACAGTCATAACCAGTAGGCCTCAACACCTGCCAACTTTGGGCAAATAATTTACTTATGTGAAACTCAATTTCCTCATATGTAAAATGCGGAGAATGTGCACCTTGAATAAGATAATGACTATAAAGCATCCAGAACATATCATTTGTTAATGATATTAGTTGGAGAGATAAGGCCAGTTCACTTGAAATAATGGCAGAGTCAGGGAGACACTACAGTTATGTGTCAAACTGTCATTTGGGCTCCAAATTCTGGGGAACTTCAGAAAAGGAGGTCAGGCTTCCTGAATAAAAGGAGGCTTGAGCTGGGCATATCAATTGAGCAGACAAGTGCTGAGAGTCTGCACTTGCAAAGCATCTTATAAAGGATGGTGTGAAGGCAGAAATAGGCATGTTGGTGGGCAAGAGGGAGACTTAAATAATGTGCATGAAAGTGATGGCAACTAGTGTTGGGATTGCATCACAGAGGGTCATGAAATCCCGGTACAGGAGCATAGGATGTGATGGGTCTGTCTAGCAAGCAGGCTCCAGTTCTTAATGCCCTTAAGAAATCATATATATTCCTAATTATTTTAAGTTTGTGTAATGTGCCTTTTTCCCTGGAACCATTTCAGTTTCCTTTTTTCTTTCTTTTTCCAAATTATAATCCAATCTTCACCCTATAGTGCACTGTTTACTTTGAAGTGCAATTAAAGGACTGGGCCAAAAAGCAAATGGAGCACATCTTGCCAACTCTACCTGCAAAGTGCTTTACATTTGCTTAACTGTGACTCAGATTCGGAACGACCTGAGAAGGAACGGGCAGTGGTGTTTGGGTGCTGACAGCGCCATCTATTACCTTGCTGGCAGCCAGGAAAGAGAGCCAGTGGAACTATTTGAGAAAGGATGAACTAGGAAGCAAATAGTGATTCAAGATGAATAATAATTTCTCATACCTGTATTGTGATTTACAAGTCTTTAGAATGCTCTCACAGTCAGTAACTCATGTAATTCCTAGGACAACCCTATGAGGTTATTAAAGAAAATGCTGTCCTCATTTTACACATGGGAGAGCTGAAATTGAAAGAAAAAAGTCTTGCCCAAGTTTACAAAGCAAGTCAATGCAGAGGTAATTGGAAACTCAAGTTGTTACTTTCACCCATCAAATGTCTGTTCTGTGTTAACTGCTCCGGAATCCTCTGCCTCACTGTGTTGGTGGTAGACTGGAGGACACTATATTATGGATTAAATAGTTAGGGAACCAGCCAGGAGGCTATTTTTGGTGAATCAGACATGAGGTGAGGAGGGGTTGCATGATACCAGAGCTTCACTCTCTTATGATCCCTTTGGGCATTGTTTTTCAGTCTCCCAGTTGGCTCCCTTCCTCTCTGCTTAAGCATTGGCACCTCCCACTGTTTGGCTGTTGCCTCTATTCTCTTCTCTCTCTCCATGCTCCCATGGGTGAAGCCACTCTCTATAAAAGTCATTAACTTTTAGGATCCATTCTTTTTTTTTTTTTTTGAGACAGAGTCTTGCTCTTTTCACCCAGGCTGGAGTGCAGTGGTGAGATCTCGGCTCACTGCAACCTCCGCCTCCGGAGTTCAAGCAATTCTCTTGCCTCAGCCTCCCGAGTAGCTGGGGTTACAGGCACCCACCACCACGCCCGGCCAATTTTTGTATTTTTAGTAGAGATAGGGTTTTGCCATGTTGGCCAGGCTGAGTCTCGAATTCCTGGCCTCGTGATCCGCCTGCCTCGGCCTCCCACAGTGCTGGGATTACAAGCGTGAGCCACCGCGCCCGGCCGATCCATTCTGTATTCACAGTTCCAGCCCAGACAGATCTCCCAAGATCAAGATTTGTTTAAGGACAGTTTCTTGACTCACTGGGTTTCACCCTTCCCCTTTGTCTCTTGAATCATATTCTATCTTTTATTCCTTCCCTCTCCTGAATCTTAAAATTCTTCCTCTTCAGGAATCCTTCTTATTAGTATTTAAAACACTCAAATTTCTCCTGTTTGAAAATTAAAATAGAAAACTCTTCCCCATTTTTTTGAACACATGTCCCTCTTCAAATATAGCCCTATTTCTCTTCTCTCCTCCACATACAAACTTTGCAGAGCATTTTGTGTACTTGCTGTCTCCATTTTTCACCTCCCATCTATACTTCTCAACCCACTCCAGTCTGGCCTCTGTCCTCATCATGCCTAGCTCTTGCGAGGATCCTCAATGACCTCTGCATCACTAAGTCCAGTGACATTTTCTGTGCTCATGTTATAAGACGCAGCAGAAATCAATGCAGTGAACCATTTCATTATCCATGGAACATTTTTACCTTGGCTTCTGTGACACAAAGTGCTCCTGGGCCTTTTCTCCTCACTCTATACGTAATTACCAAGTGATTTTCCAAATCTTCAGACCAGCTATATGGAGGCAACTCTCAACCTTACAAATCTAGCCTACACATATGTTCTAATCCTCAGATCTGCATAGTCTAACTCTCAACAAAGTTTCCCCTTGGACAGCTCCAAGGCTTGGCCAGGACAGAATAAATTTACCCGGTGTCAGTGTTTCTCATTTCTAGAAGGTGTTTGTTTTTTTTTTCTTGGTTGGGAGGAGGAAGTCTCAATAATTTTTTTTCTTTTCTTTTTTTTTTTTTGCAATGTAGTCTTGCTTTGCTGCCTAGGCTGGAGTGCAGTGCAGTGGTGTGATCTCGGCTCACTGCAACCTCTGCCTCCCAGTTCAAGTGATTCTCTTGCCTCAGCATCCTGAGTAGCTGGGGTTATAGGCATGTGCCACCATGCCAGACTAATTTTTGTATTTTTAGTAGGGATGGGGTTTCACCATGTTGGCCAGGCTTGTCTCAGACTCCTGACCTCAAGTGTTCTGGGGGCAGTTCATCTCATCTTGCTGGCTCTTAACCAGAGCTTTTAGGAGAGGTGGCCTAATGGGTTGGTCAGGACTGTTACTCTACCCCTCACTCCCTGTTCTGAGAAAAGTAGCATTGTTTTGGAGGAAGGTCATTCTTGCTGCCTTGAACATACCAGATTTTGCCACAGTGCAGTGCCCAGCAGGGTCGTTGTAAACCATGGTGACTAAACCATCCCTTTCACCAAGAAGCTTAACCTAACTATTCCTTTCTCATTCATTTAAATTTTGTTTCTTTCACATCTAAATGTATTATGCATGTTGTCTTTAAGGATATCTTCTGTTAGCCCTTGGAAATAAAAAACTGCCTTGTATTTTCTTTTTTTCCCCTCACATTTCTTCCATGTTTTTCTTTCTTTTTTGTAGCTCTTTGTTTTTAGACATCATGCCTTTCTTTTTCTTCTTCTTCATTTCTTTCCTTTTAATTCCACACTCAGCCTGTTTGGTGGATGCTGTGGTTTCTTGCTCAGATTCTCTTTAGGAGGCTGGTGAAGCCAGTCCTCAGCTGCTATGTGTGTTGGTTGCTAAAGATTTATTAATTCCAGAGAAGTACTCTATGAGGGAGAGTACATAGCTAATGGTTGACTTGCATGTGGGAACAAAAGCCAGCACTTTGAGGGAAGGGAATTCTGTGGAGCAACTCATATTCAAGCTCCCAATGGGAGATGGCAAAGCTGACTTCTGCTGAGACCACACTCTTTTTTAATTTGCTTTATTTTCTTATTTACTGATTCTTAAATTTTTATTTTTTTGTGAGCACATAGTAGGTGTGTGCATTTATGGGGTGTTTGAGATATTTTGATACAGGCATACAATGCATAATAATCATATCAGGGTAAATGAGGTATCCATCACTTTGAGCATTTATCCTTTCTTTGCGTTACAAACAAATGCAATTATGCTTTTTTAGTTATTTTTAAATGTACAATAAACTATTGTTGACTGTAGTCACTCTGTTGTGCTATCAAATACTAGATATTATTCTTTCTATCTAACTATATTTTTGAACCCATTAACCATCCACACTCCCCTACCCATTACCCTTCTTAGTTCTTCAAATGTTTGGTAAAATGCAGTAGTGAAACCATCATGGCCTAACATTTTCTTTGCTGGGAGACTTTTTATTATGTCTTCAATTTCGTTACTTGTTATTGGTCTGTTCAGGTCTTGGATTTCTTCATGGTTCAGTCTTAGTAGGTTGTATGTGTCTAGGAATTTATCCATTTCATCTAGATTTTCCAATTTAGTGGCTCATAAATTTAGTAACTTTTGGTAGCCTCTAATGATTCTTTGAATTTCTGTGATACTGCCTGTAATGTCTCCTTTTTCATCTCTGATTTTATTTATTTGTGTCTTCTCCCTTTTTTCCTTCATGAGTTTGGCTGATGGTTTGTCAGTTTTATTTATCTTGTCAAATAAACAAATTTTCATTTTATTGATCTTTGTATTGTTTTCAGTTTTGTTAATTTTTGCTCTAATCTTTATTATTTCTTTTCTTCTACTGATTTTGAGTTTGGTTTGCTTTCGCTTTTCTAATTCTTCAAGATGCACACCCTTAGGTTGTTTATTTGAAATTTTTTTACTTACAGCTATAAAATTCCTTTTTAATACTGCTTTTGCTTTATAGCCCATAGGTTTTAGTATGTTGTGTTTACATTATCATTTGTTTCATGAAAATTTTTAATTTTCTTCTTAATTTTTTCACTGACTCACTGGTCATTCAAGAGCATATTGTTTATTTTCCATGTGTTTGTATAGTTTCTAAAATTCCTTGTGTTATTGATTTCTAGTTTTATTCCACTGTGTTCAGAGAAGATGTTTGGTATTATTTCAGTTTTTTGAATGTTTTAAGAGTTGTTTTGTAGTCTAACATGTGATCCATCCATGAGAATGATGCATGTGCTGAGGAGAAGAGTGTATTCTGCATCATTGGATGCAATGTTCTGTAAGTATCCATTAGGTCCATTTGGCCTATAGTGCAGATTAAGTCTGATGTTTCTTAGTTGATTTTCCATCTGGATGATCTGTCCAATGCTGTAAGTGGAGTGTTAACATCTGCAGCTATTATTGTATTGGGATCTATCTCTTTCTTTAGCTCTAATAATACTTGCTTTATATGTCTGGGTGCTCCAGTGTTGGGTACATATATATTCACAATTGTTTATCTTCTTGCTGAATTGACCCTTTTTCATTAAATAACAACCTTCTTTGTCTCTTTTTATATTTTTTTGTCTTGAAATCTGTTTTATCTGGTATAAGTATAGCAATTCCTTCTCTTTTTTGGTTTTCATTTGTATGGAATATCTCTTTCTATCCCTTAATTTTAGGTCTATGTGTGTCTTTACAGGTGAAGTGTGTTTCTTGTAGGCAACAGATCATTGGGTCTTGTTTTTTTAATCCATTCGGCCACTGTATGTCTTTTGAAAGGAGAGTTTATCAATTTATTTGTCTGTGTTTATTTATTTTTTTATTATACTTTAAGTTCTAGGGTACATGTGCACTATGTGCAGGTTTGCTACGTAGGTATACATGTACCATGTTGGTTTGCTGCACCCATTAACTCGTCATTTACATTAGGTATTTCTCCTAATGCTATCCCTCCCCCTGCCCCCCCACTACACGACAGGCCCCAGGGTGTGATGTTCCCCGCTCTGTGTCCAAGTGTTCTCATTGTTCAATTCCCACCTATGAGTGAGAACATGAGGTGTTTGGTTTTCTGTCCTTGAGATAGTTTGCTCAGAATGATGGTTTCCAGCTGCATCCATGTCCCTGCAAAGGATATGAACTCATCCTTTTTAATGGCTTCATAGTATTCCATGATGTATATGTGCCACATTTTCTTAATCCAGTCTATTATTGATGGACATTTGGGTTGGTTCCAAGTCTTTGCTATTGTGAAGAGTGCCACAATAAACATACGTATACATGGGTCTTTATAGTAGCATGATTTATAATCCTTTGGGCATATACCCAGTAATGGGATTGCTGGGTCAAATGGTATTTCTAGTTCTAGATCCTTGAGGAATGGCCATACTGTCTTCCACAATGGTTGAACTAGTTTACGGTCCCACCAGCAGTGTAAAAGTGTTCCTATTTCTGCACATCCTCTCCAGCATCTGTTGTTTCCTGATTTTTTAATGATTGCCATTCTAACTGGTGTGAGATGGTATCTCATTGTGGTTTTGATTTGCATTTCTCTGATGACCAGTGATGATGAGCATTTTTTCATGTGTCTGTTGGCTTATTTTGAGAAGTGTCTGCTCATATCCTTTGCCCACTTTTTGATGAGGTTGTTTATTTCTTGTAAATTTGTTTAGGTTCTCTGTAGATTCTGGATATTAGCCCTTTCTCAGATGAGGTAGATTGCAAAAATTTCCTCCCATTCTGTAGGTTGCCTGTTCACTCTGATGGTAGTTTCTTTTGCTGTGCGGAAGGTCTTTAGTTTAATTAGATCCCATTTGTCTATTTTGGCTTTTGTTGCCATTGCTTTTGGTGTTTTAGTCATGAAGTCCTTGCCCATGCCTATGTCCTGAATGGCATTCCCTAGGTTTTCTTCTAGGGTTTTTATGGTTTTAGGTCTAACATTTAAGTCTTTAATCCATCTTGAATTAATTTTTGTATAAGATGTAAGGAAGGGATCCAGTTTCAGCTTTCTATGTATGGCTAGCCAGTTTTCCCAGCACCATTTATTAAATAGGGACTTCTTTCCCCATTTCTTGTTTTTATCATGTTTGTCAAAGATCAGATAGTTGTAGATGTGTGGTGTTATTTCTGAGGGCTGTGTTCTGTTCCATTGGTCTATATCTCTGTTTTGGTACCATTGCTGTGCTGTTTTGGTTACTGTAGCCTTGAAGTATAGTTTAAAGTGAGGTAGCATGATTCCTCCAGCTTTGTTCTTTTGGTTTAGGATCGTCTTGGCAATGCAGGCTCTTTTTTGGTTCTATATGAACTTTAAAGTAGTTTTTTCTAATTCTCTGAAGACAGTAATTGGTAGCTTGATGGGGATGGCATTGAATCTATAAATTACCTTGGGCAGTATGGTCATTTTCATGATATTGATTCTTCCTACCCATGAGCATGGAATGTTCTTCCATTTGTTTGTGTCCTCTTTTATTTCACTGAGCAGTGATTTGTAGTTCTCCTTGAAGAGGTCCTTCACATCCCTTGTAAGTTGGATTCCTAGGTATTTAATCTCTTTGAAGCAATTGTGAATGGGAGTTCACTCATGATTTGGCTCTCTGTTTGTCTGTTATTGGTGTATAGGAATGCTTGTGATTTTTGTACATTGATTTTGTATCCTGAGACTTTGCTGAAGTTGCTTATCAGCTTAAGGAGATTTTGGGCTGAGATGATGGGGTTTTCTAAATATACAACCATGTCATCTGCAAACAGGGACAATTTGACTTCTCTTTTCCTAATTGAATACCCTTTATTTCTTTCTCTTGCCTGATTGCCCTGGCCAGAACTTCCAATACTATATTGAATAGGAGTGGTGAGAGAGGACATTCCTGTCTTGTGCCAGTTTTCAAAGGGAATGCTTCCAGCTTTTGCCCATTCAGTATGATACTGGCTGTTGGTTTGTTGTAAACAGCTCTTATTATTTTGAGATGCGTTCCATCAATACCTAGTTTACTGAGAGTTTTTAGCATGAAGGGGGCTGTTGAATTTGTTGAAGGCCTTTTCTGCATCTATGGAGATAATCATGTGGTTTTTATTGTTCGTTTTGTTTATGTGATGGATTGTGTTTATTGACTTGTGTATGTTGAACCAGCCTTGCTTCCCAGGGATGAAGCCGACTTGATCATGGTGGATAAGCTTTTTGATGTGCTGCTGGATTCGGTTTGCCAGTATTTTATTGAGGATTTTCACATCGATGTTCATCAGGGATATTGGTCTAAAATTCTCTTTTTTTTGTTGTGTCTCTGCCAGGCTTTGGTATCAGGATGATGCTAGCCTCATAAAATGAGTTAGGAAGGATTCCCTAACTCTATTTTTTTTTTATTGGAATAGTTGCAGAAGGAATGGTACCGGCTCCTCTTTGTACCTCTGGTAGAATTCGGCTGTGAATCTGTCTGGTCCCGGACTGTTTTTGGTTGGTAGGCTATTAATTATTGCCTCAATTTCAGAGCCTGTTATTGGCCTATTCAGAGTTTCAACTTCTTCCTGGTTTAGTCTTGGGTGGGTGTATGTGTCCGGGAATTTATCCATTTCTTCTAGATTTTCTAGTTTATTTGTGTAGAGGTGTTCATAGTATTCTCTGATGGTAGTTTGTATTTCTGTGGGATTGGTGGTGATATCCCTTTTATCATTTTTTATTGTGCCTATTTGATTCTTCTCTCTTTTCTTCTTTATTAGTGTTGCTAGCAGTCTATCAATTTTGTTGACCTTTTCAAAAAACCAGCTCCTGGATTCACTGATTTTTTTGAAGGGTTTTTTGTGTGTGTCTCCTTCAGTTCTGCTGTGATCTTTGTTGTTTCTTGCCTTTGGCTAGCTTTTGAGTTTGTTTGCTCTTGCTTCTCTAGTTCTTTTAATTGTGATGTTAGGGTGTCAATTTTAGATCTTTCCTGCTTTCTCTTGTGTGTATTTAGTTCTATAAATTTCCCTCTACACACTTCTTTGAATGTGTCCCAGAGATTCTGGTATGTTGTGTCTTTGTTCTCATTGGTTTCAAAGAATATCTTTATTTCTGCCTTCATTTCGTTATGTACCGAGTAGTCATTCAGGAGCAGGTTGTTCAGTTTCCATGTAGTTGTGCAGTTTTGAGTGAGTTTCTTAATACTGAGTTCTACTTTGATTGCACTGTGGTTTGAGAGACAGTTTGTTGTGATTTCTGTTCTTTTACATTTGCTGAGGAGTGTTTTACTTCCGACTATGTGGTCAATTTTGGAATAAGTGTGATGTGGTGCTGAGAAGAATGTATATTCTGTTGATTTGGGGTGGAGAGTTCTGTAGATGTCTATTAGGTCTGCTTGGTGCAGAGCTGAGTTCAAATCCTTGATATCTTTGTTAACTTTCTGTCTCGTTGATCTGTGTAATATTGACAGTGGGGTGTTAAAGTCTCCCATTATTATTGTGTGGGAGTCTAAGTCTCTTTGTAGTTCTCTAAGGACTTGCTTTATGAATCTGGGTGCTCCTGTGTTGCGTGCATATATATTTAGGATAGTTAGCTCTTCTTTTTGAATTGATCCATTTAACATTATGTTATGACCTTCTTTGTCTCTTTTGATCTTTGTTGGTTGTTGGGAACAGACCCCCAAATCTGGCCATAGACAGGCTCCAAAACTGGGCATAAATAAAATCTCTGCAGCACTGTGACATGTTTGTGATGGCCATGACACCCACATTGAAGGTTATTGGTTTACCGGAATGAGAACAAGGAACACCTGGCCCACCCAGGGCATAAAGCTGCTTAAAAGTGTTCCTAAACCACAAAGAATAGCATGAGTGATCTTTGCCTTGAGGACATGTTCCTGCTGCAGATAATTAGCCAGAGCCCATCCCTTTGTTTTCCGTTAGGAATACTTTTAGTTAATCTATAATCTATAGAAATAATGCTTATCACTGGCTTGCTGTCAATAAATATATGGGTAAATTTCTCTTCTGGGCTCTCAGCTTTGAAGGCTGTCAGCCCCCATATCCCACTCCACATTGTATATTTCTGTGTGTGTGTCTTTAATTCCTCTAGCGCCGCTGGGTTAGGGTCCCTATGACCGAGCTGGTCTCGGAAGTTGGTTTAAAGTCTGTTTTATCAGAAACTAGGGTTGCAACCCCTGCTTTTTTTTTTTTGCTTTCCATTTTCTTGGTAGATCTTCTTCCATCCCTTTATTTTGAGCCTAGTGTCTGTGCATGTGAGATGGATTTCCTGAATACAGCACACTGATGGGTCTTGACTCTTTATCCAATTTGCCAGTCTGTGTCTTTTAATTGGGGCATTTAGCCCATTTACATTTAAGGTTAATATTATTATGTGTGAATTTGATCCTGTCATTATGATGTTAGCTGGTTATTTTGCTTGTTAGTTGATGCAGTTTCTTCTTAGCATTGATGGTCTTTACAATTTGGCATGTTTTTGCAGTGGCTGGTACCAGTTGTTCCTTTCCATGTTTGGTCCTTCAGAAGCTCTTGTAAGGCAGACCTGGTGGTGACAACATCTCTCAGCATTTACTTGTCTGTAAAGGATTTTATTTCTCCTTCACTTATGAAGCTTAGTTTGGCTGGATATGAAATTCTCTGGGTTGAAACTTATTTTCTTTAAGAATGTTGAGTATTGGCCCTCACTCTCTTCTGGCTTGTAGAGTTTCTGCTGAGAGATCTGCTGTTAATCTGATGGGCTTCCCTTTGTGGATAACCCAACCTTTCTCTCTGGTTGCCCTTAACATTTTTTCCTTCATTTCAAACTTGGAGAATCTGATAATTATGTGTCCTGGGGTTGCTCTTACCGGGGAATATCTTTGTGGTGTTCTCTGTATTTCCTGAATTTTAATGTTGGCCTGCCTTGCTAGGTTGGGGAAGTTCTCCTGGATAATGTCCTGAAGAGTGTTTTCCAACTTGATTCCATTCTCCCTGTCACTTTCAGGTACACCAATCACATGTAGATTTGGTCTTTTCACATAGTCCTATATTTCTTGGAGGCTTTGTTCATTTCTTTTTACTCTTTTTTCTCTAAACTTCTCTTCTCACTTTATTTCATTCATTTGATCTTCAATCACTGATACCCTTTCTTCTACTTGATCGAGTTGGCTATTGAAGCTTGTGCATGCATCATGTAGTTCTTGTGCCATGGTTTTCAGCTCCATCAGGTCCTTTAAGGACTCCTCTGCATTGGTTATTCTAGTTAGCCATTCGTCTAATCTTTTTTCAAGGGTTTTAGCTTCCTTGTGATGGGTTCGAACATCCTCCTTTAGCTCGGAGAAGTCTGTTATTACTGACCTTCTGAAGCCTACTTCTGTCAGCTCATCAAAGTCATTCTCTGTCCAGCTTTGTTCTGTTGCTGGCGAGGAGCTGCAATCCTTTGGAGGAGAAGAGGCACTCTGGTTTTTAGAATTTCCAGCTTTTCTGCTCTGGTTTCTCTTCATCTTTGTGGTTTTATCTACCTTTGGTCTTTGATGCTGGTGACGTACATAAAGCGTTTTGGTATGGATGCCCTTTTGTTCGTGTTGATGCTATTCCTTTCTGTTGGTTAGTTTTCCTTCTAACAATCAGGTCCCTCAGTTGCATGTCTGTTGCAGTTTGCTGGAGGTCCTCTCCAGACCCTGTTTGCCTGGGCATCACCATTGGAGGCTGCTGAATAGCAAATATTGCAGAACAGCAAATATTGCTGCCTGATCCTTCCTCTGGAAGCTTTGTCCCAGAGGGCACTCACCTGTATGAGGTGTCAGTTGGCCCCAACTGGGAGGTGGCTCCCAGTTAGGCTACACAGGGGTAAAGAACCCACTTGAAGAGGCAGTCTGTCTGTCCTCTGAGCTCAAGTGCTGTTCCAGTGATCTTCAGAGCTGTCAGACAGGGACGTTTAAGTCTGCAGAAGTTTCTGCTGCCTTTTGTTCAGCTATGCCCTGCCCCTAGATGTGGAGTCTACAGAGGCAGAGGCCTTGCTGAGCTGCGGTGGGCTCCACCCAGTTCGAGCTTTCCAGCCACTTTGTTTACCTACTCAAGCCTCAGCAATGGCAGACACCCCTCCCCCTGCCAAGCTACTGCCTTGCAGGTCAATCCGAGACTGCTGCACTAGCAGTGAGCAAAGCTCTGTGCATGTGGGACCCACTAAGCCAGGCGTGGGATATAATCTCCTGGTGTGCTGTTTGCTAAGATCATTGGAAAAGCACAGTATTTGGGTGGGATCATCCCGTTTTTCCAGGTACCATCTTTGGTGAAGGCACGGCTTCCCTTAGCTAGGAAAGGGAAATCCCCCGACCCCTTGCACTTCCCGGGTGAGGCAATGCCCCACCCTGCTTCAGCTCACCCTCCATGGGCTGCACCCACTGTCCAACCAGTCCCAATGAGTTGAGCCAGGTACCTCAGTTGGAAATGCAGAAATCACCCATCTTCTGCGTCAATCACGCTGGGAGCTGCAGACCGGAGCTGTTCCTATTCGGCCATCTTGCAACGGATCCCATCAATTTATATTCAATATTACTTTTGATAGGTAATGACTTACTCCTGCCATTTTGTCATTTGTGTTCTGGTTGTTTTGTGGTCTTCTCTTCCTTCTTTCCTTTGTTTTTCTCTTCTTTTTAGGTGAAGGCAATTTTCTATGGTGATATGTTTTAATTTCTTGCTTTTTATTCTCTGTGTATCTATTGTATGTTTTTCAATTTAAGGTTACATTGAGGCATGCACATACTATCTTTTAACCCATTATTTTGGACTGATGACAAGTTAACACTACTTTCATAAACAAAGAAACAAACAAACACAGAAAGAGAAAACTAATAAAACCTTTACCCCTTAACTTCATTCCCTAGCTTTTTAACTTCTTGTTGTTTCTATTTTTATCTTATGTACTGTCTATGTCTTGAAAAGTTCTTGTTATTATTTCTGATTGGTTCATCCTTTAATCTTTCTACTCAAGATATGAGTAGTTTACACATCACAATTACAATGTTATAATAGTCTGTATTTTCCTGTGTACTTACTATTACCAGTGAGTTTTTACCTTCGGATGATTTATTGCTCATTAACATCCTTTTCTTTCATATTGAGAAAACTCTTTTTAGCATTTTTTGTAATACATGTCTGGTTTTGATGAAATCCCTTAGCTTTTGTTTGTTTGGTAAAGTCTTTGTTTCTTCTTCACGTTTGAAGAATATTTTTGCTGGATATACTCTTCTAGGTTATAAGTTTTTCCGCTTAAGCACTTTAAATATGTCATGCCAGTCTCTCCTGGCCTATAATGCTTCTGCTGAAAAGTCTGCTGCCAGGCATATTGGCACTCCTTTGAATGTTGTTTCTTTTCTCTTGCTGCTTTTAGGATCCTTTATCATTGACCTTTGGGACTTTATTAAATGTCTTGAAATAATCTTTGGGTTAAATCTGCTTGGTATTCTATAACCTTCCTGTACTTAGGAATTGATATCTTTCTCTAGGTTTGGGAAGTTCTCTATTATCATCCCTTTGAATAAACTTTCTAATGCTATCTCTCTTTTTGCCTCCTCTTTAAGGCAATTCACTTTTAGATTTTCCCTTTTGAGGCTATTTTCTAAATCTTGTAGGTGTGCTTTATTCTTTTTTGTTTTTTTTTAAAAAAATCTCTTCTGATTGTGTATTTTCAAATAGCCTGTCTTCGAGCTCACTAATTCTTTTTTCAGCTTAATCGATTCTGCTGGCAGATCCAGAGATGCTGACTGGGAGCCAGGGCCTAGAGTAGGAAACCTTAGGAATTTACTTGGTACTCTATTCTACTGTGGGTGAGCTGGCACCCAAGCCACAAGACAAAGTCCTTCTCACTCTTATCTCCTCTTTCCATAAGCAGAAGAGTCTCTCCTCATGGACACCCCAGACCTGTGGTGAATACTGCCTAACTACTGCCAGTGTTCATTCAAGGCCCAAGGGCTCTTCAGTCAGCTTGTGATGAATGCTGCCAGGCCTGGGACTCTCCTTTCTGGGCAGTGGATTTCCCTCTGGTCCAGGGCAGGTACAGAAATGCCATCCAAGAGCTGATGCCTGGAATCAGCTACCCCAAAAGCTCACTTGGTTCTCTCTCCCAGTGTGGCTTAGGTGGTACCTGAAGTGCAAGACAAAGTCTCCCTTACTCTTCCCTAGCCTTTTATCAAGCAGGAGTCTCTCCCCATTGCCTCCATAGCTAGGAAGGTGCTGGGTCAAAACTGAAGCCAGCACATCTCTTCAGTCTCCTCCAAGACCCATGGCTTACTTCCTGGGTATCACTGCTGATTATTCAGGGCCCAAGGCTCTTTAGTCAGCAGGTGATGAATCCTTCCAGGACTTGGTCCTTCTCTTCAAAGCAGTTGGTTTCCTTCTGGCCCAGGGTGTGTCTAGAAATGTTATCCAAGATCGAAGGCCTGGAATGGGGGGCCTCAGGACTCTGCCTTGTACCCTATCCTCCTGTGGTTGAGCTGGCATCCAAGTTGCAAGACAAAGTCCTCTATACTCTTCCCTCTCTTCTTCTCAAGTGTAGGGAAGGAGTCTCTACTGCAGCTGTGAGCTGTGCTGCTGAGGGTTGGCAGAGAGGTGGCAGAAGCACTCCCTTGGCCACTCCACCTGGTGTCTCATTGGGTAGCATGCTCCCCAAGTCCACCACTGTCTCTGAGCCCAGCACAGCACCAGGATTTGGTCAAGAATTTCAGTCCTTGTGGCCTGGACTGCTTTATTTAGGAACCCCAGAGCATTTAGCCCATGGCAGCAAGACTTGCCAGAAGTCAGGTTCTGATCGCTGGGATGGGTGATTCCCCTCTGGCTAGGGCTGGTTTATATGTGCCTTTTGTGAAAACCTGCTGAGTTTTTTCTATTTTCGCGGTGTTTCTTTCTTCTGTGACAGGGCAGCATTGAGTTCCAATGCAAAGTTCTGCAATCATTGTGTTCTCCTTCCTCCAAGTGCACAGATTCTTTCTCTGCACTATGAGGCTACTTTAGGGAATGGCAGAAGAGTGGCATTGGCAATTTAAGACTGTCTTTCCTACCCTCTTCAATGCCTCCTGCAATAATATGAAGTTAAAACCAAGTACTGTGATTGCTTACCTGATTTTTGGTTCTTATGAAGGTGCTTTTAGTGTGTGGATGTTTGCTCAGTTTGGTGTTTCTGTAGCAGGGATAATCAATGAAGTCTTCTATTTGACCATCTTGCCATGCCTGTCTGTCTGGAGACCACACTCTTGTTTAGCTTCATCCCCTGCCCCATCCTACTTTCCTCATTCCCCTTTTCCTAAAAGGACTTCCTCAACAGATTTTGTGAACTTGAATTCCCATCTCAGGCTCTGCTTCAAGGGAACATGACTCAAGACAACCTATCTTGCTTTCTGACTTTAGCCACTAAAAGCATCTTCCATTTCTACTCATCTTTTCTATTATTTACCCTGTTATCTTTAATCTTACTTCCCTTTAATTCCCCACCATTTGCTTCTTACCTTTTTAGGGCTTCTGATAAGTCTCAGAGTTGCTTCTCCTGGAGACAGACATGTGATGCATCTTTGGTTTGTAGTTGATTGGAATAACCGGAACATGTTTCTTCTTCTTAGCACTGAGCACCCTCAAAGATGCTGCATGAGCTAGAAGCTCATTCAAAGTGAATGTTCCTGATAGAAAGGCCTAGTACTGACAGCAGATTGAGACCCCGCCTTTCTTTTCCACCATCTGTTTGCCTGCTAGAGGCAGGAAGCTTCAGGAGATGGAATGACCTTTTCCAAAGATTTGTTTTCAGTATAGTGTCTAGAGCTTCCCTTTCCCAGAGCTAATCTCTGGAAATAAATAAATTATATTTCTGGTAATAAAAATTGTTCAAGCTGTTCCAATGCTCCCAGAACACCAGAGGGCCACTAAACAAACTGAAGGAGAAGTTGTAGTTTGGTGATCTCCAAATAATAAGACAAACTAAATGTATTTTTGTGCTATATTCATACTCATATTTACAGTTTCATGGCCAAATAAGTAGGATAAACTCTTCCTAAACAAAAACTAAACAGGTTTTACTTTTACTAAAAAAAAATTTACTGCAAGTCTTCTCAGAGATTTTTAAAAAATATGCTAATATACACTAAATCTGGAGGGGCACATAGCATGTAGCACTTACCAAGCTTATTTTATAACACATCTCCTTTTCCTTTTTTCTTTTTAGTAGAACATCTTACAAGGCTGTTATATGAAACGCACAGATACAACCATGCAACAATTGTGATCAACAAATATTTGATCTCTTGAAGACAGCATACTGATGGGTCTTAATTCTTTATTCAGCTTACTATTGCATGGAGGAACATCCCTCAAAATAGTAAGAGCCATTTATGACAAACCCACAGCCAATATCATACTGAATGGGCAAAAAATGGAAGCATTCCCCTTGAAAAGCAGCACAAGACAAGGTTGCCCTCTCTCACCACCGCTATTCAACATAGTATTGGAAGTTCTGGCCAGGGCAATCAGGCAAGATAAAAAAAATAAGGCATATTCAAATAGGAAGAGAGGAAGTCAAACTATCTTTGTTTGCAGATGACATAATCCTGTATCTAGAAAACCCGATTATCTCAGCCCAAAAGCTTCTTAAGCTGATAAGCAACTTCAGCAAAGTCTCAGGATACAAAATCAATGTGCAAAAATTGCTAGTATTCCTATACACCAACAACAGGCAAGCTGACAGCCAAATCACAAATGAACTCCCATTCACAGTTGCCACAAAAAGAATAAATTATCTAAGAATACAGCTAACAAGGGAAGAGAAGGACCTCTTCAAGGAGAACTACACACCACTGCTCAAAGAAATCAGAGATGACAAAAACAAATGGAAAACATTCCATGTTTATGGATAGGAAGAATCAGTATTGTAAAAATGGCCATATTGGCCGGGTGAGGTGGCTCATGCCTGTAATCCCAGCACTTTGGGAGGCTGAGGCAGGTACATCATTAAGGTCAGGAGATCGAGACCATCCTGGCTAATACGGTGAAACCCAGTCTCTACTAAAAACACAAAAAATTAGCCAGGCGTGGTGCAGCACCTGTAGTCCCAGCTACTTGGGAGGCTGAGGCAGAAGAATGGCATGAACCTGGGAGGTGGGGCTTGCAGTGAGCTGAGATCATGCCACTGTACTCCAGCCTGGGTGACAGAGCTAGACTCCATCAAAAAAAAAAAAAGGGCCATATTGATAATAAAAACATTTATAGATTCAATGCTATTCATATTAAGCTACCATTGACATTCTTCAGAGAATTAGAAAAAAACTATTTTAAAATTCTCATGGAACCAAAAAAGAGCCCAAATAGCCAAGGCAATCTTAGGCAAAAAGAACAAAGCTGGAGCCATCATGCTACCTGATACTACAAGGCTACAGTAACCCAAACAGCATGGGACCGGTGCAAGAACAGACACATAGACCAATGGAACAGAATAGAGAACCCAGAAATAAGACTGCACATCTATAACTCTCTGATCTTCGACAAATCTGACAAAAATAAGCAATGGGGAAAGGATTCCCTATTTAATAAATGGTGCTGGGAGAACTGGCTAGCCATATGCAGAAAATTGAATCTGGACCCCTTCCTTACACCTCATACAAAGATTAACTCAAGATGGATTCCAGACTTAAATGTAAAACCCAAAACTATAATAACCCTAGTAGAAAACCTATCCAATATCGTTCAGGACACAGGCATGGACAAAGATTTCATGTTGAAGACACCAAAAGCGATTGCAATAAAAGCCAAAATGGACAAATGGAATCTAATTAAAATAAAGAGTTTCTGCACAGTAAAAGAAACTAACAGCAGAGTAAACAGACAACCTACAGAATGGGAGAAAATTTTTACAACCTGTCCATCTGACAAAGGTCAAATATCCAGCATCTATAAGGAACTTAAACAAATTTACAAGAAAAAAACAACTACATTAAAAAGTGAGCAAAGGACATGAACAGACACTTCTAAAAAGGAGACATACATGTGGCCAACAAACATATGAAAAAAAAACCCAACATCACTGATTATTAGAGAAATGCAAATCAAAACCACAATGGGATACCATCTCACACCAGTCAGAATGGCTATTAATAAAAAGTCAAAAAACAGATGCTGGCGAGGTCGTGCAGAAAAAGGAATGTTTTTACACTGTTGGTGGGAGTGTAAATTAGTTCAACCACTGTGGAAGATAGTGTGGTGATTCCTCAAAGACCTAGAGGCAGAAATACCATTCAGCCCAGCAATCCCATTACTGGGTATGTTCCCAAAGACATATAAACTGTTCTGTTATAAAGATACATGCACACATATGTTCATTGCAGCACTATTCACAATAACAAAAACATGGAATCAACCTAAATGCCCATCATTGATAGACTGGATAAAGAAAATGTGGTACATGTACACCATGAAAAATACTGTGCAGCCATACAAAGGAATGAGATCACATCCTTTGCAGGGACATGAATAGAGCTGGAGGCCATTATCCTTAGCAAATAAATGCAGAAACAGAAGACCAAATACCACACGTTCTCACTTATAAGTGGGAGCTGAATGATGAGAATACATGGACACATTGAGGGGAACAACACACACTGGGGCCTGTCAGAGGGTTGGGGGTGGGACCCTGGGTAATGGGATGATCTGTGCAGCAAACCACTATGGCCTATGTTTACCTATGTAACAAACCTGTATATCCTGCACATGTACCCCTGAACTTAAAAGTTGTATGTTAAAAAAAATATGTCCCTCTTTTTCTTCTTTGGCTAATTTCATATTTGACAATTTCATAACTTGGTCAGGTTAGAAAAGAGTGTATCAATTTTCCTTTGCTGCTGTAAAATAATACCACAAGCTTAATGGCTTAAAACAAAGCCAATTTATTTTTACCTTACAGTTCTATAGGTTAGACAAAACTGGTCTGACACTGGTCTCACTTAGCTAAAATCAAGATGTCAGGAGGGCTGTGTTCTTTTCTGGAGGCTCTGGGAGATAATCAATTTCTTTGCTTTTTCCACATTCTAGAGGCTTCCCACATTCTGTGGCTCATGGACCCCTTCCTCCACCTTCAAAGGTAGCAATGGTGCATCTTTCTGACCATTTTTTCTCCCTGAACACATCCAATAAAGATTCTCCAATTTTAAGGAGGCAGGTAATTAGATTAGGCTCCTTTGGATATTCCAGGATATTCCTGCCATTGTAAGGTCTTCACCCTTCATCACATCTGCAAAGTTTCTTTTGCCTTTTGAGATAACATATTCACAGGTTCTGGAGATTATGATGTGGGCATATTTGGGGGACCATAAATTTACCTGCCACAAATAGCATTAGAATTTTGTTTGGAAGTCTGTTAAGTATGTGTTAAAGAATCCTGGCAGAATTGGCATTTTACAAAATTTCATCCATCAGTAAGGTGTAGTTCAATCTTCATGGTGATCTCCTGGTGACATTTTGAGGTTTCCTTTCATAATTCTATAGACCCTATCTCATTAATTATACTCCTTAAACTTCCATATTGTGTGTTGTTATTGTAAAGAGGATTTCTCTTTGCCCATATTCCTTCCTAGTATATTTTTCTAATAAGTTACCCTGAATGTCCTTAATTCTTTGTGAAAATGTATTCCCTAATGTGATATCAATCTGGCATCCACTCTACAAGGAGAAACATATGCTAGCAATACATAGTGCAGTGTGAATGCAGCTCCTAGGGAGTCAGCCCAGCTATGCCATATTGAGAAATCTCCATTTTCATTATTTATTTGAAAAGATGCAAAAATGCTGAGCACTAAGGTGACCTTCAAAGCTTAAGAAAGGTTGCTGAACACTGTTTGACCTAGTTTGCTCAGTGTCCTGAGCAGAAGGACACCCAGCAGTTCAGGAGCTGCCCTGGCAAAGGGAAGTGGCATATGGGCCTGAGGTTGAGAGACAATGTTTTGCTTAGGGACCTTGCACAGACCCTCTCTCCAAATGATTGATTACTTTCTATTTCAGCAGGTTGCAGTTTGCAATCCACTTCCTTCTGAGTTTTATATTCATGCTGAAAAAAAAAACCTTGTTAGGCAAAGGAAGAATCTCTGGGACTGAGAAACAGGAGACCTGGTTTCAGTCTTAACCAAGAGGTTGATTGAGCCATGTGGTAGTGAGGAGGTCATTTAATTCCACAGAGGATCAGTTCTCTTATTTGTGAACTTGGGAGGGTGGTAGTGATGATAGGATTGGACTAGATCTGTCAGTCTATAAACTGATCAAGAGTTTATAAAAGACAAAATCCATTTGAAGAAGGAACAAAGCATCAATCATTTCAGTTCACATTTTTTGTTTCTTCACATTGATTCTAGGATAACCGTTAGGAGGCAGAAGCTCTTTTTGACCCTGTTACTTTTACTTGAGAGCTAATTCTTATCTCAGTCTGTAGGCCCTTGAGAAGTCTCAAAATTTCCACTTTAAGTAGTGATGGAGGGACTTGACATTCCTACTAAATGACAGATACACAGGATTAAAAACACATCACTCTTCTTACACTGGATCCTCCAGCCTGTGTTCCACAGGAAGCCTTTGCTGCAGAGGCCTGAAGGAGAACCCTTACAGGTTTATCTTCAGGACCCAAATAAAATCTGGGTGGATCTGGCTTGCCAAGTTAATCCTTCTCTTTCACTCTGTTTGTACATTGATCAATCTTGATCTTTTGTCTCTTCACCAACTATTGTTCTTCCCTGCAAACCAGGAGCTCTAATGTCTGACTAGCAGGGAGTGGCCAATGGGATCCAGAGAATGGCTTGGAATAGCAATAACCTCAGTCTTCAACTCATCAGATCACAGTGCTTTTTGTGGCAATTTGACTCATGGCTCATCTTAGTGTCAGTGCTCCATGCATAGAGCTTGGTGGGTGAGGCCCAATCTCATAGGCAGAGGTAGTAAAATGCTGGAATTAGGTACAATTTCTTCAAATTTGAGTTTTCCTTCCTTCTTCATATTTGGAATACTTTTTATCTCCTGTCATAGGAAGCATCCAGACTGCTGCTGGAGGGAAAAGCTGACTTATCAGATAACTCTGCTGTTGTTAGAGGCATTGAGATAACCACTAACCCTTCCCTGGGTTCACAGAATGAGCCAAATGCCTAGAAATTCCAGGGAGCAGGTCATAGCATTGGGCTTGCAGTTGTAACAACAACAACAACAACAACAACAACAACAACAACAACAACAGCAACAGCAACAACACATCTTTATTGAGCATCTTTATAAGCCAGTCACTGTGTATATGGAGACTTAACTTGAAGAGTGCAGACTCTTGTTTGGAATTCAGACACGGAAATATTTAATTTTAGTGTGGCATGACATGAATGATAACAATAAGGCAAATATCTTGCTCTTGACTTGCTAGGCTGAGAAACTAATTTCTGGAAGTCCACTGAGCCTAGTGATGAAGAGAGCCCCTGAGGATTGATACGTTCCTTATATACCAAAATGTGTGGTATTCTATTTCGAGGCTTGAGTAGAGGGCAGGGGCAATTTTTTCTTTTACATTTTTATTTTTATACTTTTTGCAGTATATATTATTTGTATTAAAAAATTTGGAATCAGACAGACTTGGTTTAGGATTCTAGCTTTCTCATTTATTAGCTTTGTGGTCTTGGAAAAGTTTCTTAATCTCTCTGAACTTCATGTTCTCTGTGAAGATTCACTGAGATAATGCACATAATGTTCTTAGTTACTTGTCTGGCACTTACTAAATGTCAGCTCTCATTATTGCTGTTATTATTATTGCCTGAAAATTAGAGCAATGTGACAAAGGGAACTGAGATTTTGGACCTCAATCTGATCAATCAAATTGGGCTATTCAGTGGGGTGCAAGTGATGGGAATCATAACAGAAAGCTATTCTAGTATTCCAGAAAGTCAGGAAACTGTAAGCTGGCATGGTCACAGAGGAACCATCAACTTCAGAGGAAGAACTCAGGGTCTCAGACCACAGGCTGGCAGGTTGCCCTGGCCTAAAGCCCTGGCCTGTAAGAAAGACTAGAGAGAGAGGGGGAAACTCAGAACTGCACTTCATATGAGGAAATCTCCAGAGAGCCCTATGGAGAAGAAAAGGAAAAAATCAATGCTGTTGCACAACCTTGGCTTTTGACAAGAGACTACTTTATATAATAGCATGTCAGAAAAGGAGGAGACCTCAATTTGAGGGCCAAAGGGTTAGAGAGGGTGGCCCAGGTGGGACTGAGCCAAGGCCTCAGCTGCCAGACCAGATCAGAATTCAGAGGTACCAGATGTAGCAGATGGCTGCACCGGCAGGCTGTCTGACTTCCTCGTAAGCTGTGAACATGGGTGGGAGTCAAGCTCTATGTTTCCTTACATAGTTGCATTGAACTGAGTGTAGAAATATGGACCTAAGGGAAGGACTTCCTTAAAAGCATTTTAAAAAAGAAATGAAGATTGAAGGATCTGCATGCAAAAACACAACTTTATTTAAGTGTAGGTGAGAGGAAGAGAATTGGCTCTGTGGAGGGAAGTTGGGAAGAGGCACCTTTCATCATCCATTCACTTTGGCATTTGTTTCATTTCCCTGACATTTTGCAGACGACTTTATCTTTTCTCAGGAATTTCCTTGTTTATTCTTCTGTTTTGGAATAATCCTCCCAATATTCTTTCCAAAGAAGGAGTATATTTGTCTTTGTCCTGGAGTTTATTCACAACCTCAAACCTTGCCTGTGGCCAGAAACACAGTTTATATTCTGTTTCTGGGTTTATTGAGAATCTTCGGGCAGATTCTTAAATAGGCATCTAAACCTTAGTTTTGTGGGTAGAGATATAGGCTCAGACCAATGACCACTGTATTCATAGCCTGGAATTAAAGGATTGGGCTGTATAGTGAATAGCATGCATGCTCTGCTACTCACAGGCTGATTGTTAATTGGACATATTATTTTGCCTCTCTGAGGCTTAGTTTCCCTGTTTGTACTTTCTGGTATGAAATTCCATGTACTCTATTGAGTTATTGAGGGGAGTTGCTGGGATAAATTATATAAATCTTTTAACCTATAGTAAGTGATTAATAAATGTTAATTATTCTTATTATCCGTGTCCCAAATACAACCTCACTGTTAACCCATATATTTATTCCTTTGCAAACAGACCAATAAACTTCAGGTGAGAGAAGATAATTGGCTTTCTCAGAAAACCCTTGAATATCTTTTACTTTGCTGGGTAAATTTTTCTGCTCATATTTATTTGCAAGACCATTTCCAAACTGCATGACTAGCTGTCAGAGAAGCATTTTGAAATAAAAGTTTTTAAGGACCAGACATGGTGAGTCATGCCTGTAATCCCAGAACTTTGAGATGCCGAGGTGGGAGAATCTTGAGAGCAGCCTGGGGAACATAGGAAGACTCCATCTCTAGAACAACGACAAAATTAGCCAGGTATAGTGACCTCATACCTGTAGTCCCAACTACTCAGGAGGCTAAGGTAGGAGGATTGCTTGAGCCAAAAAGGCCCAGGTTGTAGTAAGCCATGATCATACTACTGCTTTCCAGACTGAATGGCAGAATGAGACCCTGTCTCAAAACAAAACAAAACAAAAATGTTTTAAAGGGAAGATGGAGATAATGAATCCTGGTAGAAGTAGGCTGATAAAAATCAGAATAGACAGAAAGGGAGAGGTTTGAGACATTCCCAAGAGAGAGTCATTTGGATTTTGTGCTCTTTCAAAGATGAGTTCATCTTAAAGTGGACTCTAGACCAAATGGACCTAACAGACATTTACAGAATATTCTACTCTATAACCACAAAATATGCATTCTTCTCATCTGTGCTTGCCCAAGGCAAGTCTAAATAAATTTTAAAAAGTGAAAATCACATCAAACATCTTCTCAGACCACAGTAGCATAAAACTAGAAATCAATATGAAGAGGAGCTCTCAAAGCTGTATAAATACATGGAAATTAAATAACCTACTCCTTAATGATCTTTGAACAAACAACAAAATTAAGGTGCAAATTTTAAAAAGTTTTGAAACAAATGAAAATAGAGACACAATATACCAAAACCTCTGGGGTATGGCAAAAGCAGTGCTAAGAGGGAAGTTTATACTGTTAAATGCCTAGATTATAAAGATAGATCTCAGATAACAACCTGATGTCATAACCTCAAGGAACTAGATAAACAAGAATAAACCAAAATTAAAGCTAGCAGAAGAAAAGAAATAACAAAGAACAGAGCAGAACTAAATGACATTGAGACCAAAAATGCAATAGAAAAAGTCAAGGAAACAAAAAGTTGGTTATTTGAAAAGACAAACCAAATTGCCCAGGGATTTGCTAGACCACTAGTTAGATTAACCAAGAAAAAAGAGAGAAGATTCAAATAAGCACAATGAGAAACAATAAAAGTGACATTACAACTGAAACTACAAAAATACAAAAGATTATCAGAGTCTACTATGCGCATCTCTATGCACACACATTAAAAAACCTAGAGAAAATGGATAAATTCCTGGAAGCATACGACCTCTTAAGATTGAATTAGGAAGTAGTAGAAATTCTGTATAGACAAGTAATGAGTAGTGAAAATAAATCGGTCATAATAAAACCTTCCACCAACAACATAAAAAAGCCCAGGATCAGATTAATTCATAGCCAAATTCTATCAGACATGCAAAGAAGAATTGGTACAAATTTTACTGAAACTCTTCCAAAAAATTACAGAGGAGGAATCTTCCCTAACTCATTCTATGAAGCCGGTATCACCCTGATACCAGAGCTGGGTAAGGACACATCAAAAAAAGAACACTACAGGCAAATATCACTGATGAACACAGATGCAAAAATTCTCAACAAAATACTAGCAAACCAAATCCAACAGCTCAAAAAAAATGTAATAAACCATCACCAAGTGGACTTTATTCTAGGGATGCAAGGATGGTTCAATACAGGCAATTCAATCAATGTGATTCACCGCATAAAAAGAATTAAAAATAAAAACCATATGATCATCTCAATAGATGCAGAAAAAGCACTTAATAACATTCAGAATCACTTCATGATAAAAACAACCATCAAACTAGGCATTGAAGGAACATACCTCAAAATAATAAAAGCCGTATATGACAAACCCACAGGCAACATCATACTGAATAGGAAAACTTTGAAATCATTTCTCCTAAGAACTAGTACAAGACAAGGATGCCCATTTTCACCACTCTTACTCAACATAGTACTGGAACTCCAACCTAGAGCAATCAGGCAAAAGAAAGAAATAAAAGACATCCATTAAGAAAAGAGGAAGTCAAATTATCTCTGTTGGCTGATGATATGATCTTATACCTAGAAAAACCTGAGGACTCCTCCAAAAGACTCCTGGATTTGAAAAATGAATGCAGTAAAATCTCAGGATACAAAATCAATGTATAAAAATCGGTAGCATTTCTATACACCAGTAACAATCAAGCTGAGAACAAAATCAAAAGTCAGTCTCATTTATGATAGGCCAAAAATACTTAGGAATATACTTAACCAAGGAGTTGAAAGATCTCTACAAAGAAAACTATCAACACTGATTTTATTAAAATGACCAATCTCCTCAAAGCAATATATAGATTCAATGCAATTCTTATCAAAATGCCAAGATCATTTCTCACAGAATTAGAAAAAACAATCCTAAATTTTATATGAAACCAAAAAGGAGCCCAACTAGCCAAACCATCCTAAGCAAAAGGAAACAAAGTTGGAGGCATCACATTACCTGACTTCAAATGATAATACAAGCCTATAGTAACCAAAACAATAAGGTGCTGATATACAAACACACACAATAGATCAATGCAACAGAATAGAGAACCCCAAAATAAAGCCACATACCCATGCCAGCTGATTTTCAACAAAGTCAACAAAAACATACACTGGGGAAAGGATACCCAATTCAATAAATGGTGCTGGAAAATTGAATTGTCATATGCAGAACAATGAAAGTGGATCCCTATCTCTCACCATACACAAAAATTAATTCAAGATGGATTAAAGGCTTAAATGTAATACCTGAAACTATAGAAACACTGGAAGAAAACCTAGGAAAAACTCTTCTGGACACTGGCCTCAGCAAAGTATTTATGACTAAGGTCTCGAAAACCAATGCAACAAAACCAAAAATAGACAAGTGGGACTTAATTAAACTAAAAAACTTCTGCAAAGCAAAAGAAATAATCAATAAAGAGATAACCTGCAGAATGGAGAAAATATTCACAAACTATGCATCTGGCAAAGGACTAATATCCAGAATCTACAAGGAACTCAAACAACTCTACAAGAAAAAACCCAAATAACATCCTTAAAAAGTGGGCAAAGGACATGAACAGACATTTTTTAAAAGAAGACATACAGGCCACCATAAATATGAATAAATGCTCAACAACACTAGTCATCAGATAAATGTAAATTAAAGTCACAATGAGATACCATCTTCCACCAGTGAGAATGGCTATCATTAAAAAGTAAAAACAAACAAACAGATGTTGGCAAGGATGCAGAGAAAAGGGAACACTTATACACTGTTGGTGGAAATGTAAATTAGTACAAACTCCATGGAAACAGTATGGAGACTTCTCAAGTAACAAAAATTAGAACTACCATTTGACTTAGCAGTCCCACTACTGGGTATACACCCGAAGGAAAACAAATCATTATATCAAAGATTCCTGCACTGGTATGTTTATCACAGCATGATTCACAGCAGCAAAGATATGGAATCAACCTAAGTGCCCATCAGTGGAGGATTGAATAAAGAAAATGTGGTATACACACCACGGAATACCACTTAGCTATAAAATAGAATAAAATCATGTCTCTTGCCGCGACATGGATGCAGCTGGAGGCCATTATCCTAAGTGAAATAACTCAGAAACAGAAAGCCAAACATCACATATTCTTGCTTATAAGCGGGAGTTAAGTGATGTATACAAATAGACATACAGAGTAGAATAATAGATACTGAAGACTACAAAAGGTGGATGAGGGTTGAAAACAAACTTATTGGGTACAATGTTCACTATTTGGGCGATGGGTACACTAAAAACTCAGACGTCACTGGCCGGGCGCAGTGGCTCACGCCTGTAATCCCAGCACTTTGGGAGGCCAAGGCGGGCGGATCACGAGGTCAGGAGATTAAGACCATCCTGGTTAACATGGTGAAATCCCGTCCCTACTAAAAAATACAAAAAAATTAGCCAGATGTGGTGGTGGATGCCTGTAGTCCCAGCTACTCGGAGGCTGAGGCAGGAGAATGGTGTGAACCCAGGAGGCGGAGCTTGTGCCACTGCACTCCAGCCTGGGTGACAGAGCGAGACTCCGTCTCAAGAAAACAAACAAACGAACAAACAAAAACACAAAAAACCTCAGATGTCACCAACTATGCAATATATACGTGTAAAAAATCTGCACTTGTACACCTGAATCTGTAAAAATAAAAATAAAACATTAAAAAACAACAGAACAGCAAAACAAAGATAAGTGCATGTAGTCCATGAGAGCCCCTGGCCACATTTACTGGATGAGCAAAAAAAAAAAAGAAAAAAAAAGAAAACAAAAAAAACCAATCCCAGTGTTACTGGACCAAAGCTCCCTAGGAAGCTGTATATTTGTTTGTGTGTGTGTGTGTGTGTGTGTCTGTGTGCACGCACACACACATGCATTTTCTGGTCTGTGAAATAAACCACGAAGGAACTGAAAAACTTGCCTTCTAGATTGGTTCACATCTTTCTCTGATTGGCTTCTGTGAAAGTCTGATTGATTTTCTATGATCTTCTGACATTCAGCACAAAAGCTCCCAGGGCAGGTTTTTGAGGATAATAGTGATGACCACATGGCCACTATTTACTGACCATGTGCTACTTGTTAGGTGATGTACTAGATACTTTGTATTCATTATCTCCAACCCTGACAGCAATTGTGAATTGCCCCCATTTTATGACATCTCTCTTTGCCTGGAGACTTATGATGAAACTGAGCCTCAGAGAGGTTAGGTGACTTATTCAAGCTCATAAGGGTTGCAAGTGGCAGAGTTTGAAGTTCAAACACTTGTCTGAATCCAAAACATTTGTTCCATCCCCCAAAACTGCTGTCCATTCCAAACCCGAACCAAAACCAAATGGCTTGTTGAATGCTGCCTCCAGCATCCATCTGCCTCAGACCTGTATCTGTATCAGCACTAGAGTGTGGTGGTCAGTGGCAGGATGAGCCATTCTGTAAAGGCCTGGTGTGTACTCACTAGAGTTGGGTAGGGCCTGGAAGTGGTCTGGGCTCCAGGTGAGCTGGTAGTGCCCATGAGGTTAAGAGAATACTATTACCAGACAGAATAGCAGCAGGCTGAAGGCTGGAGGTTACATATCCCTGCTGGTGATTCTTTAATTCCATTGCTTTTTGCCTATGGACTCAGAATTAGGATTCCTATGTCTCCTGCCAGCCATCTTCTAGACCCAACTCATTAATCTGCTCTAAGTCTGCAAAAATCAGTGATTCCTAATGCTTTTGGTTTGAGCCAACCAAGCTCCTGCAAAAATATGTGTTTTTTATCTTCTCAACGACCAAGTTTACTATATCAATTAATTTGAATATTTATGATTTTTTTAAAAAACAATAAACTCTATTGACTTTGCTGGAATCACTTTTGCTTTATTTCATCTCTTCTATTTGCCCCTTCTGTACTCGGTTTTTGTCAGTTCTCTTTCTTTTCTGAGATTTCTAGAGTTTACACTTATACCTTTAAATATAATTACCCTACTCCTTAGTTGATTTATCAGGTTTAAATATGTTTAGACTGCAGCCTAGAAAAGCTGACAAAGTTAGCATCTTTTCATCACCTTCTGCCTTTCTCCTCTCCACTTCCTCCCAATTTTTGTTAGTAATTTTATTTTTGCATTTATCATTGTGAAAAACCTGTATTCTCTTCTCTGAATGTAATCCTCACAGTTTTTTATCTTAGCCCTTCAGTGAAATGGATCAATGCCCACCATTAGTCCTTTTACTATCGTTCTCTTGTTATCTCTCAGCTGCTTGAAATTCGCTAGTAGTTTCTCCAAGAAAGCAAGAAAGGCTCATAGGAATTTATTCCTTGAGTTCTTGCACATTTGAAATATGTTTTTCTGTTGCTGCTATCTTTAAACAAAAGTATGATTGGATATAAAGTTCTTGGGTCACACTTTCTTTGAGGACTTTATTAGCATTTTTCCGTGGTCTTCTTTCATTTAGTATAGTTGAGATCAAGTTTGAGGCATCATATTTTTTCTTAACTTTAAGGTGATTGGATCTTTTGCTTAGCTGCTCCTTTATTTTTGAAGTATAAGATCTCAAATATTCCTTGGTGTTGACCATCCTGTAAACAATTTCTCCATGGGCATTTCTAATTTATAGGCCTATTATTTTTTTGATAAAAAGTTTTCTAAAATAACTCTTTATGTTTTGGTTTCCAGTTACTTGGTTCTCTCCTTCAGAGTAAATATAGCAATTATGCATATGTTGTATTACCATTATCTGTCTTCTATGTCATTTTTTTCTTGAATCCTTTAAAATTTTGTTTATTGTGATCATTTTTACCATCTTGTCCTACTTATCTTTCTGTGTTTCACTAATACCTTTTCCCTTTTGTTCCCTCTTTTAATATGAACTTCATATATGTCATTTATGATATTTTCTATGAATTTCCTGAGTCTTGTCACTTCATGCTTTATCTCCTTCTGTTATCACTCATTACCCATTTTGGCTGAAACTTTGTAGCTCTTCTTCAATTTCTTTTATAGATTTATAATTCTTTTAATTTTAAAATTTATTTTTAATTGTGTAAAATACACATAACACAAAATTTACCATATTACCTATTTTTAAGTTATTAAAAATAGTTATAAACTCTATTTTCAGTAGAATTATGTATGTTTATATTGTTGTTCACAACTCCAGAACTCTTTTCATCTTGTAAAACTGAAACTCTGTACCCACTAAATAACAACTCTGAATTCACTTTTACCCCAGTCCCTGGTAACCACCCTACTACTTTCTGTCTCTATGCATTGAATTACTCTAGGTATCTGGTATGGTTTGTCTGTGTCCCCACCCAAAATCTCATCTCAAATTGTAATCCCTATAATCCCCATGTGTCAAGCGAGAGAAAAGGTGGAGGTAATTAAATCATTGAGGTGGTGTCCCCGATGCTGTTCTTGTGATAGTGAGTGAGTTCTTACGAGATCTGATGGTTTTATAAGTGTCTGGTAAATTCCTCCTTCAGTGATTCTCTTTCCTGCTGTGTGAAGAAGGTGCCTACCTCCCCTTCACCTTCTACCATGATTGTAAGTTTCCTGAGGCCTTCCCACCCATATGGAACTGTGAGTCAATTAGATCTTTTTCCTTTGTAAATTACCCAGTCTTGGGTATTTCCTTATAGCAATGTGAGAAAGGATTAATACAGTACCTTATATAAATGGAATCATACAATATTAACTTTTGTGGTTATCTTATTTAACTTAACATAATGTCCTTAAGGGCCATCCATGTTGTAGCATATGTCGCAATTTCCTTCCTTTTTAATGTTGAATAACATCCCATTGCATCTATGTATCACATTTCATTTAGCCATTCATCTATTTATAGACACTTGGATTGCTTCCACTTTTTGGCTATTATGAATAATATTGCTATGAACATTTGTGTACAAATATCTCTTTGAGATCTTGCTTTCATTTTTTTGTTTGTATATACTAAGATGTGGAATTACTGGATCATATGGTAATTCTATTTTTAATTTTTTGAGGAACCCCCATATTGCTTTCCACAGCAGTTATACCATTTAACAGCACCACCAGCAGTGTACAATTTTTCATTTTTCTACATCCTTGTCAACACTTGTTATTTTGTTTTTTTTTTGTTTTTTTTTAAATAGCCATTCTAAAGTGTGAGAAATGCTACCTCATTGTGGCTTTTATTTGCATTTGCAGTTCTCTAATGATTAGTGATATTGAGCATCTTTCATGTGCTTATTGGCTGTTCGTATATTTTCTTTGGAGGAATTCTGTTCAAGCCTCTTGCCCATTTTGTAGGTGGTTGTTGTTGAGCAGTAGGAGTTCTTTATATATTCTGGATATTAACCAGTTATTAGATATATGGCTTGAAAATATTTTCTATCATTCTTTGGAATGCCTTTTCACTCTGTTGATATCCTTTGATGCACAGAAGTTTTAATTTTGATGTAGTTCAATTTGTCTATTTTTTCTTTTATTGCCTGTGTTTTTGGTGTCATATCTAAGAAAGTCTTGCCAAATCCAATGTCATAAAATTTTTCCCGTTGTTTTTTCTGCTTTGAGTTTTGTTTTTAAATAAACTTTTAAATGCTTGGTGATGTTAGTAATTTTTTTTCCTGCTCTTTGTCAACAATTTTTAATTTTTTTTCTGCTCAATATTTTTATTTCTTACATATTTTCCTGTGTCTGTCTTTCTTCCATTTTCATGTGGTCTCTTTATATAAATCTGTGTTGGTTCTCTTGTATTAGACCATCTTGGAATGAAGCAAGTTTCTTATGAATTTACATTTTTCATTAGGTTTGGCCTAATGAAATGTAGGGTTATATCCACTTGATACTGAATGGGTTATTTCAGCTTTTAGTTATCCCCACACAAAAGAAATTGTCAGTGCAGCGTTGTTTGCAATTGAGAAACTCTCTGTCTTCCATTTATATCATAACAGCTTGCTTCCTGCAAATTCTGTGTGTTTCCTTGTTGAGCCCCTTTCCCCTGAAACACTCTTGCTGACAGCTTGCCGAGCCCCTAATGTAGCTCCAAATGCGAGAGTGTTTTTCTCCCTAGAGTGTACCATCTTGTTTGGACAACTGTGCTCTGACAGCTTTGTCTGAGATCTGCACCTGCTGATGTCCTTGTGAACTTCTACACTGGATTTCATAGCTCTTTCTCTTTTATTGTGGTTCAGAATTTCAAAAGTCTTCTAGCTTGTTGTGGGTGGAATTTGGTGTTCTGTTTCCTATTTTTAATTTTGGGGTGACTTCCTAGAGAAAAAGGAAGAAGACCTTATAATGGAAGGTCCAGGTGATTGTATTCACTTCAATTCTTTATTCCTTTTCTTTTGAACAGTTTGAGAGTCTCCCAGTTTCCTAAGGCCCAGAATAGAGCACTGATGGAACAAGAGCTGCATGGATGTTATAGAGCACAGTATAGTGTAGACTTCTGACTCTATTGTTTAGTAGCCGTGTGTCCCTTGGTAAGAAACTTACTCTTCTGTGCCTTAGTTTTCTTCAATTGTAAAATGGTAGTAATAGTAATAGCCAAGGTTTTACTGGGCATCCACTTTATGAGAGGCACCATCCTAAGAGTGTTACATGTATTAACTCATGTAGGTTTCACCTGTATCATCTCCATTTTACAGATGAGGAAAGTGAGGAAAAAAGTTGTTAAATAAATAGCAGAGTTGGTATTCAATCCTCAGCCATCTGTTTTCAGAGCCTGTGCTTGTCCAAAATAATCCCTCTGGTGTTCAGTACCTACCTTATAGGGATGTTTAGAAGATTAAAACAATAATGTACATCAAGAGCCAAGAACGATATTGCTATGGTTTGGTTTGGATATTTGTCCCCTCCAAACCTCATGTTGAAATTTGATTCCCAGTGTTGGAAGTGGGGCCTAATGGGAGGTGGTTGGGTCATGGTGGCAGGTCTCTCATGAATAGATTCATGCTTTCCCTCAAGGGTGAGTGAGTTTTTACTCTATCAGTTCTTGTTGAAAGCTGGCTGTTTAAAAGAGCCTGGCACCTCTCCCCTCTCTCTTGCTTTCTCTCTTACCATGTGACCTCTACATGTGGCTCCCCTTTGCCTTCTGCCATGGGTGGAAGCAGCCTGAGGCTCTCACCAGATGCAGATGCCCAATCTTCCAGCTAGGAGAATCACGAGCCAAATAAACCTTTTTTTTTTTATTATTATTATAAATTGCTCAGTCTTGGGTATTCTGTTATAGTAACACAATGTAAATTCAGACAAATGCACAGGTAGGTAAGAAGTTGCTTTTTTTCCTCCCTAACTTTCTGCTTCTTGTTTGTAGTCCTTCTCCCCCTTGTTCTTCCTGTATTCATAATGTCTCATGCTGAGATGGGTGGAAGTGATGGTTTAACATTGTTCTGTTTGACAAGTTAAAAACGTCCAAAGTAACTTCAAACAGTTGAAAACACTTCTTTCTTCTGACAAAAAGTTTAAAATGCTGACATTTGTATTGGAGATAAATTAGAAAATGAAAATAAAATTTTATCTTTCCATTTTTATGCCGGTCTCCAAAAATGTCTTAGGGAGCTAAAGGTGGGGTAGAAGGAGAAGAATCTGTCACTGATGACATTTAGAAGCAGCCATTGAAACTCTGAGGAACTGGATCTTTGATCCCTTGGAGCCAATTTTTTGAGGGAAATTAGGAAGATGAAGAGTGGTGCTGGGTATCAAGACTGCACTCTAGAATAATGAGTGCTCTCTGCTGACTTCCTAATGGTCCCTGTTTCTGGGTTCCAATTCCAGAACTAACCATAAAGTGGGGATTTGCTAGCCAACAGTTGTCAGTCATTCTCCCCACCCTTCAAGTTCTCCATGTGGTTGCTTCTCTCTCACTCTGCAGATATTTTCTTAGAGAAGAAGGCATAAAGGAAATAAAGATATTTTACCTCAAAGTACATTTCTTTGACATATTTTGAAATGGCTGCCAGAGAGCCAGCAAACAGAAGTGGCTTTGCAAGCTGTCTTTTGTGGGGAAAAATGTGCATTTGTAGAACATCTCCATGAATGTAGCCTGGCCTTTTCTATGCCTTTCCCAGATCTAGGAGAGATTGAGAGTCTGAAAACTTTACAAGTCTAAAGAGATACACTTACCATTTATTACCTCTGAAGGAGGATTCATCTATAAAGCAAGTCCACCTTTGCCAGCCAAGCCCCTTACTTTCTCTCTCCTATAACCTGTCTTACCAATAAAAACCTGTTTTGGGGCATGCTCTGAGTCCACATTCTTTCTATAATCTTAAGATGGGATATAAGCTTATATATATTGTTGGGCTGGGTCTTCATTCTGATGGCTACTGTGTATACATGTTAAATAAATTTGTATGCCTTTTCTCCTATTAATCAATCTGCCTAATGTCAGTGATTTTTTAGAAGAACTTTAGAGAACCAAGGGCCTATGGTGCCGACAGACACTAGCTGAAAAATGGACTTATTGGTTAGTTTTTATATAAACTTTCTTTTCAAACAGTGAGGATGAGATTGGAGAGAGGTGAGAAGAAGGGAAAGATAGACAAGTAGATAAACAGAGAAAGAGAATGAGACCAACTATCTCTGAACCATAATTTCACATTTCCTGCTAGAAATTTTAGATATAAGTTCTAAATTTCTCTTTAAAGAATCAATATGTCAGTACGTTCAATTCTTTGCCTTCTACTTTTAAACTTAACTTCCTCGTAAAGCAACCTTTTTCGATTACCTACTCCACCCTCATTCCGATTACCTGCTCCACCCTGACTTATTCAGATTACTTGCTACCTGCTCCGCCCTGACTCATTCTCCACCCTGCATAACCATTTTTTTTTCCCGCCAAGGTACTCACCCCATCACTCTCTTTAAATTAGCCAATCAGAATTAGTTTAGCCTGTAAAGTCTAACCCTAGCCAATAGTGGAACGACACAGCAGCAGGGGCCATGTGAGTCAGGGGTAAGAACCCCTTCCCCTCCCTTGTCCAAGTGTGCGCTCACCGTTGATCCATCTGTAAGGGCGCACCCTTCTATAGAAGTAACTTACCTTGCTGAGAATTAAAAAGAAAATTTTATATTCGAGTGCTATTCCTTTTGCGGCACCAAAACTTTATATATAACAAAAATCTGATTGGTTTGGCTTTGGTCAGGTGTCCACATGAGTACAAACAAAAGTGTTCAGGTTGACAACAAACCTGCTGAGGGAATAGACACTCTGAGAAGAGGGACTTGGGCAGAAGAAAAAATGATTCGTAGAGAGGATGACTGGCATCCATTAGACACTAGATTGCCATGGCAGGCCCTGCTTCTGGTAACTGGGACCATGATGTGGTAATGCACTCTTCACTCCAGATAGTGACTGAGGAAACCAGCATCTCTAGTCCTGCCTCTAGTTCCCAAGCCAGCAGTCTCCAAGCCTGCCTACCTGCTGGCTTGGATTCCCAGGGTTGAGGTCCATTTGCTGCCAGCCTGATGCAGACTGTTTGCCTTGGCAGTCAGGTCCTCTTGTTGGTTCCCGGGCCCTCTTCAAAACTGGGGCTTGCCTGACATGTTGACTTTCTCCTATCTCTGCCAGTCAGTTTATCCCCTGAGTGCCTTTCCCTAGCAGCGGGTACTGTCTATCAGACTTCAGCCAAAGTCACTCAAAAATCCTGTTCTGGAAGCAGAGGAAGGGCACTTACATCCACCACTTTCCAAGTCATCCTAGTCTATTTTTAAAAAGGGAACCAAACAATCTCAGGGGACATTTCATCCCTAAAAATTCTCCAAGGGAAGTTCAAAGATGGGCTGTTGTTTAGAGATCAATGAAAAAGAGATGGAGTTTAAATATTAAGAAGAAAGCTCTTGCCTTCAGGTAAAGCTGACATTTGCATAATAATGAGAATGACTAGCCAGATGGAATTGAGAATCTGACTGGAATCTCAAATCCTGGTGAGGGAAGATTCATTTGCCTGAAATGGCAGTGGGAAATATGCTAATCGGGGGTTTGCTGCTGTCCATCACGTTCAACAGATTCTGAGACAAAGAAATAGAAAGAGTTCACAAATAGGAGGTGATACAACTTGACATTAAACTTAATTTGGTTTGTTTTCCCATCAGCCCCTGACAGATGTGCAATTGTGGAAGTCTTTAAAGGGGGTGGGGGAGAACGATTGCCTTCTGTCAGAACTGTCTGACATTGTCATCCCCAGTGCTGTCATTGTCATTATTGTTATTGTGTTAGAAACAACAGGAGGGAGGGAGAGGAAACCCAGAGTTGACTCGAATTATTATTGGGAAATAATGGGAACATCTTCAAAGAAAAGTAAAAGGAAAAGAAAATAAGGACTCCAAATAAACAATTTTGTGTCTTGATGATGAACAAAGGGAAGAATTAGTACCTGAGTGATAGAATCAATAATTTAGAAGACATCTCACCTTAGAAATTGAGGTCCCTGAGGGAGACAAGTTTATGTCAGCCTGACCCAGACTTGAGCCTGGATTCTCTTATTTTGAGGCAACAGAAGCTATTCTGGGGGAAGATGGAGGAAAGTTGTAGGCCAGATTCTAAGATGGCCCCTGTGATTTCCTCTCCCTGGTGGTAAGCCTTATATAATCCTCTTTTTTTGGGTGTAGGCAGAACATGGGGCTTCCTTCTAACAGAATTGTTCCCATGATTATGTAACATTGCATGACAAAAGTGACAGGGTTTTGAAGATGTAATTAAGGTCCCACATCAGTTGACTTTGAGGGAGATTATTATAAGTGGGCCTGACCAAATTGGGTGAGCCCTTCAAAAGAGGGCTTAGGCCTTCTTTGAAGTTGCAGACTCCAAGCAACAGAGACTCTTTCTCTCTCCATTGCTTACTTCAAAGAAGCAAGCTGCCATGAGTACAGCCACAAGGAAATTACTTCTGTCAACAACCCAAAAGAGATTGGCAGCAGATTATTTCCATGTTGTGTTCACACAGATGAGACAAAGCCCAGGTAAACATCATGATTTCAGCTCTGTGAGACCTGATCAGAGATCTTGCTAAGCTGTGCTTGGACTACTGACCCACAGAAACTATGAGATAATACATGGGTATCTTTTAAAGCCACTGAGTTTGTGGTAATTTGTTACAAAGCAATAGAGCACTAATCCAGACTTGAGCCCAGATTTTCAATTTTATTTTTTAGAAAGTCAATTGAAGCAAGGCTATGTAAGTTAGCTCTTCTGGTAGGAGGGGCAGGGCAATGAGGATCAAGAATGCAGGTGTCACATACACATTTCCACAGCCAGTTAGATGCCAATCTAGGCTCTTCTTATTTGTGAGTATGTCTCCACAGGGCTGGATGACTAGTATGGCCTAGTCTCTGATTCCAAAATTATCACGAGATTAGGAAGCCAGTCTTCCTAATCTTTTCAGTGGAATAACTGAAAAATGTTGTCCATCCAAGTCCATACTTTCAAGGCAATGACTAAACTCATGCTAGGGCTGCATCCGTCTCTATCCTTGAGCACTCTGTTTCTTGTTGCTCAATGTTAGTTCAATTCAATGAAAAACAACATTTGTTGAGCATTTACTATATTAAAGGTTTTCTACTGGGGTGAGAGCAGGAAGTGGGGTTGTTATTAATAATTATAAAGCACAGAATCAAAAGTCAAGCATTTCCTGCAGAAATTTCCAAGTTTGTATGATACACAGCCATCTACTCTAGTAGCTATTACAGAAGGCAGATTGTCAAGTGTTATAACAGATAGCAAAGGGCTGTGACTCCACCATTTTCTGGTTGTGTGACCTTAGGAAAATTACCTACTTGAGCTTCATCTGAAAGATAGCATTAATGAGAAAGATAACAATAATATTATTAATAACGTGGTTTTGAGAACCAAATGAGCAAAAAATACATGACATACATGGCACACAGTAAGCTCTCAATATGTGTTACTATTATAATATAGTTTATGAGGGAATTATTAGGGAAGACTTCCTGTAGGAAGTGATCTTTTAAATCAAGCCTAAAATTGTTGCTAGGTGTTTTATGGGGAAAACATGAGAGGAGTCCAAGCAAAAAGACCACCAATGATCAAAGACCCAGAGGTGGAAAGAAGATAATTAGTTGGGTGGACAGTGGCTGCCTGCAGTCTATAACACACCTTCCTTCTCTCCCTCTGAAGAACTCAAATGTCTATTTCTCTCAGACCAGAGCTTGACAGGCACCTTCCTAAGATTTTAGAATAGCATAGATGCTGGCCTCCAAATCCCCACTAATTTTATCCTCTTTAACTATAACTGGGATTTGAACCCTGAAACGCCGAAGAATAAAGATATGTGTCTGGTCTACACTTTCAGAGTGGTATAGCCTTATCTCAGAGGGCCTATTTAGCAAACTGAAGAGTATGTAGGCTCCAGCTTCTCCAACTTTTGGAGATGGGCACATTGAAGAGGCCCATTAGTGATTAATTTCAGTTAAAAAAAATCTCATGTAGCTCTGCAAGACCAAGTGTGGCAGGGTAGGTTTCTTTTTCTGTCTTCGTCTTATTTTCTTTCTCTCCTCATTCTTAGAAGACAAAGTAAGGAGGCAGAGACTTATAGTAATACATCTAAATCATATTAAACAAAGGATCAACGTTACCACGGGAAAGCGCTTGTAGATGTTCCACTTTGAAGACACTGAAAACTTTACATCTCCCCTTAAAATGGCAGGAGACACTTATTAGAGTGGACCCAAGAACCTGGGGTGAGGACAACAGCTAGAGGCTAGGAATGAAAATGAGAAAGAGAAGGCAGATAAAAGAGTTCTCGGATACTCATATAAGGTAGATTGTGTGTGGGATGAAGGGCAAATGGATGGCAAAGTAGAGCAATGATTTTTTCATCTCCTGAACCCTGGGATTGTTTATCTATGTCTCAGTGTGGACTCTACCATGTTTTCCTTCAGCATCATCAACAAAACTCTGGGGTTAATTTGGGGAGTGGGTGTTGAAATTGCATGAGACTGTTGCTATGGCAGAGTGTTCAGCCTTTTCACAAGCACAAAAACATTCTTCAGTGAATGGGAAAAATGTCAGCTTCTTATTTCCAGGAACCAGTTCTGCCCTAAGTCTCAGTGCTAGTAAACCAATTTGCAACATGAAGTCTAAGACATTGGGGTCAGCTTGATGCTCACTGTGACTGATATTGTTGCTGGTTTTGTTTGTTGAACATCATCTGGTACTTACTTCAAAAATTATACTTAGAAGACTTGTTATTTGCAAACAGGACACCCAGAACTCAGAGTATTGAGGTTTGGATATCTATCACTAAGGCACAGTGTGTCTGTACTAGTTAAACCCCCAATACTCAGGTTGTTTGTTTTTCTACAGGGTTGGGTTTCAGTCTCTTCTCTCAGATCACTTATTACAATTTATAACTTCTTTATTTATTGCCAGTCTTCTCTAGGCTGTGAGTTTCTTGGGGGCTGGTCTTGTGTGTCTGGTCTGCTGCTTTATCCTAATGGTCCAGCACAGTGCCTGGTACTGTCAATGCATATTTGTTGAATGAATGAATGAATTTCGAGGACACTTCTGTTTGTGCACTTCCAGCATTTGTGAGGTTGATGGTTTGTGTTCAGGAACAAGGGGTCACTGTGCATTTGTGTTGATGCTTCTCTTCTCACTGGGCATGGCTGCCTCTTTCTTTCTCCCCATCCTCTGATTCTCCATCCTCTCACAAATGGTCTTACTGCCCTTTTCTGTAGCTTGCCACATGGTTAGACATGTCTTTGGAGAGCTAGAAGGTGGTAATCACTTTAATGTTCACACCTGTTCTACTTCTTTGGTAGGAGGTACAGAGTGACTTGTCTGTTCAGCAAAGAGGGAGAGAAGGATTCTCAGCAGCTGAAGTGGGGCGGGAGTAGAGGAGATGCCCACTTTTGGTTCTGCAATAAGTCTCAAGTGCTACAGAGTTCATCAGCTAAGGCACCATGGCCTTAGTGTTGCTCAGATTAGACATTATGTAGCATTTGCCAGCAAAAGAAACCCATCCTGGTCTCTCCTGGATGACTTGTAAATTTCCTTTGTGGACTTCAGTTGTAACTCAGTGAATGTACCCAAGACTTAACTAACATTTTCCTGGCCCTAATATATATGGGCATATATTAACTATCTGCTGGTTGAAACCTAAAGTATCTCTCTCATATGACACCTAAGATATGCCAGGTCTTCTCACAAGTCTGGATAAAAGTAGAATAGCACCCTGGTGGTCCCAGGAACCAGACCAACTGGGGAGCAGGGACCTCAGGCCCAGGCCTTCCTACTGCAGAGCTCTTTTTTTTTTTTTTTTTTTTTTTTTTTTTTTTAATGAACAGATAAATTATGGTGCCTGCTTGGAGGTTGTACTGGTTGTTGTGGCCGTATAAATATTTGTGTATCAATTGTGCAGGGAGTGGGGGGCAGGCACTGTTCCAGTGATGTGTTGGTGGCCTGAACATCTTTTTTCCCTCTGTGATATAATGCCACTTGTCATTTATAATTAAAGCTATCACTTCACAACTAACAAAGTCATTCTGACCAGCAAGAGACGACTGGAAGGAGTACTCTTCCCTACAGAACACCAAACTGGCACTGAGCTGTTTGTGATCATTGTTTTCATTGTCTTCCTGTGGTTATTATGTTCATTATTAATAATGATGATCATGATCATTAGGCCTAGGAAGAAAATAATGATAAAATGTCTGTAATTACACATTATAAATACAACATGTTTTTATTATTATGTTGTATAGTATAAATTATAATCATTATAATCACTATAACAATATGAACTTCTGCTTGAGTTTGTCTTCTATATGATCAAAGCATTTGAAGACATGATCTCGTTAGCCTTCATGACATTCTGTCAGAAGGAGAGCAAGTTTCAAATTACAAACCTGTGTGTTGGAGTAAATATGGACTGAAGGGGGTGTTGTGAAGAACTCCAGAAACCCAAAACAAAATGCAGCCAAATAAACAGTGAGTAGACACACAGCAGGAAGATGTGTCTGACATGCCATAAAGTCTGAAATGAAAAGGATTTCTGAAAGTTCAGTTCTCTTATTTTCACTGTGCATTTTGTCTCTGCCATTTCCCAGTTGTGTGACCTTGAGAAATTTGCTTTGCCTCTCTGAGCACGGTGATTAATAGTGCTTTATTTTCCTATTGCAATTAGAGGCAGTACCTATGTTCTGTTCCTCCCCCCACTTTCAGTTTAATGAAATGACTCAATGCAGCCTGAAATAAGGTCCCAGCCTGGGAACTTTTGGGAGGAACTGAATATTCAACCCAGCACCTGGCACGGAGCTTGGTGCATGGTTGGTTTGTGCTTAATGAATGTCAGCTGAATGACTAAAGATATAAAAGGAGATTGCTTTATTTAACTTATAGACAGGGGAAATTTTAAGTCGATTTATTAATTGCTGGCACATAAATAAGCTGCTGAGATGCCTGAAATCAGAGCTAATCTGCCATTTACCCTAGTCAACTGCCACCCCTGGGCTCTGACTCCTATACTTCTCTCAACCCCGCTGGGCAGGGACCCAGGGAGGCAGCCTGTGGGGGCAAAGGAGGTCTGTAGGCTGTAGACACACCAGTGAAGTTGGCCTATTAATGCCATCCTTGCAACTGTGAGCCTGATGGGCTGTGCCTCTACTCATCACCCATGTCTCCTCCACTGTGACTACAACTCTTCCTTTAGGGACTTTCTCTTTCCTTCAAGGCCATCTTTGAACCTAGGCTCACTCTGTAACTTGACTCTTCTCAGAGACAAATGTTATACAGTGTGACTTAAACCTGAGCTTTCAGGATCTCCTGTTTGAGGAATCCCGAAATTGGCTGAAAATGGGATGGTCTCTTCAGTATTCCAGCATCCCCCTGTTCTGTATGATTCACACTCCAATTTGCATCTAGGAGGGATTTGCTGACAAAAAGTAAGCTCAGTTTTGTCTCAATTATTAGAAAGTCCTCATTAGTAGAACAAATTAATGAATTCTTAGTTGTCTTTTAAAATACTAATCATGAAGTCTCAGCACACTGCTATCTGGCTTCTAACGCCCACAGCTTCAGTAACTATTATCAAGGCAACTGGCAACTTCCTAGTGTTGTCACATCCAAGGGACACTTCCAGACATGGCTATAAGTTCTGTGCAATTGTTCATGCTCTTGCTTTCCCCTTCAGCAGTGATCTCAGAGGCCATGTGTTTGAGGTGGAAGCAGCTGGATCCTCTTGGAGGAGAGGCACCAAGGAGAGCTGACTACCACATGAGGCTTTGCCTTGAGCGAGAAATAAACCTCCATTATGTTAGGCTACTGAGATTTGAATTTGTTTGTTATAGCAGCTAGTGTGTTACCCTGACTACTGTGGATACTGACAGAGAAATTCCTGAAAGGTGGGATGTTGACGAAATGGCAATTCAAGGGAGGGAGACATTACAGAGGTGGTGGGGCTATACTACTTTACTCCTCCATTGTTCCCTTTGATAGTAATCCTAAACGTCTGTCTAGAGGTTCACAGCTTCCACTGACATCCTATATGACTCCCGCAGATGAAAATGGAGGAGAATGATGTCTCAGGAGGACCAGAGTCAGGCACAGCACACTCTCCACCAATTTTTCTGCTGTGCCTTCATCCCACCTGTGCGCTCACACTTCAGCTTCTCTGTAAGGTACGCAGCCATCAGTCATGTCCCTGATCTTTGCCTATGGGACTGGGCAGAGGTATGGCGGCTGGGACCTGCAGAGTGGATGTGTGAGATGGCCATAATTCCAGGCTAAATGAACGCTCTGCAGGCTCCTTTGCTGGTTTGCCAGCTCTCGGCTTTGTGTGCTGGAAACATCTTGAACAAAATGTCACAGAGAGCATCTCGGCAGTGTCCTGCTGACTGAGGACCTGGGACTGCCGAGGCTGCCATCTGCCTGCAGCCTCTCAGAGGTAATTATACCAGAGTCTCTCAAGGCCTGGAACAAGGGGGATGTCAAATGCACTTTCCTTTCTCTAGGAAGGTAATTTTCATTTTCTCAGCTCACTTGGACCTGCATATCCTTGTGGTCTCCAGGTGTGAGAAAGGTGCAGGGAGAGAAGAAAAGGTACCTGGGGAGAGACAAGGAAAGGGGGCACAGTGGGAGGGGATGGTAGGGGTGGGACAGCAGGTGGGGGAAGAATGAGGGAGGGGCTTACTGCCACTGAACCCAGAGAGGGGCACATATGCTAATTTTGGCAACTTTTAATTAAATGATAGGCTGGAAAAATTCCATTATTATTACTGCTTAGCTTTCTGACTGTAGTGGCTTAATGTCTTCTTTATTAGTGTAATAGTCTGAAAGCATTTTCTTTCTTCTTCTATTGCTAATTTGCATTAGGAAAAGGAAATGTGTCTGATACATCTTTGAAAGAAAATATTTCCAAAATTTGCTGAAGACGGAGTTTTTATACTTTCTCCCTCTGCCTCTCCTCCTATTGCTTCTTGTTTGAGTGGGAGGAAAGGTGGGTGTAGTTCTAAAATGAAGGATGATTGAGATTCTCATCTGGCAAGAGAAACACAAAGCAAGTCCTCTTAAGACACATTTTTTAAAAACGTGGGATTACATTAAGTCACCTTTCCTAGGATCTGGGTTTTATGGGCTCCTCTGATTTGGGGCAGCATTCAGGGGTCTCTGGAAGAAGGAGAGGCAACAACATCCTTTTCTTAATTATGAATTTTTTTATATGAAAAGTCTAGGGCCCACACCATGAGGTTACTAGAGGGCTGGGCAACTGTATAGATACCCTTGGGTCAGGTAACAAAAGGCTTGTAGACAGTGAAAAATGTGCTTTGAGACTTTATTTCCATTGTTTTCACAGCAAGTCTACAAATTAGATTTTATTTTTAAATCATTTTACATTTGAAGAAATTGAATTGCATGAAGGAAAAATGGTTTATCCGAAGTTGTCTATAAGTAGGCTGATGAACTGAAGACAGTTCTGGGCAAAATGGGATGAGTTGGTCACCTGACTAGTAAGTTCAATTTTGGATCTTCAGATCCAAGGATGGGATTCTTTCTTGTTTTTCGCAGCTTCCCTGGTATATGCACTGTTTTAGTTGCTGTGTTAATTGGCTTTGTTTAGACTTCTATTATTTTGCACATGGATACTAGCTGCCCTACCAGTGGAGTAATAAGGCTGATTTAGAGTTATACAGGATAATGAAGAAACCAAATATTAACAATATTGGCTTGTGCCTTTTGAAAAATTGCTTTTGAGAAGTTGCTCAGTTTATTGTTCAAAACATGTCTGGAAATCCCAAGTCTTGGGATTCATCACTAGACCCAGTTTCTAGGGCCATTCAGGAAATGAAGTCTCATTATTTTGCAGTTCCATTTTGTGACAAAATTACCTTTTAGTAATTTGCCTCGTTTCACCTCTCTTGCTCTTCTAGTTTTGGCCAGAAAAGAACTTCTTGCCTCTCTTTTTCTATTCTATTATATGTTATTATTTCTGTACACAAACTTATTTCAGTGGTTATGTATCTATAACAATAGAGAACTTGGTTGATTGTAAGTATAGATGGTGCTTAATGACCACCAATGTGGTTTAATAAGTAAAGGAAGTAACCCGTTGAATACTGAGGACACTACATACTAGTATCATGTAACATTTGACAGAACATTATTCAAACATAATGTAAAATTGACAAGAATTCAGGATTTGGTTAGTAAAAAGTAAACATTGTTATAGTATCATAAATGAAACTCCAAGAAGGTTTTAGCAAAGACATTCCACAGGATGAGGGGAGTAGAATCATAATCACAGAATACATATCCCGGCAATAGACTAGACATTGGTTATGTAATTTTAAAAAAGCCAGTGGGGAATATAAATTCCTCTTTAAATTAGTAGATACATTACAAAGGCCTGTAAAAGAAAGCTCAGAAAATAAGAAGTATTAAATACTTTTGCCACTTAAGAACCGTTTATCTTTGATCACTTTTTCGACTCACATTTTTATGAAGTGCATAAGTCAAACATGATTAAATAAATTGCAATTTTTTTAAGGTTAGAAGTGGTCAAGTATTAGCAATTTTATATGTTTCAACCTAACATTACTATTTCTATTTTGCTGAGGGAGAAATGGAATTGATAACTGATACAGAGTTACTGGAGATTAGATTTATTGGAGAAATCAGGAAAGGGGGCTATCAAGCCCTTCTGATCCCCAATACTGTTTTTTGTTTTTTGAAGCTACAGTTCCAGTGGCTGTTATGGAGCAGAAACTTGATAAATGTGTATGGTAGTTTAGAAAAAAAAATGGCCACAAGTGTGTTGACACTGTCCCATCAAGAGGTGGCGTTGATGTTCTCACTCCTTGACTCTAGACAGACTTGTAACTACTTTGACCAATAGAGTATGATGGAAGTGACACTATGTGAGTGCTAAGACTAAGTCACAAAAGACCATGCAGTGTTTACTTGCTTCTCTTGGAATGCTCAGTCTTGTAACACTTGTGAACTCCAGTCATCATGCTGTGAGAAGTGCAAGCCACATGGAGAGACCACATATGAGTGCTTCAGTTGACAGCACTGGTGGAGCCCAGTCTTCAAGTCATCTCAGCCCAAGTACCAGGCATGGGACTGAAGAGGCCTGCAGATGTGTCAGCCCCCAGTTGTTGTAGTCTCCCCTGCTGAGACTCCAGACACTGTGGAACAGAGAAAAGCCATTCCTGCTATATTCTGCTTTAAGTCCTGACCCACAGCATCTGTGAGCTAATAAAATGATTGTTGTGTTAGGCCACTAAGTTTGTGGTGCTTCATTATACTGCAATAGATAAGTGGAACAACGTGGACAGGATGTGTACTTCTTGTCTAGGAGGTTGAGCTTCATTCTCAGTTACAAAACCTATATGGGTGCCTGAAAGTCATTTGAGTTCCAGCCCGCTGCTCTCCCTACCCATTGAAGCTCATGCTTGCTGTTAGCTGTGCAGAAACACTAACCATGGGTATCAAAGTGACACTGGCCCTAATTGGTTGGATGATCTGAGAGACCTGAGGAGGGTTTCTGCCTAGTGTGGAAATCTCCTCCCACAGACACTCAGGTTTGTCAAAAACACCTTGAAGAATGTGCTCTCAATTCTGGATGCTGCTGGAATACCGAAGAATTCTTCCCATGTGCATCTATGTTCATTTAAAAATAACTTTTAAAATATTATTTATTTATTATTTTTAAAAATTTTTGAGAAAAGGTCTCATTCTTTCACCCAGGTGGGAATGCACTGACATAATTATGGCTTACTGCAGCCTCGACCTCCTGGGCTCAAGTGATCCTCCCACCTCAGCCTCCTGGGTAGCCACCATGCCTGACTAATTTTTTTGTACTTTTTTTTTGTAGAGATGGGGTTTTGCCATGTTGGCCAGGCTGGAAAAATATCTTTTAAAAGTGGTAATGCATATTCATTATATCATGAACTGAAAATACAGACATACTCAAAGAAGAAAGCAAAAAACATCTATAATGCCATCCAATGACACATGCTGTTAACAACTTTCAAACTTCCTTTATTGAGTGTAAATCATATGACTCATTTGTATATAATATAATGTGATGCATAATTATTATAATAAAATTCACAAATATATATAATATATATATTAACATAATGGGATTATACTATCTATATTATTCTATAACTTTCTTTAACCCAACTATTGTTGAAATTGTTTTGTGCCTCTGTATAAAGCCCTAATTTATTTGTACTGATTGCATAAGATTCATTGTCTGATTGTCTGTAGTTTATTGCTTCCCTTGTTGATGGATCTTTACAGTTTTCTTACTTCTGTTGTAAAAATTACATTGCATCACCGTCCAGTGATAGTACCTCAGTGGTTCAGGCTGGCTGTTGGTTGTTGCAACTCCTTGTCTGTTGCACATCTCAGTCACTTTTTAATAGGAAATGTTTTCACTTCTCTCCCGCTCCTTCAACACACACACACACACACGCACGTGCACACATAAAGGAATTCAGTGGGAGAACACACACGAACACACAGGGAAATCCCACAGAACTCGACAATGGGATTTTGAGATTAGATGCTTTCAAAAGGGAGCAGGCTGTTGCCTTCTCAGATTTTGTACAGGGTTGCAACATCTGCTCCTCTGACAAAAGAAATATTTAAAAATGCTGTGGAAACTAGGTTAGGCCAAACTTGAAAAGTTTTTCCTTCCCTCACTGTTGAATTTGTAAATATATTCCCTATGCTTTTTTGTAAATGCAAAATGTCAGCATAAATGTGGAATAAAAATGGGCTGGTTAGCCTGTTGCTTTGGCTTCTCTAAAATGGAGGAAATAAAATAGAAACTTAAAATAGTGTGTTCAGGAATGAAGCTTTTTTTTTTTTTTTTTTTTTGCCTTCAAGCAAAAGGTAAAAAATAACTGCCTTGCTTTTTGTTACTGCTTTTTAAAAAATCAAGTTGCTTTTTGTTAACAATTGTTAGAATCAGTAGCTTAGGCTATTTCTGGCATTCTTTGCTGGAGTATTCTGCAAACCTTTCACAAGACAATATCAATGTTGCTCAGAAGCACTTGGAATTTGGGATTTCTCCATGATGAGAGAAAAGAAAGCTGAAAGGGGCTCTCTCCTTTGCTATAGTTTGGACTTCATTTGTTACCTTTCCAGCAGCTCAGGGTATTTCACAGCCTGAGGCATTAACTTAGAACTGGGTGAGTGACTCCTTTTTGATGAGAGGGTAAGTGTGGAGGAAGTTAGAGGTTGGGGAGCTGAGCTTAGGTTTTGTTGTCAATCTAGTTAAGTTAGAAACTCAGTTCCATCATTTACTTGCTGTGACACCTGGAGTGTAATTGAACCTTTTTGAACCTTAGTTTCCTATTTTATATGATGTAGATGGCATGGGGTCAGCTTTGTGAGGAATGTAGGTGGTAAACATAAAATAAGTGGCACATAATAAACACTCACAAATGTTAGTTTGTGTCTCTGATTAAGACCACCAATTTTTTTTACTTAATTAAAATTTACTTTATTTATTTATTTATTTTTATTATACTTTAAGTTCTGGGATACATGTGCAGAAAGTGCAGGTTTGTTATATAGGGATACATGTGCCATGGTGGTTTGCTGCACCCATCAACCAGTCATCTACATTAGGTATTTATCCTAATGCTATCACTCCCCTAGCCCCCACCCACCGACAGGCCCCGGTGTGTGATGTTCCCCTCCCTGTGTCCATGTGTTCTCACTGTTCAACTCCTACTTATGAGTGAGAACATGTGGTATTTGGTTTTCTGTTCCTGTGTTAGTTTGCTGAGAATGATGGTTTCCAGCTTCATCCACATCCCTGCAAAGGACATGAACTCATCCTTTTTTATGGTTGCATAGTATTCCGTGGTATATATGTGCCAGACTCTCTTCATCCAGTCTATCATTGGTGGGCATTTGGGTTGGTTCCAAGTCTTTGCTATTGTGAACAGTGCTGCAATGGGCGGATCACAAGGTCAGGAGATCGAGACCATCCTGGCTAACACGGTGAAACCCCGTCTCTACTAAAAATACAAAAAAAATTAGCCAGGCGTGGTGGCGCCTGTAGTCCCAGCTACTCGGGGGTTGAGGCAGGAGAATGGCATCAACCCAGGAGGTGGAGCTTGCAGTGAGCCGAGATCGCGCCACTGCACTCCAGCCTGTGCGACAGAGCAAGACTCCATCTCAAAACAAAAAAACAAACAAAAGAAAAAAAAAACATACGTGTGCATGTGTCTTTATAGTAGCACGATTTATAATCCTTTGGGTATATACCCAGTAATGCGATTGCTGGGTCAAGTGGTATTTCTGGTTCTAGATCCTTGAAGAATCGCCACACTGTCTTCCACAATGGTTGAGCTAATTTACACTCCCACCAACAGTGTAAAAGCGTTCCTATTTCTCCACATCCTCTCCAGCATCTGTTGTTTCCTGACTTTTTTTTTTTTTTTGCTCACTGCAACCTCTGCCTCCCTTGTTCAAGTGATTCTCCTGCCTCAGCCTCCCGAGTAGCTGAGATTACAGGCGCCCACCACCGCGCCTGGCTGATTTTTGTATTTTTAGCAGAGGTGGGGTTTCACCATCTTGGCCAGGCTGGTCTGAAACTCCTGACCTCGTGATCCACCCACCTTGGCCTCCCAAAGTGCTGAGATTACAGGCGTGAGCCACCGCTCCTGGCCGAGACCACCATTTTGAATATCACACGTAATGAGCCAGAGAAAATGATGTTCACTGGAACTCTCCAGAGAAAGTGAAAGGTGTCTCTGAAGGAAAGGATTTTTATGAGTTTAGAGTGGTACTATGCTCTCCCTTTTCCTTTGCCCCAAGGAATTAGGGTATATTCTAAATCGATTTCATCTGGGTGATACAAGAGATTCTGTTGGTTGTTCAGAGATGTTGAGAGATCAACCAGGAGACTGTGGGAGGATGTGAGCTCTCTGAGGTAACCTCTCTCCATGTGTCACCCCTGGTCTTCGGGAAGTCTCTCCAATTCAAGAAATGTGCTGTTTTAGTGGTGTCTTTCTTTTGGAAACTGGTAAAGGGACTGAGGGTGCTGTGGAATTAAAGACAAGCAAGGGCCAGGCATAGCGGTTCACACCTGTAATCCGAGCACTTTGGGAGGCCAAGGTGGGAGGATTATTTGAGGCGTGGAGGTCAAGAACAGCCTGTGTAACATAGCCAGACTTTGTTTCTACGAGAACATAAAATAAAATAAAATAAAATGAAATAATCTGAATATAGATGCATGCATGTGTGTTCCCAGCTACACAGGAAGCTGAGGCAGGAGGATTGCTTGAGCCCAGGAGTTCGAGTTTATAGTGAGCTGTGATCATGTCACTGCACACTAGCCTGGGCAACAGAATGAGACCCTGCCTCTCAATAAAAAGAAATAAAGAAGACAGAAATTCAGTGGCAATAGAAGCAGGAGGAAATGAATCTTTGAACTTGCAGATGTTGTGGGAAGACTGTTAACAGTCAATGGAATTGGCAGTCAAGAGAAGTTTAACTGAATCTCTGAGTGGCAAGAGTCAGGAGAGGTTTAACTGAATATAGGTTAGTTTTTTTCTTTTAAGGTTGTGCATACTTGTGATTAATGTTCCTATTTACATCTTTTTTGGATACTGGTGCAAAACTGACTTAGCCAAATCACTCAAAATCTTTGAGTCTGACTCTTTTGCCTTCCAGATAGATTAAATAATTCTTTGGCCTGCCAGTATTTTTACTACCTTGTAAAATGTTTACTGGCTTTCCCCACAAATCCTGGTGCCTTACTCAGAGGTAACATAGCTGGTAGCAAGGATAGGACAGGGTTTGACGAAATCAACAGTGAATGCAAGAAATGTTCTTGTTTCCCCAGAATACAATTTCTTTCCATTCTAACCCACTTTTCCCCTGGATCTTGGGCTTGTGCTTATCTGCATGTCTGCATTATTATGCATTTTGCTCTATACAGTCTTTTCTGTTCAAAGACACAGGCTGTAAATCAAAAGCTAGAATTGGAATCCAAAACTTGGGCATAGACTATCCGGGATCAGTGCTATAGAACAGATTTCAGGTGGAACCAACCAGTAAGGGAAATATTGTAATAAATATACATAAATGGCCAAATCCCTTGTTTCCTCTTCGGCTTAACTATATGCAGCCTGCATTGCTTAATGTTGGGAGTATGTTCAGAGAAATGCATCATTAGGTAATTTCATCCTTGTCTGGACATCATAGAATGTACTTACACAAACCTAGATAGTGTAGCCTAATACACACCCAGGCTATATGGTAGAGCCTATTATTGCTCCTAGGCTACAAACCTGTACAGCATATTACTGTCCTGAATACTGTAGGCAAGCAATTAAAACACAATGTAAGTATTTGTGTATCTAAACATATACAAACATAGAAAAAGTGCAGTAAAAGTATAGTATCATAATTTTATCCACTGTCATATATGTGTGGTCCGTCTTTGACCAAAATGTTGTCATGTGATATATGAGTGTATATTCAACTACCTGTAAATTTTGTTGATATTAACAACTTTATTATGGTAATTATTAGAAAGAGGATTAGCTTTGTGCTAAGCCACGTATTAGATGTCCAAACACAGACTATGCATGTAATAAATCAAAGTGTCCCTTAAAAGACTGTAGAAAAATAGTTTTATTATAAATAACAATATAACTCATGCATTTGTAATTACAGCTGGTAATAAGGATATAACTAATATTGGACATAGGATGATAAACTATGGCTTGGCAATTTCAGAAAAAAGTGGCTGGAATAGTAATTGGAATGATCTCTTTCACTAAGATATTATGGGTCCTGCAAATGCTACTGAATGCCAAAGCTATTAGCCAGAGAAAATTATACTGAGGAAAAGAAAATGAATACTTTTGAATACCCATTAAGTTCCAGATACTTAAATATATATAGACTCCTTAAATACTCCTAATCTTGTGATATAAGTATTATTATTTTCACAGATGAAGACTTTGAGGGTAAGAGAGGTTAAGGATTTGTCTAATCTCAAATGGCAAGTGAATGCAAATGATGGATCTAAAATTCAAACCACATCTGTTTATCTTCTAAATGTATTCTCTTTACATTAGTCAGAACTCTGTAGGGTTAATGAATTTGATGTAGAAGATGCTTTGCTTCAACACCAATATAAGAGGTAAAACAAAGGAGTTATCCACAAGTCAAGAAATGAGAAGTTTCAGCTTCACATATTTTGGCAGTTGGCAAATGCCCATCTTCCATAGCTTCTCTGGCTTTTAGCGAGAAAAGAATACATTCACAAATGTAGTGAAAAGAATGGGACTTGTCAAGGTGTTTTCAGACATAGAATGTTGAGAATAAAGATAATGAGTTGGAGATATTAAAAAGAGACAGCCTGACTTCTTAGAGAGGGTTTACAATGTCAATGCACAATCCAAGGGTCTTTTCTTTCTGAATCCACAAACTAAACTTGTCAGTGCGCTAGATCTGATGAGCCTCAGGGAACTGACTAATATTTAGAATAGACTATTTATTTATTAATTTACAAACAAAGCTTTTATTTCCTGTGAACATAATAATGGTGCCCACCACCAAAGAACGTTTTTCTTGGTACTAAGGTAATTGTGCTATAGACTCTGTAACCTAAGTTTGATTAGTGAATAGACTCAGAAGAAATGGAATTAGGTGACCATGTGGGTACTTTCTCCAGTTCACAGAAGAGAGTGTGCCACTTTAGTGACCAGAACATTCTCATATGGTAGAAAACTGCTACAACATTATTGTTCTTTGGTGCCACTTTTCCTAAACTCCACATAGTTCTTACTCCTTTTTAAGAGTCATTTAATTCTTTAAACTACTGTTATAAAAATATACACTCTAGTAACCTTAATTGGATCCCCATAAGCCCTCTTTAGTGTCCAGAATGTGGAAAACTCAAGATAATTAGATACTTATGTCCATTGCCAGTCTCCTCCATTAGTATAAATCTCGGGTTTTACACAAATTCCAAAGTCTGATGCTATCTTCTCGTAGTCATCGTGTATGTCAACTATAGGCACATCAAGCTTCTCTGAACAGTCTGACCTGACAGTCAGCTTTGAAATAAAATTAGGAAACTCATTGGCTAGAGATTGTTTATAGGGAAAGAAAGTTAATATAAGACAAATTTGTGAAACTATTTCTGTAAATAAGAATTAGAGAAGAAATGAAATATAGAGGGAGAGCCTGACATGGCATTTTATTTTGGTCAAGAGGAAACACAGGAAGAAATATTTCCTGGGAGAGAAGCTGTGTTTCTGATGTATCATTTTCATTAAGGATGGCAATAATTTGAAGGACCCATGTAAACTAAGCCTTATTATTTTTAAACATATTTTAACAATTTCTTTTAAATCATCCAAAGGTAATATGGCATGGTTGGAATTCTGCTTATCCCAATTATGGTTGTTCTTTATGTAATTGACATATATCTAATGAGCACTCACTATATACACGGGGGGGTGTTAGGCACCATGAATAAACAGAATAAGATGGTCTCTTGTTTATGGGACGTTTGCTCTAAACCCCATAATAAAATATTCACACAGCAAAGGGTGATTTACCACCAAAAGCCATAAATGGGTAACACACCCCACTGTTCAAAAGCGTTGTGAAAATATTTTGGAGGTCAGAAGCTGTATAAAGTAACATTAAGTCAGGGTAGGGAAGGCAATCAGTGCTATTTACCTCCTAGAAGACATGGGGTATTCCCTTCAGGCCACAAGTTCTTGCTAGGGTCCTTAAGTTTCCCAATAGGTTCCTATTTTGAATTTGACTACCTGTGCAGGGCCACATGCTCTTCACTCACATGGTCACATAGTTGCCTGTGTTCAAGTACTTTCCAGGAGTGCACTCTGGAATTTATAGCTGTCCAATAGTTATTAAAATCATAACTGAGAAAAGCAATATTCAGCATGTATTTCATAAAGGATATGCAATTAATTTTTTCTTTTGAAATGTAAATATTTCCTTCCAGACCCAAGAGAGCTATGAATCTGGACTGAATAATAATGGAGTCCTCAAAGATTTGTACTATAAGGGAATCATGAGCCTAAGTTGAGGAATATTATGAGAAACAGCATTGGAAACACCTTGTGGGGCTGTGGAGAGAATAAGCCTGAGGATGTCTTTTATTATATAGTGCAAAATATGGACAAAAAATCTATTGAGCATGTTGCTTCACCAATAGTCTAGCCTTGCTCATTGATGACACTATATCTTTAACTATTTCAGGGTTATTTGTCCCTCCATGATGGTATGATCAGGAGAAGAGAGATTAATGGAAAGTGAGATCTGCTACTATTGTGAATTGGTCACTATATGAAGGGACATAATCATTAATGACAAGAGACTTGTTTAAGATGAAGAAAATGAATCTAAATGAAGTTATTTCTTCTTACCAGATGATATGACTTAATTAGTACAGATCTGCACTGTCCAAAATAATAGCCACTAGCCACATGTGGCTATTTATATTAACATTTCAACAAAGCAAAATTAAGTAAAGTTAAAATTTCAGTGCCTTGGTTATAGTAATAATACTGCTGGTGCTCAATAGCCACATGTGACTATTTGGCTACCATATTGGATAGCACAGATACAGAATATTTCCTTTATTGCATAATGTTCTACTGGATAGCACTGGTTGAGATAATAACAAGGAATGAATGACCCGAGCAATTCAATCAATGGTCCATTCTGTAGAATAATTCATCAGGATGTTTTATACCCTCTTCCTTCTTTGTTCATCTCTTTACATTATTAGTGCTTTGATTGGAGCTAGTACAAATGGGTCACATTTACTGAATTATTTTAGAATAATATTTTCTCATTAATCAAATACCTGAGCTCACATTTATGCTCTTTCTCTTTCTTTTTCTTTCTCTTTTTCTTTCTTTCTTTCTTTCTTTCTTTCTTTCTTTCTTTCTTTCTTTCTTTCTTTCTTTCTTTCTTTCCTTTCTTCCTTCCTTCCTTCTTCCTTCCCTTTCTTTTCTCTTTCTTTCTTTCTTTCTTTCTTTTTTTCTTTTATTGGCTTTGTAGAATATCCAAATTTAGTACATCAGCATAGACTCTGCAATAAACTGTAGAAAAATTCTAGCTAGAAAAGTTGATTGAAGTTAATAGTTGAGGGAGTCTTTTGACTACTTTGCAGATTTAAATTCTTCTTCCTATTCATTTGTTTTCTATTAGCATAAATAACCAAGAATTAGTTGTAGTTTTTATTAAAGAGAAAAATTAAGTAAGAGACTGACAGACAGATGGAGAGGACAAAGACAGGGATAAACAGAGATAAACGGATGAATCAAAGGAGAGACATTTATTGAGTGAATTCTGTGAGGCTATTATTAGACTAGGTTATTCCTTTAATACTTAATACTTAAAAACCCATTGAAATAAATTTTGTCCTGATTTTATAGATGAGAAAACAGGCTCAGAGAGGGATTTCACTTGCTCAGTGTTCATACGACTGTAGATGATAGTGCTGAGATTTGAACTCAAACTTTCTTCAAGAATTATGAATATCCTATTCTATCAATCTCTAAGCCATTATCTTTTTCCCCCAAATCACTGACAGTAAACTCTCCATGTCTTTTTGTTGTCTTATATTTTCTTTTGCTTCTTATTTCTTCTTTGAATTGTTTTTATTCAAGGAGTTTTTGTCTTCTTTATTTGAAAATAAAGAGTAATGTGTCAGGAAGATTTTTCACCTGTTTTCTAGAGTAAATCTTTTTCTGAATTGTATTTTACCTGCTTTTTGCTCTTATAGCTCTTCCAATTTTTATTGGAATGTTTATGCAATGACCCATGCTGTTTATTTCTAATTATTATTTATCTTTTTTAGTGGGAGTGATTTTGTTTGTCTTTAATTTGCTCACTTAACATGTGGGAGTGGAATGAGAGGAGGGAACTAAGGCAGCAAGTTACTTCTGTTTGGTCTCCTTGTCTCCAAACTCCTTCTCATTAAATCTGCGGCATTTTCTGTTCTCATGGACCAATGTTCTTTCAAATTTTGACATTCCGGTCTTCAAAGCGAGAAGTTTAGTGTAATTTTCAGTGAAGCTGAAATTAAATCTTGTGATTTAGTATGGACAACATATACATGTATGCTTAAAAGAATGATGTAATGAAAACTATTGCCCATTACCCAGTTTAAGGAAAAATCATTTTCAGAACCTTAAAAGTTCCTAATGATGCTTTTTAAAAAATCCCATTCCTTCCTTGCCTCAGAGAACCCAATCCATTGGATTTTGTGGTTATCATTTCATTGCTTTTCTTTATATTTTATAATGCATAAATAATTCCCTAAGTAATATATCTATATTTATATATAGATATATTCCCCAAGTAATATACCAATATCCCTAAGTAATATTGGGTATTGTCTGCTTTGAACTTTATGTAAGTAGACCCATACTAAATATATGCTTCTGTGATTTGCTTCTTTCACTCAACATCATCATTTTGCATTTCCCACATGTCGATACATAAAACTGTAGTTTTACATTGCACACATGAATACATTGCATGAATAAATCACTTATTTATTCATTCCACTGCTAATCGACATTTGAAGTGCTTCCAGTGTTTCTCTTTAAACTGTGGACTGTGCTCTCCTGAGCATTTTTTCAGGTCTCTATTTGCAAAAACAATCTCTTGCTAGACATTTTTTTGAAATATACTTAAGAGGAGAATCACTGGGTTGTAGAATGTGTCATCTTCAACTTTATTAGATAATGTAAACAGTTTTCCAACATAATTGTACCAAACTATAATCTCAGCAGTAGGTGTGAGAACCTATTGGTCCATATCTTTGTCAAATTTTGGCATTGATAGACTCATTGAAATCAATTGGCTGAGGGAACTTAGAAGACAGGTCAATAGGTGCAGCAAACCACCATGGCACACATATACCTATGTAGCAAACCTGTACATTCTGCACATGTATCCCAGAACTTAAAGTTAAAAAAATATATATATATATATATATATATATATGAAAATCAACTGACTGTTAATCAGAGAGTTTATGTCTAGACTCTAAATTCTATCTGATTGAACTATATGACACCTTTGTGGTAGTACCAGGCTATATTGATGGCTATAGCTTTGTAGAAACTTTTGAAATTGGCTCCACCTACTTTGTTCTTTTTAAAGGTTGTTTTGGCTACTCTAAGTCCCTTGACTTTTAGAATCAGTTTGTCAATTTCTGCAAAGAAGTCATCTGGGACTTTAATGAAGATTACATTGAATCTTGTAGATCGATTTAGGGAATATTTATTGCCATCTTAGACAAATAGTCTTCTAATCTATGAACATGGCATGTCTTTCCATTTATTTATGTCTTTTTCAGTTTCTTTCAACAGTACTTTTTAGTTTTCAGAGTATAAGTTTTACACTTTTTGTTCAATGTATTAAGTATTTTTCTTTTTGATGCTCTGCTTCTTTATTTCATTTTTGATTGCCCATTGTAAGTGTATAGAGATAGAATTGGTTACTGTGTATTCATTTTTTGTCTGTCTACTTATCAAACACTTTTCTTAGTTCTAGTAGTTTTTTAGTGAATTGTTTAGGATTTTTTGTATATACATCATGCCATCTGCAAGTAGAGATAATTTTAATTCTTCCTTCCCAGTACGGATGTCTTTTATTTAATTTTTCATCTAATTACACTGGCTCTGACCTTCAGTACAATGTTAGATGGATGTTGTGGGAGCAGATATTTTTGTCTTGTTCCTGATGTTAAGGTGAAAGCATTGTCTTTTGCCATTAAGTATGATGTAAACTGTGAGTTTTTCACAGATACTCTTTATCAGATTGAGAAAGCTTCCTTCTATTTCTAGCTTGAGGGCTTTTATCATGAAGGGTCTTGGTTTTTGTCAAGTACTTTTTCTGCAACCATCAATAGCTGCATAAAAATAGTAATATTTAAAAAAATTCAATGACCTGACATATTACATTAGCTGATTTTCAGATGCTAAACCAACCTTACCTTGTTGGGATAAATTCCATTTGGTCATGGTATATAATCCCTTTTGTATGCTGGATTCAGGTTGTTATTTTGCTGAAAGTTTTTGCATCGATGTTCATAAGAGACATTGGTCTGTAGCTTTCTTTTCTTGTGATATCTCTGGTTTTGGCATCAGGGTACTATTCCCTTTGTCACTGGCCATCAAGAATTTTGCTAGGACATGTCTGGATATGGATCACTTTGCGTTTATCCTACTTGGAGTTCATCAAGCTTCTTAGATATGTAGATAAATGTTTTCAGCAAATTTGGGAAGTTTCAATCATTTTTTCACATATTCTTTCTATCCCTTTTTCTCTCAACTTTCCATCTGGAACTCCTATTATGCATGTATTAGAACACTTAATGATGTTCCACAGACCTCAGAGGTTCTGTTCATTTTTCTTCATTCTTTTTTCTTTCTGTTTCTCATACTAGATAATCTCAATTGACGTATTTTCAATGTTTCTGAATCTTTCCTATGACAATTTTAATCTGTTGTTGGGCCTTTCTAGTGAATTTTTCATTTTAGTTATGGCACTTTTTCAACTCCAGAATACCTACTTGGTTTTTAGAACACTTTCTGTTTATTGGTATTTTCTGTTTGGTTGGACATCATTCTCATCCTTTGCTTTAGTTTTTAGACATATTTTTCTTTAGATCTTTGAACATAGTTATAATGGTTGCATTGAAAATCTTTGCCTCTTAAACCAACTTTTGGATTTTTTTTACAGGCAGTTTCTGTTGCACACTTTTTCCTTATGTGTAAGTCACACTTTCCTGTTTCTTTGCATGTCTCATAATTTTTTGTCAAAATGGGACATTTTAGATAAAATATTGTAGTAGTTTTGGATGCTGATTCCTTTACCCTCTGTGGGACTTTTTGTTGTTGTTTGGTTGTGTATTTGATTAGGGACTTGACTGGACTGTTTTAGGGAAGTCTATTTCCCCACAGTGTGAAGCCTTATCTTTGTTAATGAAGGGTTTGGGCAAATATATTCATTCATTAGAATATCACTGTCTTATTACTCATAACAGTTTACAGATGCTGGATTAGGAGTGTTGTGGAAATGTTGATTATGTTATATGTAAATATCTTAGAGAAGGAATGAATAATCAAGAAAAATAACACTCTGGCTAAAAACACAAAATATAAGAAAAGCGTTTCTAAATAAAAACCCTTCTTGAGGTAGGGGGCCCTGTATATGAGGGATTAGGTATTCTCATGATTAAAAGGCATGAGGAAAAGGGGTCCCTAGTGAGAGCTTTGGACTGTCACTACATCATGATTACACTGAATTGAGTGAATAAATGCTGTAGGCATCTCCATGGAATGCTTTCACACTAAAGTTCTATAAGAAATACTTTACTAGCTACTTAACTTCCCATGAGATATTCAGCGCTGTTCCACCACAGACATAGGCTCTTCTACTACTAGGGCAGTGGTTCTGAACTGGAGGAAATGCTGTCCTCCAGGGGACATTTGACAGTCTGGAAACATTTTTGATTGTCACAACTAGAGAGGGTGCTATTCGCATCTAGTTGTAGAAATCAAGGAAGCTGCTAAATATCCTACAATGCACAGGACAGCTCTCTACACCAAAAGAATTATCAACTCAAAGTGTCATTTGCGTCTAGGTTGAGAAAAGTTGCTTTAAGCTAAACAAGCTGTGTTAGTCTGTTTGAGCTGCTATAACCAAATACCATAGACTGGGTAGCTTATAAACACAGAAATTTATTTCTCACAGTTCTGGAAGCTGGAAAGTCTAAGATCAAACCACCAGCAGGTTCAGTGGTCTGGTGAGGGCTGCTGTCTGCCTCCAAGATGGTGTTTTGTATGCTGCATCCTCCAAAAGCAGGAGCACTGTGTCCTTACATAACAGAAGGTGGAAGGACAAAAGGAATGAACTCTCTCTGTCAGGCCTTTTTATAAAAACATCTAACCCCATTCCTGAGGGAGGGCTCTCATGGCTTCTTAAAGCCCCCACTGCTTAATACTATCACACTTGGTGATAGCATTAAGGAACTTCTGAGTTTTGGAGGGGACACACCACAGCAGCATAATCCCATTTCCTAAAACTTTGTTTCTTCTCTCTGTTGTCTCATATTAGTCAATAAAATTAAGAAAGTATTTCCTTTGTACTGCTAAATGTATCTTTACTTATATTATATGGTTTGTATTTTAGTAATTTCCTTAAAAAGAGCTCATGGGAATAATATTCCTGTCATTTCATCATCTCTTTTTTGAATTTATGCATTTCTGCATTGTGGTTCCCATTCAAGGAGGTATTTATTTTATTTTATTTTATTTTATTTTATTTTATTTTATTTTATTTTATTTTATTATTTTATTTTATTTTGAGACGGAGTCTCGCTCTGTTGCACAGGCTGGAGTGCAGTGGCATGATCTCGGCTCACTGCAGGCTCCGCCTCCCGGGTTAACGCCATTCTCCTGCCTCAGCCTCCAGAGTAGCTGGGACTACAGGCGCCCACCATCACGCCTGGCTAAATTTTTTTTTATATTTTTAGTAGAGACGGGGTTTCACCATGTTAGCCAGGGTGGTCTCGATCTCCTGACCTCGTGATCTGCCCGCCTTGGCCTACCAATTTATTAATATTGAATATAAATCCTAGTAAAATGCTTGATCACAATTTTGATCAGCCCCCTGGCACCATTTTTCGGTAAGAGTTTTTGTCTGTTGCTACTCATTCCTCTTTAGTAAGTTTGTGTCAGTATTTTACCTATATCTTTTTATTATTCATATTTAATCACTTTTATTTTTCTGCATGAGCTCTTTATAAGTTGTTTCTTGATGATGGTGGAAAGGAGGTAAAAGATGCCTAGACTAGTCTTCCAGGCTGCACAATCCAAGGGCTTTTTTGTCTTTGCTACTACAGAAAATCTACTTCCTAAAAATATATCTCATCTGTGTGATTTTTAAAAGTTAAATTATATATTTTTTTGTGTAGTCTCATTTCCTCTGCCATCCCAAATCAAATTGCGTGCTAAAGGGCTTTTTCCACCAGCCTTGTCTACCCCAGTTCCTCCATTCATTGTAACAAACAAGAGACATAGCTTACTTCAGGATGAGTTCCTCAGCTTTAGAAAATGTACTTTCTACTGGCATTTTCTATGATCTTCCACTACTGGGCCTTTTACCACACCTCATGCCTTTTCTCATTACTTCTTATTGTGCAGCGTCTGCTTTGGCTTAGGTGCTTTTGGGAACTCTCACATAAATTTTGGAGTTTACATATTATATGTTTCCTAATATCACTGAAAATGGAGTTTTGAGATATCACACATTCTCATTTTTGCTTTTGTATGATTTTTCAGAAGGAGAAGAAGTATTTACATTAGAAGTCTGATTCACAGGTCGGGGCAAAGTGAAAAACATCTGCACTTTTAAAAGGTATCTTTTAACTTACACACTTATGAACAATTTTAAGAATGGGAGAAGTGATAGGAAACCTTATGTAATTTTCATCTCCAGTTTTATGTTTTTAATTTTGGCTTCTTTTTCCCACACCCAATGTTCGGGAGTCTGTTGGACAACTAGGGATGTGTTTCTAAATCTCTTTAAGACAGAGGTATTGCTCAAAGTGTGCAGTCACATTAGGGACAATGAAGCAGGTGTTTTGACCTTCTATGTGGCATGCTGTTTGCTTATGGTCTGGTCTACTACAGTATCACACCCTCTCAATGTCCCCACCTGCTTATACACAGATATAGCTGTAGAATGCTGGGAAATAACTGTGGGTAACTTACTGGCCTTTTCATAACAACAAATCGTGATGTAGAATCAGTGAGCATTGCAGAAAATGGCTGTGTTACAACACAGAAAGCAGTTTTTATTTTTTGGTAATCTGGAAAGTATAACCATTCCATGAGATTTAATATTGTCACTCACATGGCATTATACCATCACTGTAAACATCTTTTAATGTCAAGGATGACATTATCTATGTATTCCTTTTATTATTATCTTCCAGAGTCACTTGGCTTCCAGCTTCATCCATGTCCCTGCAAAGGACATGATCTCATTACTTTTTATGACTGCTTAGCAACACTCTACTACATTTTCTGGGTTTTTGTCTGTTACATTGAAAGCAGGAATGGTTGGGGGATGGGTTGAGTATGGAGGGAATGAATATGAAAAAATATTTAAAAATGGAGAGCACTTTACAACTTATTAAATTCTGTGCTGTTGGTAATACAAAGATGAATAAATCATCTGCCTCACACTCAAATGGAGAGCAGCAGACTAGCATTTATTAAACACGATGTGGCACAAATCGTGTTTGGTATTTTATTTATTTATTTTTAAATTTTTATTTTACTTTAAGTTCCAAGATACATGTGCAGAACATGCAGGTTTGTTACATAGGTATACGTGTGCCATGGTGGTTTGCTGCATCTATCAACCTGTTACGTAGGTTTTAAGCCTCGCATGCATTAACTATTTGTCCTGGTGCTTTCCTTCGCCTTAGCTCCCTACCCATGACAGGCCACGGTGTGTGTTGTTCCCCTCCCTGTTTCCATGTGTTCCCATTGTTCAACTCCCACTTATGAGTGAGAACACGTGGTGTTTGGTTTGGCTTCCAGCTTCATCCATGTCCCTGCAAACGACATGATCTCATTACTTTTTATGACTGCATAGTATTCCATGGTGTATAGATACCATATTATCTTTATCCAGTCTATCATTGATGGGCATTTGGGTTGGTTCCATGTATTTGCTATTGTAAATAGTGCTGCAGTAAACATACATGTGCAGGTATCTTTATGGTAGGATGATTTATATTCCTTTGGGTATAAACCCAGTAATGGGATTGCTGGGTCAAATGGTATTTCTGCTTCTAGATCCTTGGGAAATCACCACACTGTCTCCCACGGTGTTTAACGAATTTACATTCCCACCAACAGTGTGAAAGTATTCCTATTTCTCCACAGCCTCACCAGCATCTGTTGTTTCTTGACTTTTTAATAATTGCCATTCTGACTGGCATGAGATGGTATCTCATTGTGGTTTTGATTTGCATTTCTCTAATGAACAGTGATGTTGAGCTTTTTTTCATATGTTTGTTGGTGCATAAATGTCTTCTTTTGAGAAGTTCCTGTTCATATTCTTTGCCCACTTTTTGATGGGTTTTTTTGTTTTTTTTTTTTTCTTGCAAATTTGTTTAAGTTCCTTGTAGATTCTGGATATTAGACCTTTGTCAGATGGGTAGGTTGCAAAAATTTTCTCCCATTCTGTAGGTTGCCTGTTCACTCTACTGATAAGTTTCTTTTGCTGTGCAGAAGCTCTTTAGTTTAATTAGATCCCTTTTGTCAATTTTAGCTTTTGTTGCAATTGCTTTTGGCATTTTCATCATGAAATCTTTGCCTATTCTTATGTACTGAATGATATTGCCTAGATTTTATTCCAGGGTTTTTACAGTTTTGGGTTTTACATGTATGTCTTTAATCCATTTTGAGTTATTTTTTGTATAAGGTGTAAGGAAGGGGTCCAGTTTCAGTTTTCTGCCTATGGCTAGCCTGTTTTCCCAGCACCATTTATTATATAGGGAATCCTTTCCCCATTGCTTGTTTTGTCAGGTTTGTCGAAAATCAGATGGTTTTATCAAGATTTAGAGCTCCTTTTAGCAGTTCTTGTAGTGCTGGCTTTGTGGTAGTGAATTCTCACAGCATTTGTCTGAAAAACACTGTATCTTTTCCTTCATTATGAAGCTTAGTTTCACTGGATACAAAATTATTGGCTGATAATTATTTCATTTAAGGAGGCTACAGATAAAACCTCAATACCTTCTAGCTTATAGGGTTTCTGCTGAGAAATATGCTCTTAATCTGATAGGTTTTCCTTCATAGGTTACCTGATGCTTTTGCCTCACAGTCCTTCAGATTCTTTCCTTCGTTTTGACATTATATATTCTGATCTAAAGTGCCTAGGTGATGATCTTTTTGCTATGAATTTCCCAGGTGTTCTTTGAGCTTCCTGTAGTTGGATGTTTAGATCTCTAGCAAGGCCAGGGAGGTTTTCCTTGATTATTCCCTCAGGTATGTTTTCCAAACTTTTAGGTTTCTCTTCTTCCTCAGGAACACCAATTAATCTTTAGGTTTGGTCATTTAACATAATCTCAAACTTCTTGGAGGCTTTGTTCTTTTTTTTTTTTTTTTGATTCTTTTTTCTTTGTCTTTCTTGGATTGCATTAATTCAAAAGCCTTGTCTTCGAGCTCTGAAGTTCTTCTACTTGTTCGATTCTATTGTTGAGACTTTGTATTGTTGAGTGTATTTTGCATTTCTCTAAGTGTGTTCTTCATTTCTGGAAGTTGTAATTGTTTTTTATTTATGATGTCTGTTTCTCTGGAGGTTTTTCTGTTCATGTCTTGTATCATTTTTTTTTTTTATTTCTTTAAGTTGGTATTTGCCTTTCTCTGGTACCTCCTTGAGTAGCTTAATAATCAGCCTTCTGAATTATTTTTCTGGCAATTGAGAGATTTCTTCTTGGTTTGGATTCATTGCTGGTGGGCTAGTGTGATCTTTTGGGGATGTTGAAGAACTTTGTTTTGTCATATTACCAGAATTGTTTTTCTGGTTCCTGCTCATTTGGGCAGACTATGTCAGAGGGAATATCTGGGGCTCAAGGACTGCTGTTCAGATTCTTTTGTCCCACGGGGTGCTCACTTGATGTGATGCTCTCCCCGTTTCCCTGGGGTGGGAGCTTCCTAAGAGCTGAACTGCAGTGTTTGTTATTTCTCTTCTGGGTCTAGCCACCCAGTGGAGCTACTGGGATCCAGGCTGGCACTGGGGAGCATTTGCAAAGTGTCCTATGATGTGGTCTGTCTTCAGGTCTTTCAGCTGTGGGTACCAGCTCCTGCGCCAGTGGAGGTAGTGGCAGGGTGAAGTGGACTCTGTGAGAGTCCTTGGTTGTAGTTTTGTTTAGTGTGTTGGTTTTATGTTGGTTGGTCTCCACCTGGGAGGTGACTTTCAAGGGAGCATCAGCAGTGGTAGTATAGGGGGGATACAAACTTGCCCTAGGGTTGCCTGGATAAGTATTTGGGTTTCTCAGGTGGTAGATTCGGCCATGGAACTCCCAAGAGATTATGTCCTTTGTCTCAGGCTACCAGGGCAGGTAGAGAAGACCATCAAGTGGGGGCAGGATTAGGCATGTCTGAGCTCAGACTCTCCTTGGGAGGGGCTTGTCGTGGTCACTCTAGGGGATAGGGGTGTGGTTCTTAGGCCAAAGGAGTTATGTTTCCAGGGGAGATTATGGCTGCCTCTGCTGTGTCATATAGGACACCAGGGAAGTGGGGGAAAGCCAGCAGTGACAGGCCTCACCCAGCTTCCAAGCAGCCAGAAAGACCAGTCTCACTCCCACTGTGCCCCCCACAGCACTGAGTTTGTTTCCAGGCAGCTGGTGAGCAGGGCTGAGAACTTGCCCCAGGCTACAAGCCTCCCTGCTGAGAAAGCAAGCAGGGCTTCATGTCTCCCCACCTGCTGTGGCTTCTGTGCTTGTAGCTGCAGTCCCTGTTCATCCCCTCCCCTGGATTCTGTCCAGGAAACTTTGCATTTGGTTGATATTGTTACAAAGTTCAGCTGGAAGTTTTCTTCTCCCTGTGGTCTTTCTTCAATTCCACTGGCAGCTCTCCTCAAGGACTCCTGTAAGACAAAGTCATAAATGGCATACCTGGGGACCAAGAGTGCCCACAGTCTCTTCCCGCTGCTTCCTCTACCCCATATTTTGCTTGGCTCTCTAAATTCATCTCAGCTTCAGGTAAGGTTAAATCCTTCTTCTGTGATCTAGACCTTCAGGTTCCCCCGTGAGGATGTGTGTTTGGGGGTGGACTTCCCCCATTACACACTTTGGACACTCACAGTTTTTTGGCTGTCTCATGGAGTCTGCAGCCTGTTATTTGAAATTCTGTCTGCATCTAGAGACTGGAGAATGGGTTGGAAAGAGAGTAGGGAATGAGAAATTGGTTCAAAATCTTTTGGGGTGCTTGATACCAGCAAGATTAAAAACTAATAACCAAACACAAATGTTATTGAAAATGTGCTGTTTCTCACTCAGAAAAATATGTATGTAAGCAGATCTTTTACCTAATCTTTAAGGAAAATATTGTAAAAGTTCTATGCTTCTTGGTCCCCAGTGGCTGGTCTCACACTTTCTGGCTTATCATAGTTATGAGGAGTAGGATACTTTCTCTGCCACTTTGGTGGAGAATTAAACACTTATCACTGGTCAGTTTTTCCCTACCACCTCCATTGTCATGGCCTCACTGAGTCAAAGTTGTCTTACCACTTTACCCTCATGGGCTTCTGTGTTGATTCCACTGTACTATGCATTTGCTTTCAGTGCAGGCTATTTGAAGAACTTTGCCATTTCCTGTCACATGAAGGTAATATGGCTGTGTAATTAAAAAGTTTAGCAACACTGACATTTCTGTGTTTGCACTAGAATTATCTTGATATTACCAGGGACTGAAGAACGCTGCCACCTGCTAGGAACATATGCATATGTTTGAGCAAAGGTTAATTAGTTTATTCAGAAAAGTGATTCAGGTAAGAGCTTAAGAGCAACTTGGCACATTCTAATGCAACAGAGAGGTATGTTATAAGAAGAACTAGGTCAGTTTTCGGCAAGACAATTTGAAAGTTTCCTTTTTTGGAAGTGGGTGGAATAGCAGTTTGATTGATTATTTCAACCTTAAATATAAGACAAATTATCTGTAGCTTGATTAAATGTTCCTCCTTACAGGTCTGTGTCCAGGTATTAATTCTGCATTAAACTAGTTGTACCTATTGTAGGGGAGCAAATGTCTCCTTATCTTAATCTCCAAGCATTTGTCTTTACATAGCCAAATGATGTACACAAAGATGGCAGCCAATGTGTATATATGTATATAATAACTTGGATTGTATCCATTGAGTATAAATATAGGTTGATAAGTTTGATACTATTTAAATATACCCACTCTGCACATCAATTCTCCATTCTCTGAAGATTTTGCTTTAGTTAAATATGATGGGCTTTAGTTAAATTTTAGAGTCTTCTAAATTCCCGAATCTTTTGGAAAAATGTTATTTTCAACTATATATTTGTTGATAATTTTTTATCTTCGATTTACAAAGAGCAGTAACACACCATTGAAAACTGCTCTCTGGACAAAAAATACATGTTTCTCAAATCAAGATGGTAGCCTGACCTGAAGGAGCCCTTTTACCTCCCAGACAAACAGAGTAGTGAAACTTGTCTTTCTCTTATTCAACTTGCCTTACTTTAAGAAAGGACTTGTTAGTTTAAAAATAGTCATCTTTTATTCCCTGCCTGTCAGAGCCTTTCTGCCTTCTCTCAGAATCCAGCATTTACTGATGTTCTTTGATTGACATACTCCTTAGTACTAAAAGGGAACAGAGAATGGGAAAATGTTCAGTTTTATTGACAGGTGCTGAGACCTTGTCAGGGACAATTGCTTAGCAACCTCTCTGGTGCCACTTTTGGGAAAGGGGAAATTAAAGGACAGAATTACATATAAATGAAAGGGAAGCATTTATGAAAAAGGCCAATCATCATAAAACACTAAGTATTTTTTTTTTTCAACTAGGTCTTTGAGTTAGCAATGTAACTTACAAAATCTGCACAAATTATCTTTTTCTTTTCTTGGTTTGTTGGATTCTTGAAGAGTTGAGATAATTTCAGGTTTTTGCCAAATGCTCACAGATTTTGGTAAGTGAAAGAAACTGTATTCAGAGAAAGAATGTCTTAGTTCCTCTGTCAACTCTGACTTGTCCTGGTTATTTACTCTGTGCAGGCCATTTAACCTTCCTGAGCTTCATGGATAAATTGGGAAAACCACCTTTGCTGAGATTAAATAGGTTTACGGTTCATGTGAAAAGGGCTTGAAAATTGTTAAGTGCTTGTGAAATAAGGAATTCCTATAATTTTGCTATATTTGGACATAGTCTGTGCACTAATATGATGCTCGTGTAAGTTGGACATAAATGTTGTTTTATTAGTATAGAAAGAATACAAGCTTACATTTGAAAGTATTTTTCAAAGTACCTTTGCAAATGTTATACCATCTGATCCTCATAGTTCTGTGATAAAGACTATTTTCCCTAATTTCCAGTTAATAACTATTAACCCTAGGTCTAGATTATGTGATTTGCACACAACAACACTGAGGAGTGATTAGGAGCTTAATCAGGTCAGCTGGTCCCAAGCCTCTGACATTTCCACTCTTTTATTAGTTTCTGTTGCTACCTTAATTATTTTTGGAGTGAGATGATGTAAACTAGCTCTTTCTGAAGTATCTGTGGTGAATAACCTGTTTTTAAAATTGTTCTAATCTGTCACAGATGTATACTTTCGTAAAATACAATAAAAGTGAATTATTAGAATCAGACCTGTCAGAACTGTGTCAGTTTCTTGGTTTGGACAATGTACTATGGTTATGTAAGATACTCTCATTGAGAAAAGCTGGGTGAAGGGAATATAGGAGCTCTCTGTACTATTTTTACAACTTCATGTGAGTTTTAACTTATTTCAAAAAAGTTATTAAGTATAAATTATTAGAAAATAAAAATAAAATTCAAAATACAGTTTCTACATTTTTCATGATTAGAGAGTTAACAGACATAAAATTACTCAAATTTCCATAAAAGTTTCTAAATGCTTGGTTTCAATTTCTATATTTATTTTGTGGGAGACCAGTAACAAACCCTCCACTGACCACACCGGCATGAATATTAATGAAAAGAAATTTCTTTTCTGTTCAAATAAGAAGTCCCCGAAGGAACTGTAACTTCTCAGCCTTAATTTTCAAGTCCAAGAAAGAGCATCTGACTGTTCCAAAGTTTGTCCAGGTCCAATCAGCTTTGGCAGAGTGAAGAAGGTAGAATCATGTTGGGGCCCAGTAAAAATAAGCATTAGTACTCAGAGAAGCAAGGATGAAGAGAAATCTCAAGAAATGACTAATAAAGGATTCGATATGTGACTGTGATTCAGCATTTGTTAGGGGAGAAATGATAAGTCTGACTTTAATGGAAATGACTGTAGATTACTGCCCCACACAGCCAATGACTAAACTAATATGAGGCGGAGAAGATGAACTATAGGTATTCAGAGAAGAGAACATTTCTACTTGGGGAAATTACAGAAAGTTTTTTGGAGTGAGTTGTACTTGGGTAGCCTAAATAGCTCTTGAAGTAAGTGTGGAATGTGACAAGATGTAAGTGGGGGAAGTCATTGCTGGCTTTTGAGCAAACTGTTATTTCAGGAAAATCAATCATTTAGTGGTGAGGAGGATGGATTAGTGGTAGGGGATTGTGGAGCCAGGGTCAGGGAGGCTAACTGTGAAGCTGGTTCATGAGAAGGAGTACAAACATGTGAAATAGTGGTTGTGTTTGAAAAAGGAAATGCACGTGAGAGAGATTTTAGAGGTAAAATAGAGTATGGCGACTGATTCAATGTGGGACATTACTAGTAAGAGACAGAAAAAGAAAAACATTTGAGAGGAATCAGAATTAGTTCAGTTTCAGTTATGCCTTTTGAGGGACTGGTGTTGGTTTAGGTGGTTATTTCCTCAGGCAATTGGAAAAATGGATGTAAAAATCAGGTGTGTGCATTCACCAACTTGGAACCTTGAATAATGTCTCTCAAAAAAGATATCCACAAGTCTTAACCCCCAGTAACTGTGAATGTGAATGTGACTGTATTTAGAAATAGAGTCCTTGGGCTGGGCGCGGTGGCTCATGCTTGTAATCCCAGCACTTTGGGAGGCTGAGGCGGGCAGATCATGAGGTCAGGAGATGGAGACCATCCTGGCTAACACGGTAAAACCCCGTCTCTACTTAAAATACAAAAAAAAGAAAAAAAAATTAGCCAGTCATGGTGGCAGGCACCTGTAGTCCCAGCTACTTGGGAGGCTGAGGCAGGAGAATGGCGTGAACCCAGGATGGGAGCTTGCAGTGAGCCTAGATTGCGCCACTGCCCTACAGCCTGGGCAACAGAGTGAGACTCCATCTCAAAAAAAAAAAAAAAAAAGAAAGAAAGAAAGAAAGAAAGAAATAGGGTCCATGAAGATAGAATTAAGTTAAGGTCTTCAGATGTAAACATCCTAGATTTAGGGTGGACCCTAAGCCAATGACCAGTATCCTTATAAGAGAAAGGAGAGGGAGATTTGCCATGTGAAGACAGAGGCAGAGATTGGAGTGATACTGCTACCAGCCAAGGAATGCCAGGAACCACCAGAAGCTAGAACAGGCAAGAAAAGATGCTGCCCAAGAGCCTTTGGAGGGAGCATGGTCCTACTGACACTTTGATTTCAATCTTCTGGCCTTCTGAAATGTGAGAGAATAGCTATCTGTTATTTTAAGCCATCCAGTTTGTGGTAATTTGTACAGCAGCCCTAGGCAATTAAATCAGTATCTCTTTTGGGAGCTCAGTCTGTACTTTGTGAATTATGTTGTTCTTGTGCTGTAAAGTGAGAGAAAATGAAGCTATTCATTCATCTTTATTAGCTTCTTATGTTCTGGTGTTTTCAAAGGTGGCTTTTCTTCCAAGTAAGCAGAGGTGAAAATGAAGCAGTTCAGAAGAATGAAGTTTAAGATACCTTAGCAAGTGTGAAAGTGATTTAATTACAGATTGAATCATCGCCTCCCATTTAATTCTTTCATTCCTTTTCCCCACTTTCTTCCTCTTCCTCCTCCTTTTCCTCCTCCTCCTTCTTCATCTATCTGTATTGGAATTTATCTATCATTAAAAGAAAACATATTAAACTTATTTTTTAGTCTTAAATTTGTTTTTCCATTTCTAACTTCCAATCAGAACTCAACACCTTAGAATAACCAGTGTAACCTTATTCAAAGGTAACCAGAGCCCAAACATATTTAGCCAGTCTGACTCTGCTTACGTATGTGGTTTTTCTCTTGGGCCTTTCAAAGTATTGAAAAATAACTTGCAGACCCTTCCAATCTCATTGCTACTGTTAGTATTTGGTAAGATGTTACTGTCTTGGAGCAGGGATTCGTTCTTTTTAGCCCACTGCCCATCACAGACTCCAGTACAGACTAGGTTTCCACATATTTGTTGATCTAGATTGTTGAGTCAAGGATTGAATTTATGGCCTAATACTGAAGAGTTCTTAAAGTGAATTATCTTCATACGACTGGAAGCATTTAAGTGTCTCAGGCTTTCATGAACTTAGGAGGCCTCCATGTGTTTGCATATCAATAAGTGTGCTCTCCATTGTAAGTATCAAAGAACCCAAGTCAACCTGCTTAAACAAAGGGAATTTATTGGCTTGTGCAATAAGTACCAACTTTAGGTGAGGGTTGATCAAGCAGCTCAATGACCTCTTGGTCTGACTGGTAAGGATACCTGGGTAACAGAGCCCCTTTTGATTTGAAAATCTTTAGTTCAGAGAGTCACTGGACCAGGCTATATTAGCTTGGGAAGGCTGAGAATGAAAAATAGGGCTATGTTTATGTCCAAGTATTTTGTACTGGGCTGGCCACCAACTTTAGTTTAATCATAAATTGTATAGTTCCAAAAGTAATGGTGTGCAACTGACCCAAATGAGGGCACCCCAATATTTATTCAGGCTACCTAACATGCAGGGCAAGTCCACCCTTATTAATGGAGGAGGGCAGTTGGGTGTCCAGAAAGTCTAATGTGATCTTCCTCTCTCAAATTTATCATATGCAACTGTGGGTCTATTGTTGAGAATTTTTGAAGCTTATAATTCCTTTGGAGAGTAGGGTTGACCTCTCTGCTGTATATTTTTACCACTCTGACTTCCTTCTGTACTTTTTCAATTAGAAAACCTTGTCTGATTTGCCCAAACCAAGGTCAGTGTTTGTTCTTGAATTAATCTGCATTCTCCAGAGAAACAGAACCAATAGAATGTATATGTATGTATATATCCCTATATGTCTCTATGTATCTAGGTATCTATCTATGTATCCATCTATCTGTCTAGATTTATTACAAAGAATTGCTTACATGATTATGGAGGCTGAGAAGTCCAGACACAAGAGGCTGATGGTATACTTAAATTCTGAGACTAAAGGCCTGAGAACCAGGAAAGCTGATGGTGTAAATTCCATTTCAAGTCTGAGTCTGAAAACCAGGAGAGTCAATGGTGTAAGTTCCAGTCTGAGTCCATGTCTGGAGGCAGTAGAAGACCGATGTCCCAGCTTGAAGACAGTCAGACAGAGAGAGGAAAAATTCTTTCTTATGCATCCTTTTATTTTATTTAAGTTTTCAACAGGTTGGATGAAGGCTCAGTCTCCTGATTCAAATGTTACTATCATCCAGAAACAGACATATTCAGAAATAACATTTAACCAAATATCTGGGCATCCTTGTGGCCTGGTCAACTTGACATATAAAATTAACTATCACATACTTACCCTATTATTGACATTTGCCAATTCAGTGGTTACCTATAGCTAACTGCTTTAGACCAGTCCTAGACCATCCTTGAAGCTGGAGCTGGCGTCAGTCCCTGCCTAAACCACATAGCAGTTCTACAGTGGACCAGGGCTGAAATGGATGCTAAGGGAGGCCATCACAATGTCTACTCGTTTTCATTATCTTTTCAACTTCTAATGGATATTTCCTTTGCTGTGGCAGAGATCATTATTGTCTTCCTTTAGCAAATGAGAAAACCGTGAGATCACACTCTTACATTTCAAATTATTTATCAGTCTAAAAGAGACTATTTGTTTATATAGAGAGTATTTGGAGGTGTGAGAAATGTAACTGAGGCCAGCATGCTGTAAGAAGGTGGTTTGATCTGTGCTTCATGGAAACTCAGTGCTTCCCCCAGAGCTGAGATGGACAAGGAGTGGGTGAGGCTATGAATTCCCACCTTACTTCAGTCACAGTCCTTCTTTCTTAGATGTTTCATATATGTTGCAGTTATGCATGCAGGATTCCATTTAAATCTAAGCTGTCACTGCACAGGTTGAAAACCACTACTCCATTCTAGCTCTATGATCTTGAAAACAAAAATCCCTTCCTTTTTTTAGTGCTCAGTTCCCTTTACCTGTAAAATGAATGTGTTGAACTAGGAGTTTTTGAAGCTTCCTTCCATCTTTGACAGTTCATGATTTTGTGACTTTTACCATTGGCCAAGGTGGAACTTATTAATTTCATGAAAACTGACTAAATGACTGTCTCAGAAGTTATTAATTCAGCACAGCTTCCTCATCTTAGTGAGTTTTCAGCTGGCTAATGCCACATAACAGTCAGAAAATGCCAACATTGCTGGTGTGGGATGGAGTTAACAGTGTGAGATTTGCTAAGTGTTTCTGCGCAATCAGTGTGAAAGCAATCACATCTCCAGAGTGAGAAAGGTCAGTGCCCTGTAGCTGCCAAACCTCACCACACTAAGGGGACATGAAGGGGACTGCCACCTGCAGAACACAAATCAGGCTAAAAAATGAATACCCTTTGCAGTTGCAGTCTAATAGCACCGACTGTCAAATGATATTACTTTGGGAGATTGTTAAGCCCCCTTCTCAGTGCACAGCAGTGTATAAATCCCCTCATCTCATTTGATTAATCTGAGAGACTATAGAATATGTTATTAGGCATAGAAAACATGACTGCAATGTGACTAGTATTACTGAGCATGAAAATTCCTTTAAGTCCTGATTTTTTTTCTAGTTCCACATTGTTTGAAAGTGGGGGAACATTGATCTCAGTGAATGGGTATCCTATATAAATTAATGTTAGTGAGTACATACATGAGTGAAAAATATGATTTGTTTATACAGTGACTCAGAACCCCCCCTTCTACAGCATCAGAACTCTTTCTTTTGTTCTCTTTTACAACCTGTAACTTGGCAGGAAGGAGACTATAATACAAGCCGTGTTTATCTCTAGCTGGTAAGATTACAGTGATTTTTAACATTCTTTCTGTTATTTCTTATACTTTTTTTATAGTGGGCACATATTATAATACGAATTACCTTTGCTCATTTAAAAGTAATCCTTTTCCCAGAAAGGTCCCTGAGAATACTGTCTTTTTCTCCCATCCTAAAATGGAGGAATGTACCTGAAATGCCATGTGAAATAGATTAACTGAGCCCCGCCTAGGAAGCATGCCGCTTCTTCTTTTTCAAGACCTGCAGCCGCTGTGGCCTGACAAGCAGTAAGAAATGTGATAATAAAGACGATGAGCCACTCCAGGGCTGGATTTCATTTCTAGCTTAATTAAATCCTAGAAGCACACCTGACCTCTAGCTTTGAAGAGCTGCCGCCAAAGCCAGGTGCCCTCATCAGCTCGGGCTCACCCTGCAGTGATTGTGGGAAGCCAGCCTGAAAGGAGAGGGTAGAGGGAGGCAGAAGCCAATGGAGATGAAACAGTGGAGTCAGGAAGCAATATTTCAGAGACAGCCATTTTATCTGGTGGGCGATCTCTTTGCCCTTCTGCTTAAAAGGTAAACAGTGACGCTAACCTACAAATTGAAACTCCTCCAATGGCACCCCACTGCCCTGCCACCTGTCCCCTTCCACCACCTCCTCTCCCAGCTCCCTGCCCCCACCAGTTGTGGTAAATTGGGTACAAAATGCACTTGGTTGGCGCAAGTCCTGACTGGCCCATCAGTATGCATAGGCTGATTGGTGCCTCTTGCATTTACAAACTCCTAGTTGCTCTGGTCCCTCAGCCGCAGCTGACACCTGATGCTGCTACCTGGGGTCTCTTTGTTTCATATCCCAGAGGCCAGAAATGCTCTTGAAATGTAGATAAAGGAGAATAAAAGTCTTTGCCATGATTTATTGAGCCCAGAATTGTACAAGGAACTTAAAACTACATCACCTTGTTTTCACAGCCATTTGTGATGTATTAACAGGGTTTTACAGGTGAGGAAATGGAGCTCCAGAAGAGCTTCTTAGAAAAATGTCTTATATTCAAGATCTTGACACAGGGATCTGGGTTTATGGGATTTTTTTGAGGGGGTGCTATCAAGAGAAACCTGCAGGGAGGCACGGAGTGGGAGAGAAAATGGGAAGGGTGAGCAGGGATTTGGTCTCTGATATGGTTTTGCTGTGTCCCCATCCAAATCTCATCTTGAATTGTAATCCCCATCAACCCCACGTGTCAGGGGCAGGAGCAGGTGGAGGTAGTCGGATCATGGGAGTGGTTTCTCCCATCCTGTTCTCGTGATAGTTAGTGAGTCTCATGAGATCTGTTGGTTTTATAAGCATCTGGCATTTCCCCTGCTTGCACTCACTCTGTCGTGCCACCCTGTGAGGAAGATGCCTGCTTCTTCTTCACCTTCTGCCATGACTGTAAGTTTCCTGAGGCTTCCTCAGCAATGTGAAACTGTGAGTCAATTAAACCTCTTTTATTTATAAGTTACCCAGTCTCGGGTATTTCTTCATAGCAGTGTGAGAACAGACTAATACAGTCTCAGTACCCATTGGAATGCCAACTAACCCAGACTTGGGGGTGCAGGGAAGGTTTCCATCTGAGAAGGGGTCAACTAGGATTGAGAGTGTATCACTGAGCAGAAAGTACCATATTTTCCCCCACTACCACCTGCCAGCATCTTCCTTGTCTTTCAAGAATCATCTCATATTTTATCTCCTATGAAGTCTCATGACCCCAACCTGTGATGTCCTTTCCTCTTTGGTTTTTGAGCAGTTTATACCTTCACAAGGGTTGCTATAATTTTTAGAAAATAAGAGCATATCTATCTTTCTGACTCAAGTGTGGGCTTCTTGAGAGAAGAAATCTTGCCTTCTTTTGTGTATAATACCCCTGCATTGTACACAATGCCTTGTCCATAGTAGGCTACAAACTAACATCTGTTGAGTTCAGTACTCCTTGTATTTGGGGAGCCTTTCCTGGTGTTAATACTTTTGTCAAACTTTCATTCAGCATTAATACAATGTCTATTATTTGTGAATAGCTCAAGGGGCCCTTTGTTGGTGGCTGCCAGTTTCACTTCCTGACCACCTGTCCAAGAGTCTCAGAGTCCATGAAACAGCAACAGGAAGGTGAACATCAAGGTAATTCTAGCAGAGGTTTAGTTAATGGACCAGGAAGAAAGGCAGCTACATGGGGGAAGGGGAGGGGATGTAGAAGAAACAGGTTTATTAGAATCAGGAGGCTTGAAGCACCGCTCATTAGTCAGTTTGTGCATCTATAAAATTACACAAAGGTGCTGCCTGGCTGAACTTAAGGGGCTATTGTTGAGGGTCAAAGGAGACAAGATAGGTTAACTCTACAGACTGTGCAGATAAAATTAATACATGTTTATAATCAATGCTGGCTCAGAGGCAAGGATGGTAGGCAAAATGGCTTGGAATCCCTCCCTGATATTCAGGTGGCATATTTTACCTTCACCTGTGTGTGCACTCAGAATTCAGTGCCTCAGGGGAAAAAGAGAGAAAAAGGAAAGTCAGTGTTCTTTCTCTTTGCCTCCTGACTTTAGGTATCTATATATGCTGTAATTAGGGACCCAGATTACACTGCAATTTCAGAAAGTTTCCTGTTTAATTTTACAAAGACATATACACTTTACAATGCCTGACACCTGCTTAAGTAGGCAAATAATTGTTTCGACACTGTGACAGTTGTAGAAAATATGTTTTAAAAATTTCTGAAACCTGCCAATGGGATAATTAGGATCTAATTCTCATTTGCCAGTGCAATGAGCTCTCCAGGCCAAATGACTCCCTGATGGTGTGCCAGACACCTTTCCTGGTCCCCATGTGCTGGTGGAGATTTAGTTCCAAATAATTGTTCCATTCCTCATAGATGACTGATTTTCGACCTTTAATGATAATACCAATTATGTATTGAGTGTTTCACTTGTGGATTTCTTTGGATGGGGATTTTACTACAACTCATTGCTTGAAAAATCACTTTAATTTAATGGTAGGGCTATTCAGGACTTCACGATCCAGAGTGACCCTGTGGCTGGCCCAAGGCTGTAGGGCATAGGGCACAGAACTGGCACTCCTGTTCTGGGAAAAGGTGGCCAGGGAAGGAGGGATGGACTAAGGCACTGAGTCCAATGAAGCAGATAAAGAGCAAATCCAGGACATGAGGCAAAGGATCAGTAATAGAAGTGGCCAGAAGCACCATCTTGTTTCTTTGGGTCAGATTTAGTAGAGATCCTGGAAATGCTGGGGGTAGAGAAGGTGGTGTGGTTTCTTTCTTGGACTGCCAGGGCTGCACTGCTGAGCCATAAACTTGGGAGCTGTTGAGATGCTAAGGGCAGGCAGACTTCCAAGACCCTAGACTTGCTTAGGGTCTCCAAAGAGCATCTATTATATTTCTGTCATCTTGTGGATGAGGGAACTGAGGCCCAGATTAGTGAAGTGGCCTGTTCCAGGTCACACAGCTCAAAGATGTTCAGTTCAGGCAAAATTTACTCTGCTGGATCCTCCAGGGGACATAGAAAAATGCTCCAGTGTCTAGCCAGCTGCCAAAAACCTTTTTTCACATCTTACTCGGACTTGTGATTAGGTGAATATTGAAATGTCTTTAAGATCTATCATTTCTTTTTCAAGGGGTATGTCTTAAATCTTGTCTACCTGTGTGGACTAAATTGGTCATTGACACAGAAGTTTGGATTTTATTCTTGTCCATTTTACAGGTGAGGAAACAGATCCCAAGAGGTGAAGTGGCCTACTTAATGTCACATGGCTAGTGACTGAATCAGTGCAATAGAGAACTAAGAATTGACCCATGCATGTATGATTATGCTGGACTTTCTAGGTACACAGAGAGAGTTAATCAAGGCACTTGTAAGTCACTTATGGAGGCAAGGTTTTGTTAGCTACTCCTCTCCTATCAAGCAGAGGCTGGTGCCTAGGAAAGTGGGTAACAGAGACTGAGCCATCTCTTTCCTGGGTCCTGGGATTGTGCCATATGGAACAGGTAGACACAAGGGGAAACTGCTCTGAAGGTGAGAGAAACATCAGAATTAAGACAGAGAGTCATATATGAGAGCTCGTCCAAGGGGCAGAGGAAGAACAGAAGCCAGGTGAAGTGTTCATACACACAGAAATGTAAATACAAACAGTGCAGAAGCACATACAATGAAAATCAACTGTTCCTTGTCCCATCCCTTTTCTCCTCTGATCCACTTCCCACAGGTGAACCCTTTCTACTTTTAATTCTTCCAGTGGTTACCTGTGTAATTCTAAATAGTATGTGAAACCTGTTTCTCTAATTATTAATTTTAAACATCAGCTATAGACTCCTATTATGAGTGGCAAAGGACTGTCTTACTTGTCCCATTTTCTCTTCTCTTATCCTATTTTTTATAGTTATATTATTAGTCCAGGTTCTTCTATTGGTATGTTAATAATTTTAAAAAGTTACATCAAATGCTACATCTTGATCTGTCAAGTTGAAATAAATTTGACTTGCTGCTATGAGAGATGTTAGATGAAATTAGAAGCCCTGAATTTTCACTTTTCCCCCTACCAATTCTCACAATCTTCCAACAACATCATTAAACATCATCAAGGTTTATTACTTTTTCATTCTGTTTTATAAATATGCTTTGCCTGTAGCTTGGATTCAAAAATCAAGCACCAATGCGGGTCATTAGCAATATAATGATTATATATTATTCACCCCAAACCAAGTAGAGTGACTGGCCCTTCTGAGATGAGAAATAACACAGAGCATGTGCAACTTACACCACCACCTTCTCACCACCCAAGCTTATTTCAATTTGCTTCAGCACCTCAAAATCATGACACATGAATTTGCTTCATATTTGTAGCTTTTTGTATAGATTCCGTTTTTGTCTGAAGCTTCTAATTTTCATTTTTCTTACGGAAAAGAAACAAATTCTTTACCATTTTACAAAGATGTTCCTGCTTCATCACATTACCTATCAAATTGGAATCTACTTTTTTTCTTTTTCTTTTTTCTTTTGAGATGTAGTCTCACACTGTCACCAAGGCTGGAGTGCAATGGCGTGATGTCAGCTCACTGCAACCTCTGCCTCCCAGGTTCAAACAATTCTGCCTCAGCTTCCCCAGTAGCTGTGATTACAGGTGCCCACAACCATGCCCAGCTAATTTTTGTATTTTTAGTAGAGATGGGGTTTCACCATGTTGGTCAGGCTGATCTCGAACTCCTGACCTCGTGATCCACCCAACTCTGCCTCCCAAAGTGCTGGGATTACAGGCATGAGCCGCCGTGCCCCGCCCTGGAATCTACTTTTTAATGGAGACTTTTTTCTTGGAACTCTATCTAAATGTTCTTGTTGGGGCTTTTTATTTTTCACAGCCAATTGCATAGTTCTCTCTCTGGTTTTTATTTTAAATGTATTAGTAAATTTGGCTTATTGTTTTCATGGTTTCTATTTTGTGTTTTTCTTTTTTCTTTTGGTCTCAAGTTTATCCTCAAGTATTTTTTTTCTCAGTAAGGGTGTATAAGGAGATATCTCTGAGTCTTGCATGATTTAATATTTAGCCTTCACATTTGAGTAACAAGTTTTCGTGTAAGACTAGAGATTCAAGATTACTTTTCCTGCAAGCTTTGAAGCCATTTGCTGCAGGTTGAGTTCCCCAGAAGCAGAGATGGAGTTTAGGGAACAAAATCTTTATTAAGGATCAACACCTGCAAAAGGAAGGAGGCAACGGGAAGACTGGGCTAACTGAGCAGTTGAACGGAGACAGTCTTGAAAAAGCCTCAGCCGACATGGCAGGTGCCCTGGGTCATGGGTATTCATAATACTCATGGATATTATTTGCTGGGCAGAAATGGTTGAACGCTTATGCCCTCCCTCTGTCTGTCACCAGATACATGCTGCTCTGGGAAGGGAATGACCTTGCGTGAAGTGGCTGAAGCTGACCCTGAAGGAGCTGACAGCTGGAGGCTCTGTGCTCACTGTAGTCCGTTCATCTGGGTAGCAGGTCTTCCTTGAAAGGGGATCAAGGTAGCGCATCTCTATGTCTACCATAGCATTGATCCATGGTATTCTTATAAAAACCTGTTTAAAAAATTTTTCTCTTTCTCTGTAAGATTTAGGACACTTTCTTTTCCCTTGGCGGTAGGGTTGCTGTTATGGCATATTGATGTGGAGTACAAAAAGTGTCCTTCCTCTAGGTGGGTGCAGCCCTGCAGCCCTGCACCACAGAGCCTGGCTTGGTAAGTATGCGCTGGATTTGATCTCCACTGGCCCCTTCAGCTGGGTGCTGTTGTGCAGAGTAAAGCCTGTACATCCAGAGGCATAGCCCTGCTTGGTGTGCTCATGGTTTATGAGGATGTGTCCTTCTCATTTTGCTCAGCATTTGGTGGGCCTGGGCCTTTCATCCCAAGTGTTTTGGACCTTCGTTCTGGGAAATTTCCTTCTTTTCTTCTTGCTGTCTGTAAGTTCTGTGGGTCATAGCAGTTAACAGGTTTCACTTAAAGGCATGAGGCAGAGAGTATGTACACAAGTGAGGTTACTCTTTTAATGCAGCTTCCTCATCCTGTTTTGTCTGTCGATACGATTCCATATGCTTTCTCTCTTCCATTACTTTGCTAAACTTTCAGATCTGCTGGTGCTCCTTCTGTCCTCCCCATTGTCAGTGCTAATATGGATTTGTTCACTTTTTAACTTCTTTATTACAATCATTGGAATTTTAATGTGATTTTTTGATGGAATATTGTAGAGAGATAACTCCATGCATTCGATCTTCTATTCTGAACAGAATGCTTGTCTGGTATTCTGAATAACAGTTGACTGAAAACAGCAATGGCTTGAGGTTTTCTGTCAGTTGGGCTTTAAAAGTGGTGTTCTAACTGGAAAGAGGTGAGAGGAAATATATTTTGAAACTCTTTGCTTGTAGTAGACTCACTGTTTTTATTTAGGGTATATGATTACTTGACATGCATGACTTGAGGGATATTGGAGTCTATGGAAGGTCAAAAGTCACTCATCCCAAGGTGCCACTATTGGTTAGAAGAGATTTTACTGAGTCAAAAGTTGTTAGATGGATGCTGGCCTCCTTAAAGATGGCTCATCTATCTTGAGGAAGGGGTTAGGGAAGAATGGAAAGACAAGTAATTTTCTTCATTTTATTTAACTGTTTTCACAGAGACAACACGGTATAGACAATGAAATGTGTTTTATGCCAAATTTCTCATGTAACGCTCCCCAGTAAAGACACATACAAGTTATTTCTAGCAACATCCTCAAATTAGACCCTTAAAATGGTTCTTTCTCCCTTCCTTTCATAAAGGCACTTACTATGGACTGAATTGTGTTCCTGCAAAATTTATATGTTGAAGCCCTGACTGAATTGGAGATAGAGCCTTTACAGTGATAATTAAGATTAAATGAGGGCATAAGGTTGAGGCTTGAATCCATCAGGACTAGTGTCTTTATAAGAGGAGAAAGTCATGAGAAGAGAAAAGGCCAAATGAGGACACAGTGAGAAGGCAGCCATCTGCAATCCTAGGAGCAAGGCCTTGGGAGAACCCAAACTGCCAACACCTTGATCTTGGAATTCCAGACTCTAGAATTGTGAGCAAATAAACTCTGTTGTTTAACCACGGAGTCTGTAGCATTTTGTTATGACAGCCCTAGAAAACAAATACAATACCCTAAACTTTTCTGGGAGAAATTTTTGTGACACCCTTATTTGGAGTCAGTTTCAGCCAGATGCTGTTTCCCAATTATTTCTGACCTTTATGAAAGTCAAAGATGAAGTAATTTGGCAAAATACTTTGAAATAATTTTTCTGCTGGTATGTACTGAGTTTCAGAGAGAGAAAGAGAGATACCATGTATTGGATGTTGTTTTGTTTCTATGTCTGGGCTTGGTCCTCAGGGGATACAGAAGATCAATAAGACATGGTCTCTCTTCTTAAGGATTGTTTCCTATAGGTGGATCTGCATTAAATGACATGGATATGTCCACTTAGTGATAGACAGAGTGGACATGTCCATAGAGTGGATGGCTTTTGTAAAGTCTAAGAAAAAAATCCATAGAGATGGGAAATATCAGCTCAGTTGAATGACAAGCAGGTTGAATTGTTTCCAAAGGACTGAAATGTTCACTAAATTTTTACTCTGTATTTTCAAGAGAATGGGACTCACAAGATGTTCAGCATTGCTTCCTAATTGTCCGTGATCTTTCATGCTGGGCTTTCTTTGTTGCTGTTTACTGCTTAGCCTGGACAATGCTCCTAGTTCCATCTTTTACCTACTTCTATACTGAATGAAGCCTTTAGTGGACTCTAGTTACTATCTGAGTGTCACTTCCTACTATACCTGACCTTAAAAGCAAGTTATGCATCCTCTCTGTGTTTAAGTGAAGATTATTATCGTTCCTGTTTAACACACTTAAAGTACTCAGCTGACTTTAGGATATGTATTAAATATTCATTAGGTGTCAGTTGTGTCTGGAAGGTACTTTCCCACCTTCAAGGAGCAACTCAAGCTTTTTGTCCCCCTGCTCAGCTATATTTGGCATTTCTCCTTCTGGGCTCCTAGAGCACTTTCATGTATCTCTTATTTCACATCTCATGTTATAGAGATTTTTAAAATTATCTGTCACATACCCTGGTCTCTGAAATCAAGAGAATATTATATTTTATTATAATCTCAGTTTATTATAAAGGTGCCTGACACATAGTAGGTGTTCAAAGATTGTTGCTGATTAAATACTTATGACCTTGTTGTGGGGGGGAATAATATGTGGTTTTTGTACCAAAAAAAAAAAATAATAAATAAATGAATACTTAGGACCAATTGATCTTTGATTTGGGGTAAAGCATATAGAAAAATAAGAGAGGAAAAGATGGAGTTGAACTATAGAACATGGGCAAGAGAGACATTTAAGGATTTTATTATATTCAATTGCTTGGCTGTCTGGGAATTGGTGATTATAAAATATCTGATGTGATTTGACCCAGTGAAAATTGGGCAGGTGAATGAAATTCTATTTGGGAAGATTGGCATTCTTGAGAATTGACAAAAGCTGTATCTTCCATTAGCTTTAGCGTTATTTTGGATCTGATTACATGTGGCTATTAACGCCTGATCCTAACTACTGTAGAACCTAATATCCTCCCAAATGCCATCCTCCACAAATTGCAAAAGTATCTTCTCAGACAAAATCTGAGTTTCTCTCAACCTGCTGAGATGAACTTGCAATTATTTTTTGGCCTGGAGAACGTAACTTTAAGACGCAAATTTGAAAAATGAATTCCAAAGCACCATTATTGTACATGTAGAAGAAATCTTTATTTTGCATATTATTCACCTTGATCTGAATATTTGATATTGCTTGGTTTATGTGGGGTTTATGGTATGTGCTAGGGATTTTTCTCCTTCATAAAGGAGATGGCTCAGCCATCTACTCAAAGTGAGTTTGATTTAAATATCATTATTAGGAAGCTGAATTGGTTCAGAAGATTGTGAGACTCAAAGCAATTGTTCTGCTCAGCTCCCCAAGGACAAAGCAAGGGAACTGAGCCTTGTCCAGGACCATAGAAGGGTGTCAGCTTGGATGACAGGCTGGTGTTAGTGAAACATTTTAAAACATTGTTTACATGAGAATTATTTTTTAAAGAACTGTGGTGTGAATCACACTATTTTCAATCACACTCAGTCTCTTAGGTAGCTGACAAATTTATACACGTTATCAGTGAGATACATGGGTAGGTGGTAATTTTTTTTTTTCTTGTTAACTAAGAACTGGTACCAGGGAGGCCCAGGGTCTAGGTTTCATTTCTATGAGTTAGCTAGCTAAACTTAATTTCCTGGTGTTGATAGCTCCTTAATTTTCACTCTTATACAGTAGTCCCCCCTTATCCATGGTTTCACTTCCTGCAGTTTCAGTTACCTCTGGTCAACCACAGTCTGAAAATATTAGATGGAAAATTCCAGAAATAATTCATAAATTTTAAATTGAATTCCATCCTGAGTAGTGTGATGAAATCTCACACTGTCCTGCCTGGGATGAGAATTATCCCTTTGTCCAGCGTTTCCACACTGTAATGTTGCCTGCCCATTAGCCACTTAGTAGTGGCCTTGGTTATCAGATCAACTGTTGCAATACTGCAATGCTTGTGTTCAAATAACCCTTATTTTACTTGATAATGGCCCCAAAGTGCAAGAGTAGTGATGCTGGCAATTTGGATATACCAAAGAGAAGCTGTAAAGTGAGTGCTTCCTTTAAGTGAAAAGGTGGCCTTGATGTTCCTTGGCTAGGGTTTAGTGCTATCCACAGTTTTAGACATCTGCTGGAGGTCTGGGAGGCCATCCTGTAGGGATAAGGGGGGACTACTATATTTTTATAGCTGTTCTATTTTATTGCTAGTTATTGTTGTTAATATCTTACTGTGTCTAATTTACGAATTACACTTTATCATAGGTGTGTACGTATAGAAAAAAACAGTATAGGGTGTGGTACTATCTGTGGTTTCATGCACCCATTAGGGGCCTTGGAATGTGTCCCCTGCGGATAAGGTGGACTACTATGGTTAATATTCATTTAAACACAGGATACCACTGGATCCTCATGACTGCCCTGTGAAGAAGACAGTGATTCCCATTTCAGAGATGTAGAAACCCAGGCTCAAAGAAGCTAAATAAGTAACTCATGAACACAAAATAGTATGTGACTGTGATTGTCAGTTTTATGTGTCAACTTGTCTGGGTTATAGTCCCCCATTATTCAATCAAACATTAATCTAGGTGGTGTTGTCAAGACATTTTGCAGATGTGGTCAAAGTTCATAATCAGTTTTCTTTAAGCAATGGAAATTACTCTAGATAATCTGGGTAGGCCTGATTCAATCAGTTGAAAGCTCTTAAGGGCAGAATTGAGGCTTCCCAGAAGAAGAAATTCTGCCTTTGGACTGCTTCAGCTTGTGCCTGAAGGTTCAGCTTACTCTTCCTATGGCCTGATCTGTGGATTTTGGACATGCCTAGCCAGTCCCCACAATTGCATAAGCAAATTCCTTGCAATCAGATTTCTTAATATATATCTCCTGCTGGTTCTGTTTCTCTGGTTGAACCCCAGCTAATATACTGACCAAGTGATGCCTCAAATTATAAGAGCAACATTTTATATTTGTATTGAGCTTTACAGTTTACAAACTGCTTTCATAGATACTGTCCTTAAGGCTGTGAATAGGCAAGTTAATCAGTCATCATTTTTGTCGTCACCACTAATATAATCATCGTCTGATATCATCATTGCCGGACACTACCATCATCATCATCGTCATCACCATTTTATATTAATAGCTGAGAAAAAGACTATGCAACCTATAAGAGGCAGATCTGGGACCAAGGACCAGTTTTTCTAACTTCAAATATTATGTGCAAGATTAGCATCTACCTGCATAAAACTTCAAATGCCTTATCCTCCAGGTTTCTTGATGACTTCCAAAAATAATTTCCTTCATTATAGCTTATCAGCACACAGCTTTCTAGCTACCTCACCCATGGCAAATTCTAGACCTTATTATCATCGGTACTCATATCATTTCTAAAATCGCTATTTTAAACATGTATTTAAAAATCTCCAGTTATGACCTCTTCCTGTGGGTTCTTCTTTATCAAAGTTCTGGTTATTTTGAAGTCCTAATTTAAGTGGTCAGTAGTTTGTGTTCATGGTTAAGTGCATCCTATGAACAATGTGTTGTTGTTGTTTTTTTTTTTTTTTTTGAGATAGATTCAAGTCTCACTCTGTCACCCGGGCTGGAGTGCACTGGTGCAATCTCAGCTCGCTGCAACCTCTGCCTCCCAGGTTCAAGCAATTCTCACGCTTCAACCTCCCGAGTAGCTGGGATTACAGACATGCACCACTACTCCTGGCTAGTTTTTACATTTTTAGTAGAGACAGGGTTTTACCATGTTGTCCAGGCTGGTCTCGAACTCCTGGCCTCATGTGATCTGCCTGCATCGGCCTCCCAAAGTGCTGGGATTATAGGTGTAAGCCACTGCACCTGGTCCCTATGGACAATTTTTAATGGAAAATTTTAATTTAGTAACATAAAAATTCATTCTTACTCAATGAATATCTGTCTAGCCACCAAGATTCCAATGTGAATATCTCCTCTATCTCATCATAATGATATAGATGAGACCACATGAGCTATTTTTAAGCAATTATATATATGCGTATATGTATGTACTATATATTGCAGCATGTCAACCGCAGAACATATTTGAAACTGACTCCTTGAAAAAAATTATTAAATCACAAAAACTGAGAATCAAAATCTTGACACTTGTCATAAAGGTAAAGAGGAAAATAACGGCTAACAAAGGATACTTATAGAATATTGATGAGAACTGTCTGAACAACCTCAACTCCAGGCACAATTATAAATTAGGTAAGGATGGTTTGCCGTATCTTGGTGGAAGGCTTAAGAAGTCTGTTGTATATGTTGTATATGTAAATATGTAACCTCTATTTTCTGACATGTAGGGTTTTTTTTTTTTTTTTTTTTTTTTTTTGAGACAGAGTCTCACTCTGTCGCTCAGGCTGGAGTGCAGTGATGTGATCTTGGCTCACTGCAACCTCTGCCTCCCGGGTTCAAGTGATTCTCCTGCCTCAACCTCCTGAATAGCTGGGATTACAGGCGTGCACCACCATGCCTGGCTTGTTTTTGTATTTTTAATAGAGATGGGGTTTCACCATTTTGGTCAGGCTTGTCTTGAACTCCTGGCCTCAAGTGATCAGCCCACCCCCGCCTCCCAAAGTGCTGGGATTATAGGTGTGAGCCCCCTCACCCTGCCCCATGTAGGTAGTTTCATTTTTTAAAAAAAACATTATAGGCCGGGTGCGGTGGCTTACGCCTGTAATCCCAGCGCTTTGGGAGGCCGAGGTGGGAGGATCATGAGGTCAGGAGATCAAGACCATCCTAGCTAACATGGTGAAACCCTGTCTCTACTAAAAATACAAAAAATTAGCCAGACGTGGTGGCGGGCGCCTGTAGTCCCAACTACTTGGGAGGCTGAGGCAGGAGAATGGCGTGAACCCAGGAGGCGGAGCTTGCAGTGAGCCAAGATCGTGCCACTGGACTCCAGCCTGGGCGACAGAGTGAGACTCCATCTCAAAAAAAAAAAAAAAATACGGAAATAGCTAATGAGCACACAAAAACTGTTCAACATAAGAAGTCATTCAAGAAATGCAAATTAAAACCACAAAGAGATCCTAGATCATATTCACCAGAATGGCTAGAATTAAAAACACTTGGCTGGACGTGGTGGCTCACGCCTGTAATCTCAGCACTTTGGGAGGCTGAGGTGGGCAGATCACCTGAGGTCAGGAGTTTAAGACCAGCCTGGCCAACATGGTGAAACCTCGTCTCTACTAAAAATAACAAAAAATTAGCCAGGTGTGGTGGTGGGTGCCTGTAATCCCAGCTACTTGGGAGGCTGAGGCAGGAGAATCGCTCGAACCCAGGAGGTGGAGGTTGCAGTGAGCTGAAATCACTCTACTGTACTCCAGCCTGGTTGACAAGAGCAAGACTCTGTTAAAAAAATAAAATAAAATAAAGACGCGCAATATGGAGTGTGGTTAAAGATGCAGAAACACTGAGACTCTCATACATTGCTGCTGGGGGTATAAAACTGGTAAAACCACTTTGGAAAAGTTTTGGCAGTTCCTTGTAAAGGTAAACATTCACCTATCCCATGACCAAGTAATGCCACCCTTACATATTTACCCAAGAGAAATAAAAACATCTCTACAAAAAGATTTGTTTGAGAATGTTCATAGCAATTTGATTCATAATAGCCAAAAACTGGATACAACCTAAATGCCTATCAATAGCTGAATGGATAAATATTTCTGGTGTATTAATTCAGTGAAATAATGTTAAGCAACAAAAAGGAGAGGACTACTGAAGCATGCCACAGCCTGGGTAAATTTCACACATTATACTGAATAAAAGAGGCCAGACCTAAAACAGTACATACTGTGTGATTTCATTTATGTGACATTCTACAGCAGCAAAACTAATCTACAGTTATAAAAGGCACATGAGTGTTGCCTGGCATCAGAGTTAGGAGGATCATCTTCAAACAGAGTATAGGAACACTTTGCGGGTAATGGAATGTTCTACATCTTGATTGTGGTGTGGTTATGAGAGCAGGATGTGTTAATTTGCCAAAAGTCATCAAACTGCTTAAAATCGGTGCATTTTATTGTGTGTTAACTCTGTCTCATTAAAAATGAATATTGAACACATAAACATAAAAATAAAAAATGCTATAATGAACATCTTTATACTTAAAAAAATTTTTATTCCTTAGGATAATTCCTGAGCCTTTTGCACTTATTTTCTGAAACCACGTGAAATTGTGATAATTTGCTTGATATCAAAAAAGAATATATGAAAATAAATATCTAATTGATAGGATTTCTGGCAGGAACTGAAGTGAAAAATTTGGGCTTAGTTGGGGGAAAATATTTGGGAGTGGGGAGGGGGCTTTCATTCAGACTTTCAAATCTGGGTAAGGCCTGCTCTATTCAAAACATTAGGACTCTCTGAAACAGCTTCTTCCAGCTTACAAGGCTCAAAAGGGACTGGTTTTGTTTTATAAACTCCCAGTCCAAATCTCAGGAAGAGACTGAGCAGCATTTGGTTCCTGTGTGATTCTCAGCCTCTATTTTTACTCTTTTTCCTTCCCTCTGGTCCAGGGAGGAGAAGCCATATGTTGGTAGTAGTAGATTCTTGTGATGTCTCCCATCCTCTCAGCCTATTGGATTCAGCACACCTTGGTGAACCCCTCCATGAACTAGACAACATCACACAAGTGCAGAGAGGGGTGGCTCTCTACTGTCTCCAAAACCACCAAAGGCTACTCAGCTGCATGCAGGCAGAATGTGAAAAGTATGATGGAGTTGATTTCCCTGAGAGCAAACCTCATCTCAACCACTCAGGCCTCCCAATTCCCCAGTGGAACAGTGCTGAGATGAGTTCCATGTGGTTTTATAGCAGGCCCCTAGTACATTGAGCCCTTGTTGCCTACGGTGGTAAACAACTCAGAAATGTCCTCTATACTGGCTTTTCTTCCTTCTCTGTCTTACTTTCACTACTCCCTCAATTTCATATCCTCTCAAATAAACCACCTGCACTCAAGTCCTTGCCTCAGCTCTGCCTTTGGGGGAATCTGAACTCAGCACTCTTGCTGAAGGTGAGCTGTGCTTTAGTCCAGTCTTATTTCCACCTGTTCACCATTCAGTCCTCCACCCTGCAGGGAACACTCCTATTCATCTTTTCAGGCCCTTGGTGGAAACTTCTGTTGTTTACTTAAGTAACCAGTATGAACTCCTCTTTGTCATCCTGTTGCACTTCCCTGTATTGCTCCTCTTATCTCACTGTCTTGAGATTGTTCTCATCTCTGCATCCCCCTGGGATTTCTGAATTAGCATCAAAGGACCCTGGAATTAGCTAGCAGTACATGTAACTGCCCCTAAGCCATGAGCTCCTGTTGGTAGAAACTACAACTTGTTTTTGCATCTCAGTATTTCACAAATTATTGGCATAGAAGACCCAACGGATGATGGTTGAACAGAAGTAAAGTCACTCTGCAGGACAGAGGCACAAGCCCAGAGAAAATTTATTTCCTCCCCATCTTTTCTCCTGGAAGTCCTCCTTCTCATACTGTTCCTGCTCCCTGGCACTGAGCTGAGGTATGCAACGAAACCCATGGAACCTGTCTCTATAATGGAGAGGCATACACCCTTCAGGCCTCTGCACATAGTCAGGCTAGGTCCCTGCAGCACGTCTGGAGGATGGGGTCCCTGAGGCCTGGCTTAATTTAGCTGAGCCACTCCAGGAGGGATAATGATAGCACTGGGAGTCTACTTTTCTGCCCATTCTGTAACATCCTGCTGGCCTGCTTTCTGGGGCTCTTGACTTGGTAGCAGCCAAGAGACCTTTTCAGAGACTTGGGGCCTGATCAAGACCACTGAGCAAATCCTCCTTCCTTTTACCAGTGGAGCAAGCAGAAGAGTGAAGGGGCCTGGAAGAGCAATAGAGCGTCAAGCCACTTGGAGTTCAATTACTGGCCCTGCCATGTAATGACAGAATAAGCTTGGGGTCATCATTTAACTTCTTTAACACTCAATTTTTGTTTCACCAGTGAAAGCAGAACAAGAAAACTTATCATAGCATCATTTTGATGGTTAGATAAACTAACATATTTAGAATGTCTTCCATGGGATTTCAATCTTTTATTGACTATATATATTTTTGGCAGTCTGGTGAAGCCTATGGACCCCTAGAACAATTACTTTTAAACTTATAAAACAAAATATGTGGAATTACAAAAGCAACACTATGATACATTTATCAAAAGGTTTTGGTAAAATAAATGTGTTAGAATGTAATGTTTCTTTGTTCATGTATTAAAAAATAAGAGATCAAGCTGAGGGTCTGATAACTACTATAATTTGAGGTAAAGAAGCACATAAATGATATTTTGATTTACCTGCCAAACTGTAATACTGTACATGGAAATATTTGTCATTTCTATTGTTGACAAAATCACATTGTGGGTTTATAACCTACGTTTGTAAATGAAGAAAATGCCGAATACTTGTTAAAGAAGAGTGAAAATAAAGATGGATTTTATTCCTTCCAAGTTTATGGAACCCTGAACCTCTTGTCTAATGAAAAACACTTGATAATAGCTCATTCCCTTTCTTCTAATTTTCTCTTTCTGATGCCTTCTCTTACATAGTTCTCAAATTCAGACCCAAGGAAAGGGTCTGACATCAGGCATTTGGCCTGTGGGGTGGATAAGTGTATTTCCTTGCTTTCCTTTTCAAGAACTTTCTTCATTGTGGAAAAAATTGAAGGAATTTCAGCATAGGAACAAGGTGGACCTCCCCAGCCCCCAGGCAAAAATCATAAAGGGAGCAGATGAAATACTTTCCCAAACTTCAGGCTGGTCTCAAGGATTGGCTGTCGACTTGATTTCTAACCACTATCCTAGGTGGCTTGGCCTTTCTCCTGAGTGATCAGGGTGCAGAAGCCCAGAGAAATGGGACCCTGCTTCTTTTGGTCCTGCTTTGGTTCCTGCTCTGTTCCTGCTGTACTAGGGTAAAAGCCCATTAAGTGTATCTCTTCCCAACTCTGTTCCATGGTGTCTTATTTGTAACTTGAAACCAGCATGGTGGGAGCATTTACACCATGGAAATTAGCAATGATACACATCGAGGCTTCTCACCTCTAATTAGGGTATTAAAATCTTTCCTGCATCTCAGTGGAAAGCCAGCTGTGAGACATTTGTCAGTGCATCACTGCCTGTACTTTCTGCTTCCTGTTTGGTAATTCTGCTTTGACAAAATTGGTCATGCTTTGTTTACCACTCTCTGGTGCACATTTTTGTATCCCCAGAAAGGGACTTTCTATACTTTTAGTGTACCTTAATTTTGCACTGGAGTCAGCAGAGGACAACAATTTTTCTCTTTACCAAAATCAAAAGAAGGACCTCACTTCCCTGCTTGGTGAGTGAGAGGATTTTCCTTGTTCATGGTTTTCTGTCATTGAGGCTAAACAAGCAGGAGCCATTATAACTTGTGAGAAGAAACCACAAAAAGTACAGGCGATTTAGGATAAATGCATCTGACAGGGGTGTCAAGCAGGACTCAGCAAACTTTCTTTTAAACAGCCAGATAGTACATACTTTAGGCTTTGCAAAAAGACACAAAATGAGGATACTATTTAGGTGCTTATGTAACTGTTTAAAATGTAACCATATAAAAATATTCTTAGCTTATCAACTATGAATAAACAGGGAACTGTTTGGCATTGGTCTGTGGGTTGCAGTTTTCTGACCCCTGTTATGGAAGACTGACTTGGGGGATGAGAAGTAAGGCAAGGTGGTCAGGTAGGAGGCTGGTAGATTAAAAGGACCAGGACTAAGACTTGGCTGGTCACAGTGAGGAGGAAGGAAGGAAGAGGAAGAAGCTAGAGGGAACTTAAATATCTGATTAGATATGATGGATAAATGAAAGATGAAGCAAATGTGATCTGGAGGGCTGGCTGCAATTTGGGATTCACAAACATATTAGGATACTAAAAGCTTTGAAAAATCCTGCAGTAAGTAAAACTATCTGCTCAGTCCAGCGTTTCGCAAAGTTATTTATATATTGTGCCCTTTATTCATGGACTACCTACTAATGCCCCCAGTGAAGTAATGTATCATGGAATGTACTTTAGGTTTCATGGGCTTGCTCTATAATTGTGTAATCCATGTTGTAAAAGTGTGCATTCCTTGAAAAGAAAGTTAACAAATTTAGCATTTGTGTGTGTGTGTGTGTTTTGGGGAGGGTTATAAAATATGAAATACAACTCCTGTGGAAGGTGGTGTATTACAAATTAATGTAATCTTAATGCCTGGAAGAATTATGCAGTGATTCAACAGGCCAGATTGATTTAATAGTTTTTAAATTATAGATATAATTAATGAAAATTGAGAGTGCTAATAGTTGTTTTAAAACTATTTTGCTACAGTAAATTCACATGGCCCTTTAAAACCTTCATTTTCTTTTATATTTTTCTTTTTCTTTTGTTCTTTCTCTTTTTTAAAAATTTTAAGTTCCAGGGTACATGTGCAGGATGTGCAGGTTTATTACATAGGTAAACATGTGCCATGGTGGTTTGCTGCACCTATCAACACATCACCTAGGTATTAAACCAAACATATATTAGCTATTTTTCATAATGCTCTCTTTCCCCCTCCCCTCTCCCCTACAGGCCCCAGTGTGTGTTGTTCTCCTCCCTGTGTCTGTGTTAAAAACCTTCATTTTCAATCTTTTCAGTATGGTTATCTGTCTTTGAATCCTCCTTAACAAAATTAATTGTTCCTTTTTTGTTTAAAAAATTTTTTTTCTAAGATGCTTTTGTTATAGCATACTCCTTTATTTTTAAAAAAGTCCACAGCAATTTCTATATATCTCTCTTTTAGCACATCAGATTGCATTGTATTTATTTGGGTATGCCTATGGTTTGTTGGACTGAGTTAGTGGAAGATACTTATATTTCTTTTCCCAGTCCTTAGCAGAATGTCAGACATATAATATGTTCTCTTGGATGAATAAATCAATAAAAGTTTTGGAAAAGTGACCATTCCAACCTATATCTGAAATACAAATAAAGTTAGATCCTGTATCCCTCAGGGTCCAATCAGGAAAACAGAAACCATACCAGTAATTTTAACAGAAATAATTTAATATAGGGAATTGAATTGCTAAACAGGTGTTTGGAAAACTGTAACTGCAGAAAGATATAGAAACTACAGGAAATATCTTTCACCATTAGAGCAGGGGAGCAAAGGGTAGAGTGGATGAGTAGAACCTAGAAGCTTGGATAAAGGGCTCCATAAAGTTGAGAACAAGACCATGGAGCAGGAGGTGCCACCTGGCTGGTGCTGGTGTCTCTGCTGGGACTCCAGTGAAGCTGATTCTGGAAATACGGAGAAAAAAAAAGACGTAGACCCAAATGCTGCTGCTAGGGTGAAGAACCATTGCTGAGGGGATATTGACAGACACAGAAAGCAAACAGCAAGGGGCAAATCCCTTTGCTATCCTCTAGGTTTGCAGTCTTCCTCTAATACCCTTTATTGGCAGAGCCTAACAGGAAACCAGATGGCAAAGGAGAAATTTTGCTTGTGGAGTCCAGCCTCCAAATCATATAACAGAGAACAGGAGGGTGGGCGGTGCTAAGATAAAGTAGCTTAATAACCAGCCTAGTTCCCAACGTACGTGTATGGTCAATTTCCAAGTGGCCTGACTCTGGATGACTCAAGAGGGCTTTTCCTTCTCTCAGGAGCTACAATAGTCACAGGTATATTTTTGAGTCTTTCCTTTTTTTCTTAGACAGCAGAAGCTGTTCATTTTAGTAGAGAATATCATGGTTTTAATTACATTTCTCTTACAACTCAGGTTTAAATAAAGAGGAAAGATATTTTGGCGAAGAGCAAAACTATTTGGCAACTTGTTCTAAAGGGTTTTTCAGAGTCCCTAGATTCAGCTGTTTCTAATCCTGTGATTATATGCTTCAATTTTCCATTTTAAGTACCAGAGATTAAATGGTAACTCCTTTATTGCTGATGGCGGTGTTTAGTGGACAGCTTGGGGATGACAGGGCTGTGTGCAGAATCCAGATGCAGGAGGAACAACAGGAAAGGGGCACTCCGACCTTCCAATGGCCCTGTCTCCTGAGGGGGGTAAGGTGAGGTTTCAGTTTAGATGTCCTACTCGTCACTGCAGAATCAGTTTTTTCTTTTCCTTTCTTTTAACAGATGAAACAGTTCCAATGTGGAAGTCTGACTTGGGGCAATATGTGTAGTGTGAGGAAAGAAGATGATAGCTGGTTTTGAATCCAGCTCAGTCACTTGCTAGCTGGGTGGCCCTGAATGGTCACTTCACTTGACTCTTCACTTTATCATTGACAATAACTGTACTTGTCCTGCCCTTTTATTTGGCTCACTCTGAGGATCAAAAATATATGGCTAAATATGAAAACATATTGCAAAGAGTAAAATGAATAAAAACAAGGAATCAATAATGATCAGTTTACTTGGTTTTTAACTCATAGAAGTGCAAAAGAAATACACTATCCCCAACAATTCCTTTCTGTTATAGAAAAGTTACAGTGTGTACCTTCCTGGGCTTATGTTGCACATTTACTTCCATACAAATGTTTACCTCTAAAGTTATTATCAATATAGCTCTCAATGTGGAAGTGAAAATAAACCCAGGAAAAATATCTTTGTTTCCCAGGCCTATTCAGTTTTCATTATTTATTATTTGCAGTTTTTCTTGAGGCCAAAATGGAGTAGAAATCTCTAAAAATTTAGTTTGAATCTAGAGTCAACCTAGTTACAGCGGTAATAGCATTTATTATGTGCTTATGTGTGCTGGAAACTTTTTAAAGCACCTATACTGTGTGGCTCCTTAAAATAACCCTATGAGGTAGATTTTATTTTTATTGTCATTAATATGAAGAAATGAAGCATAATGAAACTTGCCTAAGGTTATAGATAGCAAATAATGGAGTGGGGGTTTGAACCCACATAACGTGATTCCTAAGTCTGAACCTTTAGCTACTCTATTATATTCAAGAAACACTCCTTGTTTAATCATTTGTATAAAGTTGTCTCTCAATGGCTTTTATTTGTTCACATAGAAATATTATTAAGCAAATACAAAGTGCTGGATGGGGTTCTAAGCATTCTCTATGCATTATCTTACCTTAATTCTCACCAAATTTTATTCTTAGAAACTAAAGTTCAGTTAATTTAAGCAAATTGCTCAAGCAGGTTCACACTTTTAACAAGTACTGAAGCTGATATTTTAGTTCAAGTCTACATGACTTTAAAATCTCTTAAAGCAGTAAAGTCACATATCTCTTTGCTAATATATATTCTTCCTGTTTCTCATGGACGCATCCCTCAAATTTCTCCAAACCTCAATGTAAAGCTCATAACAATGGCAGAGCTGAAATAAAGCTAAATGAAGATCAGAAATCATGCAGTGTCAGCAGTAGGAATATATACTAGGAATCTGGAGTGAGGGGTAATGAAATGGAGCTTAATGCTCAAACTTTGAAATTCTTAGAAGACAAGACAGAAAAAGGGAAATCTAGTGGTTTGTCTAGTTGTTATTGTCAGATGAAAATATGTAGACCGTTACACAGAAGACACAAACTTTCTCTAGCATACAAAGCCAAGAGAAATTTATCATGAGAAGTCTTATATTTGGACAACAGTTACAGTATATAGGGAATTTCTGCCATAAACAGCATGGTGTAAATGAATACTTGGTGAAAGATACCAATTAGAATTTATATCATATGTGAGACAGACAAGGCATTTCCAAAGTATATTTGAAGGAGAATGTGTTGTATTTATCTCTGACATCCTTATCAGAACTCACATTCTAGTGAAACAGATCAATTAATGTCATCGGATCTGTCATAATAACATGGGAAAATGGGTTTACCAACCTCATAGAAACACCTGGCTGGGCGCGGTGACTCACGCCTGTAAATCTTAGCGCTTTGGGAGGCCGAGATGGGCGGATCACGAGGTCAGGAGATGGAGACCATCCTGGCTAACACGGTGAAACCCCGTCTCTACTAAAAATACAAAAAGTTAGCTGGGCGTGGTGGCGGGCGCCTGTAGTCCCAACTGCTCAGGAGGCTGAGGCAGGAGAATGGCGTGAACCCAGGAGGCGGAGCTGGCAGTGAGCTGAGATTGCGCCACTGCACTCTAGCCTGGGTGACAGAGCGAGACTCCGTCTCAAAAAAAAAAAAAAAAAAAGAAACAACTGCATGTATGTGCCAAGAACCAATTGCTTACTTCTTGAAATACTAGAGTAAAAATTTTACAACAAAGTTAAAATTTGTTGAACTTCAACTTAATGGATGGTCTCTCTTTCCTTCTTGCAAGATCTGACTGAGGTCTAAGCCTTGCTCATTAATTTATTCATTTAGCATTTAATTTGGTCCCATATTAGTTAAGGGTGGCCTCAGGCTTGACTAGCACCAGGTAAATGAAAAAAGGAACAAAAGCTTGATCCAGAACCCAGTGGATATCAATGGCTTGCAGTGCTGTCATGGACTTCATGTGCTACTAAGTCAGCTGAGCCCTTACTTGTTAGTGTTGTGCTGGAATAGACAGAAAGTAATTGTAAATCATCCAGGAAGTGAGAAAAAGAGATACAATCAGGAGACAAGTCTGAATCTCTGAGATAGACTGCTAATGTCTCAAGGCCACTGAGACAATGATGCCTAGAACTGGGCTTATAACAGCATAACATTCTTGAGCTTGGGACAGCGGCACTTTAGCAAACTATGATCTCTCTCACTTAGTCTGGATATTTAAAATTCCTCATGTGGCATCACTTGATGGATAAAATTGCAAATAAGCAAGTTAAGGATAAATTGAGAGGCCCATTAGATCCTGGCCATGGATACAGATGTATAATCGTGGCCAGGATCTAGGGTTTTGCTCAAATCTGACATCTGTATATCTAAGTCGGTTGGTCCATTCACACATCCATCCACCCACCCACCCACCCACCCACCCATCCATCTAACAGAATTACATCCACTGACTCCCAAATTAAACCTAGTTAAATAGTAATAGAAAGGAAAACTAAATTTATTTATTTATTTTTATTGAGGAGTTTGGCTTTTGTCACCTAGGCTGGAGTGCAGTGGCGTGATCTTGGCTCACTGCAACCTCTGACTCCCAGATTCAAGCAATTCTCCTGCCTCTGCCTCCCAAGTTGCTGGGATTACAGGTGTGCACCACCACGCCCAGCTAATTTTTATATTTTTAGTAGAGACGGGCTTTCGACATGTTGGTCAGGCTGGTCTTGAACTCCTGACCTCAGGTGATCTGCCCGCCTCGACCTCCCAAAGTGCTGGGATTACAGGTGTGAGCCACTGTGCCCGGCCAATTTATTTACTTTATAGTAATAAAAGGAATGCACTAGAAATGACATAAAACATAAATAAACTATGCATTCATTATAACTACAATGAACATTTTATTAAAGCATTCTATGTGCCAGTTGCTTTAGTAAGAGCTAGGGAGGGTATAAAGATGAGTAATATGTGGTCCTCACTTTTTAGAACTTGAAGTCTAGTAGCAAGTATTTATGTTCACCTCTCTGACCTCGTGTCCTATACTCCTCCCTTCACTCATTCCAATCTAGAGACATTGTTTTCCTTCCTTTTCCTGAGACATACCAAGCATTTCTTGCCTCAGAGCCATTGTACTTGCATTCTCTCTGCCCAGAACGTTATTTTCCCAGATATGGGCAGTTAACTTCCACAATTCCTTCAGCTCTCTGCTTAAATGTCACAAGCTCAGTGAGGCCTTCTTTGAGTATTGTATGTATGATAGCAAACACCTCTCATCACTGGAACTCTGTGTCCCCACAATTTTCAATTATTTTTCTCCCTAATCACCATTATATATTATATATTCAGTGTGTGTATTTTTATATATATATATACTGTAATATATGTTGTATATATTTACTTCTTTTTTTGTTTATTATTTGTCTCACCCAAATCCCAACTAGAATATATATTCCATGAAAGGAGGGGACTGTTTTGCTCAGTACTCTATTGCTGTGTCCAGAAAAGAAGCTCAGTGAATAGTAGGTGCTCCACAAATATTGTTAAATGAATAATACAAGAAAGAAAAATAATACCGCTAATAACATAAATGACTTGCAGTGGAGAAAGAATATTTAATTTGGTTAGAGGACATGGCTTAGGAATCCTTGAATAAAAAGTTATTGCTTTACTTTGAAAAATAAAGTCCACATATATAGGACAGTTACATGGCTGACTTCCAAGGGAGATTTATCCAGCATTTCAGGAATGAAGGTGCCAGTTAGATGTGATGAATGACCATATGATGCCTGGAAATTTTTCCATTACCCTTTGAAATTTTTCTCCTTTTTTGGTTGTCTGGGACCATGTGGAAACAAATGGGTTTGACCTCATTTCCAGAACTGCTTGGGAAGATCTGTTCCTGCTAACCATGAACTAAATCTTCACTAGTGGCCTGTCTGTGCTTGATTCGGTGTTTTTATCCTTACAACCCTGACTACTGATGGGACTCAAGAGAAACACTGAGTATTTTCCTTGTCACAAAAGCCATCACTCATTAGAGTCTGGGAACAGGGAAGAACTCTAATATCCACTGCAATGGCTCAGTGGAACTAGGACTGCCAAAGAAAACAGGTGTTCAATGACTACTGGAACAAGTTTGAGACAGAAAATCCAAGCTGTGCATGGGCCCATGTGACCACTTTCCTTGTTGTGACTGTGGGTATCAGACAGGTAAATGATGACTCTCTGGCAGCCAGGAAAGATCCTTTGGGGCAGCTTTTTATTTCTGCATTCGTTGAAATAATAATTATTCATTCAGCATCTGACTTGTGCAAGGCTCAGAGAATGACCCAGTTTTGATCTAAACAGAGGATATCTCTAGTAAGTTTATGGACTCACCTAAGGTCCAGTAAGACTTCTCTTGAAGATTATGTTAATCAAGTAGCATTATTTGCAGGAAGGAGAAACTCATTCAAGCAAATTTCAGTAAAAGAAAGGAAATGGGGGAAATTTTCCAAAATACAAAGGCAGGAGCTGCAAAAATAGCAGCTCAGTATATGTTTTTCTACCAGGTGCTGTGCTCCCTTGACATCTACCTCAGTGTCTTCTTTCTTTCCTTGGACCTGCTTTCTCCAACACTCAGTGTTTCAGGCCTAAAAAGGCCCTTTCAGACCTCGCAGGATAGCATGCTCAAGGATCTGTATTCAAAGACCAACCTGTGTGTTCTATCCCAAACTCTTGGAAGAAAGAACCTGATTGGCCCAGCTCTTATTTGGGGTCCCCTTACATTCAATATGATATAACAAGGGGGTGGAATCCTGTGCCCTTTGCCCATTCAGCAGGTGTGTGGGAGGTGACTCTCTCAGGAGGTTGAATAGGGTTAGAAAGACGGCATGACTATATCTCTAATGTAGACCTAAAGTGCTTCCTAGAGCTAGGGACCAGGATTCTAAATGAGACCTGAGGGAATGGAGCTGTTGTTGACAAGAGCTGTTAGACAAACAGGACATGGAGGAGGGTAAGTTCAGATACCAAGAAGGAAGCCTGTATACAAAAGCAGATGTGATGGGAAGAACTGAGGCAGGTGACACTAACCAGGGACTTGCAATCAGACAAAAGACCATTCACCCTTCAAGACATTGAATCGTACACTACATGGGGCTGTCCTTGAGGGGAGGAGTGGTTAGTTTGTTCATCATCCAGCATCTAGCACAGTGCCTGGGACATGGTAGGTGTTTGAAACATGGTTGTTGACAGAATGAATAAATGAATGAGTGAATGAGGATACTTGAAGTAGTATCACTTCCTCTATGAAACGTTTAAAATCCTTCTTCCAACAAAGCCAGAATTCCCTCCTTTGTGCTCCCATTAGCTAACCATATTTTATGGTCATTGGCAGATGACAAATAAACCCCCACTACACTGATTGAAGTTTTAAAAATAGAAAGTGAGTTCTAATAATCCTAGAATTTCCAGCTTCAACCACAGTGCCTGGTTATGTAGGAGCTGCTTGATAATTGGCTATGTAATAAATATATCATAATAGTCAGGCCTTTTAATGACTCTGACCCAAACATTTGCTTTTTTTATTAAAAACTTGATATATTTATTTATGTTTTCTAATTATGAAGCAATATTATGTGAACTATAGTTGTAAGAAATAAGGAAAATTTAAAAAGATCATTCATAAATTTGTGTTTCAGTGCATTTATCCTTTTGGAGAGAAAATTATAATACAAACACATATACTCATATATATAAAATGAACATTTTCCCATATCAATAATTACTCTTCAAATCTTGTTTTTCAATACCTATGAAATATTTTATGACTACAAAATATTTCATCATATATATTAAAATCTTGGACATATAGGCTATTTCCAAATATTACAAATATTTTCTTATGATAATTTTCTTACACATGAAACTTTGTGCTTTTCTCTAGGTACAAAGTAAAATTACATGATTAAAAGGCATGGACACCAGGGCTCTTGATTATTATTGCTGGTACCTCTAAGGAGGGTAAATAATTCACTTGACACCAGTTGTGTTTGGTCATGCCCGTATCCCCACATTATCACCATTAGATGGAACTATAATTTAGAAGATGTGAATTTGATCAGTGACTCCACTTACTTAGAACAGGGCAAGAACTGTGGCTTGCCCTGGAAGCAGCGTCACTTGCTGACAGCATGAGGGCTGTAGCCGGGGAGAGATGAAAACAACACATTTCATGTTCTCAAGTAGTTTAGAGTCCTGGGTTTAGCAACATTTTATAAACACTTCATTTTAAAGCAAAGAAGAATAAAATAACCCTCAATACTAGACAGTCAGCAGGAAGATAGGCACAGGCTGCTTGTCTGCAGGAGGCCTTGGACATGGGTCATTTCTCACGGTGCTATTGAAAGGAGATAAGACAGGCCTTTATGGATACTTCAGCCTGGTGTGATGTTAGAGGTGGGAGGCAGTTGCCCTGTTCATTGATGACTGGGGCATCTTTGGAAATTCATCAGATGTCAAGAGTGACAGATGAGGACTTGGATAACTGGAAGGCCACTTGACTCTGCAGAACCTTATACTGTGGGGTTCCTGACAGTGCTTAGGAGTGATGGGCAGCTCAGGCATCCTGGCCAGATACAATGAAGCCCAGGGCCTGGGCTGCCTCAGGGGTGACTCAAGGAGCTCCAGTGGGGAGTGAATAGGAAACATCAGGCTACGACTTAAAGTGGAAGCAGGGCTGGGCAGGAATTTCTTGGGAGGCGGATGGTCATTTTTACAGCATTAGGGGTAGAAGCCGTCTCTGTGAGAAGAGACTAAAGATAAAGAGACTAATAGATTAACATTAGTCCTAGAGAGGAATAGACTCCTAGACTTGTATCTTATCTTCTCTCTCTCCCTATTTCAGATTTGTCCCATCTTTTCTGTACTCACTCTAATGTCCAAAAACTTAATTTATTAGGTAGAACAATTGAGTTATCTTAATTTCCTTGTCTTCTTATGCACCAAACTTTTGGGGTTTCCATTTCTCCGGTCAGTGCAGTCTAGCAAAGTATTTTCCTTAAGCAAAAATTATTTTCTCATAAGAAGATACTTGGTTCCAGCTATTAAAATGAGTTTGTAAAATCTTGAATAATGGAGATCATGGCCTATATCAGATTCTCAACAGACAATAGATTTACTCAGGCCCCTTGGCCCCAGATTTGTGTTGACCCCCTCCTTCCTCCTTGTGGAGGGCAGAGAGTTCCTTTGAACTATGTGGTAGCTTAGGCCAGGTGGTTCTTAAAGATCCTTTATTTGGGCACCAAGGGCACAAACTCTTCCCAAGATATGATAGGTCTGGTCCAGCTTTTGGAAGGGAGGTTGCCCCTGAGAGAAATGTCTAGGCTCAGCCACTGTCCCTGTACAGAGTGGGAGTTCAGAGCACCTCTCGCTACAAAAACTCAGCCACTGTAGTACACGACACCAGCGCCTCTCAGTGGGGCAAGAAACTGCTGAGTGTCTAGGATGGATGTGACCAAGACTTCCCACCTTGTCCCCTTATCCCTTGTTTAGTTACTTCCTGTCTTGCAAGTAAGACAGGGGTGAAAGAGACTCTCCTGGTCTAATAAGGAGCTGCTGGAGAAGAAACTGAGGGATTGTTGGGCCATAGCCCACTAGAGAGTGTTAGCGATTCATATTCCCTTTTCTTCCTGGGTCCTGGGTGGATTTCCCTGCACACGTGGGAATTTCAGTCTATTGCTATAGAACACAATTCTGAGCTGCAAGTGAGAGAAAGCTGAAAGACATGTCTTGACTGCAATGTGTGAAAGGCTGGGATGATTCCTGCCACCCCACATTCTACGTAAAAGGGAAAAGGCGCATAAATTTATTAACTATTATGTGCTTAGAACTATAAACTGGAGTGGATGCCATTGGTATTCCACCCAGACATCCTCAGATCTTTTACCATGCCTATTCCCACTTCGCCCAGCTTCAGTGAGCATTTGCTCCCAAATAGCCCCGTGCAACTGTTCTTTGGAGGCCTGTGCTCTGGCTGTTGGAGTTGCTTTACCCACATATGCAGAGAATTTAAAGTTCTTACAAGTTTAGTTTTCCCTTCTAGATGCCCCGGGAAGCTTTTAGCTAGTGACTGATAGATGCAAGAATATGAATGCCCAGCTCTTTTGCCTCCAGTAGAAAACTCTGAGGCTTGACTTACACACCAGAGCTGCCCTGCCAGGTCAGGCTGAGGCCACTCTTCGTGGGACTTTCCCTGAGATCACAGCCTTCCTGTGTTGACTTCCTCCTCTTCCCTCTCCTGCTTCACACACACCCCTACTGGTCCCCCTGGAAGCATATTTTAAAATAAATTACTTGTATATGAATCATGAGTCCTGGTCTTGAGTTCTACTTCTGAGGAAGCTGATCTAAATTTTCCCACTCTCATTTGCATTTCATATAAACCTTGTGAAGTGTTATTATCCCCCTTTTGCAGATGAAGAAACTGAGGCTCAAAAGGTAATAATGTATCTGTAGCTTGTGACTTAAATCCAGCTATGTCTGACTCCAATGCACTGAATTCCCCGAAAAACAATCAGCATTTACATGAAGTTAGCCAGTGGTTTCAGAATTTCAGGTTCTTTTTCAAGGTTATGTAGACAGTTGTCTCCTGAACTGAATCACAGGAATTAAGAAAGTCTGGACTCTCAGACCTAACTACCTCCTACGTGTATCAGCGCTCTACTTCAAGAGTCTGTTTTTGCCTGTGGCTCTGTACAAGTCAGTAAGCTCTTCCGGGACCCAAGCCATGTGCAACTAATTGCAAAATCTCCAGAGCCTATTGTGGTACTTGGCACATAATAGGCTCTCAAACAAATGTACTTTCAATTAAACAACCAGCCACAGGGCAGTTTCCTTCACAAAAAGTCCACTCTGGATAAATAAATTAAGTCAAAATTAAGGGATTTTCTAAGTCCTTAAGAAGAATTGCCATACCTTGAGTTAGTCTAGTACCTATATTACAGCTTAATGCAAAGACTCCAAGCCAATGTTCTCTCTATTTAGTGTCTATCCTCTGATTTATCCTTTCCAGCAACATTAACTAATTCTATCATAAGGTTTTTACCCTTGATTCATTTTCAGATGATATACATATTTTAAGGCCCTAGTGACATCAACTCTAATTCTGGGGAATTATGAATTCCTCTTCCTAATTTTCTATGCAGAAGTCTTCCACTAAAATCAAGCCTGATCATTATATTGGACATCAAACATGAGTAATGCTCAGGATAGGATTTAACCACTTTTGGGGTCAAATGATGGCATTATTATTGTTTAAACTGTGGATCAATATTATAACCTCTTGTATTTTTCCGTTGATGCTGCTAGCATATTTTCCTTGCTGTGCTTTTATCAACTCTCAGTGTACCGACCCAGATAATAATTCAGACAAATATTATGGCCCACAGTTCCTGGAATTTTTTTCTTTTGAAAGCTATGTAGGTGGACTTTGTGATTATGTAAGCATAAAGCTAATGGGATTGGCGGGAGCCCCAGCTGAGAGCAGGCAGGTGCTGGACAATCTTCTCTCAGCCTTGCTCTGCTAATGTCTCCCTGGGTGTAGGCTGGCCTCGTGCTGCTTCTGTTATGCAGCACAACAAGATAACTGCCTGCTGTGCCCTGTCATGTCTTAGTTTCCAACTGTAACTGAGAAATATGGGGACTTACTTGGACTCCAGCAGCTTTTAAAGTTATAACTACAGAGGCAGCTCGTATCTAGAATCAGAGCTTGTAAGTTTGGTTTGTGAGACTTCTGTGGTAATAAATGGATTGAGCTAGATGCTTATGATGTTAACCCCAAAGCTTTATAGAAAATAGTGCTGGGGCATATATATCAGTTATCTATTGCTGCATAACAAACTACCTCAAAACTTGTAATCCCAGCACTTTGGGAGGCCAAGGTGGGCAGATCACGAGGTCAGGAGTTCGAGACTAGCCTGGCCAACATGGTGAAACACTGTATCTACTAAAAATACAAAAGTTAGCTGGGCGTGGTGGCACACACCTGTAATCCCAGCTACTTGGGAGGCCGAGGCAGGAGAATTGCTGGAACCTGGTTGGCAGAGGTTTCAGTGAGCTGGGATCGCACCACTATACTCCAGCCGGGGTAACACAGTGAGACTCTGTCTCAAAAAAAAAAAAAAAAAAAAAAAGCATTGTTACTTTCTCATGATTCTGAGGGTCTGAAATTTGTACAGGGCACAGTCGGGATAAATATCTCTGTTTCACTTGGTGCCTGTTGGGGCTGGAATGCCCAAATCAGTTTCTTCACTCATGCTTGATACCATGGTTCAAATGGCTGGGGGTGGCTGAAATAGCTCAACTAGGATAACTAGGATCAGAGGTTTGGCCTTGCTGTTGACTGCTTTCCTTCATATAGTTTCAGGGTGTCTCTCTCTCTCTCTCTATATATATATATAGAGAGAGAGAGAGTTTATACTCTGTCTCTGTGTATATATATATGTATATACACACACATACGTATATATGTATATGTCCACATATATCTCTCTATATATGTATATGTCCGTGTGTGTGTGTGTGTGTGTGTGTGTGTGTGTGTGTGTGTGTGTATGTCCTGGTCTTGAGTTCTACTTCTGAGGAAGCTGATCTAAATCATCCTATTCTCATTTGCATTTCATAAAAACCTTGTGAAGTAAAGTAATACATATAGTCTTTCCAGCAGAGTAGTCAGACTTCTTATTTGAGATCTCAGAGATTACAAGAGTGTAAAATCAGAAATTGTTATGCAGCAATAGATAACTGATATACATGTCCCGGCACTATTTTCTATGGCTTCTTAAAACCTAGGCTTAGAAGAGACACTGCCACTGCAGTTTTACTGACTCAAATCATAGATCAGTTGAGATTCAAAGGGAGGGAACTCTGTAAGACGTGAATAATGGAGGTGTGATTTTTCAAAATCCACTGATGTAATAACCACTACAGCAGGGTTTATAGACATGGGAAACACAGAATAGCAGAGTCTACTGGGGATTGGGAAGTGCCTAGGGTTATCAAGAGAAAATATAGGGTACTAAGGTAAATTTGAATTTCAGATGAATAACGAATAATTTTTAGTGCAAATATGTCTCATGCAAGTCTGCATAGCATGTAATATTTCGGACTTAGTTATACTTAAACATGGTTATTTATCTGAAATTCAAATTTAATTGGGAGTTCTATATTTTTGTTTACTGTATCTGGCAAACCTAGATGAGAGACTTGTGAATAGCACCAGGGGCCAGGTCCTACAAGCTGTTTATTGTTCTAGTCACAAGGTTGTTTAGGTCAAGTGAGGACCAGGGCATGAGAATGGAGAGACAGAGGGCAGACTTTCAAAGCCAGTGAGAACAAGTGGGCTGAGCAGGAGGCCTGAACATCCAGGTGGTGTTCCAAAGTGGCTGAGATTGTGACATGGGACTCAGACAGACCAGAGAACGATTCTCAACTCTGCACAACTGTACTGACAATCAGTTTTTATTTTTCAGGCTTTCAAATAAGGTGGGTAATAGTGGTACTTCATAGCGTTGTGGCAAGAATTAAGTATAGGGGTGGCTGGTAGGTAGTAAGCACAGAGAATAGGTTAGGTGTAATCACATCAGAGTAACAATTATTGTGATGATGATAGTTTTGTGAGTATCCAAGCTGGAGCAGGAGGAGTGGGGAAGAGACACACAGGAAACTAACATCCCCAGAACACATGCTAGGTCCTGGTCCTGGTGCTTTCTATTCTCCATTTTCCTTAATCATAATTGCATTTGCAGGTGTAATAAATCAACTTTAGAGATGAGTGAATTGGCTTAGAGGAATTAATAAGTTTGCCTGAGTGGCAGTTGGGTTTGCCTGAGACCAGAATCTTTTCCTATAAAGAAAGATGAGTGAATATAGTTCCTGCAGGTTGACCTTCATTCATGGGCCTCCAGGTCATATCCTGCTGCAAGGCTTTTCCTACCTTGGCCTCTGTGCTGCCTTGACTCTGAGCCTTCCCTTCTCATTTGTGAAATGGGAGAGTAATGCCCACTTTGCTTCTCCCAGAGTCTTGTTGGAGGTATTCACTGTGGTAAAGGGCATGAAGGCATTTTCAAACTCTAACATGCCCCATGGATGTTGAAACTGTTCTTGAAGCCTAGCACATAAAGCATTAATCCTGTATTCTTCTAATTCCAAGCCATGTTAGGATAAGAAAGGCAGCCCTCCTGAAGGCACTGAAGAGGGGGCTTGGCAGTGTAGAAAGAGAGAGAGGTGAGTTTGTGTGGTGTGGTGTGTTGTGGTGTGCTATGCTGGTTTTTCCCCCTCTAGAACACTCTAAGACAAGATTCCAGAGGTAAAGCTTTCCCCAAAAGACTTACAACAGAATTTAAGGGCAAAACAGTGGAGTAGGGCAAGGCTCATTGCTTTTTGGTAGCCTTGCAAATAGTCCCTTGCCTGGGGCATAGGGAAGTCTAGTCCAGTGATTGATAAAATACTGATTTCACACCTCTTTTATTGTCTGCTAAAGATTTGGTACATATTTTTAAGACCACTATGAACTTTTAGACTTCCCCAGAGACCAGAGGCTTAGAAATATATGGGAAAATATTGTCATTATCTATTTTATGGGTGAACATGATGTAAAGTGACTGACAAAGCTTGAGTGAGCTGGGTCGTGCTTCTTGCTGGGGTTTTTTCTTTCTCTAATTCACCCTGGGTCTGAATATCTATCCTCCTTGCACATTGGACGTGCAGCTGCATTCATTATTCTCACCAGCTCTGGCCAGATCTGCCACATAAGGAACAAAATGGTCTGTAACCACAGACTCATATCCTGGGCAGTAAATTATGATAATATGACAAGAGAAGGTTCTAGCTCTGACACGTTTTCTAAGTTTACCAGAGGTAACAGCATCATTGCTGGTGGGGGGTGTGTGTGTGTCTGTTTGTGATGGGGGTGGCATGGTTGGTAGGGATGAGTGTAAATGAGTGTGTGGGCTTCTGAAAGGCATCTCGTGCACACTACAGTTGACGAGAGTGGCGAGAGTGTTTGCTGCTTGGTAATGAGATTCAGTGTTATGGGGCTGTTATTTTTAGTGTTTAAGCTATGAAAATCTCATTTTCTCCCTAGAGGCTTTCGTTCTGCCATTCTTTAGTACATCAGGTGAGAAATCAAGTGTCATCTGTTAAAAACGATAACAGATCCAAAGTTAGCTCGTAAAAATGACTGTTCCCCCCAAGTCTCTTTGGTTTGGTAAGAGCGATTTTATAAATTGTGATTTTGATTTGAGACGAGCTAGGAAGGGACAACAAAAGAGAGAGGAGGTTTGAAAGTCTTGAGTTAGAGAAATAATTAAAATTAATGGAACTTGATTCTATCCTTTATGGATAATTAAGTATAAATGTCCATGGTAAATCTATCTCTATCTTGCATTTAGTGTGTATGTGTTTGTGTGTGTATCAGATGTCTTTTTGATGTATTCTATGACAACTTTTTGATGATTTTGGTCTAAATTCCCTTCTTTGGTCATCCTCATATTACATGCTCACACATATTTTATGGTCGTTGGATTCCTTGAACAGAGTTAGTAAACTGCAAATCTTAAAGGTCCAGAGGCTTTTCTACTTTGACTATATAGGCTCTAGAGACAGAGATTTTTATTGTTCTATTTATTTTTATTTGGTCGACTATTGCACAAATCTGGTCAATTACTGAAATCCAAGGGGCCTGAACAAGAAGGTTTCTGTCTTTGTAAACTTCACTGCCATGGCTTAAGTACCAGCTATCTGGGTAATAACTTCCAAAAGTAACTTCAGCAATTAAAGTTTCCCATAAAGGTCCAACTTTTAAGTCCAGCTGCCTACTTGCCAGCTCCACTTAGGCGTGTAACATGCATCTCAAACGGAATATGTCTCCAATCAGACTCTTAATTCTATTCATACCTACCTCTGATTTACTTCTGTTGCAGTATTCTGCTTTTCAGTAAATTCTATCAGCTTTATGGGTCAACAGTCTTGGGGTCAGGCTTGATTCCTATTTCCCACTCACAGTCCATACACCCAATTTATCAACGAATTCTGTCAGCTCTACCTTCAAAATTTGTTCAAAATCTGACCGTGTCTCATCACCTCCACTGCTCCCATCCTGATTCAAGCCACCTCCATCTTTTGTCTTGCCTGTAGCAATAGCCTCCTAACTGGTTTTGCCCCTTCCACCACCTATCCTGCAACAGCAGTCCACATGACCCTTTAGAAACATTGACCAGATGATGTTGCTCTTCTGTTCAAAACCCTCCAGTGGCTTCTCATATTGCACACAGTGAAAGTCTGATCCTTCCATTGGCTGTAGGTGCTCTGTGGGCTGCTCCCACCTGCCCTGCTCTCACCGCCAGCACAAGACTCTTCATCCACCCTCCTCTCTTCACTCTCCATGAATGTGCATATTCTCATTTGCTTTTTTCTCTGTCTGGAACGCTTTTCTTCCACATTTGTGCATACTTTCCCCTCATTTCATTCTGTCTCTACTCAAGGTCACCTCCTCAGAAAGATTATCTTTCAGAATTTAAAACAGTACTCTCATTCCCTATATTCCTAATTCTGCCTTCCTTAATCTACTTTATTCTTCCTTAACTTCCCTTATGGTCATATGCCGATAACTATTTGTCTGTTTCTTCCACTCCAATGTAAGCTTTCTAAAGCAGGATTTTTTTTTCTTTTATTGCTGTTTCCTGTGGCTAGGACAATATCTGGCATGTAGAGGTTGCTCAATACTTATTTGTTAAAGAAATGAATGAATGTGTGCTCTACTGATGCTTTTACAATGTTCTCGTAAGTTCTTTCTAACATTAGTGCAGTTATTTTATGTTAATGCTCTGGGATGCGATGCGAGGAAATTTTCCATAACAAGACACTCTGAAAGTGGAGTGTGATTCGTCACTCCTCTCTTCTCACTTACTGAAAGCTCCTTGTTCTGGGGAAGAATCTGGTCAGGGCAGCCCTATAGTAGGCCATCCAGATATCCAGATGGAAATTAAAAACCAGCAGAAGAGCAAGGGATTACAAATCCAGGAAAAATATGGGTTACTGACTTCCTTCTTTCTTTTGGTAAACATTCTGAGAATGACTTCTTTCCAAAGTCATTCCCTGGGAAGGGTAAGGTGTTTCTTGAGGCAGGAGAGCCTTGACAGCTCCCTGGTGACATCTGGGCCCACTTTTGCTTTTTATAGCAACTTAGAGGAAAATCTCTTAGTTATGATGCTTCTTTGCAAAACCTAGAAATAAGAATTCAAAACCAAGCTATTTTACAACTTTAGTCTCCTGACTCGTCTATTTTGCTTGGTTCTTCACTCTTTCCCCTGTTCCCCTATGAAGCTTGGTTCAGTCAGATTATTTTGCCTCAATGTTGTGAAATATTTCTCTGCTTTCTCATCAGCTTAGAAGAAGTTTCTGTCAGGGGATGAATAGGTGAGTAGTGGGTTTCTTAAAAATAACAGAAAAAGGCTGTAAAAATTAAGATGATTGTAAAACCTATGTAGGACGCTGTGTTTTAAACAAAGTCAGGGATGACTCTACCCTCATTTCATTTTGTCTCTGAGGGGATTGAGGGGAAGTAATCCTGAGTCATGGTCACACACAGTCTGGCAGATCAAACTCATTTTCCTGATGTCCCTAGGGGCAAGGATATAGGGTATCTGTAGCTGTCTACAGCTGTATATTCCAGGGGCTCTCTAGGCCATGAGTTATGGCTGTATAGACTTGGTCCATGCCTAACAGGACCTTCTTATGTCTGATGGCAAAGTGAATGCTTTCAAAAAAATTACTTCTTTTTGGATTTTCTTTTTCATTATTGTCTGCAAAATGAATTCGATTAGTCATAATGCTCTCTTATTTTGGTGTGTTTCCCTTTCTGGTGCCTTCCAGCTGCATGGTATCTCTGGGTGGAGGAGGAGGGGAGTCTCAGGCCCATCAGGGAAGGAGAAAACTTCCGTTGCCCCTTAGTATATAACTGGACTTCTGATCCACTCTATTTGCTGGGCTCACGTGGTGGTATAGGCGAACTCCTGTTCAATGTAGGGGAGACCGTAGCCTATCTGGGCTGCCTTCTGTTGCTAGGCTCAGATCAGAAAATGCTGGACCTGGATCGCCTCTTTCGTAGGTTGGAAGGACATAGGATACCCTGACACTGCGTCACTTCTCCAGTCCTGGGTTCTCAAACCAAGGCACTGTCGTCTTCTACCTCTCAGAATTCCCCTTTCATTGTCTCTTGAGTTATTTTTGCAATGTTTATTATTGTGCATTGTGGAGAGGACTAGAGGGGGCAAGAATCTGCCAGCTCATCCAGGTCAGAAATGGAGGAGTTAAATTTTAGAATTAATTTTTAGTCTAATACTTTTATGATCTGAGAAAGCAAATATTTTCATGGTCTATAAGGCTAATTACTTCTGGGTAATGAAGTAATGGTAAGCCTGGTAAATTCCATTTGTATTAGTCATTACCTGCTTTCTTTTACTCTGAAGTGAGTTCCATTGCCAGGCGCAATGTTGTTTGAGATACCCTGATTGGACATCATGATGTGCAGGAACAAGCATGATGTCAGGAAAAGAAAACTTCAGTTAGAAACAATTTTACTCCATTGAGGACTAGTTGCTCTCCTGCACATGATGACAGGAGTAAAATATAATTGACTTGTCAGAAGGTATCCGGTTGGCCCCAGAAGGTATAGTATCATCTCAGGAGATCAAGGTGGGTGATGTGTTTCTGTTTTTGACTTTCATATGCTGATTCTTTTCATCTTTTACTATAATTTAAGGCATCTTTCAATATTACATCATTTTTGTACACATTATTTTTAATAGTTTTAAAATAATTTGTGAAGTGGCCTAAATGTAATTAGCTTAGTCATTCCTCTATTGTTGCTTCAATATTTTTTTTTTTTGCTAGGATAAACAATTCTGTGATGAAGGTCTTCATACATAAATGTTCTGCTATGCTTTAACTCCCTTTGTTAGAGAGTCCATAAGAACTTTGGAGCCAGTCTGCCTACATTCAGATTCTGGTGTGTAGTGTTGTGCAGGCTGTATATCAGCTGAGGCAAATGGTACCTCCTGATATAGTGAAAAGCATAACCTGCACAGCCATACATGGCAGCCCTGAATCTTGGCTCTGCCATATACTTACTGTATGAACTCTTACAAGTCCTTTTACAGTTCTGCTGCCTCAGTTTCTGCATCATTAAAGTAGAGAAAATAATACCTTACAGGCCCAGCACATAGCAATTGGTATGTATGTTTGTTGTTATTAATATCGTCATTGAGTATGACTTTTGTTGCAAACTACCAAGTTGAAGCTCATTTTTAAATGACTGAAGATACAGTGTAATCCTATGATCTCTGGCTGATGTCATGGTTTAGATTTAAGGCTCTTCAAGAACTATAGAACAAAGTAGATATACTCTTGGTGCCATGTTGAGGAGAGGTTGAAATACTAAGCCATGTTTTTCAGAAAGGAGATGCAGCACACATATGGAAAGTCAGATGGCCCTACAGGGGAGTGGAAGCCCCCGAGGACAGGTGTGATTATGGGATTATGAGTTCAAAAGAGGAAAAAACAGTAAAGAAGGCAAGTGGAGAAGAGGTTGGTGGATGAGAAGCCTTCCTTGCGGGGAAGGGTGTTGGGGGAGATGATTGCAAGGTCTCTTATGAGCAGGTGGAGCAGTAGTCTGGTTCCTATGAGAGGCAGATGTTTAGGCACCATCTGTCACAATCAATTCTGAGTCTGGGTGTTTTGCATACCTTTGGCTTCATGGGGCATTATGTTCCAGATGAGAGTCACATGCTTGCATCTATTCTCCCTCTCTGAACATTTTCCTCCAGAATGATGATCACCCTATTAACCAATACCAAAAAATTTCAAAGGAATGCTTTCAGAAAGATGCAAAATGCAGAGAATACGTGGCCAAACTCATCTGGTTTCAGAAGATCTCTTGTCCTCAGATATGTCTACTCTCATTAAAACAAAGCATGAAGAGTTCCATGGCTGGGGATACAGGCAGAGAAACCTTGATTACAGGCAGTTTCAGACATATCTCCATGTAGAATAAGCAAAGTGGAGGTTTGGGCTCTCACTGCATTGGGTGGGCTGTGGAATGCTCTCTGCTGTCTCCTCTCACATGTCTGTATCTCCACTTACCACTTTCTCAGGGGGAAAAGCTAATCAGACTCAGGGGAAGAGTATTCTTTGGGCCACATTTCACTAGCAGGCAGGGCTACTGTGCTGTTTTAGTTTTTGGGAAACAGATCTCAAGACAAGATTTTGAGTATAAATTACATTTTATTTGGGACATGAAGGGAACTCAAGAATTGGATGAAGAATTGGAGATAGGGAGAAGTCAGCCAATAAAGGACGTGTTGAGAAGCCAGTTACCACTGTGGGCAACTGGAGTTCAATCACATAGGGGAGCTCTGGGAAACAGAATGGAAGATAGAACTCAAACTTATCCCGCTCCTGTGGTGAGGGAGCTGAGGTGTTTATACACCAAATCCCATCAATCATCAGTTGAGGGGTGCTCTGGGAAATGTTAATTTCCTAATATTTCCAAGACTCAAAAACCTGCTGGAAGTTTTGGAGAAAGATCTCAGGCAAAGAGATGCAGATACTGGCAGTTAGAAGTCCGCCTGCATGCAGCAAGATGGCAAGGTCTGAGGATTATGGATGGGACATCTATAGGGTCTGTTACACGTGGTTTAAAGATCAACAAACAAATTCAGGTCTTTCTCTGGTTCCTTTTCCTGTGGCAAATCTTGGCACATCAATGTGGCTAATGTGGGTAAGGCTGATTAGAAGAATAATTAATCACATAAAAACAGTTAAAGTTATTAGCTGAAGTAACATGGAAAATGTGCCTTCTGCATGTAATCATGTGTCTGGTATTTGGGGCTATTTTGTATGTATGATACATTTTGTTGGTATAAATAGAACATAGTGGACAAATGTATTATTTAGGAAGTAGCATGCCTTGAGCAACAAGAAATTTGGAGTGACAGACATGTTTCAGAGGAAAAAACTGCAGAGTTTTTACATTTTTGTTAACTATGAGATAGGTTTTGGTAGCAGACAATGTCTGAGATTGAGAAGAGATGAGTTAGGATGAAAGGTATGCATTGATCTTGCAAGCTTCTGAACATCTTGGGAGTGGCACAGGCCCAATCTTCTTCCCAATGGTGTGGTCACAGCCAAGGTACATCTGCTAGGTCCATATGAAACCCTACTGCCTTCCAGCTCCTTCTAGCCAGCTCAACTGCATGGAGGAAACTTTGGGCTGTAGGATGTGGAATTAACCTTCTGGTGGATTTTGTTATTTGGCTTGGGTTGCTCTTGTCACTGGGTTTAGTGCGGTATAAATAGGAATCATTCTTTCTCCCACAAACATTTTTGTAGAATTTTTCTTTCCCACCCGTTGCATGCTGTTGCAGGCAGATTTCATTACTTTTCCAGTCATCTTGGTAAATTAAAATAGTTTCATTGGTAAAACTAAAAAGTCCAGTCTAATCTAACACCAAAACTTCAGACTCTCCAATTCAGATTTCCCCCTCTTCCAAAGTCAGACGAAACTGGTGGTTTGAGGATAGGTAGATGAGAGGGGAAGATTGTGGTCTGGTCTGTCTTTCTCTGTGTCCCTTCTACTTCCCAACGAACACTGCTGATTTTGGCTTTTTAAGATCTAGAGAATATGGAGTGGTGGGTTTACAGGAGGAGGCACTGTTTTTTGTTTGTCACTTTTTAACCTTACTGGTATCTCTATTGTGTCTGTTAAAAGCCCTCTGTAAAGGCAGGTGTCCAATTGCTTGTTCTTTTGTGTATTCTCTTTTTTACTTTATTTTTATATATATTTTTTTGAGACAGGGTCTTTCTCTATCACTCAGGCTGGAGAACAGTGGCATGATCTCAGCTCACCATAACCTCTGCCTCCTGGGTTCAAGCAATTCTCCTGCCTCAGACTCCCCAGTAGCCAGGATTACAGGTGCATGCCATGCCTGGCTAATTTGTGTATTTTTAGTACAGATGGGGTTTCACCATGTTGGTCAGGCTGGTCTCAAACTCCTGACCTCAAGTGATCCACCTGCCTTGGCCTCCCAAAGTGCTGGGATTACAGGCCTGAGCCACTACACCCAGCCTCTTTTGTGCATTCTCAGAGACCTCCAGTAGGGTCTCTATGCCTTACTATTTTCTGGGGCGATGCACACACTCTTTGCTGACTTCTTACAAATCCTCCCCATATCTAGCTTGTCATGGCACATCATCAGGAATGCTTTGCTCCAGCAGGCGGTCAGTGCTCTTCGATGAGGTCCTCTCAAGATAGCTTAAGCGTGGACTAAACTTCACAGCGTCCACATGAAAAATTGGCTTCACTGATCCACCAAATTATCAAGGTACACTCCATTTCTATTCTGCCCTCAAGCGGTGCTCCAGCCAGCCCTTCATGTTCATATCTCCCCAGGTTCTAGGGAAACCATGTCCATTTCTCTGAACAGCTCTCTCACATTCCAACCTCATCACAAGATTCTCTGGCTGCACAAACCTTCAGCCAGGGAGGAAGTTTCTACTTGTTCCTCCTATCTGACAATGCCAATCTCCAAAAATGAGTTTTTGGGAACTCCTTCAGTTGTTTTGGGGTAGGTGAGGGGCAAGAATCTTCTCTAATGATTCCACCTTTAATTAACCCAAGTCTTCTTTTGTGTAAGCTGGATGTTAAAGACGGGCTGAATGAGTTTGGTGGCTTAGTGAGCCAAGTCAGCATAGGCTAAATGCTATAACAAACACCACAGTGGCTTTAAATGTCATGTCGTTGACCAAAGTGGTCAATAGGTTGGTGGTTGTAGGGGAGCTCTGCTCTGTGTAGTTGCTCAGTATCTAGGCTTTTTTTCACTAGTGTCTTTGCTGTATTCTATGTGAAGGGTCTTATTTTATGCCATGGCTTCCTTTGGTAGTCTGTTAAAACCAACAAAGTGTGGTTAAAAATAATATTTTGTTGGTTCTGAGCCTGGGCCTCAGGAAACTTTACACACTTCTGCTCTTTTTCTTGAAATCCTGCCACTTCCAAATAAACAAGCTTGGATTCATCTGCTGGAAAATGAGAGACACGTGGTCAGCTGTGCAGTCACCCCAGCCTATAGCTAGCCAAACTCCAGAAGCAGAGAAGGTTGCTGACCTGCCTCTGACTGCAGACACAAAAGGGAGCCATGACAAGACTACAGCAATCACCCAACAAGCTTGACCTAACTTGCTGACCTGCTGAATTGTGGTATAGATAAATGGTTGTTATTTTAAGCCACTAAGTTTGGGGTGGTTTGTTTCATAGAAATAACTCACTGATACAAAGATGATAACTTTTCTTTTAATTGACATGGCTGGTTGGTGAACTAGTTCCTTTCAATTACATTCCATTGCTGAAAGCTAGTTATCGGGCCTACCTTACATAGAAGAGGAGATTATAAAGTGTAGTCCAGTACTGTATCCAGAGGAGGCAGAGGACATGGATATCAGTGGATCCCTGTCATAAGCACTTACTCATTTTTCTGAGGCAATGGACACACTTTCTGTTGACTTCTTACAAATCTTGGAGTCTCAGCTGAAGCTCCTGTTCAAAGACAGAATTATTATGTAAAATCTTGTTGTGCCTTGTGATAGAGAAGATCACTATCTTATGTTTTGATGACTCTCCAAAGAGGGTAAGATTCTGTTTAAGTAGACTCAGGGCCTGGTTATCTTTAGTTCAAGGACAGAAAGGAGGGAGTCAGCGTAGGCCTACAGGCCTGAGCCATATACCTTCAAATGCATTTTTCAAGCCCTTCTAGTTTCTTGTGTATATTTCCTGTGGTGAGGAACCCCACTGGGAAGAGAGATCATGGCAGGATTTATGCATTCTTGTGTTGTTGTGTTGTGATTGATATCATCACAGCAGCATCAATATCTTTGTTCATTGCTCTTAGGAGTCAGTATCCAGTCTATAAACTCATGTTCTATAGTTCTAGTAGCATGATTTATGATTCATGAGTTTAAATGATATCTCAATACTGTAACACCACACACAGACACCGTAGATTATGTTAGAGGGAGTGTAATGCATCAGACAGACCCAGGTCTCAATCCTTTCTTTTCTACGTACTAACTCTGTGACCTTGGGTAAATTCTTTAAATGCAGGTGCCTGTTTCCCTTTAGCAAAATGTATACAATTATAGCAAACATCCCAGTTTCTTGTGAGCATTACATGAAAGAAAGAATGTGAAAGTACTTGGCACTGGTAGATGCTCTGCAAATGCTAACTGAATCTAAATTAGAGGAGAAGGAAGCTAGTGTTTTAAAACATACTTTAAAAAGTGGAAATAGATCAGAATGTTGAGTTAATCATAGTACATTGTAATCATACATACATGTAAGGCCCCTCTCTTGTATGAATCCATTTATTTCATTTCTCCTTTATCCCTGTTTCACTGTCTCATTTATCTTCTCCCATAGGTATCTGTTACATACACTTTATATATAATCTTAAATTCATTTATCTTTGAAAAATAGTTTGTTGTATGTAAAATTGGATTGTTTGTAACTCACAGGATAAATGCTTGAGGGAACAGATATCCCATTCCTCATGAGGTGCCTATTTTACATTGCATGCCTGTATAAAAACATCTCATGTACCCCCTTAATATGTATAACTACTATGTACCCACAAAAGTTTAAAAAATTTTTTTAAAGTTTATGCAAATGGAATTATACTATAAATTTCTGTCTTTTTAAAAACCTTTCACCCAACAACATGTTTTAAATGATTGTCTATGGTGCTGAATGCTGTCTCATTCATTACTTTTAAGGCTAAATTATGTTGTGTTATATTTTCTACTTTTAACTTACCCATTCCCCAATTGTTGGATAACCAGGTTATCTCCAATACCAAAAATATACGTTAAAATATCTTCTAAAATGCATTTTTACCAACCTGCTGTAAAATTTCTCTAGCACGTATGCCCAAGAGAGGGACTTATGGATCACAGATGTGTGCATACTTGTTTTATTGACGACACAACCAGATGCCTTTCTAGGAGGGCAGTACCAGTTTATACGGCTGTCAGTACTGCATGATGAGCCTGTTTTCTGACATCTTCACCATCTTTCTAATTTTTGTATTATAATGGATATACAATGGTATCTTATTGTCATTTTAGTTTTTATTTCTCTATATACTTGTGTGTGTAAGAGTCTCTTTATATGCATGTTGGTCATTTGGGAATCCCTTCTTTGCATCATCTCCTCGTGTGCTAGGGAATCAATTTTCTCAACACTATATGCTAACCAAATCATCCCTTCCCTATTGCTTTAAAGAGTCACATCTACTGTGAATCAAAGTCACTTACAAACAAATCTATTTCTGAGGTCTCTATTCTGTTCCACATTTATTCTATTTATCTTTTTCCATATTAGTCCATACTGTTTATATCACAATGGCCTTTCCTACATCTTAATATCATATAGAATGACATGCTGTCCTCACCTCATCTTTCCTCTTTTATTTCAAAACTGACTTAGCCCTTCATGAATTCTATTCTTCCTTTGTATCCTCAGTGCCAATTTATTAGCCTGTTGTCCCAACACAATTTATTGAAAGAGTTAGCTTTTAATAACTAATGTGGTGCTAACTTAATCACTCATCTACATTTCTAAGATATGTAAGATATATGTAAGATATAGTATATAGTGTTCTTAGTTTTGCTAATTTGTTTTGTAGTCATCATTTTCTTTTCCTCTTTGACCAAAGAGTTATTTTAGAGAGTGACTTTTAACAACTCAAAGTGGCTCTATTTTTAGGGTTAATATATTCTTATTAGTCTCTAGTTTTACTGCACTTTGATTAGAGATGTGGTCTGCATAATATATACTTTTTAGAATTATAGATTGTCTTTGTGGTCTAATATATGATAGATTTATGTGAATGAGCCATGGGCACTGGAAATCTATTCTCCATAGAGTTAAAGTTTGGTAATTATTAAACCAACCTTTATTAATTATTTAACTCAAATCCTTTTATCTAGTATTAGTAAACCATATGGGGCCACAAGCAAGTTCATGAATGGGCTTCAGGGTATCTATAAATTCCCTGACATACAGGCAATATGCACAGGCTTCTGAGTGAGGAGAGATCTTTCATGAGATTCTCACAGGGGTCCAAGAGTCTAAAAAGATGAACAACTGCAGGATTAATTTTTGTTTTATGTTTGTTTATATCTATTTGATCCATCAATAGCATTATAACTGTGCTTTTAACAATTTTGTCTTGTTTTTATATTTCTTTTTATATATTGAAACAGTGTTGACTGATGCATGTTTGTGGATATGTACAATGTAACTGTAGATTTTATTCTTTATCATTATAAAATGTTAATTATAAAACCATTAAGAATTCCTTTTAATATATTTGCCCTGAATTCAGCAGTGTCTGATTTTATTACTCAATGGGAGCTTTCAGTTTATTTGTGTTTGTCTGACATATTTTTTCTACTTTGGGCCTTTTGCTTAGTTGGATTCTTTTTATATCAATTGTGTTTAATATGGAATTTTAATCTTTCTGTGTTCATTGCAATAAATGATATATTTGCTCCTACTTCTGTCATTTTGTTTTTATTTGGTTGTTGATACTCATGCTTTGCTTTTTTTGTTGTTTCTGTCTTTCACTGTATGCTAGATGGATTTGCATTCATTGTTTTTCTTTTCTCCAGTGGTTTGCGTATTTTAATTGCAGTCTATTTAACACCACATTTTTGATCCTTTAAATTTTTTTCAAACATGTTATAACATATATCTATTTGATATAAAAATTGGTTTCCTTTAAGTCCTCTTTATAATTTAAGAATTCGTACATACTTTTACTTATACTCTTTTTCTTTTCTACTTATGCAGACTTACATTTTAATTTAGTTTTTTACAATTTCATAATTAGTTTTGTATTATGTACTTCATTAGCATATTGTCATCATTTTTATTATTTTAAGTCATATTTATAATAATTTAGTCATTTTGTACTAGTTGCTATCACTAGTCTCTACCAATAATTTTATATTATGATTTTTCCTGTCTTGGTATCTTAATTTTGCTTTATCTTTTTTCATTGTTTCATGTCCATCTTCAAGTAATTTATAAAAGATAACGTATTTTCAAGTCCCTTTTATTCTTGAGATTATCTTTCTTTGCCTTCCCACATAAATGACAGCTAGGGTCAATGTGAATGTATTAATTAGCAATCGCTGCCTTAAAAGCCACGTTGAAAGTTAACGACTTAACAGTGGCTGAGGGATGGAGGGATTGGGGAGATGTTGGTCAAAGGACACAAAATTTCAGTTAGACAGGAGGAATAAGTTAAAGAGATCTATCTTACACCACGGTGATTGCGGTTAAGAACAATATATTGTATACTTGAATATTGCTAAGAGAATAGCCTATATGTGTTCTTACCACGAAAAAGGTATATATATATAATATAATATATAATATATATAATATATATACCTTTTATTATATATACACAATAAAATAAAAGATATATATACTTTTTTATATATACCTATTATATATAATATAAGGTATATATATAATATATAATATTTATATATATAAAGGTATGTGTAAAAAGGTATATATATGTACGTATATAATGTTGTACACCATAAATATAATTTTTCCTTGTCAAAAAGATTTTTTAAAAGTCAGAGACTTAAGACAATAATCTTTTATTTAGCTCAGAATTCTGCGGGTTTCCATTTTGGGCTGAGCTCTGCTGGGAACTTCGGGTCTAGGATGGTCCCACTCATGTATCTGTGGTAGCTGCTGGGTTGGCTAGGGCCTGGCCTCATCTGGAATGGCTCTGTCCTCTGTGGACTCATTCTACAACAGGCGAGGCCAGCCTTGTTCACATGGCAGCTTGGCAGGCTTCCAAGAGAAAGCACAGAACATGCAAATTACATGCAGTTACAAGGCCTAGGCTCGCCACTGGCACAGCAGCACGTCTAACATGTTCTATTGTCCAAAGCAAGGATCTGAGACCACCAGCTCAGGTTGAAGGAGCAGGAAAATAGACTCCACCTCCTAATGGGAGATGCTGCAAAGTCACATTGGAAAAGGGGACTCATAAAAGAAGGAGATGCTCGTTGCCATTTTAGCAAATCAGTCTACTATAGTATATAGAATTTCCGACACGATCCCTTAAAAACTGAAGATATTATTTATCTCCCAGTATTTAGTGAGTTGTCCTATTTTACTTATGTATATTTGATATTTATTCACATTTTCTTTTTTTTCTTTATATTTCAGAATTGTTCCTCAGCTTTTCAGGTCATGTCCTTTGTAGACAGATGAAATTTATGTAACATTGGATTTCTTTCTTGCTGCCTTCAATATATTTTATTGAATTTTATTAAATTATGTTGTAATGAATTCTTCTCCTAACATCTTTTCTGTCCCCTTATCAGCTGCTAATTTTGATTGCAACTTTTTCCCACCTTGTGATGAGACCATGCTTCCCCTCTCTCCTTTTATGGTCACCTAATACTTTTAGGAAATTTGATTCTGGACTGACTGATTATCTCCAAAGACGTTGTGCAAACTTTGAGTGTTCTCTCTTCTTTTATAGATTTTAAAAATAATAGTATCATATGTAATGTGATACTATTATTGTATACGTAATAGATCTTAAAAATAAAAGTATCATATGTATTTTTCACTTTATAATCAGAAAAGCCAAGGTGGGTGGGTCACGAGGTCAGGAGATCGAGACCATCCTGGCCAACATGGTGAAACCTCATCTCTACTAAAAATACGAAAATTAGCCGGGTGCGGTGGCATGCGCCTGTAGTCCCAGCTACTGGGGAGGCTGAGGCAGGAGAATCGCTTGAACTTGGGAGGCAGAGGTTTCAGTGAGCTGAGATCATGCCACTGCACTCTGGCCTGGGCGACAGAGTGAGACTCTCTCTCAAATAAATAAATAAATAATATTGGTAAAATGATATATTCACAAGCTAAAACATCAAGCAGTATAGAAAAATGTAAATAAGAAAGTAAATCTCGGCCAGGTGTGGTGGCTCATGACTGTAATCCCAGCACTTTGGGAGACTGAGACAGGCGGACTACCTGAGTTCAGGGGTTCGAGACCAGCCTGGCCAACATGGTGAAACCCCCTCTCTACTAAAAATACAAAAATTAGCGAGGTGTGGTGGTGGGTGCCTGTAATCCCAGCTACCCAGGAGGCTGAGGAAGGAGAATCACTGGAACCCGGGAAGCAGAGGTTGCAGTGAGCTGAGATAGCACCACTGCACTCCAGCCTGGGCGACAGAGCAAGACTCCATCTCACAAAAAACAAACAAACACGGAAAGTAAATCTCCTCTCCTACGACCTAACTGCTCTCTGGTGGTCACTACTCAAAGTTTCATCGTATGCACCAGAAATTATTTTTCTGCATGTGTACAAGCACATATTTTACATAAATAAAATAATGTTATTAACGTTGTTCACATATTTTTGTTTTTCACTTATATTTTGAAGATGTTCCCTGGTCAGTATACACAGAATTGTTACCTTTTTTTGTAAGAACTCCATAGAATTCGATTATATGGATCAACCAAAATTGATTTACTAATTTCCCTACTGTCAAATATTTCAATATTTCGAAGTGTTAGTATAACAATTTTCTATAACATAAATTTCACAATGCATACCATCGTGACTTTCTGAACATGTTGTATATTTCTAGGAATGAAGTTTTTAGGAAAGATCATGTGTATTTTACATTTTGGTAGGTAGTGGCAAATTGTCTTTGAAAAAGTTTCAATAATTCACAATCTAACCAAAACAAAATGGCCATGCCTCTTTCGCCACTTGGTTTAAAAAAACTTTGGTTTTATCATTTGTTTAAAATTGCCAATCTGATAGGCATTACTGTCTCAGTGTTGTTTGCTTGGCATCTTTATATGATTATTGGTTATTTATATTTATTGCTTTGTGAATTGCTTACGTATATCCTTTACTTTTATTTAAGCGGGGATGTTTATCTTTTTCTTATTGATTTTAAATAACTTGCTCAAAGCAGCATAAAGTGGTGTTTAAAAGCAGGGCCTCTGGTGCTAGTCTGTGTGGTTTCATATCCTGACTGAACACTTATCAGCTGTTTGACCTGGTATGAGCTACTTAATCTTTCTATATTTTGGTTCCATTATCTGTAAAATGCAAATAATAACGATATCTATCATTTAGGTTTCTTGTGAGACTTAAAATAGGTAATTCATGTAAAGCACTTGCCATAGTACTTGATTCATAGTTAGAGCTAAATAGTCGTTAGTCATATTAATAATGAAGTAATATTTAAAATACCAGCCCATTGTCTTTTAAATGCATTGTAAAAGTATTTTTCCAGCTTTCTAATTTATCTTCAATTTCAAAGGCCTTTTCACTCAAGATTATTTAAAAAATGAGTGATGACTTTTTAAAGTAATTTTTGAGCTTTATTTATTTATTTTGAGACACAGTCTTGTTCTGTCGCCCAGGCTAGATGGAGTGCAGTGGCTCGATCTTGGCTCACTTCAACCTCTGCCTCCCAGGTTCAAGTGATTCTCCCGCCTCAGCCTCCCGAGTAGCTGGGACTACAGGCGTGGGCCACCATGCCCAGCCAATTTTTTGTATTTTTAGTAGAGATGGGGTTTCACCATGTTGACCAGGCTGATCCTGAACTCCTAGCTTCAGGTGATCTGCCCGCTTCAGCCTCCCAAAGTGTTAGGATTACAGGTGTAAGCCACCACTCCCAGTCTAAGCTTTATTTTTTACTTTTAGTTTATTTGTTTATTTTTTCCTGTAGAAAACAGTTTATTTTCAAAGTATATTGTAAATTTACAGTAACCTCAAATTATGAAGTTGGGGAAATGTTAAGGAAGTTAGGGTAAACCCTCTGGATATATATTGTATTATAAATATGAATACCATAAGAGTATACAAGATATGTACAATATATATGAAATATAGAACATAAAATTATATGCACACTGGGATGACTGCGTAAAATAGAAAAGCAGGGAAAAATGAGCCTTCTGTATTTTTTACTTTTAAATGGTCAATTTTTCTGAAATATATTTTGGTGTAAGGTTTGGAGTATTAATCAATTTTCATTTTATTTTCAAATGGTAAGCCAGTTGTCCCAATACTATTTTCATCTTTGGTAAAATATGCCATCTTTTCATATTCTAAATTCAAAAATAATCTTAATGTCATTTATGGACTCTAGATTCTTTCATTTTTTTGCATGTATTCCTTTGCCTGCACCAATTGCTTTTTTTTTTTTTTTTTTTTTTTTTGAGACAGAGTCTTACTCTGTCACCCAGTCTGGAGTGCATCGGCATGATGTCGGCTCACTGCAACCTCTGCCTTCCGGGTTCAAGCGATTCTCCTGCCTCAGCCTCTGGAGTAGCTGGGATTACAGGCATGCACCACCACGCCTGGCTAATTTTTTTTCTATTTTTAGTAGAGACGGGTTTCACCATGTTGGGCAGGCTGGTCTCGAAATCCTGACCTTGTGATCTGCCCGCCTCGGCCTCCCAAAGTGCTGGGATTACAGGTGTGAGCCACCGTGCCCGGCCACCAATTACTTTTAATTGTTATAGCTTATAATTCTTTTCACTAATATGGTATGTCTATTCCCTTTCATTACATATACTTTTCATTATTTTCCAGCTTAAATATGCACATTTACTTATTAGTGAATTTTAATATAATTTAAAATATTTTAATTAAAGACTGAATGATATAAATTAATATTTTATCATAAATGTAAGTAGCAAATAATGCTAAACACCAGTGATCCCACTTGCCTGAGGGATGGAACATTTCCTAGAAGTAGCACGTAGAAGGTTCTGTATGCCCTTTTCCTATCTCATCTCCAGATGTGTTTACATATCTACGTATACGACAAGGGATTGTTTAGTTGTACCTGTTTTTGAACTATGTATAAACTACATTATATTTGACTAATTCCTCTTGATTTGGTGTTTTGCTCAATATTATGTTCATGGTATTCATCTATGTTAATTTTGTACTGCTGTTCGTATTCCATTATATAAATACATCACAATTTATTGGTATCTTTTGTTTATGGGCATTTGGATGGTTTCCAGATCATGTTTTTAAAAAAATGTTTTATTACCCATATGATTGCTGTGAATGTTCTTGAGTATTTCTGGCGCATATATGTAAAGATTTCTCAAGGAGTGAATTTGCTGGGCATTAGGCATGTACACCTCCAACCTTTCTAGTGGTCACCAAAGAGCTGTCTTTAATGGTTGAATTAATTTATACCCCATTCAGAAGGTTATAAGAGAGAATCACTTTTTCCAGGTCCCCTCTTGCCTCACCCTCCAAATGTCCATCTCTATAGCAACAACAACACAACTAATGCTATTTGATTTAGAACCATATTACAAAATAGTTCAGGGAGAATTGGCATCTTTACAGTTTTGCATCTTTTTATCTCAGCACAATGGGTATCTTTCCATTTATTTAATACTGCATTTATGTTCTGAGAGTTTTAAAGTTTTTTCAATTTCTTGTTACAGTTATGAATATTTTCCGTAAGTTTATATTTTGAGCACTATAAGCCAAATAGGAAAGTTTCATGCATGTTATAATATGTTTGCCGAACTGTTTGAAATTAAGCTGTATATCTCATGACCCTTCATCCTCAAATACTTTGGCCTAATTCTCTTAAGAATACATACATAAGCTCAGTATTACCATCTTGCTTAAAAGAATTAAGAATAATTCTCTACTATGAGCTAGTGCACATTCATATTTATCCTCAAAAGGTCTTTTATAGTTTTCTCCAAAACAGAATTGAATCAAGGTTCATACATTGCACATGGCATTTTGTTATGTCTTTTTAATCTTCTTTTTCAAGAATTATACTCTCCCATGTTTAATGACTTTTTTGTAAGACATTTTATTACATTTTCATATATACATAAAAGTACATGGATTAATAAGTGAACCTGCATGTACCCACTACCAAGTTTTAACAATTATCAGTATTTTGCCAATCTGTTTGCTCTACTCATCTTTCCCCATATCCCAACCACAGTTTTTTCCGTGTTGACAGCTTTCAAAGGAATTCCCAGACATCACATCAATTCATCCTTAAATAATTCATCATGCATCTGTAAGAACTTTTCCCATGTAACCACCATACCATTATGACAGTTAACAAAAATAACAAGTTCCGAGTATTACCTTGTTTCTATTTCATATTTAGATTTACCTGATTGTCTCAAATTTTCTTTTGAAGTTGGGTTGCCTGATCAGGATCCTAAAAAAGGCTTATACATTGCCTTTTGGTGTTGTATTATTCTATAGGTTATGCAATCCAAATACTGTTTTCAAATGTCAGTTGAAGTGTTTATTGTCTCTATTTTTAATTTTAATGTTTGCTTTTTTCCTTCCATGATTAACTTATTTTTGAATGTGTAAAACATTAATGTGGTTCATGAGTACAAAGTATATACAAACTAATACTCGGAAAATTCTTGTTACCACCCTCCTCCCTTTCATTCCATTACTCGTCTCATTATCTCTGACTTTTATAGGTAACTATTTTTCCTAGTTGTGGCTTATCCTTCCAATATGTCTTTTGGGAAAATAATTGTGTGTGTGTGTGTGTGTGTGTGTGTGTGTGTGTGTGTGTGGTGATATGTCCTGCTTTTTTTTTTTTAACACAAAAGCTATCATACTCTAGATATTGTTGTGAATCCTGCATCTGTCACTTAACAATATATCTTGGAGATCACTTTACATCAGTACATAGACTTTTCATTCTTTCTGTGTGACAGCAGAGTGAAACTATCTGAATGGAGATAGCCTTATTTATTTAATAGTCCTCTGAACAAGCTTGAATACATATTGTCTAGTATTTTGGAGGAGTATCGTCAGGGTAGATTCTGAGATATGGGATTGGTGAATCAAAGGGAAACTGCTTATGTAATTTTGTTAGGTTTGTTAGATTTGTCATGAAATAAGATCTATTTTTTCTGTTATATTTTCTATCAGGTCAGACTCAGCCTTTTTCAACAGCCAATCTTTTGGTTATGTTCTCTGTCCACTGGTGCAGTTTATCACAGCTGTTCAGTTAAAAGGAAAATAAATATGCATAGTTAATAGTTCACATTCTTATTCTTTGCAGGATTTTACTTTCTCTATTTGGGTGGTGCCTTTCTCTCTTACCCACACTGTTGGGCCCTGAATGCTGTACGTGAAAATCTTTAATTCCTAGAATGCATCATTGTCAATGGACTCCTTGCTTCTGTTCCTACCTATGGTAATTTTCTTATAGAGCTCATGTGGCCCCAGACAAGCAATTTACCCAAACACATGTTGCCTTAACTCCTGTTCAGGTAATTTCTGAGTATTACAATCTCATCTTGCATGTAGAAAAATGATACTTGGTTATGAAACATTTGGTGAATAAGTAGGGGAGGGGGCTAACATTCTGCATTCATTGGGGAGGGATTTAATATTCTATCTTCATTATAGAATAGTTGGGAGTAGAGATAGAAAGTAGAGAGAGGTTGCTCTTCAATTTTTAGTTCTGTTATTAATTTTTACATGTAGTTTTCTCGGGATCATACCTATTCTTTGTGGATTCATGGATTGCCTTTTAGCCTAAATTTATGTGATAGTGTGAAGTTTCTTCACCCTTTGCTGTATTTTCACTGATATTTCAGTGAGAAGATAGACGGAAAAGGCATGTATTGGGGCTGCCAGCCAAAAGTCACTTCAAACCAGAAAACTCATTTTTGTGAGTATTATAACATTCAGCTATTTCTGTGTAACAAGACATCTCCAAATTTGATGACTTTAATAATAATAATAATAATAATAATAATAATTCTGGCTAATTTGTGGTTTTCTAAGCATTAACTACCCCAGCTGGGTTTGGCTGGGCAGCCTTTCTTTCCTTGTCAGTCTGACCAGGCTTAGTTCCTTACTATAGATTGGACTCAGGTCTGCTGTCTATATTTTATTCTAGAGCCCAAGCTGAGTATCTGAGGAAGCTGTATTCATTGCAATAAAAGACGTGCAAGAGAGATGATAGAAACACATTTTTCTTCTTAATGCCTAGGTTTGGAATTGGCACACCTGGATCCAGCTTTTATTAGCCAAAACAAGTCACATGACAGCCCAAATCAAGGAACAAAGATTTCTATTCTGTCTCAGGTGGAAAGTACTGCAAAATCACATGACAAAGAGTATGGAATTGGGGGTGGGCGGGGGTGGAGAGCCAAAAATTGTAGCCAAAATATCAGTTTATCCAAAGCATGCGGTTACTATGCAAAGTATGGAGTTCCTTGCTTGTGTGTAGTTACTATGCCAAGCCTTTTCCACCAATTGTTCATGTCTCCCACTTTCCCCAACACTTCTACAAAATAAATTTCCTTCTACTTCATAATGTGAAAACTGATGTTGAGGGATTTTTCAGTGACTTGCCTACCATCAAACATCTTTTAAAGATTTAACTGGGATTTGAAACTAGGTCTTTTCATCCAGCAAGTCTATGCTTTTCCAACTCTACTCTTCCAAATTGAAGTTTTCATCTAAATCCCATGGTTGTTCAGCCCCTGGGAAACACATAGTGCTCATAGAAGAAAATCAGAGACAGAACCAGAAGTTATAAGCCATCTGACATTTGGAAACCTACTATCAGCTACTCCCTAAGACAGAAGAAGGTGAAAGAGGCACCTCTGGGAAGAATTGTGATTTTGTTAATGACAGTGGAGTTTGTGCCAGGTATCAGTTAAAGCCTCTGGGTAACCTTGTAACTTGGTGTTGGCTGTATCACAAGGGCTTGGAAGAGTGATGGAGAAAAGACCTTGAGAAAAACAACTCCAACCACATCTGCTGTCCCTCAGTTAACATTTCAACATCTGTTGTACAGAGCGGGTTAGCAGAGGAGAGAACCTCAGCTTTGGAGGCATATATAATAATGAGTCATACAGTCATTAATGTGTGAACCCCAGGCAGGGAGCTCACATTTTGTGTGAAAGAAGAATTTTTGTTCAGTTATAAGCACTCCCCTACTGGGTCTGGAATTGCTCTCTGCACCAAAAATGCCAGACTTCATTTTATTTGAATTTAAAAGGACCTTCACAAACATTTTGGCTTAAATATAAAAGAAAACTTTTCATAAGAGAAAAGAAATTAGAAAAAAAGATTAGTAGAATGTAGTTTCACTGAAAATGCCCCCAATGAAAATAAAGTTAAAAATAATAAGAATATGCTGTGTCCCAGCCCAATCTCTACACCCCTTTCTCAGTTATTGTTTGAATAAAGGAGAACAAAGAAAGAAGTCTGATAGATACAGATTATTTGTATTTTTTCAACAGAAATGAAAATGAAAGTTTCTTTTATCTCTCTCCTATTGTCGTCTTGCAATTTCACTTGACCTTCTCATTAGTTATAACTGGACTGTACAGTTACCTGGAGTTGGTCATATTGTCCTTGAAAAAGGATTAGTTTTACCACTTTTTCCTACTGGGCAGAAGCAGAGACAACCAGGGGCAAATTGGCACATATGGGTACCTGACCAAGGCTTTCTGATTGTCCCAACCAGAAGACATTGTAAAAGCATTAAAGATGGGGAAATCAACTCCATGGTTAACAACAAACCCTAACTTTCTTACCTGCCTGGGGGATGGACGGAACTCTAGAACTTTCATTGGAGAGGTTAATCTGTACTGGAGTATGACTTGGGAAATAAGTCTCTAAATAAAATCATCTTGGAAGAAGTTGAAGTCATCAGGGGGCTCTGCACATCTTTTCTTACTTCTCTTCAAATTATGTTCTCCAGACCATTAACATTCAAGGAAACTTCATCTAATGCCTATCTGTGTTTGTCATTCCATTGGTGGCATAATGAGGTAATGATGTTTTAGGCAGAAAGACTCTCAATCTTAACATTATATGCACTCTGATAAGCCTTAGAAATATATATGAATAAGTACAGGTCCATACACATTTTCTGTTGTGTACGTGTAAGCTTTTCTCTTGAAGGATTTTTTGTATTGGGCAGTACCTTAGAGTGGTAAGTATGATCGTGGTTACCTTTTGGATAAGCATAAACAGCTCATCTAAGTAGCAATATCTGAAACTTTTCAGTAAGTTCTTAGAGCTGGCCATAGGCAATATCTCTAAAATTTGCTAACTAGGGTTACACTGCCGCTTATTTGTCCCATTGCCTGCTCCGAGAGCTCTAACCACCCACTCCTAACCTGGTATGACCCTTGTTGCCTTATGAAGGTGAGAATCATAAACCGATTTACACCAAGGTGTAGGCAACGAATATGAGGAAGGAATGCTTTTTATAGGGATGAATGTATATTACCAGGAAACAGAGCCACAGATGGTGATGGTTTCCAGCCTAGGGAACTTGGACCCCAAGATTTTGTGTAGATAGTAAAGGGGATCCTTAAGCTGTTTTTAAGTTTAAAAAACACTTACTCATGAAACAGCCATTTAGCAGATAAATCAAGTTTCTTGGTTTGAACTTTAATTCTATCAACCCGGCATGATGATTTGAGTTAACATGTGCTAAAGAATAATTTATAAATCTCAAACATCTGTTATTCAAAAACCCACCAGAGATGTGATTCATGAGGAAGATTAAAAATGAGTATGAATGATGAAAAGTTTGAACTCCTAAATTAAAAAATAAAGATTTAATAGCAAAGTATCAGATAACTGCTTGGGATTATGATAAAGGAGACAGGGATGAACAGAAAGAAAACAAACCTATTATAGCATGAGCACTGCTACATGTGTAGCTAGACACTTATACACAGAGTCATTCACTAGGCTGAGGCAGTTTCACCTTAGAACTGTGTCTTGTTCCAGTCTATTGTAGTGTTTAGTGCAGTAATTACTTAGTTTATGGAAGGTAGTTATGAAATGAGAAGGAAGAGGAGAGAGCTTAAACAGCTCACTTAAGAACATGTATATGGAGCTCATACTAGAATCCAGGTCTGTCTCAGTAACTCCTTTTTTTTTTTTTTTTTTTTTTTGCCTCACCATGAATTTGTATCAGTGGGAGGGAGAAGAATTATTGTCAATGTCCTGAAGTCATCCACACTGAAAATTGTGTATTGTATCTTGCAGATTACCCACTTATACATCTGCTGACTTTGGAGTTATTGTACTTTGTGATGTGGTCCTGAATTGGAAGGGCCCCATTCCGTGTTGCACAGTGCCAGCTATTTCTCCAAATCACTCCAAAGAGAGCATGGGAAAAGAATGACTGAGTCTTTGTGAACTCTGTCCCCTCTTAGGCACAGAAGCCATGTGTGTAGGCTCTGCTGAGGCTCCTGGAGTCTGGCTTTGAGCTGACCCATCTAGCTAGGGTATCAATCTCCATCAGGTCTTGCTTGTGCTGCTCTCCAGAGCCTGCACACCAAGATGGGTCTGCCCCAATTTGAAAGGTGCAGGGCTGGTGGCAGTGGGTTCAAATTAAAAAAAAAATCCTGCTGGCAGTGTGAATCTGGAGAAAAGACTTCTTTTCACAGTCATTGTGTGGCTCTGTCAATCAGCCTCAGAATTTCTCTGCAGGGCTGGGATGCCACAGCTCAGAAAAAAGGATGGTATCAAGAATGGCACACATACACATGCAGGGAGGGAAAGAGAGAGGTGTGGTGATTAAATCCGTATGGAGAATGAGAGATTCCATCTTTCACAGTTGTATTATTTTAATTTCAATAAACATTTATTGAGAACCCACTCCCATTGAGCACTATAGCAGGCAGGCTCTCTGTGGGCTCCAAGCGGAATACAAATTTCCTTAAGACAAGTCTCCACCCTCACAGTCTAGGGGAAGAAGCAAAAGTCAGACTAAACCAAAACAAAACCCAAACAAAAAGAAAAATCACCAACCCAGGCACTAGGCTTGAGAATTTACAAGCACTTTCACAAACATCTCATTTAGCCCTGTTTGCAAAGTAGATGAAGCAGTGTTATCTGCATTTTACAGATGAGGACAAGAGCCTTGTTTAAGATCACAGAGCTAGTAAATGACAGCCCCAGAATCCAGGTCATAGAACTCCTGTTTCAAAGCTTTTCCCACAATATGATACTACCTCTTTGTAAACACTTGCTTATAATACAGCATTGTGTTGAGAGAGCACAAAGAAAAAAAATGATTAATTCTTACTGGGCCAAGGGAGATGGAAGATCAGGCTTCTCAAAAGAAGTAATTTTCCATAGGTGGATGAAATGGAGATTGTTGTAGGCAAAAAGGCACAATGGGGTGGGAAGGAAGGCAGTGCTCCCATGTAGAGCAGTGGTGAAGAAGCCAGCCTGTTTCATCCACACCCTACTGAATGATCCAATCTAGGTCCAAGAGAAAACGGCTAGAGAATGAAAGCCTCTGTTTTTCTCTAGCTTGTCTCTGGGGTTTCTATTTCCTATGTGAGGACCCATCTATTTCTTAGGAAATGGGTATGGGGAGAAATGAGCCTTCTTCCTGGGGAGCACCCCTAACCCAGTGACTTTGCAGGCCTTAGTGTGGAAATCCTGTCAACTTCCTATAGAATACATATCTCCTGGGATGTTATATATTCATCCAAGGGATGTGAACATAGGGTGCAGGATATTGTTGTTTTCACAAAAATGCTTCCAACTTCCTGTGTGACTTTGTGCGTGTGATTTGGCCTCTCTGATCATGTTTCTTCATCTATAAAATGGAGGTAATCATATTGACCAAGCAAGGGTTGCCGTGAGGATGGGTGGATTGATTTCTGTGATGCGTATAGCCCAATGCCTTACACAGAACTATGTATAAATAGGAGCTATTACTGCTACTGCTATTCAACATGAGGAAAGAACCTACATGAAGGTCTGTCATGTGCTAACTCCATATCTCATCCATTCCTGTCAGATGTGACCCTGCAAGGTCATTGAGAGGCTGAATGACTCTATTGTCATAGTCAAGTGGAGTGCTCAAGATGACTGCTGAGACCTCTGTTTCATGGGTTCATGGGGAAAAAGAAGGAAGACAAATCACAGGTTTGTCTGATCAGGCTAAAGGACTGGATCTCAGTGTGTTTTCAAAGCAGTGGCATTGGCCTGGCTGATTCAGTTTGTCAGCAAGACACAATAACAAGCAGATGATATTTAAGATGTGGCTAGGAACTAATATGGTATCACTAACCAGCAGTTACGAGAAAACCCTGGAAAGTAGCTGAGGGTGGGCAGGGGCTGGGATGTAGCTAAGCCAAAGCAGTTGGGGCTCTAGCAGGAGTGGCCAAATGGAATCAGACATCCATGCCTGTCTTTAGGACAAGAATGGCACAGGCAGAGGAAAATATGGCTCTGTGATGATTTGAATATCCTTGGCTTGGCCCTGGCTCATCAGATTTTAGGCCTTTGGCAATGTGATTAAATCCAGATCCCCACTGAATGGTGTGGCTGGGGCTGCTCATGCACCTTATGGCCTTGTACAGATGGGCTACGATTTAGGCAGGACCAGGTTGGGTGTCTTTGGGCTGAGCAGGGCTGGGAAAGAAAGCAGCTGAAGTCTGTCATGAACTTCCAGTTACTGGTTGTTCTCTGCCATAGCCAAACTCCACTTCTCCTAGATTTACTGATTCTACAAGGATCATTTGCCACCTGTTGAAGTAAACATCTGATACTCCATCTATACAGCACTTGTATTTCACAGTCATATCACCTAAGTCCTCCAAATTTGCAGGAAGTGATATATTGCCTTTCAGCTAGGAATACTTTTGCATTTTCTGGGACTCTTCAATGTGGAGGAAATGCAAAGGCAGTGGGAAAAAGTATGAGGAGTCAGAAAAGCCTATCCCTATTTTACCAATGGGTGCTAATTTTCTTAGGTAGAAATCAGAGAAAACTTCCTGGGAATTTTAAGTGTACTCAGAAATCTTTCATGTCCATGATTGATTTTGCTGAAAGTCAATTATATTTTCTATGAGAGAGATGGAATTTGAAGTTGAATTTTGCCTGGTGATATACAGGCAATAGAGATTAAAAAATTATTATTACACGTGGGGTCTAGTTCAAAAGATATGATATTATCATTGTAGTAAAGGCACTATTTGTAGCTAGTAATGTAGACTAGCTCATCAGCACCCATTTCCCGGCTTTTGAAGACTAAAAACTACGTTTTCCCAACTCCCTTTCCTCTACGATTTTCACGTGACTGGAATTCAGCCAGGCTGTTGGGCCTGCAGTGAGCTTGGAGGCAGATAAGAACAATGTGAGGCACTAGTCATGCCAGGCAGATTTGATCCGGTAAAACCTGTGGCAGAGGCTGCCGATTCTTTTGGGCCAGGTTTGGCGGAGAAACTGGTATCCAGTCTCCACTGTCCTGGGTGTGGAGGAGCACTCAGCTGTAGACAGGTTTTCATTAAACGATTCTGTGGTCTGCTTGGATATTTTCACCCACTGCAATAGCGCTGGTCACTTTGTTCCTGGCCCCTTCACCACCAGAGATTTTGTGAACTTAGTATCTTATATTTTTGTGAGCCACTTAATGTTTAAAATTTTTTACTGATATTTAGAGATAGTTTCAGCTATCATAAATGTGCCGCTCAATGATTTTTCTCAAAGAGAACACACTGTGTAACCAGTGTCCAGATTAAGAAAGGGAAACCCAGGAGGCCCTTGAGTTGTGTTTCATTCTGGTCACTACCTGTGCAAGGGGAATCACTATTCCACCATCTAACAGCCTAGATTGGTTTTGACTGTTTTTGAACTATATATAAAGGGAACCATATATGTTCTTTCTGGCCTGGCTCCTTTTGCTTAATGATCTTTGTAAGATTCATCCATATGGTTGCACATAGTTCTAATTTGTTCTCATTGCTGTATAGCACTCCACTGTATGGGTATATCACAAATTATTTATCTGTTCTAGTGTTGATGGGCATCTGGTAGTTGACTTGGAGTGACTGTTGATAGTGCTGCTCTGAACATTGCGTACATTTCTTTTAGAAAATGCACATACACATTTCTGTTGGGTTTATTGGTAGGGGTAGAATTTCTAGGTGTGGTGAACACAGACAGGAACCATCCAGAATCCCCTTCAAGGAAGGACTTGTTGCCCCAGCTTTCAGGTCCTTCGGAGTCTGCCTTAGCTGCAGCGAGCTGCCTCACCTGAGGGAATGCCCTCTCTGGGGTAGACCACATCAGTGACTGACTGAGGTGGGGTTATTAAGACCTAGCCTTTACAGGCCAATGTAGTGGGGGAACAACTGCAGCACACCACAGTTACTCCAGAGCAACTGTGGGGCTGGCCAAGGCTTTCTTGCGTCTGTACCATATCCCACCTTCTCCCTCAGCTCAGTCCTTTATGCCCCACAACCCTCGCCTTCCACAGTGTGACATTTAATGAATATCTTGTATACCAAACTCCATTTCAGCATCTGCTTCTGGAGAACACAACCTGAAACATTAGGTCATGCCTTGCTAGATAGAAACTGTACGATAGATTTGAATGAATGTTCTGATTGCTCTACATCTGTGTCTACATGGTATCTTTTGATAAAATAGTTTATGCCTAAACTGGCTAGAGCGGATTATAATGTTTATAACAATAGAATGTTGGGCTTCTATGGACTGTGGTGTGTATGGACTGTGACATAAATAGAATGTAGGTGTGTATGGACTGTGACCTCTATATCAAATAGGAAGGGTGTATTTATTAAGCTTCTGGAATTTAGAGTAAGGCCCAAACCAGAATCATGGGTTAAAAAAAGCAAGGAAGTCCTGGGGAAAACGATGAACTCTGCCGAGTTTGCTGTTTGCTGCTCCTCTTTTATGTTTCTGGATTTTTCATCTCTTTTTGTGGTGCCCTTTTTTTATGGTTCAGGCAATCCCTTTACAAGCTTTGCAAAGCCTACTGAAATTAAGGGCTCAAATAAGCTGTCTATGCCAGCAAGCAACCACTGGTCATTTGTGGCCATTTTTTTTTTCCCAAGGGGAAAAAGTCTTCATTCTACCTTCCTATTTGATTGAAAATGTGGTTGGAACTAGAAATTTGAAATAACTTTCCCTCTGAATTTTGAAGGCATTGATCTGTGGTTTTCCTGCTTCCATTATACTGTTGGGAAATTTAAAGCCATCCTTATTCCTGATCCTTTGCATGTGACTTGTTTTTGCCTTCTCTCTGGCAGCCCATAAAACCTTCTCTCTGTTGGGTCTTCTGAACTTTCACAGTGAAATGCAGGGCACTTGGTAGTCCCTTAAAATTTGGAAAATGATATCCCTTGTTTATGGAATTTTTTCTTAAATAATTCTATTAATAATTCTTTATCTAATTTTTTTTCTTTCTTCTTCTCTCTCCTTTCTTCATTGTTTTTTTCTCCCTCCCTTTCTCCTTTCCATTTGGTTATTGGTTTTCCTGGACTCATTCTCTCATTTTCCTATATTTTCTTTCTATTTTTCTTTCTCTTCTACTTTTGATCTATTTTGGGGGATGTTTGCTCAACTTTATATTTCAACTCTTCAGTGGTGTTTTAAATTTTTGCTTGTGTGCTTTTATGTATATGATCTCTTGTTTGTTCTCAGATGTTCCTTTTCTTTAGTATCCTGTTCTTGTTTTATAGATGCATTTTATTTCTTTGAGGTGATGTACAATGCATATCTCCTGGAAGTTTTCATTCTTGCAGAGATTTTGCTTGCTCTGAGTTGCTTTTTTAAGAAAATTTGTTTTGATTCTCATACTTTTGTGTTAGGGATTGCTTCTTTAGAAGGCTGGTGATCCTTGGTTTGTACTCATGTATAAGGTATGTGGACTAAAATCTTGGAAACCTCGAGCAAATGAGTTGGCTGGACGGTGGCAAGCATCACTGTAGGGTAGTCTGAGTGTGGAACCCCTAATGTCAGTATCTTCAGGTCCTGCCTCCCTGGCTGGGCCAAGGGTAAAGGCATGGCTGAGAGCTGAGAGAAGGGAGGGGGCTAGCCTCTGCATTCAGCATGTTTAGCTTTATCTAACTCCACTGCTTTTGGATGACTCCTCACCCTTATCTGTGCCAGGCCAGGGACTTTCTGCCTAAGCTTCTCAGAAAGAAACTTCTAGACTTTCCAGGTGGGAAGTCATTCTGCAGTGTGGAATGAGGACGGGACCTGGAGATCTACCTGCTTCTTGAATAGTTTTCATCCATCCTTTTAAATTTGGCTCCTCTTTCTCTCGCCTCATTTCCAGAGATACATGTTGAGTATCCCTTATCCAAAATCACTGGGACCAGAAGTGTTGATTTTGGAATTTTTCAGATTTTGGAATATTTGCATATTACATAATGAGATATATTGGGGATGGGACTCAAGTCTAAACACAAAATTCATTTATGTTTCATATACACCTTATACACATAGCCCAAAGGTAATTGTATACACTATTTTAAATAATTTTGTGCATGAAACAAAGTTTGTATAAATTGAAGGATCAGAAAAGGAAGGTGTCATGTCAGCCACTCATGGGGATAATCTGTGTTTGTCTGGCATCGCCATCACTCCTGACTCTATATTTGTGTGCTGCTTATCAGGAATTATTTTCTTATATTTATTCACACAGAAATAATTAACAATAAAAGTATGACACACCATTAATATAGTGAAAAAAATAATGTGTCCAGGTTAACCTGGAGTCAGTGCTTAAAGAGTTTTGGATTTTGGGGCATTTGAAATTTTGGATTAGGGATTCTCAACCTGTTCTTGCCGCTCACAGTACCTAAGCTTTTTGAGGATTCTGCTGTCTTACTTCGGTTGGCCTTGGATTCTCTACTGCGATTTTAAAATTCAGATTTCTAGTTTGTAAGATCAATTGCCCCTTGTCCATCTTCCACTAGCTTTGCAATTTTCAACATTTTGTTATCTTCTACCCTGTTCTTTTTATCCTAGTGGAATTATGTTTTTAAAAAAACCCACTATAGCTTTAATAGAGTTTTTGAAAAGAAGAAAAATCAGATGTTTTCGATCTATTATCTTTATGCACAGCTGCCTTCATAGCTTTATATACAGTTTCTACCATTTTTTCTGAGATTCACACTAGGAGATTTCAAAATAATTACTGTTTGAGAATATGGCAGCTTCTAAACATTCCAGGAAAATGACCTGCTTCTCAACATATATAAAGTTAAGCATGTTATATGTTATTACACTTTGAAACATTTTTACTGGCTATACACTTCAAAGCATAGATGTGCCTTGATTTCCATATTTGTATTTTAGATATACAGGTTCAGGGATTCCTTCCCAACAAAGATCAACTGAAAACTCGGAGTATCAGACTTTTACTTTTTACAGGGGTTGGACATATATTTTGTTTCAACTGATTCATTGTTATGATACATACCTTTGTACATAAAGCTTTTTCATGCACTATAATTATTTCTTCAGGCTAAATTCCCAGGAGTGGAATTACTGGATTCCAAGCTATAAACATTTTTAAGATTTTAGATTCTCACTGTCAATTTGCCTTCTAAAAGTTATGACATATTTGTTTAACAAAAGACAATGGGTCAAAATATGTTCATATATATCCTTGGAAAAGGGTGGAGTGAGATATAAACACTCCCCAAAATCCTGGCCTTTCCTCCTTTGCCCACTTATGATGCCACCTCATTTGGGTCATTATAACAGAGCCAGTCTCAGGATTTTCCTGCTACCTGGGGTCCTGCCAATCATGATTAGAGGAATACTTACCACAAGCTTAGATTGCTCAAAGAACACAAGGGTATGGATAATTCTCAGTGACAGCTTCCAGTTTTAGGAAAACTGCGAAATGTTTCTAATTGAAATGGGATTCCAGAAACCTCTTCAGCATCAGAATTCCATCCTCAGGGCTTCTTGTCTTTGTTGCACTCCACAGGTGGGGCCAAGGCCCCTGAAAATGGTGTATCAGGGACAAGAGAAGAGAGGGGAGCTCAATGGAACCCCAATGGTCTCTGGAGCCTATCTCCCCTTGTCCCATGGAGAATTTGTGGTGTGTCTTGGTCATTTCACTCAATAATGTATCTTCTGCCACACACAGTGTTTGGCTTTAAGCAAACTTGTAAGGCAGTACATATTTGAACAGCTTGAAAGGAAGAAAATGGGTTATAGGTACTCAAATGGACCACATCATTTATCATCCTGCAGTGGTCAGGGGAGGAGTCGCTTGAGTGGAACTTTCCCGGGGTTCATAAATAGATAGAAAGCAGGGGGTGGGGGGTGGGGCTGTGTCACAAAAACTTAGGCCAGGGCTTTATTATGTGAGGGGTGTGTGTGTGTGTGTGTGTGTGTGTGTGTGTGTATGTGTTGGTTTAGTGTTGTAGAAGTAACAGCTGCCAGTTGTTACTTATTAGCTTTAATGGATGGTGCACCCTGTAGTGGTCCTGGAGGTGACACTGAAAATGAAAGTAAAGGTGAATGTGGTGGTGATTGTGGTGGCAGCGTCTTCATGGGTGAGCTGAAGATTTTTGGGTGTCTCCATCCTTAGGTTTTTTGACAGCAGCCTCTCAGGGACCCAGTAAAGCAACATTTTGATAGTCCTCAAGACATCAGCAGCCTCCTAAATCTCTGAACAAACAAGCCTGCCTACCAGATAGGGCCTTGTTTACTAAGCATGGTGACTACCTTGGTAATATTCCTTAGTAGTTTATTAATGTATCTGTTTGAAATGTCACAAAAGACAGTGCCTGAATGCTAAATGTGCTGCAGAAAAGAGCCTGTCTTTCTGTATTTGAATTCTGATTTATCTGTCTACCTCTCAGGGCTTTATTTTCCACATCTGGAATGGGAACATGATACTCAGCTCATAGGGTTGTTGTAGGATTAAGTAAAATGACTCTTATGGAGGTCCTTGGCAATAGTGCCTGCACACAGCCTATACTCTAAGCACTACTTCCTTCCTTCCCCAAGAGAGAGGTGCCTTTGGTGGGAAGTCCCATGCAGAGGCCGTTCTGGACAACTCATCAAGGATGGAGCTCCCAGTTCTTTGCTCCCCGCTGCTTCTCTCTGACTCCAAAAGTTGATGTACCTCTGAAAATCCCCTTTCCTCTGCCTTCCCATCATGTTTCACTAAGTAGTGGCTCTCAAAGTGTGGTTCCTGAACCAGGAGCATTGGCATCATCTGGGATATATTAAAGATCCAAATTCTTAGGCTTCACCAGACCGACTTAGTCAAAAACTTTGGGGATGGAGAGAAATCTGTGTTTGAACAAGCCCTGCATGTGATTCTGATGCAGATGTGAGTTTGAGAACCACAGGTCAAAAGAATCTGGACTCTCATTGATATGACCTACTTTCACATTTGGCCTGCTTTCTGGATATGGCCCACCTGCTTTGAGACTGAGAAGTCACTCGAAATCTCCACCCACATCCCCAACAGATGCCTAGCCTGTACTGGAACTTTTATCATGTCCCGGTGATAGTGTTTTATTCTTCTCACCTGTGTATTCCCAGGCACACCTGTGGTGTCCAGCACTTGGCTAGGCCTCAGCCTGCAGAGGAGGAAGCCTTGCTTTCAGCCCTCCTACAGCCCTGCATTTGGATAATGGGGCATAAACTTTATTGTAGTTTTCCTTTTACTTTGCATTTTATATCCTGTCAGTCCTTGAAATGATTGTGTTTTGCCAAAATGGAGAGAAAAATACTTTTTCACTATTGCTGAACACTTTAATAGTCTTGAGCTTTTTCCCTGATCAGAGATTCAGGGCATATGCCAGCCTTTCCTTCATTTTCCAGCTCCAAAATTCTATCACCTCTTTAGAATTTGGGGAAAAGTACTATGCCAAGAACGGCACCAAAAGTTGCTACAGTTGTAATATTTAAAGTAGAGATCCTAAATATTATCATTAATATTCTAATTTGTGTACCTCCACTTTGTTCAGCACAGTTTTTGCACACTGAGGATTACTTAATAAATTATCTATTGAATGGACATGGCTCAAAACATCAAGCCTCTATCAGACCTGTAGGTCTGTCTTGATCAGCTGCTGGCATATTTTGAATACCATTGAATTAAGACTTCCTTGAATAGGCTTGTGTTTATCTTGCAAGAAGCTTTGCCTAGATGAAATTAGATTTTATAAGGTCCCGGATGGTTGTGGGAGCCATAGCAGAGTTTTAATATTTCAGAGAGCAATTATGTTGGGCCTGATATCAAGATCATGTAAAATATGCAACATCTTCTTTGTGCAATATTTTGTTGGAGGTTATTGGGCGTCATAGGGAGCAGACTTGGAAATTATCCTGATTTTAGCAGTTGTTTTGGGTTAGATCAGAATTAGAAATAACTGAGTAGTCCCAGTAGAGACTATTGGGGGCCAGAAGTCTGCTTTGCAAACAGGAAGTTTTTACTTGCTCTAACCTTGGCCCTGGAGTTTTTACTGAAATCTCAGAATATATATATATTCCAGGCTGGGTGCGGTGACTCACGCCTGTAATCCCAGAACTTTGGAAGGCCGAGGCAGGCAGATCACCTGAGATCGGGAGTTTGAGACCAGTCTGACCAACATGGACATATATATATATATATATATATATATATATATATATATATATATAAATATATATATATAATATATGTTTATATATATATATATATATATATGTTTATATATATATATATAATATATGTTTATATATATATATATAATATATGTTTATATATATATATAATATATGTTTATATATATATATAATATATGTTTATATATATATATAATATATGTTTATATATAATATATGTTTATATATATATATAATATATGTTTATATATATATATATAATATATGTTTATATATATATATATGTATTTGAGACAGGATCTCCCTCTGTCACCCAGCTAAAGTGCAGTGGCACAATCTTGGCTTACTGCACACTTGACCTCCTGAGCTCAAGTGATCCTCCCACCTCAGCCTCCCAAGTAGCTGGGACCCACAGGTGCACACCACCACGCCTGGCTAATTTTTTGTAGAGACAGGGTTTTGCCATGTTGCCCTGGCTGGTCTTGAACTCCTGAGCTCAGGTGATCTGCCCACCTCAACCTCCCAAAGTGCTGGGAACCACCATGCCTGGCCAGAACATACTTCTATTTTTTATGGCGTTTGTTAAGAGACAGTGTAGTATAATAGTTAAGAGCAGATGCTGGAGCCTGGCTGCTTGGGTTAGAAGGCTGCCTCCCCCTTTTCCTAGCTGTGTGAGGTTAGGTTACAAACCAAGCCCTTCTCTGCCTCAGTTTCTTCATCAGTAAAACGGAGATTATAGTACTAATTTCATGGAGTTGTTGAGAGGATTAAGAATATCCATACATGTAAAATGCTTTGAACATTTCTTGGCACAAAGAAAGGCCTCAATCAATGTTAGCTATTACTATTGTAATTTAGGCTCAGTTCCAAAGTTACTCTGAGAGGCCTTTCCTGACCACTCAATCCAAGCAGTCATACCTAACTCAACTACCTGTTTTTGACACCATCTTTTTACGGTCTTTATGACACTTGGCACAATCTGACATTAACTGATATGCACAATTTGTTCATCTGTTTATTTTATGTGTCTCCCCAACCCTAGAAAATAAGTTTCATGATGTCAGGGATTATGTCTTTGGTCAATGCTAAATTCTCAATATCGAGAATACTATCTACATCACAATAGGCATTCAGTAAATGTTTTTTTGACTAAATCACAGGTTCCAGAGTTAATCTACTCCTGAACGGACTAAGAGCTATTATTCTCCCACATTGTGGAGAGGCAGGGCATGATCTGGGACTTTCTGACCCCTTGAAGACTAGCTTTTCTCCTGTAATTCTTTAGAGCCTGGGCCGCCCTTTGGTGGACTTTGGAGTCTGGTTCATTCCAGGACCTTCAAAGGCCTGACAACAATGTGCAAGGGGTCAGCAGGAACATGGTGAAGACAGTTGTTGTCAGCCCGCCAAAGATGGAAATGATTTGGATTTTTTAGTCTTTCGAGGATTGAAACAAAATAAGGAGCATAGCTTTATATTGGGGAAGCTTGGCTGTCCTCATGTAAACTCAAGAATGTTGATGTGAGTTGGCTTACACTACTCATACTCATCCTGCCTACTCCAGTAGATGACTGGTCACTCCTGCTGTGAGTTTTGGCTAGTTCAGCTTTCAGCAGAGATACCAATGATCCTTCACGTAAAAAAACAAAAACAAAAAACAAAAAAAAAACCTCACTTCTTCTATGCCAAGCTTGAGTAAGAATGTAAAACAGCCTTAGGTGCCCAAATCTGTGACTCTCTGGATTGGGCTTCTTTATCTTATACACAGATATATTCATCAGGACACAGTCAGCTTGGGAGCACTGGATCAAGACCACTGCTGGGGTCAACCTCTTTATGACTCAAAGTTACCCTTGTCTACACAGGTAATGGGGTGGTTTTTTTTTTTTCAAATCTCTTGTTTGTCAGGAAGGGACAGGCTACGGGAACAAACAATCCCAAAGTCTCAGTGACTTAATACAAAAGAACTTTACTTACCTTCCTTGCAAAGTCTTCAGCAGGTCCAGGTGATTCCCTAGGGCAGCTGTCCTGCTGGCAGCCACTGAGAATATCAGACTGTTTTCAACAAGAGGCCTCCTCCAGGATTGTTGGAGCAGGAGAATAGAGAGGAGTAACAGTTTTACACAGGCCTTCTGCTTCAGCTCTGAAGTGACGCGCTTCAGCTCTGAAATGACGCGCTTCATCTCTGCTTTCCTTTCACTGGCCAGATCTAGTCATATGGCCCAGAAAACTAGAAGGGCCTGTGAAGCATGATCTTTCAGGTCCTCAGGAAGTGGAGGAAAAGTGGGTTTTGGGGAACACCGATAATATTTACCACAAACTACCAAGAGAAAACAGCTTGGTGGTTCTCCTTCTTATGGAAAAACCAAGACTACTCACTCTGCACTTACCATTCAAACAGACATTATTCCAGTGATTAAAAAGAGATTTGCTTTTTGTACCAAGCTTGTGGTACAACTTGAATTTTCTCTGTCTAATGAAGGAAAATAAAATTGCCAATATAATATTTGGTAGAAGACCCTTCTGGTAGGATAATGGTTAGACTATGACCCAATAATGTCATAGAGGGGAAAAAATAATGTTTCAAGGCCTTGGGCCATTTAAGCAATGACTTAGAGATAGAAATGCTTATAGACAGCATGATTAGTATGAAATAAGAAAACTGCTCAGTCGTTAAGTATCTTTGAAAGGGATGCTAACCACCTGGGAAACTTATTTCCTAACTCTTTAGGATTGGTGATGAAATAACACTCAGGTCCTTGAATAGAGTTGTCCATTTTTTCAAGGAAGATCCGTGGTTGCCTACTATAGGTTAGGCATTAAAGTAGATGGGGATATTAATATAGATAAGGCATGGGTCAAACCCTTAGAAAACTCATGATCCAGTGGGAGATACTAACTTAAAAAATGAAACTTCTACAAAATGTGGAAATTGTAATGTAGAGACTCGTACAAGGTGAAGTGATAGCTGTGAGGTCCGAAAAGGCATCAGGCATTTATTTTTTATTGACAAATAAAAGTTGTATATATGTATAGTATACAACTTGAGGCTTTGATATATGTATATATTGTGGAATGGATAAATTAAGCTAATTAACATATGCATTACCTCACATACTTGTCTTTTTTGTGTGTATGGTGAGAACTCTTAAAAATCTACTCTCTTAGCCATTTTCAAGTCAAGAGGAAACCTTTAAACTCAATCTAGAAAAATGAACACGTGATAATCAGGTAGATATGGGGATAAGAGTATTCCAGGCCAGGCACGGTGGCTCACGCCTGTAATCCCAGCACTTTGGGAGGCTGAGGTGGGCAGATCACCTGAGGTCGGGAGTTTGAGACCAGACTGACTAACATGGAGGAACCCGGTCTCTACTAAAAATACAAAATTAGCCAGGCCTGGTGGTGCATGCCTGTAATTCCAGGTACTCAGGAGGCTGAGGCAGGAGAATTGCTTGAACCCAGGAAGTGGAGGTTGTGGTGAACTGAGATTGCACCATTGCACCAGCGTGGGCAGCAAGAGCAAAACTCCTTTAAAAAAAAAAAAAAAAAAAAAAAGTATTCCAGGTAGTGAAAGCACTGTGTAAAGGCACAGAGATGTAAAACGGTAGAAAAGAAAGAAGGGATGAAAAAGAAAAAAAAAAGCAAGTAAGCTGGAGAATAAAGTATGAGGGGGTGAAGCATGTGATTTGGCCAGAGTGGTAGGCAAGGGCCAAGCCTTGGGGAATCTTGTTTGCTATGTTAAGGAATTTGGGCTTTATTCTGAGGACAATGGGATGCCATTGAAAGGTTTAATGCAGGAAGTTTACATTTAATTACCCAGTTTTCTCTGGTAGCTGGCAGGAGAATGGGTTAGAGATGTTGAGACTAGAAGCAGAGAGCCTCGTGAAGAAGCTGATGAGCTGTCCAGGTAAGAGTTGATGAAATCTACACTAGGAAGTGGGCCCTAGAGGTAAAGACAAGACCTACTGGGTCTGGCATTGGGTAGTAGACAGAAAGGAATAGCACCCTGTCACTTCTGATCCTGCTTGACTTAGGGGTCCAGGAGAAGGTATTGTGAGGGAGGATGCATTAAAAACCATATGAAGATTTCTAAGTCCAGTCTGGTAGCTGTAGTGGATGTGCTTGGTACCTTGTTCAGTACCATTTATTATGCTGAAGTACCCATCCCCCAGCTGCTGCAAGTGTGGGCTGCTGAAGGCTCACAGATGCATCCATTCTCCAGAGAACTGTCCTCAGATGCTTGGTCCTGGACGTTGCACATGCCCTGCTCTGGGCAAGCCTACAGTCAATAATGAACTCCTATGGGGGCACAAAGGTTGCACCTAAAGGTGACGAATACTTTGCATTGTAATTTATCTTCAGAGCCCTCTGTGGATTGAGTCAAGTCTAGACTCTGAGACCATAGCTTTGCTTAGCTCCTTCCTTTGCCTTATCCTACTCCCTCCTCCCTTTCCCTGAGAGTTCTCCCATAGTATATTGTGTGCACCAGAAACCTTGTTTCAACCTGTGCTTCCGCTCAGAGGAAACCCAAGACACCAGGAAATGGTGGAGATGGAAGTTAATAAAATATTGGGGGGAAAAAATCTCCCAGCAGCTACCCATATGAGGATGAGAATTAGAGAACATAGTCTGAGAGTATAATATTTGGAGGTAAATGATGCAATGAAATGGAGGGACAGATATCCTTATCCTCTTGCCAAGTTTATGAAAGAGAATTCAGATTCTTCAAAGCATGCATATGTGTGCTCTGCCCTTAGTGGCATGGACTGCTACTGCTACTTGGGGCCCCAAACATCTATGGGGCTGAGTTTCAAGTCCCTTTTGATGAAAATTCCAAGGACCAGGCGATATTGCTCATCTGTTTACAAAGCAGATGTGGGAGGTTGTAGAAGGCTGAGGGCTGATTTGAAGTGTGCTATTCTCCTCTTCTTTCAGTAGAGGTGACCTGGGCATTGAACCTGCAGTTGTTGGACCTCAGTCACCTTATCTGAAAAGATAAGGGGTGGGACTAGCTAATCTTATTCTCTGCCAGACCTGGGATTTAATTCTGTTTTCTGAAATGAAATTGCAAATGCTAAGAACATCTCTCTTTCTCTCTCTTTTTTTTCTTTTCTTTTCTTTTTTTTTTTTTTTTTGCCTAGGTGGCTCCTAAGGCTGTGGGCTTCAGAAATAGATAAAAATTTTCCCTAGCTCACTCCTCCCCCTTTTCTAAGCCATCTCTTTACAAAGCCTTCAGCTCCCTCCCGTCCCCTTTATGCTGAATAACACTACCTGTGTGGGTAGAAGTCATTTTTAGCCTCTGTGTCTGGGTCGAAGGCTCCAAGCCTAGTTTTCCTATTGTTTTGCTGTCTCCTGTTCAAAGCTGCCCTTACCTTGCTGAGTACGCTGGCCAGGAGGAAGCCTGCGCCAGTATGGAGGGTGGCATTTGTAGTTTCTCTCCTCCCACACTGAAAAAGCATCAAGTTGCTGGCATGCAGAACAATACTAAGAGGGGCTGGCTGGGATTTTTATTTTGGACTTCCTGTTCCAAAAAGGTTTGCTTCATTTTGGCATGGAGACAAAACACAACTACCCCCTTTAGCAAACACTATAAAACCATCTCCAGACAAAACCTCCCTTGGTGCTTTAATTGGGCAGCTGTAAGGAACCAGGTCCAGGTTTATGGTGAGGGCTTATGTGTAAGGATGAGGCACTCCAGGTCATTTGAGACACTGTGGGTTGTTTTGACTTTTTATTTTAGCTCTTGGTCTTATGAGTGAACACGGGGAGGGAGTAAGGGAGAGGAAATGCGGGGAGAGAGTGGCAAAAGAGAGAAGCAGAGGAAAGGGAGCTAATGGGGGTAGAGATGATGAAGATGGTGGCAAGAAGAATAAAGAAAACCACTGAGGGAGGAAGGGGAGAAAAAAAAGAAGTAGGGAGAAGGGAGAATTAGAGAAAGAGAGAGAAATAGAGGTGTGGATGAATTCAGAAATAGCGAGGGAAATCTTGCTCTTTGCAAAGAATTTTGGAATGGGGGACTCTGGGCTGTTGCATAATCATTTTGAGACAGGGTGGTCATGGGTGAGAAAAACTGGTAAAAAAATGTGAAAACTTTTCTTACATTTTGGCAGACCCAGGATAGAAAGAAATGAGGAATGTAAGTGGCAGAGCTGAGTTTTAAGCCCAAAGTGTCCTGGCTTCTTAATCCATCTTTCAAGCACATTCTCACCCATCCAGGCACCAGAGTATTCCTAGGGGCTGCTTTCCTTTAAAAGGGCATGGGATCACGACCTTTCTACTGACTCTGCTGAGTGCAGCAGGAAAGGGGATAGTTTGGTGGTCTCTATGGAAACTTAGGACACTGGGCTCTGCCTCTGTCGCTTGCCAGCTATGTTGCTTTGGGCAATTGCCTGACCTTTCTCAGCCTCAGCTCCCTCAGGTGTAAACTAGGGATAGTAATAGTACTAATTGGACAGTATTGTTCAGCATAGGAGAGTCCTTAGTGCATTGTTTTCTCCTGCTTTCTCTCGTAACTTTCCAGGAGAGTTCCCTGGGTGACTGTGGAGTCTATGGTTTCTTTCCTACACAGTCTGATTCTCTAGGCTTCCAGGAATAAGGTCTCTCTCCAGCACTGGGTTGGTACCTCCAGCTGGGCCCCAGCAACATGACACTGTCTCTTTGGTGACTATGAAGCTTTAGTCAGTCTTGGTTTAGCCATTGTAAAGGGGTCAGCGATTGTGATGGGGTTTCATGCCCAGAAGTTGATGCCACAGCAACTCTAGTCCCCTCTTGGCCCCTCGTAGTCCTCTATACTACTATTTTGTAGGCACTGGACATGCTAAAGAGCCTTGGTGGTCAGAATGAGGCTGGGCAGCTAGATTCCACCCTCTGCTCAGCCAGCGCAAGACGAAGTGCAGCCTGTGCTCTTGTTCACTGATGGTGAGATGAAATCAGTGAAGTAGATAACTTCCCCATGCCACAGTCAGAGCTGGTTTCTTCTTCTACACTTTGGACTTATTGCCGTTTTGGCTCACCATTCCTTAGTTCTAGTTGTTTGTTTGTTTGTTTTTGCCCTGAGTTGGAGCTTCTTATGGTCATGAAGCAGTGTGTCTCAGGTGATCATCAGGCAGAGAACAGAGAATTTGCACTGCCAGACAGAGGACACAGTGCCATGATCCCATGTAATCTTTTAAATTGGTTAGAGAGTCTCTAGACCAACATCCTCATTGTAAATTGCTTTCCTAATACTATCATTTACCAAACCACACCAGGGCCAGGCTCCATACTATAGATGTCTCATTATATCCTTACCACATTGCCCTTAGGTTGGCAGGAATGGACTGCTCCATTTTCAGTGCAGATACAGGGAGGCTCAGAGAAGTGAAGGCCCTTGCTCATAAATGGTGGAACCCGAACGGGGAAGATAGAAGTCCTCCAGAGTCACAGACCCAGAGCTCCCAGGCAGAGTCCTGTGGAATTCTGGGTGTTGGACACTTTCAGGTGAGTCAATGTGGATGATAGAAAAAGCTCCCTGGCCTTTGGCAGAGGTCAGAGTGGTGGCGATGGGCCCCTCTGCTGAGGTTAGCATGGGTAGGGATCCTGGCTTTGTCATTACTATACAGTAGTGGTGATGAATTTTAAGAAACATGCCAAAAGGAGAGTGGTAAGACCTCAGGCTGAGGTGACTTTTGTCATAGAATTCTAGAAATTTGGTTTCAACTGTTGCTTCTTAAGGGTAAAAAAGGAATAGATAAGCTTTCCCTTTCCTTGCAAATGTACCCCCTGGAGCTTCAGAGAGAGCTAGATTGCACTGCTGGGATAGCTAAGGAGGCTGCTTTGCCTCCTTTGCTTAACTGCTTCCCGGGGTCCAGGTGGCATGCCCCACACTAGGCATTGTAGCTGTCCTTTTCACAAAGAAGAAACAGAGAACAATATTATGTAGGAAGATATTTATTTTCTATACCTTTTGCCTGTCTGGGATGCTGGGTCTCTGCCAGGGCTGGAGAAATTAAGGGAGAATTGTGTTCTTGTATTCCCTAGGGCTATTTTATGTGCCCAGGCACTTGGCTCAGGCCTCTCTACAGCACTAATCAGTTTGCATTACAAGAGTCTGTTTCCAAGGTTGTCTCCGCCACTGTACTGTGAACTCCCACTGAGCCATGGGCCAAACCTGACTCATTGTTCTCTATGAGCACAGAACCTGCTGTGGGATAAGTTGGGAAGAAGGCATTTAGGACTGAGTTAGAAGATGGCATTACCTTGGTACCCTCATCACAATTTCAGATCTGGCCCTCCCCCTACAAATGCAGAAATACAGACCCAGCCATGAACCAGAGTTCCAGGGATGCAAATATGCCAAGGAGCTCCCAAGAGACAAAGGAACTGAATCAGTAAGTTAGTTTCACTATAGGAAATAGATCCCTTTAAACTCAGGGTGTTGGAATAGGCCAGGCCAGGACATTATCTCCCTGTCTCCCTGTGAACAAACCTGCAGTAGATAGCATAGGCCAGTGGTTCTCAGTCTTGAAGAGAATCAAAATCACCTGGAGGATTTGTTAGAACACAGATGGGTGGGCCCCACTCCTGAGTTTCTTCTGATTCAGTAGGTCTGGGATGGGGCCTGAGAATTTGCATTTCCAACATCTAATGCCATAGATCCAGGGACCTTCACTTTGAGAGTCGCCACTTTAGGTTAATATGGGGATTACGTAAGGAGGGGAACTTGGCTTCAGTGATCCCCAAAGGCTGGGGATCTCTGAAAAATCTGGACATTTGATCAGCTGAATATATATCACATTGCTCCTGCTCTTTTTTCACTTGTATCCTTCTTGCAAAACTAACCAAAGCAATAAAAAAATTCACAACAACAAAAATGATCCTAAACAATAATATCAAGCATCACAAAAAAGATAAGTAAGAACAAAGCTGTATCCTTGGTGTTGTAAAATGGTTTTGCATCGTATTTTTAGTTGGAAGTAACCCCAGCTCAAGACCAGAAACTCCTCTGGTATGGTCCAGGTGGGCTAGATCTTTGCCAGCAAGATCCCCAGCCCAAGGGCCTGGAGGTGGATCAGGTAGCTTGGCTGCTCAGAGGAAACCATGCCAGGAAGCTGGTGTGAGGATGAACCGCAATCCACACCTGTTTTCTCCTCAGCACAGCTGTCTCCTAAGGCATGGACACCTCACCATCTGTGCCTTTAACATGTGAAACACATTTTAAAATATACTATTTAATTTAAAATGATATTTGTCAGCTCGCTGCTGTGCCAGCTCCCTCTGCACAGAAGTGTTGCTGACAGAGCTTTAGTACAAAGAGAAGCAGGCCTGCAGGGTCAGCTGGCCAGGGACATAGAGGCTGGGCAACAGTGTGGAAGTTCATGGTGAAGCTGGCAAGCTTTTTATAGCCAGCAGTCATACCCTCACCTTGTCCTCCGAGACCTGGGACCCTCTAGAGGTCCAGGGTTACACAGTTTAAGGTATTGATGTTTCCGGAAGGAATGGCACCTTTGAAACTCTGTGAATTTCTCCATTCTTTCTCCTAACTGCAGTACAGATCCTGTGGGTAAATATTAATCAATCAATATGTCTACCTAAGAAAGCCCCTAATAACACATGAGCTACTATTGCTAAGACACATCCTCCCTGAAAGCTGTCCCAGTACTCCATCTCAGAGCTAGGATGCACCTTCTTCTTTCAAAGTCCATTTTATGCCTCTGTTCAGCCAGTTTGCTTCCCTCCGTTGTGGAAATTCAGAGGATTTTTCACAGCCTGGGTATGACAGACTTGTTCCCACTGTGCTATGAATTCATGCCTGCTCAGACTGCACCACCTTCCCATAAGGAGGTGTTAGGGGTGTCATCTGGGCTTTTAGCTCTGTTGTCAGCTTCGAAATAAATTGTAACCACAATTTGTAGCACAGGGAGGTGGTGAGGGAGGAATGGAGGGAGCAACAGAGAGATAGCTGAATTGTGGACAAATATGCTCTCTGATCAGTTTCTAGAAAAATCTTCCCAGGTAATTGTGTGCCTCAAGCCTAGGGTTGTTGTACATGGATTTTCTGCAAATTTTTATAGCTCATAGCCTAACTTACAGTTTGAAGGGAGAAGGGCCACCAGGTGGGGCTAAAGAGAGGCTTGTTTTGGATGAGGCAGAAGTCCACAGACTTATTTTGTTGTCTTGGAAAAGAGTTTACTTTTAATATCTTAAAATGAAAGTTAAGACCTAGTAAGTCTTTGCAGTTCATATTTCTTCTGCAGAAATGGTCCCTGCTTTTAAGAGTATTAAGCATTGTACCTTTAATCTCAAACCAACTCTATGCAACCTGCCTTCCTGCCTTCCCTCCTTCCTGCCTTCCTTCTCTCCCTTTGTCCCCCCTTCTTCCCTTCTTCCTCCTTTTCTTTCCTCCTTTTCTCCCTTCTTTTCTTACTTCTTTCTTTTCTTCCCTTTCCTTGCTCCTTCCCTCCCATCCTTCCATTTCTCTTTTTCCTCCTGCCCTACCGCCCCCTCATTCTGATGTAATGATTCATTTATCTGTTGAGACAATCCAATTTGCCTCCTTTCCACCAAGCACTATTTCAGGGAGTAGCTATGAATAAAACCCCTTGGATTCTGAAAGGAAGGGCAGAGCAGCTCACTGTCTCATGTCAGAGTTCACTGCTCTAGACTGATTAGCATTATTACTTCAGAGAAATGCCTTCAGCAAGATTCCAACTGGATATTTGTATAGCATTTTCCAGGGAGATATTAACAGTTCTCAGAATAATCTGGTAGTTTGATTTCACTGATGTACTTGTGATTTGTCCTTTTCTGAGAATTTGAACTTTTTTTTCCACTTTAAAACATAATAGAATAGTTTTACATGTCATGCTTTGAAATGTAAATATTTTCAAGTTCTGAGTGTACAGATAATAAATAATGCTCTAAAGTTTTAGATTAATTGGTAATTAATTTTTGCAAAGAGCTTTGAGATGGAAAGTGCTGCATTTCATCATGTCAAATTAGCATTGATTACAGAGATTTTTAAGTTTAACACCATGCAAATGCTGGCTTTTTCAGACTTATAAAATTGTATTTCTAGAACAAAGGGGTGCTTCTTTAGAATCTTACGTCAATTGTTGGATAGATGAGAGAATCAATGACCTTGATGAACATAGCAATCAGTCTGATAGCGCGTGCGCGCGCATGCGCACGTGCACACACACACACACACACACACACACACACACACACACACACTTGAGAATTTTGACTGCATTGGGAAAACAATTCTGCATCACATTATGGGCATTCTAGAGTGTGGAAAATGGCAATGAAAAGTGACTCATTGTGGCAGCCCACAAATCCACTCTTCCTCACACATTGAATGAGATAATACAATTAATTGAGCACATATGTTGATTCAGCCTTCAAAGGTTAAGAATAACCAGGCAAGAGCCATGGGAAGGCAGACAAGCCCTCAGGAAAGTACCTTACAAAGTGGTGACAATGAGCACAGACCATGATGCCTCATGGGGACAGCACCAGCTGTGGAATCACAGAAATAAGAATCACTATTCTCTCATCTGCCTACTGCCTACGTGACCCTGGGAACAGTTACCCAGCCTTCTTGAGTCTGTTTCCTCTCTGAAAGATGAGATCACAAGACCTATCTCGGGGCTGTTTTAAGTAAATGAGGTAAATGAACATAGCACTCAGCATAGTGCCTGGCACATTTTCCATACGTGTTATCCTATGGCTAATGATGCCTAGGGACACCCAGGGAAGGTTTCCTCAAATTGTCACAGGGGATGAGAACCCTTCAGGGTAAAAGTGTTTGAGACAGTAAAACACAATTTATCCAGCAATAAAAATAACACACTTGCATCCTGCTTTGGAGTTTACAAAGCACACAGTTATACCTTCATGGTGTCCTCACGACTTCCTTGTGAGATCAAGACAAGTAAAATTTTCCCAAAGCAGGGATGAGAAGGCTGAGTGATTTGTCCACCGGCAAACACAGCCTGAAATCCAGATCTTTTGATTCCAAGCCCAGTGCTATTCTGCTACATCCTTGCAGGTACCAATAGGCATCCCAGGGTGTAAAAGGAAGGAACCAGGGTCATCTTAGTCCTGGGGTAGAGAAATCATTTTCTCAGAGAGAGAGAGGACTGCCATATTTCTCGTTCTATGAGTAGTCAAAGAACCATTCTTTGGCACACACACACAGACACACAGATGCAGACAAACACACACACAGAGACACAGATATACACATCCATATTCCAGAAGACCCTGACAGCTAGTGAAGACCATTTACCAGGTGCCTATAATACATAAAATAAGGAAAATGTCATTTTCAAAGGCTAATCCCCACTTTTTTATGATGCAAACAAGAAATTCTGATTTTGAGCCTGGTAGAAGGAGGGAAAAACTTGCTTGGTGATTCTAGAAATGTGGCAGTGGCATGCTAATCTGGGTACAAAGGTTATGCACATTTTATTTTTCCCCCAGAGCTATCATCTTTCTCACAGCTTGTTTCCTTCTCTTTTTATGAAATGTTGCTGGTGAATGCAGAGGACTTTTATTTTGTTAAAAGGAGCTTTATTTGAGACATGTTTCCTTAACGACAGACTTTTTATATATAGAAACAGCACTGCCTGATATTTTTAAAACTTCTTCTGGAATCAAAATCTAAGTCACTTTATATTGGGTAAGTTCGGGGGTCGGTGAAAGGGGTCCACGACATCCTTTAATTACTGGGCTCCTAGACAACTGGGCTGCAAATTGCTTCACCAGTTCTCTTTGTGAATTCCATGCCTGCTACAGACCTGGCAGCAATCTGTACCAGGAAGGCTGGAGAGGATGCTGGCAGCTGTCACCTCATCTCTCATCACCTTCTAGTTCTTTCCTTCTCTCTTTCTCCTCCTTTTTCCTTTGCTTCCCTCTAGCTTAGCAGTTTAATAGCATACTAGGTTCTTCTCCATAAATAGATCCCAAGCTTGGCTGCATCACCAGTCACTTGGATAAGCTAATTAAAACTATAGATTCAGGGGCCTCATCCCAGATATTCTGAATTAGACCTGAGAGTCTGGATTTCTAAGCTTCTTCCCAGGTGATTCTAAGCCTGCCAGCCTGTCCTGTTCTTTGATCATATAAAGAACAACTTATTGACTGGGCACGGTGGCTCACGCCTATAATCCCAGCACTTTGGGAGGCCAAGGTGGGCGGATCACTTGAGGTCAGGAGTTCGAGACCAGCCTAGCCAACATGGTGAAACGCCATCTCTACTAAAAATACAAAAATCAGCCGGGCATGGTAGTGCGCGTCTGTAATCCCAGCTATTCAGGAGGCTGAGGCAGGAGAATCGCTTGAACTGGGGAGGCAGAGGTTGCAACAGAGCGAGATTCCATCTCAAAAAAGAACAAATTCCTTATTTATTCATTTATTTATTTTTGAGATAGGGTGTCACTCTGTTGCCCTGACTGGAGGGCAGTGGCATGATCACAGCTCACTGCAGCCTCAAACTCTTGGGCTTATGTGATCCTTTCACCTTAGCCTCTTGAGTAGCTGGGGCTACAGGTGTGTGCCACCACACATGGCTAATTTTTAAAAATTTTTTATAGAGACGGAGTCTTGCTTGTTGCTCAGACTGGTTTTGAACTCCTGGCCTCAAGTGATCCTCCCACCTCAGCCCCCTGAAGTGCTGGGATTACAAGTGTGAGCCACTGTGCCTGACCAAAAACAACTTTGTATTGCACAGAGCGTTGTTTGTATGTGAATACATCTGATCCTTGCAATTACCCCGTAGACAGATATAGAAGCTGAAGCTCAGGGAGCTTAAGTAATCTGTTGAAGGTCAACTATTTATTCACTCACTTATTAATTGAATCACTGAGTGATTTATTCTTTCATAATATATATTTTTTTATGGCCCAGGCCCTGTGACAGAACAGAAAATATGGAGACCAGTAAATCATGATAGCTCTCCTCAAAGTATTCTATCTAAACTCTAACGGATTGCTCAGCTCATTGCTGCTGAAACCGAGACTCAAAAGATTTTATACTTTTAAAAAACTTTTTATTTTGAAATAATTATAGACTCACAAGAAGTTGTAAAAATAGTGCAAAGACTTCCTGTCTTTGCATCACCCAGCTTCTCCCTGTGGAAACATCTTACAAAACTATCAAAATCAGGAAATAGACATTGGCGCAATATAATTAACTAGACTACAGATCATACTCAGATTTCACCAGCTTTTGTCCCAGACCATTTTTACTAAAGCATGAAGCTACCAGTGGACTATATAACCTGTGTAGCCTTGATACTGGTTCATAATCAAAATGGTTTCTAACCCCTGGGGTAATAGCTGCTGATCAAAAAATGCAGAACACACAAACTGTTCTCTGGATGAGTTTGCTTTTCAAAAAATAAAAACAAATGCAATACATAGTGGATGCTATTAATGCTCTGGCCAGATCACCTTTACTGGGCCAGTGCCCAGTAAAAAGGACTGCAGTCTTTCAAGAGCACAAAACTGAGCACAGAGCTGGAATTTGGGAGAACTGGGGTCTTTTCTCACCTGCTGTGAGTATTGGCTGCTACTGGCTTATGGCTCCCTCTTCTCCGGAAAATTGGCCCTCAGTCAAGCAAGAGCTGTCTGTGCCTGGCCCAAGATGTTATGCCCTCTTCCTACTTCCCAGAGCCCACAGCCAGTGACTGACTGATATGGGGGTAAAGAAAGCTTGTCCTCTTGCTTCAAGGTGGGACGCTGAGGCAATTAATGCTCCAGAGCTCCTAGTAGGATAAGCCTGAAGCTCATCTCCAGCTGAGACCACAGCCTTGCTCAGCTCCTTCCCATACCCATCTTGAGATCACCCCCTCCATAAATCTCATGCATCTGCATCCCTATGTCAGACTCTGCTTCCAGGGAATTTGAGCAAAGCTATATGCTTATTTTGTTTTCTTGTATCACCTTTTCATTTTAGAGAAGGGCAGTCCTACATTCAAAATTGATTTCCTCGTAGCACATTGAAACACCCCTCACACACTCACACAGATCTATACAGATACACAAACACATTCTCACCTGTACACCATCATCAACATTCTCACACACACCATAACCAAAGCAGTGTGGCAGATGGTGATAAGGTAATCCAGGTGTCCTTCTATTATGTGCATATACAAACGACACATTGACTACCACATCAATGGTTATGAATTTCATGTTACACTGAGTCTCATTAGTTTGTAGACATTACTTTGAGGTAATCAACACAGTGTGATTAGAAAGCAATTTTAAATGTAGCATAACATTTTAGCTGGAAGTTCAAATTACTGTCTCCCTGCCTCCCCATCTATGCAAAGTCAACTTTCAATTAGATGGACTGAACCAAACAGATCATTGGTTTATCCTTTAGCAGAGAATAACATCAATAAGACTGAAGGCTGATTGGCCTGCTTGAATGATTGTAGCCTGTACAAAATTATGAAGGACTGCAGTCTTTCAATAGCACAAAACTGAACACAAAGCTGGGATTTTGGAGTCCTGGGACTTCCCTCAACTGCCAGCTATGAAACCCTTGGCATGTTTCTTTAAAATCTCTGTCTTATTTTCCCATAAAATGGAGATAATATACCCTCTCTTGTGTGTCCCAGAAAACAAAGATAAAATTATTGCAGTGAAAGTGCTTTATAAGCTTATAAAGTACTGAGAGAAAGGTGGGTATCATTTTCCAGGGCCTCAGCCCTGGTCTTGAGCACTTCTTTCTCCATTTATTAAACATCCTCCCTTCTTCCCTCCTTTCTCCCAACCAAGCACTTGATGCTTTTTTTTTTTCCCTGCCAGTAAAGTCTCATCTCTTTTCTATGTCTTCTTTGAGGTACTCTGACTCTCTTGGAATTCATTTTCCTCAGGAATCTGACCAAGAAAAGGACATAAATATGATCTAACAATGCTATAATATGGCTGGAATTTTATAGGTACTTTAATCATCCTAGATGCTCGAAATCTAGATTCAAACACAAAAACAAAATGTGTCCAGTCTTTTGATTTGGCTTATTCTGCAATACGATTTTGTGTTGTTACAACCAAGATACTGCAAATAAACCCCAGTATTTTTCTATAAATAGCCCTTGTGTGCTCAGCATTTCTTTCATAAGGCATTTGCTGCTGTAGAATCACTCTTCCTCAGGTCACCATTCAGTCTGCTGTGATCACACAGCAGCTAAGGAGCTGGTAGGCATTCAAGGAAGGGGGGATATGGAGCATGTGGTGATGAGGCCAAGACTTCCAGGCTTGGAGACTACCTCTTCTGAGTTCAGTTTTCACTTTTTCTTGCTTCTGGAAATATACTATTAATTTCTTCCTTCCCACTTGAAATCAGATGTTAGCATCTTCTTTGAAGACCGCCTCCATATGGAGTGCCAAGAGCATCAAAATATAACAGTCCAGATTTTGTATGCTATAAAAGTATAGCATTTATTGACATGAAGTTAATTATATTGGAGTACACCAGAGGAAATAAAAAGATTAAACTTTTACCCAAGATGTTCCATTTCTCAAAATTTACACAAGTTACCATAAAACTTGTTCAGGAGATGTAGTCTAAACAGTCTAGTAGCCCAAGACACAATTCAAAGTCTAAGCCTTCTGGCATTTATTGCTGCCTATTTTCTGAGCCTGACTGGTAAAATCTCTAGTGAGTCCTGGTTGCATCTCATCAGCAAGGATGACTCTGGAAATGCAAAAGCTGTTCTACTGGGTTCAACTTGAATATTTTGTACCTTTCAGTTTATGGAATATTTAAGTTATAATCAGGAATGTTTTGATATATTAAAATGTCACCTCTTCATAATAAAGTGACAGCTGCAACAGTAACTACTACATTCCCTATTAAGTGCCTCTCAGTTAATGTTGTGTCTCTCTCTGCTGGTTCTCCAGACTTCAGGGGTCATTTTGAAGCTTTACTCTCAATTCCCATGTGTAATCCCTCACCAAATCCTGTTGATTTCACTCCCATAATTTTTATTAAATCTTTCCACTCTTCTAAATTTGTACTGCCCTCATTCTAACCTAAGGACCTGACTTATCATGCCCGAATTATTATAATCATGCCTTCTTGAAGCTGTTCTTGTCCCTCTCCAACTTAGTCTACTCACCTCCACTGGAGTGACCTATAAAAATGCAGAGTTGGTTTCAGATTTAAGAGGGCAGACTGATACAGCTAGTTTTCCTGTCTCCCAAAAGCCCCCTAAAAGGACAAGGGGAGATTTTTAAAACAATAATTTAAACACAATAGTGCTGGAAGACAAAGACAGAAGCCAATAGTAAAAGAGTAAGTTTAAGAAAATCCTGGATGATAAAAGACAGGTATGATCAGTTTAACAGAGTTGACGGAATGGGAGAAATTTCAGCCTGAAACACCAGGGATAAGGGAGCAGAAGAAGCTCTGAGGTCAAAGCCAACCAATAAACACTGCTGGCTGTAGGGTGATCACCAGGGTTCTTGGCTTTTAAAACACTGAAATTAGAACAGCTGAGTCTCCTGGGAGTGTCCCTCTTTATCTCATGTTTCCTTATGCACAGAGCATATGAGTCAGGGTAGGAGCAGAACAAAATCCAGGAACTAATGTCTAAAGAAAATGTGTATGATCTTTCTAGGAAGGTATCCTTCTGCAGTTTGGGGGATCTGAAGAAAAGCTGAGCAGATCAGAAATGAACTCAGCAGAATTAACATTAGAAAGAGAGAAACAAGGACACCAAGAAGCAATTTCACCCAGGAAAGCATTCTGTTATGAAATCCAAGCTCTCTTTACATGAAGACTCAGCCTGCAGACAGCTCCCTACACATGCACCCCACAGGGAAGGCTGCTTGTCACCAGCAACCATCTCCATCCACATTCCCCCCGCCCTGCCCCCACGAGAAGCCTGCCTTCAGTTGTCCCAATTACAGGGAAGCCTGCTGAGGAAACAGAACTGTCTGAATGCAAAGGAAATTTAGCTCTTATGAATATGAACTCTCAACCAAGAATCACCAGACGTTTAAGGAAAACCAAGAACACAAAAGAGAAAGATCAAGATTAAAAAAACAGCTGGGCGTGGTGGCTCTTGCCTGTAATCCCAGCACTTTGGGAGGCTGAGGCGGGAGGATCGCTTGAGCATAGGAGTTCGAGACTAACCTGGACAATATAGTGAGACCTCGTGTCTACATAAAATTTAAAAATTAATTAGCTGGGCATGGTGTTGTGCACCTGTAGACCCAACTACTCAGGAGGCTGAGGTGGGAGGATCCTTTGAGCCTGAGATGTTGACGGTGCAGTGAGCTGTGATAGCTAAATGAGATCACTCTGTAAAACAAACAAACAACAACAATAAAACCAGAGCCATCTTCTGAAAAAACAGAAATCATTGAGAAATAATAAAAGAACTTAAAAGTTCTAATATCCTTAGAAACAGGTGGATATTGTTTCTATTTTTACAAAGTACAAGAAAAGAAAAAAAGAACAAGCATTAGTGAAAAAAGGAATCCCTAGAAACTAAAAATGTGTTTATACAATGGAAAAAAGATATCATAGAACTAACAAAGAAATGGAAAAGCCAAGGTTAAAGACCAAAGTTGGCAAATAAATCAAGGACATCTCCCATAATGAAAAACAAAAGCTAAAGAGAGCATCTTATCAACAGTAGAATGGACATAAATTTGAATGTATTTATGTGTGGACTATTATACAGCAATGAGAATAAGCATATTAGAACTATACACAACAACATGGATGAATCTCATGAGCATGAAGTTAGGGAACTTAAGAAGCCAGCTACAAAGAGCACATGCTGTGTTATTTCATGTACATAAAGTTCAAAAACAGGCAGCACTAACCTATGGCATTAAAAGCCAAGAAAGTCAAAAGATACCCTTGGGGTGGTGGTGACAGGAAGCAGCATGAGGGTCCTTCTGTGTTGGTGACATTCTCTTTCTTCAAGAGCTCGCTATGTGGGTGGTTTGCTTTGTAAAAATTCAGCAATGTGTACAGTTGTGTACATTTTTAATGTATACTTTTATATGTTTTAACCTTCAAAAAGTGAAACAAATATAAAACTTCATGTGTTCAAATTAACCAATTTATCCTTAATGGTCTGGATTTTTATTATATTCAGAAAGTCCTTTCCTAGTCTGAGATTACAATTTTCTTTTTCCTGATGCTGTTTATTTTGTGATTTACTATCTTTTGTTGTTTAAATTGTGTATCCACGTAGATTTCATTTTATAAATCATCATTTTGAAAACTACTGCATGTCTCACCAACAAATGTGTAATGATGGATTTAATCGATCCCTTATTGTTAAAAGTATAGGTCATATCCAGTTTTCACTATTAGGAAAGTAAAAAAAAAGTGTACAGACAAATGAGGAATGAGGAGTTTAACATTCATCCATTAAGAGTTTCAGAAAGAGGACAGAGATAATGGAGTGAGGAGAAAAAAAAGGCAAATAGAGGCAAGTTCCCCAGAAGTGAAGTAAGACAGTATTGTGTGTAATGCCCTAAATCACACTGAGCAGGATGCTGAACAAAGAGATCCACACTTAGAAGCAAAATAGTTGCTAAGTGGAACATTCTTAGAATAAAAAGAATGTCCCAAAAGTTTCTGTAAATATGAAGCAGGTTACCTGTGATGCAGTAAGAATCAGCTTGACATCAGACTGTTCACTGGCAAGAGTAAAGAAATATCTTTTTTTGTTGGAATAAAATGACAAATCTCATGAATGTGTCTCCATCCAAACTTTCAGTTAAAGATATTTTTGAGAAATCAAGGGCTCAAAATATTTACCACCCATGTAGCTAATTTGAACATAATTACTTCAAGCGTTTTCCTCAAACAAAAAAAGAATATAAGAAAGTGACTTGAGGTACATGAAATAATAACAGCTGACTATGGTAGAACGTGTGAAATTAGAACACAATGAAAAGAATCAACGAGACCTCTGTGATACTGGGAAGGAAGGGTATGATGACATTGGTCATGGGTTAGTGCATGCACACAGTTCTATTCAAATATGCAGGGGGTGCATCATCTTCATTATTCTGTAACTGACCTCATGCTAATCATGCACCCTTGTCCCCTCTCCCTATCCATTGCTAGAGATGCAAAATACACTTGTCAGAGATCCTTGTCAGTCTCTGTTTAAACTATATTATTGAGGTAACTCAGTGTTTTCTAGGAATAGGCCAGCTCCTATTAACGTCCCCCTTTCTCTTTGTCTTTCCAAAGATGGTATTTAGGTATTTTGAGGGGGGTGTAGTTTACATGTCCTCATAGTGTTGGAAAAGAGACCCTCCAATGCGTTGTACTTTTCCTGGGTTCTTCCTGGCCTTTGCCACGAAACTGGGATAATCAGGCTAATTCTTGAGCTACTGGGAGATGTCTACTTGGTTATGGGTGACCTCATCTGACTTTTCAGGGTGCATGCCGTTCCCTGAAGCTGAAGTCTTATTGCAAAGTACTGGTTCTCCATAACCATTTGTTTTTACCAAGCTCAATTGGTCTACAAGTGTTCTTGGTACCTCCATATCCTCTCATCGGGACACACAAAGTTTTTGTGTCCCCTGCTTACTGCACACCAACCTCAAAGAGTCAAAGCTGCTACCTCATGCCATGTATTTAGATAACTCCCTCCATCCACGTTACACCATCACTCTCTTGCCATGTTGGACTTTGTGACATGCTGAGTGGAGGACTCCCTGCTCAAACTATGATCTAGGAAGATGCTAGCCTGATGGTCTCCAACTAGAAGATTATTACCATGCACAAACTTTCTGGGATGTCAGGCTGGAGGGAAGCCAGGGCACATATTTTTGACTGTTTTCTTCTCCATCTCTTTCTCTTCGCGCTCGGCATAAAACCAGAAAGGTTGGTACTTCTCATGTGGCAGGGATTTATTATATCCTGAATTATTCTCTTTCCTTTGGCTTGTGGCAAAATTCAGCTCCCAGCCCTTGGGGTCAAGAAATATAGAAAATGTGTCTCCTGTCAATATGACAATTGCCTTGATAGGAACTTGAAAGTCCTATTTTAAAAGGGACTGGGTATTGACTCAGGTACTGTATCTGCTATCCACTATCCACTCTCTTCTTCCCCAGTGTGATAAGTCATAAGCTACCACTAATCTAAGGGTGGCTAACGTTTTCTCAACTCTACCCAATCATATCAGGTCTCCTAGATAGACACCCAACCAGGCCATGGCAATCATCACTTTTTTTGTATAACTATTTGCTTATTGCATGGCTCCCACTGGATTCTACACTCTTTGAGAAAAATGGCTGAAAACAAATCTGTGAAGTACTCTGAGGAGAGATTTCAAGCCCATGGAGATCTGGCCTTCCTGCACCATTGCAATTTCTCTGTACAAAAGGACAGACAAGTCGGGAGGTGGGAACCACTTGTACATGTGTGCCCTATGGTAAGGCATAGGCTGAGGGAGGAGATAGGGCCTACTTTATCCTCCTTTGCCAGTATTTGTAAAGCTGTTTTCAAAATAGTGTCTCACTAGCAATGGGGGTGAAGGAGCCCATATGTGTGGTGCCCATATCCTGGCTCTGCCATGTTGGTACCATCAGAATACTCAGTTTTCCAAAGAGCCACGTGAGGTAGCAGGGCAGTGCTCCTGTGACCACTTTAGTGTTGAAACAATAAAAATAGCAGAGCTGGAATTAAATCTGTTTTAGTGATTTCTATTCAGTTCTCCTTCCACTCTGAGTATTGAGTCTCTGATAGTATCTATTCATTTATAAAATGAATACTTTAGCTGGAGGATCTGTCATCAACTTGGTTTGCTTATCCATGTAGTGGGGATAATAATAACTGCCTGTCTAGAATTTTGTGAGGATTATGTTAAGGTAAATCTCTCAACACAGGACAGAGAGTAGACCCATGATATTTGTCCATTTCTTTGCTGTAAATCAATTCCTCTCCATTGTCAATTGCAGTTATAATAAAGAAGCAATTGCCTTCTGAAGCCCAATATTATGATGTTTCTGCAACAATAACAAATGCAGATTCCAGGTGTCAAATTTAAAGATTGCTCAGCTACCCTAATTAGAATAAGAGCCATTCAGCTTCATCCTTCTTGCTGAGTAAAGGATGGTTGTTCGTCAAGAGGAGAAGGCACCTGAGTCAGCTAGCGTCATTCTGTTGCAGTGCTGCAGGCAGCAAAACTCCCAACTTCAACTGGTGATACAAAGAAAGGAAGTTCTGATGCATATAACTGCACAGTCTTCAGGTTCATCTTGATTCAGGGGTTAGAGTAACTAATGTTACCAGGACCACTCTTTTGTGCTGCTTCATCTGGGTTGATTCAGTTCTTAACTTCTGTACAGAGGCCCATGGACCACATCATCCTAAGGTCCAGTCCAGTTGGAAAAATGGAACGGTTTCTCTTAGCATTTCCAACAAGTCTTGAGATTCAATCTGATTGAACCAGCTTAGCTTATAGCTTCCCTACTGAAGCACTTAGTGTGTCTAGTGCATAGGCCTTGGTTACACACCCCTCTGGGAGTTGAGGATGGAGCCTCCAGGTCATGCAAATTGAAATTGATGAGGATGGATTCTGCTTCTCCGCCTACTGCCGTTCCTGCCACTGGTACCCACCAATGAGGCTCTTCCTGAAGGAAGAGGAAACCAACATTAGGACGTTTTACAAAATGGCCACAGCAACAAAAATCCCAAGGATAAAGGGTTTTCTTCTCTTAAAAATCTGTGTATTTTCAGTTGGGTTGGCTGTCTGATACCTAAGAATTATGGCAGAAAGCAAAGCCCCTCTAAAACTACTCAAATATTTAATTTCTGATAAGTGGACTGTGCTTCCCAGTCAGCATATAATGAAATTAGAGTATACAGGGCCAGAATTCAATTGGTTGACATGTATGTATCTGAGAAGGTCGTGTGTTTTAGTTAAGATACATTAGTGGTGATAACAGATAGATTCATCTAGTCTCAGGCTTAATAAGACAGAAGATTATTTTTCATAAGTGTGAAGTCCAAATGGATGATCCTCATTGGTGGGTTACTCTCCTTTAAGTAACAATTCAGGGGCCCAGTTTCCTTTCCTCTCTTGGCTCTGCTGTCTTCAACACTTCTGCCAAGATGACTGTGAAAGTGAGAAAAAGAGTTATGCTTTGGATGATTTTGTGTGGGATACATCTTCGACTCCTATTCTGTTGGGTATCACTCAGTCATATGCCAGGACAGGAGATGCTGGGGATAAACTCTACCCATGGGCCTAGGAGGAAGATCTGAGTTTGGGGAGAGGCTAAGCAGTCTCTGGTCCTGAGGTTTTATCCATCTTGTTATTTGCTCATGTCCTGTTAGGAGTGGGGGATGCTAAGATAGCGGCACTTAGATCTCTCAGAGCAAGGCTGGTTGTGAAGATGGCTTTCTTGGACAACGGCAAAGGAATGTAGAGATTTTGGATCAAAGCCTCACAGTTTTCTGTAGTCCAATCCCTGAGGAGAGGAGGAGACCAGTTTAGGGAGGGAAAAGAGGACATAAGCGGCTGTGAGTGAAGGAAGCATTTCTAAGATTAAATGCTGATGGTGGGAGGAGGACACTTAACAAGATGTCCTCCATGAATTTCATCTGATGACCCATTCGTCATTGTCCAAGGAGTCCTAGGAAACTGGGCTTCTCTTTTCAAGCAGTTGTACATCCAAAAAATAAGTCTCATTCAAAATCTTAAATTATTTACTGCAGCGGACCTAAAATTCTATCAATTATTTATAGCAAGGAAGTCCAGTAGGTCTAAACTTAAAAACTCAAATACACACTGCAGTCAATTAGTAGTGACTGCTTGGAGTACTGTGTTGGGAAGGATTCTGATACTGTATTCAGACTCAGTATGAGAGGAAACTGTAATTGATTATTGGTGTCTATAACGAGAATTGGAGGTTGAAGTAATGGCAGTAAAGCACCATGGTTTCCATTTACAGTTTTTGAAAACATGGTAAACAGAATTGTATTTGAAATATGCAACAAAGCATTCTCGTATCTTAGCCTGAATTAGTTACTTTCTTCTTCAAGATAGCTGGGGTCCTCCACTTTAAGGGGAAAGTGAGTTTTAAATTGGAGAAGTAGAAACAGGTAATTTTGGATCTGGAAGACTTTGGAAAGGGAAGCAATGAGCCTGGGAGGCACAAAGAGGTAGGGATCTCAGATGGTTCTTTTTACCCTCCCACATTGTCCCCTCTTCTCTGTATTGCTCTCTGCCCTGGGATGCTGATCTACATAAACTGTCTTAGTGGGCTCCCATGCCCTTTGGCTTCCAGTTAGGTGGGGACAATGGGTAAACCCTGTCCTGGAGAACAGGAGGAGGGAAAGGCCAGATTATTTTTTTCTGCCTTCTTCTTGCCTCCGCTCTCAAGCATCTGGATGTAGCTGTGCACTCCATGGCCATACCTCCTATTGTGTGGCCCTTCCCCAACCCAGCTCTCACTGAGCTCCAGTAACACAATTTTCATCTCTCGCCTTGACAGCCCTAGGGGTTTGTAGTGGTGTTCTGCTTTGCTAGTCTCTGAATGTTACAACACTTCTTGTTGATTTCTTTAGCCTTTCCCACACCTCTGTAAGTGGTCCCTTCATAAAGTCTCTTGATCTGCACCATCCATCTAAAATGAATCCAGGGTCTTTGGGAATCTAGATGGCGAATGAGAATTTTGGTGATTCAGGGAGATACTAAAGGGACCCTGAAGGAGGCAGAATTTGTTTAGTTTAGCCCCATACTAAGAGTCATCCTCCTTCCCTACTCTTTTCTAAAAACTGGATAAGTGACATTTCTCTTGGAAAAAAAAAATGGAACCTAGGAGTAAAAGGAGGCCTGGGAGTGTCATTTCCTCAGTATTCCAATATTTATGCCTAGCACTTTTGGATGTGAAGATGAGTGGGATAGAGTTGAGTGATATTATCTGGTCCTGGGCAAAAGGTTCTAAATATTAGTGGATTTGACTCTTAGATTTGGTCAGTTAAATTGAACCCATTGGCACCCTCAGATATGATTCCTAATCAGGGCTGTCTTTAGGGTGGATTTTATTTAAATGATTAAATTTAAATTTAAATAATTTAAACTCCCCACTTTAGAGTGAAGTGTGGGGTCCTCCGTCCATATGTATCCTGTAGATGCTGCTTCTGGAGTGTCATTTCTGGCTCAAGATGCACTTGATGCCAATTTCCATGTGGATAATAACACTGGGGACAGTCAAACCCACACAGCATAACCTGGCCCTGCTCTCATGCTCTAGATTCAGCACAAAGTCCACAGGAGGAGGACATTCTCATGGTACTGCTGCTGAAGGCCACAGGGGAGCCAACACAGGGGCCGGGACTTTACAGGGGGTAGCTGTTTTGGGAAACAGAATGTTCTTGCCCTTCTTTTTCCTCCCTCCCTCCCTCCCTCCTTTCCTTCCTCCCTCCCTCCCTCCCTCCCTCCTTTCCTTCCTTCCTTCCTTCCTTCCTTTCTTCCTTCCTTCCTTCCTTCCCGGATATCTGAACAATGCTATTTGCAGAGATGCCTGGCCCTTTTCCAGACCTTCTCTGATATTTTAGTGTATTCTTTGTTTGCCATTTAATACACAGTAAATTTATTTTCTCATCTTTTCCACAGGTTTTGAAATTTTATTTTCAAAATTTGAAATTAAACATTTTGAATAAACAGTTGAAATTATATTTTCAACATTTAACTTGGGAAGCAGGAGACCTGGTCTTAGACATTGCTGTATGACTGTGAGAAAATCAATTTTCCTCTCTGGGTTTCTGGTTTACTTCTATGCAAAATGACTGAGTATGATTTCTAGCACTCTGTCATTGATGGCATCATATGATACTTTGCTTTGAAGCTGAGGCAGAAGTGACATGTGGAGACATCTTCCCATGATTGGTGGCTGTCAACATTCATCTTGGAGAGGTTTCATGGGGGATGAAGACTCAGACTGCCCAGAAGGAGCATAGACAAATGTTCAGAAAGCAGTGACCCTCACACTGTGCTACCTGGTAACATAATCAGCTGTTGATTAATTAAGGGAAGAGAAACAGAAAACTGAAATCTACAGATAATTTTCAAGCCTCATCTTCAGCAACAATTTCAACCTCCTCTCTGATTCCATTGAATTTTTAATATTTTTTTCTTTGTTTTCTCTTAGGACCAGAGCTGCTAACAAGGAAAAAATTGACTGATTTAAATTTCATCTTCTTTAATTTTCTCAGCACAGGCTGTGGTAGGAGTGCTAATGAGCAATGGAAAGACAACAAGGGCTCATCAGAGGGGTGAAAAGAAAGGCTAAAGAGGCCAAAACCCCTGTCTAAGTGGTGAAATTATAAAGAGTGAAGGTCTGCATTTGGGTGTGCTAGGTGCTATAATATACAACTCTCAAATATCCCTGGCTTAACAAAGTATAGGTTTATCCTCATTCATGTCATAGTCCGGTGCAGGTGCCAGGATGGTAACGTACTGCTCCATGCAGTCATTCAGGAACACAGGATTCTTCTATCCTCAGATCTCCACTGGATCCTCTGGCTTGGAGACAAAGAGAGAAGGTGTGTAGAGGATTGTGAAGGTGGCCTTATGGATCCCACCTAGAGGTGGTTTATATAAATTCTGCCCACACAGAACTCAATCACATGTCTCCACCTAGCTGCAGGGTATGCCTGGAAATGTCTAGCTGCATTTCTGAGAAGAAAAGAAGAGGAGTGGGTGAAAAACAGCATTGTTTTTGCCACCAGCTCCTCTGTCTGTGCTAGGTGACCTCTCTCATGGAGCTCAAAGCTGGGACATGGGGAAAGAACTTTTCTCAGCAGCACCTGGGCTTACTCATGGCTCTTGCTTCATCTTTTCCTCTCTGAATGCGGTTAATCCCCTGCACCCAGACCACCGATGCTCCGGGTTAGGAAATGCTCTCTGATCATACCTGGCTTTCTCTAAAGGAGAGATGATGAGCCAAGTAACTATTTCCCTATAATCTAGTGTTTAAGTACTGGGCTTCAAACTCTTCAGATCTCTTTTGAATCCTTGTTCTGGGCCCAAGTTTTCCCAGTTGTAAAACAAGAATTGAAAACTTCATCTTATGAGGATGCTGTGCTTTTGAGTAGTAGTGTTTGTCATAGTATACAGGTCCAGTATTATATTAATCTATCACTTTCAGTGTACTTAGAACAGGTAGAAAACTTTAAATCTTTGCTTCCACCCCTAGTAACTCTTCAGGAGTTGTTACTTTAAAAGAAGAATGAAGTTCCTCCATGCCATCCCTTTCCTGCTGATTCGTATTGAATCCAATTATGGCCTCTTGTAGGCAAGAGTACAGGGGAGTGATCAAGATTATCCATTTCACAACTGGAGAACATTCTGATACATGAAATAAGTCAGGCACAGAAGTACAAACTTTGCATGTTCTCACTCATTTGTGGGAGCTAAAAATTGAAACAATTGAACTCATGAAGATAGAGAGTAGAATGATTTTTACCAGGGGCTGGGAAGGGTAGTGAGGAGGGGGGATAGTGACTGGATACAAAAATATAATTAGATAAAATGAATAAGAGCTAGTATTTAATAGCACTACAGGGTTATTACAGTCAACAGTAATTTATTGTACATTTAAAAATAACAGGGTATAATTGGAATGTTTGAACACAAAGAAATGATAAATGCTTGAGGTGATGGATACTCCATTTACCCTGATGTGATTGCTATGCATTGCATGCCTGTATCAAAATATCTCATACGCCCCATAAATATATACACCTACTAAGTACCAACAAAAATGAAAAATTAAAGAAAAGAACTATGGGAGAAAATCTGCCAATTACACCATGACTTATGTTTTCTTAAAAAAAAAATACTTCTTTCACCGTCTCTGTAACAAAAGCTAAGTCTGGAAAAGGGTGTCCAAGAATCTGATTTTGTCATTCTTAGAAAATTAAAGGACCACATGGGTGATTGTGGAGCTGTACTGGGAAGCAGTAGAATTACAGGAGCAATTAGGGTTGAATTAAAAAAAATTGGAGAATACCTTGTCAAAATCTTTCCTTTGTTTCCCATGGAAATAAAATAAAACTAATTCTTAATATGCTCTGCCAAAGTCTCTGTTTTAGTAGTATCTTAGGATGGCAGGTACCATGATTACAGTCCTGATTAGTGTAACAGTAAGGGCAACTGACCTTATAACACTAAAGAAATATCCCTACCTACTAGTTAGTATATGCCAGGCACTTTCAAACTCATTTATTCCTTTCATCTTGGCAGACTTGCGATTTGAACCCAGTGTCAATTGGCTACAGAGTTCAAGCTTTTCCATAACATGATGTTGGCTCTTAGAGTTGACAGAAGTTGTTGTTAAAATTTGACCAAGTTCATGGAATGATCCAACCTGCACCACATTGCTGACCCTTCCTTCCTTCCTTCCTTCCTTCCTTCCTTCTTTCCTTCCTTCCTTCCTCCTTTCTTTTTCTTTCTTTCTTCCTTTTACTTTCTCTTTCTTTCTTTTTCTTTTTTTTCCAAGGTCTCACTCCATCACCCAGGCTGGAGTATAGTGGCTTGATCTCAGTTCACTGCAACCTCTGCCTCCCAGGTTCAAGCATTCTCCTGCCTTCTGTATAGCTGGGATTACAGGTACCCGCCACCACACCCAGCTAATTTTTGTGTTTTTAGTAGAGATGGGTTTCACCATGTTGGCCAGGCTGGTCTGGAACTCCTTGACCTCAAGTGATTTGCTCACCTTGGCCTCCCAAAGTGCTGGGATTACAGGAAAGAGCCACCACGCCTGGCCCTTGTGGTGCTTTTGTTACACTGCATTGAAATTGCATAAGCCTTGTTACACTGCTTGGTAATTAGGCAAAGGTGGTAGAAGACTGTCTCCAACAGTTTTCATTAGGAATGCGCAAGATTTCAGGTCTAGTCTAATAGGTAAATTAGGCTTCTATGGGCCTAGCGCCCAAGGCGGACCAGAGACCCCTGTCTCATGGGTCATGGTAGAGCTAGATTTCCAAAGTGATACATCCAGGCCCAAGGTTCCTGAGTGAATTCACAGAAGAAAGTTCAAATCCTAGCACAGGTTTGTGTGCTGGGCAGGGATGACGGTGTGTCAGAGACAATGAATAAAATGAGATCTGGGCCTGTCATGTGGGTTCTGGCATTTTCTCTTTTGGGGAGTTATTTGATAACCAGGGCACACAGAGGGGTCTCAACCTCCCCGCCCCCCCCCCCCCCGGATCATTACCTCTATGGGAAGACCTCTACCCCATCTTGTGGTGTCCTGGGCAGGGGTAGCTGTGGTGTCTACATCCAGGGGCTTGATGTCAGGGTGGCAGCTGTGAGCTCTAAGGTAGAGGTTGGCTGAAACTGGGGCAGCCCTTCCCAAATTCTCTTTTCTAAGGGAAATGACTCATGAGTGTCTGAGTGTCCCTCACAGACTTTTTTCCTACAGGTTCCTAGAAAGTGGAGGAAGGACGAAAGCTAACTCTTGTTTGACATTTCTGTGACTCAGGAGTGCAGAAGTATAAAAAACTACTTTGTTAACCAAATGTCAAATTTAATGAACCCACTGATATCAAAAGAAAGACCTGCAATATCTTCATCTGTGTAATTAATTAGCCTGTGTCTATAAAGTGTTCCAAGCATGTGAAGTGCCACAGATATTTTGTGTTATTTATTATTATGCATGGGAAACATAACTGGATTTCTTTGACCTCTGTGCACTTAACAGCTCCTGTTTAATGGTGCATTAATTGTAGCTTTATTTTTTGATCAGCATCGATTCTCTTTTGGTGGTGATATATTGAGGCATATTTTCATGCCTTTCAAGATTTCCCTTTAGAAAATCAAGTTTTGAAAATGAGAGTGGCAGTGAGGAGTGACTGAAGGTGTCTGAAAGGGGGGGAGTGTTGACCGCATGAAAACAGGTTTTCAGAAAATGCATCTGCTAGCATCAGATTAAATTAAAAGAGGAAAAGGCTGGAAGCAGGGAAGAATCCTGCTTAGGCATGAAATAATGAAAATGTGAGCTAGGGTAGTGATTGGGAAATGGAGATTGTATGGTTGAGAGAAAAATGTATTGCTTCAGAACTGTTAATGATAATGTCCTAATGGGCCCTCTGGTGTGGCAGGGGAAAGCTGTAGGCCGCTTAACTGCCCTGTATTAAAAATGAAAAGAAATAATTCAGTATAAAGTTTTAGTTATGAACGATGAATAAATTCTAGAGATCTATTGTACAATATAGTGCCTCTGGGTAACAACATAGTATTGTGCATGTTAAACTGTCAAGAGTATAGATCTCATATTCAGAGTTTTTAACACACACACACACACACCACAAAATAAGGAAATTTTTGGAGGGGATAGCTATTTTTAGTACTTTTATTACAATAATGGGTGTAGGTATATGTCTAAATGCATCAAAACATAAATATTTAATATGTACATTATTTCGTGTATCAAGTAGACCTCAATGTATTTTTTTTTTTGAGACAGAATTTCGCTCTTGTTGCCCAGGCTGGAGTGCAATGGCACAATCTCGGCTCACTGCAACCTCTGCCTCCCAGGTTCAAGTGATTCTCCTGCCTCAGCCTCCCAAGTATCTGGGACTACAGGCACACGCCACCACGCCCAGTGAATATTTTTGTATTTTTAGTAGAGATGGGGTTTCTCCATGTTGGTCAGGCTGGTCTCGAGCTCCATACTTCAGGTGGTCCACCTGCCTTGGTCTCCCAAAGTGCTGGGATTACAGGCATGAGCCACCGCGCCCAGTCAATAAAGCTTTAAAAAAAGAAAAAATCCATTTGGAGAGCTGGAGGTAGCCTTGTTAATAGATAGATGCAAAAATAATTTGGAAAATGAAAGAGCAGCCTAACAAGATTCCAATGGGCTTGAGGAGAAAACCCCCTGTGACAGGTATGTGGGTGTTGGGCATGTAGCTGGTGTTGCTGAGGCACTGTTTAAGCTGTCTAACAACCAGGTTTGTCTGCTAGTCAGTACTTAGATGCAATGTAATACTCACCTGGTTTTACTCTGAAGAATCAGTAAAAGCGTACAATGTACACACAATGTTTTAGGAATGGTGCTTTGGAGAAGTCAAAGTGTTCACCCCTGGGTCAAAGTAGAAAGCATAGAGAGTGTGGTGAGAGTTAGGTGGAGAGCTGCTAGCCATCACGGTTCATGTGACTTTGAGAACAATAAAGATGTAAGAGAATTCAGTGAGACCTTGAGCAGGGCATGGGTTTCCCACGGCATGTCAGATGAGATCAAGACAATTTTATTTGATTTTCCAAAACAAAGTGACCTCAGCTAACGTGCAGAAAAGAAAGGACGAACCCTAGAATTGGTGATATCTTTCCAAATTGAGGATTGTATTACAGAACTTTATGTAACAAGAAAGGAGCCCACTGCCTTCCTCTCTCCAACTTTGCCCCTGTGGCTCCACTCATTATTTTTCATTTTTTTAGAGTGGTCATGCATACCTCAATGGGACAAAGTATCTCCTCTGAGACTTCAGAAAATCCTTTTCTTCTGGAGCCACTCTGTTCTGGATTACCCTGAGATTTTAATGAGATAAAGTCTAGAGATGTATATAACTTTTCTGCATCATTTTGGAATTTTAATGAGATGAAACGAGACCCAGAGACACCTGTTCTAGACCACTTTGGGATCTTAATGAGGTAAGGCTAACGGAGGATGGACTAAATTCATTTTTTCCCAAGCTGTTCAGAGACCAAATACACAGACAAGAAATGCAAACATATGGATGAAGTCTTCCAAATTGCTACTTCCTCTAACTCCTTTTCTAATCTTCATGTTGTTTCTTTTTTATTTAGAGTGTGTGTGTTGGTAGGTGTCATCAGTGGAGGGCTGGTGGTTGGAAGTTAGAGGAGTAGCTGTTTATGAATTCTAGACCTGGACAGTCTTTGTCATTAAGTTGATATGTGACCCCATGGTAAGTAACTAAGGCTCTCCTCCTCTGCTTGGTTTGGGATTCTATCTAGCCACTGTCTTGTTTATCATTAGATTGCCTTGTTTAGCTATCTGTATTGACACAATGCTAAGTCTAAGGGGTCATTTTATCTGCCATAAGCAAAGGAAAAAGGTCCTTTAAAAAATTAAAGTGATTCAAGGTCCCACACTATTGCTAGCTTGTAATACCTCTGGGAGTAAGAATGCAGTACCTGCCTGGCCTCTCATACTCATTTGTAAGATGGCTTGAGTATTGGGGTCACCTGTATTTTGGGAGAGAAATTTCTCTCCTGATGGAAGTTGCCATGCTCAACCAAGCATGCAAGCCATGTGAAGAATCCTAGAATCCTATATTTCACTCTGTGTGTTTCTTTCTCTTGTCATTCCAGGATGCAAACAGGTTGAAGACAAGAGCTCTCTTTAATGGAACCTGAACAGTGCCTAACTCCTGTAGATATTCACTGAATGTTAAATAACAACAGTGATCATGTAATAATGATGCCCAATTCACTTGGGAGAGAATACCAAATAGCTTGGAATTTTCCTGTTACTGCCAGCATGGCCTGAGAGCATCCTGAGGTGAATTTAAAAACTTCAGTGATTCAAATCACATTTACCATAAGAAATACATCTTCTAGCTTAGAGTATTGTTCAGCTGATTGCTGGCTTACTGTGTCTTCGTTCGAATCATCCAGGTCTGGAAGAAAGATATTGTGCTTTAATGATAAACAATCTCAAAAGGGAGCAAGAGGGATTCAACTGGCTCTTCTGGCCAGTGCCTTTCTCTTCATTTCCCTCATCCAGTATTTTTTCCAACTGTTTCAGTTGCTTTGAAGTAAATTATTACCATATGAGCTCAATTTAAAGAGCTGCTATAGAAAACAAGCTGCCACAAGCTATTAAGAAAATAACCCTATTGCAGTTTTGTGTGAAAAGGAAAAACAAATTAACTCCATTCAAGATACGTACATATATATTTTTTTCATTGAACCAGATTCTTTCTCAATAGCATCAATGAAAAGAAATGGCAGCTTTCTTATCCTCCCTGCTTTTCTCAATCCAGCCCTGAGTCTTATACCATAGTATCCTGGAGGAAGCTGTCAGACATCTTAGTTAAAAGCTTTCTGATGGGAACTTTAATGATTGGTCTGGAAAGAACCAGCGTTATGGGCATGAACACTGCTTTCTTCCCCCAAGATCTGCAATGCTACACAGAGCATAAACATCTTTCTCTTGGCAACTGCCTGCATATCCCTCAGGCGTCACTGGGCTTGGACATTTATTTGTTTATTCATGTATGATCTACTAAGTGCCATGTGTTTTGTGAGGTGACAGGGATATAATAAATAAGACACAATCCTGCCCTAAAATGACCTCACTGTAGAGATGAATACGTGATTATGGGTTCCCTCTTGATGAGGTAATGACAGTGACAAGACACAGGTTAGAGGGTGGGCTGTGGAATCACAGCTCAGAAGCACCCACCCAGTCTTAGTGGGGTCACAGAAGCTTTCTGGAGGAGGTAATGCCTGAATTTCCAGGACAAGTAAGAATTTGCCATTTGAAAAAGGGGCCAGGAAAGAGATTTCCATTGTTAACACATAGTCTGCTCCCTGCCTTCAAATTTAGGTAAAATTGTTTTATCTAACACATTCACACCTTGCAAATTCAAGAGAAGGGGCCTTCTAATGGCAATTTCTACTTCCCTATGTCCACCGCTAATTCTAGCATCTATCAAGTAACTACAGTGGAGTTGCTACTGACTTGGGTGTTTTTGTAACCTATTATTGATTATAATTTTACTCCCATATTTACGGATAGGAAGGCTGAGGTCACAACTGATAACTAAGAGTCTAGTCTTTTTTTCAAAATCTAAATTCTTCTTACTGTAGCATGCTGCAAATTTAAATAAAAATTCTAGATGGTTCCAGTGGAAAGAATGTTCCACCTGGCCTTTCCGCTTGCTATCATGACAAATCTATAGCAGGTTTATAGTGTTTGCCTGAAAGATAAGTATCACTGTATTTCTATTTGGACAATGCCATTTCTTGCGTTTGCTTTTTACCATTCAGTATTGTCAGACTTTGAAATGTATGTTTTATAGTACTTTTCCATTTCTTATGAAAAAATATTTCAATGTGTCTATATTATTTTTCTGTGAACACACACATACACACACGACTTGAACCCCTGAGCCACTTGCTAATGAACTTTAAGAATTCACTGGACAGGGTGTTGCCAAGTTAGCAAGATCTGAACCACTATAGTCTCTCCCTCTTATGGAGACATGACAACATATGAAAACTGGATTCGTGTCTAGGGCTTTCTTTCCTCTTATGGGTGCACCAAATTGGAAGAGTAATATTAAGAAGTTTTGAGCTGATCATTATCACTAGACTGGCCCTGAGGCAGAGACCACTGACTATGTATGAAAATACTTTTTCGTCTTCAGTACAGAGCTAGACTACATTTCCCAGCATTCCCTGCAGTTTAATATGGGCACGTGACTGAATTCTAGCCAATGGATTGAGGAGTTAATGATTTGTACCACTTCCAAGTTTGGCTCATAGAACCCCAAGCACGTTCCTTCATGCTCTTTACCTTTCCCACTGCTAGAGTGAAGATGACTTCCAAGGCGATCTTGGAAGCTGTGTGTCAAAGATCTATGATCAACTGGGTCCCCAAATGACCATGGAAAGAAAAATTGGTTCTCTACCAAGCACTGTTATGTGAATAAGGAATAACCTTCTATTGTGCTTCTAATGTTTGTTTTTCGGCTTATAGCAGCTGGTGTTACCCTAAATGATACAGGCGGTCATCCCTAGAGATTTTATTGTTATCAGCTTACTTAGTATTCGTGCCCTGAGTCTTGCAGTTTCCACTGCAGAGAACTCTGCAGGGTTCTGAGGTCTGAAGACTTTGTGAGGCTTTAAATGAAAAGTAAAACACACAGGTTACATTCATCAGTCCTGATCTCAGCCTGTCTCTGCTTTGAGTGTCTTGTCCCCTGAGGGCTTCTCAAGCAAGAGGGAAATGTTCTGACTGTGGCCTAGCAGTGTCTTTTCTCTTGATTGACTGATCAATGTAGTTTGTTCCTGCTGCTAGGTTTCTGATGAGATTTATGACCACCAGGGCTGCCATATTTCAGTCCTTATTTTCACCCTTCTTTGCTTAAAGAGAGCCATTATAGTGGCATCATCATCTTTGACTGTTTTCAAAATTTTACTCACATGAGGCCTGTGAGGAGCTCCCAGCTCTCAGATGTCAGAGCTGCTGGGTGAAAGCTACGTTTGGGGAGATAGCACAACAATTCCTTCTCTTACTCATGTTTATCAGCAGTAGGTACTGGCAGGGACATGGTGCCAGTGAAATACTTTTTTAACACTAACTTAGTGTTGAAACGTGTGCACATTGTCAGTGTTTCTAAAGGTCATTCTAAATCTGAGGGTTGGGGACAATTTTCCTGGACTGATTTTGGGAAACTAGACTCCTTCCACTCCTGCTGCTGCTGCTGCTGCTGCTGCTACCACTAGCCATGTGCAAGCAGTAAGTGAGGAAATTTATCTTGCTGGGTAAATCCAAGCCTCACTTTATTAAAATATCTCAGAGGAAGACCTGACAAGGAGTGGGCAAACTGCCCATAACCCTGTTACTACAGATGTCAGGGTCTGAGAACTAGGTTAAATGTTTGCCTTCTCTGAGACTCTACATTTCTGTTTTTTTCTTATTCCTCCAGATGAGAGAAGCTTGAAACAAGGACACCTGTGTACTATGCAGTAGCCCACAAATGGTTTCTTTAAGATATGCCCCCTTCCTATTTCTGGAGACTGGCAATATGTTGGAAGTGGGTAGGAATAAGACAACTCAGCGGTTGAGGATTTTGAAAATGAGTATGTTAGATGTTATGGATTATCACTTTTACACCCATAATTCTCAGCATCTTAAACTTAGCATGTCACCATTCAGACTGAACTGAATTGAATTCTATTTATTTCTGTAGACAGAGGCATCTCCTTTTACTATTGATGGGTTTCCTTAGGTGTTTATAACAGAACATCTCATGACTCTTCAAATATTTATCATTAACATACTGTTGAATTAAGACAGTGTGATGATTGCTCAAAGACCTGAGGACAGAAATATCATTCGACCCAGCAATCTAATTACTGAGTTTATACCCAAAGAAATATAAATCATTCTATAAAGACATATGCACACATATGTTCATTGCAACACTAGTCACAATAGCAAAAACATGGAATGAACCTAAATGCCTATGAATGATAGACTGAATAAAGGAAATGTGGTACAGATGCACCATGGAATACTATGCAGCCATAAAAAAGAGTGAGATCAAGTCCTTTGCAGGGACATGGGTGGAGCTGGAGGCCATTATCCTTAGCAAACTAACATAGGAGCAGAAAACCAAATACTGCATGTTCTCACTTCTAAGTGGGAGCTAAATCATGACAACAGTGGACCACATAGAAGGGAACAACAGACACTGGGGCTTACCTGAGGGTGGATGATGGGAGGAGGAATAGGATCAGGAAAAATAACTAGGCTTGATACCAGGGTAATGAAATAATCTGTACAACAAACCCCCATGACACAAGTTTACCTCTGTAATAAACCTGCACACATACCCCCTGAACTTAAAGACAAAATCGAAATATATTGTTTATTATTATTTGGAAAGCCATCTGAGCATTTGTCTCCTTTTAACCATAATGCTCCCTGACATCAATAACAGTTACATAATTTAGAGGAGGTCATAGCTATGTTATCTTTTAAAAAAATCGTGTCTAAATAATTCCAACTTTCTAGCCCCTCTTTGAACTTTTCAAATTGCTTATCCCCATTCACAAACTCTCCCAGGAGAAATTGTGTGGGTCCCCTACTAATGGCCCGTTCATGTAAATCATCTCGAATGGTCTCACCTTCATTAGTGACTGCTATAGTTATATTAGAACAAATCTCCAAAGCTGTTAAAATTCAGATGGTACCAGGGACCCAAACAGCTGTTATACATGCTATTAAAAAGTTTCAGTTGCCCCTGAACACATTGTTTCAGTGTCTGTTTTTTTCTAAGTCTCTGGAGAATTTGGAGAGAACAAGAATCTCTTTCTAGAACACATAACTCAGGGAATAATGGAGACAGAGAACTTGATAACAGACCAATATTAAATGTCTTTAATTTCATCTTGATAATTTCTAGCTGGAAAAATTGTGTTGGTTTTCTTCTTGAGATTAGGTTTGTTTCATCATATTTGTCAGAGACTGCCATGAGGAGATACTTTTTCTTTCATTTTTTATGTGGCTGGATGGTACCCTCCTCTTCGCACCCCTGCCACCAGCCTGCCCTTCTTTGGGAGGTAAGGAGAGCTTTTACAAGGTAACTCAGGCCTAAGAAGCAGACAGACATTGCCTTCAGCATAATCAGGTAGGGGAGGCATGCTAGCAAGGAAATAGTCACTCCCCACAGCATGACGTTGTCTGAGTGTGCTTTAGACATTCTGCACTCAAATCCCACATGAATAATAGCCTCTTCCCTCCTCCTCTACCTCACAATATGGAACATCTCCTCTTTTAAGTCAGCAACAACAGTGAAAACAGGTAGGGACTGTCCATCCCTGCCGGAGGCCACAACCAAGAGAAGTGGCACCGAGGTGGGAAGAGAAAGGAGGCTTAACGCACAGAAAGAGAGAAAAAAAAAAAGAGTGAAGGTGAGGGTCTGGGAGGTACTCTCTCTCTCCTGAGGTGATGGCTACCTCGGCCTCCATGGGAAGTTAGGCATGAGATCCTGTGTCAGAGGAGATGCTTTTGCACCAAGGAATAGAAACACTTGACACAAACAGTTAAGGGAGAAGGAGGCATTATTTCCCACAGACGCAGTCTCTGATGTATTTGTGATGGCTCTGGTTTCCTCAGAATTTCAGTTTATGCCTTCCTCAATGCGTGGGCTTTGTCATCAGGCTGGCAGCTTGGTGACATCAGTAGTTCCAGGTTATCTTGCCACCACAGCACCAGAGAGAAGGACTGTCTGTCTTGTGGCTTTCTCTTTACATGGAGAAGACTTTTCTTTGAATCCCAGGAGACTTTCATTATTTCTTGTTGGCTAGAATTAGGTTATATGCCATTCTTTAATCACTGACTAGTAAAGGATGGAATTACCGTGATAGTCTTACACTAATTATTTGGAGCAAATTGAATATTGGAGAATCAGTCATCATGATACTAAAGTTACCATATCTGTGATGGTACAAGATGGTTATTTCTTATCTTACTATCTCTTGTATATTATCAATTAGATGGTTTAATTTTGTCTAGATATTTAAAGTACTTGAAAACTGGTATGTAATATAAGAGTTGAAAATAAATATATTCCTCTTCTATAATTAAACTATATATATGACGTCTAAATTATATCTACATATACTGCATATATTTTATATTACTATTGTGTTACATATTATGCTATATTATGTTTTTATTGTGGTTATACTATGTATAAACTAAACATTATATGTTTTAAAAACTTATTTCAAAGTGCCATATGTTCTAACAGAAATCCTTTGTCACATCAATATAATTTCCTAGTTGCTTGTTGGTTTTTGGAAATTGCCAGTATGCTTTTTTGGTTGATGCAGCATTCACTAGCTAAATGGCACCCTGTCAGAACCATGGCTTGCCAGTTGCATCAAATGCTTCTGACACACTTCCCCTTCCCACCCTTGATTGTCATTAGAAGACTGAGATTCTTGACAGAACCTGAATGGGGTTTGTGTCTTTGCCCCCATCTTAGCATTGAGCTTTCTGATGATCTCTAGGCCTCCATTCTTTCTATCTTCTCTTCCCCCCACAGTTGGTCAGATTGGTACCATCCATGTTCTGGCCTCATATCAGCTGCTTCTTTGAGGGCAGGGATCAAAAGGAATTGCCATACGTAGAGGGAAGGAGGCAGGGGAAAGGAATAGCCAGGGAGGGGCAAATTGGCTTCTCCTGGTTGTTGCAGGAGCCAGGATCTGGCATTTTGGTTTGCCTTTCTGATGGAGAGGGCTGTGAATGACTGTGTGCCCTGCCTTGGCCAGTCACAGGAGAGTGGGCACCATTGACAAAGAGGCAGCTGGTTGGGGTGCTCTCTATGAAGTGAAAAAAAGGCAGAGTGGGAGAGACAATAAGAAATGTGGACATAAAAGAAAGAGGCCCTCATGGATATTGATGGCCTATTTGGGTTGGCTCAACTGGCTGTGGGAAGGGTGGGGTGTGGTGGGAAGCACTGGGTGGCATAAGGCTTCTCTGCCCAGAGATTACTCAAGAGGCAGTGAGGCTCCCTTGGTCACTGGCTGGGATGTCCAGGGCAGAATTCTCCTCCAAGACTGTTCACAATGTCAGGGATGGCCGCTCCCCATGGGGGATGGATTGTCAAATAAAGTAGGGCTCCCCAGGCTCACCTGGGAGTCCTGTACTGACATCTATCTCAGCCCATAGACCTGACCATCTCTTCAGCCACCACCTAGGCCTGGCAGGGTTAGATGTTTCTAATGGGTGGGTATAGACCCTCCTCACCTTGTCCCATTAGCCTCCCTCTCCCATCTAAAACCTTTTGAACCAGGAGGCAAATTGCCAGCTCATTTAAAAAAAAAAAAACAATGAACTGCAGCAGATCCAGTACCCAAAATAGAAGAGTCTCTTGACATTGCAGTGTGTGGTTTCTGAGATAAACCACATGTGCTAGAATTTACATTATTAATTAATTCTACCATTTATGGCAGTTTTACTATTTACTGGCCAATATGGAGATATTTACATATTTGAATAGCTTATAATAGTGTGTACCTGCTGAATATTAGTTGTGGTTACATGTCTCTCTCATTTCTAAACAGTGGCTTCTGGAGGTGGGTGCTGAATTTTATTGCTTAACCCTGAATAACCAATTAATTTTTGCTGGGTAACTGTGTGGGTTTCTATGGTTGAGGGAGGCGATAGGCCACCTTCTCACCTTTTATCAGAATAGACTCCCCACTCTTTTCAATGTGAAAGGTGGAATGCTTAGCTCGACCACTGACAAGCACAACTGATAGCTTCTGAATATCCTACTTCCTTCCCCTTACAGCGAGGGGAACACATCATTCATTATTCTCGTGTTATACCTTTTTATTTTTACAAATAAACAAAAATGAAACTAACATCATTCCCTGCTAAGGAACTCAAAAGTAGACATTATATAGGAATGTGAACCGTGAAAGTATATCCTGGAATTTATGGTCAATGCGCTTTGAAGGTGAAAAACACCCTCTAGTCATACAACATTACTATAGCTCCTGTCTGTCCTTTTATCCATTTCCCCCATAGTTTGCTCGCTGACTTGAGTAACCTGCAAAAGAGATCTGAAGAGAGAAGGAGAAATGAAGAAGCACACTGGAAAAATTCTTCATTTATTATTAACTTAAAACTCCAATTGACTTGCTTCCCCCAGGGCTGGAGACTACAATGGGACATGGAATTGGTCCAGTTAGGCTCAAAAATTCAGAGAAAGAGATTGGTGTAGTGGAAAGATCAGTGAACTGGGAGAGAAAATTGCTGAATGCTAACCATAAATGTGATTTTCTGAGTCCCTTAACTTTCCAATGACTTCTTTCATACTTTGGACACCTTGTTCTCTCTCTTTGCTAGCTTTTACTTCTTGCCATTCTATGGTTTTCTTGTCTTTTTGTATGGCTTAGGTATATAACAGATTAAAAAATGCATCAGGACTGTGTGGTGGTTAATTTCTGTTGTGTAAGATAGCATCCCTTAGCTTTGTGGCTTAAAACAAAAGCCATTCTCTTTAGTTTACAATTCTGTGGATCATTCAGTTCTTCTGTCTTGGGCTGGCTCAGCTTGATCATGGCTGGCTCTCTTATGCTGCTACCATCAGCTGGCAGATCTGCCGGCTGATCTAGAATGGCCTCCCTTGCATGTCTAGTGGTTGGTAGGCTGGCAGCCAGGGTCTGGATGCCTGTTGGCTGGGGTGCCTCGGTTCTCCTTTAACAGGCTAGCTTGGACTGAATCACATGGTGGACTCAGGGTCCCAAGCTCAGCAGGTTGGCAAGTCAGAATGCTCAAGCACTTTTCAAGCCTCTGATCACATCAAGTTTGCTAATGTCCTGTTGGCCAAAGCAAATCACACTGTACATGGAGATTCAAAGGGTGAAGAAATAGATTCCATTTCTTTATGGGAGGAAAGGAATTTATGGCCATTTTTGCAATTTATCACGGACTGCATTTTGAGACATCTGAAAAATGTATTGCAATGGCAGATAACATTTTTGAGTGTTTAGCATGTGCCACACATTATGGTCATCAAAAAATTTACATTCTCATGATACTTGCCCTTATAGGCCCTACATCTTTGGTGCTTCCATTAAAAAAGGAAAGTGGCTATGTCAAACTCTACTCTGCTTTTACACAGCAGATGTGGTGCAAAAATGTTTCTTGTAAATAGAAATTTTGTAGCTTGAATTATATTTTCAGCACAATAGGGGGATTGGCTATTTCAAGGAACCCTGTTGCAAATCCTTTTGGAAAGTAAAGAATCCTTTTGTAACACCTGAAATCACCTCCTGCTTTAGCTGTCTGGAAGGTCAAAGCAAAGGGATTTGAAAATATGGATAATGTAGAAAGGTCTCTGGCTTTGGAGTTGAACTGACCTAGGTTCAAATCTTACCGGGTAAGTAATCTTGGGCAAGTTATTTAACTTCCGTAAGCCTTAGTTTCTTTTTTGTTGTTGTTGTAATAGGATTAATAGATATCTGTCCCCATTGGCTTACATGAAAAGGGAAAAATTATGTAAAGGGCTAGATATTTTACAGAGGTTCAATAGATTAGTACAATATATTCTTCCACATTATCAGATGTTAGATTTTGTGTAACTACTGTCCTGCTATTTCCTACTACAGATAAAAACCTTTTGAAATATTTGTTTTCCAGTTTCGGCATTAGCTTGGCTTGGGTTCTCTGTGTCTGTTCTTTTAATCTCACCATAAAGCTATATAGCTATTTGCATTCCTTAATCAAATTCAAGAGGGTAGATGAGGAAATGAATTCATAGCTCTGTAGACATCATGGGGTAAAAAGTCTGTACTAAACCAATTTAAAATAAATTAGCTGAGAAAAAGCAGGTGCTGCCTGACACAATATGCAAAGTTATCTTTTAACCCAATCAGCAGAGAACAGAAAAACAATTAGCAAATTGGATAGCTATTCCAGGTGTCTGAGGGCCACTGGCCACAAGATGGCCACTGAAGGGATCACCACCAGCTTCAGGTCACTAGGTAGACTTGCAGTATCAGCACAAAACCCTGACTTGGGGTGGCCAATCTCCCAAGCAGCTCTAATTAGGCCCAAGAGGCAATTGCATAAGAACTACTGAGAACATCGCAGACTCATATTTGCTTCTTTCTCAGGATTTTATATGAGAGCCTGGTAATGAATGTTCTTTAACAATAGGAGCTGAGAGACCTTAGTGTTAATAGCACTCCTGAGGATACAACTTCCTTTATTTGCAATCCTGCAAAGATCAGTTGGATACCATTGTTAAATCTTGAAATTGCACCCCCACTTTCCCCAGTCTACATTGTGGCTTAACTCAGAAGACAGGACCACGGGGAAGGGCTTTTTCTTAACCACCAATCCCCTCCCTATGCAGTAATGAACAATAAATAATCTAGCACTGATTGGTTTTGAAATTTTTTTAAGGGTCCAGCCCATTTTTAAAGCGTTTTAGGAACAAAGCGTTTGTTTGTTTGTTTGTATTAATAAAGAGTAATAGAACCTCTCTAACATCCACAGGTTAAAATACTATAATGTTTCTGAATTCAGGGGCTGCTTTGGTCAGATGTATTGGTTCCCTTGGTCTGCTTTTCCTGAGTCCCTACTCAGGAAATTACTAATTCCTAAGGAGTTAATTTACTGAGTGAAAAGGTACTCAGTAGATTAGTTCTCTAGTTGAATTGTAGTGGATAACTCAGAAATTTCTTTCCCCCTTCCTGTCCTTCCTCCCTTCTTTTCCTTCACTAAATACACAGAGATCCTAACGTGGAACAGCCACCGTTCTAGGTGATGGACATGAAGCAGGGAGTCCAGTAGGTTTGGGAGCAAGATCACTCTGAAGAGTTCTAGCCATAACCAGCAACACCTGAAGAGTCTCAGGGAAGACTCACTCATTAGTGGGTATGTCAGGAGATGGTCTGGCTTCAGTGATCTTATGTTGATAGAGCCACTTAGTTGCTTATTAAGAGACTGATTCTTGGGCCATATTTAGGAATTTAGTCACTGTATTCAGTGAAGCAGCTGAATTTCTACCTTTTAAATAAGGACTCCTGTGATGCAGCAGATCCACAAATGGCTTTTGAAAACTTAGCAGTTATTGGCTGAAAATCTCAGGTAGGCCCATGGAGCCTGTGTGCCCCATATTGGATCCTAAGGTCATCTGCCCTCCATTCCTCTGGCAAAATCATCTCACACCTCCAGCTGGTATTAACATCTGCTACCTAAATCCCCAAAGCTGCTCTGGCCCCAGCTTTGTCCAAGGTTAGTCCCTTAACCACTTCTTGTATTCTGTGAACCATCACAAAGTCTTCAAACATATTATTATTTGGCCTATGTCAGCCAGGGTCATTCTGTTGGTATAAGCAAAGAAACAGTGAGAGCATGCAATCTTGGTATGTGGATGGTGGATGGTGTTCTGGCTTTGTGGGGATATCATATCTGGGAAGGGAGTGAGTCTTCTGCATAGTCCATTAAAGGAAAGTCTACCCTGCCCTCTACCTCCACCCCCAGAGGGGGTGTATTCTGTCTCCTCAGGCAATGCTGCTGTGAATATTTGCATGAATTTCCCTTTTTCCTTCTAGGCTCTGGGGACAAGAACTGTGTCTTATTCTTGTCTATGGCTCAGGGACCAGCAAGGGGCTTGGAACATAGCAGGTTACCTGTGTGATTGTGAAAGAGGAAGATTATACTCTGAACCTGAGCAGTGCTGCAGGTGCTGGGCCTTGCTTGGGGCCTGACCCTAATTATGAGCTCTCATTGGGTTCTTGGGGTCTTTTTCTGTCTACCTTTGCCCAGTCCTCTGCTTCCTAGGAAAATATAACTAGGTTTCAGGTGCCTCCAACTGGGTCACTATCCTTAGTATTTGAAATCCAGAGGTCTTTCATTTTCTTAGGAGTTTGTATATTTCTCAGGTCAATTTCTCATATTTGGGGCCACATTTTATTTTTTGCTTCCCTGAGTCTATTCTGTGCTAAGGGCATGATAGACAAAAGAAAAATATCCATGTCTAAACTTCCCAGGACTTCTAGAAATAAGTTTCCAATTAACATTCTTTCCTTGGCAGCCCAATTTTGTGATTAAAGAGCTTCATTGGCTTTGGGAACATTTAGAATTAAAATCCAATACTAACGGAGACCCAGGGGCATGACCTTATGAATAGAGGCCAGAAAGGAAAGCAGGAAAAGCAGACGGAGCCAATGAAAGGGGCAGGGGGAGGTTGCCATTTCTGGAGAGGCAAGGGAGGACAAAATAGCCTACTGAGATAATTTGCTCTCCCTCAAAAGGATTCTGTGGCAAGTTCCCTAGCTGTAATAAGGTCTGAGAATCAGGAAATTCCAGGGAGCTCATCTTTGTTCCTGCTCTGTGAAATGCCACTGAATAAATCAAGGAATTTATTTGTCACTCGTTTCCTCTATAAACTCACTTCATGGCCTAGATGTGCTCTGAAATATAGCATCTAAAGCAGTCATGGAGAATATCAGAGGTCAGCTTGGAGCCATGTAGAATATCAGAGGTCAGCTTGGAGCCATGGAGAATATCAGAGGTCAGCTTGGAGCCATGTAGGATATCAGAGGTCAGCTTGGAGCCATGTAGGATATCAGAGGTCAGCTTGGAGCCATGTAGGATATCAGAGGTCAGCTTGGAGCCATGTGGGATATCAGAGGTCAGCTTGGAGCCATGTGGAGTATCAGAGGTCAGCTTGGAGCCATGTGGAGTATCAGAGGTCAGCTTGGAGCCATGTGAAATATCAGAGGTCAGCTTGGAGCCATGTGGAATATCAGAGGTCAGCTTGGAGCCATGTGGAGTATCAGAGGTCAGCTTGGAGCCATGTGGAATATCAGAGGTCAATTTGGAGAGGTTGAATGTAACTGAGCTAGATGTCTGGAGGTAGGACTGTGCCCCCTGTTCATCTGCCCTAGTTTATTCCTTGACATACTGCAGGTCACCTCTCTGTTCCAACCTACTGCTGTTTTTTATTGCATTGTGCTTTCTCACCTCCATTTCCTCTCTGCCTTGAACATCCTTCCCCCTTGACTTAGGTTGTGTTCCCTAGAAGCAGTGATGAAGACAGAGATTTATATGATTTATCAAGGGAGCAGTCTCAGGAGAAGGGGAGGGAAGGAGCCAGGATAGGGTAAGGGGCAGGAATTACAGGAGAATGAGATATTAATTGATCCCTCAGGGAGTTCTGGAGTGTGAATTGCACTATAGAGATTGTCTCACTTTGAAGCAGGGGCTCCAGTACCCCCATGTGGGTCAGCTGTTGGAAGTAGGATGTTTCTGTAGGTGGGGGGTGTAACCTCCAAGGTGAGTTGCCACCAGTTTGCCAGGAGCAATTGTCTGGAGAAGGGAGGCAGATGGGAACCATAGCAGCCAACACCTGAAGCTCCTGACAGTGGGACTACTGCCCTGGTAAAGGACATCTGCAGGGAGTAGCAGCAGCATACCAGCCACCTGAAGAAATTTGCTTCGTTAACTTCTATTCACTGATTCTTCAAGACTTGGCCCTGGCCACACGTTCTCTGACTACTTCTTTCCTTTTTAGCCTGCTAAGTGTACTTCCTCCATGTCCTGTAAGCCTCCTGGACTTTCTAACCTCTATCTTACCTCCCTGTATGTTAATGGGCCTGCATGAGTATCATCTTTATTAATCATCTCCTTGGTGGTATGAGATTACTTTTCCAATTTCATCTACAATGCCTACCACAGTCTGTATAATGTAATAGTGTCCCATAAGATAGTGTGGGGTGGATGAATCTTGGATCCTCTATTAGTTTGCTGTGTGATCAAGATGATTTACCTAACTTTTATCTAAGTAGGGAATAGTATCTGCCCACTGGTCTCTTAATGTTGTTGAGAAGGTCAAACCACAGAACACTATCTTACCTGTGAGGTCTGGTATGAAAACCAGATCTTACTTTATCTTATTCATCATAGTGCAAGAGTCTCTTTGACAAAACCCATAAGAAAGTTGTACGCAGCCTAAGACGTAAGTGTCCCTCCTGGCCCATTCCTCCTCTTGGCACCCTGGACAGTTCCAACAGATTTTTCTGTCTCACATTGGGTTGAAATCTACCAGTAACTTCTCTTGAGTCTTATTTTGCCTCCTGGAGCCATTTAGAACTAGTCTGCTCCACATTTCACATGGCAGTCCGTATGGATTGATTATTTCAGGAGTGTTGCTGTCTTGTCTGCTGTTCTCACCTCTTGCTGACAGTGGCTGCCAAGCCTTCGAAGTCTGACTCTTGCTTGTCTCCTTCCTCTTGTCATCACCTTCCTCTGTTACACAGTTAAGATGGAAAGAGTTGGAGGCTTAATTTTTTTAAGTTCCTAGGGGAATGGTCCTCAGGAAGGTCTTCTGAGGACACACATAGAATCTTGTCTCTGTTTTTCTAATTCTTGCAACTTGAAGGAAGATGCTGAGAGGCACCTTACATGACCCTATTTTTCCTCAACAACATCTTGATAATAAATGATGTATCCAAAATTAATTTTCTACTTTTGTGAATAAAGAGTGATTCTATTAGGGTGATGAGGAACCTCCACAGCAGTAAGGGATAAAATATCTGGGAACCACTCCTAGTCATCATTCATTAGCTGGGTGACTTTAGGCAGCTCTCTCTCTTTGTTGTGAAGGAGGCTATAGCAGCTCTTAGAGAATGAGAGGAGTGAAGACAGAAAAAAACCGACAGAATAAACAAATACCAAAGGACCCAAATTAACAAGATTTGGTGATGTTTTGGATTGGAGAGTGGTGAGGAAGAGGGAGAAGTCAAGGACGACTCCTGAAGCTTGTAGGAACTCTGGCATGTCGGGTAGGGAGAAGGAGCCTGCAGAATAAATGAATAAGCAGGCAGGTGGGTAGGAGGAAGCCCAGGAGATTGTGGAGCCCCAAGAACCCAGGAAGGAGCATAGATGGAAGGAGTGACCTTCACACTGCGGAGGTTTCAAGTAAGGTAGAATTGAAAATGTCCTGAGACTTTGGCAATAGACAGGTCACCTAATGATTGCAGTGGCTTTTTAAAGCCTGTGACAGGAGTGGAAGACAGAGCGAGGTGAATTGAGGAGTGGGAGGGGAGCATATGGAGATGGCAAGGATGGATAATTTTCTGGAAAACTTTGGGTGTGAGGAGGAGGAGAGAGTGCTGTAGCTGCAGGAAGTGTGGGGTAGAGGGAAGATATTTTTAAGGTGGGGAAAGCTTGAGCCTGTTTAAGTGTTTTGGGGAAGATTGCGAGGAAAGGGTTGACTAGATAAGAGAGAGATGGGGTAATTGATGCCCTGAAAAGACACCAGGGAAGGGATCCAGAATGCAGGAGGAGGAACCAGTCTTGACACAGAAAGGATGCTGCCTCAAATGTCACATCAGGGATCTGTGTTACTGTGGAGACCACACTCTTACTAAGCCAGACAATATTTCTCCTTCCCTCACCCCTGCCCACAAAATTAGCTAGATACTTTTTCTCTAGACATTCCTGCTGGGAGGCTGAGACTCCATGTCCCTTTAAGACGGGGGAAGGATACTGTACCAGAGCCTCTTCCTAAGAGATCTGTACTTATTAAGTGATTGGGACTAGACTTACTTCCTCTTCTCACACAGTGTCTGATTATGCTTGGCAGTTGTGCCCAGGCCCCCTGCATACCTTTCAAGGTCCCTTTCAAGGTCCATTCTTATCTGACTTCCCAAGTTTACATCTTGCTGCCCTACAGTTAACTTTCTCTGCTTCCCCTTGGATCAATTAGACAAGTTGTAATTATAGGGTATATAATGGTCTCATTTCTCCTGGTCTGTTCCAAGCTCCTCTGTGTCTAGGTACAGAATGAGTAAGCATTCTCTAATGTTGTTGGCCAAGTTCATTTTTCTTATAAATAAAGTCACTGTCTTTATTTTCCTATTTTACAGAGAGGTCAAAAGTCCGTCTGACTCACCTGTGCTGAGTGACTTGAATGCCATCTAATCTAACTTCAAGGTGACTGGATAGATTGTACATGTGGTAATAAAATGCTAATCGTAGTGTCATAATTTTAGAGATTCAAGAAGAAATTATTAGAAACACAAATTAAGAGCTTTAATATGCTCATATGTACCTGTGCATAACTTTTTTTAAAGCACCTAGAAACTGCAAGTCAATAAACATTGTTTTCCCATGCTGCCCTATACTCATCCAACCCAGCGATGATGAAATGCATACTGACAAGAGCAATAAGAAAAATAATAACATTATCACAGGATCAATGTCTATTGCTAGCTTCATAAAGGACTTGGCTTCCCATTGATGTTTAATTTTTGTAAATGCCTCTGGAAATTTAAGTAGCAGTAGGAAAACATAATGTTCAATTTCTCCTAACATAACCTCTTAAACTTTGGACGTGTGCAGTTTTCAGTCTGGGACAAATTTAGGAGAACAAATCTCTTTGAAACAGACTGGCAGATTTATTTTAAATAAGCTTGCTTTAAGGCTACAGGTCTAGGAGACAGAATCATAGAAGATGATTGGAACAACGGGAGCTGAAAAATCTTGGAAGCCTGCTTTTTCTGTGACTCGTTTTGGTGTATACATCAGCATAAAGGGGAGAGTCTCCTCTATCCATGTCATGGCTGATGGTAGCATCTGTGCCAAATTTTAAGCACTAGGGGACAAGTTGGGAGGCTCCGAAAAGCTCACCTGTCTCAGAACACCACGATATCCTAGCATTTTTGTTATTCCTCCTTGCTCTACCTCAACTGCTCTGGCATTGACTCAAATTCCTGGAACTGCATAATCAGCATCTGGACGAATAATAAATGAACTCCTGCTAGCTCTACCATAGGAGAAGCATTAGAGTACTTTGAAGTCCTAGAACCTTCATCTTCTTAGACTTAAGAGTGGTATTTCTGAAACTTGAGCTTGCATCAGACTCACCTAAGGCATCATGTTAAAACACTGATTGCTGAACTCTACCCTGATAGTTTTTGGTTCTGTAGTTCTAAGGCAGAGCTCATTAATTTGAGTTTCTAACCAGTTCCCATATGATGCTGATGCAACTTGTCCTGCAGACCATACATTGAGGACCGCTAGCCTAGAGTTCCCCTTTTTTGACCCAGATGCTGGACTGTTGTAAGCCAACAGTTAGGTCTTTCTGAAATCCATGGGCTCAAGCAGGGGCAGAAAATATCCAGATGCCAAAAGGAAGCTTATTATTTTATAGGGACCTCTGCAGAGTGAGCGCCACACTTTGGCTGAAGAGTACAGTTTGTTCCTCACCATGACCTTGGGGTCCCGTCCCAACTAATCCAGAGCCATGTGGGTTTGCAGAGACAGGCATTCCTCCCATATTCTGGCCTCTGACCTGAAATCTTCTAACTTGAGAAGAGAACAGTCACCTTCCTGGGAATCTGAAATAGAAAGGCAAATTTGTGAAGGCCTTTCTGACATCTGAATGGCTGGATTTGCATTTGCTGTAGTGATAACTCAGTGCCATCCAGACCTGACAGTGATGAACGATGCTGGATTCTGCTCAAATTCCATCAAAGCCTGCAGGGTGAAGACTCTGGTCCCTGAACCCAGTGTCCTCTGGCCCTTCCTGTCAAAGCATTGGAGTGACAGGGAGACATTTGAGAGGCAGTGAGGAGGAAGGACAGAGGCATCAGGGTGGGTGTGGCAGCTTCCATATTTAGCAGAGAGAAGCAGAGATGAGGGTAAGATTATGAGTGGGAGAGGAGGGAAGGTTAGAGAACAATGGAAAAATTTTCTTCTTCAGTGTAAGAATTCTGGACCCTTATTTGAAGTCTCTCCTGCTTTGTTGGGCAAAAGTAATGAGAAACTCCACTTGGCTTCAGAATGCAGTGTCAACTCCACATGAATCAAAGCAATAAAAAAGAATCAACTCAGAGCAGGCTGAGCTATGTGAGGTATGAAAACTTGATCAGGGCCAGCGTGAGTATGGGACTTCAGTCATGCTCCCACTCCCTCACAGGACCCACACGGGTGGGGGGTGGGGGGAATTGTTTAAAAGCATTTAGTTCCTAACTAGCTGCCTCACCCATTATCTTCCGTTTCTTGTAATTTAGGAAACAAAGAACAACATATAGCCAGATCAATAGCTTATGTTATTTTCATATGTTAATTATTGCTAAACAACTTAGGAACTGCCTTTTCTTTTATTTCCTTTAAAAATCCATTTGTAACTGTTGCTGGTGGGACCGGACTACATATTCAGGATAACTTTAATCTGTGCTTTGAAGTTTCAATCCTCAAGACTGGCCCAAATAAACCCCCTACTTATATTAATCTTGCCTCAGTTTCTTTCTTTTAGGTGGACAGTGGTGAGAGCAATTAGGCTTTTTGCAGAATTACTCATTCTAAATATTCTTGCTTGTATTATATTTTAGATACAAATTTTCCAGCTGTTATTTTTCAAGTCATTGCCTGCTTCACTGTGTCAATTTCTAGTCTGCAGCCTTTGTAAGCATTTGTTTCTTTGTTTCAACTGCTTCTTTTTCCTTTCCTGTTACTTCTCTGGCCCCCTGTTCTTTGTTCCTCTCTGAGGAATGCAGATCTCTGCTCCTCCATACACCTCCTTTCTTTCCAGTCTGGCTTTTAAGAGGAGACTGTGCAGGCAGTCATCAAACACAGGGTCTAGTTCCTAGAGCTACTCCTCTCCCAGGCAATCTGCATTTCAGACAAAATAAGCCCCTTTCACTTCTATTTTGCTTAATGTAAATGTTACTGACGTGTAACACACATGCAGAAAAGTGCGCAAATTGTATATTTCCAGCTTGAGGAGATTTCACAGACTGAACAAATGGAGTGGCCAGCACCAGCTCAAGAAACAGAGCATGAACAGCACCCCAAACCTCCTAGTGCCCCCTTTCAGTAATTTCCCACCCTTAGGAGTTACCACTATCCTAACTTCTAATACTGTTAATTATTTTTGACTTTTAAAAAACTCGATAGAAATGGAATTATTCAGTACATACGATTTGTGGCTACTTTTTCTTAATGTTATGTTAGTGAAATTTACTCATATGGTTACATGTACTTGTAGTTGGTCATTTGCATTGTTTTCTTCTCTGTATAATGAACATACCACATTTTATTCATTTTACTGCTGATGGACATTTGGGTTTCTCCAGTTTGACACTATTATACATTTTGCCACTATTAACATTCTTTTATATGCTTTTTGGTAAATATACATCCTCTTTCTGTTGGATTTACACATCGGAGTGGAATTGCTGTTTCATAGATTGGCATAGATTCAGCCTTAGTAGATACTACTAAACTGTTTTTAGTGTTGCTTTATCAGGCTGAGTGTGGTGGCTCACGCCTGTAATCCCAGGACTTTGGGAGGCTGAAGTAGATGGATCACTTGAAGCCAGGAGGTTGAGACCAGGCTGGCCAACATGGTGAAACCCCATCTCTACTAAAAATACAAAAATTAGCTGGGCATGGTGGTGCACATCTGTAATCACAGCTACTCTGGAGGCTGAGGTGGGAGAATTGCTTGAACCTAGGAGGCAGAGATTGCAGTGAGCTGAGATCGCACCACTGCACTCCAGACTGGGTGACAGAGTGAGACCCTGTTTAAAAAAAAAATAATAAAAATAAAAAGTTGCTTTATCAATTTATATGCTTTATCAATTTATACTCCTACTTAAAAAGTTTTAGGTCTAATTGCTCCACAGCCCCACCCACACTTGGCATTTTTAATTTTTGTTATTCTGGAGAGTGTGTGTTAATAGAAGATTATGGACTTAATTTACAGTTCTTCAGTAGCCAGTAAAGTTGAGCACCTTTTTAATATGGTTACTGGCCACTTAAATACCTTTTTGGTGAAGTACCTGTTTAGTATTTCAGCCATTTAAAAAAATTAGGTTGTCTGCATTTTTAAAACATTGCTTTGTAGAAGTTCTTTAAAATTGTGGATATTAGTTGATAGGTGCTCTAGAGCAAATATCTTCTCCCAGGCAATAGCTTGTCTTTCTACTTTTTAAATTAAGCTCCTTACTTTACAATCATCATACTTTAAAGTATAGCTCAAATGTCACCCATTTGATGACTTTTCCCTCATCCCCTTTCAGGTTATTGCCCACCCTCCTATCCTCCCATAGCTTCTGCCTAATACTCATTCATAGTGATAATTGCCTTAGTTACAACGATTCCTTTTCTTACCTCTCCTGTTTCAGCCCATCAGTGCCTTAGGCACAGACAACCTCTAAATGGAAAGAGTGGCTGCTATTTTTGTGGAGGTTCTGGTTGGGGTTTTGTTTTGCTTTGTTACGTTGTAATTATCTGTGCCCCAGCTTTCTACTACATCTATGTAGTACCTCTGAACGATTTTTAAAAAATACATCTTACTTTGGAGAAAAGAAATATAGATAATATTGTACCTTGGCCCCTGCCTCATTTGCAGCCCTCTGTGCTGTATCTCTGTCTTTTCCAGAGGAACTTTCAATTCAACATGTTAAAAAAGAACTTACCATTTTGTCTTTCTATTCCAGCCCAGTTTACTTCCTGACCTTTGGCACATATGGGGTAGCAGTCCTATTGCCCAGAAGCTAAAAGTAGCAGGAAGTCACTCTGACTTTTAAATTGTCTTTTACTCCCTTCTTCCAAATCCAAACCATGCTTTCTAGCTCTGCTATCTTTGCCTCTTTCTCTTGGAAAGTTATAACAGCTTCTAAATGGTTCTCTTAACCATGTTTGCCAAAGAAAAGTTGCGCAGGATGGAGTTATAAAGGCAAGGAAGACTTTATTCAACAGGATTGCAATAGGGGAGAGAGATTAAACTCCGCTGAAACAAAAGGGTGGAGGGGTTTTAAGCATTGAGGTAAGCTAGAGGAAAAGTGTTGGAGGACATTAGGAAGGAGGTTGGTTGATGTGATCTGTGTTTGCTTTTTGGCACTTGTGAAAGTTAAGCTTCTACCTTCTCACAGAGACTGGGAGATGGGGCCCTATCTTTCTTGATGATTACATTTCAAAGGAATGGCTCCTAGGTACTTGAGAAAGATATTCCTGGGTTATAAAACTAACAAGCAAAAATTGAGAAAAGATTTACATCTCAAAGGGTCAGAGAAAAAATTTACAATTGAAAGTTTTCTAAAGCGACTGCTCTAAGAAAAGCAGGGTCAGGGGCTTATAGACAAGAAGAAGCCTGTCTAAAGTTTAGTCAAGCTGAGGAGAATGTTGAGGTAATATTGATCATTCTCACCTCAATTTAATTGCTGGAGTTTAAACTTGGTTTTTCCATTCTATTTCTCTGTTCCAAAATCTTTCATGCTTCCATACGAACCACCAAATGAGTTCTAAACTCAGAAATGTATTGAGGAAGTCTTCATGCTCTTATTTCAGACTCCCTGAGTCTTTTTTCTGACATACTGGAGGGTGGGGTCACCATGAGGGTGGTCACAGCTCTATGTGCTGATAAGATATATCTCTCTCTGCATTACTGGACCAGCCACTGGGAGCCCAGAGGAGGAATATCAATGGGTTCCATTTCTGGGACTGGGGCCAGGACAAGGGGTTCCAACATCTCTTGGCAAACTACCTGAGGCTGTGAGCTGTGGCAGCATAGTCATTGTTACTGGTCTTCTCTCATCTCTCTGTTGGAAGATACGGAAGCAAAGAGATGAGACAGAGACATGGGGCCAAGTCATCAGAAAGAGTTATACTTGCCACCCCAGATCTTTCTGCCCTGCTTTCTGGTAAACTGAGGGTAAGTATGCAATTAGTTGCAATTATTGGTCTTTTAATATGAAATTATGGCTAACCAATTTATACAATCTAAGCATTTTGTAGATGTTCCATTCAATAACCTGTGTTTTAAATACAATATGTTAGATAAAATGATTGTATTTTAAGAGTGAGGAAACTGAGCCTAAGGAAGGTTAACTTCGAAGTATCACAGGATGTAAGTGGCAGCCCCTGGGGTAATATGAATCTCAAGCTGGATGAGGGTGGAGCAGGAGAAATGAGACCACATAAATCCCAAAGTCATTATGAGAGGTGAAGCCGGCTGCACTTCTGGGTTGGGTGGGGACTTGGAGAACTTTTCTGTCTAGCTAAAGGATTGTAAATGCACCAATCAGTGCTCTGTGTCCAGCTAAAGGTTTGTAAATGCACCAATCAGCACTCTGTAGAAACGGACCAATCAGCACTCTGTAAAATGGACCAATCAGCAGATGTTGGGGCAGGGGGGTTGGCAAATAAGGGAATAAAAGCTGGCTGCCTGAGCCAGCCACGGCAACCCACTAGGGTTCCCTTCCAGGCTGTGGAAGCTTTGTTCTTTCGCTCTTCACAATAAGTCTTGCTGCTGCTCACTCTTTGGGTCCACACTACCTTTATGAGCTGTAACATTCACTGCAAAGGTCTGCAGCTTCACTCCTGAAGCCAGCGAAACCACAAACCCACTGGGAGGAACTAACAACTCCAGACACGCCACCTTTAAGAACTGTAACAATCACTGTGAGGGTCCGTGGCTTCATTCTTGATGTCAACGAGACCAAGAACCCACCGGAAGGAATCAATTCTAGACACAATTAGACTGCCATTCATATGTATTTCTGGGAAGACAGGCATTTCCTCTCAGGTGCTCAGACAGCGACTCACCTAGACTTCTGAGTAGTGGCCCAGCTGCCCTTCAAGGGCTGTCTGATCACCCCTGGCTCTGTCTGACAAACTCCTAAAATGTTTTCTCACATGGATACCACCTCTTCCCCACCACCTTCAAGATTGTGGGTCAATGGGATAATCAGGTCCTGCATCCGTTCTCTGAAGGTCAGGAATATGGACGTGGCTCCCCTTAATGTCTGCCAGATGACAAGGAAAATCTAAGATTCCCTACCTTTCTGCTCCACTGAACACACAGAACTCAATTGAAAGGCCATAACACATTTAAATGTCTGAAATTAAATCTGGAGTTGAAGCAGCAGCATGTTATTACTTTTAATCAGTGCAATGCATGAAAACCCCTTTAGTGAAATCATGATTTTACCTCTATATGTGGAAGGCAGAATTGCCTCCTTCCTTCTTCTAGTCTCTGGAAAATGACAAAGGACTCCTCACCCTGCTTGTCCATTAGAATTGGGAGCTACTTTCAACCCCTGCTATGGCCAGGGTTAAGGTCAGATTTAATTCTTAGGGATGCTTCTTCAGGATTCCACCTTGCATGGGTCTCAGCTATACTTTTCTTAATAAAGGGACAAGCTAAGGGATTAGTAACTATAGTTACCATTTATTAAGCACTTTCTTTATCAGTTAAGGTTTTTAGTAGCACACAATCAAAACTGGTTTGAGCAGAAGGGCAATTTATTAGGGAATATTAGATTGTGCACAGAATCTCCAGCAAAGCTGATGAACAGGATTTGGAAGCTGTGCAGCCAGAAACAATTCCTAAAATCTCACTGCAGAATTGGAAGCAATGGGAACACCACAGCTGCTGCCCTGGGAACACAACTTAAACTGCTAATGCTGAACACTGGATGCCTTGTCTAATTTTTTCTGCAAGAGCAATGAAAGGCAAATATTATTATCTTCTTTTTATTTTTATTTTTTTAACTTATAAGTTCAGGGGTACATGTGCAGGTTTGTTACATAGGTAAACTGGTATCATGGGGGTTTGTTGTACAGATTATTCTGTCACCCGGGTATTAAGCCTAGCATCCGTTAGTTATTTTTCCTTATCCTCTCCCACCTCCTACCCTTCACCCTCAAGTAGACCCCTGTGTCGGTTGTTTCCCTTTATGCGTCTATGTGTTCTCATGATTTAGCTCCCACTTATAAGTGAGAACATGAGGTATTTGGTTTTCTGGGAAATATCATCTTAATTTTACAGATGATATTTGTAACTGAAGTTCAGAGTGATTAGATAGTTTGCCCCCAAACTTAGCTAGAAATGCTGAATTGTAAGTTCCATGACTAGGGATTATATTGTTTTGCTTACCTTATCTTAGTACCTGGTGTAGTGTCTGGTCCATAGTCGGTATTAAATATACTGATGGAATGAATATGTGGGGATAAAATGATGCATATGATGCATACGTGTAGTGAATATTGTTTGTTTGACCTGAACATCTACTCCCCTCCTTTCCCCACACACCTTATTTTGGGTCCATATCCTTTACTCCAGCCAAAGGGTTGGGCAAGTGACTCAGACTCAGATAGTATATAATAATATTATTATTATATCCCCCTGACCATGATAATTGGTCCCAAAGTTGGAAGAATGTGAGTTTGCTCAGGTGCCCCAATATATGGTGAAAATCTGACTGCCATATAAAAGAATGATGCCAATGTGCAGAGAAAAGAAAAAAGTAAGGATGTATGATTCAATTTTCCCACGTTATTAACATTGACCCTTTTATAAGCAAGTACTATTGCTGTAGCCACAAAAGGCAAGTTGAAATTGGTGACTTGTCTTAGGAAGGGGATTTTATTTTAGATGTCATCCTCAATGCCCGAGTAGATGTATGTACTTCAAAAAATATTCCAGAACTTATCTAAGTGTATGTCTGCTCAGTGCTTTTTCCTTTGCCCTTGACAAGTCCCCCTGCATCTTAGCTTACTCACATTTGAATGGAGTCTTTTTTCCCTGTGGTTTCTTCATCCATCCTGTCTCAATAAGTGTCTCTGGGATATTGTTTGTTGGAATAATTGTTGGCTTAAGGATAGAAGAGCGATGTTGGATGGAGAAGAGTAGCTTTCAATGTGGACAATGCTGATTCTGGTGGCCACAGCAGGTTTCAATCTGGGAATCTGGGAGCCCCCACTGGAGGGAGTCTGTTGTGTATGGTTCTTGTCCTGGCCAGGAATAGAACAATCATTTGGGCTAGCTTCTATAATACAACTATGGCAATATTGTCGGTGAAAAACCCAGGCCTCTTGCAGGAGTACAGCCATAGCATGGGACTCTGTGGATACTGGAATGTAATTTGGGAATTTGCTCTATCCAAGGTAGCTCTTGCCTCAGACCATCTTGGCATATCCTTACAGTATCAGGACTCTTTCATTATCAGGACTCAGTTAGCAACCCTTTGTTTCTACTCTAGCTCCAACACTGACAGCATGATCCTCTCCTTCATTACATTTGTGGACCACTGGTTGGCCCACAGATCACCTTACTGAGCACTTGTATCATTCCTAATCCAATCAGTTTTTGCAAAAGGACAATTGTCACATAGCATGAGCATGGTGACTTATTTTCAAGTAAGCGCTAGTGTTGTTTCCTCTGTAGGGACTATAGATGAAACTGAGAGGGAGAGATACTCTAAAGCTTCAGTGTTGCCATACAAATAATTTGTTTATTATCTAGTCTGAAAAAGCAGCTTGAGTACTTTATGGAGGATATTGAGATTCACGAGTGCAGCAGGTACTTGTCATGCACCAAGCCACTTTCTCTCGAGCCCCCTGATTTTTGTATGTTTCTGGCATCTACACCATATATATATATATATATATATATATATACACACACACACACACACACATATATATACGTATATATATATATATGTATGCTTTACTCAGGAATTTCTCTGAAGCCAAGAAAACCATTTAGCTTTGCTAGATACAGCCAGAGCAGTAGAGAAAATAACAATCACAATCCACCTTCCTAGAGCAATTCTTAACTAACTAGAGAAGAGAATCAGTGGAGGAGTGTCTTGGCGTCTCTGTCCTTGGGCATGCGTTCTTCATAGTTCCTTAAATCATCTCCAACAGCACTAAGTCTTAGTTGCCCACAGAGGTAACCAGCGATTAATATACTCCATATTGTTTTTTCTCCCTTCTCTGTCTCACTTTTCCCACTTCTTTGCTTTTGATTCTTGGGACTGTGTCTTAAGAACTGCACCCAAGTTCTTGTCTCAAGATTTCATGTTCTTATATCAATTTTCTGACACCAACTGGGCGTCCTACAATTCAGTTCAATTTTGACACTAACTAGCTGGTATTAGCACAGACCCCATGTGAAGGGCCAAAGTCCTTCACAAGTCTGCCTTCACTTCAGATGGTAATTGCGAGTCGCAGGGATCACCTATATTTCTAATTTACTGGCTATAAATTCAGAGAGTTCTGTGATCCCCTCATGTTTAATAATTGGCTAGAACAAATTCCACAGAATTCACTGAATGTGCTATATTTATGACTACAGTTTTATTATGAAGGATACCACTAAGGAACAGCCAAATAGAAAAGATGCATAGGACAATGTTATTAGTCTGTTCTCATACTGCAGGTAAAGACATATCTGAGACTGGGTAATTTATAAAGAAATAGAGGTTTAATAGACTCACAGTTCCATGTGGCTGGGGAGGCCTCACAATCATACTGGAAGGTGAAAGGCACATCTTACATGGTGGCAGACAAGAGAGAATGAAAGCCAAGAAAAAGGGGTTTCCCCTTAAAAAACCATCAGATCTCATGAGACTTACTCACTACCATGAGAACAGTATGGGGAAAACTGCCCCCATGATTCAATTATCTCTCACTGGAGCCCTCCTACAACATGTGGAAATTATAGGAGCTATAATTCAAGATGAGATTTGGGTGAGGACACAGGCAAACCATATCAAACAAGATCTAGGAAAAGGAGACACTAAGCTTCCATGCCCTTCCCTGGTGGCATCTGGGTGTACCACTCTCCCTGCACATTCATGTTTTTATCAGCCAGAATGCTCCACTGAGTTTTAGCATCCATAATTTTTATTGGCGTTTTATTACACAGGTGTAATTGATAAACTAATTGCCACATGATTGAACTCAATCTCCAGCTTCCCCTCCTTTCCCTGGAGATTAGGCTGAGTCAAAGTTCTAACCCTCTAATCATGTGATTAGTCTTCCTAGTGACTGGCCCACATCCTGAACCTATGTAGGGACCCTGCCATATGCCATCTCATTGGAATAACAAAGATACCCCTATCGCTCAGGAAATTCCAAGGGTTTTTGAAATTCTATACCAGGAACTGAGGACAAAAATTAGATTTATGTATTATACCACAGTTTTACTTTGGGTGGAATTCAAACTAAAACACGAAGTTTTTACACCCACACCCAACACCTAGATAAAAGCACTTAGTTGGCAGGTTCCAAGCTTTCCTCATGAATTGAGGGAGAAGTCATAGAAGTTGATGGAACTCCATCATGGAAGGCCTTAGATGTCATGTGTACAGTGAAAACAAGTGATAATTACTTTGATTTTCTAGGTTTGGCATAATTGAATGAAAGTATTGTCCTTGAATACCTATCAGCAAATGCTGAAGTGAGAATCCTGAATAAGAGTTCCTAGATGCCATATGGGCATCTGTAGTTAGGAACAACAGTCAAGACTGACATCCAGGGCCCGGGAGGCTCTGGGAGCCCTGCCAATGTTAACCAGCAAAGGATCTAACATAATCTTTATTAGTAGAGAAAGTCCACTCTTGTCTCCTAGGACTGAGAGGTCTTGCCCATTCCAGTGCATTTTAGAGCCTCTAGTACACCCTGGCTCCATGTGTCTGTACACCCCATGGGGTACATGAGCCATGTTTATTACTATATTTGATGGATAGAGCTGCTGGTCCTACTGACCTTCCCCATCCACCTGTGGACTCAGCTTTTTGCCCAACCCTTTCATCTTCAAAGCTTTGATCAATCACTTTCCATTTCCCAGGCCTAAGTATGCTCCCATATTTGGCTGAAGACTATTCTGAGTCTCTTCTACCTTCCCAGAACACTGAGTCTCTGTGTCACTATTGTCCTCCCTGGGCTGCTGGTCTTTCTTTCCTTCTGCATTATAAAGAAAGAGCCTGCCTCCGCTTTACCCCTTCACTGCTTGACTCAATAACTTTGCTTTCTCATAATGAGGCTTCATTATAAGTTTTATTGACAGACTTATGTTATGCCACAGGAACCCATCTTGAATCAATTAAAATCAATTAATCACACTGTGATTAACTTTAATTGTGGGATGTTTCCTACACCCAGCAAATAACCATTCACATATGTTTCAATTAATATTTTTACCCCCCTTTGTTGACAAATGATCTATTGTGCTTAAAATTAATTGAATGTTAGCATGGTCCCAATTAACATCACACTAACAATAAAAGATGCCTTGATTGCTAATATTGAGCAAAATCTGTGACAATCTACCACTTACAATGTACAGCATATGTTATTTAAACATGAAGGGGCCTAACCTCTTTGCAAATGCAGTAGATGACTGAATGAGAATGTGAAGCCATGTTTAAAGCTATTGAAAATCTTGGGTTTTGGGGCTCTGACATGAGATAAGCAGGGAAAATAAAACTTTGCCCACTTAGAAATAGTTGCTTATCTTTGTCTGTGTCTGCTTTGGTAAACCAAGATTTAATATCTAGTTTATCATTACTTCATATATAGTTCCTTTTTATTTTATTCAATATTTTATATTATCTTTGTCTCCTCTATCTCTAATAATCATTCTCATTCCCCTCTTTGTTGAGTGGGATTGCCTAAATGCTTTTGTGCTATAAATCCCAGACTGCATCTTTTATTTTCACTAATCTTTTGTTTTTGAGACCAATTTAATTAGGATATGTGGGTCTATTTAATGTGCAAATGTAATTTATCCATGCCCACATTGATAAGCATCCAGCTTGTTTCTAATTCTTTGCTTTTATAAGCAATGTGAGGATGAATATCTTGGTGCATCTGAATTTAGGTACCTGTCTGCAATATCTTTCTAGGAAAGCAATCATTAGATCACAGAACAAGTACAAATTACATTCCAGAACTGATCATATTTTACATAGGAGAAAATGGAGGTCTGGAGATGTTAAGCAATTTTTTAAGGTCAAGTTTGTCACTAGTCTTGATCTCAGGTCTGAATCTCGGTGTACTGTTTATTTCACAATATGCTACCACCTCAATTTCCCTGACTTCACTGAAATTCTCTAAGTAAAATGTCTCTAGTATGATAGCTTCATTGTGTTCTAGCTTGGAATCATCCTTGTTTTAGTCACCTTAAATAAAGAGTTGACGTTTAATATGTAAGTTGCAACTTACTTGGAGACGTATGCAATTATTATCAGGCAATGACATTGGGAACAAAATCCCAAACTCTTCTCTTCAAAAACATCTGCCTTTATTATTGAGCAAAAGCCTACAAAACCAGTCAAATATTTTGGAATAGGTGATAGAGACATAATAATATAAACCTAGGATATCAAATTTCCTCTCACAAAAGAGGCAAAACATTGCTTCAAAGATCAAAAAACATAATTCCCACATTTATTTTTACAAATAACCTTGCCCTGAAGATTGTGTACATGTGTGTCTTTGAAAAATATACAATGATATAAATCTTTTAAGCTCTTAAAAGCTTAAACAGCCTTTGGAACTTTATATTTCTTTTGGGTGTCTGGAAAAGGTTTTACTGCTAAAATGCCATCCCTAGATACATTTTCTTCCTCCCTATCACCCCTGCCTCAGTTCACATTAATTCCTAAAAAATTAATTGAGCAATTGCTGAGTCTAAACACTTGATTACAGAAAGAATACGCATTCTGTGCCATTATAGATGGCAAGATAGATGGAAGTAAGTAACATATTTGAATGCTGAACCAAGGGCTCTGAGTGACCAGATAGAACCACTGAATCAGCTAGAGTGAGTAGTGAGTACAGAGGTGATATTTGAGCTAGACTTTAACAGGTGTGTAAGAGGTAGGCAGGCCGAGAAAGGGAGGAAGGCATTATAAGGATAGAAGAGAGCAGATCGCATCTTTTTCCTCCTGCGCTTACACCCACCGGCTTTTCCTCCTACCTCTACAGTAGCCATGTTCAGAAATAATCCAGTATCCCTGAGGGAAGAGGAACAAATGTTCTACATTGCACCATGCTAAGCATGCCCCTCCAGTACTTGTGCCTGTGAAATGCATTTCACGCCTCATCTGTTTCCTAAATGAGATGTGAAAGCAGTTTACACCTCGTTTACATTTATGCTGTTTTACCGAACAGCATAGACACAGCTTCATCCAAAGTAATGAAATGAGGTCAGTCACCCCTTTCTCTCCTTGGATTGAATCCACACAGTTCTTCAGATCCTCTTCAGCCCATAGTGACTTCCAGGCAAGCGGGAATCTACTAAGTGTTGGGAGAGAAGGTACTAGGAAGGTTGGAGGATGGGAGTAGCAACTAGAGTTCAGTTCCTTTTAGGTAGAGGAAATAGCCTTTCTTTCAAGCCAGCAGTACTTTATTGAGGTCTAATTTATTTCAATAAAATGCAAAAGTTATAAGTGTACAGCTAGAAGAATTTTAACCTTTGCATATATCTGTAACCAACACCCAGATCAAGATATAGAACAATTCTCTTACCCTTGAAAATTATCTCATGTCTTCCCAGTCAATGCTCCATTCCCCAAAGATAACCACTGTTCTGACATTTTCCCCCATAGATAAATTGTGCCTGTTTTAGAACTTCATGTACATTAAAGCAAAAAATGTGTACTCTTTTGCATCTGGCTTCTTTTGCTCAATAAGTTTTATGAGATTCATGCATGTTATTGTACATATTAGTAGCTCATGCCTTTGAATTGTTGAGTAATATTTCATTGTATGAATAAACCACAATTTAGTTGTTCTCCTGTTGATGGACATTGGGTTTTTGTTTATTATAAATAAAGCTGTTATAAATAGTTTTGTGTAAGGTTTTATGGACATATAAATTCATTTCTCTTGAGTACCCAGCTAGGTGTGGAATTTCTGGGTTGTAGTGAACATGTATTTTAACTTTATTAGAAATGGCCAAACAGTGCTCTAAAGTGATTATACCATTTCACACTCCCAATAGTTGTGTATGAAAATTCTGGTTGTTTTTATTGATTCAAGGTAATAAAATTAGTTTGGAAATCACTGTGAAGTGGCAGAAACTTATTCGTGGAATATGAGAGAAAAGACAAGATTGAATATTTTGGAAGGGAACTGGAACATGAATAGAGTTCCTATGCATGAATATTTATTGTGCCATATGATATCTCTTAAATGTCCTGTTTTGCCTAAAATTCCCTATATTTAAAAATACACAACACACTTTGTCTTCTCTAAATTATACGCCTATAGGATGTAAAAGTAGATGTAAAAGATGCCTATAGGATGCCTAAAAGATGCCTATAGGATGCAAAGTAGATGTAAAAGATGCCTATAGGATGTAAAAGTGAACTAGGAGTCACACACCAATAATGCACAAGTAGGTCACTTACATACCTTCACCAAAAGTAGACCAGTAGTGTTTCAATTTTTTACCAAACTGATAAACAAATATTTGTATCTTCTGTTTTTATTTTTTGTGCTTGGATTAATAGAGTAGATCATATTGTTTATTTATTTATAGATATTTGCTCTTTTTTCTTCATGTGTTGGCTCTTCATATCTTTTTATTATTATTTTTATTATTTTAAAAATGTGGGTACATAGTATGTATATATATGTGGGACATGAGATGTTTTGATACAGGCATGCAATGTGTAATAATCACATCATGGAGAATGGGGTATACATCCCCTGAAGCATTTATTTTCTGAATTACAAATAATTACATTCTTTAAGTTATATTAAAATATACAATTAAGTTGTTATTGACTGTATTCACCCTCTTGTGCTATTAATAGTAGGTCTTATTCATTCTTTCTGTTTTCTTTGTACTCATTAACCATCCCCACCTCCCCACTAATACCCCACTACCCTTCCTAGCCTCTGGTAACCATCTTTCTATTCTTTATTCCATTAGTTCAATTGACTTGATTTTTAGATCCCACAAATAAGTGAGGACATGTGATTTTTTTTTTTTTTCTGTGCCTGGCTTATTTCACTTAACATAATGATCTCCAGTTCCATGCAAGTTGTTGCAAATGACAGGATCTCATTCCTTCTCTGTCTGAATAGTACTCCATTGTGTCTAAGTACCACATTTTCTTTATTCATTCATCTATTGATGGACACTTAGGTTGCTTCCAAATCTTAGCCATTGTAAACAGTGCTGCAACAAACATAGGAGTGCAGATATCTCTTTGATATACTGATTTCTTTTGGGTATATACTCAGGAGTGGGATTGCTGGATCATATGGTAGCTCAATTTTTAGTTTTTTGAGGAACCTCCAAACTGTTCTCCATAGTGGTTGTACTCCTTTACATTAGCACCAACAGTGTCCAAGGGTTCTCTCTTCTCCATATCCTTGCCAGCATTTGTTATTGCCTGTTTTTTGGATATACGTCATTTTAATTGGTGTGAAATGATATTTCATTGTAGTTTTGATTTGCATTTCTCTGATGATCAGTGATATTGAGCACCTTTTCATATGCCTGTTTCCATTTGTATGTCTTCTTTTGAGAAATGTCTATTTAAATCTTTTGCCCATTTTGGGATTGGATTATTAAGTATTTTTCCTACAGAGTTGTTTGAACTCCTTATATCAGGTTGGTACAAAGTAATTGCAGTTTTTGCCATTACTTTGCACCAAGCTAATATATTCTGGTTATCAAGCCCTTGTCAGGTGGGTAGTTTGCAAATATTTTCTCTCATTATGTGGGTTGTCTCTTCACCTTCTTGATTTTATCCTTGGCTGTGCAGAAGCTTTTTAACTTGGTGTGATCCCATTTGTCCATGTTTGCTTTGGTTGGCTGTGCTTGTGGGTCTTCATGTCTTTTGCCCATGTTCTCTGGTATTTGTCTTTTTCCTGTTGCTATTTAGATTGCTCTATATTAACTATTGCTTGTCATATATGTTGCAAATAGTTCTCCAATTTTGTTGTTTATTTTATAAGAATGACTTTTATTATTTAAAAAATGCTACTTGCCCTTCATAAAACATTTAATCAACAGAGAAGATCATAGAAAGGTAAAAATTCTTCCAAATTCCACTTCCCAGATACAAAACAAAAAACAAAACCTAGAAGTAATCAACAAAGTTCTGATGAAAATTACTTCAGATATCTCTCCATGTTTATACACAGATAACCAACTAGGTATGTAGGTAGAGGTTTAGAAATTTACCTAAAAAGTACAAGGTAAGTTGTAATTAAAATGGCTGCACTCAAGGTAAATATTTCTTTATTATAAAACATATTTCTAAACAATTATGAAAACTTTTATGAATTTGGAATAATATTTGAGCCACATAATTTGACTTTGGAGTGTACCTTTGGAAATCTTTGCTAAAAAGATGAAAAAAATAGCAAACATATTTTTTTCTGTCTTTCCTCAGCACTTCTAATTTTATTAGTTATTTTAATATTGTCAAGTTTTATAATATTTAAAGCCCTTTTTCTAACTGTAATTCCCACAATTGTCAATTTTTCTTCTATTTTTAAACAGATCATCAGCTTCACCTTGGCATTTCCATTCTTTTTTCTTTATTTTGATTTATTGCTTTTTATGCATATTTTATTATTCTAATAACATCTTTTCATGCAGGGCTCATAGGTGTTGGATTTCCTGAGTTCTTGAATATTTCAGGATATTTCTCAGTTTCATTTGAATTTGAATAATCACTTGGCTATGTATACAATTATTGTCATACCTTCTTTTACTTAGAATTTATGCATATTGCACCATTTTCTACTGATACTAAATGTTGCTTTGGGTAAAGCTGAGATCAATAAAAACCTCACCAAATCCCTTTCCAACACACACACACACTCACATTCCCCCCACCCACACACACCCCATAAGTCTATATATAACTTTCTCTTTCTGTCTAGATGTCCTTTTGAGTCTTTCCCCTTTTATATATATTTATTTTAGTGATTCCTCTAGAGATAATAACATATATATCTGTCTTAATCAAAGTCTATTGTTATTTGGAGCTTTTGTCTTCTTCCTAGACAATGTTAAAAATGTTAACTCTGTTTAACATCTTATCAACTTATATGAGTTGTTGTATTTGTTGCACATTTTCATTCTCTCTGTATTTTAAACCATATAAAACACAAAAATATGCATTTAGGTTGACACATATTTAGCGTTTTGTTGCTCTTTGTTTCTTTCTTCATCTCCAAGCTTCCATATGAGATCATTTTCTTTCTGCCTGAAGAACATCCTTTGCTATTTCCCTAAATGTGGTCTGGATCTGTTGCTAATGAATTCTTTTAATTTTTGTCTTTATTTCACCTTCATTCTCTGAATATGTTTGCTGAGTATTGAATTCTAAAGAGATACTGTTGTCTTTCAGCACTTTGAAGTTATGTGTCAGTTGTCTTCTCATTCTGTTGTTTTTAATGAGATGTTAGTCACCTATCAGCCTGATAGTCACTCGTTGTAATGAGGAGTCTGATGCCATATTAAAAAATATTTGACTGCTAACAATTTTTAAGACTCACTCCATCTTCTTTCCTTTCTGCCCCACATTTGGACAAGTTGATAAGAAAGCTTGAGTGCATCCTCTTTTGGCACCAGCCGCACTCAAACCATGTGAGTCTCTGCCCATGTGAGGAAACTCTCACCCTGTCCCACCCTCTAAACCCAGTAAAAACCTAGGCCAGTATTTTTTTTCCTTGCTCTCTCAAGCCATTTCAGACCTGCTTGAGAGGCTTGCTCTGCTCTCCCCAGAGACCTCAATTATGTAAATAATAAACCTCTTCATACTCTTTTAATGTGTGTGCAGCACCTTCAGTCTTGACATGTGAACCAAATTTTGGGTTGGGGTCCATCTGCCTCTGTAAGGGACCATAACACTTTTCTAAAGACTCTCTTTTATTTAGTTTCATCAATTTTATTATGAGAAGCTTAACTTTTTTTTTTTAATTACTCCGTTTAGGTTTTCTTGAACCTGTAGCTTAAAGTTTTTCATCAGTGTTTAAAAAAGCTCTTACCCTACTGGGTGCAGTTGGTCACACCTGTAATCCTAGCACTTTGGGAGGCCGAGGTGGGTGGATCACAAGGTCAGGAGATCGAGACTATCCTGGCCAACATAGTGAAACCCTGCCTCTACTGAAGATACAAAAATTAGGTGGGCGTGGTGGCACGTGCCTGTAATCCCAGTTGCTCAGGAGGCTGAGGCAGGAGAATTGCTTGAACCCTGGAGGCGGAGGTTGCAGTGAGTCAAGATTTCACCGCTGCACTACTCCAGCCTAGCGACAGAGAGAGACTGTGTCTCAAAAAAAAAAAAAAGTTCTTACCCATAATTGCTTCAAATATTGCTTCCGTACAATCCTTCCATTCTGAGATTTTATGATGTCAGTGTTTCTTACTTTTTTTCTAACCCCTTTCCTGTATTTCTCATCCTTTTATCTTTCCATGTTTCACGTTTGATATTTTCTTCTAAACTTGCTTCCAGTTCAATAATTCTTTTTTCACCAGTGTCTAAACCTGTACATAATATTCTTGATTTAGCTAATTGTATTTTTCAGTTCAAGAATTTTGATTTGGTTTAGTTCCATAATTCTTAATTATCTTTCAAAATCTTCAATCTTGTATTTTATCTCCTTGAATATATTAAGGATGGTTATTCTAAGTTTGTTTGGGAACTCCATTATCTTAAACTTCTGTAAGGTGTTTTACTTGCTTCTTGTTTCTCTTGGTTTTTTCTTTGTTTGTTTGTGTTTTAGTTTAGATTTTCTTGCCTCCTTATTTCTGTTTGCTTTTAATTCTTGAGTGTCCAGTTGGAGAACTGGCCTGAAGTACCTACTCTGTTATTATCAAAAGTGGAAGCCTGAGTTTCTAATTTATTTTATTTTTATTCTTGATGTTTGATACTTTCATTACGATAGAATTGTCGGTGAATATTCTGTAATCAATTACCTCTACTACTCCCCCTCAGGATGTAATATTTCTTTATTCTAGGCAAATTTACTTCTACTATTGTTAATTTTTTTGTTCTTTCTCAGGATACCAATTATATATATATATATAATGTATATATATATTTTTATATATATGTGTATATATATGTATGTATGTGTATATATATGTATATATATATACACATACATACATATATATATATGTTGATTCTTCTTTGCTTTTAGTTTATCAGTCCTCTTAAAAATAATTTGAATATCTTTGTTATTTTTCTGACTGTTTGAATAATTACCTGAACCCTGTTAGGGTCTTGGCTGTGTTTTAATTATATATATAGATAGATAGAGTCAATAGAGTTCTGCTTTTAATATGGCTTTAATCTCTGCAATGTTTTCATTTTTCTTTTACATTTCTACTTGAGCTTTATCAGCTCACTTTATTACTCCTTTTATTATCTTATAATCTCTTTTGAAGCTTTTGAACCTTTAGTTCTCTTTTTGAAGTCCTTTTTTATTTTTATTTTATTATTTTATTTTACTTCTGTATTTTATTGAAACAGAGTCTTGCTCTGTTGCCCAGGCTGGGATGCAGTGGTGTGCTTGGCTCACTGCAGCCTCTGCCTTCCAGGTTTAAGAGATTCTCCTGCCTCAGTCTCCTGAGCAGGTGGGATTACAGGCACCCGCCACCACGCCTGGCTAATTTTTGTATTTTTAGTAGAGACAGGGTTTCGCCATGTTGGCCAGGCTGATCTTGAACTCATGACCTCGAGTGATCTGCCCACCTCGGCCTCCCAAAGTGCTGGGATTACAGGCATGAGTCACTGCACCTAGCCTTGAAGTCCTTTTTTAAAAGAAAGAGTTTCATGTAATTCTTTGAGACTTTGAAGAATTATTTGCACGAGTCTTCTATTTCCTTATGGATGCCTTTTATCTTGTGTTATTTTCCTTTTTTCTTCTTTATTATTATTTTTTAATGAGTAGATTTGAAGCTGGTCCATTTTTATTTGTAGCTTATCTTTACATGGGATCAACTAGTTATTGTGTGTGGAGCAACTTGGTGTAAGGGTTGACACAAAGCTATCCATGACTTGAATTCAAGATTGTAGCCTTAAACACTCTGTCATTTAATCAGTAATCTGCTTTACCCTGGGATTAATTTTTGCCCTTAGCTATTGAAAGTTAATGTTCAGTATGGCCCACAGAAATTCCCTTTAGTTCACTAGTTTTCTGGGTTATTATCTGGCATTTGTGTCCTTCCCACTTGCTTTCTTTTTGCTTCACGTCTGGAAGTCTTGTTTGGTTAGGGCTCTCAGAAAGCACATTGGCCAGACTTGAAAAAAAAATTGGTGTACTGTTCTTGCAACACCTGGAATTATAATTTAGGCGGCCCTTGGGCAGGAGCACAGTCTAAATCTAAAGGCAGATGCTTGTTTCCTGGGCTGATGCCCAGCTGCAAGTGATGGGTGTTCTTTCAGAGAGGCCTCAGGCAGTGTCTTAGGATTGGGTTCATATTGGACTTCTGCATGCCATCGGATATGCTGATAACTGTCAAGAACCCGTGGGAAGCTCTCTCTAGTCAGCCCCAAACTGGCTCTTTGAGCTGACTTTTTCCTCGAACCAATCCTCCAAGGACCTATTCTCTTTTGCTTTTTATTCTCAATAGTAGCCAATTTGCACTACAACACTGGATTTTCCTCTTTCAAAACTTAGTAGTAAGAGAAACTCAGTCTCTTCAGCTTCTTTGAAACAAATACTAAAACCTTTGTGTTTTAAGAATTTTGTTGTTTATTCTTCTGGGAAGGAGTTATTTCAGAGTTAACAAAATGGGAAAGCAATAAAGTCTAATAAACTGTGGAATCCTGATCCAGGGTTATAGAATCTTTGACTTTTTTCTGATGGCAGATTAATGTAAGGTCTTTGGCTGTATTGTAGAATGGTGTAATGGCCAGAAACTGGGTTCTAGCTTCAAACTCTGGTTCTACCATGTTCCAGTTGTATGATTTAGGAAAGTTACTTATCCTTGTTGTTCTTCAGTTTTATCCTCATTAAATGGATATGATAATAGTACCTACCTCCTGGTATTATTAAGGTTTAAACGAGCTACTACTGTAAAGGGTACCATGCTGTGCCTGGTACACAGTATGATGAGTTCATTGAAACTTTGCTATTATTAGGTCCACTGATTTTCTTCCAAACATGCACACTAGTAGCCTCATCCTTACATTTCCCACTCTTCTTGGAAAGAAGAAGTGTCCTGGTAGAGGAATAGTTCTCAAAAAGATTACTGACAGAAACTCTTCCTCCACAAAGACATTTTCCTATAGGGATTCTAAAATCAAGAGGATTCTTCCTGTACAAGGACCTTTCCCCATGAGGACTGTTCCCTACGAGGACACTTTCTCATGAGGACATTTTCCCTTTAGGAACCCTTTCTTCCTGAGGTTCCTCTACCCATGAGAAATCTTCTTCCATGTGGACCCTATTTCTATAAGGATCTTTTCCAATGAGGACCTTTCCCACATGAAGACTAATCCCCTTGCCGAGAAATAGGGAAAATGTCCTTCATCCCCTAGGACGACATTTTCCCCATTAAGTCTTGTCTCCCTTCTGCATAAAGATACTTAGTAAGTTTTTTTTTGTTTTTTTTTTTTGTTTTTTTTTTTGAGATGGAGTGTCAGTCTGTCACCCAGGCTGGAGTGCAGTGGTGTGATCTCGGCTCACTGCAACCTCTGCCTCCTGGGTTCAAGTGATTCTCCTGCTTCAGCCTCCTGAGTAGCTGGGACTACAGGCGCGCACCACCATGCCCAGCTCATTTTTTGTATTTTAGTAGAGACGAGGTTTCACTGTGTTGCCCAGGCTGGTCGCGAGCTCCAGAGCTCAGGCAATCCACCCGCCTCAGCCTCCCAAAGTGTTGGGATTACAGGCATGAGCCACCATGCCGGGCCAATCCTTAGTAACTTTAAGAGAACTATTCCTCTATCAGAACTCTTGCTTTTCAAGGATTCTTCCTCTGAAAAGTGGCCTCAGGAGACCCTGTGGGGAAATTAGCATCTAATTTTTGGACAATTTCCCTTCCTAAGAACTGCCAGCCAGATCATTAGGCCTCAGTCCTTGGCCAGGCATGGCCTGTGTTGGCATTGTGCACATTTGACCAAGAGCCTTCTCGTTGATTTTGGTATGCATCTGGCTTTGGGGAGATCAGTGGTAGCAGCTAGGTATGGACCAGACCGTCATTGTAACAGTAGCCTTGATTATATTCCATTTTTCTGGGCATGCCATGATAGGAAAGTGGGATATACAGGTCACATACCAATTAGGTCAGGATGCCCTGGCAGCAGACTTACTTGTGGGACATCACAGCAGCAGGAACACATAAGAAGGGCATAACAGGGTAACTAACTATTCTTCTCCGTGAAGAATACATGGTGCTTGACATAGGAGTAGGGTACTATGGTTCTGATTCTCAATGAGCTATTAACCTAGAGGAATTGGAGGAGTAAATTATGGAATATAAACAAAGTGGAATGAATAAGTACTAAATTCAACTATTTTGTTCATCCACATTCAATTAAATACATTGTTTCAAATTGTGATAATTTGCAAAGAAAAGCATAGTATTCTAGATAGAAGTATAGTATGTATCAAGACCTGGGGCACTGAAAGGAAGTCAAAATCCATGGCTTTTTTTTCCTGGAAAAGTCTGGCAGGCCCCTGTGTCAGGAGCATAGAGTTGGTAAACAGAAATTGTGAGAGATGAAGCAGCATAATCCTTTTAGGTTCAGACCCTGAGAAGCTGTGCTAAGGATTTTTGATGGGATTGTGTAAACAATGAGAATCTGGAACAGATTGTTCAGGAAGGAAGTGGTCCAAATCACACAGGAAGAAGACACACCTGTTGGTTGTATGGAGACCTGGAAAGTGAGAGAGTAAAAGAAAAGGAGTGCATTAAGATGCCATCACAAGAACTGAGCCCCAAATGCTGAAGGCCTGGGTAAAACAGCACCTGTGGAGCAGGAAAAGAGAGGGTAGATATGGATATGAAAGCTTGAACAGTCCCCCCTCAGTGATCGGAAGTGTAAGAGAGAGGATAATCAGAGATAGCTGAAAGCTTTTAGTATAGGTGTCTTTTTTGGAAATTAAGAATCAGTCTTTTTTTTTTTTTTTCAGGGTCTCACTCTGTCACTCAGGCTGGAGTGCAGTGGCACAAACATGGCTTACTGTAGCCTTGACCTCCCAGGCTCAAGCTATCCTCCTGCCTCAGCCCCCACACCCATCTCCCAAGTAGCTGGGACTATAGGCACACACCCACCACACCTGGCTAGTTTTTGCATTTTTTTGTAGAGATGGGTTTCACCATGTTGGCCAGGCTGGTCTTCAACTCCTGAGCTCAAGCAATCCCCCTACCTTGGCCTCCCAAAGTGCTGGGATTATAGGCATAAGTCACCATGCCCAGCCAAGGATCAGTCTTATTGAATGAAGTGTCACTTACTTGCCAAGACCATTATGGACACACACCTTTGAACGTAGTGTGTGTGGGGTGGTGATGAGAACTCTGGGCTAGGAATTAGAATACCCAAGTCCACTATTTACCTAACTGAAAATAAAACTGTTAACCTCTTTAGGCCTTAATCTCATCTTTATTAATATGCATGACTTACTGATCTTTTCAGGTGAGGACAGTCTGTTCTGAAGGTCTACACATTAATGCTTCCTATTGGGAATTCAAATCGGCAATTTGTTCTTCTTCTGGTTGTTTGAATCTTCAAAATAGAGGGAAGACACCTGGATGAAACATTTTCACAGACTCTGCAATTCCCTTAAGAGGATCCCAGAGCCCTTAAGCTTCTCTTAGATTCCTCTGATTTTTTTCAGCCCAAGGACTGTTACCACATGTCTTCCATCTTGCCCACAATTTTAGCAGGTGTGTGTAGGTGGAGCTCAAAGTTAAAAATAACTCCAGTAAACTCACATATCTTTTTTCACAAATTGCTGTTCAGTTGAAACTCTTAAATAGCCAGCGTTTTGCTGAGTGGTTAAACAGAACTATAAACAGAGACAGTGGTGCCACTAATAACTAAACTGTGCCTCTACCCCCTCACCCTAAAACCAACCTCCCTAAACCACATAGTAGCAACGTGATAATAATTACCTACATACATAAAGCACCAAAAGTATGATGGAATCTTTATTGGCAATGATTCCAATGTTGGATCACATGCTGAGAAAAAGGGTGTAACACTAATGAGCTTCTTAGAGCATAAATTCCAACAAATAAGTTATGTAGCTTCAGTACCTTAAATAAGAGAGCAGCCTGGCTCCAGAACCAGGGCAAGACTGAGAGGGGAATACCCAGTTCTGTCACCTTGGGAAAGTCAATTCAATTATTTGGTGATTTAAACTTGCTAATCCCATATTGGTTTAATTGTTGGTGGCCTTGGAGATACGAGGCAAAGCTATAGAAGGAAGGGATGTCTGCTGAAGGACTCAGATGAAGGATCACTTTGCCATTTCATGTGACTGAAGAATGTTTCATGGGGTTACTTTGAAACCCACCGAAATATCTGCATACTGGAATGAACTGGACATACGATTTTAAGCACATTGAAACAGAGTAATAGACTTCTCCCAACTTCTGTTCTATACAGCCATCTAAGCCCACAGCACTAATTCTTTCATTCTTTCACACCTTCATGAATGTGATCTATTAACAAAGAAATTCCTATATCATGGCTATGAATTAGCAAATGGTATCATCCTAAAACTTTAGAGATTTATGGGAAGAAACAGTAGAGATAAGAATGAAGAAAAAAAGAATGGATTAGTTTCCATTATCCTCATAGAGATGAATTGCCTACCTAGGAATTTAAGAAGACCCCTGGCAAACAAAACAAAACCAACCAAACAAAAAGCTTGATAAATTCCTCCTGACTGAACAAACAGGGCCTAGAAATGAGGATTAGTTACTGGCAATGAATATATGTGAGGAGCAAATTATAATCATGTTAGAGCTTCCAACAAACCCTATACAATGTTCAAGGATTTATACAGAGTGGGAATAATCCTGCAGTGGCACCCCAAATGGCCTGAGATGTGCATGTTGAACTGAAGGTCATGAGAATACTAGGCTAGTTTAGAGCGGGGATTCTTGTCTCAGTGGGTTTCCTTCTGTTTGGTTAGGTAGAAAGTTTGGGGAAGGGAGAAAAGGCTTAGGAGTTGGAAAGAATGTTTAGCCCCAAAGGATGTTTCTGTTCAAATCTGGTTTCTTCTGCCTGTATTCACCAACATACACCCATACCCATACTGTCTCTCAAAATATTACTATTTCTCAATAAATTCAAATTTTTTCTTTTTCTCACAGTCTTTTCCTAAAGATTTGAACACTATTATATTTGCTCCATATAACCTTCAATAGCACATAGGTCCTTAAACTAAACAAACATAAATATCCTACCATCACATAAGAATGAATAAACATAAAAACCTTCACCAATATTTCTATATATAGTATCTGTAACTGTTTATCTATTATCTATCTATCTATCTATCTATTATCTATCTATCTATCATCTATCTATAAAAATAGTAATAACAAGGATACCAGTATGGACAAATAGTCCATTAAAAAAGAACTTATTGCTATTAAAAGAATAAATAATAATTCAATGAGATCAGAGAGAAGATTGAGTCAATAAAACAAAAGTAGAGAATCATGAAACAATAATTTTTCATGGAAATAGGAAAAAGTTCTTGGAGACAAAAAATTAATTGGAATTAAAAAAAGATCTTCAAAGAAGTCTATTGCAGTAGGACTTCTGGACTAACTTGAATAATTTATCTGTTTCTTATTTCATTTTCCATTAGCCTTCCCAAAAGCTTATGTAGCTAGAACTCAGATAAAACAAATTTACCAAAAGAAAAAGAGTCTCAATTGTTTGGTGTTGTGAACACAGAAAGAAGGTTTGCTCCAGTCTCTGGCCAGGTGAATACCAGAGAAAGCTAATACTTTCCCTAATGATGGATATGGCGTGGCCATGAACCTGCTCCTTGTGAACTCTGCTTTTTATCATCTGCAGAGACCAGGGAAGTGTGGATATATTAATCAAATGCAGTAATCCCGTTGTTTGTCTACAGACCAGCCCTTTTATAGCATTTCTTTTCTCCGTACTTGTTTATCAAAACAGGCTCAGATTTGCACTTCCTCAAGGATGTAACATCAGAAGTGAGAAATTGTTTTTCAGCAACTGATATCCTCCTAAGAATATCCAGAAGAGTGGGGTTGAATTATTCTTAATTTCTTTGTTTTTTAAGGAAACAAAAGTTGACTAATGATTAGAGTGACCACGTAATGTATTTTCCAAACCAGACCCTTTCTAAGAGTTAAAATAAGAACAATTAGTTGTGCTAGGAAAATGGGCAAAATGAGATTAATGAGTCCCTTACCTATAATAAAAATAAAAACATATGTCTACCCAGGTTTCATTGATTTATCACACATTTCAGACCAAAACACAATGTCCAACACAAACTTAGTCATGTGATTTTAATTTTAATTTTCTTTTGAGGGAAAAACATGTATTAATCTATTGAAAAATGCTCTATGGAGGCTGACACATGCTTTCTTTTTTCCCTGATCCTTCTAAGGTAAGACAGTCATAAAGAAAACTTAAATAAATCAGTTACATGAAATAATGAACAATGATGCCCCTCACAGGAAACAGATTTAGGAGCCTGGTAACTGCAAGAGAAATACTCCCAGAGCTCAGAGAAAAATGAAGATATTAAAACTTTGTAAGAAAAGATATGTGGGGAACAGATGTAGGATATCAACTATACTTACAACAAAACTTAGAGAAAGAGCAGACTGTAAAACTGAAAATAAGAGACAACTGTGTAAAAGTACATTTCTCTAAGATTAAAACAAAATACAATCCCACCAAAACCAAATCTAGAGGTATGAAAGATTCGCTAAGGTCTAGACAAGATGAATAAATAGACACTCATTCCCCAAGATAGCCTAAAAATATTTTGAAATTCTAGGAATAAAGAAAAACCAAAATCCAAATCCAATACATGTCCATACAAGACAAAGGTAAAATAAAAAGTAAGCAATCATTTATTTATTCAGCAAGCATTTCCTGAGTACTGTGATGAATTGTGTTGTTCCCAAATTGCTGCCCTACCCGAAAAAGGATTAATACATCCCTGCTTGTTGCTTTGTGACTTGCAGTGTTTCCCTGTAGGAGAAACATGGCTCCCTGTTGTTCTTAGGCTTACCCATATGACTTCTTTTGGCCAATGGATTATGAGCAGGAGTGTTGTGTACAACATCTAAGCAGAAGATTTAAGAATGAGCTTTACCTGTGGTTCTGCTATTGTTCTTTCCTTTCTGCCAGGAGAAAAGATGTCCTAGAAAGGATCTGCTCTATCAGCATGGATTCTGGGATTTAAAAAAAGATATAAAGAGACCTACAGCTGTAGAACAGAGTTTCAGCCTACCTGCTGCCAACACATAATGTGACTGAGATAAACTCTTGTTGATTAAATCAACTGAGCAGTTAGTTACCTGTTTCAGCAGTATAACAAAGAAAAAACTGACTAATAAAAGTTCCTAGGATGTTCCAGTTACTCTGCCTGGTGCTTGAAAATTAGCCGTCACGAATCTGCATGTTCATAGAACTTAGACTCTAGTAAGTTCTAAGTTGTATTATTATTTTCCTAAAGAACTAAAAAAATCAACTGCAAAAGTAGTAGGACTAATAAAAGAGTTTCCTACAGTGGCTAGTTAGAAAAATATGCATATAAAACACAATTAGGTTTATTGCATACTTGTGGATATTATTAGGAAAAATATCTCTGTCTTCATAGCAAGAAAATTATATAACATCCAGGAATATATAGTCAACAAGAAATGTGGCACAAGGAAAACTTTACTAAGAGATACAAAGTGAATGAGAAGATTTAGCACTGTGAAGGTATTAATTTTCACCCAAGTAACTTATACACTTACTGTAAGGAAAAAGCTGAAGTTTAGAAATTGTAAATAACTTACTTGAGGCTGCAGTGCCAGCAAGAAAGGAAGTCAGACTCTGAAATCTAATCTCTCAGACCGTTTTCATAATTTCATATACCGCCAACCTGCTAAGAAACAAAATGTATGTGTTTTGGAATAAAGGTAACATTTAACCCTAAAATTCCACGAGGAAAGCAGGTGTATATGTTCTGACTAAGTGAGAGAATCATTAGTTTAATTCAGACCTTCCTCAAAGGTTTCTTTTCTATTGCTTTCTTCACACATGGATAACTCCAGGTACATCATCCACATCATCTAGATGCTGGAAGCATTGCTATTTTCAACAAAAATAATCCTTATTCAAAGTTTCAGTAGTGTTCTGGCTGAATCTTCAGACACCAATGCCACTTCCCTGATGGATCCCAGGGCAACTACTACATTCTTGAGGGCCAATACTGACTTTTGCCCTTGTCCTTGTTCTTGTTCTTGATGATATTTATCAAGTAGTTTCAGTAGTCACTGAAAGCTGTGGATCCCGTGCCTTGCCCTCTCTCCTGTGGTTGCTCTTGATAATGTATGACAACCATGTCCTAATTCATGTGCTTATTAGTCATCCCTCTTTGCACTTTCTCCAATGTCACCTTGGTCACTTTTGGTGCTTTTTGATACTCTGGCCCAAGAGACTAGGGTTTTTGATACCTGGTGCTATGAACCTTTTTTTGTGGTTCTCAAACAAGGTAAGCTTGAGAGTTTAATTTTTTAATTATTATTTTTTAATTGACAAGTAAAAATTGTGTATATTTATAGTATACAACATGATGCTTTGATACGTGTATACATTGTGAAATAGCTGAATCAAGCTACTTATGCATTACATACTTATTTTTTACAGTGATAACATTTAAAATCTACTCTGCACTTTTCAGGCATACAACATATTGCAATTAGCTGTAGACATCAAGAATGTACAATAAATCTCATGAACTTATTGCTCCTGTCTGACTAAAATTTAGTGTTTTTTTTGACCAACGTCCCTCTCCCACTCCCCAGTCTTTGGTAGCCATCATTTTACTCTTCGTTTCTATGAATTCGAGTTTTACCCTCCATATATAAGTAAGATCCGGTGGTATTTGCCTTTCTGTGCCTGGCTTATTTCACTTAACATAGTGACCTCCAGGTTCATTTATGTTGTTGGAAGTGACAGAATTTTCTTCATTTTTAAGGCTGGATAGTATTCCATTGTGTTTATATACACCATATTTTCTTTATCCATTTATTTGTTGATGGATACTTAGGTTGATTCCATATCTTGGGTATTGTGAATAATGCTACAGTAAACGTGAGCGTATAGTTAACTCTTTGACGTCTGATTTCAGATCCTTTAGATATATGCATAGAAGTGAAATTGCTGGATCATATGGTAGCTTTATTATTATTTTTTTGACAGGACCTCCATATGGTTTTCCACATGGCTGTACTAATTAACATTTCCTCCAACAGTGTGCAAGGGTTCCCTTTTCTCCGTATCCTCAACAGCACTTTTTTTTTTTTTTTTTTTTTTGGCTTTTTGATGATATCCATTCTAACAGCTATGAGGTGACAGATCATTATGGTTTTAGTTTGGGTTTCTCTGATAATTAGTGATGTTGGGCACCTTTTCATATACCTGCTGCCCATTTGTGTATCTTGTTTTGAGAAATGTCTGTCCAGGCCTTTTGTCCATTTTTAATCTGTTGTTTTATTTTCTTAATACTGAGCTGTTTGAATTTCATATATCTTGAATATTAACCCCTTATCAGATGTATGGTTTGCAAATATATTCTTCCATTTTGTAGGTTGTCTCTTCACTCTGTTGATTGTTTTCTTTGCTATGCTAAAGCTTTGTAGTTTGATGTAATCCCATCAGTCTATTTTTGCTTTTGTCGCCTATGCTTTCGAGTTCATATCCAACAAGTCCTTGACAAGACCAGCTTCATGTAGTATTTCTCCTACGTTTTCTTCTAGTAGTTTTACAGTTTTAGATGTTATGTTTGTTATTAATTCATTTTGAATTGATTTTTTGTATATAGTTTGAGAAGAGGGTTTAATTTCATTCTTCTGCATGTAGATATCAAGTTTTCTAATCACCAATTTATTGAAGAAGCTACCCTTTCTCCATTGTGTGTGCTTGGTATCTTTTCTGAAAGTCAATTGGCCATAAGTGGATGGGTTCATTTCTGGGCTCTCTATTCGATGTATCTGTTTCTATGCCAATACCATGCTGTGTTGATTAATGCAGATTTGTAGTAAATTTTGAAATCAGGTAGTATGATGTCTTCGTCTTTGTTCTTTTTGTTCAGAATTGCTTTGGCTATTCAAGGTTATTTATGGTTGCATATGACTTTTAGAATTGTTTTGTCTATTTCTGTGAAAAATATCATTGGAATTTTGATAAGGATTGCATTGAATATTTAGACCACTTTTAGTAGTATTTTAACAATATTAATTATTCCAATCCATGAATACAGGATTTCTTTCCATTTATCTGTGTCTTCTTCCATTTCCTTCATCAACATTTTATAGATTTCAGTGTACAGATCTTTCACTGTACACTGTGAAATTTATCTCTAAGTTTTTTTATAGCTATTGTAAATGATATTTTAAAGAATTTCTTTTTTGGATAGTTTGCTGCTAGCGTAATGTAGTGATAGTTTGCATACTAATGATTTCTGTGTGCTGATCTTGTATCTGCAAAAATTAGTAAGCAAGTTGTTTATGAATTCTAACAGTTTTTGGTGGAGTCTTTAGGACTTTGTATAAATAAGATCATGTCATCTACAAACAGAGACAATTTAACTACTTCTTTTAAACCAGTTTGAATCCCTTTTATTTCTTTCTTTTGCCTGATTGTTCTGGCTAGGACTTCTAGTACTATGTTGAATAGAAGTAGCAAAAGTGGGCAACCTTGTTGTATTGCTTCTGCTCTTACAGAAAAAGCTTTCAACTTTTCACCATTGAGTATGATGTTAGCTGTAGGCTTTTGATATATGGGCTTTATTGTGTTGAGGTACATGTCTTCTATACCTAACTTGTTGAGAGTTTTTATTATGAAAGGGAGTTGAATTTTGTCAAATACCTTTTCCACAACTGTTGAGTGATCACATTTTTTTTCTTTAATTTTGTTAATGTGGTGTATCACATTCATAGTTTTGCATATATCCAGTGATCACAGGAATAAATCCCAGTTGATCATGGTGAATGATATTTTAAATGTACTGTTTAATTTGGTTTGTGGCACTGGGTTGAAAACTTTTGCATCTACTTTCATTAGGCATATTGGCTTGTAATTTTTTTTTTTTCTTATAGTGTCCTTCTCTGGCTGTAGTAGCAGGGTAATGCTGGACTTGTAAAATGGGTTTGGAAGTATTCCTTGCTCTTAATTTTTTGAAACAGTTTGAGAAGGCTTGGTATTCTTTAAATATTTGGTAACATTCAGCTGTGAAGCTATCAGGTCCTGGGGTTTTCTTTTGTCATCGGAAATTTTTAATGACTCTTTCAATCTCCTTACTTGTTACTGATCTGTTCAGATTTTCTGTTTCTTCCTGATTTAGTTTTGGTCTAGAATATTATCCATTTCTTCCAGATTATCCAGTTTGTTGGTTTATAATTGTTCATAAGAGCCTTTTATGATTCTTTGTATTTCTGTGGTATTAATTGTAATGTCTTCTTTTAAGATTCTGATTTTAGTTATTTGAGTCCTCTCTTTTTTAGTCTAGTTAAATATTTTTCAGTTTTGTTTATCCTTTTATAAAACCAACTGTTTGGTTAATCTTATCTGTTGTTTTTCTAATCTATATTTTTTTATTTCTGTTCAGATCTTAATTATTTTATTCCTTGTGCTGATTTTGGGCTTAGTTGGTTTTCTTTTCCTAGTTCCTTGAGATTGACATTTGATTGTTATTTGAGATCTTTCTTCTTTTTTCAAGTTGGTATTTCTTGCTATAAAATATCCCATTAGAACTGCTTCTGCTACATCCCATAATTTTTGGGATGTTGTGTTTTCATTTTTGTTTGTCTCAAGAAATATCTGTATTTCCCTTTTAATTTCTTCATTGACCCATTGGTTGTTCAGGAGCATGTTGCTTAATTTCCATGTTTGTAAATTTTTTGAAGTTTCTCCTATTACTGATTTTAGTTTCATACCATTGTGTTTCAAAAAGATACTTTATATAATTTCAATCTCAAATTTGTTTAAACTTATTTTGTGGCCTAACGTGATCTACTCTGGAGACTGTTTCTTGTGTCTTGAGAAGAATGTGCATTCTGCAGCTATTGGATAGAATGTTCATTTATCTGTTAGATCCATTTAGTCTAAAGTGTAGTTCAAGTCCAATGTTTCTTTTTTGATTTTCAGTCTGGATGATCTGTCCATAGTTGAAAGTTGGGTATTGGAGTACCTACTGTTATTGTATTACAGTCTATGTCTCTTTTCAGGTCTATTAATATTGTCTTCACATCTTTAGATGCTCTGATTTTGGATGAATATATATTTATAATTATATCTTCCAGATGAGTTGACCCCTTTATCATATAGAATGATCTTCTCTGTGTTGTTTTACAGTTTCAAATTAGTCTGTTTTATCTAACATAAATACAACTACCCTTACTTTCTTTTGGATTTTATTTTTATGGAATATCTTTTTCCATCCTTTCACTTTTAATCTATGTGTGTTCTTAAAGGTGAAGTACATTTCTTATTGGCAACACATAGTTGGGTCTTGTTTATGTATTCAGTGACTTTATATATTTTGATTGGATAATTTAATCTATTTATATTCAAGGCAATTATTAATAGGTAAGAACTTATTACTGCCATTTTTATTGTTTTCTGATTGTTTGGTACATCTTTTTTTCCTTTATTCTCTCTTGCTATATTCTTTTTTGATCAGGCAGTTTTCTCTATTGAAATACTTTGATTATTTACTTTTTATCTTTCTCTTTTCCCTTTTCTTTTCTTTTTTCTTTCCTTTTCCTTTTCCCTTTCCCTTTTCCTTTCCTTTCCCTTCCCTTTCCTTCTTTCCTTCCTTCCTTCCTCCCTCCCTCCCTGCCTCCCCCCCCCTTCCTTTTTCCTTCCTTCCTTTTTTTTTTTTTGAGATGGAGTCTCACTCTGTTGCTCAGGTTGAAGTGCAGTGGCACCATATCAGCACAATGCAAGCTCCACCTTCCGAGGTCAAGCAATTTTCCCACTTCAGCCTCCTGAGTGGCTGGGATTACAGGCATCTGCCACATATCTGGCTAATTTTTGTATTTTTAGCAAAGGTGGGGTTTCACCATGTTGGCCAGGCTGGTCTAGAACTCCTGACCTCAAGTGATCCACCCACCTTGGCCTCCCAAAGTGCTGGGATTACAGGAATGAGCCACTGTGCTTGGTTAGTTTTTAACTTTTGTGTATTTACTATAAGTTTTGCTTTGTGGCATGAGACTTACATAAAACAGTTTATAGTTACAATAAGATATTTTAAGCTAATAACAATGTGTCTTTTTTGATAACAATGTGTCTTTGACAGCATAAAAAACTATACTTTTACTTCATCCCCTTATATTTTATGTTTATGGCACATTTTACATCATTTTATATTGTATATCTCTTAAATATTATAATTACTCTTATTTTTAATAGTTTTATCTTTTAACCTTTATACCAAAAATACAGATAATTTATACACCACTATTACAGTATTGGAGCATTCTAAATTTGCATCTGTACTTTTACCATGGAGTTTTTACTTTCATATATTTTATATTACTACTTAGTGTGCATTCCTTCAGCTTCAGTAACTTCCTTTAGCATTTCTTGCAAGACCGTTCTGATAGTCATAAACTCCTTCAGCTTTTATTTGTCTGGAAAGTCTTTATCTCTTCATTTCTGAGGAACACCTTTGCCAGACAAACTACTCTTGGTTGGCAGTTTTAAATTTATTTAGCAGTTTCTCTCTTTCTTTCTTTTCTTTTCCCTTTCTTTCTTTCTTTCTTTCTTTCTTTCTTTCTTTCTTTCTTTCTTTCTCTCTTTCTCTCTTTCTTTCTCTTTTTCTTTCTTTCTTATCTCTCCCTCTCTCTCTCTCTATTTCTTTCTGACAGAGTCTCACTCTGTCACCCAGGCTGGAGTGCACTGGCACAATCTCGGCTCACTGCGAGCTCCGCCTCCTGGGTTCATGCCATTCTCCTGCCTCAGCCTCCTGAGTACCTGGGAACACAGGTGCCCGCCACCATGCCCAGCTAATTTTTTGTATTTTTAATAGAGATGGGGTTTCACCGTGTTAGCCAGGATGGTCTCGATCTCCTGACCTTGTGATCTGCCCGCCTTGGCCTCCCAAAGTGCTGGGATTACAGGCATGAGCCACCATGCCTGGCCTATTTAGCACTTTTAATATGTCATCTCACTCTCTCCTGGCCTGTAAGGTTTTTTTGTTGAGAAATCCGCTAACCTTAGTGAAACGTCCTCGTATGTTATTTGCTTTTTTTTTTTTTTTTTTTTTTCTATTTCTGATTTCAGGGTCTGCTGTCTGTTTTTGATTTTTGACCAACCATTATATGTCATGATGTATAGTTTTGTTTGGATTGAATCTGATTGGAGACTTTTGGCTCCTATACTTGGATATTTGTATTTTTCTCCAGATTTAGAAATTTTTCTATAACATTTCTTTATATAATCTTTCTGACCTCTTTTCTCTCTCTTTTAAAAACACCTATAATTTGAATAATTGTGCTATTGATACTGTCCCACAAATACCATCAGCTTTGTTCATTCTTTTTTCTCCTCTCACTATATATTTTCAAATAACCTGTCTTCAAGTTTACAGATTCTTTTTCTGCTTGATCAGTTCTGCTGTTGACACCCTTTATTGTATTTTTCATTTCACTCATTATATTTTTTTCTCCAGAATTTGATTTTAAAAAATTATAATTTTACTGTTAAATTTCTCATTTTGGCCCCATTTACTGTTTTCCTTTTTTTAAAAAAAAATTTCTCTGTATTTTCTTGAATTTATCTGAACTTTCTTCAAGCAATCATTTTGAATTCTTTGTCAGTCATGTTCTATATCTTCATTTCTTTGGGGTCAGCTACTGGAAAATTATTGTGGGTTTTTTTTTTTTTTTTTTGGCAGTGTTATAGCTCCTTGGTTTTTAATGTTTCTTGTTGCCATACATTGATGTTTGGCCATTTTTTTGAGCAGTCACTTCTTCCAGACTTGATGGACTTTTTTATTTTAGAAAGACCTTCCCCTATGGGGTGTGTGTGTGTGAGCGTGCTTGCTGGTTATGATACAGTGGTTCTGGCACCAGTGAAAGCTCTGGCAGCTGATATGGGCATTGACAGTGATTTCAGGGATCCTCAGAGGTCATGACTCTGTTTGTTCAAAGTGACAATGAGGGTTTTTGGGGTCTTTGGTGATGATGACTGCTTAGGATTTCCTGATCTCTTTTTCTCCCACTGGGAAAGTTGTGGTTGAGGAGATTTTTCCTAGTCTTGTGTCTGGCTTATAGAGCCACTCATGGTGGCAATGGCTCTGGTGTCTGATAAGCGATATCCGTAAAGTAGCCATGTTGCTGAGATTTGAATCCAAAGCACGCATGGAGAAATTATAGGTCCTGGATCTGAGGCAGTAATGGTACTGGAACCAGGGGTGTCGGCACTTCCACTACTGTGGTGGTAACAGTATGCAAAGCAGTGATACTTATGAAGCATCCAGGGACCTGATAAAAGGAGCACAGGCTTACACAGAGTTAGAGCAGCTCCAGGGTCAGGGCAGGGCCTAACTCTCTATGAAAGGTGATCTAGTACCTGGGGTTCAGGCACCCCCAAACCCAGCTACTTTGTTAGTAACATTATGTGAGGCACAGGTACTTGTGAAGCAGCCAGGGAGCTGAGAATGGGAGCATAGGCTTTCATACAATCAGAGTGCTCTGGGGTTAAGGTGGGGCCTAGCTCTCTATGGTGGCAGAGCCAGTGCCCAGACTATGGACATACAAAGTAAGAACCTGGTTGTGGGCCCTGGAGTGTGAAGTAGCTTGTTATGACAATGGCTCCAGTGTTTGAGACGTTGGTGGGGTAGTGCTGCCACAGAGCCCGGGTCTGTAGGAGGACGCATTCATGGGGTGGCTGTGTCTTTATGGTCAGAGTATTTCTGGGATTGAGAGAGGTGATAGCTCTGTTCCTGAAGTGGCTCAACAGAGGGTGCTTTTTGGGTGGGGGATGGGAGTGCAGCTGTGTTTCCCTTTCTCGGATTCCCCAGTGAGAATGGCTGTTTGTTACTTCAGGGGCAAAAGATGCCAGTGTTCACTGAAAAGCAGGCCACTGGGGACCATGGTGGCTCTTGCCATATGACTGATGCCAAGAGCCTTTGCCTTTCTTCCTTTTTTCTAGCCATGTCCTAGTATCTCAAGTGCGCTGAATTCACCAATGATTCTTTCTGTGTAAATATTCTTTGGGTTTTTGCTCCACCGTGTTGCTGCAAATTTTTTAATGGGTCCTTGAGTCCTCTCTGTGCTATTTTGGTTTGTGGATATCTATCTTCTATCTAATTTTTTGTGGACAGATAAAGGCTAATATCTCATATTCCATTGTATTGCTGATATAAATCTCCTGAATTTTGGAAAGTTTAAATTTTACTCACTTAATCTTGCAGTTGAATATAGCTCCCCACTCACTAAATGTGGAAGCTGTTGAATATAGCTCTCAACTCATCAAATGTGGAAGCTAATTCAAAGAAAACATAAATGAACATCTGAATTTCTCCCCTGCTACAATAATTTTTAATCAGGTGTATTTCCCCCACTTTCCATGCCTGTAGTTTTACCCATGTGATTAATTTCGAGATGCTGGAATCAGAGTTATGTGAAATTTCTGAGCTATGTCTTGGAAGTGAGGGGTACACACCCTTTTCCTTTTTCTTCCACCCTGCTTTTCAGAGTGTGGATATAATGATGAGGCATTTTAAAAACCATGTGGACAAAACATCCATGGCAGAAAATGAGACAGTAGAAGCCTGGATCACAGATAAATTTGTAAAAACAGAAATTTCTTAACAGCTTTGACTTTTATGTGAAAGTAAAATAAACTTCTACCTAGTTTAAGCCCGTATTATTTTGTTGTCACATGGAGGCAATTTTGTACTGAAACACCTTTCTCTCAAAGGCATCATGTAGACTTAGCTGATTCACCCAATACTATTTCTTAACGGTAAGATCCCTTCTTTTACGGAATACTACCTTCAAAGTTAATATTTGATGTACTTGATACTTTGGGTTTCAGGAGCTAGCCCCACAATTTACATCTGTCTATCCCACACTGTCAGGCCCACATTTACAAGATGAACATCTGCAGGAGACCTTTGCTCTATTATCAATTCGAAGTGTTTCCTGCAAAGTCCACCAAATATTCAAGGTAAGTATAGAAACTGAGTATTCATTACCTTTGGACACACTGGGACACATCAAAATTTTGTGTATATAATTTTTGAGAGGAAGGTTCATAGCTTTTTTAAAAGCAGATTTTAGAGATAATTGACTTAAAACAGATTAGTAATCTCTATGGTGTTTACCAGAGCCACAGATACCAGCAGAACCTATTTATCCTGCCTCCCAGTGCTCATTGTCTGAGTAGAGGTCTCACCCAGAAAATAAAGAATTGAATATCAGAACACAGGTTATCTGATTTTAATCATTCCTGACATTTGTTATTTATATCAACAAGCCCTACTGAGAGAGAATGAAGCCAAATACTTTATAAAAATGCATTAGGTCAGGCCCTCATCATTTCTCACCTGGTTTACCTTGACACTTTCTAACTGGTCTCTCTGCCTTCACTTCTATCTCTTACTGTCCTGACTCCTCACTTTTGCCAGAGTGAACTTTTGAAAACGCAAAACCAACATATGTAAGTAAGTCAAACTACTCAATAACAAGAAAACAAATAATCCAATTAAAAATGAGCAAAGGACCTGAATAGATGTTTCTCTAAAAGACATACAAATGTCTAACAGATATGTGGAAAAATGCTCAACATCACTAAGCATCAGGAAATTGCAAATCAAAACTGCAATGAGATATAACCTCACACCTGTTAGAATGACTATGACAAAAATATGAAACATTAGTGTTTTCAGGGGTGTGGAGAAAAGGGAACCCTTGCCTACTGTTGGTGAAAGTGTAAATTAGTAGAGCCATATTGGAGAGTAGTATGGAGGTTTCTCAAAACACTAAAAATTGAATTACCATATGATTCAGCAATCCCACTATATAGCCAAAGGAGAGGAAATATGTATGTGAAAGGAAGATCTGCACTCCCACTTTTATTGCAGTGTTATTCACAATAGCCAAGATATTGAGTCAGCCTAAGTGTCTAGCAACAGACAGCTGGATCAAAATGTGTTAAATATGCAATAGAATACTATTCAGCCTTAAAAAAAGAAGGAAATTTTGTAATTTGTGTCAACATAGAAGAATCTAGAGGACATTATGCTAAGTGAAATAAGCCAGTCACAGAAAGACAAATACCACATAATTTAATTTACATGTGGATTTGAAGAAGTTGAACTCATAGAACTAGAGAGTAGAAGGGCGATTAACAGAGGCTGAGGAGGTAGGGTGGACAGGGAAAGGAGGGATGCTGGACAGAGTTCAAAGTTTCACTTAGGAAGAATAAATTCTGGTAATTTGTTGCACAGCATGGTGGCTATAGTTAATAATAATATATTTTACAAAATTGCTAAAACAGTGGATACTAAATGTTCTCACCACAAAGAAATGATAAATATTTGAGGTGATGAATATGTCAATTAGCTGATTTGATCATTACACTAATTGTACATATATTGAAACATTACATGTAGCCCATAAATATATACAATTATTTGTCAATTAAAAATATTAAGTTTTCCAAAAAAAAAAGGCAAAACCAAAAATATTCTCAGGCTTGTCATTTGATCCTACTTGTCTTTCTACATGTTTCTTATTTCCATTCACTCTGTGGCCAAGACAGGCTGAGTTTTTCACCTTTTAAACATTTCTGCCCTTGCCAGCTGAGAACTACACTCATCCTTCAAGGTTCAGCCCAGTCTCCATCCTCTTGGGGAAGTCTTTCAGAATATCCACACACAGACTTAAGATGCATCAGCTTGGCTCCCAAGGTGCCTTGTACATATCTTTATTAAAGTTCTAATCATACTTTTGCTTTGGCTCATGTTTGAGTCCCCCCCAAGAGACTCTACTGCCTCCTGTTCATCATTGTATCTTCAGCACATGAATGAATGGAAAGATCACTGAATAGTGAATTACTGCTTGGTTGTTTTGCTTCCAGTAAATCAGAATGTATAATAATTTATATGAATTGACTGGATTGCAGTTCCTTTAAGCAATGGGGCATATTTAAGCCTTTTTTTTTCCTGCATGGAAATGAGAAAATGATTGTCATTTATTCCAAAGGTGCTTATAATTAATTGAGGAGCTGGTGAAAAGTTTAAAGCACACAAATGAAGAAAATCAGTTATGTTTTTTGGAAAGATTATCTGACAGTGCTGTTCAGTTTGAATCATGCCAGCCCTTACATCAGCTGGTGGCTCTTCAATCTCGTATATGTTTTGCTCTGGCTGGTGGGCTGCCGCCACAGCCGCCTTGCTGTTCTCTAGATTTCTCTTTTTGAACACGTCAGATTTAACGAACAATTAGACATTTCCCCAAACATCCCCATGCTGTCTCCACCTGAAATACCCTTTTCTGTACTTGGCTCTCATATGCTTCAGGTTCGTTTCACCTGTTACTTCTTGGGAAAGTTTTCTTGGACTTCTGTATATGGATAATTCCTCATTCTTGGGGCCTGTTGCATCCCTTTACCATGCTGTATCATGCACACTACTTGCTTGCCTGTCTCCTTGTGGGATTTTAATCTAATTGATGGAAAGAAATTCATTCCATGGTCTCCAAAGTCCGAGCCTAATGTTCCAAGTGGGTTTAAGTGGGTTCCTGAGCTTAGTGTCCCAAGTGGGTTTAGGTGTCTTAAGTGGGTTTCGTAAGTAATCTAAGGAAAGAATGAATGTGGGGAGATTAGATGTAAGGCCACTGGATAGGTAGGCAGTCTGGATGCTAAATAATTAGGGCTTGACTTTGGAGGCAATGAAAATGGATGGAGTGGAGGATGTGTTACAAAAGTAGCCCTTGACTGGATGTCACGAGTAAAGCAGAAGAGAACATCAAAAGTGGTGGAACCTGTTGGCTTGGTTCAGAAGACTGGATGTGCAAGGAGCAGAAATACAAGGGGCAGGGGGATAATTTTAGGTAGAAACAGTGATTCTATAAAAGTTGAATTTAACAAAGGACTTAGTACTGTAAGCATTTAAGATAGCTTTGACGATTTTCTACTATTGGAAGTTTCTTTCGTTTGTGGAACCTAAATTTCCAATATGTAATTTAAACTCAGTTTGATACAAAATTTTCTTCCTTTTAAATTTTATTCTCCTGAATAAATGTGTTTGCTTTAAAGGGAGAAATAAATATTTGAAAAGAGTAAACAATTGAAAAATTAAAATATGAATAATTTACACGCTGTCAGTTATTTTTTTGATTACTAAATTGTGTGTTCATTGAATGCTGATTATATTTAAATATCTCCTTCAGTGTTGCTAAGGGAAATACACTTTCTTAGCTGACTTTTGTGTATAGACTTAATTTTTGCGTATATTGTGTATATTGTTCCCAGTTTATTTTTTAAAGAATGATAACTATTATTTTTCACAAACACATTCATTTTTGAATAAAAATGCAAAAATCGGACATTCAAAAAGAAAAAAATTGCCTAAAATTCCACTGCCCTGTTTTTAACATTTATAAACACAACTCTAGATATTTCTTTATTAATATACATATGGAGTACATATAGTTGGGGGAGAGAGAGAGAGAAAACATAATTATCAAGATTGGAATTATAAAGCACATGCTATTTTTATTGAACATATTAAACATAATCCTTCTTTAATTTAGCAGAGATAAATTTGCAGTGGAATTAAAAGAACCAGTGATCTCATAATTCTCACAGTTGCTTAGATCAAGTTTTGTATTTAAATGAATTTAATGTTAACCACCAGTCCTCATTTTATGTTTCTTCTTTCTTCCTATTGTTTATATTTTGATATGTCTGTTTGCTAGCAGAATTTTATCCTCTAGTACTCTATTCAAGCAAGGCCCGGAAGTGCTGGCTTTTCTAAGTTATTGCATACTAAACAATGTATGTTTGTTGCTTTTAAACTTTATACTTGAAGGACTACTTGTCAGTTATTTTTTCCTCAGATCACTGGGACCAGTTGTCTACTGCTTTCTGGCTTTGATAGTATTGCTTTGCATAAATCTAAAATTAACTCTTTTTTTCTATTTAAATGACAGCTTGATATTTCCTTTTTAACTCTGTGTTGCAAACTATCACACACATATAGAAAATCTGCAAAGAACAAAACAAGCACCTATGTATGCCTCGCCTAGGTCAAGAAACAGCGCATTGCCTGCACTCTCCACTGACTTCTCAGGACTTGCAAAATCCCCACACCAAAAGTGGCTTCTCATGGAGGGCTCACCTTACATCTTTGACTTTTCCTAGTTCTTGTGATTGCAATTCTTTACTACCTTATTTGCTTTTCAGTGTCTTCCAGCATGTTTTTAAAAAAGGGGGTTTTCCAGCTTTTCTACTAGCTATCTTCAGTGGGAATGTTGTTCTGAATTATATAATTCACCATTACCGGAAGCTGAACTTCCCAAGGTGGTTTGTTAACATTGAATTTCAGTGACTTTGGTAGGATCTAATTACAATGCTTATTATTGTTTACCTTTTTTTTTTTTAATTGAGGAAAGGGCAGGTCACTACCCTTTTCATCTACAAATTTAATTCTTTATGTCTGAAAAAGTTTCTGTATTTTAATAATTGAATTTATATATCATTTGTTCATCAAGAACAATTTTGTGTGGGATGAATTTCTCTTATCTTCTATATCCATCACCGTCTCTATAACCAGCTACAAAAATCAAAATGTTATTGAAGTACTATATTCATACAGAAAAGTGCTCAAATTTTAAGTGTGTAGCTTGATGACTCGTCACCAGCTGAGCATATTCATGTAAGCAATACTCAGTTTAAAAAATTCAACCTTATTAGATTTCCAAAAGTCTCTCTTGTGTCCACAAATATTCAGTCTCTTAATACCAGAGATTAGTTATGCTTGATTTTGAACTTTGTATAAATGGCATTATGTTATGTAATCTTTTGTTTCAAACTTACTTTACTCAATGATACATAAATAAGTTTTATCCATGTTGCTATGGGTAGTTGTTTATTCATTATTATTACTGCATAGTATTCCATTGTGTGATTATATTACAATTTATTAGCCTCTTTTTAATGGACTTTGGAGGGTTTTCAGTTTTTGACAGTTACAAATAATGATGTTCTGAACAGTCTAGTACGTGCCTTTTGGTGAACATGTTTATACGTTTCTTCTGTATACTTTCCTAAGAGTGGAATTGCTAGGTCATAGAATAAGCACTTGCTCAACTTTAGTAGATATCACGAAACAGTTTTCCAAAATGGTTGTACCAATATACACTACCACTAGCAGCATATGCTATGAAAGTTCCAGTTTTTCCACATTGCTACACTCACTTAGTATTGTCTTTTTCATTTTAGCCACTCTGATAGATAGTTTTTAAATAAACTACATTCATTTCTTTTCCATTTGTATTCTAAATTTCCAATGGCTTCAGTTCTGCATCTTTCAGATTTCTCTTTTCTGGGTCTCAGTCCTTTCATTTCTAAATTAACTATATTATCCTGAATGTTGGAATTGTGGCAAACAAGTTCCTAGGCTGCTTATTTTCCTTTTTCACTGTACATCTAAAATTCTCTCTATAGGTTTCTGAAATAGCTGTTTTTTGGCAATTAAATATCACAATGCAAATTATCTTCCAAGGAAGCCTCACCTTAAATTTCCTGATTTCTTTTTCAAGACAACCTGGGGAAAGATGGCAAGCAGCTGTAGCTTGACAGAGTGCTGGCATTTTGTCTGATCAGTCTAGATATACTGATCATCTAGTGTTGTTAAAGAAACTTTAAGTGAGCCACTTTCTTTGATTAAAATTTGAACTGAAAAAATTGCTTGTAAGAGCAGAGCCTCAATGCTGGGATTTGAATCCACACTGTTGCAAATGCCTCTCATTTCCTTTCTATGTCTTATAACATTCAGCACTTTGATTTCCTGAATACTATGGTGCAACAGAGCTGTGCGGTGTCATTTTATACCTTCTTGGTAACTTTTACTGAGGAGTTGTACAAACAAAACAAAACCAAGCTATAGAGAGACCCCATTTCAGGCTGCAAAAACCTGTCTGATGATTATCCTACAGTTCCTTCTCAAACAGGAAGAATGCCTCCAAAAAGCAAGCAATCAATCCACTCTGAGGCATACCCCTAGAGTTGCACAATATCAGGAGATTGCTGCTTGATTGATCTTTGGCTGAAGATAGCTCTGGCTGTTTATATTTTCTGCATTTATGTTTATTAATTTCAGAGCTCACTCATTGTTGGTGCTGCTGCTGATCATAATAACCAACGTAAGAAAAACATACTGACTTTTTGTTTTTCCCTTCTTCCCCATTTTTCAAAGCAAAATTTATGTAGTGGTCTCATTCATGCCTGAAACAAGTAATATTAATGACTTTAGTGACATAAGGCTTCATTCACGGAAGATTCCCTACTGAGGTAATTCTGAGTGATGTGCTTTAATAATGAGGAGAGTCCAGATTAGAAATTCTCATTATCTTATGCTCTGTGTGAAAACATGTCTCACCATCCAAGACCAGAGAGAAGGTAAAACTTTCCATTAATCATTCCAGTTACATGAATTCTAGTTACACTTTAATTTGACCTAGCTATATTTGCCCTATCTAAGCCCCTTAGTTGAGATGGAGAAATAGATTCCATGAGAAGATTAATATATTTATTGTAGACGTGTGGATTCACGGCATCTCAGTTGGAGGAACATTGAGGCTAAAGTATTTATATCCTCCACATAACATGTGAAATTTCTCCTTGAAGCATCTGTGCTAAATACCTATATGAAGATTTCTGACAAATCTTAGAGACCTGAATCAGCATCCTCTCTTGAAACTCCTTGGAAGTGGAAATTGAGAGATCTTGGCCTTATTAACCTGGCACTCTAACTAGCCACAGCTGGCAGAGTGGATGGTAGAAACCACCAGGAACATTACTATCTAGGTAAAGCATGATCATGCAAAGTGAAGAGACATTATGCAAAGAATGACAGAAAATACTTGCAAATACCTATCTGACAAGGGATTAATAACCAGAATATATAAGGAGCTCAAACAACTCTATAGGAAAAAATCTAATAACCTGATAAAAATATGGGCAAAATATTTGAATAGACATTTCTCAAAAGAAGACCTACAAAGGGAAAATAGGCATATGAAAAAGTGCTCAACATCATTAATCAGAGAATCATTGATCATTAGAGAAATGAAAATCAAAACTACAATGAAATACAATGAGATATCATCTCACACCAGTTATAACAAAATGACTTCTATCCCCAAAAGACAGGCAATGACACATCCTGGCAAAGATATGGAGAAGAGGGAACCCTCATATGCTATTGGTAGGAATGTAAATTAGTACAATCACTATGGAGAACAGTTTGGAGTTTCCTCAAAAAACTAAAAATTGAGCTACCATATGATCCAGTAATCCCACTGCTGCGTATATACCCAGAAGAAAGGAAATCAGTATATCAAAGACTTATCTGCACTCCCATGTTTTTTGCAGCTCTGTTCACAGTAGCCAAGATTTGGAAGCAACCTAAGTGTCCATCAGCGGATGAATAGAGAAAGAAAATGTGGTACTTATACACAATGGAGTACTGTTCAGCCACAAATAAGAATGAGATCCAGTCATTTGCAACAACTGGAAGGAAGTGGAGATCATTATGTTAAGTGAAAAAAAGCCAGGCAGAGAAAGAAAAACATGGCATATTCTGAAACATCACATGTTCTCAGTTATTTGTGGGTTCTAAAAATCAAATCAATTGAACTCATGGAGATAGAGAGTAGAAGGATGGTGATATCCCTTGGCTGTGTCCCCACCCAAATCTCATCCTGAATTGTAGTTCCCATCATCCCCATGTGTCATGGGAAGTGCCCAGTGGGAGACAATTGAATCGTGGGGGTGGTTTCTTTCATGCTATTCTTGTGATAGTAAGTTCTCACAAGATCTGATGTTTTTATACGGGCTTTTCTTCCTTTTGCTTGGCACTTCTCCTTGCTGCCGCCACATGAAGAAGGATGTGTTTGCTTCCCTGTCTGCCATGATTATAGGTTTCCTGAGACCTCTTCAGCCATGCTGAACTGCAAGTCAATTAAACCTCTTTCCTTTATAAATTTCCCAGTCTCGGGTATCTTCATTAGCAGCATGAGAACGGACCAATACAGATGGTTACCAGACGCTGGGAAGGGTAGGGGCGGGGCGGGGTGGGGGCAGGTCTCGGGAGAGTTCGGAGTGATTAGTAGGTACAAAAACAGTGATGAGAAAGAATGAATAAGGCCTATTTGAGAGCACAACAGGGTGACTGTAGTCAATAATAATGTAATTGTATATTTAAAAATAACTAAACAAGTATAATTGGATTGTTTGTAACACAAAGGATAAATGCTTGAGGGGATGGATACTCTGTTCTCCATGATGTGATTATTATGCATTGCATCCCTGTATCAAAACATCTCATGTACCTCATAAATATATACACCTACTACGTGCCCACATAATCATGCATGTCTGCATGTTACACGAGAATCTTGGAATCTGATCTTGGTGTTTCAAAACTGGGATTAAGCTGCATATTGGGATTGTCCGGTGCCTGGGGTTCAAGGAACCAGGGAAGGTTTGTGTAGCTCTGAACAGGCTCTGACTGCAGAAGAGGGATGATAACACAAACAAGAGGTAGCACATCAGGCTTTGTGTGAAACATTTGGCAATGTCATCAGTCTGCACTTTTGACATGTGGGGTTGCTGCCTGTAGGTTCACCGGGAAAAGCACAAGAAAGTCTCTTTGGCTACTTCCCTGGAAAAACACAAGCTTTACTTACTCCAGGGCCTGCTAACCAGGTAGCACTAGGAATGCACATCTGACTTCCCAATTCTTCCTGTTTTGTACATGTAGGTGTAAGGGGCCATAAAAATCTGCTCAAGGAGAAAGTAATGCAGCTGAGCCTCTTTAATGGGTTGGTTTTTTGTGCTGTGATGAGACCTGCAGGGAACACCTGTGCCTCATTTATTCCTTATTTATCATATTTCTTGGTTTTCATGTTGACTACATTGTATATGTAATAAAACAATTAAGAAGGAGAGATTAGTATGTAAAGTAGTTCTGGATAGAGTATAGAATTGGGCTGCTAATAGCATGATGCAGGTGAGATGGGCTAGCATCAATCTGTGTCCTCTTCTAGATCATCAGGATACTTGCCAACAAGGTCACAGTGGACTCCATGGAGCAACTGCCCTCAGGAGGCAACAGGTGTGTGAAGATGGCTCTTTACTTATGATGCTTCCTTCCCAAGATGCTCATTTACATCTGAAATGTATTTAAGCATTTTCCCCCCGATACTGTATGATGATGGAGAAGGTGAGCTCAACCTGTAGGCCATAAAAAGTGGAAGGGAGGCTGCCCAAGAAAGATAAGAAAGATAAATACTTGTTAATAAAGATGATGAGCTGAACTCACTTTCAAAAACCTGTGTGATCATCCCAAGGCTGTATTAAAATGATTCTTCTTTTAACAGAGACATATTTTTATACCTTCCCAGGGAAAAAAATCATATAGTTCTTTAGGATCTATTTTCAATTTGAATAAATGAGTGGGGAGCAGGTGGATTCTGGCTCCTAGTCTCTCCACCCTCATGAGTCTTTCTCTGTGGGAAGGAGAGAGAATTTCTCAGTGGAATAGTGAATTCCAAAACAGCATGTTTCAGTGACACATTTCAGGAAGTCCAGATTTTACCTCTTCTTTTTGGCAGGGTATGGTTTTGCCACTCTCTCTAAAAGCACCTGATTGACTAAGCCCAGTCACCAGGATCCGGCAGCTGGCCAGGACCCTGCGTTGGGGAGGTCCTTTTGGGTCTTTGGCTCAGATGAATTAGCAGCTCAATTGAGCTAGCTGAGCGCAGTACTTGGAGAGGAGGGTTTTGCGGGGTTCAGGCAGTCCATAGTGGTAGCCAGCATGAGCCTTTAAACATGAAGAAATTATTTTGAGATCTTACATGAAGTTGACAGAAATATCACAACACTGTTACAAATTTGATTATTCAAAGATCAGGCAATCTGTAATTGTTTCTTCAGATATTATCACTATCAACCTATATGCACAAGGATATGAAGCAAAATTCTGTAGCTCCTAGAGGGATTATCCTGTCATTAAGCCTTGATTTCAAACTTTCATTTAAATTAGCCTTCACCTGTCTTTCTGAATCTCTTGAATTTGATTTGTCTCCCCTGTGCTGCCCATATGCCTCTGTCTTCATAGGAAATATGATAGCTCATCATGTTTTATGGGATCTTGCTACCGCTGCTATGTGGGACTGTAACCCTTTGTAAAGAGTCGAGAAGCTAATGAACATGCTCTTGGAGATACTTAATCTTTTTTACTTAGTCCTTATTGGTCAGATGACTTTTCAGTCTCTTTGGTCATCTTTGGTTGCAGACCACACACCCACTACATATATGCATGAACTCACCCACATGTGTGCACACATATACAATTGTATACAAACATGCATGCAGAGCATATATGCCCACAAACCATTTCCATTTTGATTTTAATTGATATTTCCCACACTTTGAAATTGTCTTGCAGGATAATGTGGTTGTAAGATGTTTAGGAACATGAAACGTGTGAAATGTAAATGTGAAAACTATTAGAGTAACACGAAATTCAACTACATGAGTTTCCAGTAGGCACCTAAGTCCATTTTATGCTGCTCTAATAGAATACCTGATACTGAGCAATTTATAAAGAATATAAATTTTTTCTCCAGTGTTCTGGAGGCCGAGATGTCCAAGATCAAAGGTGTGGCACTGGCAAGGGCCCTCTTGCTGCATATTCGCATGGCAGAAGGTGAAGGATAAAAGGCGACAAATGTTGTGTCCTCACATGACAGAAAGGATTGATATAAAAAAGTAACATTTTATGAAAAAATATAAAATGTTCAAGGGGGACAAAGTCTACATTGCTAATGGTAAAATCCAAATGAAAATAAACAATCACAAAACTTTAGCTAATGAATGACACAGGAATGTACAAAATAAAAAAAAATTGAAAAAGTCAGGATAATAAGATGCAATATTTTGTATACTAAGTAGATAACAGAATAAAGATAAATCAGCAATAGGATTAATGAGTTGTGTTTAATGGTTGTATTTGAATTATGTCCATCCAAGGAAGAAATAAAAGCACAAATGGAAATAATGTTTGAAAATAATAAAATAATAAATATTAGAGGTTTTTTGTATGTTTTTTAAAAAAGACTTAAGACCACTAAAATAGACAAAATCTCATAAACATGACCAGGGAAAGAAAAATAAATAACCATACAGTTTATTAGGAATGATCAAGAAGATGCAACTAAATCATTATTTGTTTACATTTTAACACATTTAACAGAAAAAATAGAATTCTATGTCAATATATGCCAATATAGATAGACATGAATGAAAGAATAATTTTAAAGGATAATACAAAAAACAATCAATCATAGAATAAGTAGGAAAAAAGCTGAATAGAGCTTGAAAGAAATTATTAAAAGTATCTAAAAATAACCAGTGAAAAAATGATAGACCCATAAGGCTTTAGAAATGAGTTCTTTCAAACCATTATATAACACAAAATTTTTGTGCCAGTTGAAATATTTGATAATAAAAGGTAAGTTTTCCCTCTTTCTTTTCTTATAATTGATTTAACTACAGGAAACTTAGATCGATTTCTTTTAGAAATGGAAATGAAAAATTCTAAACAAATGGTGACTGCATGAACTCTAGTATATTAAAGAAATTATGTGCTATGGCTAAGTAGGTTTTATTACAGAATTTTAATGATGGCTTATTAATAAAATATATGTATGTTATAATAATCCATTATGTTAGTAAGGGAAAACGTATGGCTATCTATTCATGATTAAAGTAAATTATAAGTAAAATAGGGCTAGAAGAGTAGTTTATACATGTAATAAAAATATATCTGACAAAGCACTTAGCATCATACTTGAAACGCAAACACTAGAGTCATGTTCTTTACAAGTCAAGATTGTCAAGATTGTCTGTTCTCCCTGCTACATCACAATTCATATACCGTATAATAAAGATAGCATTTCAAATCAATAGGATAAAACATAGATATTCAATAATATTGTTTGGAAAACTATGAATAATGAAAACACCAAGGAAACAAAATTAGGGAGGATTTGAAGCATTTATATAAGCATAACTCTCAAGTAGACAAAGGATGTAATGGTGGAACAAATGATTAGCATACGTGGAAAGTATAAGTGCATATTTATGTTAGTTTGGAGTGACAAGAGCTTTAAAACTATAATGGAAATTATAAGGAAAGATTTGAAAGGAAATAAAGAAAAATCACTATAAATTAAAAAAAAGAACACTGGAAAAATATTTTTGAACAAATATGGCAGTTACAACGTTAATATCTTTATAAAGAGCTGTTACAAATCAGTAAATATATACATAATCCTTAAAAAAACAGGCAATTGACAGAAAAGGAAACACAAGTTGTCAGGAGACAGGAAAGAAACAATAATGACCTTATCCCTTATCTTACTAGTTAAGCAACAATTGGTGTTGGAAAAATTGAGGGAATGAATGAAAGATAATCAATTAACTCAGGCCAGTAAAAAGTAGTGATTCAGATGCAGGCTTTGAAGTAGAACTATTTGAGTTAAAATGCTCTCCTACCACTAACTGCTAATCTCAGTTTACTTCTCAGTACTCAATGCCAACATTTATAAATTAACAGGGGTTGCCTTTATACAATCACCTGTTGAGGTTATGTGAAAACATGCCCACTTGAAACTTACAGAAGCATATCTAAGCCTAATGTCTGTCTGTTTCTTTATTACCTACTTATTTATTTATATCTGGCATCCACTGTTTATATATCTTTCTAACTATATTTCTACATCTCTATGTTAAGAAGGCATGAGGTGAGAGGGCAATGAAGCAGAGAGAGGAGAGAGAGAAATTGGGTCTGTAAGGGTACACATTCAAAGATGGTTCAGTAGTTATATCTTGCAAATTTTTCTCTATATTTTTACAAGAGTATTTAAGCTGAAAATATATAATATCTATAATAAAATTATTGAAACATGATTTAAAAATGACAGATAGTATGGTAAAGACAGTTCGTTGGCTGTCTTATTATTAAGTCATTTGGGTAATCCCAATATAATGGGATATAATGACTTATATTATTAGTCATTTGGGTAATCCATGACTACTCATACTAGCTAAACCCTGAAATATCAGTGGCTTAGCATGTGCTTTAAGTTTATTTCTTGCTCATATTACTGCTTTATGGAGCCACCCCACTTGGAACGTACGGCCTCTAAGTTTGCCATTTCAAGGGAAGAAAGTAACTGGAAGGTTACTGTGGACTTTTTAAGGGTTTACAGCATTTATTCCCACATTCCTTTGGTTTAAACTTTGTTATATAGTCCAAACCTAATTGTAAAGGGAGCTGGGAGATGCAGAGAAGCCATGGAGATGTGATGAGCATTAATGGTTTCTGCCTTTGCTGGAGTCTGAATGGGACCAAGTTCTCCGGGATAACCCAGTTGCACTGTTAACTCTTTAGAACCATCTCCAGAGTGCTTCATTCTAATAATGCCTTTGCAATAACACCATCACCTGGGAATTGGTTGGAGAGTCTTGAATTAGCCCTCTATTTTCATAAAAGATGGTAAATCTGGCCCATATATCATCATGATCATCATTAAACCCAGAGTAGATCTGCATTCTAGGTCAGAGGACAAAAATGCTGCTTTCTAATTCTTACCTAATGGTTAGCTGAATTAAGAGATATTTGGAAGTGAATAGGGGGGATTTCTCTTTGAAAGTATTATAATTCTTAGACCAAGCAGGACAAATAAAAATACTCCATAAATTCTTCATATTATTCCCTTCCTTTCCGTGTCATTACATCTCTCTCTCCACCCCTCGAGATTGCGTTCATAATTTGCATCTTGGTCTCACGGCTGAAGGTCCTAATGAAACCTATTCTTGCATTTGCATTTGGGTTATTGTGCACAATATATCTGAGTGGTTCATGTATGAACCTCCAAGTAAGAAATTTCTTTCAATACTGAGTTCTAAGAAAAGCTTGGCTTATTTTGAGGGATGTTTTAGTTTACTCATTTATTTATTATTTCATGCTTTCTTTTTTGCTTTGACCACCAGAAGACACACTCAAAACATTAGTTCAACTAGCACACATAGGACATTAAGGGCTGTGAATATGTATTGCACCATCCTTGCCCCCATGCTGATCTTTCATTTAGATTTACATTCTTGGGTCCTAAATTTTCATTTTTGGGTCCTAAATTTTCATTTTTATTTATGTTTTAGTATTTTAACATGCATTTTAAAGTCACCTTAATTCCCATGTGCCAAAGGAGGAGTTATAAATATATTCACCCTGGGGAATCAGCCAGCCCAAGAACTTCCAGGATGATTGCTTGAAGGGCTCTTTTGATACAGACAGTTGGGGTGCATTTGGTTTTGGAGCCAAATTTTACAGAAATGTATCAATTTATTGGGCATTCTCCTGTGCATATTTTAGTAAAGAGCAAGCTTGGATGATAGGATGTTTATGGGAAGTAAAGAGAAATGTGACAGTCAATTTAAAAAGGAACAAAAATAAATCATAGCGAGTCCTTTTAGGATTCACAAAGGGTTTTTGCATTCTTCTAGTCTAGAGGGCATGTTTGTATCTCACTTATGTATTGCTTCACTAATGAGTGGGGAAGTAAGACACTGACTAGACTATTAATATCCCTCTAAAGATAATAGTCATAAGTAAAAAAAATAGGATTTGCCCATTTCTCAGAATATAGAATGTTACAGATAGAGAGCAGTATTAGATTACGCCTATGACCTGGTTTCCATGGCAACACATTCATTATCTTATCTCATTCTTTTCTAAGTTACCCAATTTAACTGCCTTATCCCTTTTATCACACCTCCCCCTCATTAAACACTTACCAGATCCTTTTCTGATGCTATGTAGGCAGTATAACAGCTTTCACAGCTGCTTGCTGAATGAAATGGGCAAATGTGCACACACACTCACACACACACACACAACGCTCTGGGAGTATGTGTAGGGAGAGGAATTTCAGCAGTATTTCAGGATCAAGGGATGCAAGTGGCAGGTATGTGTTCTATATATATATACACATACACAGTGCATCCCTCTGGCACATTTTGTGCAGAAATGTGCCCCACCTTAGTGCACAGAGCTGCCATGTGTCGATTTGATCGAGTTTGGGTTCTCCTGACAGTGTGACAGGCTATTAATCACATGTGACCAAAATAGCACACAAAGGAGAGCACTTCTGTTTTTTTCTTTCCCTGGGTGGGAATGGGTGATTTGCTGAAACTCCTTGTCTTTCCAGTCTTTGTGGTTTCCTTTTTTAGATTTTGTCTTTTTGTCACCCTTCACCCTTATTAGAGGACTTCTCATTTAGAATTGTGAAGTAGGTGTGTTATCTTTGGTGGCTGAGGTCATAGGGACAAAGTCAGCAGAATAGGGATTACATTAAAAAAAATAGACACCTATTTTATATTGACTTGTTTCCTCCTGAGACCCATTGAGAGGATCATATGACTTCACAATTATTGCTTTAATGGCTTTATCTTACTTAGGGGGATGTAATATTCAGGAGTTAAAACATTTTAATGGCCAGGTCATGGTGACAGTAAATGCTTATCTTTGTACGTGTTTATAAATATGTAACCTGGCATATTTATTATGTTTCTACATATTCTATTTCAAGGTGAGGTAATCACATGCTATGCTGTTGGAAATTTCTAGTAGGAGGTAGTGAGCCTTTTATGCCAGAGTCGGCTATCACATGCCATTGCCTTGCTCAGGAGTGGCCTTGGGTACTCGATGTGTCTAACCCCTTCTATCAATGATGAGAAATGGCCAAAAATGAGTGGACTTGATTTCATGGTCCCTATAGCCCAAGAACATAAGTTATGTTGGCTTCATTTGTCACTGTGCCTGAGGTTGGAGTACAGATATGTGGAATCCTGTCTGCAGCAGAAAGGTTATGGGAGATGGGCAAGATCAAAGCCAGGAGAGCAGAGTTCAACCATATTCTAAGGAGGAGTCAGCAGACATTTTCTGTAAATGGCCAGATAGTCTTTGCAGATCATAGTCTGTTACAACCACTCAGCTCTGCTTTTGTAACATGAAAGTGGTCACAGACAATATATTAATGAATGCACATAGCTGTGTTTCAATAAAAATTTATTTACAGAAACAGATAGTGGGCTGAATTTGACCTGCAGGCCATAGTTTGCTGATCCCTGTTCTTAGGAATGGGACCAAGTACATAGTAATTACTGAGATGTGGAGTCAAGCAAGAAAGATGGGGTGATCAACAAATCTGTCAAGAGAAAAAGTAAGAAGTAATAGTAAAACCTGACAATTAAATTATAGTCACCGTATGCCAGTCAATCTTCTAAGTATTTTATGTAGATTAAATCATTGCACCTTCATAACAACAATCCCAGGAGAAAAGTACTTTTTGACTGGCTGAGAAACATGGAGGTTATATGATGATCCCAAGGTCACAACACTGTTTATTGACAGGGCTGGGAACCAAACACAGATTTTAAAATTCATGTTCTTAATCAATGTGATTTATTCATACTGTAAAGCTGTCAAGTGAGAGATGGTCAGGAGGAATTCTGGGGATGGAGTTCATATACCACAGGAGACCTTATATCGTCTCAGAGTGGGCTGAATTTGAAAGCCCAGAATGGGATGGACAGGCTGTACATCCACTACCCCGGCACCAAACTGCAATTGAGTGGGGCTGGAGAAAGGCAGAGGCTGACAGAAAATCTCCACTATGACGTTAACTTTCTTTGCATATGAAATATACAAAGAAATGTGTGTACAAATATACATATTAAAGAGTACACATATTTATAATGTAAGGAATAATAATAAACACCCTTGAATTCACCATCCCACTTAGATTATTATTAAGACCATAGAAGGTTCCTCCAAGTGTCCCTCCCTAGTTCTACTCCATTCTGTCTCCCCCTAAAATAACTCATTATTTTTCATATTTAATTAATATTTGCCTTGCTTTTCTTTATAGTTTTGTGACATATGTATGGAGTCTAAACAGTATATTATTTGGTATTGTCTGTATTTTATCTTTTATATGAATGGAATAGAGACTATTTCCTCAGCATTAAACCTTTTAAGTCCATACATCTTGTTCCATCTCATTGTACTTCATGTATTTCTATTGCTTTACAATATTCCATTGTATGAATATACTCTATTTATTTATTCATCCTGTTAATGGCCATTAGGTCTGCTTTAAGTTTTTAATCTATTATGGATAATGCTACTATAAACATTTATGTATGTATTTCATCTTATGGCGTACAGGTACCAGAATTTCTCTAGGATATATTCGTATGAGTGAAATTCCTCGCTCATAGTCTGTAAATGCATTTAACTTCAAGAGGTAATGGAAAACTGGGTGCGGTGGCTCACACCTGTAATTCCAGCATTTTAGGAGGCTGATGTGGGCTGATGACTTAAGTTCAGGGGTTCAAGACCAGCTTGGGAAACATAGAAAAACCTCATATCTACAGAAATACAAAACATTAGCAGAGCATGGTGGTACATGCCTGTAGTCCCAGCTACTCAGGAGGCTGAGGTGAGAGGATCTCTTGAGCCTGATGGTGGAGGCTGCAGTGAACCTAGATTCAGCCACTGCACTTTAAACTGGGTGATTAGGTGAGACCCTGTCTCAAAAAGAGGTAATGGAAAATTGTTTTCCAACATGGTTGTAACAATCTATTATGTCTACCAGCAGTGGCAGAGAGTTGGTGTGGCTCTATGTCCTTGCTAGCACTTCATGTTTGCTAATCTGGTAGATGTGACACAGTGTCTCATTGTGGTTTTAACTTGCATTCCCCTGGTTGCACTTGAAGTTTTTTTCTCAGGCATTAATATTATTGCCCTCATACTCTTCCTAATTATTATGGACAAATATCACATAGACTCTTGCATGGTTTATGGGGAAACCTGCCTTTTTTATCTCCTTCATGCTGACAGGGTTAGTGGATAGGCAGCAACGCAAACACAGAAATATCCTCTCTGGATGCAATTGAACAAATTTGTGCCTCTGCATGAATCAAAATTCCATTATTTCTCCTAGGTTTTGGAGGGAGAAACACCCAGGTTTATTATAATAATATTCCATCTCCATCACAAACTAGCAGAAAGAACTTGAGAAAAGTTATTTAACTTCTTGAAATTTTAGTTGCCTCAGTAATAAGATAAACACAATAGTATTCCTCAATGCTGGATATTGACTGTTGATTCTAAGCTCTTTCTTGTTTTTTAGGGGCTAAAATTCTGAAAACTACATTTTCCAGGACCCCTGGTCAACAGGGTTCTGGTTTAGTTTTTCCAATGTGGGACATGTAGGTAGCGGCCCTTTAAGACAGAAGAGGAGAAGCATTTGTTGCTCTCTTGTTTTGGAGAATAGCCATGTAGACATGTAATGAACATGAAATTCACAGTATCTTCCAGGTGAACTTCTGTGAAACCCTACTTCAGTGTAACATGCAGATGAGATCATTGGCAGGGGCTTCCTGTGGTTCGAATATTTTCTAATTTCTTCAAAGCTAGCAGAAGTTCTCACCAGCCTTCAGTCTTTAGTCATTGTATTTAATACTCTCTGTATTAATCCATTTCTCTAAAACAAAGTGGTTTTTAAGAGAATTCTGAAATATAAACCTGAATTCTGACTGCTATACATTACCTCACCCTACCTAACTACTTTGGGCTGTTGTGAAGATTCATGGAGTAATTCATGTATAACACCTAGTATGAGCCTGGCACATAGTGGGTATTCTATAAGCACTCACTTTCTCCACTTTTTTTTTTAAAGAGGATTATCTCCAACTTTGAAATGTAGAAATGGAAACAGATGGAGAATGGTGAGGAAGCTTGCTTTAGACAGTAAATTAGGAGACCTTGGATGAGCGTGCATATGAAACTTGGTTTCCATGACACCCAGGCCAGGGCTTGAATGCATCTTCTCCAGCACTGCCAAATCTGTGGTGAGGGTCTCAAATGTCTGAGAGCCAGCTTTGTGAGCTGCTCGCCAGGTTCAGTCTCCACCAGGTGTGTTGGAATGCCAGCATCCCTCTCTCACTGCGACGCTGACTTTCTTTATAGTGTTTACTCTGAATTTCATTTAAAAAATCCCTACCTAGAGTTATTCCTTGATCAGGTTCCTGCTAATACCTGCCAGGAAATTTTCTAAACCATTTTCTAGGTTGAGTCAACAAATAGAAACTACCTCCCTCCACACTGTTGAAGCTTCATCTGGAAAGTAATTGGTGTAGCTATGGCCTGTTCATTTCTCCACTGGCCTCAAACAGGCTTGAAATAAAGTTCAAAGTGTGACTGGTTAACAATCAGAAATGCTGACAGGCCTGAGCTCATTTCCCGAGACTCCTCTGCTACTGTGTTTTGGCATTTTCATAGTCCTTCATGAACAATCTCAGAAAAGCTAGGCTGCAAATCAAATTCTATCTTCAGAGTTCTTGCTCTTTTTAAAATATCGAAAGAAATGCTGCACGGAGAGGGGATGGTATCCTCTTCCCTTCTCGGCATCATCCTTCCCATCCATTCTCTGTGTGAATTAAGCAAAGCATGCCTCTGTTGTCCTCAAGTTTCTCCTTTCTAAACCTTTTCTCCTCTTCTAAGATCCCCCTTTACACATCAAAGTCTCAGTGTTCTGAATGAATGTGTATTACTGTGTTCCCTCTCCAAGGGATATATACATTTTTAAGGCCTGTTTCTGCCTGGTGTGGAAAGCTCTGCTTACTTTTGTCCTCAACACACATATAAAATGCCTTATGTGTAACTGGCATTGTGATAGGCAGTGGGGACAAGAATGCAGAAACTCTTCCTGTTCTCAAGAAGTCCAGAAGGGAAGACATTACCATACAGTGTATGGTGCCAGCTTTTCTGTGGGAGCTCAGGCTTGGGGAAGGTCATGGGTATCAGAGGATGAGCTTGAAGAGCAACTTGGGCAAAGCAGGGGAGGACTCACACTGAGGTTGAGTAGCCGCGGGATTTTCATCCCTCTCTGGCTGGTGAAACTCCCTCTGGGATATCCATGAGACTTTTCCTGCTCACTGGATCTGCTGGCAGAACATGTAGGGTGGCTTTGTTTGAGAGAGTCCAGCTTCAAGAGAGCCTCATCCTGAGGAGCTAAGAATGTGTTCTTTAGAAATAGGGACATTACAGGGAGGTACGAGAGGAGCTGCTGGGAATTGGTGGGAGTGATGTGGGTGGCGGGAGTGATCTGCCACCACTCTCTTTGCTCTAGAACAAGGCAAGCCCCCTTAGGCACACATAATGCCAGCACAGAGCACAAGTGGCCAGGGACCTGTCCATTTGCCCATCTATGTGTCTGCAGTTATAGTAAGGCATATTACCAGAGCTGACTGATGGGCTTCCCGTGGTGCTCTTGGATCTCAAGCCAGACACCTCTGCAAGCCTCTAAGCAACTCCGCAAGACTGACTCCGGGGCTGCAGAGTCAGGCCAGAAGTGTTAGAGATGGGCGTGTGCTTTTCAGAGAGAGAGGACATGATGATTCATTAGTCATTTATGGAACACCTGCCTTGTTCCAGCACTGCACTTGGTAAATGACAGAATCCCTGCCACAGACTAGCAGGGGAGACAAAATGTAAATTATCAAAGCACAGAGCAGGGACCATCCCTTGGGAACTATCTGGAAAATATGTCAAGATTCAGGGAATTTAGTGGGAGACATGCTGATATCAGGGGTTGGAGACCTGGTTTAGAGGCTTTGGAATTAGGAAACTTTTGTAGTTTTAGTGCCCTAAAAGCACATCCTGAGATAGGGACCTGGGTAAGTCATTTATTTGGGCAATGATCTCAGGCAGCACAGTAAGAGTGTGGGTAAGTGGGACAGGGTGGGTGGGGAAGGCCAATAAAGGTGCATTGGTAAGCAGGTCACTGCCATGGGCAACAGGTGTCAATCCTGATGGGGACCTTATAAGGGGATGTTTAGAGCACATTTCAGATTCTGTCCCTGTAAGGGGTGAGGAAGCTGGGACATTTACTCACTAGCTCCTATCACAGCTCAGCATTGAGAGTGGCCCCCAGGACCTTACCTCCTTGGCACTTCTGGCCTGTCCTGAGCCCAGACTGAGCATATGCCCAGGACACGAGAGTGTGCATATGGAAACAGACTGTGGGTGACCTCAAGGTGTCAAGAAAGGCCCTGGATGGGCCCTGATACTTTCTGCTATGGGAGCCAATAGAAGGGAAAAGACACATCATGAAGCTACTTGAATCAGGGGTGTTGGCCGTGAAATGCTGTACCCTCTAAGCTTCATTTTACTTTTTCAATTTTGTTTACTCCTTTCGATGGATGGAGGGAGGGTCAGATTATCCAAAGTGTCCTTTTTCCCATTTTTATACTATGGTCACCTATGTCAGAATAAAGTGAAAAAGAAAAAAATGTATATATAGGCTGGTTTGTGTTAATTAGGGTATATGAGTGTGTGAACGTATATGTTTACATTCATTTACATATAAAGGTGTAGGTGTATATTTGTTTGTACATCTTATATATGGATTTTGTGATTTCTCAGTAAAATAATAGAGCCAAAAAGGAGGAGGGTCATTCTTTTAACATACTCACACTAGGGCCCTCCTATTTTACTTGGTGATCAGTTTATTACAGTTTAGCATATGTTAAAAACAACGTTAGCTGTGCCTTCTGTGTTTTATCTCTAGAGTTAGGTTTATTACTTAGTGCTTTACTGGGGAAATTAGTCTGACAAGTTTTGATTTTAGAGCCATCTCATTTCCTGGCAAAGCATCTCCATCTTTTCTTACTGTTTTTTAAGGCAGGAATAAAGAGTGGTCATTTTTTTATACCAGGGAGAGTATCAGGCAATTGGATTAAAGGAAATGGAATACATTTGGCCTTGTTTGCCAAATCCCTTTGTGGTTTTCCTCATTTGTAAAATGGGAATGATGCTGTCTGTTGCAGAGGGTGATTGTCAATATGTAATGAGATAATGGATCTAAGAAGACTTCTAGACTCCAATGTCAGGCAGGCTTCAAGGAGAGACTAAGAGGCGGCCTGATTCCAGGAACATCTAAGAACTTTACCCAGTGGGTGTGTTGGAGCATGGGGTTAAGGCAGTAAACAGCTTTACTTCAACTCACACAGCCCAAAGACACCTCTGTGAAAAGGAAGAGCTCCCTGTGAGCAATCTAAGTCCATCAACTGTATGAGCAAAAACTGCATTAGAAACAGGGAGAGAAAAGCGGATGTGGCAGAGAGTGGGAAGTGCTAATAATACATTTGGAAGGTCCACTCCATCGGATGCCATTCTTGTGGCTCTACAACAGCATTTCACTTCTTCTACATGCTATTTTTCCATAGCAGTCATTGTTATTATCATTCTAGAAAAAATGTGGCTTAGAGAGTAACTTCAGAAAAGCATTTGAATCCAGGTCTGTCTGATGCTCAAACTTACCTTCCTTCTGCATGGTGTTGCAAACCCAAGAAAGAAGCCTGGTATTGCTACTTAAAGCAGCCTACAGTCATCATTGTTACAATGCTGCCTTTTTGTAGCAGAAGAGGGAAACATAGGAGGCCTTATGTAACTGTAATAGGTTCATTACCTGATGCACACAGTAAGTCAACGAATTGAGACACTGTGTTTCAGCAGAGAAAGGTTTAGTCATAGGGCCACCAAATGAGGAGATGGGGGGAACGCTCAAATCCCTCTCCCTGAGGTTAGGGTTTTTTAAGGATTTTGGAGTGGACTGAATTGTAGAGAATGTTGACTGGTTGAAGAGCGCAGGGTAAAGTCATGGGACAGGGAGATGAAGAAACTATATTTTTATTCTGATTTGATTCCTCTGTGGGGGTCTTTCAACTGATTGGCTTCAGCCATTCCACTGGAATTTGGGATCTCAAAGACATCTTAAGTGATGATTAAACAAAAGCCTTATAATTCTGTCAGAGATCTTGTCTACAGCAGCAATGGGGATGCAAATTGTCACTATCTAGTGCTATGTGATTTTGGCAAGGAAGTGGGCCAAGTGCAGCATGATTGATGTTTAATTATAACCATATTTCTGTTCATAATTCTTGTTAACCCTGTGAAGATGGCTTCACTTGCTTATTGGCTGAAGGTCTGCAAGGACTCAATTCACATATCTGATCATACCTGGAGTCCAGACTTTCTCCTGATGCCTGGTAAGAACCCTAGGTTCAAGGATGCATTTACTGTGTCTCTGAAATTTTCCTCCTAACCTCAGGATTAGTTCTCACTCAGAGCTCCAGTCTCTACTCCATGCATTTCTTATCCACACTCTTTTCCAGGCATCCCATTTTTTTACAGTTCCTAAACTTGCCACACTAATCCATGCATCCATGCCTCTGCCTTAAAATGCCCCTCTTCTTTCCCACAATTATCTTGCTCTTGTTCTTTTTCTAGGGCTCATATCATGTGTCTTCTTTCCCATGCAACCTTTTTAGATCCGCCCAAGCAGAATTTACTACTCCCTTCATTGTGTCATCACAAACCTATGCCATATTTGCACTTAACTCATTGCATTGCCATTATAAATTTGTTTTTCCATGGCAGAAACTGTTAAGACTCAGCAACAGTGTGTTGTGTGTTCCTCTATATTTCCCAGACCCCTTTGCCATTAGGTCGGCTCCGTATGACTGAGTTCTAGCCAGTGAGGTATGGGCAGAAGTGATGTGTACCAATTGCGAGCTCGACTTTTGAAATCATCCCACGTGATCCTCCTGCCATCTACCAGCCATCCTTTTTGATCTTGAAGGTCTTATGCCTCAGATTGTGTAACTACAGGATGAAGGAAGGCCACTCAACCCACACTTGGACATGATGTAAGCAAGAAATAAACTTGTAATGTATTAAGCCACTAAAATGTTGGGTATGTTGGGCAGATGGCATTAATTACCTTGATTAATATGATATCTGTTTTTCCTGTTATTTGTGAGTTCCTTGTGGATGAGGATGTTGACTAGTTATCTAGGCATTCTTAACACCAAGCAAAAGTACAATAACTAAGAAAGGCAAGTGAAGACATTTCTCATGAAATTTCAAGTAAGGGCATTTCAAGTTCTTGCACAGCTAAAGTTTTCAAGGCCCAGTGCCACATTCTCATCTTGGCTGACAATCAGATAAGAGAATTCCTACGTGGCTGCAGCTTTATCAGCTCGGGTGGGTTGCAAAGTCAGCCACTGAAGATTGGCTGCCTGTTTGTACCTTGTGTTTTCTGCTATAGTTCTCTTTTCCCTTCTTTTGTGCTGTGGAAATATATTAGCAGAGCACTCAGATTTCATGTTCAAGGTTAGAATACAGTTATTCCTGCTTTATGTTTCTTCATTCACTCCATCTCTGATTCTGAAAAGGGAGGGAATAGTCAGGTCCATCTTCCCTCTGAGAGTCTGCTCTGACCACCAGCCTCATGACAAATGTTTGTGATGGACTCTACCAGATAGAACTAAGGAATTGGTGAATGGAGGAGCACAGGCTGTGTGGACGTCCATATTGATTACAAATATCATAACTGATTTGAACTATATTATTTATATAAATCTCGAAGACTTCTCTAAAAATTTCAATTTCCTAGGTCAATGGCCAAAACATATAGTATTGGTTGTGGCAAGAACCAAGAGTCAAGTCAACTAAGTACCAGTTGTATAAATGTTATTTCATTTCATCCTCTAGAGCAATTCTAGGGAGCTGCATGCCTGTTTATCAGATGAGGGAAAGAGATTCACACGGGCTGGTTAAGCATGTCTAGAATCCCACATTTGCACACATCACAGGCTGTCTAGCTCTCTGTCCTTGTTGTTTCTACTCTACTGTGCTCTGTGACCTCATTTCTCAGTTTCCTTATTGAGCCTCGTTTAACTGCCCGGTGTCCTATGCGTGTCCCAGCTCCTCAGTTCCTGCTGGCATGAGCTGGTACATGTGATTTTTGTTCTCTGTCATTGTTTCCTCTTTTGAAGCAATTTGCTGCTTTGACAAGAGAAGACACAAACCACATTGAGTGCACTTTCTCTTTCAGTGAGAGCGCTCCTTCCTCTCTCACTACACTGGGGTATGGTCACCCCAGAAAACTTCTACTGTTATTCTGGTTGGAAGACAAAAATTTGAGACTGTTGCATATTTTTCTTCCCACTAAGACTGAGAAAGAATTATCTCAAGTGAACTAAATTCTGTGGTCATGAATAGATCACACTGATTGATTATCCGGGAGGTACTAGATTATTCTCAGAACAGAGTCCTTACCTCCTGTTTTTAGAAAGTCTGAATGTCTGGAGTTTCATCTAGGAAGAACAGTTAATTAAGGCTTCTTAAAGGTACTGAGACACTACAGTGAAGATCATGTTGGATTCTGCAGCTTGAAAAGAAGCCAGGTGGAGACAAAAGAGATGGTAAATACCTACTCATAGTGGGCGTGGGCTCGTATCTCTGTGCAGCTCCTCTGTGGCTTTCTGTCCTTCAGATTCATAATGTGCCTGCTGTCAAAATTCCTACTTGGCATGATAATAAAGGAATACATTATAGAGTTAGGAAGACTCGATTTCCAATCCCAGCTCAGTCACTCATTAGCTCACTGGTTGTGTATCTTGGGCAAGTCAATTCACTTTTTAATCGTCTCAGTTGTCTCACATGTATGTAATTAGTATGTGGAATAACCATAATGCTTGGGGTATAATCAAGGTGCAGCAGTTTTTCTGCCTCCTCCTCCTCGTCTTATACTGTTCTTTTGAACTTTTTTTTTTTTTTTTATTGGAGAAGGGCTTTTCTATGCCGTTATACAAAAGCTCAGGAGTCTCCATGGCTTTTCTGTTCACTCTCAGAAAACCTGTGTCTACTTTAAATAAAGGAATACGAAATGAACAATAAAACACACTAGTAATTCTGGAACAACAAGTCCAGCCCAGACGTTAATCATGACTTTAATCTTCATTCAAATATAAGACTTCCCCTGCCTGGGGAAGACCTACATTTCATGGCCACCTGCCTTCAGGGAAGAGAGTGTGATGACGTGACATTTCTTTCTTGTCCCAGCATTTACTCCTTTCCCTTGTTGGCTAGCAGAGGTTTTGCCCTTGCCAGGGTGAAAATTTATAGAGCGTGGAGGGCAAAAGAGGATACAAGAAAGTTCTTATGCATCTGACAACTGGTGTTCTCCTTCTCTGGCTCCTTGCTTTTGAGGTCTGGCAGAGTTTAGAGCCCCCTTGTATTTCTCTCTCAAAGGACACTTTCATGAGCTATTTGGGAATTCCTTTTGCTTAGATCCTTTTTTGCAAAATCCTTAACCTCCAAGGAGGATCCCTAGCTGTTATCCACTTTTATCTCCTACCTGCTGGGGCCCACTTACCTCTCTAGTTTTAAAAAATGGTCTATGGTAGGCAGAATCCCAAAATGACCATAAATAAACTTTACCTTTGTATAATTCCCTCCCCTTGAAAGTGAGTGGAATCTTAGACTATGATGAGATATGACTTCTGTGATTGTTACACTACATGGGAAAAAAAGATCTGCACATGCAACTAATGTTAATTCTTTAGTTGACTTTGTACTTAAGTATAGGTTACTTTTGCAATCACTTGACTTTGAGTTAAACAAAAGGGAGAATATTCAAGTTAGCTGCATCTAATCACACAAACCCTTTAAATCTGGGCCTAGAGGTCAGAGACAGAGGAAGTCATATATTTGAAGTGTGAGAGGGATTTTCTGTTGCTGGTTTTTAAGATGGATGAGGCCATGTGGTAAGTAATGTGGGTGGCATTTAGGAGCTAAGAGCAGCCCCAGCTGATAGCTAGCAAGGAAACAAGGACTTTCATTCTAGAGCAGCAAGTAACTGAATTTGGCCAACAACCTGAATGAGCTTGGGAGCAGATTCTTCCCTGGGGCCTCTGGAAAGGAATGCAGCTCAGCTGGTACCTTGATTATAGCTCCTTAAGGCCCTGAACAGAAAACTGAGTTATGCTGTGCCTGGACTTCTGACCTGCAGAAATGTAAGCTAGTAAATGAATGGCATTTTAAAGCACTAAGTTTGTGATACTTTGTTACACAGCATTGGAAAACTAATACAGTGCCTAAGAGGAGCCTGTGCTGCCTGTTTTATGCATACCACTATTGTTGGGTGCCTGGAAAATACATATCCTTTGCACTGACAAAACCTGCAAATGCACACCTTTACTAATGCACTGAACTTCAGAAAGCACTAAATCGACTTGCCAGGTTGTGTTCCCTGTCCTCCACTATTTAGAGGACAAGGGTCATATTTCAGTACACTGACTATCCAGGAGACACATATTAGCCTTCCTGAGTGATTCATACAAAGACCTTCCTCATCACTGAACTTGAGTCTGCATGCTTGAGTGAGTAAGGGAAACTGGTCTGCCAATTCTCTCTGTTCCCTGTAGGGACTTTGAGGAACTTCCCCAGGAGTCCCTGATTCATCTTTTGTTCTTCCAGGGATTAGCAAAAGTCAGTGTGGCAAGCTCTATGAGGGCACAGAAATGAAGAGAGGATGGGTTAGGGTTTTGACTTTTCACCAGTCCACACGTCTTTAGAAAACTTGGAAGTCTTCTCATAGACAGCCTGGTTTTATTTCTGTCTTTTCTAAATCCCCTGGCTTCGTGAATAATGCCCCACAAATGACTAGAGTAAACCAGTCTTGGAAAATGGCTGGCAGTGAGGGAGGCCACTTGTTGAATTGACCCTGGTTTCCCAGATGGTCTCAAATGGTTACTCTTGGCAGTCTAGGGATGTTTCTTGGTTGGGGAAAGGAGGTAGTCAGAACATAGCTTTTTCTAGATCAGTGGTTCTCAAACTCTGGCCTGCATCAGAATCACCTGAAGGCTTATTAAAACAGAAATTACTGGGCCTCACTCCCAGAGTTTCTGATTCAGTGGGTCTGCTGTGGGGTCTGATAATTTACATTTCTAATAAGTTGCTAAATTATTAATGCTGCTAGTCTGGAGGCTGCATTTTGAATATCATTTCTCTGTAGATATATTTCAAAGGAAATGTTCTTTTTCCATATTCTAACCTTTTTTCATATCTGTGATTTGCCTATAGAAGCCAATCCATGTGGAAATAGTTCTCAAACATTTCCTTTTATATCCAGCATTTTGTCTGGCATCTAACTTCGGCATGTACACCTGTTGCGTCTTGGTGCCTTCCTCAAAACTTAATTTTAACATCTTGTTTTCGGTAAAAAGTGGAAAACAGTAACTACTTTTTGGGCAGATTGTGATCATTAAATAAGTTGGTATATAGAGAAGAAATACATGTTGGCACCCTTATCTGTGCTTCCCAGCCCAACTGCTTGCTGAATTTGGGGTGGGATTTGAGAGTTTAAAGACCACTGTACACAATAATTAATTTTTGAAGGAATTGATCCTGGGAGGGCAGGTAATCAGTTCTTTTGAGAAGGCATTAAGAGGATATGGGAAGTAGATGTTTTACTGATTTCTCAGTGGCCTGCAGCTTGTGAAATAACAAACCTGATCCTGAAAAGTGACTGTAAAGTTATCAAAAAAATTATTTGGATCATACATCCTTAATCCCAAAAGAACTCCCAAGAGAATCTCCCAAAGGACAATACTTAATGCATGCACTGTCCTCTGAGCCCACAGGCTTCTCACATAGCTGTGAAGAGTCCAGCACTTAGCTGAGGCCTCAGCGGCTATGACATGGCTTCAAACAAGCCATCTGCAAAATATCTAGAAAGACAAGTGTGTACCATCTTCTTTCTTTCTGGTCTCTAATTTATTGGCAGAGAAATGTTAAGTGGATTTTTTTTAAAGCATCACCATATTGCAGAAACAGATTGAAGGAAGATGGATTTGGGGGAATAGAATTTGCTACAGGAGAGAATCCAGGTCCTGAGAATGAAGGCATGTGACTGAGGCTACAGCCCGTGCAATCTCCCTGAATAAAGTGAAAGCTTCTTAACTATGAAGAGCCATAACACAAGCACCATTTCTTGAGCAGTTACTTTGTGCAAAATCCTGTGCTACATGCTTTTTATAAATTGTTTAACTTTTAACAAATGCATGAGTTAATTACTATTATTATTCCAGTTTTACAAGTAGGGCAATACACATAGTCTTTTTAAGGTTGCACAGCTATGAAGTGGTGAAGTCAGAATTTGAAACTGTGGTTAGTCAGACTCCAAGCTGTAGAAAACTTAAAATGAGATCAAGCATTATTGTTCAAATTTACTAACCCCATGTTATGAACTGAATTGTGTTCTGCACAAACTAACATGTGGAAGCCCTAACCCTCAATGTGACTGTCAGCCTTTAAAAAGGCAATTAATATTAAAGAGGTCATAAAGGTGGGGCATTAATCAAATATGATGGTATCCTCATAAAAAGAGGAAGAGACACTCGGAATTCACATGCATAGATTGAAAACCCTTTGAGGACACAACAAGAAGGTGGCCATCTACAATCCAAGAAGACAGGCCTCAGGGGAAACTAAACCTGCTGATACCTTGAACTTGGACTTCCAGTCTCCAGCCTCTACAAGAGTGAGCAAATACATATTTTTTGTTTAAGCCAACCACTCTGTGGTATTTCATTATGGCAGCCCTAGCAAACTAGTGTACCATGCCACCTTGATGGGTGGAGTGTACTTTGCTATCCCCTGACTTTGTGTTTGGTGATAGAATAGTCTTTGGTTGGTGGAATGTTAGTAGACTTGATATATCGAGTAGAGACTTAAAAAACATCTGGGTAGTTTGACTTGCTCTCTTAAACCTGTGACTGTGAGAAGAACATACTCTGCCTAGGCGGTTCAAGGAAAATGAGAGACACATGGAGTATAGCCTTGCAGCTTGAAGTAGAGGTACCTGGCTGAACCCAGCCTATGTCAGGCAACTGTCAGATGCAGTGGTTTGAAGCCAAGCTGCCTGCAACTGGCCCCTATACCCATGACAGTAAATGATCATTGTCTTAAGCTCCTGAGTTTGGGGGTGTTCTGTTACACAGCATTACTGTGGCAGTAGCTAACTGATCATTAATCAAAGGTCGGAATAGGAAACTTTACAATGTTTCTGCACAATAATTTATCTGGCCATTCATTAGAGAGAAGGTGGATAAGTAATACCTCTAATAATTCTTCCAACAATTCAAATTAGGAGAAGAAGTTACATTTCTCTAAAAGTATAAATAAAGTGGATTGAACTATTATTTATATCTCTTCCAGGACAATATTTGAGAAAAAGAAAGAGAAGAGGATGGACTTTTTAGACTCAGCTATACTGCTGAGTTCAAATGTCTTGGAACTTAGTAGCTGTGAGTGACCTGGCACAAGTTATAACGTCTCATTAAAATTCAGTTTTTCTATCTGTAAAATGGAGATGCTAATAATATTATCCTTTTTACCCGCATTGGTCCTGATTCCCTAATTGGAAAATTCTGACTCAGAGTGTCTACTTATGGTCAAGAAATCTTGAAGGGACAGAGGTAGGGTATGTTTGAGAAACACAAACTTTTAGGGAATTGATTTGGTATCCAGGTATGTGGAGATATTTAGCCCAGAGGAACCAGCAGTACAGGATGAGGCTGCTTTTCTTGCTGCCCTGTGTTGATTTTAGTTTTGAATCCTTAGTATGCAGCCTGAGGGAGAAGATTGTAATCCCAGACCTTCAGAGATGGAAGAGCCTACCTGGGTATTATAGAGTACAGGAGTTTTCTCAATCTTGATTGACTTGAAAGCTCTAGATCAACAAGTTGGGGTCCTGATTAATAATTCAGATTCCATGTTTCAGAAGTTATTTGTGTTGTGACCTGGGAAAAACTACTTAGTGTTTTTTTTTTGAGTGTTTGTTTCTTGATTTGTAGAAAGAGGTTAATAGTACTGTGTCCCTTACAGTGTAAAGATTTCTGTAATTATTAAAATCACATTAAACCAAGGCTACTATAAAGCTTTTAGTACAGCATCGAGCTGCCAAAGAGTCCTCACAAATATAATTTTGAAATATTTCATTTATTCACTCCTATCCCCTCCTTTTGCAGATAAGTAAACTGAGGTTCCCTGAGGCAAGCTGACCTTCCCAAAGTCACAGGACTCTAAATGTCATAGCTAAGACTAGAAAATCTTTGCAAATGACAGCTACATAATGAAGAGACATTCTCACCTGTTCACATTTTAAGATGCATGTGTATCCTGGAGGCCCAGGAAAGAAGTCTAGAATTATACATTATCAATATTGAAAATGATCCAGCATCTAGCCTGTCACTATTGCAAGAATACTCTCTATAGTTTCTATCAGTAGCTTGGGTTCACCTGTTTTACCACCAGTGACAGGATTCTCATTACCTACTGTGTCAACACATTCCATCTTGAACAGCTTGTTAGAAAACTGTTCTTTATATTGAGCCTTAATACAACTTCCACTTCTGAAATGACACAGAATGAATGAATGAATTAAATGAATCTAATGCTTCTTTTTAATTTTTTTACAGCATGGCCTTTCAATATTTGAAGACAGCTCTTGTGTCTCATGCTCTCATCAATTATTCCATCCATAAATTGTTTAGGTCAATTTAGGTTGAGTTTTCCATTTATTACCACTAAAAGAATCCTGATACACACTATTCAATACACACTTGCTGAATAAGTGTGTATTGAACCGTGTGTGTCAGGATTCAATACACACTTATTCAGCAAGTGTGTATTGAACAGTGTGTATCAGGAGTCTTCTAGTGGTAATTCGTGGAAAACTCAAATTGACCTAAATAATTTATTCATTAATTTATCCACTCATTCATTCATCTATTTGGCAAATTCTTACTGAGTACATTTTATGTTTCAGACATGTTCTGGATGCTGAGGATAGAACAGTAAATAAAACAGTCTGTAGCCACGAGGAGCTTGCCTTCTAGTGTGTGAAGATAGAGAAACAACAAATTAATGTGTTCATCTCAATGAATACATATGCAATATTTCAGGTGATAAGTGATATGGAAAAAACTAAGCAGAATGAAGGGCACAGAGAATGCCAAGGAGTAGGGATATGGGAGTGTGAAGTATTTAACTGAAAATTTAAGAGGCAGGGCCCAATTTATTTCTCCATCTTCTTTCATCCGTGATTCTCTCAGGTCTGCTTTGTGCTAGACTGGCTTTCCTGATGGGAGCAATTTGGCTGCCAGTGGACCAGGGCTATGTGGACCAGTCTATTTTCTCATTTATGTCAAGGCAGTTAGGTGTTAGTTTGTATAAGCTAACAGGAATTCTGAGCTTCACTTTGAAAAAACCATCCCTGAACTCTGTGTCCAGGGGGAATATCATTCACTGATTATCTTTGCCCTTGACATATTCTCACACAAACTTATAGAGGGATATGTCTGATATAGTTTGGCTCTGTGTCCCCACCCAAATCTTATCTTGAATTGTACATCCATAATTCCCACGTGTTTTGAGAGGGACACAGTAGGAGATCATTTGAATCATGGGAGCGGTTTCCCCCATACTGTTCTCATGGTAGTTAATAAGTCTCATGAGATCTGATGGGTTTATCAGGGGTTTCCACTTTTGCTTCTTCCTCATTTTCTCTTACTGCCACCATGTAAGAAGTGCCTTTCACCTCTCGCCATGATTCTGAGGCCTCCCCAGCCACGTGGAACTGTAAGCCCAATTAAACCTCTTTTTCTCCCAGACTTGGGTATTTTATCAGCAGCATGAAAATGGACTAATACAGTAAATTGGTACCAGTAGAGTGCGGCATTGCTGAAAAGAAACTCGAAAATGTGGAAGCAACTTTGGAACTGGGTAACAGGCAGGGTTGGAATAGTTTGGAGGGCTCAGGAGAAGACAGGAAAATGTGGGAAACTTTGGAACTTCCTAGAGTCTTGCTGAATGGCTTTGACAAAAATGCTAATAGTGATATGAACAATAAGGTCCAGACTGAGGTGGTCTCAGATGGAGATGATGAACTTGTTGGGAACTGGAACAATGGTGACTCTTGTTATGTTTTAGCAAAGACACTGGTAGCATTTTGCCCCTGCCCTAGAGATTTGTGAAACTTTGAACTTGAGAGAGATGATTTAGGGTATCTGGTGGAAGAAATTTCTAAGCAGCAAAGCATGCAAGAGGTGACTTTGGTGCTGTTAAAGGCATTCAGTTTTAAAAGGGAAACAGAGCATAAAAATTTAGAAAATTTGCAGCCTGACAATGCAATAGAATAGAAAATATTATTTTCTGAGTTGAAATTCAAGCCAGCTGCTGAAATTTGCACAAGTAACGAGGAGCTCAATTTTAATCCCCAAGGCAATGGAGAAAATGTCTCCAAGACATGTCAGAGGTCTTCACAGCAGCCCCTCCCATCACAAGCCCAGAGGCTGAGGAGGAAAGTGGTTTTGTGGGCCGGCCCCAGGGTCCCTGTGCTGTGTGCCACCTAAGGACTTGGTGCCCTGCATCCCAGCAGCTCCAGCTGTGGTTGAAAGGGGCCAGTGTAGAGCTTGGGCTGTGGCTTCAGAGGGTGCAAACCCCAAGTCTTGGCAGCTTCTATGTGGGTGTTGAGCCTGAGAGTGTACAGAAGTCAGGGATTGGGGTTTGGGAAGCTCTGCCTAGATTTCAGAAGATGTATGGAAATGCCTGGATGCCCAGGCATAGTTGCTGCAGAGGTGGGGCTCTCATGGAGAACCTCCACTAGGGCAGTGAGAAAGGGAAAAGTGGGGTCAGAGCCCCCACACAGAGTCCCTACTGAGGTACAACCTAGTGGTGCTGTGAGAAGAGGGCCACCGTCCTCCAGACCCCAGAATGGTAGATCCAATGACAGCTTGCACCATGTGCCTGGAAAAGCTGCAGACATGCAGCACCAGTCCACAAAGCAGCTAGGAGGGAGGCTGTACCCTGAAGAGCCACGGGGCAGAGCTGCCCAAGACCATGGTAACCCATCTATTCCATTAGAGTGGCCTGGATATGAGACATGGAGTCAAAGGAGATCATTTTGAAGCATTAAGATTTGACTGCCCTGCTGGATTTCGGACTTGCATGGGCACTATAACCCCTTTGTTTTGGCTATTTTCTCCCATTTTATATCTAGGAAGAAACTAGCTTGCTTTTGATTTTACAGGCTTATAGGCAGAGGAAATTTGCCTTGTCTCTGGTGAGACTTCGGACTGTGGATTTTTGGGTTAATGCTGAAATGAGTTAAGACTTTGGGGGACTGTTGGGAAGGCATGATTGGTTTTGAAATGTGAGGACATGAGATTTGGAGGGGTCAGGGGCAGAATCATATGGTTTGACTCTGTGTCCCCACCCAAATCTCATTTTGAATTGTACTCCCATAATTCCCACATGTTTCGGGAGGGACACGGTGGGAGAGAATTTGAATCACGGGGGCAGTTTCCCCCATACTGTTCTTGTCGTAGTGAACAAGTCTCGCCAGATCTGATGGTTTTATCAGGTGTTTCTGCTTTCGCATCTTCCTCATTTTCTCTTGTTACCACCAAGTAAAAAGTGCCTTTCACCTCCTGCCATGATTCTGAGGCCTCCCCAGCCGTGGGGAACTGTAAGTCCAATTAAACCTCTTTTTCTTCCCAGTTTCAGATATGTCTTTATCAGCAGTGTGAAAATGAACTAATATAGTGTCTATGCCTAAAATTGGAAGTGTGCTCAAAGTCATCCAAAGCATATGACTGGCAGGCAACAGGGAAGTGTGGACTCTATGAACAGAAGGCAACTATGTTATCCATTACAGATACTATATCGAGGCACTCAGGGCTTACAAAGATAAATAAAACATGGCCCCTGACCTTAAGAGGGGTTGCAACTTAATGGTGAGAAACTGATTAATAGATTAATTCTATAACAGGGATAATAATTCAAGTTGGTCCAAAATAATCATCAGTCTCGTGGAGGTATGGAAATAGGGATTGTAGAAGAGTCATTCTAAAATAGTCAATATTCCAGATGTCCATGTTCATGTCCTTGCTTTTTACTTCCTCATCAGAAACAACCTTACACATGCAAGTTAAAGTGCTCTTTAATTTGAGGGGAGCATATTACACTACTCCATGTGACTTGCTTTAGCCAGTGGAATATCAGCAGACCTGAGGCCAGTAGAGGCTTTCAAGCAATTCTCCTGCCTCAGCCTTCTGAGTAGCTGGGATTACAGGCACCCACCACCACCCTTTGCTAATTTTTGTATTTTTAGTAGAGACAGGGTTTCACCATCTTGGCCAGGTTGGCATCGAACTCCTGACTTCATGATCCACCAGCCTTGCTGGATCATGAGCAAGGAAAAGCATTGCTCATTTGGGCTTCTTCCTTTATTCCACCACCACCTTGAGAATGATGTGCCTGGGTTAGCTTGCTTGTCACAGGGGAGAGAAGAGAAACAAATGGACAGAATCACCCCAGCTGAACCACCTCCATGGAATCTAGCCTCAGTCAGCTGACCCCAGTCAACATCCAGATACATGAGCTAAATAAGTGCTCATTTAGAGTACTCTAAGGTTTTGTAGTTGTTTGTTATGCAGCATTATTGTGATGTTAGATGACAGACACAGGCTTGAAGTACAGTGTTCGTTGAGATAGAAAGTGTTCTAAATTATTTTAGTTCCCATTTAACATAGCAGAAGTAGGTCTGGTGGACTAGGTCATAAAATTTTATGCATGGGAGGTCACAGGAAATCCGGAAGAGACAGGGAGGAAAATTTGCTCTTTCTAGTTATAGCAGATGTGGGAAGAAGAAGGAAGATGGAAAGGGGGCTAGAGGAATCAAATGGCCAGAGCTGTGAATGGGGATGGAATTGGCATCCCTGAATTACCTTTAGTTCCTTTAGTGGCATGAAAAGAACTCAGGAATGGAGAGGGGATGTGCCAAGAGGAGGGACTTACCATGGGGACAGCCACTTGCCTGTGGGGAGAGGGAAGATGACCCTATAGCAAGTATGGACTTAGACATGGCAGAGACTTTGAGTATCTCTGAGAGGCATCAGGGAGAGTCCAAGGGAGGAATAGTACCTCCAGCTCTTGAAGAAACAGAGAGGCTAGTCACACCAGCCAGGGACATCATAGCAGCTTCTGGCTGAATGCTTGGGGTGGGACTGACCTCCCCTGAGGGAATACACTCTAGAGCACAGCCTAGCCCTACCTCTTCACAGCCTAAGCCAGAAGAGAGTCATAGGGCACCAGGTCAATTCAAGGACACTAGATTCCCTTCTCTACAGCCCACCCACCTGATAATACACTCAGGGGGATGAGATAGAGCCTATGAGAAGAGCTTCAGAAATCTCAAGAGAGTTGGTCATAGAATTTTGTGCATGGGAGGTCACTGCAAATCCGGAAAAACCAGGGAGGAAAATCCACTCTGTCTAGTTCTGGCAGATGTGGAAGGAGGGAGGGAGATGGAAATGGGGATAAAGGAATCCAATGGCCAGAGCTGTGGATGGGATGGAGTTGGCAACCCTGAGTTACCTTTGGTTTTCCAGTGGCATGAACATAACTCAGGAAGGGAGAGGAGGTGTGCTGAGAGGAGAGACTTGCCATGGGGACAGCCACTTGCCTGTAGGGAGAGGCGAGGTGACCCTACCAAAAGTGTAGATTTAGACATGGCAGAGACTCTGAGGATCTCTGAGGATTTAGCTTAATTCAACAAGTCTTTACATTTAGAATCAGATCCAAGAATCACAGCTTAAACTAAATTTAGTTTTCTTATTTTACTCACCTGAGGGATGCTTGTGAGGAAGAACATACCAGTCACAGAACAAACGAAGAAACAACATTGTCTTTGTAGACAAAAAAAGTAATGTGGATGGATTTTCTATCCTGCCATCATCCCCATGTCATAAAGTATGAAGTAATGGCAAGCTTCTGCTTGATGGGGAAGCGACAGAGACAGTATCTGACATAGAAGGAAAGGGACAAGGTGAGGGTAGGAGTCCTGAAAATTGCTCTCTAATTACAAGTTGAGTCTTACAGGATCAGTAGCAGGTCCCAGATGCAGAACCAAAGCAAAGGAGGATTTGAGAGGGAGGAAGTGGCATATGCAAAGGGCTGAGGTAGAGAGAGAACACTTGCAATTTTTCTAGCTGACCTGTGTAGGATTTCTAGTTTCCTCTTAGCTAGGACACTCCAGGGTGGAATGGATTTTGGCAACCTGGGAGGAAGGAAGGCAGCTGTGTCTGCGCTCCCTAAAGCAGAAACTTCCTCTCCCCTCTCTTCCCTCCTATCATTCCAACATATCATGTGAATTCTCAGGGATTTTGCTTTACTTGTAAGAAATGTAGGAGTGTGGGGCAGAAGTGGGCTGGCAAATCGTATTCTCTGAGAATATGGCAGTATGCAAGGTACTTCACACATTATTTGTTTTATTCTCATAACAGCCTTCCTATACTTTTATTATTTCTGTTCCATCAGCACATTCACTTGGCTCTTATATTCAGAATATAACCAGGATCAAACCATTTCTTATTTCCTTACTTGCCTGTTGATCCAAGCCACAACTATCTCTCACTTGGACTGCTTTAATAGTCTCCTAACTGGCATCCCTACTTCCACCCTTGACTCCCTGCTCTCCACCCAGTGGCCAAAGTGATTCATGAAAAACACTGAGGTCTGATCATATCACTTCTCTGTCCAATGCCATCCAATGGCTTGCCACACTCTGCAGTAAACCTGCCATTCTTATTGTGGTCTATGAAGCCTTCCATGGTCTGGCTGTATACATTTCTGTTTCCCAATCTCCTCTTCCATCTTTCCCCTCCATTCTACTTACTTTTGTCACTTTGACTTCCTTGGGGTTTCTTGTCACTGTTCCTTAAACATGACAAGCACAATGGAACCTCAGGCTCTTTGCATTTGTTTCCTCTTTATGGTATGTTCTTTCCTCAGACATCTATGTGGCTGTCTCCCTCCTTTCCTCCAGGTTGTCGTAAGAGAGGTCTTACTGGTCCAGTTTTACCCTACTGTCTTCATGCTTTGTTCTTTCTCTCCTGTATTATTTTTTTCTGCATAGCACTTATCACCACTGACATAAGCTGCTTTCTGTTTATTCTCCCTCTAAAATGCATGCTCCGTGAAGGCAGGGACTTTGTGTTTTGATGTTGTTTGTTTGGTTTGTTTTGTCTTCAGTACCTAAAACATTGCTTGGCTTGCATAGGCACTCAATAAATATTTGCTGCATGTGGCTCAAGGAGTTTAAGCAACTTGTCCAGGGTTATAAAGTTAATAAACAGTAAAACTAGGATTTGGACCCAAGCTCTGCTGGCATTGAAGATCACGCCCTTTGTAATTTATTTTCTCTGCCCCCTGCCTACTACATAGATATCAGGACTAATAGGACAGACCAAATTGTTTCTTGTGGCTCTGATTTCTTTAAAGAAATATGCTCAATAAAGAAACATGAGGGATAATGAAAAAAATTACTACTTTTGGCAATCCTGGACATTAAAGGAATGCAAACTTCAATTGCTTCTCTATAATAAGATATTGCAAGGGTTTTCAATTTCGTTTTCCTTGTTTCTATCTGTTCAAGAATCCTTAATTAAATTTAATTTCACCTGGTATTTTTCCTTTACCTAAAAAAAGGGAGTCAACCATAAAATCAACCATAAAACTGGCTACAACAGTTTCTGCCATGATTGGAAAAGCGGAGAGAAGATAGCATCTGATGTACACAGCCAGTGGGTACTGTGTTCTCAAGGATGTTATGAAAATGACAATCCCTTTGGCCTTCTGCTCTAGCCTAGGAAGGCTGGGCATGCTGGTACCATACTTCCCTGGGCTCACTCCCACTCTTGCTTTCTGGCTTATACTCACATCACCCTATGAAAGTGGCTATAAAGGTCAACTGGCTTTGGGTGCACCTCTTATATTTTTGTTGAAGATTGTATTTTCCAAAGTTGGCTGCATATCTATATCTATATCTATATCTATATCTATATCTATATCTATATATATATATATCCCATTCCAAATGACATTTTACAGTGTGACATGGACATGCCTCCACTGGTCAGTTTCTTTCTTTGAATCTGGATAGGCCAGTGACTATGGTGGAAAGGATGCTATGAGACTCTGAGGTTGTCATAGTGGTGATACAAGTTCTGCCTGGTTCTCTTGGGGCACCTAGCCAACATGCTGTAAGAAAACCTAGCAGCCAGGTGAAAGGCTATGTGTGGTAGTTTCAGTCGCAGTGGAGGGCTCAGCCACCAGCCAGCATCAGCTGCCACGTTGAAAGGATGAGAATGTTCCCAGCCTTTGAGCTGCTCCAACTAATGTCATGTGGAGCAGAGATGAGTTATCTTTGACACCTCTGCCCAAATTTCAGATTCATGAGAAAAATAAAGGTTATCATTATTTTAAGCCATTAAGTTTTTAAGCCATAAATGTTGAGATCAACATAGCATAGAGCTATGTAGAGAGTACATCTTAAGTGAATGTGGGGTAAATGGATAGATTAATAAATTAACCTTTTTTTCTATGTGAATTAAGGCAAACACAATGCCTATTTCTTACCAATTTCACAAATAGCACGGCCATTACCACAGTGACTATTTTGTAGAGAAGTTTTTTTAGGACACAAAGAACTGGACTGAAGGAAAAAAACTTACCTTAGGAATGGGGGCCAGTTATTCAGGCCTCCATCTCAGTAAGTCACTGATTATAGCCCAGGGTGGTGGTAGGTCAGCTGCAGGTCAGCCTATGTCATTTCTTCAGAGGAGGGGGCAGGGGTCAGTGAGTCACAAGCAGCCAGTACTCACATCATCCGTGGATGGGGGCACTGGCTCGGGAAAGGATGCAGGGAGGAACCCCAACAGCTCCCATTACAAAAATCAGTTATGAATTAACTCATAGGATACTTTCCATCCTCCTTCTTCCCTTCGACTTTCTAACGCCCCCTCCTACCACCAAAGGAATTCTCCTCTCTTACTTCCCCTCAGGGGAATGGGCTGTGAACTGAAAGTCCCTACCCAGCTAGTAATAAGATTAAAGAGGCAAAAATAGACTATATTTTGGAAAGGAAAAAACCCAAATTTGTCTTCATATTTAATCTTTTTTATTTGTGCCAGTAATTTGTCATTTTAAGAATCAATGTTTGAATGCCCAGATAAAGTTAGGAGAGTTGACAATTAGAACTTTTTAAAGTGGCGGCAGGACAAGTACAGTCCTTTAGAGCTCAGGCCTGTGTCCATGAGTGCATAAACTGGAAGCCATACAATGGGTGTTGAGGCTAGAATATTAGTCGGAGTAATTATCCTTAGTGAAGTAATTTCTCTTTTATTACACAAAGTTAATGTTGCACTTGAAAATGATGTCTTCTTTCCCCAGTTATGCCACAGTCAACCTCCAACTGATGAATGGATAGTAACAAACAGGGCAAAAATATCATTAGATAGGTAGAGTAAAAATATCGCCAAATAGAAAAAGAAGAGTAAACATCACTGAGAAGCACAGATAAATGGCAGGATCCCAGGAAAGACCACTGTGTCATTTAGATTCTCCTGGAAGCAGGTGCTGATACAGAGTTAGGAGTGCGAAAGACTTATTGGGGTTGGAGTGCAAAGCCTGTGACAGAGTGTGGAGGAGGGAGGGAAACTCTGACTGTAGTGCTGATCTCATAAAGCCTTGACCAACCCAAAAACAGCCCCAGGGCAAGGATTATCCACTGGAGGAGTCCTGCATACGACTGAAATGTCCAAGTCCTAGAACTTGGACATAGGTTCTATGTCCATAGCTGGGGGCTGCCCTGGAAGAGTACAGCCTTCCTTGAAACCGAGGTGAAATCAGAGGACTAGACAGCTAGAAGCCATCAGGTAACTGCAGTCCTTGCAGCTGAAAGGAAAGCCCTTTCTCGAAGTGAGGGAGCTGAGCTATGTACCTTCACTGCTGCCACAATCTCCAAATGGCGGCAAATTTTCATAACTGGAAGGGCCTGGTGAGAGTGAGAAGCTCACTCAGCATTGAGCTCTAAAGAAGCCTTTGCCCTCTGGCAGTCGCCCTGCTGCGCTGCTCCCCTTCCGTTGTAGCTAGTTCCTGCCAATGAGGAAGTAAGGGCCACAATCTGGACTCTGAGAGCAAAAGGCTGAGTTTGTCAGGAATCCTGGCCAATGTTTCACTTGACACATTGTGCGCATTGAAGCAGGCCAGGACCAAGCTGCCTGGTGAGGAGTGAGGACAGAACCAGGCCCTTCTCTTCTTCTCATCCTCATCCTCTTATGCTCACTCATTATCAAGGAAACTCTAGTAGACAGAAATGTCCAGTGTATTCATTTTGCCCACTGGATTTAGCTATTTCACTGGCATTGGATGGAGTGCTTCCATAGGACAGAGGATCAAGGGGCTCCGAAAGCTCTAAAAGCAGTGCGACTGCAATGCCAGAGACAGGGTTGGCAGGAGAGAGCCATGCTCACAACCTTTCATTTCCCAACTTGTTCACTTGGGATTGCATACTATGAAACAATCACGGGGTTAGATGTGTCTGGACACCTTCAGTCCTGTAGGATTTGTCTGAGAAATGCTTTGATGACTTCCTGCTGACTGCTGAGATCAACATACTTTTTCTCTCTTAAGTTGCAGAAGCACAGGGAAGGCTGGGTGAAAAATCCTGTCCCAGTTGTAGGCCAAAAGAATTATCTGTCCTGGTTTATCTTTTTAAAAATGCCCATGCTATTTTCTAGCAAAACAGAAGGAAAAATGGCAGCTGAGGCTACTGTAGCGTAGGAGGAAAGTGCTGGTCATTTGAAATCAAAAGGCTGCATCTGAGTGTGGGAATTACAGTTTCTGGCCATGGGGATTTGGGCAAGTTTTAAAATTCCCCGGTATCTGTTTTCTTCTATATATAAATTAAGGCATGTTTTGAGAACTCCTGCTACAGTTTGAATGTCCCCTCAGAAACTCACGTTGAAAATCCCCAACATGGCAGTGTTAAAAGCTGGGGCCTTTAAGAAGTGATTGGGGTAGAACCCTCATATATGGATTAATTCATTCATGGATAAATGAATTAATGGATTGATGGTTTATCATTAGAGTGGCAGTAGTGGTTTTATAAGAGGAGGGAGACCTGATCTAGCGTATTAACACACTCAACTCTCATGCCATGTGATGCTGTTCATCACCTTGGGACTCTGCAGAGTCCTACCCAACAAGAAGGCTATCACCACTAGATGTGTCTCTTTGACCTTCGACTTCCCAGCCTCCAGCACTGTAAGAAATACATTTTGTTTCTTTATAAATTACCCAGTTTAAGGTACTCTGTTACAAGCAACCAAAATTGATTAGGACACTCTCCTTTCTTTTCTCTTTCCCTCTCTTTTCTGTCAACGCTTCCTTCCTTCTTTCCTTCCTTCCTTCCTTCCTTCTTTCCTTTTTCCTTCCTTCCCTCCTCACCTTCTTCCTTTTATTATTCAATACACATTTATTGACTGCAGTTTTAGGCACTGGGGAAATATGGATCAACAAAACCATTGATGACTTTAAAAATCCTAGTGCAAGAAAAGTAACAGCACAGTGTGTATATGCAGTGATAGATGTTCATTGCAGCAATAGGACAAAGTTATTTATTGCAGAAGAAGTATAAAGGAGAAATTGATTATTGTTTTGGGAAGGATCACAGAGGACACAATGTCTGAGCAAAAGTCTGAATAGGGAATGGGTTGTGAAAATGTACTAGTTGGGGCCACAGTGGGAATGAGAGAAAGAAAGTCAGTACAGAACATCATGTGCAAAGGCACTGGATACAAACCATTTGGTTATTGACTTGTTGAGTTTGTGGCACCTGTGAGACCCCCAGGTCCTTCTGACAACTGGAAACTCAGAGCCAGATGAGTGGAGAATAAGTGATTAGGACTAGAGGCTATGTTTGGGAATCCTTGGCATATACAAGGCAGGGGACTCAAGAGGATTTTGATATCTTACAATAAAAAGGGCTGGGCCAGAACCCAGGGAAACTCCAAAACTGGAGTGTGTTAAGAAAGATGTCTACCAATGAGGTCTAGTAAAGAAAGTGATGGGAAGAAACTGGATCGAATCACACTGCTGAGAACATAGCAGCAAATGTGTCAAGAGCTTCAAATGCTGCAGGGAGGCCAAGGTCAGTGTAAACCCAGAATTTCCATGGAATTTAGCAATTAGGAGGTCAATAGTGAGGGAGGGAATGACGTGACAGTAAATTAAGGCATATGAAAAGGCTTTGAAAATTGTGAAGAGCCATGGAATGAAATTCACCACTCCAGATTCTCAGCTTCTCAATTATATCAGGTGGATAACAGAACATCAGCATTTTAAGTAGACACCCTTGGGCTCATAATAAATGCTTTTAACACCTTTACATCCTTATCTCAAAATTTGCTTCTCGTTGGCTCCAGATTGCCTGAAATTTATCACATAGAAGCAAAAATAAAATTGGGGGCATAAGAAAGAATGTGAGAGAGAAACTGCAAGTTAGGGGGTCATTGCTATGTGGGAATAAATAATCCTGGCAACTGGATGGCTATGCTGAAATGTGGAATTTATTCTCCAAAGGAAAAAGCTTTAATCTTAAAGTATGTTTTGGATAATGTTAATAGGGAAATGGCTCACAGCAGAACAAAATAGATTTCCCAGCTAATAGTTTTATCCTTTAAAAAGAAAAGGAAACTAATATAACAAGAAGAAAAGTATGGTTGGTGAGGAAACCATATCTACAGACTGTGTGAACTTATAAATCAGTGTAGATATCATGGTGCATTGCAAGTAACTCATGGCTGTGTGTAGCAAGGGGACAGCTGGGGTCAGAGTTGTGGGACCCTGAATCTATTTGATTTTTAATACTTATTATATCAACTGAACTCTATGCAAATATCTAGAAAGGAGTCTCATAATGTTGTGTATCGTGGCCATGACAAGTGTTGTTCCTGAATTTGGGCTTGAACATACCTGATGCATTCCTGCCTTGACACTTACTGTTTCCTCTGCTTGGTTTGATCTTCTCCAAATGTCCAAATGGCTGTTGCCTTCATCATTCCTAGGTCTCTACTTAAGCATTACCTTCTCAGTGAAGCCTTCTCTGACAGTTTTATTTAAAGTAACACCTGCATCTATCCACCAGCTCCTCCTCTCCCTTTCCTTGCTTTATTTTTTCTCTGTAGTACTTATTACCATATAACATATATTTTATTAGAATATTAGCTGCTCAAAATGATGCCTTTGATCACTATTATACCCCAAATGTCTAGCAGAATGCTTGGCCCATAATAGGCATTTGGTAAATATTTACTGGATGAGGAGAGGCATGAGCTTTGGCAGCTGTCAGGTTGCCAGCTCCAGAGGATTGTAAAATTTCTAGAAAAGTACTTCACTCAGTTAGGTTGCCATCAAGTTACCACATAGACTTCTTTGTTCACCAGGCTCTGTGATTCTTGCCTCTTCATTCAAAGCCTGCACAGCATTGTTCATGGTTTCCAGGAACTTCCAGGATGTCCACTCTGGGCCTTTTCTCTGCCATCATATAAACTTGTGCTTCCAAATGCCTGCTAGGTTATAGGCTGAAGCCATTCCTGAGACGTAAAGATATCTAAAACATCAATGTTGGAAGGAGCCTGGAAAGCTCATTTGTCAGTCTGCACTTCTATAGATGGAGAAACAAGAACTCAGAAAGGTGTCACAATTTGCCTGATGCCATGCAACCCATTCGGTTAGCTGGAGCTGTTGAGGGATGAGAAAACTGAAGTTGTATGTTATCTTCAGATATGTTATCACATATAATCTCCACAAACAGTGTGGGTCTGTTATGATTCTATGCATGGGCTGAAACATAGATTATCAGAAATGTTCAATTACTTTCACCAGGCTGCTCAGTTAATGTGTGTTAAGGTCAGGTTTGTTTTTATTCCAAACTTATGTTATATCAACTAAACTCTATTTGCGCTGTAACTTGTGGGGAAAAGCCACACACTGGGCCCTTGCATAGGACAGTGTGAAAGTGGGTATGCACTTACATCTTTCTTTGCTTTTAGTTACCTTCAATTTCTGATAGCTTTCACCTTTCTTCTTGTTACAGAAAAGGCTAAAGGTCAATCATCATTTTTACTTCTCTCTTTCCTGCAGCTGCACCTGATATTCCTCTCCTTTGGCCTCTCCAATTAACTCTTAATGGTGCTCAGTTTTGTGTATGTCTTATAGTAAAGAGAAACAAGACCATTTGGTCATCCTACTTTCTCTTACTGTGTAGTCTTCACTCCTTCTTCAAGACTAGGCTTCCTGAATGAGTTGTTTGCATTTACTCCCTTTCAATTCCCTCCTCAACCCTCTGCGGTTCTGCCCTTAACACTTGCATACTGTTCCTGATAAGAGCACTAGCAATCTCTTTGTTAATAAATCCTGTGACTTATCTTCAGATTTGTCTTACTTGACACTTTGACAGTATTTGACATGGGGAACCACTTCATCATTCTCCAAACTCTGTCCCTTGGATTGTGCATTAAGATGCTCTTGGGCTTTCTGCATACAATTCTCCAACTTAGTAGTTCTTTGCTGGATCTCTATGGTAGATTGCAAAGACGACTTCAATAATATCTCTTATCCATGTGCATTTGTCCCTATACAATGCAACTTTGTTGATCCTCAATCAAGAAATGGAGTTTATTTCTGTATCCATTTAATCTGATCATAATCACATGATTTGCTTTAAGGAAATTAGCAAATAGGATTTAGAGAAATTAGCAAATATGATGCAAACAAGGACTTAAAAAGTGCTTGCACAATAGGTTTGTTCTCCTCTGACTGATTGGAACTCTGAACCCATAGGGTGGATGTGCTGCATGGAGCTAACCTGCTAGTAGGGTCACATGAAAGGGAATTAGGATATTCTGACTTCCTAATAACCAGATGAAAGGAGACTGTTTTAGATGAATCCGTCCATTTGAGTCACCAATCCACTGTAGCTATATGAGTCATTGCAAGTGAGATCAGTGGAAGAAACACCTGAATAAACCTGGCACAAATTGCCAAGCTGCAAAGTATGAGTAAATAAAAGTCACTAGGTTGTGGAGTATTTGTTATGTAGCAATAGATAACTAATATAGCCTTCTATTTCACCTGTCTCTTCCGTTTTAGTGTTTTCTTCTCAATCTACTCATGTTACCGTGTCATATCCTCTTATCCAAATATTTAAATTAATACAAATATTCTAACAACAAATGCCATAAAACAATATCTCCAAAGCAAATATTTAGCCGATTCTTTGACTATAAAACCAACTGCCTATTGAATCTTTGCTATGCTTCTTGGACCTCAAAATTATCACATCCCATATGGAATTCACCCCTGGAACTCTGAATGTATTTCTTCTGTTTTTCCCTCAGAGAATAGAACAAAATCCTGCACATTTTTTTTCAATCTGGAGACTGGATCTCTTCCTTGTCTCCTCCTGTCTCTTGTACTCAACATTTAATCAATCACCAAGTCCTATGAATATTCCTCCTTGATCTCTTTTAAAATTGTTCACCTCTATTTGTCCACATTACCACTATGTTAATTCTAGCCATCATAATTTTCTGCTGCAATTACTTTCAACATCTTTTTAAACAGATGAACTCTTACCATTTAACTGCCAGTGAAACAATTCTTGAAAACAATGTATGTACGTCAGTTTTGGGCTGTAGCACATAAATAATAAATTTATTATAAATGTCTTCCATGTGTATTACATGTAAATCCATTTTATAAGTTCATTAGATGAAATTTGTTATTTATAATGTCGTAATCTTCTTTATTTGACTTTGTTTCCTACTTGTTGATTATGGGAAGAGGTGTGTTAAAATCTCATGCTTTGGAATTATCTAATTCTTTGGGTAGTTCTATCAAATTTTGAGTTTTATATTCTGAGCCTATGTTTTTTAAGTGTATAAAAGTTTGAAATTGTGATATCTTCTTGGAAGGAGTATTGAGTTTTTAAAAATCATTATGAAGCAACCTCCTTGATAACAAATAATGCTTTCTACCTTAAATCTGATTTTGTGTGATACTGTTTTATGTGCTGATATTTGCTTAATACATTGTTTTTATACATTTAATTCACAGCTTTTCTTCACCCTCATGTTTTAGGTATATTTTTATCTAGTTTTACTATATGTTTTAACTGGTAGGGTTAGTCAATTTCCATTCACAGTGATTACTGATATATTTGGATTTATTCCCATTCTCTTATTTTACACTTTCCATTTGTCTAGCTTTAAATTTCTTTTTCCTTTGAATCAAGTGAGGTTCCCCCCACCCTCATGATTTCCTTAGTTTTCTTGAATTATTTTGGAGGTTTAAAATTCCATTTATTTTATTTAATTGGTACCTCTAAGTTTTTACCATGTATGTAATTTAATAAAGTCTAAAATAAATTTTAAAATTGCCTTTTTCCCCAAAATGTAGAAAATTTGAAATATTTAATTTTCAAATACTCTCCCAGAATCTATATATTTTTACCTAAAAACTTTTTTGTATTTTATTCACATTTTAACACGCAAAAGGGACATTGCTATCATTGTTTTTACAATTAAATGTGTTTAGATTTATCCACGTTTTAATTATTTTCTTTGCTCACTATTCATTAGTAGATCTCTAACCTTCCATTTGAAATTATTTTCTTCTTTCTTATTTCTAAAGAATATACTTTATTAAAAATATTATAAATATTACTAAAGTATATTCTTTAGGAATTATGTTATTAAATGTCTGTTGGAAGCTAACCCATGTTTTGTTTGTCCGTAACTGTCTTTATCTTACCTGCATTTAAAAAATATTGCCTTGATGGTTATAAAATTCCTCATTGACAGCTCTTTTATTTTAGTACTTTAAATGGATTCCACCATTACTACTGGGAGTCAGCCATCAGTCTAGATGTCATGACTCTGGAGGTAATCTGGTTTTCTCTGGGTACCTTTAAAGACTTTGTTTGTTTCTTGGTGTTTGGCAGATTCATTACATTGTGTCTTGGCATGGGGCTCTTTTTATTTATCCTAATTAATGATTAGAGAACTTATGTCTTTTATCAATTCTGTAAAATATTAAGTCATTAGCCCTTCAAATATTATCTATCTACCAGCCTATTATTTCCTTTTAAAATTCCAGTTAGGCATGTCTTAGGTCTCATTATCTCTGATTATACTTTTTATCTCTATGCTACATTGTAGGTTTTTTCATTTTGTTTTTTTTTTTTGGCATCTATCTTTCAATTGAGTAATTCTCTTGTCATTCTGGGACTATTTCTAGTTCAATAATTCATGCTTCAACTGGGTCTAATATGTGATTTAAACTACCTTCTGAGTTTTTATTTTCATTTATTGTATTTTTCATTTCTACAAGTTCTCTTTGAGTCTTTCAAATATGCTGGGTCATTTTGAGACATGATTTTAATGACATTTATTTCCTCAAATGTATTACACACATATGTTTTAGATTCTATGTGAATCTAATCATTCTAAAATCTGAAGATGCTGTGCTTTACTTTGCTCATTTGGCAAATAAAGATAAAGTAATTGTTACTCACTGGATTATTTTGAAGATTAAATGCTTCCATAAATATAAATTTCTTAAGACAAGTATCTAGCACACTACAGAGTAACCTATACAAGTGTTAGCTGTTTTTATTATTATTGCTGCTGTTATTGGTAGAATTGATTTTGTTGTTTACTGACCCCAAGTGGCTTATTTTTCTCATGTGTTAAGTAATTCTGATTGTGAGCTCATATCCCTTATTATCAAACATTATAAGTTGAAATTTCTTAAGGCTTGTATGTAACGTGCATTCCTCCAAAGAGGACTTGCATGAGCTCTTGCTGAGCCGTGGGGATACTACCAATCTTGATTAGTTTAAGTTAACTTTTGGCTTGGTTGTTTTTATGCCACATTGACAGTGTGAATTTTAGCTCCAATTTTGCCTGAGGGTTGGGTAGTGGTTATAAATTCTTAGGGGCGACTTGTTTCCCCTTTACTCAGAAACAAGGCTAAATGAGGCAAACTTCCTTACTGTCACTCTTTTTGAGATAGGTTCTTTGCTAGTTTGCCTGGTGGGGTTGTCACTCTTTAGGGCTCCAGGTTTTGTGGGTGTCACTGATTGCAGGTTTCTTTGTATGACGATCCTGTATCGTCAAGGCCATTCACTAGCTTAAGTGCTCACTCACTTTTGTGACTTCTTTTTTGGGGGGTCATTTTTGACTAATTTTCTTGCCATCTCACCCCTCCCTTAAAAATTTATTTTGAGCATTTTATCCAGAGTTTACAGGTGTTTTGAACCCAGAGATTTTTCCTGTAAAGGGTAGTACATACTTCAGGCTTTGTAGGCCATATAGTCTTTGTTATAACTATTAGTTTTACTGTTGCAGGACAAAAGCAGCCATAAACAATATGTAAACAAATGAGTATGACTGTGTTTCCATGAAACTTTATTTACACAACTAGGTGACAGACTAGATATGACCCATAGGCTTTAGTTTTCCAATCTCTGTTCTATAACATAGCTGAGATTAGAAGACACTGGAATAATATTTCTGAAAGTGTTGCTTTTAAGATTCTTAGCACTCACTGCTAAAGGGGAACCACCTTTGGTTACTGCCTGATTGAAACCTAACACTTTGCTTTCTTTTTTGCTTGGAACTGAAAATCCCATAGGAGAAAATCCAATAGGAGTTTCCAAGGAGACAGCCTGTGGGTTGGAGGGGTTGTGGTGGGGGTGAGATAGCACACAGCTAGAGTTGAGATGTGGGGAAAACTTGAATTGTTTGTTTGCCTTTCAGGTTCTTTTTGAGGGGAGTCTCTCTGATGCTTGGAATGAATCCTGCTGAATCAATGCTGATGCTTGGAGATCTTCAAGTCTTTTCCCTTTTTCCCATTGCTCATGATGTCTATATAACCTCCAAACATGCATCCCACTCCTCTGCCGAAAGACCATTTTTTTATATCTTCAGTGATGGTCTAGGCCAGGTTAATTGACTTTTCTTTTTTCTTAAGCCAACTAAAGTCCTCACCACAAATTAATGTTATGTTTTGACTGACTCATTGGGCCTGAACAATAATGTTATTTCTCGCAGTGCACTAAAAAGGGAGTAGAAAGGGAAAGGTGGATGTATTTCTTAATTTTCTGTAATCTAAGTACTGAAATCTCACTTTTACAACAAAGGCAGCTTTGATATAATTTTTGGAAACAAGCTTTCTGCTGAGCTGGTTGTGAAATCTCATTGGTTGGAGAGAATTCAAGTGCATGTCAGTGAGCACAGGTGCTGGAAGTTGTAGGTAAGGAGTCAGGAGTGCAGTCTACAGGTGCAGAAAAAAGATTTTCATGGAGACCCCCAGCTCTAAATGTAGTTGCTCAAAAGGTGGACTTTGCCATTCACTTATGTGAAGCCCTTTGAAAATCTGACATTTCTGTGGGCCTGTTAGTGGCGAGCCAGAGGGGCTTGCCAGCTTAGAGGTTAATTGTGCTAATTAACAGAAAGGACAGAGGCTTCAGAAAGTGCCTCTGTGGACTGGAAAATTTTCCCAATATTTCATTAGGGTGACTTTGAAAAGGTTGCAGGCAAATGGCACCTTTCACTTTAAAAATCTAAACCATGGCTTTTTAACCATTTTTAAAGTTTGAGTTTGAAAAGTCCACTTTTAGTGTTATTTAGAAACTCGTCCTATGGGAAGTCTGGAGGAAAGGAAAGACTACATTTTTAAGTGCATCATTCTCGCCTTTCATTCCTTTATGCTTAGCTTTTTATTTCTTGGCACTTATTTTAAAAGCCTTATTCTCTCCTCCTCCCAGTGCAAACCCACGCCATATCCCTGAATCTGTTGTGGAAGAACAGACTGGAAGACATCTGCCTCTTGCCTTATTTTTTTTAATTCCTCTAAATGATAGAGCCAAGTCTCCACACCAGAGCTCCCTCTCCCTGAACAAACCAAATGGTGGCTGTTGGCAGTGCATTGACAGCTTGTTAATGGAGGAATCCTTGACAGTGTGACAACCTGCCTGGGCTGCCGCGGGAAGCCAAATCCGCCCCCACACAAACCCGAGTAATTAACAGGTGGGGAAAAATAGCAAGTAACTGCTGCTGAGGAGAGGAAAAATAGTCAACCTAGTGAATTATGTATATTAAAGTATAATATCTCTTTTGCAATCCCTTTCCTAGTTCTTACTAGCAAGCTCTACTGGAAAGTGGTTTGACTTTGGAGTCAGGTGAGCCTGGATTTGAATCAAAGTTTGGCCACCTACTGGCTGTGTGTGACTTTGGGAAAATTCCCTTCACTGAACCTCCATTTGTGATCAGTACTGTGGTCAGATACTATTTGTGAAGGCACAATTATAGATGCCACTTATCGGTGTTCAATTGTCAAAACCTCTTTTTATGATGATGGATTTGCCAAATTGTTCTTGTAGTTCTGTCAAGTTTTGTTTTTTTTTAATATCGTGAGGTAATTTTTTGGTTCATTAAGTTTGAAATTGTTATTTCTACTTGGCGAATTGGGCCTTTTATCATTAGACAGTGACTTCCTTTTTCTCTAGTCATACTTTTCGTCTTGAAATTATTTTTTGTGATGTTATTTTATGTGCTGATATATATACACACACACACACACACATGCACACACAAACACATATATATATATTCCATTTATTTGATAGTATTTCTGTGCTTTTAGGTTTCATGAGGTTAGGGGTATAGGATGAAGGGTATAGAGAAGGGGAGGGCTCTGGTTACCTATTGCTTGGTTAAGGCGTCCACACTTGTTGGGCTGACTGTCTAGACATCCTCTCTCCCAGCTCCCTCAAACCCAAAATATATTTGCATGAATTCCAATAAAGAAATCTTCTCAGAGAAGCATGTGCTGGTACCACCCACACCAGCTGGAACATTTTTCTCTCAGCTCTGACCTACACTAGAAAATACGTGGAAGGAATTTTTCAAAACTTAGATCTGTAGCTCTTGATATAATACCAGGGGCTAAAATGAATTTAGGAGACATTCAAGGCTGTTTAAAATAGTTATTTTCAAGCTTTCTTCAGTCTTAGATCTCTTTGTGAATGTGATGAAAGCTCTGGACTCTTGCCTCAGGAAAAATGCAAAAACACAAGATTTTCAAACTTTAGCTGATCCTATTTTTATGTCCTAAAGTTCCGGAGGCTCCAGGTAAAAGGGCCGCTATTTAAATACTCATGTTGCAAACATTAAGGGATAAAAGGCAGGATGGAAAATTTAAACACATGCAAATATATTGGTCAGAATGGTGGACTGTGCAGTCCTGGCAGAAAATTTGCTGCCTATTCTTTTCTAGGGTGGGCTCAGATTTATCAGTGAGGCCATGCCCTGAGCAGAATTGCCCTGTGGCAAAGGAAACCTGAGCTGAGGACTAAATGAGAAAGTCCAGAACCGGTGAATGCACATGACCCCAGCTGAAAGTCTCTAGGAAACATCCCCCCAAGGAGGGCTTCATAACCCAGGGCTCACTGAAGAAAATTCCAATTGAAGATAAGCTGAGGAGAAAATATCACAAAACACTGAAAAACACCACTATGAGAGGTAAGTCTAGCAGATGCAACAAATAGAGCGTTCATGCCCAAGAAAGTAGAAGTAATAAAATCAGCTGAAAAAGTACTTTAATATAAGTATGTTGAAAATATTGAAAGTTTAAAAAAGGATAGAATCCATAAAAATGGAGATAATGGAAGAGGACGGAAAAACTTGGGGAAAAATAGCTAGTTTCAGAAACAAAAAATATTGGTATGGGTATGGAGGAAACTTTAAGGACACTTTAATCAGCAGACTACACAGGATTAAGAAGTGAATAAGTAAAACAGAAAGATTATCAGAGGAAGTCATCCAGAATACAGCAGAGATAGAAAAAGAGTTGAGGGCTAAGAAAGAGAAGTTGAAGAATGGAAGAATTTGAAATTTCACCCTAGACACACAGTAATGAAATTACAACATTCATGTATCATGGGAAAGTTCTAAAAGTTATCAGGCAGAAGAGACAGATTATTTTAAAAAGTCAGTATCAGACAAAAGGCAGACTGTTGTTATCAGTAATAGATACCAGGAAATAAACAGGAAATAAATAAAAATATCTGCAGGGCACTGAGGCAAAATTGTGTGAATACATATCTTACTAATGCAAATGATGCAAAAACCAAAACAAACCAAAACAAAAACTGAACACCTGCTGGAAATGTGTTCACGTTGAATTCATTCTGGTTGGTTAAATTTAAAAAGACGATTATTTTTATCTCAATATTTCTGTATTGTTCACATTCCGTGTAATAAACATGATTTACTTATGTAATAAAATGAATATTAAAAAAACAAATAATCTGAGTTGAAATTATAGGAACTTTGTTCATGTCTGTTCAAATTAAGCTCATTCTTTAAGGCTTAGCTCTAATAACATTAAACATTTTTATTAATATATAATGTTTGTACCTTTTCATGGTATAGATGTAGTATTTTGCTACATGCATAGAATATGTGATGATCAAGTCAGGGTATTTATAGTAATCATCTTGACTATTTATCATTCCTATGTGTTGGGAACATTTCAAGTCCCCTCTTCTAGCAGTTTTGAAATATATAATATATTTTAAAAATTATAGTCACCCCACTCTGCTATCAAATATTGGAACTTATTTCTTCTATTTAACTGTACGTTTGTACCCATTAACCAATCTTTCTTCATGCTCCCACTCCCAAATCTCCACACAGACACCCTCCCCAATATTGGGTAACTATCATTCTACATCTCCCTCCATGATAGCAAGTTTTCTATTTCCCACATATGAGTGAGAACATGCAATATTTGTCTTTTTGTGCCTAGCTTATTTCACTTAACATAATGACCTCCAGTTTCATCCATGTTGCTGCAAATGACAGGATTTCGTCTTTTTTTTATGGCCAAAGAGTATTCTACTGTGTATGTGTACCACCTTGTCTTTATTCTTTCATCCAAAGGTGGACACTTGGATTGATTCCATAATTTTGCTATTGTGAACAGTGCTGAAATAAACTTGAAGGTGCAAGTATCCCTTTAATATGCTGATTTCCTTTCCTTTGGATAAATACCTGGTAGAAGGATTACTGGATTTTCTGGTATTTCTGTTATTAGTTTATCTGAGAAATGTCTACACTGTTTTCCAGAATGGCTATAGAAATTTACATTCACACCAACAGTGTATAAGAGTTACATTTTCTACAGTATGGAGATTCCTTAAAGAGCTAAATGTAGATCTACTATTCAATCCAGCAATCTCACTACTGGGTATCTACCCAGATAAAAAGAAGTCATTATATGAAAAAGATACTTGCACATGTATATTTATAGCAGCACAATTCACAATTGCAAAGATGTGAAACCAACATAAGTGCCTATCAACTAATGAGTGGATAAAGAAAATGTGGTGCATAGACAGCATGGAATATCACTCAGCCATTAAAAGGAATGAAATCATGTCTTTTGCAGTAACTTGGATGGAGCTGGAGGCCATTATTCTAAGTGAAGCAACACAGGAGTGGAAACTCAAAAACCATGTGTTCTCACTTATAAGTGGGAGCTAAGCTATGAGTAAGCAAAGGCATACAGAGTGATATAATAAACTTTAGAGACTCCAAATGGGGAATGTGGGAGGCAGGCTAGGGATTGAAAAAAAAAAACCTACACATTAGGTTCAATGTACACTACTGAGGTGATGGGTGCACTAAAATCTCAGAATTCAACACTATACAATTTTTTCGTGTAACAAAAACCCACTTGTATCCCAAAAGCTATTGAAATAAAAATTTAATAAGGAGTTATGTTTTATCAATATGCTCACCAGCATCTGTTATTTTTTCGTCTTTTTAATAATAGCCATTGTGACCAGGGTAAGATGATATCTCATTGTGGTTTTCACTTACATTTCCTGGATGTTTAGTGATATTGAGCATTGTTTCATAGACCTTTTGGCAATTTTTATGTCCGCTTTTGAGAAATGTGTATTTATGTCCTTTGCCTACTTTTTGTGGGATTATTGTTTTTTTTTGCTATTGAGTTGTTTGAGTATTTTGTATATTCCAGATATTAACCCCTTCTTGAATGAATAGTTTGCAAATATTTTCTTCTTTCAAAAGATTGTCTATTCACTCTGTTGATTGTTTCCTTTGCTGTGCAGAAGCTTTTTAGTTTAATATAGACCCATTTATCAATTTTCGTTTTTGTGGTCTGTGCTTTTGAGGTCTTAGTCATAAAATACGTGCCTAAACCAATGTCCTATAATGTTTACCGTAGGTTTTCTTCTAGCAGTTTTATAGTTTTGGGTCTTACATTTAGGTCTTTAATCCATTTTGAGTTGAATTTCTTATAGGATGAGAGATAGAAGTCTAGTCTCATTATTCTGCATATGAATGTCCAGTTTTCCCAGCACCATTTATTGAAGAGGGTGTCCCTTTCCCAATGTATGTTCTTGAGAACTTTGTTGAAAATCAGTTGGCTGTGAATACGTGGATTTATTTCTGGGTTTTCTATTCCATTTCATTGATCCATATGTCTATTTTTATACCAAGATCATGCTGTTTTGGTTAATACCCTTGTGATACTTGTTAATATTCAAAATGTTACTTTCAGAAACATTTTGAAATCAGGAAGTGTGATGCTTCCACTTTTTCCCTCAAGATTGCTTTGGTTTTTTGAGCTCCTTTTTGGCTCTATATACATTTTAAGATTTTTTTCTATTTCTGTGAAAATGTCATTAGTATTTTGATAGGGTTGTGTTGGATCTGTAGATTGCTTTGGGTCATGTGGCCATTTTAACAGTATTAATTCTTCTTATCCATGAGCATGGGATGTCTTTTTGTTTGTTTCCTCTTCAATTTCTGTCATTAGTGTTTTTTAAGTTTACTTATAGATGTCTTTCACCTCCATGGTTAAATTTAATCCTAGGTATTTTATTTTTTTTGTAGCTGCTGTAAATGGGATTATCTTCTTGATTTCTTTTAGCTAGTTCATTATTGGTGTATAGAAACAATACCAACTTCTGTATTTGGATTTTGTATCCTGCAACATTACTGAATTTACTTATCAATTCTAAAAGTTATTTGCTGGAGTGTTTAGGTTTGTCTAAATATATAATCACGTTGTCTACAAAGAGGGACAATTTGACTTCCTCTTTCTAATTTGTATGCCTTTTATTTTTTTCTCTTGCCTGATTGCTTTGGTTGTAACAGGGTTTTTATCATGAAACATTTTTAGATTTTATCAAATGTTTATTCTGCATCTATTGAGATGATCATGTGGCTTTCAGTCTTAATTCTATTGATGTGATGTATCATGTTTATTGATTTGCATATGTTGAACCATCCTTGCAATCCTGGTATAAATCCCATCTGATCATGGCGTATTAACTTTTGGATGTCTTGTTGAATTCAGTTTGCTAGTATTTTGTTGAGAATTTTTACATCTATGTTTATCAGAGATATTGGTCTATAGTTTTCAATTTTTGGAAATAATTTGAGGAGAATTAGTGCTAATTTTTCTTATAAGTTTGGTAGAATTGGGCAATAAAATAATCAATGCTGGGCTTTTTGTTTGAAAGTATTTTCATTATTATTCAATCTTGTTACTCATTATTGGTCTGTCCAGATTTTCTATTTCTTTCTGATTCAATTTTGGTAGGCTGTAAATCTCTAGGAATTTATCAATTTCCTCTAGGCTTTTCAGTTTGTTAGCATATAGTTGTCAATAATGCTCTCTGATAACTTTTTATATTTTTGTGAAATCAGTTATGTCTACTTTTTCATTTTTGATTTTATTTTGGCTTTCTCTACTTTTTTCCTGCATAGTCTACCTATTGGCTTACTGATTTTGTTTATCTTTTCAAAAAACCAACTTTTTGTTTCATTGATCCTTTGTATGTTTTTAGCCCCTATGTTTCATTCTGCTCTGATCCTTATTATTTCTTTTCTTCTACTAATTTTTGTGGTTTGTTCTTGCCTTTCTAGTTCCTTGAGGTGCATCGTTAAGTTCTTTATTTGAAATATTTTTACTTTTTTGATATAGGCATTTATTTCTGCAAACTTTATTTTTAGGACTGTTTTAGCTGTATCCCATAGGTTTTTAGTATGCTGTTTTTCCATTTTCATTTGTTTTAAGAATTTTTTTGATTTTTTTCTTAATTTCTTCATTAACCCACTGGTCTTTCAGGAGCATGTTATTTGTACAGTTTCCAAAATTAATTTTGTTGTTGATTTATAGTTTTATTCCACTGTGGTCTGAGAAAATATTTGATATAATGTCAAATTTTTAAAAATTGGTTTATTTCAAAAGACCTGTCTTCAAGTTCTAAGAGTCCTTCTTCGCTTGTTCTAGTCTATTATTGAAGTCCCTGATAATTTTTTTACTTCATTCATTGAATCCTTCAGTTCCAGGATTTCTGTTTGGTTCTTTTTTATATATCTCTCTCTGCTGAATTTCTCACTTATATCCTAAGTTATTTTTCTGATGTCTTTGTATTGTTTATCTGTGCTCTGTTGCATCTCACTGAGCTTCTTTAATATTATTTTGCATTCTTTTTCTGGCTTCCCATAAATTTCTGTTTCATTGGAATCTATTGCTGGGAAATTATTGTGTTCCTTTAGAGGTGTCATATTTTCTTATTTTTTCATGTGTGTGTCTGTGTGTCTGTGTGTATGTGTGTCTGTGTCCTTACATTGATGCCTGGACATCTGGTATAACAGTGGCTTCTCCCACTTTTTTGGATTAGCTTTTTTTGCGGAAGATTTTTTTCATGAAGATGTATCTATAGTTTTGGTTGGGTGGAACACTTTAGCTTTGATTTGTGGTGTGTGCAGTAGTTTATTCTCCGTATGATTTATTAGGCTGTAAACAGTGTCAGTTGTGTCTGTGATTTCCTTTGTGTTGTAGGCTGTGGTTGTTAGTGGAAGCTGTGCTGCCCAGTCTTCAGGCCCCAGTGGTGGAAGCATGGGCCAGTCTCTCCTGTTTTTGAGACCATGGGTGTCAGTGACTCCAAACAGGTTGATTCTTGGCTTGCTTAGGTCCTGGCAGTGGCAGGGTTGGACTCAGCAGGTGGGCAGGTCTTTAGTCCCCTGGATGGTGTGCATAGCCTGGATAATGGCAGCAGCAGTGGTGGGACAACTCTTTGAAGCATCACATGTTGGTGTTAATGGTAGCTGCAATGGGCTTGACAGGCCAGTTTTCAGGCTCTATTATGGCATATTCTGGTAGGTGCTTGCTTTGGTGGTAGTGACAGGCTATGTGGGTTCATCCTCAGGCCCTCAGGAGGAGTGTGTAGATGTTAGCAGTGGTGTACGGGGTGAGGCAATTCCCAGGCTCCTGGATGTTGTGCTTAGTCACTCAGGAGGTAGTGTCCAGCTGGGTGGGCCTGTCCTCAGGCCCTCTGTTGGTGTGCTCAGGTGCTGGCTGTAGTGGTCAGCATAGAGTGATCCCTAGACCCCCTGGTGGAGTGCTTGGGTGCCTGCAACAGTTGCAGCAGTTGAGGTGGGGAAAGCCTGTAAAGACAGGGGCATAAGCGAGTGTGCTGCAGCTCTGCTGCCAGTGGGGAGATGTGGAGATATCTTGGCTGCAGCCACAGGCAGGCAGTTCTTAGGTTCTGGGGAGTGTAAACTTCAGCCCCTGGGGCCAGTGGCAATGGCAACAGCAGTGGCAGCAATGGGAAAAGCCAGTCCTCAGGGGGCATTCAAGTGAACAGTGGCCCTTCTTCTTTGGCCCATAGCCACCTCAGCAGTGGGTGCAGTGCAGTGGGCATTTGCACAGCCTGTTTTTCGGGCTTGTGTGTGGCAGTCCTGTTGCTGAGGATGAGGGTTGCTGTTTATGCAACGCCCAAGTGGTTCTCAGGCTCTAGGGAGTGTGCACTTTGGTTCCCTTTGTCCTGGGGGAAGTCTCTCCAAGGAGTAAGACTCAGTTTGTGCTAGAATTCTGGGGACCCTACTACTCCACCGGGTGCCACCAGCATTGTGCTAATGCAGCCCTCCAGGTGAATGTGAGAGGATGTTAGTGGGGCTCCAGGGATATAGCAATGCAAGAGCTTTTGGGTCCCAGGGAAGCATGCAGTATAGTGGGTGTTGGACTCTCAAAATGGCACCATGCTGCATCTGCTTAGTGCAGCAAGGGAATAATCTCATGGATTAAATGTTATTGGAGTGCCACTTGGGAGGATCTTCAATATGAATCACTAGAAGACATCTGGCACTTACCATAGGGGGTGTTTGGGATCCAGCATAAGCTCCCTCTGTAGAGTAAAGCCATCACATAGTCCCCAGCAGCTTCCTATGTTAGTCATAGGGCCCATGAGGATCAAGAAGTTCTCCTGTGGCTAGGGTTACAAGAGTTCATGGTAAACATATGGATTGCTGGGGATCTGTCACTTTCTTTTTTCCCATACGGGGGAGGCTCTCTAGGCTCCCAGCCAAGCTTGGCCAATCTGGCTGCCTCACTTCCCTCTGCTTCTGTGCCTCAGGTATTTCCTCACTTCTCTGTTGAATTCCAGTGTTGTCTCTTAGATGCTGTATTAAAAGTGACATTATCTAATTGCTATTTTATTTCTTTGTAGAGGAGGTAAGTGCCAGATGTCTTCTAGTCTGCCATATTGAAGCCCCTGTCAAGTGGCAGTCCAATGATATTTTATCTATGATATTATTCCCTTGTATTTTCACCTCTTAGGGGAGATTTATCCATTAGGCACAGTAAGTACAGTATCAAGGGTCCATGAAAACATTAACATTTTAAATGCTTTTAAAATCAGAAGGAAAAGATAAATATACTAATAATAAATACCTAGTAATAAATCCACCATGGATTATACATCTTTATATCAATGTTTGTGGTAAAATATAATTTTTAGTTCTATTTTGCCTAGTTAGTTTGTTTCAATGGAAGAAGGGGCCCATGAAAGCCAAAGTTTCAGGGCCTATGACACTTATAAAGCAATCCTGAATCTCCATTTTTCTGTTTTAATTTTGGTTTCCCCAAAAGCAGAACCTAAGACAAGGCTCTACAGGCAGCTTTTTTGGGAAGTTATCTAAGAAACAGATGTGAGGGTCTGGGGTGAGACAGAGAAAGAGGAAAAGCCAATAAAAGCATGTGTTCTCAAGGTCATTGATGTGGGCAACATGATTCAGTTTCACCAGGACCTCCATTTCTAAAGATGCATAGAATGCCTTCCAGTATTCCTGGACATCTGAAGGATAGGCAGCTGGGATATTTATCCACTGACTTCTGTTCTCCATTTGTTGAGCATTGCTCCTAGAGGCTGTAAATTCTCTTCCACAGGGCTTGCATAAATGCTGGGTGTCCCAACACTGGAGCAGGCCCTGAAGAGGAAAATGTAAAGTGCTTGTTAAAGGTGAGATGCTTGTTAGCGTGAGAGTGAGGTTGCATGGCTGAACAGAGTTGAAGCTGAAATGAGAGATGGGACAACGTCATGTGACTCAAAGTGATGTAACTCAAAACACCAAGAATCTGATTCAGTTCCCCTGGAATTAATTTCACGTTATCACCATTCTCCCATACCATTTTATTTGTACATATGCGAGAGCTCATTTTGCATTCATCTATGTTTCATGTATCACATAGTTCTTTTTGTTCTTGAAATATAAATTCCTTGTGGAATTCCTCATACTTAATACATATTGTTGATTTAATTTAAATAAGGGAGTCCTGAACTTGGATTTAGGAAGACTAAATTCGGTTCCCTCTCTAAAACCAACATGCTGTATGATCTAGGGCAACTCCCTCAGTCTACTTTAGGTTTCATAACTATATCCACGAAATTAGAATCTTGGACAATATCTTACCCAAGGACTCTTCTGGGAGGGGTATATGGTTTGATTATTCCCATCCACCTTGCTTCATTCAGCATTACAGAGCTCCAACTACATTCCAGGCCCAGTACTAGTTGCTAGGTTTATAGAGATAAATGCAACCCAGCCTTACTGTGCAGGAATCTGCATCTCTTCAAAGAAAGAGACATATGAAGAATTATAGCAGTGTGACAAAAGTAAGCACAGAGGGATAGGGACACACAATGGTATCTGTAACCAAACTTGCGGTGTCAAGAGGAATTCTTGCAGAGATCACAGCTGAGTTGATTCTTAAAGGATGTTACTTAAAGGATAAGTAATGGCAAGAGTATGAGGAGGACACCTCATATAGAGTTTGTTCAAGAAAGGGGACATCTTTCTCAAGCCTGAGGACAGCTGGCTGAAGAGAGAAAATAGATGTTCTTAAGGCCTTCTAAATTTTGAGCCTCTGATGTATTTCAGTGCTACATTTTGTCTTCTTGAGGGCAATTGTTTGGTACGCTCACGTAAGTTTTAATGCATGTGCTAGGCTCAATATTGGGAAAGGAAAACAAGTTATATGGACAAACTATGGTGCCCAAGGCAGGAGACAAGTTTTTCTATGTTTGCTGGCAAAGAAGATTTACCGAACTATTTTATATTTATTATTAGGCAGCACTGTGGAAATGGATTTTTAAATACCTACAGCCACAGGCTAATGGAGAGAAGAGGATATATTTGCCACTAGACAGGTCTTCAGCCAATTTATGTATGTTAAATCAGTCCAATGTTCCTCTCCTTGATCATAATGAGTATATTTCTTTGGAGAAATCAAAGTCCCTGTTATTTTCTCCCTATTTATGGTGATAAGATATTTGTGTTACTCCAGGTAAAGTGCCCCAGAAATGGCTTGTAGAAGCAGCCCTTCACACTAAGTGCACCGTGGGAAGAATATGTTACAGGAATCCCAATCCTCTGGATATAAATGTTGACATTTTGCCCTTCCTGTTTGGCATGAGTAATCGATCACCTATAATTTTACCTCACGGAATCATTTTCTGCTTTAGGCAGAAATGTTCTTTGCTGATAAACATCCCACTACACATAAATGTCATCCTGAAAGGTTCTCTTTTTGGAGAAATGGCCAAGAGCCCTTCTATTTCAATAATTTTCTTTACTAAAGAAGAGAAACAAATGACAAAACTCGACAAAGTGGTGGCTGGAACACGGTCTTCTCAACGTTTCTTGGAAGGATGAAACAGGAGAATGCCAGAGGGAGAATTTATTACTTGTAAGGATGCTCATTTCTTAGAAAAGTTTGGTTTATAATCTGAAATTTGGTATTGACTGCAGGTATGGACATGGATTCATTGTTGCTGATGCCAATTCTGGGCATGTAATAACTACTCAAAACTAAACCAGGCCACTACCATTTTTTAATTGTACTGTGGATCTTTTAGTCTTAGTTTAAGCTGCCCCTTTGACTTTATGGGAAGGAAACAGAATAAAGGAAGGAACATGCCTAGCCTAATTAGACTATACTAAGTGCATTGGCCATTTCATTAGTTCTTTTACTAATGACTGGACTAAGTATTTTACACATGCTGTCAAATTAACACACATTCATGAAAAACATTGAGTCATATACTGTGAAGATTAAAAATCATATCATGCAATCTTCACCACAATTTCAAGAAGTTAGGCATTTCATCATCCAAAGTTTGAAAATGAGCAAGTAAGAGTTTAAATCAAATGCCTAAGTTTACATAATTTGCAAGTGATGAAGCTGAGATCTGAATTCAGGTTTATCTGACTCCAAAGCTCATGTTTAGGGCCTCACGGATAACACTGTAGTCATCCAGTAAATGCTTGTAAAACTAAACTTTTGTGGAAGCAATAATGGTGGACCCACTGAAGATGGCCCAGGGTACAAAGGAGTCATCCTCCTCAAAATCCCACTCTTTCCCCATCCATTGGTTTATTTATCAAACACTTCCTGAGTTTATATTCTTGTCAATATACTGTGTTATGAGACTCAGATATGAACTTATCTCTGGACAGCCTTAATCCCAGATGACCTAGTTGGGAAAATAGAAAGACAAATAATTATTACACAGTAGTCTATATACCAATTCAGGAATATTTATGGTGATCTATGACTGAATAGTAATTACCCTAAACTTAGTGTCTTAAAACAGTAGTTTTATTATCTCTTATGATTCTTGAGGTATTGGACTCAGCTAGGGTTCTCTTGTGTTTTTGCAGTCCAATGGTTGTTGAGACTAAGATCATCTGAGGCTTTCTTTACTTACACATCTAGCTTCTGGGATGAATGGAACCATTGTTAGATAGTCTGACAGATATCTCTTTCTTCACATGGATTCTCCATATGGCTAGCTTAAAATTTCTTATAGCATGACAGTCTCATGTAGATAAATATTTCTGGTGACTGGCTTCCCTTGAATTAAACCTTCCAAGAGACAAGGTTGGAAGCTGCAAGGCTTTTTCTTAGTAAACCTCTGAAGCCACACAGTTTTTCTTCCACTGCATTCTGTTTGTTACCAGTGAGTCCCAATCCTGCTCAGATTCAAGGGGTGGGGCTATAAAAGAGCACAAATACTGACAGAGGCATTGTTCTTTGTTGTGTTGGGGGGGTGCATCTTTGGAGACCAGCTCCTATATTTACCAAGGGCTTTGAGATCCGTATGAAGCAACAGACCAACTCTACCCTAAGGCAGAAGAAGTCCAGGCTGAGAAGATTTTGACAAAGGTGAGGTGGGACTTACAAGTCAAGAGGCTAGAGTTTGGTCCCCCACGTAATTGGATTGAACAATGGCGTGTGTTTAGTGGGATGGGGTATGTGGAGAGTGGCATAGAGGGTACAGAGATTACCAATAGGTGTCTGCTTCCTGGCCATGCAAGAAATGCAGACTTTATAAAGAAGGGAATAGGAATCATTGAAAGGTTTAAAGCAACCAAAGAGTACCAAGATGAGTGCTGCATATTAGAAAGATAACTCTCTGGTTGCAGTGTGGACGATAGACATAAGAAGTCAATAATGGAGTCAGGGAAACATGCAAATGAGAGAAAATGGTGGGCAAAGGACATGGACAGACACTTTTCAAAAGAAGACATAAGTGCAGCCAACAAGCATATGGAAAAATGTTCAACATCACTAATCATTAGAGAAATACAAATCAGAGCTACAATGTAAAACCATCTGATACCAGCCCGAATGACTGTTATTAAAAAGTTAAAAAAATAACAGATGCTGGTGAGATTGTGGAGAAAAGGGAATGCTTATACATTGTTGGTGGGAATGTAAATTAGTTTAGCCATTGTGGAAAGTAGTTTGTTGATTTCTCCAGGAACTTAAAATACAATTACCATTAAACCCAGCAATCTATTGGTTACATACCCAAAGGAATGTAAATCATTCTACCCTAGAGACACATGCATACATATGTTCATTGCAGCACCATTTACAATAGCAAACACATGGAATCCAATGTCCATCAGCAGTAGATTAGGTAAAGAAAATGTGGTACATGTAGACCATGGAGTACTACACAGCCATAAAAAAGAACAAGATTATGTCCTTTGTAGCAACATGGATGGAGCTGGAGGCCATTATCCTAAGCAGTCCTACCACACAGACATAAAACCAGATACCACATGTTGTCACCTATAAGTCACAGCTAAACACTGAGCACACATGGACACAAAGAAGGGAACAATAGACTCTGGGGCTTACTTGAGGCTGGAAGATGGGAGGAGAGTGAGGACTGAAAAGCTACCCATGCGGTATTAGGCTTATTACCTGGGTGATTAAATAATGAGTACACCAAACTCCAGTGACATGTGATTTACCTGTACAACAAACCTGTACATGCACCCCTGAACCTAAAAGTTAAAAATAAATAGGGTCGTTGTGTAAGATTAAGTTGAATTGTAGAGTAACATTTAAGAGAGGTGTGAAAGTGTAGCATGTGCTAAGATGCATAGACTTTGAACTCTGGAATATGACTGCTTGGTTTTAATCCCTGACACGACCTATGTGCTCTTGGGCAACTTGCTTAATCTTCTGTACCTCAGTTTCCCTATCTGTAAAATGTGAGAATAATAGCCCCTATCCAAAAACAGTTTTTGTGAAAAGCAAATTAATTATTTTTACTACAGTATAAAAACACCACAAGATCAATTCTGTCCATTATGTTCACTGATATATTCACAGCACCTAACTAGATTCTCAATAAACATTTTTGAATGAATACATGTAAAATGATTGGAACAACAACTGACACAATTTTACTCCTAGAAATTTATCCTAAAAATATACTCACAATAATTTAAGCCAATGTAAATAAGAGATTATTAATTACATAAATAGCAATAGCTTACTTGAACAAGAAAAGTTTGGGAAAGAATATATGCTTATATACATACATTTATCAAAAGGAGACTGTATAAGCAAATTATGGCTTAGTCATACAATGAAATACTATGCAGTCACTAAGAAAATAAGGGAACTTGATATGTACAGTTAAAGAATGATCTCCAACATATGTGAAAAAGTAAGGTACAGAAAAAAGCAAAGTGTAGAAAAATATCAAGGTGCTAGTGCATATAGTATGTTATCATTTGTAGAGGAATGTATATGCATGTATGTGAATATTTATGTATATACCTATATATGTGCACACACACAATCTCTGGTAGGGTTCACAGAAATTTGGCAACAATGTTTGCCTCTGGGGAAGGGATATGGCTCTCTGGGCTCAGGAGTGGGAAGAAGACTGATGCTAGACTCTTGATATTTGTTTTATGTGCAAGGTAAATGAACCCTGTTTAAAATGAATCAAACAGTTTATCATTTCTAAAGGAATAATTGATATCAAAAAACAGTTGAGTACATAAGGTCATGCGAGAGGGTGGGTGTGTTTTCAAGTGTCTAAGAGAGCCACATGGCATCTTGCTGAAAGTATGTGTGTGGACACAGGGCTGAAAAAAATGTGGCATTTTTCTGCACAAGGGAGCATCATGCCTTCAACTGGTAAATCCCCTGTGAATTGACCTCTAAAGATTGATTATGGTTCAGCATTCCACTCCTTTGGCTTGGAAAATTAGATTGAATACCATTATTAGTTTTGACTATCAGACCTGAATTTTCTGTATACTCACATAGCAGGCAGATAGCCTCTAGTATTTCACAAGTAATCTCATGGAAGTTTGCTTTCTTAAGGGGATGGAGGATGCTAAGAGTAGGCCAGTAGTGCCTACTATGTGCCAGGAACCCTGCTGGGTAGTTGACTTATACATCACATCAGTTAACCCTCTCACTACCACCTTGAGTGGTCATTATTATCTCCATTTAAACAACAAACAGTCTTAGATGGTTAAATAAATTGTCCATGGACATACAAGTGTATATGACAAGAGAGAAGTCATATGACAAATGCTATTGACTATGCCTGAGCTCGTGAATCATTAATATTATCATAGTATTTTTTTTGAGGAGGAAAACCTTAGACATCATCTCAACTTGGGCAGGTCACTCATATTTTATAGGTAAGGATGGTGTGGCCCATAGATGGGAAGAGAGTTATTCATGTCACAAAGGGGATGGTGCAGGTTAGGGCCACATTCTAAGTCTTTAGATGCTTAGCCCAGGATCTCTTTGGGTTTTATTTTTTCAGTTCTTTCTAAAGTTGGATCCCAGCAAAACCTTACAAAGGCTGCATTACTCTTGGATCTCATCTTAAAGACCCTGAAATGGCTCCTCTATTTGTTCTGGGATCCCTTATTTTTGACTCCCCATGTTCATCATTGGTAACTTGGCCTGTGCCTGTAGAAGTGACCTACCAATTTTTATAAATAGCATTTCAAGCTGTCTTTAAATTAGAAGTATCTGGTGAGAAAAGATTGGTTTTTATTTGCTTTGGAATTTCTGGACTTCTTTGTTTTGTGTCAGGCATGACTGTAGGTACTCATCCTGGCTTGCCTAAATGAGTAATTATCTGGCATTCATTTAAAAGGGCTGTATAGAACCCAGAGGCAGTGCCACATTGATGTATGGATTACCAGTAGAATGTGAGAGCTACAAGTTAGAAAGTTTTATTGCTTCCGTGATACTCAGGGTTCTAAGATGATCCCCAAGATTCCTACCCTTCAGTGTATGCACCATGTATAATCTCTTCCTTTTGATTGTGGGCAGGACATAAGAATATTATGTATGTCACTCTCATAATTATGTTACACTATATGGGAATGATAATTAGATTTTATAGATGTAATTAAGGCCTCTAATAAGTTTGACTTTGAGTTAATCAAAAGGGAGATTACCTGGGTAGGCCTGACCTAATCAGGAAAGCCCCTTAAAAGGAAGGCCTAGGCCTTCCTAGAGGTTAGACAAATTGTCCTCATGGCTTTGGATTGTACAGCCAAAAGTAAATGAATTCTTCTAACAATCATGTAAGTTTGGGAGAAGACCCTAAGCTCAGATAAGACGATAGACTGGATTGACACCTTGATTACAGCCTTGTGAGACTGAGCAGAGGACCCAGCTAAGCTGTTCTCAGAATTCTGCTCTACAAAAATTGTGGGATACTAAATGGGTTTTAAGCTTCTAAGTTAGTGGAAATGTGTTAGCCTAAAAAACTAATATATTCCTTGTGTTTGTGGAAAGAATTTACACTCCGCTTTTTGTGGTTGATCAGTGGTCCTACACATGATTTCTTCCATTTTTTGTTCCTACTTAAACTTGAATTTTTTTAGGTGAGAATCTTCAAGAACAAGAACCTTTAGGTGCCTTTGTATAATATTCGTCACAATAGCAAAGACTTGGAACCAACCCAAATGTCCAACAATGATAGACTGGATTAAGAAAATGTGGCACATATATGCCATGGAATACTATGCAGCCATGAAAAATGATGAGTTCGTGTCCTCTGTAGGGACATGGATGAAACTGGAAACCATCATTCTCAGCAAACTATCGCAAGGACAAAAAAACAAACACCGCATGTTCTCACTCATAGGTGGGAACTGAACAATGAGAACACATGGACACAGGAAGGGGAACATCACACACCGGGGACTGTTGTGGGGTGGGGGGAGGGGGAGGGATAGCATTAGGAGATATACCTAATGCTAAATGACAAGTTAATGTGTGCAGCACACCAACATGGCACATGTATACATATGTAACAAACCTGCACATTGTGCACATGTACCCTAAAACTTAAAGTATAATAATAATAAAATTAAAAAAAAATTTGTCAAATGACTTAATTTCCTTCTGCCTTCCTTCATTCATCTGTGAAACATGAATAACTCTGGTTGGTGTGTCAGCTGGCTTATTAAGTGGCACTCAGTTGGAAGTTGGGCTGGTCAGAGGCTTTTACAATGTTTGGGCAGCTGTTGTGGATTGGAAAGAGAACTAGGTTTGGAATCCAAAGAGCTTCATTTCCATTTATTCTCCTATGTAAGAGCTGTACGACCTTAGGCAAACTGTTGAACTTTTCTGATTCTTAGTTTTTCCATGTGTAGAGTGAGGGATAATAATAGGCTAGTGGTGAGGACATTGCATGACTCATGTTGTCACCTTCAGTTTGCTTTAAAATTGTCTAAGTCAGTTCCTCTCTCGTAAACTTTGAAGGGCCCTAACTCTCTTGATCCCTCGGATTCTTGTAACTCAGAAAGGAAGCTTTGCAAATGGGAAATCATTGAGAATGGTAAATATTCAGGTGACAAACACAACGAAAAATTTCCATTTTCTTTCATGAGCAAAATGTCACCCTATTCTGCTTCAATGGAGAATAAAGAAATTTGAATAAAATGTCAGTTTTTTTTCTGAACTAATTTGGGAATCATAATGACATGCACAGTCTCAGCTGAACACATGAATATTTATAATTAAAAATGAAATTGTCCTTTTTTTCAGAGTGTGACGGTGAACAAAAATCCCCAGGGGTGTCCTGGGCCAGAAGAGCTATTTGTTTTAAGAAAAATTCTAAGATAGAGAAGGAAAACAAAGCAGAACAAAACAAAAACAAACCAGAAAACACAATGGAAGCCATCTGAGGGTTGGTAAAACACAGTTGGACTCACAGTTATTCCTCACAGTTAGACTGATGGTGTCCCTTCCATCCCCTCCACATGGCTTACTCGTGGAGAACACAGAAACTGTCAGTCACCCTGTGAGGGAAGGAGCTTTGAGGACAAGTCCTGAGTGTTTGCTCCCCTACTCCCCTTCCCTGCCTCTGGCCAGCATTTTAATGTGCACACATACATTTCCTTTTCCAGACATACTGGAGTTCTTCAAAATTAAATAATGGGACAGACATGTATTAAATACATAAAATGAGAAAACAGGGTGCTCCTACAGGTAGTGAACCTTTAATTAGTAGTTACTATATCCATGTTATAGATGAACAAACTGAGATCGACAGATGTGTTTGCCTGTTAGTGACATATTTGGTTATTCCTTTCATTATAATTTTTAATTTTCATTTTTAGTCGGAGGACCTCTTCAGGATGTTTCCTTATACTCAGCACAGATAGAGAACCACTTTGATGTTGAGGAAGAAATAAACAGGCTGTAGGTCTGGGGTCTGGACTATGTGGCCTTGGGCAAAGCTCCAGTTTCTGGATCCTTACCCTTGTTTGGACAATTTTGTAGTTGAACTCAATGACAATTAAAAAGTTTCTTCTAGCTCTGAAGTCTGTGGCTGTGATTCCTCCCTCTTCCTGTACCAGCTTTCCAAACATTAGAAAGATGCTATTGTTCTGTGAAAGGAAAATAAAATCTCGGGACCCTAAAAATCACTAAGCCAAAGGGAAAAGTCAAGCTAGGAACTGCGCCAGGTAAACCTGCCTCCCATTTTATTCCCAAGTAGGATGGCTACAAGGATTTTTAAAAAGCTACATACCTCCTCACAATTTGCCCACAAGAAAATTCCTTGTGGGCCTTAAGATCTTTACCCTAAAATAATTCTGTTGAATTTCACCCTGGCAATGTAAATTAACAGCTTATCTTCACAGGTGTGGGACAAAGGATGGAACTTAAAGTCATCCCTCTGTTCACTTGAGACAAAAGCATATCTGATTGCTTCCTCTGCCTCACTGTTTATGTAAAAATGCAGATTCACTGAGCCAGACTAAGGCATAAGTGACTATTCCTCTACCCGCCTCTCACATGTAAATTGTGTATTTAGTGAAAGGCTGACCAAAGACCCCAAATAATACAACCTTTTGTCTTTTACCTACTTATGACCTGAAAGCCTCCCCTCACCCCCACTGCAAGTTGTCCCATCCTTCCTGATCAAATCAATGTAAATCTTACATGTATTAACGGATGTATTATGTCTCCCTAAATTGTATAAAAGCAAGCTGTACCCTGACCACCTTGGGGGCATGTCGTCAGGACCTCCTGAGGCTATGTAACTGGTGCATCCTTAACCTTGGCAAAATAAACTTTCTAAATTGATAGAGACTTGTCTCAGATATATTTAGGTTCACAGTTCTTTTCTCTGAGCCTGGCAGAGGAAATCATTTTTGGGAGGAAAGCCAAGGTTTATGTCACTTAGAACTTTTCACCCTAAATAATCTTTCCTGCTTTTCCCTTAAACCCAGGGAAGCAATTATTTTTGCTCAGCCTTGGTAAAGTTGAGGAACTACTAAACTGATCTGTTCAGGATTATTGAGCTTAATTGAGCTTAATCAAGATACATCTTTCTTTGTTGAAAAGGTAGAGAAGTTTGATGCTTAACAGCTCGACAGTTTCTTCTAGAAGCCTTGGAAAACTTGGTTTTATTTTCTCTCTTTTTCATGTACTTGCTTCTTTGGAGTTAATGGTTTCTTCCTGTAACAGTGCCATCATCAACCTTCCTGGACACCACCCACATCCATTATCTCAGTGACAGTGCCTTAATTGAAATGACATCTTAGAATTATTTCTTTAAAATTCATTGTTTAATTCAGTAAATTTAGTATTAATTAACGCCAACTGCCCTGGTGTTTTGGTCTCCCATTTGTCACTCTCTCAGCTCATGGAGCAGTACAAGAAATAATAGGTCTATTTCATTTTACAGGACTTATTTTACTTTACAATTCAGATTTGCTAGTGTAGCAATAATGGAAATTCAAAATGTCTTGGTATTTTGTAATGATCATACTTGGAAAAAAGAAAGCAAGGGAAGAGAAGAGGAGAATGAGAAAAAGGAGGAGGAGGAAGTAGAGGAAGAGGAGGAAGGCTGGTGGTCAGATTCTACTCATCAGTGGAGGAGCTTTGGTGCTGAGGAAAGTACCAGAAGTCAAGGTGGGGGTATACAAATGTCAGTTGTGGCTCCTTGGGTAATGTCAGACAGCTATATGCTTCAAAAGCCTTGTTCCATTTGCATAATATTCAAACTGAGACTCTGTGTGTGTGTGCACGCAAGTACAGTTAACTATTTTTCAGCCCTGTGGGAAAATATGTTGTAGTTAAATAATGTTATAACAAAGAGTTATCATGCGTCTTGTTAATATAATACAAATTTTCTAAGAATTAGATTATGTTGGGAACGTAGCTATTGAGTCTTAGTGGTTAAATGTGGTCTTAGGTTGGTTTTCCCAGAAGACTCTGAGATAAGGATTTGAGAACAAGTAGCTTATTTCAAGGGTGATCAAAGGAAGCATTCAAAGACAAGACATGAAAGAGAAAAACAGCCCCAAAATATATACCTTTTAGTCAGTTACACCATGGGCAATTGGGGCTCAACCCTACTGGGGAGCTTTGGGAGATGATGCAGAACTCACCTTCAAGTATGCCACCTGAAGGCTGAGGAAGCTTGGTATTTATCCTCCAGCTTCCACTTGTTATTACTGAGGGCTCCTTCCGGGAGCACCAAAATTGTGGAACTTATGGCCTGCCCAATTTGTGGGTGGCAAAATAAAGTCTTTGGGCTTGCTTTAAATTGCAACATGTATGTACTAGCAAGATGAGTGCAAAGAAATAGAGGTGGAACACTAACAACATCTACTTATGTGTAATAATTCATGGATAGTCAGGCTCAATTATCATCTGAGGTTAGAACTGGAGGCTGCCACACTGTGGGATAGACTACTTTGGGGTCCAGGTTACCATGAGGGGTGCACATACTCATCATACTTTAATATTTCTCAGCCAGGTACAATTTATCTATGTGTAGTGGATATGGCAGATGTTCTGCCCAGATCCCCTTTACTCAGAGCCTTGACTTAGCCCTGCATTGTGAAAGAGGGTAGCTTGTTTAACCTGTAACAGCAGTCATCTGTTTTTACATTAAGCGGTGCTAATGATCTGTCTATGCTTCTTGGCTTCATAGGTCACAGTGTTTGGACACCGCATGAACATGCCAATTTCCTGTGTTGTAATATTTTTATGCACTTTAAGAAGACCACCAGAAACAGCAGAGTGAGTGAATGAGTGAGTGAAATTCCTGTTTATGTATTTAGGTTAGAGTGGGTAATATGAAGCCACAGACGGAAAGGAAATGAACACCTTTTAAATGAGGAAGATCTTATTATCCCCATTTTAATATTATCTCCATTTATAGAAGAAAACTGAAGCCCAGATAATCTCATTAACTTGCACAATATCACAACCTGTCTGTCGGTAGATTTGGGATTTGAATCAGGCCTTACTAGACACAAGGATCACTTTTTAACAATCACATCACACTGTCCCCAAATGACAAGACATCATACTTCCTATTTGACTGGAATCTTGAAGTAAGGGGAGAAATTGTTGCAGCCATAGCACCTTTATTTCCAAGGGTTCTGTAACATTAGAATATTGTCAATGGCTCTGGCCAACAGAACATTGGGAATTGGCTCTAGTTCCTTTCATTTCTATTGATAATGTGATCTTCAGTTCACTTGAGCACATGAAATCTTCCTAAACTTAGTGATGCTTTCTGATTGGCAGGTGTGACTAACACATATCAGTGCAATGGCTCTGGAACTCTTTCCTTATAGAGTCTGATCATCTTGATTCTCAGGCTGAGTACAATTAAACCTTCTCTCATTTATAACTTACAAAGGTCTCACAATACCTGGGAGCCAATGTAATGCATGCCTTAATCATCAGTATAATATCAAGAAAGATTTCTTTGCCACAGGGCCTGTTGAAAATACACTGTCAGACAAGAAACCTGGTCTCCCCATGAAGCTTCCATGTGTTTGAACCTGGAGGGCTCTAACAACATGGGGTCTTCCAATCATTTGAAGAAGTGATTGTGTTTATTTGCTCTGTATCCTTTACTTGACTTTCATTTAAATTCCACAAACATTTTCTGAACACCTACCAAGTGCCAGGCACCGCACTAGACCCTGGGGAAATTACAAAGATAAAGAAGACCTTGTCCTAGTTTCATTCTTGCAGAAGAGCCCAGCATATAAACAAACAAGTATTTATTGCACTTTGCAGAAAGAATTAGGGCTAATTAGTTATTCCTGTACCTAGTGTTGGGAGCCCAGGACAAGGTGTTAATTCTGACAGCAGGGGATATGGAAGTGATGTTGAGGGATGAGCATGGTGTTGATAAACAAGGAAAGGAGCTAGATTTATCTTTGCGGGCAACCAATACAAAACAGGAAGCAACATTCTTCAATTGTTTTCATACATAGTTTTGTCTGTAGGTTAGTACGCATAGATAATATGTGTGTGTGTGCATATATGTGTGTCTGTGTCTGTGTATGTATGTGTAGGAAAGAGTCACTGAGATGCAAAGAGAACTATTTCATATCTGGCCAGCCATAGGATGTTTATCACTAGTTTTCCGTGACTTGGGCTTAAAGGCCAACCTCTTACCTGCAAGACATAGAGAAAGCCATGACAGCATGATTATACTAATATTTCTGATCATCTGCAAAACTTATCATGTGGCAATCACCTGGACTTAAAATCTCCCGTTGAGATTTGGTTGTTAGCACAGCCCAAATAGGCTGCTCCCATTTTATTGTTTTAGTTTGCCAGACCCAGGCTGTGTTTATATTGAGGAGAGAAATAATTTTTTCCCATAAAAATGATTTGCAGAAACTGCCACTCTGCACTTCTGCAGGTTCATTTTAAAAGGATTTGGTAGAATCTGTTTGTTAGCAGGAAAAGAAAAGAGCAATATTGCCCCAGTTTTCACCACAGAGAGTAATGGGAAGTGACAGCCTAGGGCAGGCTGAAGTGGTGACAGCAGAAATAGTTCAGTGGTAAATGAGGAGGAGAATGATATTTATTGAACACCTGCTATGTTCCAGGCACAACTCTAAGCATGTTTTATGTATTGTTTCATTAACTCTGTAAAGATAAAATGGAATTATGCATGCAAAAATGTTTTATAATATGCTCTACGAATGTTAGGTATAATTAATATTTTCCTATACTGTAAAGCCTTCTAAGATTCATTTGAGACCAGTCTCTTCTGTTTTCAAATGTTAATCTACATTGAAGCAGCAGCAGGTCAGTTTTCTCTTATGAATAACTTCTAAGTAAGAAAAAGGTGATGAGAGAAGCAGATGGATTGACTCTTGAGATAGGAGAATGAAAATGTGTGCTGAAAGGGTTTATTATTTAGATTTTTGTTTTTGATTCTTCCTTTGGCTTTGACCTTATGAACTGCTGCTAGAGCAGCCAATGTGGTATCAGAAGTGAGCAGCCCTTTTATTCTGCTCTCCACTCCCATCATGGCTGAAGACGTGTAGCAATAGGGAGTTGGACTTGCCCTTCTAGTAAAGGTAAATGGCTTCCTGACCCACAAGTTGTGATCAAACACTGTAGACAATTTCATTAGACATTCCAGCCCTATTAGACCTCAGTAGACCTCAGTATATCTCAGTGTCCAGATATAAAAAATCTGCTGGTTGAGAAATGGCCAGTGGAAAACAAACCACTCATTCCAGATTTTAAAGGGGCTGATACTCAAGTTTCTGCCCTGGGACCAGAAACAATTGACTTCTTGTTCTACTAGGAAGGAATGGCTGATATTGCACCATTTAAACCTCCTAGTGTTGGATGTATCTCAGAGCCAGTCTATCTTTTACTGCATCCCTCCCCAGAACAAGAGCTAAAATGGTTTAATAAACTGTGCAATATATATACATACATATATACATACATATATATGCTATACACACATATATATATGCACACGCACGTGCGCACACACACACACAAACACACACACACAATGAAGGCACAAAAGAGAAACTGGAAGAACCAGAGGCAAATCTCATTTCCTTTTATTTCTATTTTACATCAGCTTCTTTCACTATGTATCTTGACTGATCTTCAGCAGCTTTCACTATTTGAAGCCAAGTCTAAATTCCTTAGTAAGATGCCTGGTCAAATGCTTTATCAAGCCTACAACCTTATCTCTCAATAATTTCCTTTGCTTACCTTACACTGTAGCCCCATTATATTTCTCCAGATTCCTAGCAGGCCCCATGTCTTCTCTCCTTCATGCTTTCATCTTAATGTTCTTAGTGTCTATGGTATCTTCTTCTTCATACATCTAAATCTCACTCTTCCTCTTAGTTCCCTCTCAAGCGCTATCCAGCCAAGAAGCCTTTTCAGCTACCTCCTCTCTTCTCTCCAGCTAATAATGACCCTTATTCCTCTGAAATATGTCATGCTCAGAGCACTTCACCCAAAGCACTTGACATTTGTTATTGCAGACTCCACATAGGTGGTATTTGATTCATATCAATGTATACATCATCATCTTCTTAAAGACAGCATTTTTACTACTTACTCATTTTTCAAGACAAACCTTCACATGGCTTTTTACAATCCTGCCTTATTTGATCTGAATTAGATCTCATGACCATTTGGGACTGCATTTGATACTGTATTTTAATCTCATGATTGAGGAGAGACATAGAGAGTAGGTGCCTTTGAGTCAGACCTGGTTGCCAGTCCCAGCCCTTAGTGATCTCGGACAAGTTATCTAACCCTTTAAAACCTCAGTTTCTGCCCTTCAGATGAATACAATGACTCTCTGCCTGGGTAGTTACTATAGTAGATTGAATAGTAACCCTGAAAAAATAAAATATGTGTCCACATCCCAATCCCCAGAACATGTGAATGTCACCTTATTTGGGAAAGAAGTCTTTGTAGATGTAATCGAGTTAAGGATCTTGAGATAGACAGATCATCCTGGATGATCCAGATATGTCTTAAATCTAATGATAAGTGTTCTTTTTTTTTTTTTTTTTTTTTTTTTTTTTTAGTATACTTTAAGTTTTAGGGTACATGTGCACATTGTGCAGGTTAGTTACATATGTATACATGTGCCATGCTGGTGCGCTGCACCCACCAACGTGTCATCTATCATTAGGTATATCTCCCAGTGCTATCCCTCCCCCCTCCCCCGACCCCACCACAGTCCCCAGAGTGTGATATTCCCCTTCCTGTGTCCTTGTGATCTCATTGTTCAATTCCCACCTATGAGTGAGAATATGCGGTGTTTGGTTTTTTGTTCTTGCGATAGTTTACTGAGAATGATGGTTTACAATTTCATCCATGTCCCTACAAAGGACATGAACTCATCATTTTTTATGGCTGCATAGTATTCCATGGTGTATATGTGCCACATTTTCTTAATCCAGTCTATCATTGTTGGACATTTGGGTTGGTTCCAAGTCTTTGCTATTGTGAATAATGCCGCAATAAACATACGTGTGCATGTGTCTTTATAGCAGCATGATTTATAGTCATTTGGGTATATAGCCAGTAATGGGATGGCTGGGTCAAATGGTATTTCTAGTTCTAGATCCCTGAGGAATCGCCACACTGACTTCCACAATGGTTGAACTAGTTTACAGTCCCACCAACAGTGTAAAAGTGTTCCTATTTCTCCACATCCTCTCCAGCACCTGTTGTTTCCTGACTTTTTAATGATTGCCATTCTAACTGGTGTGAGATGATATCTCATAGTGGTTTTGATTTGCATTTCTCTGATGGCCAGTGATGATGAGCATTTTTTCATGTGTTTTTTGGCTGCATAAATGTCTTCTTTTGAGAAGTGTCTGTTCATGTCCTTCGCCCACTTTTTGATGAGGTTGTTTGTTTTTTTCTTGTAAATTTGTTTGAGTTCATTGTAGATTCTGGATATTAGCCCTTTGTCAGATGAGTAGGTTGCGAATATTTTCTCCCATGTTGTAGGTTGCCTGTTCACTCTGATGGTAGTTTCTTTTGCTGTGCAGAAGCTCTTTAGTTTAATTAGATCCCATTTGTCAATTTTGGCTTTTGTTGCCATTGCTTTTGGTGTTTTGGACATGAAGTCCTTAACCACGCCTATGTCCTGAATGGTAATGCCTAGGTTTTCTTCTAGGGTTTTAATGGTTTTAGGTCTAACGTTTAAATCTTTAATCCATCTTGAATTGATTTTTGTATAAGGTGTAAGGAAGGGATCCAGTTTCAGCTTTCTACATATGGCTAGCCAGTTTTCCCAGCACCATTTATTAAATAGGGAATCCTTTCCCCATTGCTTGTTTTTCTCAAGTTTGTCAAAGATCAGATAGTTGTAGATATGCGGCATTATTTCTGAGGGCTCTGTTCTGTTCCATTGATCTATATCTCTGTTTTGGTACCAGTACCATGCTGTTTTGGTTACTGTAGCCTTGTAGTATAGTTTGAAGTCAGGTAGTGTGATGCCTCCAGCTTTGTTCTTTTGGCTTAGGATTGACTTGGCGATGCGGGCTCTTTTTTGGTTCCACATGAACTTTAAAGTAGTTTTTTCCAATTCTGTGAAGAAAGTCATTGGTAGCTTGATGGGGATGGCATTGAATCTGTAAATTACCTTGGGCAGTATGGCCATTTTCACGATATTGATTCTTCCTACCCATGAGCATGGAATGTTCTTCCATTTGTTTGTGTCCTCTTTTATTTCCTTGAGCAGTGGTTTGTAGTTCTCCTTGAAGAGGTCCTTCACATCCCTTGTAAGTTGGATTCCTAGGTATTTTATTCTCTTTGAAGCAATTGTGAATGGGAGTTCACTCATGATTTGGCTCTCTGTTTGTCTGTTGTTGGTGTATAAGAATGCTTGTGATTTTTGTACATTGATTTTGTATCCTGAGACTTTGCTGAAGTTGCTTATCAGCTTAAGGAGATTTTGGGCTGAGATGATGGGGTTTTCTAGATAAACAATCATGTCGTCTGCAAACAGGGACAATTTGACTTCCTCTTTTCCTAATTGAATACCCTTTATTTCCTTCTCCTGCCTGATTGCCCTGGCCAGAACTTCCAACACTATGTTGAATAGGAGCGGCGAGAGAGGGCATCCCTGTCTTGTGCCAGTTTTCAAAGGGAATGCTTCCAGTTTTTGCCCATTCAGTATGATATTGGCTGTGGGTTTGTCATAGATCGCTCTTATTATTTTGAAATACGTCCCATCAATACCTAATTTATTGAGAGTTTTTAGCATGAAGGGTTGTTGAATTTTGTCAAAGGCTTTTTCTGCATCTATTGAGATAATCATGTGGTTTTTGTCTTTGGCTCTGTTTTTATGCTGGATTACATTTATTGATTTGCGTATATTGAACCAGCCTTGCATCCCAGGGATGAAGCCCACTTGATCATGGTGGATAAGCTTTTTGATGTGCTGCTGGATTCGGTTTGCCAGTATTTTATTGAGGATTTTTGCATCAATGTTCATCAAGGATATTGGTCTAAAATTCTCTTTTTTGGTTGTGTCTCTGCCCGGCTTTGGTATCAGAATGATGCTGGCCTCATAAAATGAGTTAGGGAGGATTCCCTCTTTTTCTATTGATTGGAATAGTTTCAGAAGGAATGGTACCAGTTCCTCCTTGTACCTCTGGTAGAATTCGGCTGTGAATCCATCTGGTCCTGGACTCTTTTTGGTTGGTAAACTATTGATTATTGCCACAATTTCAGAGCCTGTTATTGGTCTATTCAGAGATTCAACTTCTTCCTGGTTTAGTCTTGGGAGAGTGTATGTGTCGAGGAATGTATCCATTTCTTCTAGATTTTCTAGTTTATTTGCGTAGAGGTGTTTGTAGTGTTCTCTGATGGTAGTTTGTATTTCTGTGGGATCGGTGGTGATATCCCCTTTATCATTTTTTATTGTGTCTATTTGATTCTTCTATCTTTTTTCTTTATTAGTCTTGCTAGCGGTCTATCAATTTTGTTGATCCTTTCAAAAAACCAGCTCCTGGATTCATTGATTTTTTGAAGGGGTTTTTGTGTCTCTATTTCCTTCAGTTCTGCTCTGATTTTAGTTATTTCTTGCCTTCTGCTAGCTTTTGAATGTGTTTGCTCTTGCTTTTCTAGTTCTTTTAATTGTGATGTTAGGGTGTCAATTTTGGATCTTTCCTGCTTTCTCTTGTAGGCATTTAGCGCTATAAATTTCCCTCTACACACTGCTTTGAATGCGTCCCAGAGATTCTGGTATGTGGTGTCTTTGTTCTCGTTGGTTTCAAAGAACATCTTTATTTCTGCCTTCATTTCGTTATTTACCCAGTAGTCATTCAGGAGCAGGTTGTTCAGTTTCCATGTAGTTGAGTGGCTTTGAGTGAGATTCTTAATCCTGAGTTCTAGTTTGATTGCACTGTGGTCTGAGAGATAGTTTGTTATAATTTCTGTTCTTTTACATTTGCTGAGGAGAGCTTTACTTCCAACTATGTGGTCAATCTTGGAATAGGTGTGGTGTGGTGCTGAAAAAAATGTATATTCTGTTGATTTGGGGTGGAGAGTTCTGTAGATGTCTATTAGGTCTGCTTGGTGCAGAGCTGAGTTCAATTCCTGGGTATCCTTGTTGACTTTCTGTCTCATTGATCTGTCTAATGTTGACAGTGGGGTGTTAAAGTCTCCCATTATTAATGTGTGGGAGTCTAAGTCTCTTTGTAGGTCACTCGGGACTTGCTTTATGAATCTGGGTGCTCCTGTATTGGGTGCATAAATATTTAGGATAGTTAGCTCCTCTTGTTGAATTGATCCCTTTACCATTATGTAATGGCCTTCTTTGTCTCTTTTGATCTTTGTTGGTTTAAAGTCTGTTTTATCAGAGACTAGGATTGCAACCCCTGCCTTTTTTTGTTTTCCATTGGCTTGGTAGATCTTTCTCCATCCTTTTATTTTGAGCCTATGTGTGTCTCTGCACGTGAGATGGGTTTCCTGAATACAGCACACTGATGGGTCTTGACTCTTTATCCAACTTGCCAGTCTGTGTCTTTTAATTGCAGAATTTAGTCCATTTATATTTAAAGTTAATATTGTTATGTGTGAATTTGATCCTGTCATTATGATGTTAGCTGGTGATTTTGCTCGTTAGTTTATGCAGTTTCTTCCTAGTCTCGATGGTCTTTACATTTTGGCATGATTTTACAGCGGCTGGTACCGGTTGTTCCTTTCCATGTTTAGCGCTTCCTTCAGGAGCTCTTTTAGGGCAAGCCTGGTGTTGACAAAATCTCTCAGCATTTCCTTGTCTATAAAGTATTTTATTTCTCCTTCACTTATGAAGCTTAGTTTGGCTGGATATGAAATTCTGGGTTGAAAATTCTTTTCTTTAAGAATGTTGAATATTGGCCCCCACTCTCTTCTGGCTTGTAGGGTTTCTGCCGAGAGATCCGCTGTTAGTCTGATGGGCTTTCCTTTGAGGGTAACCCGACCTTTCTCTCTGGCTGCCCTTAACATTTTTTCCTTCATTTCAACTTTGGTGAATCTGACAATTATGTGTCTTGGAGTTGCTCTTCTCGAGGAGTATCTTTGTGGCGTTCTCTGTATTTCCTGAATCTGAACGTTGGCCTGCCTTGCTAGATTGGGGAAGTTCTCCTGGATAATATCCTGCAGAGTGTTTTCCAACTTGGTTCCATTCTCCACATCACTTTCAGGTACACCAATCAGACGTAGATTTGGTCTTTTCACATAGTCCCATATTTCTTGGAGGCTTTGTTCATTTCTTTTTATTCTTTTTTCTCTAAACTTCCCTTCTCGTTTCATTTCATTTATTTCATCTTCCATTGCTGATACCCTTTCTTCCAGTTGATCGCATCGGCTCCTGAGGCTTCTGCATTCTTCACGTAGTTCTCGAGCCTTGGTTTTCAGCTCCATCAGCTCCTTTAAGCACTTCTCTGTATTGGTTATTCTAGTTATACATTCTTCTAAATTTTTTTCAAAGTTTTCAACTTCTTTGCCTTTGGTTTGAATGTCCTCCCGTAGCTCAGAGTAATTTGATTGTCTGAAGCCTTCTTCTCTCAGCTCGTCAAAATCATTCTCCATCCAGCTTTGTTCCATTGCTGGTGAGGAACTGCGTTCCTTTGGAGGAGGAGAGGCGCTCTGCGTTTTAGAGTTTCCAGTTTTTCTGTTCTGTTTTTTCCCCATCTTTGTGGTTTTATCTACTTTTGGTCTTTGATGATGGTGATGTACAGATGGGTTTTCGGTGTAGATGTCCTTTCTGGTTGTTAGTTTTCCTTCTAACAGACAGGACCCTCAGCTGCAGGTCTGTTGGAATACCCTGCCGTGTGAGGTGTCAGTGTGCCCCTGCTGGGGGGTGCCTCCCAGTTAGGCTGCTCGGGGTCAGGGGTCAGGGACCCAATTGAGGAGGCAGTCTGCCCGTTCTCAGATCTCCAGCTGCGTGCTGGGAGAACCACTGCTCTCTTCAAAGCTGTCAGACAGGGACACTTAAGTCTGCAGAGTTTACTGCTGTCTTTTTGTTTGTCTGTGCCCTGCCCCCAGAGGTGGAGCCTACAGAGGCAGGCAGGCCTCCTTGAGCTGTGGTGGGCTCCACCCAGTTCGAGCTTCCCGGCTGCTTTGTTTACCTAAGCAAGCCCGCGCAATGGCGGGTGCCCCTCCCCCAGCCTCGTTGCCGCCTTGCAGTTTGATCTCAGACTGCTGTGCTAGCAATCAGCGAGATTCCGTGGGCGTAGGACCCTCTGAGCCAGCTGTGGGACATAGTCTCGTGGTGCGCCGTTTTTTAAGCCGGTCTGAAAAGCGCAATATTCGGGTGGGAGTGACCCGATTTTCCAGGTGCGTCCGTCACCCCTTTCTTTGACTCGGAAAGGGAACTCCCTGACCCTTGCGCTTCCCAGGTGAGGCAATGCCTCGCCCTGCTTCGGCTCGCGCACGGTGCGCGCACACACTGGCCTGCGCCCACTGTCTGGCACTCCCTAGTGAGATGAACCCGCTACCTCAGATGGAAATGCAGAAATCACCCGTCTTCTGCGTCGCTCACGCTGGGAGCTGTAGACCGGAGCTGTTCCTATTTGGCCATCTTGGCTCCTCCTCCGATAAGTGTTCTTATACCGCATACGCAAAGGAGAAGTCAGACTCAGAGAAGGCAATGGGAATACATAGACAAAGACTGGAGTGATGTGATCACAGGCCAAAGAAGCCAGCGACCACCAGAAACCAGAAGCAGCACAGAATATGTTCTCACCTAGAGCCTCTGTAGAGACTGCAGCCTTGCTGAAACCTTGATTGTGGACATCTGACCTTCAAAACTATAAGAGATTAATTTTTGTTGTTTTAAACCACCAATTGTGTGGCAATTTTTTACAGAATCAAAATACAGTTATGTTTCTATCTGTCTATCCTATGAACCTGACAGCTCATGAAGGAAGGAACCTTCCTTCCCTCAAACTGCCAATCCCTGAGGCTAGCTCAGTGTTTGGAGCAATAATATATGTTTGATAAATAGTACAGAGCATATTTTCTGCTTAGCCCTTTAAATGACCATGTGGAATTGAGATTTTATCACTAAAAAGGAAAGAAAACTTAAAAAAAGATTAGAGAAGGATTTAGAGGAAGAAAATCTCTTCATTTAAGACTTTATGCTCCAAACTGTTTTTTTTTTTAATTCATTTATTATCAGTCCCAAAAAACCAGGACAGTCTGAATGTATAATTTAGATCAGAGACAATGGAATTTCTCTCCTTTTCCTTTAGTCGTCAATTAGCATTTATCAGGTGCCTACTCTGTGCAGAGGCCTATACTGTATTAGGCTGTCTTAGTATCCACATTTCACTGTCTTGACTGATGATCAACTACTTATTCCTGTGACTTACATGGAGAATGTCCATCCCCTTCTAGGAATACTCCACCCAGTTCTAGTGGGCTAGAACCTTGTCCATGGTGCTGAATAGATGTGATGTGCCTATCAGAATGATCACAGCACAGCCAGCCTAGTAGCTTTATATAAAATATACAGGCATAACAGCAGAAGGGTGGGTCATTTTAGTAAAATGTTTGCTTACATAAAGAAGTATTACATAAAGAAGGATTTACAGAACTCTACAAATATCTCATTCATGCATCTTTCATCTGAATGTTTATTAAGTCAATCTTCTATATCAGACACTCTGCTAGGTGTTGGAGAAAAATGGACCTTATGATGAAAGTGTCCTCAGTTTAGTGAGGGAGACAAATGCACATAATAGAAAAGGCTAGTATTAAAACAGACAGGTCTAAATTACTGATGACAATGGGGGAATAGCCAAAGAAGCACAAAAAAACTGGGATGTGTTTTGTTTCCGTTCTTTTGTTCATTTCTTCACTCATTCATTCCTTCATTCAACATCACTTGCCTTGTAAAGTAGCAAAGTTTTCAGTCCTTGTGGGTGACTTGAGCCCTGGCAGCCAGATGATCTCTCATGGAATGCTTTCTGCAGTAATTGCGGGTTTGACATTGATAGTATTTAATTCCCTTATAGTTTAAGATTCTAGATTTTCATCATGTAGAGTGAAAGAAACAGAAGAGAACAAAAGAAGGGAAGATAATTTATATCTACTGTAAAATACTAGCTCCTCTATTAATAGTATTTCATCGAATATTTCCAAAAAGCCTATGTAATCCGATAGTATTTTCTGATTTTACAAGTAAGGCAGATGATACATTGTGACTACATGTCCCCACCAAATCTCATGTTGAATTGTAATCCCTGATGTTGGAGGTGGGGCCTGGTGGGAGATGTTTGGGTCATGGGGGCAAATCCTTCATGGCTTGGTGTTATCCTCATGATAGTGAGTGAATTCTTGCAAGATCTGGTTGTTGTAAAGTGTGACGGCTCCTCCTCCCCGAATCTTTCTATTCATCCTGCTTTTGCCATGTGATATGCCTGCTCCCCCCTTCACCTTCCACCGTAACTGTAAGCTTCAGAGGCCTCCCTAAAAGCTGAGCACATGCCAGCACCATGCTTTCTGTAAAGCTTAAAGAACCATGAGCCAATTAAACCTATATTGTTTATAAATCACCCAGTCTCAGGTATTTCTTTATAGCAATGCAAGAACAGCCTAATACAAGAGAAGATACTAAGATTACATAACTTTCTGAAAGTCACATAATCAGCAAATGGAGAAGTTGAGATTCCAAAAATGTCTTATTGAATCCAAAGCCTGAAGATACCCTGAAATTTTCTCACACAATCAGACTGGGATTTCATTTTATGTACTATGTTACAAGTGATGCCAGGGTATAATTAGGTCATTCCCATACCTTAATTACTAAGCCCCTTTGGTTTGTAAGCTATGATGTACTGACCACCGTAGATGCTGCCATATAATGTGAATGTCCAAATGCTGTCAGTCACAGGCTTGAGGAGGAGAATTCACTGTTGTTAGCTTTTTCTAAGAAAGAGGACCAGGTATTAATCTCTAGGTAGCACTGGGCTCAGTGACAGCTGTCCTAAGTTGTAACTTTTTCTGTTTTTACTGAAATAACTCATCATGATATTCTATTTGTCACTTGTCAAGGAAATCAATATAGTCTAGAACTGTTACCTCGCCAGGATCTGTATTGGACTATTTATGGTCAAAGGCAAGTTTACCAACAGAGTAGGAGGGGCAAAGCAGATAAAAGGATCTGGATCTTTCTTGTAAATATTGAGTGGCTTGTGTGTCCCTTGGAAAACTAAGGCATAGAGGACATTTACAAAGGGAGGGGGACTGGAAAAGAGGAAATGAAAGACCTTTTTAAAAATAAGGACAATTATATTTGCTTGGTAGAGCTGTTGTGAGGATTAAACAGGATATTATACATTGTATAGTGTTGAGTATAGTGCCTGGCACAAAGCAGATAGTGAATGAGTCATATCCATTATTAGGCACTGGAGAGGAAGAAAGATAAAAAGACCATAAGTAAAAATAACATCCACAGCAATAGCACAGAATTCTTCAGTGCCGGGAGTGAAAAGAAGTAAGTCGCCAACATGAAAAGTAGAGATAGTATCCTTTGTTTCCATTGGTTATTAAGGTGTTTCATTCATTTAAATATTTGTCAAGCAGGAAACACTGTGCTAGGTACTGAGGAGATGGAGACAAGTAAGAAATGATGTTTGCCTGCAAGACTTCAAGTCTAGTTGAGGAAACAGAGATAAACATATAATTGTATTGTAGTTTGCTGAATGAGAAAGATACAATGATGGTGATGTACAGTCCATGAGCACAGGATCCATATGTACATTTGCTTGCAATCTTTTCCTCTTACACCCATCACAGTGCCAGGCACATGGAAAACCCTCAATCAGTATCAGTTGAATGAATAAATATTGAGTGAAAGAATAAGGGAATATGCTAGGGTGGTGAATTAAGGCTATGCTGAGACAAAAATATTTGAGCTAAGATACCTGATGTCTGAATATTGAGTATTGGGGTGGATGAGGATGGTTGTGTGCATGTGTTGTGAGAGTGGGGGGGGTATGGATAAAGAGATGCCAAATCCATGGGGAAAGTGTAGGAAAGACACGGTGGCATGAAACAGCAGGGACCACACGAGAATAGAGAACATTTGGGAGCATAGGCAGCACTGGGAATGAAGCCGAAGTGGTAGATAGTAACAGATTAAAATATAAGCAGCTTCTACTGATTTGTTCATTCCTTCACTTAAAAGGTATCCACTGAGTGCTTACCATGTGTGGAGACTATTAATAGGTTTTGACAATAACACGTTGACCAAACCAGGCAAAATTTCTTATCTCATGGAGCATGCATTCTCATGAGACAAACAGCAAAAACCATTTAAAACGTTTAGTATGTTGAATTGTAATTAGTAATATGGAGAAAAGTAAATCCTGAAAGAAGGTGTATGGAGGATGGCTGAGAAAAAGGTGTATGGAGGAAGTATAGCTCATGAGACCTAGTGGTTTCAAACTCTACAATTTTTTCTTTTAGGATTTGAACTTGCAAAGCCAGGTTACCTTTGTTCTCATGCACTGTGACTTGACTTGAGCTTATGGCCTCCATCTGAAGTCTGGTGCCTAGGGTTCATAATTACACTGGTGACTTTGCAAGGCTTTTTGAACCTTTTTAGCCATCCTATATGTAATATCATAAAGAGTTCATTTTTTCTGTTTTAAAAAAAGAATAATTATTGATTTATTACCAATTGTGATTTATAAACACTATCATCAATATTATGGAACTAGATTTCAATACTCATAAACACTTCTACTAAATCTCTCACATCAGCTTAATTAAGGACTGATTTTTCTTATCCCTTAAAATATGAATAATATTTATTTAATTTCTTGCTTCAGGCACAGAAAAGCTTGGTTGTGTTCTCCATACAGCTTTCTGGTTACTGGTTTTGAGGGTACAATAGCTCTATGCCCTTTGCTTGCTGTAATTACTCCGGCATTAAATGCTTATCTTAGGGAAGGAGTGAAATATCTGGGTAATTTTTTAACAAATTAATTATCTTAAATATTTTTGAGTAAAAGCAGGTATAAATTAATGAAAGAGTCTCCTAATTAGTATTGGGATCTTCTCTGTTCTCTGTTGTACAGTGAGAAGTGTAAGGGTATTAAATGGAAACGCAAGTTGCCTTTTATTTAGGCAGAATGTGAATAGGGCTATTTGCTCATTTTCACCATTACTGGTAGGTACCCAGTGACATAAAATCAACTCTGCATGTCCTTGGAAGGGACTTTCAGACTGAACCACTTTGCATTGTTCTCCAGGCCCCCAAATACTGCAGGGGTGAGCCCTTCTGTCCTCTCATTCCTTCACAAGATCTCAATAAGAATGGAACTGCAAATGCTGAAACTTTGGGGTTCTCGGCTTACTCCATACCTCCTACCTGCCCATCATCCCTGTCTTCACTGTTTTGCAACACTTCTTGCACTGCTTTTTTCCCCTCAGCTTGCAAACAGCTCAAACCTCTTCCATATTAAAAAAAAATAAAATTTTAACCATCATATTTCACCAATCTCCTTTCTTTTCTCTTTCACAATAAAACGTCTTGAAAGAGTTGTCTGTATTCACCTCCTCTCCCTCACTTTTCTTTCTTACTCGTTCACTTTCACACTACAATTTGTGTTCAGCAACATCATTTCCACTATACACTCTACAGAGATTGTTCTTGGTAGAGATGCCACTGACTTCAAGTTTTTTAAGGCAGTAGGCTAGTGTCATTTTATTTTTTGATAGCATTTGACACTGCTGACAAGTTATCTTCTCCTTTGTTGTTTGCTACACTCCACTCTCCTTTTCTCCTGCTACCTCCCCAGTGGTTCCTTCTCCTTATGGTTTCCTCTTCTTAGGTTCTTCATTGGTCCTACCTGCATTTATGCACTCCTTTGACTTCAGTTATCATCTATATGCCAATAATGACTAGATGCACATCTACAACCCAAATTTGTTTTCTAATTTTGGGTTTGCTTATTTAATGGCTTGCTGGTCATCCCCACGGTGGCCTTTGCTTCATTCTGAAATCAGGGAACTATGTCTACACTGGAGCTGTTGATTCTTATCCACAGTCTGGGCTCCCAACTGTCCAAAGAAGTATGTAGTCTGAGCTGTACAAATCTCTCACTCCAGTCTTCTGTCTCCTCCAGAAGTCTTTTTTCTCATAAGTTGATCAAAGTGTTTTTTAGTTTGAATGGCTGATTTGCTTTGCAAAAGGCGCCAGGAGTCCCTGGAACTCCATTCCTTATGCTTACCTTCTGGTTCCCTGTGTCAGAGACTGCCTAGCTCTTCAACAAATCCATTTTTTTTTTCTTTTTGTGAACATAGTTAAAGATTCCCCAACCTGCTTTGCAGTGGCTGAATGGAAGGTGATATAAATAATTTCCAGACCTGACTCAGAAAAACCTCCTTTGAGATGTTTCATTTTTTCTCTTTATTTCCCTATGGCTGAAGGGAGAGGATTCAGATGCCCTAGGGAAGGGTGGAAACAAAAATAACTACATAGTGCAAAGCCTGCCCCATCTGTTCTGACTCTTATTGAACTTTTCATAGTAAGAAGTAATTATATTGTACTAAGCCACCAAAATTTGGGAGTTTGCATGTTATAAAAGTAAGCCTACATTAGCCAATACAGTCATACATCACTTAATGATGGGGATACATCTTGAGAAATGTGTCAGGTGATTTCATCACTGTGCTAATATCATAGAGTGTACTCACACAAACCTGGATGGTACAATCTAACTGCATGCCTAGGCTGTATATTTTAGCCTATTGCTCCTAAGCCACAGACCTGTAAATATGTTACTGTACTGAATACTGTAGAAAATTATAATACAATGGTAAGTATTTGTGTATGTAAACATAGAAAAGGTATAAGAAAAATATAGTATTATAATCATATGGAACAATTTTTGTATTACGTGGTCCATCATTGTCCAAAATGTTGTTATGCAGCACATGACTGTATACCCATATTTCCTAACAGTTAACTATTGTGTAGAACTTAACATGTCCCATTTACTTTATTAACTTATTTACTATTCTCAAAAACTACACAGGGCACACATGAATTATTAACATTCTTTTAAAGATGAGGAAATTGAGGCCAGAGAAGTTAGGTGTCTAGCTTATGATCATATGACAGGTAAAAACCTTATGTAAACGCTCTTAACCACTATAGACAGTTTCAAAAGAGATGTGTAGTAGGCAGAATAATGGACCTCAAAGGATGTCTATATCTCAATCCCTAGAACCTGAGTATATGTTACTTTATAATGCAACAGAGACTGTGCAGATGTGATTAAATTGTAGATGTACAGCTGGCAGAATAATGGAGCCCCCTTTGGGGTCCAGAATAATGGATCCTCCCTTTGTCTATATCCCGATCTCTAGAACCTGTGTATGTGTTACTTTATAAGGCAACAGGGACTGTGCAGATGTGACTAAATTAAGCACCTTGAGATGGAGAGATTGTCCTGGGTTATTTGAATGAACTCAATTTAATCGTTAGCATCCTTCAAAGTGGAAAGGGGAGGTAAAAAGGTAAAAGTAAGGCAATGTGAAAATAACTCAATCCACCAGTGCTGGCTCTGAAAATACAAGAGGACCAAGGAATACAGGAACCCTGTAGAAGCTGAAAAAGGCAAGAAAATTGCATCTACAGGAACACAATCCTATTCACAGTTGCTACAAAAAGAATAAAATACCTAGGAATACAGTAAACCAGAGAGGTGAAAGAGCTGTACAATGAGAATTACAAAACGCTACTCAAAGTCATCAGAGATGACACAGACAAATGAAAGAACCTTCCATGTTCACAGATAGGAAGAATCAGCATCATTAAAATGACCATACTGCCCAAAGCAACTTAAAGATTAAATGCTATTCCTATCAAACTACCAATGACATTCTCCACAAATTTAGAAAAAAAACTATTTTAAAATGCATGTATAGGGAACCAAAAAAGATCCCAAATAGCCAAGTCATCCTAAGCATAGAACAAAGCTAGAGGAGTCACATTGCCCAACTTCAAACTATACTAAATGTCTGCAGTAACCAAAACAGCATGGTACTGGTACAAAAACAGACACATAGACCAAGGGAACAGGATAGAGAGCCCAGAAATAAAGCCACACACCTACCACTATCTGACCTTTGACAAAGCTGACAAAAACAAGCAGTGGAAAAAGGATTCCATGTTCAATAAACGGTGCTGGGAGAACTGGCTAGCCATATGCAGAAGATTGAAACTGGAGCCCTTCCTTACACCATATTTAAATATCAACTAGAGATAGATAAAGGACTTAAATGTAAAACCCACAATTATAAAAACACTGAAATATAACCTAGGAAATACCACTTTGGACACAGGAACTGGCAAAGATTTCAGGACAAAATCGCCAAAAGCAATTGCAACAAAAGCAAAAATCGACAAATACAAAATAACTAAACTAAACAGCTTCTGCACAGCAAAAGAAACAATCAACAAACAGACAACCTATAGAATTGAAGAACATTTTTGCAAACTATACATTTGACAAAGGTCTAATATCCAGAATCTACAAGGAACTTAAATGCACAAGCAAAAAACAACCCCATTAAAAGTGGGCAAAGGACATGAACAGACATTTCAAAAGAAGACATACATGCAGCCAACAAGCATATGAAAAAATGCTCAATATCACCGATCATTAGAGAGATGCAAATCAAACCCACAATAAGATACCATCTCACATCAGTCAGAATGGCTATTAGTAAAAAGTCAAAAGATAACAGATGCTGGTGAGGTTACAAAGAAAAGGGAACACTTACACACTGTTGGTGAGAGTGTTAATTAGTTCAACCATTATGGAAAGCAGTGTAGTGATTCCTCAAAGAACTAAAAGTGGAATTAACATTTGACCCAGCAATCCCGCTACTGGGTATATGCCCAAAGGAATAGGAATCATTCTACCATAAAGACACATGCATACATATGTTCGCTGCAGTACTCTTCACAATAGTGGAGACATGGAATCAATCTAAATGCCCATCAGCAGTAGACTAGGTAAAGAAAATGTGGTACATATACACCATGGAATACTATGCAGCCATAAAAAGAATGAGATCATGTCCTTTGTGGGAACATGGATGGAACTGGAGGCATTAATTTTATTTTATTTTATTTATTTTTTATTTTATTTTTTTTTAACTTTAAGTTTTAGAGTACATGTGCACAACGTGCAGGTTTGTTACATATGTATACATGTGCCATGTTGGTGTGCTGCACACATTAACTTGTCATTTAACATTAGGTATATCTCCTAATGCTATACCTCCCCCATCCCCCCACCCCACAACAGGCTCCGGTGTGCGATGTTCTCCTTCCTGTGTCCATGTGATCTCATTGTTCAGTTCCCACTATGAGTGAGAAATGCGGTGTTTGGTTTTTTGTCCTTGCGATAGTTTGCTGAGAATGATGGTTTCCAGCTTCATCCATGTCCCTACAAAGGACAAGAACTCATCATTTTTTATGGCTGCATAGTATTCCCTGGTGTATATGTGCCACATTTTCTTAATCCAGTCTATCATTGTTGGACATTTGGGTTGGTTCCAAGTCTTTACTATTGTGAATAGTGCCGCAATAAACATATGTGTGCAAGTGTCTTTATAGCAGCATGTTTTATAATCCCTTGGGTATATACTCAGTAATGGGATGGCTGGGTCAAATGGTATTTCTAGTTCTAGATCCCTGAGGAATCACCACACTGACTTCCACAATGGTTGAACTAGTTTACAGTCCCACTAACAGTGTAACAGTGTTCCTATTTCTCCACATCCTTTCCAGCACCTGTTGTTTCCTGACTTTTTAATGATTGCCATTCTAACTGGTGTGAGACGGTATCTCATTGTGGTTTTGATTTGCATTTCTCTGATGGCCAGTGATGATGAGCATTGTTTCATGTGTCTTTCGGCTGCATAAATGTCTTCTTTTGAGAAGTGTCTGTTCATATCCTTCACCTACTTGTTGATGGGGTTGTTTGTTTTTTTCTTGTAAATTTGTTTGAGTTCATTGTAGATTCTGGATATTAGCCCTTTGTCAGATGAGTAGATTGCAAAAATTTTCTCCCATTTAGTAGGTTGCCTGTTCACTCCGATGGTAGTTTGTTTTGCTGTGCAGAAGCTCTTTAGTTTCATTAGATCCTATTTGTCAATTTTGGCTTTTGTTGCCATTGCTTTTGGTGTTTTAGACATGAAGTCCTTGCCCATGCCTATGTCCTGAATGGTAATGCCTAGGTTTTCTTCTAGGGTTTTTATGGTTTTAGGTCTAACATTTAAGTCTTTAATCCATCTTGAATTAATTTTTGTATAAGGTGTAAGGAAGGGATCCAGTTTCAGCTTTCTACATATGGCTAGCCAGTTTTCCCAGCACCATTTATTAAATAGGGAATCCTTTCCCCTTTTCTTGTTTTTGTCAGGTTTGCCAAAGATCAGATAGTTGTAGATATGCGGCGTTATTTCTGAGGGCTCTGTTCTGTTCCATTGATCTATATCTCTGTTTTGGTACCAGTACCATGCTGTTTTGGTTACAGTAGCCTTGTAGTATAGTTTGAAGTCAGGTAGTGTGATGCCTCCAACTTTGTTCTTTTGGCTTAGGATTGACTTAGCAATGCGGGCTCTTTTTTGGTTCCATATGAACTTTAAAGTAGTTTTTTCCAATTCTGTGAAGAAAGTCATTGATAGCTTGATGGGGATGGCATTGAATCTATAAATTACCTTGGGCAATATGGCCATTTTCACGATACTGATTCTTCCTACCCATGAGCATGGAATGTTCTTCCATTTGTTTATATCCTCTTTTATTTCATTGAGCAGTGGTTTGTAGTTCTCCTTGAAGAGGTCCTTCACATCCCTTGTAAGTTGGATTCCTAGGTATTTTATTCTCTTTGAAGCAGTTGTGAATGGGATTTAACTCATGATTTGGCTCTCTGTTTGTCTGTTATTCGTGTATAAGTATGCTTGTGATTTTTGCACATTGATTTTGTATCCTGAGACTTTGCTGAAGTTGCTTATCAGCTTAAGCAGATTTTGGGCTGAGACGATGGGGTTTTCTAGATATACAATCACGTCATCTGCAAACAGGGACAATTTGACTTCCTCTTTTCCTAATTGAATACCCTTTATTTCCTTCTTCTGCCTGATTGCCCTGGGCAGAACTTCCAACATTATGTTGAATAGGAGTGGTGAGAGAGGGCATCCCTGTCTTGTGTCAGTTTTCAAAGGGAATGCTTCCAGTTTTTGCCCATTCAGTATGATATTGGCTGTGGGTTTGTCATAGATAGCTCTTATTATTTTGAGATACATCCCATCAATACCTAATTTATTGAGAGTTTTTAGCATGAAGTGTTGTTGAATTTTATCAAAGGCCTTGTCTGCATCTATTGAGATAATCATGTGGTTTTTGTCGTTGGTTCTGTTTCTATGCTGGATTATGTTTATTGATTTTCGTATGTTGAACCAGCCTTGCATCCCAGGGATGAAGCCCACTTGATCATGGTGGATAAGCTTTTTGATGTGCTGCTGGATTTTGTTTGCCAGTATTTTATTGAGGATTTTTGCATCGATTTTCATCAGGGATATTGGTCTAAAATTCTCTTTTTTTGTTGTGTCTCTGCAAGGCTTTGGTATCAGGATGATGCTGGCCTCATAAAATGAGTTAGGGAGGATTCCCTCTTTTTCTATTGATTGGAATAGTTTCAGAAGGAATGGTCCCAGCTTCTCCTTGTACCTCTGGTAGAATTCAGCTGTGAATCCATCTGGTCCTGGACTTTTTTTGGTTGGTAAGCTATTAATTATTGCCTCAATTTCAGAGCCTGTTATTGGTCTATTCAGAGAGTCAAGTTCTTCCTGGTTTAGTCTTGGGAGGGTGTATGTGTCGAGGAATGTATCCATTTCTTCTAGATTTTCTCGTTTATTTGCGTAGACGTGTTTATAGTATTCTCTGATGGTAGTTTGTATTTCTGTGGGATCAGTGCTGATATCCCCTTTATCATTTTTTATTGCGTCTATTTGATTCTTTTCTCTTTTCTTCTTTATTAGTCTTGCTAGTGGTCTATCAGTTTTGTTGATGTTTTCAAAAAACCAGCTCCTGGATTCATTGATTTTTTGAAGGGTTTTTTTGTGTCTCTATTTCCTTCAGTTCTGCTCTGATCTTAGTTATTTCTGCCTTCTACTAGCTTTTGAATGTGTTTGCTCTTGCTTCTCTAGTTCTTTTAATTGTGATGTTAGTGTGTCAATTTTAGATCTTTCCTGCTTTCTCTTGTGGGCATTTAGTGCTATAAATTTCCCTCTACACACTGCTTTAAATGTGTCCCAGAGATTCTGGTATGTTGTGTCTTTGTTCTCTTTGGTTTCAAAGAATATCTTTATTTCGGCCTTCATTTTGTTATGTACCCAGTAGTCATTCAGGAGCAGGTTGTTCAGTTTCCATGTAGTTGAGTGGTTCTGAGTGTTTCTTAATCCTGAGTTCTAGTTTGATTGCATTGTGGTCTGAGAGACAGTTTGTTATAATTTCTGTTCTTTTACATTTGCTGAGGAGTGCTTTACTTCCAACTATGTGGTCAATTTTGGAATAGGTGTGGTGTGGTGCTGAGAAGAATGTATACTCTGTTGATTTGGGGTGGAGCATTCTGTAGATGTCTGTTAGGTCTGCTTGTTGCAGAGCTGAGTTCAATGCCTGGATATCCTTGTTAACTTTCTGTCTGGTTGATCTGTCTAATGTTGACAGTGGGGTGTTAAAATCTCCCATTATTATTGTGTGGGACTCTAAGTCTCTTTGTAGGTCTCTAAGGACTTGCTTTATGAATCTGGGTGCTCCTGTATTGGGTGCATATATATTTAGGATAGTTAGCTCTTCTCGTTGAAATGACCCATTTACCATTATGTAATGGCCTTCTTTGTCTCTTTTGATCTTTGTTGATTTAAAGTCTGTTTTATCAGAGACTAGGATTGCAACCCCTGCCATTTTTTGTTTTCCATTTGCTTGGTAGATCTTCCTCCATCCCTTTGTTTTGAGCCTATGTGTGTCTCTGCACGTGAGATGGGTCTGCTGAATACAGCACACTGATGGGTCTTGACTCTTTATCCAATTTGCCAGTCTGTCTTTTAATTGGAGCATTTAGCCCATTAAATTTAAGGTTAATATTGTTATGTGTGAATTTGATCCTGTCATTATGATGTTAGCTGGTTATTTTGCTTGTTAGTTGATGCAGTTTCTTCCTAGCCTTGGTGATCTTTAAAATTTGGCATGTTTTTGCAGTGGCTGGTACCGGTTGTTCCTTTCCATGTTTGCTGCTTCCTTCAGGAGCTCTTTTAGGGCAGGCCTGGTGGTGACAAAATCTCTCAGCATTTGCTTGTCTGTAAAGGATTTTATTTCTCCTTCACTTATGAAGCTTAGTTTGGCTGGATATGAAATTCTGGGTTGAAAATTCTTTTCTTTAAGAATGTTGAATATTGGTCCTCACTCTCTTCTGGTTTGTAGAGTTTCTGCCGAGAGATCCGCTGTTAGTCTGATGGGCTTCCCTTTGTGGGTAACCCGACCTTTCTCTCTGGCTGCCCTTAACATTTTTTTCTTCATTTCAACTTTGGTGAATCTGAAAATCATGTGTCTTGGAGTTGCTCTTCTCGAGGATTATCTTCGTGGCATTCTCTGTATTTCCTGAATTTGAATGTTGGCCTGCCTTGCTAGATTGGGGAAGTTCTCCTGGATAATATCCTGCAGAGTGTTTTCCAACTTGGTTCCATTTTCCTCGTCACTTTCAGGTGTACCAATCAGATGTAGATTTGGTCTTTTCACATATTCCCATATTTCTTGGAGGCTTTGTTCATTTGTTTTTATTCTTTTTTCTCTAAACTTCTCTTCTCACTTCATTTCATTGATTTGATCTTCCATCACTGATAACCTTTCTTCCAGTTGATCAAATTGGCTACTGAGGCTTGTGCATTCATCATGTAGTTCTTGTGCCATGGTTTTCAGCTCCATCAGGCCCTTTAAGGACTTCTCTGCATTGGTTATTCTAGTTAGCCATTCATCTAATTTTTTTTCAAGGTTTTTAACTTCTTGCCATGGGTTCAAACTTCCTCCTTTAGCTCAGAGTAGTCTGATCATCTGAAGTCTTCTTTTCTCAACTCATCAAAGTCATTCTCCGTCCAGCTTTGTTCTGTTGCTGGTGAGGAGCTGCGCTCCTTTGGAGGAGGAGAGGCGCTCTGCTTTTTAGAGTTTCCAGTTTTTCTGCTCTGTTTTTTCCCCATCTTTGTGGTTTTATCTATCTTTGGTCTTTGATGATGGTGACATACAGATGGCGTTTTGGTGTGGGTGTCCTTTCTGTTTGTTAGTTTTCCTTCTAACAGTCAGGACCCTCAGCTGCAGGTCTGTTGGAGTTTGCTGGAGGTCCACTCCAGACCCTGTTTGCCTGGGTATCAGCATTGGAAGCTGCAGAACAGCAGATATTGGTGAACAGCAAATGTTGCTGCCTGATCGTTCCTTTGGAAGTTTTGTCTCAGAGGAGTACCCAGCCGTGTGAGGTGTCAGTCTGCCCCTACTTGGGGGTGCCTCCCAGTTAGGCCACTCGGGAGTCAGGGACCCACTTGAGGAGGCAGTCTGTCTGTTCTCAGATCTCCAGCTGCGTGATGGGAGAACCACTACTCTCTTCAAAGCTGTCAGACAGGGACATTTAAGTCTGCAGAGGTTTCTGCTGCCTTTTGTTTGGCTATGCCCTGCCCCCAGAGGTGGAGTCTACAGAGGCAGGCAGGCCTCCTTGAACTGCGGTGGGCTCCACTGACCTCGAGCTTCCTGGCCGCTTTGTTTTCCTACTCAAGCCTCGGCAATGGTGGGCGCCCCTCCCCCAGCCTTGCTGCCACCTTGCAGTTTGATCTCAGACTGCTGTGCTAGCAATGAGTGAGGCTCCGTGGGCATAGGACCCTCCAAGCCATGCATGGGATATAATCTCCTGGTGTGCCGTTTGCTAAGACCATTGGAAAAGCGCAGCATTAGGGTGGTAGTGACCCGATTTTCCAGGTGACGTCTGTCACCCCTTTCTTTGACTAGGAAAGGGAATTCCCTGACCCCTTGCACTTCCTGGGTGAGGCGATGCCTCGCCCTGCTTCTGCTCATGCTTGGTGCACTGCACCCACTGTCCTGCACGTACTGTCCGACACTCCCCAGTGAGATGAACCCAGTACCTCAGTTGGAAATGCAGAAATCATCCGTCTTCTGCGTCGTTCATGCTGGGAGCTATAGACTGGAGCTGTTCCTGTTTGGCCATCTTGGCTCCTCCCCCAAGGCATTAATTTTAACAAATGAATGTAGGAACAAAAAATACTGCATGTTCTTACTTATAAGTGAGTGCTAAATGATGAGAACACATGGGCACATAGAGGGAAACAACAGACACTGGGGCCTACTTGAGGGAAGAAGTTTGGAGGAGGGAGAGGTTCAGGAGAAAAAAGAAAAAACTGTCAGGAACTATGCTTAGTACCTGGGTGATAAAATAATCTGTACATCAAACCACTGAGTCATAAGTTTACCTATATAACAAACCTACACATGTACCTCTGAACCTAATATAAAAGTTAAAGTATTAAAAGGAAAATGGATTCTAGAACTTTCATAAGGGAACACAGCCCTGCTGACACATTGACCTTAGCCCCATGAGACCAGTGTCAGGTTTCTGATCTACAAAACTGTAAAATAATAAACTTGTGTTGCTTTAAGCCATTAAATTTGTGACAATTTGTTACAGCAGCAATAATAAACTAATATGAAATATGATGGAGAAAAATGGTCTCTCACCATGGGTAGAATTCAAATTTTCTGCAAGTTTATGAAAAACAAGCTTGTCATTAGATAATCCTGCTTAACTGGTAGACTATCAATACCTACTGTGCTCAATTTCTTTTACTTTTTGTTCTGTTGTTTTCAGTTTAATCAAAAGGAGTGTTTTTCCATTTAATTATTCATAAAATTTGCATGTTAAGAATGAATAAGTATAGATGTCTAATTTGGTTAAAAACTTTCAAATAGTGATTTTATCCTAAATAAATACACTCACTAAATAAACTTTAATATTCTCTGTTGAACTACAATAAGCTTCTTAACCAATTATTACCCATTAAAAGGTATGACATTTCATGAAAACCAGATAAAATATGGCACATGGAGAACACCATTTTTTTATGCTCTGTTAAGAAATACACAGTGTTAAGAAGTGCATAGAGCTAAAACTTGAATTCATGTGGAAAATATCTCTCATAATTTAAATACACAGGGCAGGATGGCTCTTCTTACCCCATTACCACCAAATGAAGGATACCAAGACAAAGGATAAAGGAAGGGGGATACACAAACAAACATCCCTTTTTACCACGAGTTTTTATTCATATTTCTAGAAATCTTTTCTAATATCTCATGATGCTTAATGACATTGTTTTCTTTATGAATGTACAAAATACAGCTTTGAGAAATGAGAGGCAAATAGTGATCATAATGGGAGAGGTAGTGATCTACAAAGATCACATGGTTAGTTACACCTGGTGCTGGGTTCTAAAGCCAGATGGCCTGGCTCCAGTGCCTAAACCCTGACTGCTGTGTGGCACTGCCTCATGGCTGCACAGTCTAGTAGGTAAGATAAGCACCTGTTTCCAGAGATCAGAGTGTGTTTCATCAATTCATTTTTCGTTTGATGCAGCTGAGGCGCATATTGGACAAAAATCACTTATCCAAGACCACGTTACTACAACCCCAGGGCACAGAAGCTAAGTCTTCCTATTGTACTGAACTCAGTTGACTGGAATTTGTTCAGGAAAGCATGAAGTCAAATGGAAGCTAGTCCGTGACTGGATTCATCTTTTGGTAAAAAACGAAGAGGAGACCCCATATCCTGGAGGTTCTTGCTTAACCCTGTCCCTAATAAGACCTAACTTTATGAGTCTTCTCCTTAGAGGCAGTCCTAGGGTAAGAGTGATTATTCCTGTGAGCCTTGTAGGTACTTTCGAATCAAGGAAATTAGTAGTTGATTGCTAATTAATTCAGTATTTAATGAATTTAAGTACCTAGGCAATGAGGCCACAATAGCAAATAAGACACAGACCTGTTTTCAAAAAGTAGCCTGTAAATAAGATATTTTTTTCTGCCATGGTGGCAAAGGCATGACTATGGTGATGAACATTCATAGGCTCACCTTCTAGCTCTGTTGTATGTTAACTGTGTGAACTTGGGTCAAGTTATGAAAACTCTAAGAACTCTCAAAACTCCTGATCTGTTTTAACATGAAAGTAAAGATATCTAATTGAATTGTTGTGAAACTTAAATGTAATGTGACATCCAAAGAATGTAGCCCAAAGTTGGATTTCAGTAAGTGATAAATAGAAGTATTTAAACATGGGTATGGTATGTTCTGTAACAGAAGAATGTCTATGTGCTGGGGATACCTAGAGACAGTGAAAATTCTGTCTGGCCTGCGAATTATAATAAAATGACTCTTTAAAGTCAATGAGTCTTAATATTTTCTCACATCTACTTTTCTTTTTCTTTCTTTTTTTTCTTTTCTTTTTTTTTTTTTTTTTTTTTTTGAGATGGAGTCTCACTCTGTCACCCAGGCTGGAGTGCAGTGGCACAATCTGGGCTCACTGCAACCTCTGCCTCCCAGGTTCAAGCAATTCTCCCACCTCAGACTCCCGAGTAGCTGGGATTACAGGTACACACCACCATGCCTGGCTAATTTTTGTATTTTTAGTAGAGACGGGGTTTTACTATGTTGGCCAGGCTGGTCATGAACTCCTGACCTCAGTTGATCCACCCACCTTGGCCTCTGAAAGTGCTGGGATTACAGGCCTGAGCCACCGCGCCCAGCCTCACGTCTACTTTTTAAGATCAAACGCCAAATCTTTGCCACATCGAATTTCTGGTTGAGTTACATTTGGTAGTGGGTATGAGAGGTAGTATGGGAGGGAAGTCTTGAGTCTAGAGACTTCCAGAACATTCATAGTCCTCTATATTTCTGTCCCACTCTTGCTCTGAAGTAGGAGGAAACATCTTTCCTTGACATTGGCCTCTGGTTCACACACTGATTCAATTTTTGTCCATGCTTTTTGGCATATCTCATTTAATTTTCACAATTCTGAAATGTAGAAATTATACTATTTTTTACAGGTATAAAAGGGTGACTTTGTAATAAGAGCTCAGGGCTGTGGACTGTCCATGAAATGAGGAGGGTAAATGCAACTCTATTTCTTCAGTTGATTTTTTTTTGAGACAGAATCTCGCTCTGTCTCCTGGACTGGAGTGCAGTGGCATGATCTTGGCTCACTGCAACCTCCATCTCCCAGGTTCAAGTGATTCTCCTGCCTCAGCCTCCTGAGTTGTTGGGATTACAGGTGTCCACCACCACAGCTGGCTAATTTTTGTATTTTTAGTAGAGATGGGGTTTCACCATATTGGCCAGGCTGGTCTCGAACTCCTGACCTCGTGATCCACCTGCCTTAGCCTCCCAAAGTGCTGTGATTACAGGCGTGAACCATTGCGCCTGGCCTCAGTTGATTTTTAATGTCACTGGGGCAGCTTTAAGTTTGTGCCTGTGATTGGAGTTCTGGTCCCATGACAAGACTCCCTCTTTGTAAGAGCAGCAGGGATGGCCATGATGGAACCTGACTTTATGAGTCACTGATAATTTCGATCTGCTACTGCACAGTCTCTTCTTGACACAAAGAAGCCCAGAGTGCTGAGTTCTGGAGCTTGTGTGAATAGTCGTGTGTTCTCGAGCTTGGTAGTGTGAGGATCTCTGAGAACTGTGCAAAGTCTTTCACAACTCAGGCATCCTTTCCTTGCTTTCTTTTCAGCTGAGCATGAATAGCCTGCACATAAAATACATGCTTTATGTATTTTATGACTTTTACGTTAAAAAGTCTAACCACAACCAACATATGCAACACTTTTTTTCTCCTGGAAATAGGATATACCAAAAAAAAAAAAAAAAAAAGTCTGTGATGAGCTGGTACAATCAGGGATTTGGAGATGAATGAAAGTGCTATATTATGCATGTTTTATAATATATTATTTACATTTCATTGAGCGCTTAGTGTGTTCCAGGCTCTTGGATTGTAAAGAGATGAAGAAGATACAATACTTGCCCTCAAAATCTCAGTCTATTTCTCAATGAGCAAAAAAAGAATTTAGGTTGAACCATATAGAAATGCTGATATCTGATGACATATTTTGAAAAAGAATTTTTATTATTTTTATATACAGAAACCTCAACAGTATACATTTAACCAAGTTTAGTGGAATTTCTTTAGCTTTTGCCTTTTGCAGCTTGGCAATGTGAGCCACAGATTTTGGACTGGGGTCATGCCTCCCCAGTGATGTTAAATCTTATACCTGTATGATTTTTGATTTCCAAAAACCAAACAGACATTGCATGAGATTCAATGTGCTACGTGTAAGAACCAAGGTAGGGAAGTAATTACAGATCTGTGCCTCACAGTAGTAACACTGAGTCCTTATTATATGCTGAGAGCTTTATATAAACCACTTAATTTGTATAACAACTAGCAGAGGTGAACACTAGAGTTGTTCCCATTTTGAAGTGAGTAAACTGTGATTTAAGAAGAGCAAGTTTGGCTAATGGCAGGTGTCAGAGCCAGAGTTTCACACAGGTCTGTCTTACTGCAAATCATTTGGTCTCTCTGAGCCTCAGTCTTATTACCTGTAAAATGAGAGGAAGGATACAATTCCTCCCTTCATTATTTTGCAGTCAAATTAAACTTTATTGAGAAATGACATTAGTTTATATAGCACGTGTAAATCCTCAAAAATCTATATGTAATTAAACCATAAGAAAAGTATACTTTTTGAGGAAAATCAATATTGCACTTGTAGGAAAAAACCCTATATATAAACATGCAAACTCTAATTTTATTTTGGTTGGTTAGAAGAAGAATGATTCATGGTACTAAGTAGGGGTAAAAAATTCAGAGGCCTCATGGTGTAGAGCAAGTTTGCTAACAATAGCGAATGGACAGATCGATAGCAAATCCATTTTAGAGAACTCGCTCATGGAGAGTATTGATATCTAACTTGGTCATTTCTCCTGTGAGATAAATAGGCACCTGTCTCTGTGTGAGGAAAACCACACACAAGAGCTGGGGTAATGTTTCTAAACAATTAATTGGCTTATTATCGAGGCTTAATGGATTGGTTCAATACATTCACAGAAAGCCATCAAGAGAATTATGCTAGCAGTTTCCTTGTAGCTGCTATCAAAATATACGACAGGATATAGGGGTTTTAAATTATTATTACTTTTTACAGCATCTGCATGCATCATTTACATTATAAATTGGGCCTATTCGAAAGCTATTGACTAAGTCTTTAGCTTTGTTTCAAATAACAAATATGGTACACATTGTGGCATCTTAGTTCCTAGGGAATATGATATAGCTACTTAAATTGTAAATGAAGCCATCAAAACTGTTCGATTCTTATATTCCTACAAAATATTTATAATGCAAGGGTTTATGTCAGAGGTATGAGAAAGACCCTGTGATGCAGTTTAACCTAGCCACTGGAAAAACATAGGTATTTTCTTCATGGGAAAGAAATGTTGGAAGAGAAATATAATGTTTGCAAACACTTGCCCTCAGAGAATAATCTGCCCTAGATATAGATTTTTTTAAAATTGCCAAACAAAATATTTCTTTGAGAAGCCACAAACAGATGTAGAGGGAAGATCATGATTCAGTGAAAATTTATTGATTACTCAGTATGTGCAGGTATTTCATACACATTATCTCATTAATCATTAAAGCAAACGTTTGAAGTGACATATTCCATATGATGAAGGTTGAGGCAATAGTATTTTAAAGAGTTTGCGAGGCACACCCAGGGTCATAGGACAATTAGATGGGAAAGGGATATGATCAAACTTGACTTTTGATTTTAATTTCTTTTTTCTTCTTCCATGATTATTGTGTATATTACTGTTAATTCAGCTCATTGAAAGGGTGATGCAAATCTATGGAAAGAAGCCATTAGGTTGCCCATGTGGGAATAAGAAAATAGGAAACTCATTTTGTGTTAAGGTTAGAGTTTGTGTCAAAACCAGAGTACTTTCCTCCCAGTAGAGTCCCCAGATCTAGTACTCAAATATCTAAATGACCAGGCTAGCAGGATGTTTTACCTATCCCCATTCAAAAGCCCTGTCTTTTTTTTTACATATCTCTGTGAGATTACTAGTGCCTTGGAATGGTAGTGGTCCAGGGTAGTGTTGAATCTAACTGTGGGTATGGCATTTAGATATAAACTGCTTGGCAAGTGCTAGTACCCTAGACAAGTTGAGGGAAGTCAAAAGCAGCAGGCCTCTTGGATGCAGAATCGTACCCTGCTCTGAGCATTGGACTTGGTCCAGAGAGAACCACACGCAGGTCTTACATGAAATCCCAAAGGCATAGCCCTTTTAGTCACCTTTCCTGGGTTTCAGAGACATATTCTGGGTGGGATATCTCATTTTCATGCATGAGGCTAACAGAGTTGCCATTTGGTGGAGAAAATCTTTGATGGATATTCATCTCACTTCTTTTATGTTACACACTAATTTCAAAGTTTCTCCTCTATTAAATCACATTCACAGGCACATTCCCAAGAAATTCAGGTCAGAACAGGTTTCTCCTTAGCCTGACTGACTTGGTAAAGGGGCAAGCCCATGGATCCTTCTGCTGTCATGGTAATAAGTAATTGTGCCGATGTAATTAATCAAGATTTTTTGGCCTAAGAGAAAAGAGATACAAGTAAACATAAATGAAATAAAAACTCTATGATATAAAATTTGAAGCAGAACTATCTCATGATATGCTGATTGTTTCATCTTATCTCATTCTTAACCTGTCCACTAATCTGTCTAGGCTTTTATAATGGCCTAGAATCAATGACAACCAAGTAGTAATGAGCGCCCCTAAGGTGCAGATTGTGGCGTCTAAGCATAACGGAAGCAGCACTCTCCAGATATGATTGATTCCAGGTTTTGGAAAGAAAATATGCAAGGCGAGTCTTTGCATTTTACTGTAGTAGAAAACTAAAAACTAACAAAGACAAGTAAGATCATTTAAAACAAAATAGGTGCCAACTTAAGGGAGCTCCTACTGGCCCAAGATGCAACAATTTGATCTTCAAAATGAATAATGATTGCAATGGAATGAAGCACATAAAATATATAAAAATCTTAGTTTCTAATTATAGTAAAAAATCAAAGACTAATTTAAAAAAAACTCATCGGTCATCATAAGAGTTTACTAAAGCACAAACTGATTACTTTTGGATTTTATTATTAAGGCAAAATAAGCATTCATCCAGACTCTTCTATATGAACTGTATTTCAGATTCCATGACACAGTTTATGAGGAAGACTTCCTTAGAGAATTATTACTACTAGGACTTGCAGAAAGAATGATAGAATTACAGAAATTAGACTTTTGCAGTTCTTTTTTTTTTTACCTTTATTGGGTTATATTTGATAAATAAAACTTGTATATATTTGAAACAAACAGTGTAACAGTTTGATATATGTAAACATTGTTAAACAATTGACACAATCAAGCTATTAACACATGCATCACCTTGAATCATTACCACGTTTTTGCGGTGAGGACGATTTATTCTCTTCAAATTTCAAGTGTACAATACAATATTTTCAACATATATTAGGTCCCCAGAACTTATCTTAAAGGAGGTTTGTTTTCCTTTGACCACCATCTTTCTATTATGCCCCTCCAATCCCCTAGCAACCACCATTCTGCTCTCTGCTTTTATGAGTTTGACTATTTAGATTCCACGTATAAGAAAGATCATACAGTATTTGTCTTTCTGTGTCTGCTTATTTAACTTAACATAATGTCCCTCAAATTTATCCAAGTTGTTGCAAATGGCAGGATTTCTTTATTTTATTACTCAATTTTGTATCTCTACAGAAAGTTTCTGCAGAGATACAAAATGGAATATTCTATTCTTTCTCTCTGTCTCTGAGTGTGTGTGTGTATGTGTATAAACTATCAAAACTGTTTGATTCTTATATTCTTGAGAATCATCGATCTCTCTCTCGCTCATATTTTCTTTATTCATTTATACATTGACAGACACTTAGATTATTTCCATACCTTGGCTACTGTAAATAATGCTGCAATGAACATGACAGTACAGATATCATTTCAAGATACTGATTTCATTTCCAATGGATATATATCCGGAAGCGTGATTGCTGGATTCTATAGTAGTTATATTTTAAGTTTTTGGGTCTCTCCATATGTTTTCCACATGACTCTGTCAATTTGCATTCTTACCAACAGTGTACAAGTGTTCTCTTTTTTTCCACATCCTCACCAGCCCTTGTTATATTTCATGTTTTTTAAAATCATACTCATCCGAACATGTTTCAGGTGATATTTCATTATGGTTTTGATTTGCATTTCCCTGATGATTAGTGATGTTGAGAAGCTTTTCATATATCTTTTGGCCATTGTATGCATTCTTTGGAAAATTTTCTGCTTACATCCTTTGCTTAGTTTTTTAATGTTGTTTGATTTTTGATATTGAATTGTATACGTTCTTTATATATTTTGGTTATTAACCTCTTATTGGATGCATGGCTTGCAAATATTTTCTTCCATTCCGTAGGTTGCCTTTTCATATTGTTGACTGTTTCTTTTGATGTGTAGAAGCTTTTTAGTTTTATGTAGTCTTATTTGTTTATTTTTCCTTTCATTACCTGTGCTTTTGGTAGGTATCCTATCCAAAAATTTATTGCCAAGGCCACCAACAAGGTATTTTCCCATAAGTTTTCTTCGATGGATTTTATGACTCTAGGTTTAATTAAATGCATTAATTGTTTAATTCATTTTAAGTTGATTTTGTGTATGGTGCGAGATAAGAGCCTAATTTCATTCTTTTGCATGTAGACATATGGATTGTCCATGTATTGACAATTTCTAACACTATGTATTGACAAGACTATCTTTTCCACTATGTGTATTCTTGGCACTTTTGTCGAAAATTAGTTGACCATATATGTGTAGGCTTATTTCTGGATTCTCTATTCTGTTCCATAGGTCTATGAGGCTGTTTTAATGCAAGCACCATGTTTTGATTAAATAGACTTGTAAAATATTATAAAATCAGAAAGTATAATGTCTTTAAGCTTTAACTATTTAGTTTTATTTTTATAGTTCCATACAAATTTTATGATTATTTTTTCTATTTCTGTGAAAACATCATTATAATTTTGATAGAGATTGCATTGACTCTATAGCTTACTTCGGGTATTATGGAAAATTTGACAATATTAACTTATGTGATCCATGTATATGGGATATCTTTATTTTTATTTGTGTCATCTTAAATTTATTTCATGGATGATTTGTAGTTTTCAGTGTACACATCTTTCATCTCCTTGGCTAAACTTATTTCTAAATATTTTATTCTTTTGGTGCTATTATATATGGGATTGTTTTCTTAACTTATCTTTCAGTTAGTTTGTTATTGTGTATAAGAACGCAACTGATTTTGGCATGTTGCTTTTGTACCCTGAAACTTTATTTAATTTGTTTATTATTTGTAACAATTTTTGGTGGAGTCCTTAGGGTGTTCTCTCTATAAAATTACAGGCAAACAGAGAATTTAACTTACTCATTTCCAGTTTGGATGCCTTTTTTCTTGCCAAACTGCTTTGGCTAGAACTTTCGGTATTCTGTTGAATAAAAGTGGCAAGAGTGAGCATCCTTGTCTTGTTCCTCATCTTAGAGGAAAAGCTGTCACTTTTCATCATTGAGTATGATGTTAGCTGTGAGCTTGTATGTATGGCCTTTATTATGATGAGGTGCATTTATTGCATACCTAGTTCATTGACAGTTTTTTTTTCTATCATGAAAGGATATTGAATTTTGTCAAATGCTTTTTCTGCATCTATGGAGATGATTTCATGATTTTTTCCATAATTCTGCTAATGAAGTGTATGATATTTAATGATTCGTGTATATTGAGCCATCCTTGCATTCTAGGGAGTACTTGATCATGGAGAATGATCCTTTTAATGTGCTGTTAAGTTTGGTTTGCTAGTATTTTGTCAAGCATTTTTGCATCTATGTTTATTAGGGATACCAGCTTGTAATTTTCTCTTCTTGTAGTATCTTTGTCTGGCTTTGGTAAGAGCATAGTCTAGGTCTTAGAATAAGCTCAGAGTCTTCCCTCCTCTACATATATTTTAAAATAGTTTGAGAAGGATTTGTATTAATTCTTTAAATGTTTAGAATTCACCTATGAAGGCATCTGGTCCCAGTCTTTTCCTTGTTGGGAAGTTTTTGAATACTGCTTCAATTTTTTCTTTTTAACTTTTATTTTAAGTTCAGGGGGTACATGTGCAGGAAGTTCAGGTTTCTTACAGAGGTAAATGTATGTCATTGGAGTTGGTTATACAGATTATTTTATTACCCAGGTATTAAGCCTAGTATCCATTAGTTATATTTCCTAGCACTCTCCCTCCTTTCACCCTCCACCTTCCAAAAGGCCTTAGTGTGTGTTGTTCCCCTCTGTGTGTCCCTGTGTTCTCATCATTTAGCTCCCACATACAACTGAGAACATGCCTTATTTGTTTTTTTGGTCCTGCACTAGGTTGCTAAGGATAATGGCCCACAGCTCTATCTGTGTCCTTGCAAAGGACATAATCTCATTTTTTATGGCTGCATACTATTCCATGGTGTATACATACCACATTTTTTTTATCTAGTCTATCATTGATGGGCATTTAAGTTGATCCCATGTCTTCACTATTGTGAATAATGCAGAAATTAACATATGCTTGCATGTATCTTTATAATGCAATGATTTACATTCCTTTGGGTATATACCCAGTAGTGGAATTGCTAGGTCAAATGGTAGTTCTGTCTTTAGGTTACTGAGAAGCTGCTCCACTGCCTTTCACAATAGTTGAACTAATTTACACTCATATCAATGTTGTATAAGTGTTCATTTTTCTCCACAACCTCACCAGCATCTGTTATTTTTGACCTTTTACTAGTAGCCGTTCTAACTGGTATAAGATGGTATCTTATTCTGGTTTTTATTTGCATTTCTTTAATAATCAGTGATGTTGAGCTTTTTGTCATATGATTGTTAGCCACATGTATGTCTTCTTTTGAGAAGTGTCTGTTCATGTCCTTTGTCCACTTTTTAATGGGGTTGTTTGTTTTTTTCTTGTAAACTTGTTTAACTTCCTTATAGATGCTGAATATTGGATCTTTGTCAAATGTATAGTTTGCAAAAATTTCCCCCCATTTTGTAGGCTCCCTGTTTACTCTATTGATAGTTTATTTTGCTGCGCAGAAGCTCTTTAGTTTAATTAGATCCCATTTACCCATTTTTGCTTTTGTTGCAATTGCTTTTGTTGATATTGTCATGAAATCTTTACCAGTTCGTGTGTCCAAAATGGTATTTCCTAAGTTATTTTTCAGTGTTTTTGTAGTTTTGAATTTTACATTCAAGTCTTTTATTCATCTTCAGTTTATTTTTGTGTACAGTGTAAGGAAGGGGTGCAGTTTCAGTTTTCTGCATATGGCTAGCCAGTTCTCCCAGCACCATTTATTGAATAGGGAATCTTTTCCCCATTGCTTATTTTTGTCAGGTTTGTCAAAGATCAGATAATTGTAGGGTATGGTCTTGTTTCTGAGTTCTGTATTCTGTTGCATTGGTCTGCATGCCTGTTCTTGTACAAGTTCCATGCTGTATTGGACTGTAGCCCTGTAGTATAGTTTGAAGTTGGGTAGCGTAATGTCTCCAGCTTTGTCCTTTTTGCATAGGGTTGCTTTGGCTATTTGTGCTCTTTTTTGATTCCATATGAATTTTAACATAGTTTTCTCAAGTTCTATGAAGAATGTCATTGGTAGTTTAATGGGAATAACATTGAATCTGTAAATTGCTTTGGGCAGTATGGCCATGTTCATGGTATTAATTCTTTGTATCTGTGATCATAGATTTTTTTTTTCATTTGTTTGTGTCATCTCTTATTTCCTTGAGCAGTGGTTTGTAGTTCTCCTTGTAGAGAACTTCTACCTCCCCTGCTGGCTGTATTCCTAGGTATTTTATTCTTTTTGTGGCAATTGTGAATGGGAGTTCATTCATGATTTGGCTCTCAGCTTGACTGTTGATGCACAGGAATACTAGTGATTTTGGCACATTGAGTTTTGTATCCTGATACTTTCCTGAAGTTGCTAAAGAAGGTTTTGGGCTGAGAATAGGGTTTTCTATATATAGGATCATGTTATCTGCAAACAGGGATAGTTTGATTTCCTTTTTCCTGTTTGACAATCCTTTATTTATTTTCTTTGTTTGATTGTCCTGACCAGAGCTTGCAATACTATGAATAGGACTGTTAAGAGAGGGCATTCTTGTCTTCTGCCATGATATGGTTTGGCTCTGTGTCCCCACCCAAATCTCATGTCGAGTTGTAACCCCAGGTATTGGAGGAGGGGCCTAGTGGGAGATAACTGAAGCATGGGGGCAGACTTCCCCCTTGCTCTTCTCATGATAGAGTTCTCACAAAATCTTGTTTGAAACTGTGTAGCACTTTCCCCTTTTCTCTCTCTTACTTCTGCTGCCATGTGAAGAAGGTGTTTGCTTCCTCTTTGCCTTCTGCCATAATCGTAAGTTTCCAAGGTCTCTCCAGAAGCAGAATCCTGTATACCCCTCAGAATCATGAGCCAATTAAGCCTCTTTTTCTTTTCTTTATAAATTACCGAGTCTCAGGTACTTCTTTGCAGCAGTGTGAGAACAAACTAATACATTCCGGTTTTTCAAGGGGAATGCTTCCAGCTTTTGCCCATTCGGTATGATCTTGGCTTGAATTGGTCACATACGACTCTTACTATTTTGAGTTATGTTCCTTCAATACCTAGTTTATTGAGAGTTCTTAACATAAAGGGAATTTGAATTTTATCAAAAGACTTTCTATATCTACTGAGATAATTACATGGTTTTTATCTTTAGTCCCGTTTATGTGATGAATCATATTTATTTATTTGCATATGTTGAACCAACCTTGCATCCTGGAGATGAAGCCTACTTGATCATGGTGGATACGTTTTTTGATGTGCTGCTGGATTTAGTTTGCCAGTAGTTTATTGAGAATTTTTGTATTGATGTTCATCAAAAATATTGGCCTGAAGAGTTCTTTTTTTTGTTTTATCTCTGCCAGGTTTTGGTATCAGGATTATACTGGCCTGGTAGAATGAGTTAGGAAGGATTCTGTCCTTTTCAATTTTTTGGAATAGTTTCAGTAGAAATGGTACCAGCTCTTCTTTATGCCTCTGGTAGAATTAATCTATGAATCTGTCAGGTCCTGAGCTTTTTTTCATTTCATAGGCTATTTATTACTGCCTCAATTTCAGAGCTTATTATTGGTTTATTCAGGGATTCAATTTCTTCCTGGTTCAGTCTTAAGACCGTGCATGTGTCCAGGATTTTATCCACTTCTTCTAGATTTCCTAGTTTATGTGCATAGAGGTGTTTGTAATATTCTTTGATGGTTGTTTGTATTTCTGTGGGGTCAGTGGTGACATCCCCCTTATCATTTCTGATTATGTCTATTTGAATCTTCTCTTTTTTCTTTTTTATGAGTCTAGCTGGCAGTCTGTTTTATTATTTTTTCCCAAAAATCCAGCTCCTGGTATTAGTTTATCTTCTCTATCATTTTTAGTGCTGTATCTCCAGTTTCTTTCTGATCTTGGTTATTTCTTGTCTTCTGCTAGCTTTGGGATTTGTTTGCTCTTGGTTTATTTGTTCTTTTACTTGTGATGTTAGGTTGCTGACTTGAGATCTTTCTAACTTTTTGCTGTTGGCATTCAGTGCTGTGAATTTTCCTCTTAACATTGCCTTATTGCCTTATCTGTGTTGCAGAGACTATGGTATGCTGTATGTTTGTTCTCGTTGGTTTAAAAGAACTTCTGGATTTCTGCCTTAATTTCATTATTTCCCAAAAGTCATTCAGGAGCAGTTTATTAGGTTTTCATGTAATTGTGTGGTTTTGAGTGAATTTCTTAGACTTGAGGTCTAATTTTATTGTGCTGTGGTCAAAGACAGTTTGTTATATTTTCAGATCTTTTGCATTTGCTGAGGAGTGTTTTACTTCCAATTATATGATTGATTTTAAAGTAGGTGCCATGTGGCAATGAGAAGAATGTATATTCTTTTGTTTTTGGATGGAGAGTTTTATAGATATCTATCAGGTCCATTTGATCCAGAGCTGAGTTGAGGTGTTGAATATCTTTGATAATTTTCTGTCTTGATGATCTGTCTAATATTGTCAGTGAGGTATTATAGTTTCCCACTATTATTCTGTGGGAGTCTAAGGTTTTTTGAATGAGTCCTCTAAGAACTCGTTTTATGAAGCTTGGTGCTCCTGTTTTGGGTGCATATATATATTTAGGATAGTTAGCACTTCTTGTGGAATTGAACCCTTTACCATTATATAATGTCCCTCTTTGTCTTTTTTGATATTTGTTGGTTTAAAGTCTTTTGTCAGAAAGTAGAATTGTAACCCTTGCTTTTTTTCTGTTTTCCATTTACTAGGTAAATTTTCCTCCATCCCTTTATTTTGAGCCTATGTGTGTCATTGCATGTGAGATGGGCCTCTTGAAGACAGCATACCAATGGATCTTGGTTCTTTATCCAGCTTATCACTCTATGTTTTTTAATTGAGCCATTTAGTCCATTTACATTTAAGCTTAGTATTGTTATATGTGGATTTGATCTTGTCATCATGGTGTCATCATGGTGTTATTTTGCAGACTTGTTTATGTGGTTGCTTCATAGTATCACTGGTCTTTGTATTTCACTGTTTTTGTAGTGGCTGGTAATGATTTTTCCTTTCCATATTAATGCTTTCTTCAGGCAGGTCTTTCTTCAGGCAGTGCTTTCTTTTAAGGCAGGTCTGATGGTAATGAATTCCCTCAGCATTTGCTTGTCTAAAACAAATCTTATTTCTCCTTTGTTTATGAGGCTTAGTTGGGCCAGATATGATATTTTGGGTTGGAATTTCTTTTAAGAATATTGAATATTGGCCCCCAATCTCTTCTGGCTTGTAGGGTTCCTGCTGGGAAGTCTGCTGTTATTCTGATGGGACTTCCTTTGTAGGTGTCCTGGCCTTTTTCTCTGGGTGCCCTTAGCATATTTTCTTTCATTTCAACCATGGAGAATCTAATGATTATGTGTCTTGGTGACGATCTTTTCATGGAGTATCTTACTGGAGTTCTCTACATTTCCTGAATTTGAATGTTGGCTTGTCTAGCTAGGTTGGGTAAGTTCTCATGGATGATATCCTGAAATATATTTTCCAAATTGGTTCCATTCTCCTCATCTGTTTCAGGTGCACCAATCAGTCATAGATTCAGTCTTTTTACATAATCCCATATTTTTTGGAGGCTTTGTTCATTCTTTTTCATTCTTTTTCTCTGTTCTTGTGTGCCTGTCTCATTTCAGAAAGATTGTCTTCAAGCTCTGAGTTTCTTTCCTCCACTTGGTCTATTCTGCTATTAATGCAAGCAATTGCATTGTGACATTCTTGTAGTGTGTTTTTCAGCTCTATCAGGTTGGTTATGTCCTTTTCTATACTGGCTATTTTGTCTGTCAGCACCTGCAATGTTTTGTCATGGCTTTTAGCTTCCTTAGCATTTTACAATATATTCCTTTAGCTTCATGAAGGTCGTTTTTGTCCATAAATAATTCTTCTTCTGTTATTTTAGCCATCTCAGCCTCAACCCAGTTCTGAACCCTTGCTGGAGAAGTGGATGCTGTCATTTGAAACAAAGAGGACACTCTGGCTTTTTGAGTTTTCAGTGTTCTTGTACTGACACTTCCTCATTTTTGTGGCTTCATCTACCTTCAGTCTTTGAGGTTGTTGACCTTTGGGTGGGTCTTCTTTTTTTCCTCTTAACAGTCTGCCACTTTTCTGTAGAGCTTCTGTGGTTTGATGGTGGTCCATACTCACGTTGGGTTTTCCAATACCTGGAGGTATCACCAATGAGGCTGCAAAAAACAAAGACGGCAGCCTGCCCCTTCCTTTAGCAGCTCCATCTCAGGGGGATACAAACCTATTGCTGGCCTGAATGCTCCTGTAGGAGGTGGCTAAAGACCCCAGTTGGGAGGTCTCAGCCAATCAGGAGAAATGAGATTGGGGACATGCTTAAAGAAGCCATCTAGCCATGCTTTCATAGAGCTACTGTGCTGTGCTGGGGTACCTCTTCTGCCCCTGGTCAGGTTGGACTCTTTAAAGGCTGGAGGCTGGAACAATAGCAAAAAAGCCAGCACATTCCTCCCTCCAGGAGCTCTGTCTCAGGAACTTTTCAAATCTTTGTTGGCCAGAGAACATTGGCAGGAATGCCTGGAGGTGCTGCTTGGGAAGTCCTGCCAAGTGAGGAGAAACAGATCAGGGTCCTGCTCAAGGAGTAATCTGGCCATGCTTTTGTAGAGCAGCTGTGCTGTGCTGGGGTACCACTTCTGCCCCAGTTGACTTGGGCTCTCCAAAGGCCGCAGGCTGGAACATCTAAGTTTCCCAAACAGCAAAGATGGTGGCTTGCCCCTCCCTCTGGAAACTCTGTATAGGGAGAAATTAAATCTCTGCTGGGCCAGACAAAACGGGCAGGAGTGGCTGGAGGCTCCAGTTGGGAGGTCCCGCCAGTGAGTAGGACTGAATTGGGGACCTGATTAATGAAGCAGTCTGGCCACGTTTTGATAGGGCAGCTGTGCTGTGCTGGGGGATCCCTTCCATGCCTGGTTAGTTTGGATTCTCCAAAGCCCATAGACTGGAACTGCTCAGTCACCCAAACAGGAACAATTGCAGCCCGCCCTACTCCCCAGGCTCTCCATCCAGTTCCAGGGTAGGCTCAACACTGTTGATGGGGGCTGGTTGGACTTCCAATTCAGTGGGTCTTCTCCTATGAGGTGCCATGGAAGTGGGGCCCACCGACTTGCTGATCAGTCCTCTGGATTCAACCCCCTTCCCAGGGGTAGGTACAGAAATCCAACCTCCCACCTTGCCTGAGTTACAGTCACCTTTGCTGGGAAGCACAGAACCAGAGTATGTAAAGCTCCTGGGTCTTCATGTGTTCCTAAACAGCTGCTCTGCTGAGACTCCACACAGGTCTGGGTCAGACCATAGGCCCTGGTGCATTGGGTTCACTAGGGAATCTCCTGATCCAAAGGTTGCAAAGATCTGTGGGAGAAGTGTGGTTTCCCAGGGTTGCAAATTTATTCACTGCCTCCCTGGGTTGGGGGGGTAGGTCACCTTGGCTCCATGCTACTCCCAGGGGAGCCATTGCCTGCCCTGCTTTTCTTCCTTCTCTGTGGGTTGAGCTGTTTCCCTAATGAATCCCAATGTGAGTACCTGGATGTTTCAGTGGAAGGTGCTGTATTTACTTGCCCTTTTCATTCCTCTCCGTGAGAGCTATGCACTGTAGCTGCTTCTCATTGGCCATCTTGGCTCCCTCCCCAGACATTCTTCTGCTTCAATTTCTTTACTCATTATTAGTCTCTTCTGCTTTAATCTCTTTATTCATTATTGGTCTGTTCAGATTTTCTATTTCATTATGATTCAGTCTTGACAGGTTACATTTTTAAAGAAATGTATTCTTTTCTACTAGGTTATCTATCTTGGTGTATAATTGTTCATAGTAGTCTGTTATAATCCTTCACAATTCTGTGACATCAGTCATTATGTCTCCTCTTTCATATCTGATTTCATTTATTTAAGTTTTCTCTCTTTTTCTTCATCAGTCTAGCAAAAGTTTTGTCACTTTATTTTTTCAAAAAACAATGCATAGTTTTATTTATTGATGCACATTTATGGAGTATATGTGATATGTTGTTACATGCATAGATTGTCTAATAATTAAGTTAGAGATTTAGGGTATCCATCACCTCAAATATTTTTTATTTTTATGTGTTAGGCATATTTTAAGTCCTCTTTTCTGGCTACTTTGTAATATACAGTGCATTGTTAACTGTAGTCACCTTAATATGCTTTTGAATATTATAACTTATTTCTTCTATCTAATTGTAGATTTGTACCCTTAACCAATCTCTTTTTATTCCCCTTTCTAACCCAAAAACCATTCCCAGTCTCTAGTATCTACCTTTCTACTCTCTACCTCCATGAGATCAACATTTTATCTTTCACATGAGTGCAAATGTGAATGTGATATTTTTCTCCCTGTGTCTGCCTTATTTCCCTTAATATAATACCCTCCAGTTCCATCCATGTTGCTGCAAATGACAGGATTATATTCTTTTTTGTAGCTGAGTAGCATTTCATTGTGTATATATACTACATTTAAAAAATTTATTCATCCGTTGAGGGACACAGGTTGATTCCTTATTTTGGGTATTGTGAACAGTGTTGCAATAAATATGGAAGCGCAGGTATCTCTTTGATGTACTGGTTTTTTCTCTTTAGGATAAATACTCAATACTGGAATTGCTGGATTGTATAGTAGTTCTATTTTTAGTTTTTTTGAGAAATTTCAATTTACATTCCCACTAACAGTGTGTAACAGATCCTTTTCCTCCATTTGATAACTAAAATTTTCTTTTCAGAAATCCAAGTAAATCCAGAAACATTTTAATGTTGACATGACTAAAATCTAATTGGAAAAATTTGAAATTCCATTTTATCAACATGTAGAGCTGAAATTTTACTACTTGGAAAATGTGATGTGAAAATGGGATCCTAAAGGGTTTGCTTGTGTTTTCATTGCTTTTCTTTTAGAGAAAATTAAAAGAATTCACCATGACTGAAGAAAAATAATTATAAAATACTATTACTAATGAAAACCTTGAGTTCACTAATATTGTAATCTTCTGTAGGGAAAGTTATTGAAGGTATTGAGGATAATTTTTTTAAAAAAATGTCTAATCTCTGATTCAAATGACACACATAAACTGAAAATATAAGCTTTCAGGGCACATTTTGACAGAAATGAATAATACAATTTGCTGCCAGAACCAGTGTATTGAAAAAAGAAAATAAGACTACCTGCCTTCTGGAGCCATTAAAGCAAAATTTATTGTTCTGTTTAAACAAGTTTGTGTTTTATTTTGCATCACCACACATCTGCATATATAAAATACTACATCCTTTTGCCCACTTTTTAATGGGATTGTTTTCTTATTGCTGAGTTTTTTGAGTTTTTAAAAATGTTCTCTGAATACTAATCCCTTGTCAGCTTCTTAGTTTGTGAATATTTTCCTTGTTCAACAGGTTGTCTCTTCACTTTGTTGATTGTTTCTTTTACTTTGCAGTAGCTTTTTAGTTTAATATAGCCCCATTTATCCATTTTTGCTTTTGTTGTCTGTGCTTTTCAGATAATTAGTCATAAAATCTTTGCCTAGACCAAAGTCTTGAAGTGTTTCCCTTAGATGTTCTTCCAGTAGGTTTATAGTTTTGAATCTTACATTTAAGTCTTTAATCTATTTTGAATTGATTTTTGTATATAGTGAGAGATGAGAGTATAGTTTTATTCTCCGACATATGCAGATTGAGTTTTCCCAGCACCACTTATTGGAAATGGTGTATGTTCTTGGTGCCTTTGCCAAAAATCAGTAGGCTGTAAAGACATGGATTTATTTCTGGACTCTATTCTGTTCCACTGGGTTATGTGTCTGTTTTTATAACAAGATCATACAGTTTTTGTTACTATAGCTTTGTAATATATTTCGAAGTCAGGTAGTGTGATGCCTCCAACTTTATTTTTCCTGTTGAAAATTGCATTGGCTATTTGGGCTCTTTTTGTTGTTCCACATGAATTTTAGATTTTTTTTTCTGTTTATGTGAAAAATGATGATGGTATTTTGATAAGAATTGCATTGAATCTATAGATTGCTTTGGGTATTATGGTAATTTTAACAACATTAATCCTTCTAATTCATAAGCATGGGATGTCTTTCCATTTGCTTGTATCCTCTTCAGGTTTTTAAATCAGCATTTTATAGTTTTCCTTGTAGAGACGTTTAACCTCCTTTGTTAAATTTAGTCTTAGGTGTTTCATTTTTTAGTAGCCATTGTAAATGAGATTGCCCTCTTTATTTTTAGCTAGTTTGTTATTAATATATGGAAACATTATTGATTTTTATATGTTGATTTTGTATCCTGCAAATTTACTGAATTGTTTATTAGTTCTAAGAGTTTTTTTGGTAGAGTCTTTTGGTTTTTCTAAATATAATATGATGTCATGTGTAAAGAGGAACAATTTGACTTCTTCATTTCCAATTTGGATGCCTTTTATTTCTTTATTTTGCCCAATTGCTCTGGCTAAAATTTCTGGTACTATGGTGTGTAGTAGTGAAAGTGGGTATCTTGTCTTGTTCCAGGTCTTAAAGGAATGTTTCTCTGCTTTTCACCATTCAGTATGATGTTGTCCATGAGTTTGTCACATATAGCCCTTAGCATGTTGAGATATGTTCCTTTATTTTATTTTACTTTAAGTTCTGGAATGCATGTACTGAATTTGTTACATAGGTATACATGTGCCATGGTGGCTTGCTGCACCCATCAACCCATCATCTAGCTTTTAAGCCCCACATGCATTAGGTATTTGTCCTAATGCTCTCCCTCCCCTTGTCCCCCACACCCTGACAAACCCTGGTTTGTGATGTTCCTCTCCCTGTGTTCCATGTGTTCTCATTGTTCAACTCCCACTTATGAGTGAGAACATGTGGTGTTTGGTTTTCTGTTCCTGTGTTAGTTTGCTGAGAATGATGGTTTCCAGCTTCATCCATGTCCCTGCAAAAGACATGAACTCACTCTTTTTTTATGGCTCTATAGTATTCTATGGTGTATATGTGCCACATTCTCTTCATCCAGTCTATCACTGATGGACATTTGGGTTAGTTCCAAGTCTTTGCTATTGTAAATAGTGTTGCAATAAACATACGTGTGCATGTGTCTTTATAGTAGAAAGATTTATAATCATTTGGGTATATACCCAGTTACCCAGTAATGGTATTACTGGGTCAAATGATATTTCTAGTTCTAGATCCTTGAGGAATTGCCACACTGTCTTCCACAATGGTTAAACTAATTCACACTCCCACCAACAGTGTAAAAACATTCCTATTTCTCTGCATCCTCACCAGCATCTGTTGTTTCCAGACTTTTAAACAATCATCATTCTAACTGGCGTGAGATGGTATCTCACTGTGGTTTTTTTTGATTTGCATTTCTCTGATGATCAGTGATGATGAGTTTTTTTCATGTTTGATGGCTACATCAATGTCTTCTTTTGAGAAGCACCTGTTCATATCCTTTGCCCACTTTTTGATGGGGTTGTTTGTTTTTTTCTTTTAAATTTGTTCAAGTTCCTTGTAGATTCTGGATATGTTCATTTTATATTTAGTTTGTTGAAAGTCTTTATTATGAAGTTATGTTCAATTTTATCAAAAGCTTATCCTGCATATTTTGAGATTATTGTAGGATTTTGTCCTTCATTCTGTTGATGTGATATATCACATTTATTGATTTATGTATTTTTTTTTTTTTGAGACGGAGTCTTACTCTGTCACCCAGGCTGGAGTGCAGTGGCACGATCTTGGCTCACTGCAAGCTCCTTCTCTGGGGTTCATGCCATTCTCCTTCCTCAGCCTCCCGAGTAGCTGGGACTACAGGTGCCCGCCACCACACCCAGCTAATTTTTTCTATTTTTAGTAAAGACAGGGTTTCACCATGTTAGCCAGGATGGTCTCGATCTCTTGACCTCGTGATCTGCCTGCCTCGGCTTCCCAAAGTGCTGGGATTACAGGAGTGAGCCACTGCGCCCGGCCTGATTTATGTATGTTAAACCATTCTTGTATCCTTGGTATAAATTATGCTTTATTATGGTATATTATATTTTGATGTGCTGTTGGATTTGGCTTGCTAGTATTTTATTGAAAATACATATGTCCATGTTCATCAGACTTATTGGCCTGTAGTTTTATTTTTATTGTATGTGTCCTTGTCTGGTTTTGGCATAGGGTAATGCTGGCCTTATAGAATGATTTTGGGAGAATTGCATCTTCTTCAGTTTTTAAGAATAGTTTGAGGAGAATTTGTATTAGCTCATTTATTTTTAAAATTTTTTGTTGGTACATAGTAGGTGTATATGTTTATGGCACACATGAAATTTTCATACAGGCGTGTGATGTGAAATAAGCACATCATGGAGAATAGGGTATCAATCCCCCTGAAGCATTTATCCTTTGAGATACACACAATCCAATTATATTCTTTAAGTTACTTTAAAATATACAATTATTGTTAACTATATCACCTTATTGTGCTATCAAATAGTAGGTCTTATTCATTCTTTCTAATTTTTTTTGTGCCCATTAACCATCCCCACTTTCCCCCCTTCTGCCTCCCCTACTATTCTTCCTAGCCTCTGGTAACCATTCTACTGTCTATGTCTGTGAGTTCAATTATTTTGATTTTTAGATGCCACAAGTAACTGAGAACATGTGATCTTTCTGTGCCTGGCTTATTTCACTTAATATAATAGTTTGGTACAATTCAGCAGTGAAGCCATCCAGTTCTGAGCTTTTTATTTTTTATGTAATTCAATACATTCTTAATTTTCAGGATTTCTGTTTGGTTATTTTTATGATATCCATCTCTTTTGTAAATTTCTCATTCATATTCTGATTGTTTTTCTGATTTCTTTCTATTATATATCTGTGTTCTCTTGTACCTCACTGAATTTACTTAATATTTTTATTTTGAATTCTTTTTACGGCACTTTGTAAACTTATTTTTCACTGGACTCTGTTGCTGAAGAATTTTTGCGTTCCTTGGAACTGTCAAATTTTTGTTGTTTTTTCATGTTTCTTGTGTCCTCTTCTTGATATCTGTGCATCTGGTGTAATTAATGCTTCTTCCATTTTTGAGGGGATTTGCTTTCTTAAGCAGAGTACTTTTTATTGAAGAATTATCTAAGGTGTGGGTCAGATACGGTACATTGGCTGTGATTGTGGGTGCATGCAGTAGTGTTGTTTTTGTACTATTTCTTTGGCTATAAACACTGTCACTAGTGTCTGTAATTTTTTTAAATTTTTTAATTTTTATTATTATTTTGTTTTTTGGGTGGAGTAGGTTGTGGTGGTTGTGGAGGCTGTGGTGAATTTTGCTGGAAATGGAAATGCCAGGTGAGTCAATCCTCAGGTCCCAGTGGGGGCAGCAGTGGGCCAAGTGTGACTGTTGGGCCCCAGGGTGGTGTAGTAGGTTCAGATGAGCTGATTTTTTGTCCTCCAAGAAGTTTGCTTGGGTGCCAGAAGTGGCAACAATGGACTGAGCATTTGGGTGGGTCCTTGGGCCTCTGAGTAGCAGGCATGGTGTGGGCAATGGTAGTAGCTGTGGCATTATAACCCTCTGGCTCCCAAGTTGTCCACACTGATGTTAGCAGAATCTGTGATGTGCTGAGCAGGCTATTCCTCATGCCCACAAGTGGTGCATGGGGGTGGATGCCAACTGTAATGGTATCTGCTGGCTGGGTGGGCCCATACGCAGGAGCCAGGAGGAGTGTTCAGGTGCCAATAGGGGTGGATGAGGCAAGGCAATCCCCAGGCCCCCAGACAGCATGCTCAGATACTGATCATGGGGGGCTAAGCCAGGTCAAGTGGATCTGTCACCAGGCCCCTCAGTGGTACATATAGGTGCTAATTGTGGTGTGTAAGGGTGGGGTGATCCCCAGGCACCCGGCAGAGTGCTTGGGTGAGGGAGGCTGCAGCTGGACTGCTCACCTTCTGCTGGGGATGGTGGATTTGCTTTCATTGGCCACAGTGGTTGGCAGGTAGTGGCAAGCATGTGCTTCAGCCCCCACTTCCCAACTCTTAGTTTTATTGACCATTTTATTGCTTTTCTAGTCTTTATTTTATTTATTTCTGCTGTGATGTTTATTATTTTCTTTCTTATGCTGATTTTTGTCTTAGTTCACTCTTTTTTACTGGGTTTTCGAGATGTTAGTTTAGGTCATTTACTCTTTATTTTTTTGATGTAGGTGTTTATTGCTATAAGCTTCACTCATAGCTATTTTCTGCTACATCCCATAAATCTTGGTATTTTTTTTTCTACTTTACCTTTGTCTCAAGGTTATTTTTCATTTTCCTCTAATTTCTTTTTTTGACCCAGTGTTTTTATAGAAGCATGCTTAATTTCCATACATTTGTGAATTTTTTAGTTTTTTTTTCTGTTATGTATTTCTAGTTTCATACCATTGTGGCCAGAAAAGAAATTTGATATTTGGTATAATTTCAATCTTAAACTTGTTAAGACTTCATCTGTGACCTAATATACGATCTATTCCATAGAATGTTCCATGTGCACTTGAAAGGAATGTGCATTCTTCAGCTATGTAATAGAATGCTTTGTATATGTCTGTTAGGTTCATTTGTTTAAAAGTACAGTTTAAGTCAAATATAGCCTTATCGATTTTTTTTGGATTATCTATTGTAGAATGTGGGATAATGAGGTCCACTACTATTATTATATTGCTGTCTACTTTCCCTCCAGTTGTTAATATTTATTTTATATATTTAGGAACTTGACATTGAGTTAATATATATTTACAATTGTTATATTCTCTTGATCAGTTGATCCCTTTATCATTATATAATGATCTTTATCTCTTGCAACATTTTTTTACTCAGATTCTATTTTACTTGATATAAATGTAGTCACCACTACTCTCTTATGGTTTTTATTTGCATAGAATATTTTTTCCATTCCTGCCCTTTCACCCTTTGTGTGTCTTTGAAACCAAGATTAGTGTCTCCTAGGTAGCACATAGTTTGATTTTTGTTTTATTATTCATTCAGCCACTTTATGTCTTATTAATTTAATCCACTTACATTTAAAGTACTTTTTCATAGGGAAGGCATTAGCAATGCCATTTTATTGTGTTCTCACAATTTTTAAAGTTTCTTCACTCCTTTCTTACTGTCTTGCTGTCTTTCTTTATGAGTCACTGGACCTTTTTTAGTAGTATTCTCTGAATTTTTGCTTTATTTTTGTGTATCTACTATATGTTTTTGTCTTGTGATTACCATAATGCTTATATAAAACTGCTTATAGAGATAACAGTCTAATTTTAAGCACACAAATTAATTCATTTTTTTGCATACAAAACTATATTTATACTCTCTCCATCATATTATGTGCTATTTATGTCACACTTTACATCTTTTTTATCAAGTATCAAATTACTGTAGTTTAGCTGTTTTTAATACTTTTGTTTTCTAACTTTTATGTGTGTTAAAAGTGATTACACTCTGCTATTAGAAAATTAGAATATTCTGAATTTGATCTTATCTTTATTTTTAGGCTTTATACTTTCATGTTTCACACTGTTACTTAGTATACTTTAATTTAAACTTAAAAAGCTCCCTTTAGCATTTCCTGTAAGGTAGGTCCAGTGGTGATAAACTCCCTTAGCTTTTGTTTGGTCTAGGAATATCTTTATCTCTCCTTAATTTCTAAGTAATAGCTTTGCTGAATATCATATTCTTGGTTGACAGGCTTTTTTCTCCCCTCTGTCAGCACTTTGACTGTATTATACGACTTCTTCCTAGGCTGCAATGTTTCTGCTGAGAAATCTGCTGGATGACCTTATGTTATTTTTCCCTTGTATGTGAAGTGTCCTTTTTCTCTCACTGCTTTCAAATTTATCTCATTTTCTTTGACTTTTTACAATTTGAATATAATGTGTCTAGGGCAATCTTTGTGTTGAGTTTGCTTGGAAACTTTTGAGATTCATAAATCTGGATACTTATATCCCTCTCATGACTTGGACATTTTTCATTCATTATTTCTTTAAGAAATCTCCTGTTCTTTTCTCTCTCTCTTCTCTTTCTGAGAAATTCATATTGTATATATTCATTCATTTAATGAAATGCCATAGATCTCATACTTTCTTCACTTTTTTCATGTTTTTTTGATCCTCTAACTGGCTAATTTCCAATGACTTTTATTTGATTTTGCTGATTCTTCTGCATGATCAAGTCTACTTTTGAAGCTCTCTATTAGGTTTTTTAAGTTCCATTATTGCATTCTTTAGCTCCAGGATTTTCATTTGATTCATTTTTATGATTTCTACTTTTTATTAAACGTTTCATTTTGTTCTTGTATTATTTTTGTAAGTTTGTCTAGTTGTCTGTCTGTATTCTTTTTCATCTCATTGAACTTCCTTGAGATAATTATTTTAAATTTTTTTGTCAGAAAATTCTTTGATTTTTTTTTCTTTGTCATTGGTTACTATAGCTTTATTGTTTTTCTGTGGGTCATGTTTGCTTGATTCTTCATGATCAGTGTAGCCTTGCAATGGTATATGTGCCTTTGAAGTAGAAACCGTCTCTTCCAGTTTTTATTTACTATTTTTAGTAGTTAAAGATCTTTTTATCTTGGGTTCCTAGGCTGATGGGATAACCTCCTCAGTTGCAATCAGGAAGGATTAGAGTTAGGTTGCACAGCTACTGCTGGGTCCACAGTAGGGTCTGTGATTTGTGGACCTGTTACCAGGGACCTGAACATCAATGATCCTGTCTCATCCCTAGGTGAACTGGACTGCCTTTAGTACCTTGCCCAGAATGGCTGGTGCTAGGACAAGGATCTATTTCATGGTCTTCAGTTAGAAGACAGTGAGCCCGTTACTGCATGTGCAGATGGGTGTGGCTCCTGCCAAGTCCCAGAGAGGGCTCCTTCCAGTTCAAGAAGTGGTCCTTGAGCAGGCAGGACACATCATTGTCTGAGGATTAATGGGGCTGGAATTAAGTTACTGGGCTCTTTCAAGATCCTTATTTGGACTGAGGTTAGTAGGCCTGGTTCTGGGGGCATATGCAGACAATGTGCTGGATTACCTACAGATGAGTGTGTCTCCTGCCTTGTCCTTGGGTGGGTAGAGCTGCTCTTGCATCACAGCTGAGAAGGGCCAAAACTGAGTTACAGAGTTATTTCTAGTTTCAGAGTTGGACTAAGATCAACAGCCCTGCCTCTAGAAACATGGACAAGTGTGTCCCCTTCCAGGACCCTGGGTGGGCAGGACTGCTTATGTACGGGGGCCAAAGCCAGGTCATGGTCTACTTTAGGGTCCAGAGCTGGGATTAAATTTGGTGGGCCTCTTACAGGATGCATGGGAAAGTGTGGCTCTTAGATCTCTTGGTTAATGCTGCTGGTGATGAAATGAAGGCCAAATTGGGCTACAGCCAAGCCCCCAGTGGGATAAGGCAACTTCTGGGTTTGTAGTCAGAACTATGGTCAGTGAACCTGGACCTGGGTGCAGGCCTGCTTTCTCAAAAAGGTTTTCCTTGGTCTTAGACTTCACGAGGGATTTGTAAACTCCTATCTAGATCCCAAAGCTCTTGGAAAGGCACTTTTATGTGGGGATGGGTGCCAAATTATTGTTGCTGTGAGGGGATACAAGCAGGAGACCTCATATGCTGTTATATTGCTGCCATTACCCAGACTTTTGCAATTCTTAATGAATTAATGAATTTAGGCAATTAGGTGAAAAGCCATTGGTAGAAAGGTTGATGGGATTTTTATAAAGATTTTATAAAGATTAATGGGGAAATCAGGCTAACAACACTTGCCTATTGACCAATATTAGCATCACTAAAATTGAAAAAGACATATCATTAAGTGGCTTATTATATTTAATATTACCTTTGAAGTATTCTTACCTAAAAAATTGAATCTAAAATCTAATCATTCTTCTAATTATCAATTTATAGTAAACATGAGGGAAAGATCAACAGTCTAAAAGACAGCAGAAAAATACAGAATTTTTTGGGATAAACGACTATTTCTCTACAAATCAATGTCATAAAAAGGGTAAATATTGGTTAAGACTAAAGAAAATTTTAAAAAATTTGCTGGATAACTTGCAAAAATGATCATGGACAGGGGACGTGATTTTTCTTCTTATCAAAGAGTAGAGTTTATTGTTTTACTCTTTGTATTTGGTTTGGCCTTGTAACTTGCCTTGACAAATAGAATCCAGCAGAATTCACAGTGTGCAAGTTCTGGAGCCTACACCTGAAGAAGGCTTATAGATTATATTCTTGCACTTTTAGAGTCTTTTTTTTTTATTTTTTGTGATGGGATCTTGCTCTGTCACCCAGGCTGGAGTGCAGTGGTGCAATCATGTCTTGTTGCAGCCTCAACCTCTTGAGCTCAAGTAATCCTCCCACCTCAGAGTCCCGAGGAGCTAGGACCACAGGTGTCCTCCACTATGCCCAGCTAATTTTTTTTTTTTTTGGAAGATAGGGTCTCACTGTATTGCCCAGGCTGGTCTCTAACTCCTGGGCTCAAGCTGTCCTTCCACCTCAGCCTCACAAATTGCTGGGATTACAGGCCACCACACCTGGCTCAACTTTTGGAGTCCTGAGACTGTTTTACTTCATAAGCCCAGGCTAACTTCCTTGAGGATAAGACTATGTGGAGAGAAAGACCCATATGACAGCTGCATCATTCACTAGATAGGTGATGAAGCCATCTTGGACTATCTGTTTTTGCTAAAGCTACCAGCTGGCTGCTACCACATAAAGGACCCTAGGCAACATTTGCAGAAGAACCACTCATCTGAGCCCAGGCAAAATTGTTGACCTGTGGCATACAGAGCTAATAAATTATTCTTGTTTTTAAGCCACTGAATTTAGAAGTGGTCATTATACAGTAGGAGATTGCTAAAGCAGAGTTATAATAATCAAATACAATATGTGGATCCTACTGGATCGACATTCAAACAAATCACCTGTAAAAAGGATCTTTTGAGATAAATAAGGAAATTTGAGCATGGATTGCATATTAGATAATGTCAAAAAATTATTTTAATTTTATCAGTTGTTTTATAATGTAAACAAAAATGATATAGAGATGCACACTGTAGATTTATCAGGGAAATGCCCTGATATATGGGATTTGTTTTAAAATAACCAAAGAAAGAAAGGCATGGGAGACATAGATAAAACAAAATTGGTAAGATGTTGATAATTATTGAAGTTGAGTGATGTGTTCATGGTTTATATGATATTCTCTCAACATCTCATTTTGTTTTAAATGTCTTTTGTATTAAAGATTTTTTAAAGAAAATATCAATTGTTCTTAGTAGCCTCTCAACAAGCATTCATTTTCAACCTGTGGATCCCTTCTCTGCCTTTTCCAACGTTTTCCAGGGTTGGCTCATTTGGAAAGATCTCTGGGTGAAGCTTCTCGTGGACTCTGTTAATTGTTGTATTAATAGGGTTTAGGAACCATTAAGACTGTCACACAGTAGGAACTGCCAGTTTTATATTAATTTCAGCAGGGGTGCTGGGAACCTTCATATAGGAGCTGTCCACAATCCTGGCAGCCCCATTATTCATGTTTTTATTTTTAAGAAAGAGGTTTTGTTTGACATCATAGAGGAATAAATTAATGTGACCCATCTGCAGTCTAATTCCTGTAGAGAATCTAGTTGTTAGCTAGGTAATAGTCTAGCTCTTCGAGGTGACTAAAGTCCTTAAACTTGTTAATTTAGCTGAGGAAGAAATAGCTGCAGTGAATTCCCCTTTAGGAGTGTTATAGATGTGAGTCTGGATCATGTCATCTTAGCAAAAGCAGGTTTGAAAATTCCGTCGAGGGCTGATTTGTATGTGTAGAAGGTGGCCAGTCTGGTATAAACAGGTTCTCTGGTATGGAAGTGGTGTACCTGAACATCGCTATGTCTAGAGAAAGATGAAGTGAGAAATAATGCCATTATTGAGAATAAGCCACCAAGAGACCTGGATTTTTATAAAATATAAAAATAGAAAGGAGTGAAGCAAAGTAACCTATAAACCTCTTTACTTCCCCATCCCCCGGCTTCCTACAAATTCCAAACAGACAGCTACAACATACTTTGGGCCTGCTGCAGGCCATGTTCCATGTTAAATATTCCACATGCCTGATCTTATTTAGTTCTTACTAAAATCTGCACAGTTTGCATTATTTGTTTCATTTAAAGATGAACAATCTTAGGGCAGAGAGGCTACCTAACTGTCCCAACTCTTCCTTATTCCAGTACTACCTCATAAATACAGAATGGGCTCTGAGCTGAGTCATTTTGCAGAAATCAGAGATCACATTTATTTGATTAAAGCCATAAAATCAAGAGGAGCTGTTCCAATGTTTGGGCCATCCCAACAATCAAGGAAATCATTATCAGGCTTTACTGAAGATGATTGATTTGATTACCGTATATAAACCCATGCAGATTATAACTAGAATATTTTGTGGTTTCACATCCAATTTGAAAAAAATGCTACTTTTTTCAACATATATGACTCACATATATGTATGTAAAACATAAGGCAGGGACAAAAATACATCAAAGTTGGTTGTATTTCTTCTAAACCAGTCCTAATAATAATTAAATAACACTTTGTACAAAATGCTTTCACTTTTGGTTCACCTATGGGCTAGGATATTTTAGGAGAAAGATAAGCTTTTAAATCAGAAGGAAGCTGAGATTCAGTTCTAGCAATGTTCCTTTTCAAAGCGGTATTTTGATGAATTAATATCTCTGAGCCTTGGCTTTTTTATTTGTCTAACAAAAATAATGATGTTTGTAACCCACGAAGGAAGAAATGACATTTTGTAACAAAGCTTCCTGCACAGCATCTGACAAAGAATTTTCCTCTCATTGAATGGAAATATTTGATTTTTTATGTATTAAACTTTATTTCTATCCCATGATCAATGTGTTGTTGGACCATTTTGTACAACTTAATGAACATTGGTAATAACAAGGTTATAGCCAATGATGGTAAGATTAAGGGATGTTAATAAAATAGAATTTTGTGGAACATGTTGATTCTCATATTTGAAGTGAGAATAAAGGTGGTAAAAATAACCCAGGGTAGGCTACTTATGATGCGCCACCATGTAGTCAACTTTCATACATTGGGAAGGGGGTGTCTATCTTTTCCCAATTTAGCATTCCTTCAAGAGTGCCATGCAGACAGTGGAGCAGGTGAGTCAATATGAATGGGCAGCTGCTTGACTTACCACTTGCACTGACTTGAGCAGAGTCTGGTGGAGAAGCACAGGCACAAATTTATCATGATATATGTCACATTCTTCTTATTGTCGATGTGATTTAAAAAATGACAACCTTTTTCCAAACTCCTCAGAGTTTTTCCCAAGAGGAAGCCAAATAGAACATATGGCCATGTCTTTTTCTCTTTCTGTTTTTACACTTTATTTGCATGTGGTAATTCTTATTATAATGCCTTTGAATTTTGACTAAGACCTTTAATCCTATTTCATCAGACCGCTACCGTGTTTTTGGCTTCCTTTAGTGTTGTGGTTTAAAATACTACAAACCTTCCCACATTTTTGCATGTTTTCTAGCCTTATTCGTCTTTTTCTCTCCTATAAGTTCTGACTATTTCATTTGATGCTGACCAGCAACTTTCCTTTAACTTGAGATTTTTCCATATTCTACAAAATAGATCCTCTGATTTCTGTTTAGCATTTCCTACGCAAAATTATGTGGCTACTATACCTTCGAAAACCCAAATTCTTGTTCTCTCAAGTTGCCATTATACATCATAAAATTCTGAAAAAAGATCTTTTTAAAAATTGGGCAACACAATGCAAAGCATAACTTTATTGTTATCTAAGGATGTGTTTTCACACCCCACTCCAGAGGTTCCAGGAGATAGGCAGGTTATGAGGTGCTTCTCATTCTCTTTCTCCTGGGAAAAGTCAGCTGAAAACTGTGACTAAGAGAATTCTGATTTCTGAAATATGGCTCTTTCTTTTTGACCCTCTTGTTATCACTTGCACTTTGAAAGGAAGTGGGGAAATGAGGGGTGAGGGAAACAGAAGAGAATAGACTCGAAATCAAAAGACCTACTTTCTTTCTTTTTTTTGCATTTATTTATTTATTTTACTCTAAGTTCTGGGGTACATGTGTAGAACGTGCATGTTTGTTACATAGGTATGCACGTACCATTGTGGTTTGCTGCACCCATCAACCCATCATCTACATTAGGTATTTCTCCAAATGCTATCCCCAAGCCCCCCACCCCCCGACAGGCCCTTGTGTGTGATGTTCCCCTCTCTGTGTCCATGTGTTCTCATTGTTCAGCTCCCGCTTATGAGTGAGAACATGCAGTGTTTGATTTTCTGTTCTTGTGTTAGTTTGCTGAAAATGATGGTTTCCAGCGTCATCCATGTCCCTGCAAAGGACATGAACTCATCCTTTTTTTATGGCTGCACAGTATTCCATGGTGTATCTGTGTCACATTTTCTTTACCCAGTCTATCATTGGTGAGTATTTGGGTTGGTTTCAAGTCTTTGCTATTGTGAACAGTGCCGCGATAAACATATGTGTGCATGTGTCTTCATAGTAGAATGATTTATAATCCTTTGGGTATATACCCGGTAATGGGATTGTTGGGTCAAATGGTATTTCCAGTTCTAGAGCCTTGAGGAATCGCCACACTGTCTTCCACAATGGTTGAACTAATTTACACTCCCACCAACAGTGTAAAAACATTCCTATTGTTCCACATCCTCCCCAGCATCTGTCGTTTACTGACTTTTTAATGATTGCCATTCTAACTGGCATAAGATGGTATCTCATTGTGGTTTTGATTTGCATTTCTCTAATGACCAGTGATGATGAGCTTTTTATTATTATTATTATTATTATTATTATACTTTAAGTTCTAGGGTACATGTGCACAACATGCAGGTTTGATACATAGGTATGTATACATGTGCCATGTTTGTTTGCTGCACTCATCAACTCATCATTTACATTAGGTATTTCTGCAAATGCTATCTCCAAGCCCCCCACCCCCTGACAGGCCCTTGTGTGTGATGTTCCCCACCCTGTGTCCACTGATCTCATTGTTCAATTCCCACCTATGAGTGAGAACATGCGGTGTTTGGTTTCTGTCCTCGTGATAGTTTGCTCAGTATGATGGTTTCCAGCTACATCCATGTCCCTTCAAAGGACATGGACTCATCTTTTTTATGGTTACATAGTATTCCATGGTGTATATGTGCTACAGTTTCTTAAGCCAGTCTATCATTGATGGAAATTTGGGTTGATTCCAAGTCGTTGCTATTGTGAAAATGCCGCAATAAACATACGTGTACACATGTCTTTACAGTAGCATGATTTATAATCCTTTGGGTATATACCCAGTAATGGGATTGCTGGGTCAAATGGTAATTCTAGTTCTAGATCCTTGAGGAATCACCACACTGTCTTCCACAATGGTTGAACTAATTTACACTCCCACAGACAGTGACAGTGTAAAAGCATTCTTATTTCTCTACAACCTCTCCAGCATCTGTTGTTTCCAGACTTTTTAATGATTGCCATTCTAACTGGTGTGAGATGGTATCTCATTGTGGTTTTGATTTGCATTTCTCTGATGACCAGTGATGATGAACATTTTTTCATGTGTCTGTTGGTTTCTTTTGAGACGTGTCTATTCATATCCTTCGCCCACTTTTTGATGGGGTTGTTTGTTTTTTTTTCTTGTAAATTTGAGTTCCTTGTAGATTCTGGATATTAGCCCTTTGTCAAAGGGTAGATTGCAAAAATTTTCTCCCATTCTGTAGGTTGCCTGTTCACTCTGATGGTAGTTTGTTTTGCTGTGCAGAAGCTCTTTAGTTTCATTAGATCCCATTTGTCTATTTTGGCTTTTGTTGCCATTGCTTTTGGTGTTTTAGTCATGAAGTCATTGCCCATGCCTATGTCCTAAATGGTAGTGCTTAGGTTTTCTTGTAGGGTTTTTATGGTTTTAGGTCTAACATTTAAGTCTTTAATCCATCTTGAATTAATTTTTGTATAAGGTGTAAGGAAGGGATCCAGTTTCAGCTTTCTACATATGGTTAGCCAGTTTTCCCAGCACCATTTATTAAATAGGGAATCCTTTCCCCATTTCTTGTTTTTGTCAGGTTTATCAAAGAGCAGATGGTTGTAGATGTGTGGTGTTATTTCTGAGGCCTCTGTTCGGTTCCATTGGTCTATATATCTGTTTTGGTACCAGTACTTTGCTGTTTTGGTTATGGTAGCCTTGTAGTATAGTTTGAAGTCAGGTAGCATGATGCCTCCAGCTTTGTTCTTTTGGCTTAGGACTGTCTTGACAATGCAGGCTCTTTTTTGGTTCCATATGAACTTTAAAGTATTTTTTTCCAATTCTGTGAAGAAAGTCATTGGTAGCTTGATGGGGATGGCATTGAATCTATAAATTACCTTGGGCAGTATGGCCATTTTCACGATATTGATTCTTCCTACCCATGAGCATGGAATGTTCTTCCATTTGTTTGTATCCTCTTTTATTTCATCAAGCAGTGGTTTCTAGTTCTCCTTGAAGAAATCCTTCACATCCCTTGTAAGTTGGATTCTTAGGTATTTTATTCTCTTTGTAGCAATTGTAAATGGGAGTTAACTCATGATTTGGCTTTCTGTTTGTCTGTTAATGGTGTATAGGAATGCTTGTGATTTTTGCACATTGATTTTGTATCCTGAGACTGCTGAAGTTGCTTATCAGCTTAAGGAGATTTTGGGCTGAGATAATGGGGTTTTCTAAATATACAATCACGTCATCTGCAAACAGGGACAATTTGACTTCCTCTTTTCCTAATTGAATACCCTTTATTTCCTTCTGCCTGATTGCCCTGGCCAGAACTTCCAACACTATGTTGAATAGGAGTGGAGAGAGAGGGCATCCTTGTCTTGTGCCAGTTTTCAAAGGGAATGCTTCCAGTTTTTTGCCCATTCAGTATGATATTGGCTGTGGGTTTGTCATAAATAGCTCTTATTATTTTGACATATGTCCCATCAATACCTAGTTTGTTAGCATGAAGGGCTGTTGAATTTTGTTGAAGTCCTTTTCTGCATCTATTGAGATAATCATGTGGTTTTTGTCATTGATTCTGTTTATGTGATGGATTACATTAATTGTTTTGCATATGTTGAACCAGCCTTGTATCCCAGGGATGAAGCCTACTTGATCATGGTGGATAAGCTTTTTGATGTGCTGCTGGATTCAGTTCGCCAGTGCTTTCTTGAGGATTTTTACATTGACGTTCATCAGAAATATTGGTCTAAAAGTCTCTTTTTTTGTTGTGTCTCTGCCAGGCTTTGGTATCACGATAATGTTGGCCTCGTAAAATGAGTTAGGGAGGATTCCATCTTTTTCTATTGACGGGAAAATTTTCAGAAGGAATGGTACCAGCTCCTCTTTTTACATCTGGTAGAATTCAGCTGTGAATCCTTCTGGTCCTGGACTTTTTTTGGTTGGTAGGCTATTAATTATTGCCTCAATTTCGGAGCCTGTTATTTGTCTATTCAGAGATTCACCTTCTTCCTGGTTTAGTCTTGGGAGGGTGTATGTGTCAAGGAATTTATCCATTTCTTCTAGATTTTCTAGTTTATTTGCAGAGAGGTGTTTATAGTATTCTCTGATGGTAGTTTGTATTTCTGTGGGATCAGTGGTGATATCCCCTTTATAATTTTTTATTGTGTCTATTTGATTCTTCTCTCTTTTCTTCTTTATTAGTCTTGCTAGCAATCTATCAATTTTGTTGATCTTTTCAAAAAACCAGCATCTGGATTCATTGATTTTTTTGAAGGGTTTTTTATGTCTGTATCTCTTTCAGTTCTGCTCTGATCTTAGTTATTTCTTGCCTTCTGCTAGCTTTTGAATGTGTTTCCTCTTGCTTCTGTAGTTCTTTTAATTGTGATGTTAGTGTGTCGATTTGAGATATTTCCTCCTTCCTCTTGTGGGCATTTAGTGCTATAAATTTCTCTCTACATACTGCTTTAAATTTGTCCCAGAGATTCTGGTACATTGTGTCTTTGTTCTCATTGTTTTCAAAGAACATCTTTATTTCTGCCTTCATTTTGTTATTTACCCAGTAGTCATTCAGCAGCAAGTTGTTCAGTTTCCATGTAGTTGTGTGGTTTTGAGTGAGTTTCTTAATACTGAGTTCTAGTTTGATTGCACTGTGGTCTGAGAGACAGTTTGTTGTGATTTCTGTTCTTTTACATTTGCTGAGGAGTGCTTTACTTCCAACTATGTGGTCAATTTTAGAATAAGGTCAATGTGGTGCTCAGAAGAGTGTATATTCTGTTGATCTGGGATGGAGAGTTCTGTAGATGTCTATTAGGTCTGCTTGTTGCAGAGCTGAGTTCAAGTCCTGGATATCCTTGTTAACCTTCTGTCTCATTGATCTGTCTAATATTGACATTAGGGTGTTAAAGTCTCCCATTATTATTATGTGGGAGTCTAAGTCTCTTTGTAGGTCTCTAAGGACTTGCTTTATGAATCTGGGTGCTCCTGTATTGGGTGCATATATATTTAGGATAGTTAGCTCTTCTTGTTGAATTGATCCCTTTACCATTATGTAATGGCCTTCTTTGTCTCTTTTCATCTTTGTTGGTTTAAAGTCTGTTTTATCAGAGGCTAGGATTGCAACCTGTGCTTTTTTTTTGCTTTCCATTTGCTTGGTGGATCTTCCTCCATCCCTTTATTTTGAGCCTATGTCCGTCTTTGTATGTGAGATGGGTCTCCTGAATATAGCACACTGATGGGTCTTGACTCTTTATCCAATTTTTCAGTCTGTGTCGTTTAATTGGGGTATTTAGCCCATTTACATTTAAGGTTAATATTGTTATGTGTGAATTTGATCCTGTCATTGTGATGTTAGCTGTTATTTTGCCCATTAATTGATGCAGTGTCTTCATAGTATCGATGGTGTTTACAATTTGGCATGTTTTTGTGGTGGCTGGTACCAGTTTCTTCTTTCCATGTTTAGCGCTTCCTTCAGGAGCTCTTGTAAGGTAGGCCTGGTGGTAACAAAATCTCTCAGCATTTGCTTGTCTGTAAACGATTTTATTTCTCCTTCACTTATGAAGCTTAGTTTGGCTAGATATGGAATTCTGGGTTGAAAATTCTTTTCTTTAAGAATGTTGAATATTGGTCCCCAATCTGTTCTGGCTTGTTGGGTTTCTGCCAAGAGATCCACTGTTAGTCTGAAGGGCTTCCCTTTGTGGGTCACTCGACCTTTCTCTCTGGCTGCCCTTAACACTTTTCCTTAATTTCAACCTTGGTGATTCTGACAATTATGTGTCTTGGGGTTGCTCTTCTCGAGGCATATCTTTGTGGTGTTCTCTGTATTTCCTGAATTTGTATGTTGACCTGCCTTGCTATGTTGGGGAAATTCTCCTGGATAATACCGTGAAGAGTGTTTTCCAACTTGGTTCCATTCTCCCCATCACTTTCAGGTACACCAATCAAACATAGATTTGGTCTTTTCACATAATCCCATATTCCTTGGAGGCTTTGTTCTTTTTTTTTACTCTTTTTTCTCTAACCTCGTCTTCTTGCTTTATTTCATTAATTTGATTTTCAATCACTGATACCCTTTCTTCCACCATATCAAATCAGCTATTGAAGCTTGTGCATGCATCATGAAGTTCTCATGCCATGGTTTTCAGCTCCATCAGGTCATTTAAGTTCTTCTCTACACTGTTCATTCTAATTAGCCATTCGTCTAATCTTTTTTCAAGGTTTTTAGCTTCCTTGTGATAGTTTTGAACATCCTCCTTTAGCTCAGAGTGGTTTGTTATTACTGACCTTCTGAAGCCTACTTCTGTCAATTCGTCAAAGTCATTCTCCGTCCACATTTGTTCCATTGCTGGTGTGGAGCTGCGATCCTTTGGAGAAGAGATGCTCTGATTTTTGATTTTTCAGCTTTTCTGCTCTGGTTTCTCCCCATCTTTGTGGTTTTATCTATCTTTGGTCTTTGATGTTTGTGACCTACAAATGTGATTTTGGTGTAGATGATCTTTTTGTTGATATTGATCCTATTCTTTTCTGTTTGTTAGTTTTCCTCTAACAGTCAGGTCCCTCAGCTGCAGGTCCATTGGAGTTTGCTGGAGGTCCAATCCAGACCCTGTTTTCCTGGGATAGGGCAGCTGTCTATATGAGGTGTCTGTTGGCCCCTACTGGGAGATGTCTCCCAGTTAGGCTACATGGGGGTCAGGGACCCACTTGAGGAGGCACTCTGTCTGTTCCCAGAGCTCAAACACCATGCTGGGAGAGCCACTGCTCTCCTCAGGGCTGTCACACAGGGATGTTTAAGTCTGCAGAAGTTGTCTGCTGCCTTTTTTTCAGCTATGCCCTGCCCACAGAGGTGGAGTCTTGAGGCAGTGGGCCTTGTTGAGTTGTGGTGGGGTCCACCCATTTCGAGCTTCCTGGCCGCTTTGTTTACCTACTCAAGCCTCAGCAGTGGCAGATGCCCCTCCCCCAGGTAGGCTGTGGCCTCGAAGTTGGATCTCAGACTGCTGTGCTAGCAGTGAGCCAGGCTCCGTGGGCATGGGACCCACCGAGCCAGGCACAGGGAAAACCTCCTTGTCTGCCAGTTGCTAAGACCTTGGGAAAAGCACAGTATTTTGGCGGGAGTATTCTTTTTTTCCAGGAAGTCTGTCACGGCTTCCCTTGGCTAGGAAAGGGATATCCCCCAACCCCTTGTGCTTCCGGGGTGAGGTGATGCCCTGCCCTGCTTTAGCTTGCCTTCCATGGGCTGCACCCACTGTCCAACCATCCCAATGAGATGAACCAGTTACCTCAGTTGGAAATGCAGAAATCACCCATCTTCTGTGTTGATCACACTGGGAGCTGCAGACCAGAGCTATACCTATTCGGCCATCTTGGAATGCTCCCCAGTGAGCTTTTTTTCGTATGTTTGTTGGCTGCCTAAATGTCTTCTTTTGAGGAGTGTCTGTTCATATCCTTTGCCCACTTTTTGATGGGGTTGTTTGTTTTTTTCTTGTAAGTTTGTTTAAGTTCTTTGTAGATTCTGGATATTAGCCCATTGTCAGATGGATAGATTGTGAAAATTTTCTCCCATTCTGTAGGTTGCCTGTTCACTCTGATGATAATTTCTTTTGCTGTGCAGAAGCTCTTTAGTTTACTCAGATCCCATTTGTCTATTTTGACTTTTATTGTCATTGTTTTTGGTATTTTAGTCATGTGATCTTTGCCCATGCCAATGTCCTGAATGGTATTGCCTAGGTTTTCTTCTAGGGTTTTTATGGTTTTAGGTCATACATTTAAGTCTTTAATCCATCTCGAGTTAATTTTTTTATAAGGTGAGGAAGGGATCCAGTTTCAGCTTTCTGCATATGGCTAGCCAGTTTTCCCAGCACCATTTATTAAATAGGGAATCCTTTCCTCATTGCTTGTTTTTGTCAGGTTTGTCAAAGATCAGATGATTATAGATGTGTGACGTTATTTCTGATGCCTCTGTTCTGTTCTATTGGTCTATATGTCTCTTTTGGTACCAGTACCATGCTGTTTTTCTTACTGTAGACTTGTAGTATAGTTTGAAGTCAGGTAGCATGATGCCTCCAGCTTTTCTCTTTCTGCTTAGGATTGTCTTGGCTATGCAGGCTCTTTTTTGCTTCCATATGAAATTTAAAGTAGTTTTTTTCAATATTCTGAAGAAAGTCAATGGTAGCTTGATTGAGATAGCATTAAACCTATAAATTACTTTGGGCAATATGGCCATTTTTATAATATTGATTCTTCCTTTCCATGAACATGGACTGTTTTTCCATTTGTTTGTGTCCTCTCTTATTTCCTTGAGCAGTGGTTTGTAGTTCTCCTTGAAGAGGAAAAGACCTACTTTCTTACTCTGGTCACATGGTGCTATGTACAATTATCTGTGTCGTATTGGGCATGCCATTTTATCCTTGGTAAACCTGTTGCCTCATCTGCCAAATGGATTGGACCAGAACATTTTTAAGATATCTTCAGCTTCCACACTCCATGACTATAAGAAAGGGAAGTAGAATGGGAGGATAGAGAAGAAAGGTGGGGTGGATGGGACTTCCCTGAAGAACAGAGAAAACAATTTTTTTGTTGCCCCTTTCTTCCACCCAGAGAATTTCTTGTGCTTTACTGGAGGATGTGTGACTTAGAACAACCTATTGGAAAGCACTTTGACATTATCTTGTACAGCTGAAAATTCTCATGCTCTAAGACCCAGCAATTGTCCTTCTAGGTTTATACCATGAGAAATCATTTGCATGCAGAATAAGAGACACGTACAGGAATGTTTATAGCAATACTAGTGTGGAAGGAAAAATTTGGGAACCTCTCAAATGTCCATCTGAAAGACTAGAGAAATAAATTATCCCAAAGGAAACAATGGCTTCTGATTGTTATTGTAGCCAATTTGAATTTGTTCATGTGGAAAACCTATTGAGTATGTTCTCTTTGCCTGTCACTGTATCAGCTTTGGGTGTTCAACATATCTCTATGGCTAATGCACATTTCCTGCCCTTGTAGAATCCAATATCCTTTTGCTTTTTCTCACAGTATTGACACACTAGTTCAATTTTTCCATTAGTTTTAGAAATAAGGTACTAATATATCAATAGAGTATCTGATCTTGGTGACACTTTCACTGAAACTGTGAAATGCATTATTGTTTTTCATTTAACAGACTAAACTAATTCCTTCTTTTCTTTCCACCTACTTTTTCTCTACATATTTACCTATTTTGGATATGTCATATAAACGGAGACATATAATATGTGGCATTTGGTGACTAGTTTTTTCACTTAGCATAATCTTTTCAAGTTTCATGTGTGTTATACTGCATATCAACACTTTATTTTTATGACTAAATTTTATTTTATTGTTTTGATACACCACATTTTGTTAATCCATTCATCAGTTGATGGACATTTTCATTGTTTCCACTTTTGGGGTATTATGAATAGTGCTGCTATGAACATTTGTGTACAGGTATTATGTGGACAGACATTTCCAATTCTCCTGGGTAAATACTTAGGAGTAGAAGAGATAGATCATATGATAAATCTGTTTATAGCTTTTTGGGGAATTTTCAAATTGTTCTGTAAAGTGGCTGCACCATTTTACAACCCTATCCTCAATATATAAGAACTTCAATTTCTTCACATCTTTTATAACACTTATTATTGTCTGGCTGTATTTTAATCAGTCTATTGGGTGTGAACTGGTATCTTATGCTTTTGACTTGCATTTCTCCAATGTCTAACAATGTTGAGCATCTTTTTATATGAATGTTAAACATTAAGCTTTTGAAAATGTTTAATTTTATTTATTTTTTTACTTGTATTGCAAATTGACAAATTAGAGTTGTATATATTTATACAATATGTAAATTGTATAAAAAGTAAAAAGTGATGTTATGATTCATGAACACACCGTGAAATAATTAAGTCAAGATAATAAACACATCCATCATCTAATATACGTATTCTTTTGGTGAGAACATTTGGAATTTACTGTCTTAGTAATTCTGAAATTTATAATACCCTATTAACTATATTTACCATACTGTGTAATAGATATTTGAAAAACTTTATTTCTTCTATATAACTAAGGTTTTGTATTTTTTGAATATCATATCCCCATTCCCTCCACCACCAGCCTCTGGTAATCACCATTCTATTCCCTGCTTCTATGAGTTTGATTGTTTTAGGTTCCACATATAAGTGAGAGCATGAGGTATTTGTCTTTCTGTGCCTGGCTTATTTCATTTAGGATGATGCTCTCCAATTCTGCCCATGTTGTTGCAAATGGCAGAATTTCTTTATTTTTAAGGTTGAATAGTATTCTCTTGTGTATATATAGCACATTTTTTGATCCATTTACCTGTTGGTGGACACTTAGATTGATTCTATAATTTGGCTATTGAGAATAATGCTGCCAAAAATATAGGAGTGTAAACATGACTTCGACATACTGATTTCAAAAGTTTTGAGTGAATACCCAAAAGTGGGATTGCTGTATCATATGATAAAACTGTTTTTAGTTTTTTGAGGAACCTCCATAGAGCTTTCCATAATGGCTGTACTATTCCACATTTCCATCAGCAGCACACGAGTTCCCTTTCCTCCACATATTGGCCAACACTTATCTTTCATCTTTTTGTTGATAGCCATTCTAACAGGTGTGAAATTATATCACGTTGTGGTTTTAATTTGCATTTTCTTAATGGTTAGTGATGCTGAGATTAAAAAAATATATATTTCTTGGCCATTTCTATTTATTATTTTGAGAAATGTTTATTCAAGTTCCTTGCTCTCCACTTTTTTAAAGAGATGGTGTCTTGCTCTGTTGCCCAAGGCACAGTGCAGTAGTGCCATTATAGCTCACTGTAGCCTCAAACTCCTGGGCTCAAGTGATCCTCCTGAGGCAGGAGAATAGAGAGTTGGAGTAACCAAGGGTTAAGGAAGATGAAAAGAACCAAGGGTTAAGGAAGATGAAAAGAACCAAGGGTTAAGGAAGAGGAAAGCGTTAAGGAAGCAGGTGCAGCCATTTCGCGTAAGTGAAAGAATAGCAGGTGCAGACAGTTCTAGGCAAGATTAGGCAGCATATAGGCCCCATCCTTGCTCTTGTGATAACAAGACAGAAGTTGCCACTTTAGCCTCTGATTGACTGTAGGCCAAGCCTCCACTTCAGCCTCAGATTGGTTGCAGGTCAATCCTTCATAGGGTGAAACCAATTGGAGGCCTTTAAAAGGCACCTGGGGGTGTTGTTAAGTTCTTTTGGCTTTATAAAAACCTCAGGAGCATTGCAATTCAGAGGCTTTTGGGCCGCTTGCTGGAGCCTGCTCCTACTCTGTGAATTGTACTTTTGCTTCTTCAAAGAATCTGTGTCTTTGTTACTCTGTTCTTTTGTTACATTGTTTGTCTTTCGTTGCTTTGCTCTTCCGTTGCTTTGTTTGTGTGTTTTGTTCGATTTTTTGTGCAACACGCCAAGAATCTGGAAAACTCACAGTCAAGACCTTCTAGCTGACATATTTTGGTGAGCCAGCCAGGAGGTAAGCCCAAATTTTGGCATTTATTTTTCCTTCTCTTTCTTTATCAAAGCCATCATTTACAGACATGGATTGGGCAGTTAAAAGCCAGTAGGGCACCTGCTGCTTGAAGTCTCCCATGATAGGATAACTTGGTTATGGAACAGGACATTTAGGTGCTGCTGAGTGCAAGACAAATCCATGCAACAGACAGGTTTTTGTTTGTACGGTGAAATGTCTTTCAGGAGGTTAGAACCCTCCTATGTTCATTTTTAAAAAAATTTTATTTAATTTTATTTTTTGAGACAGAGTCTCCCTCTGTTACCTATGCTAGAGTGCAGTGGCATGATCTCAGCTCACTGCAACCTTCACCTCCTGGCTTCAAGCAATTCTCCTGCCTCAGCCTCCTGAGTAGCTGGGATTATGGCATGCACCACCATGCCTGGCTAATTTTTGTATTTTTAGTAGAGACGTGGTTTCACTATGTTGGCCGGGCTGGTCTCGAACTCCCAACCTCAGGTTTTCTGCCCGCCTTGGCATCCCAAAGTGTTGAGATTACAGGGGATTACAGCCACCGCGTCTGGCCTCTATGTTCGTTTTATTGATGATTTGTGGGGAAAGCAGTAGTGCAGAATTACTTCTTTTTCTTAGAGTGGGGAAAGGGACTTCTGTTTTATGTATTTTTTTTTTCATGAGAACCCATAATTTTTGTTTGTAGAAACAAACCCCGGACTTTGTTAATAGTTTTAAGCTACATTGCAGGGTCCCTTTTTTCATAAAGGTTACAGGATGAAGAAGCTTATTTCACTTGGTAGGAGGCAAAATAGCTGAGTATTGCATCCTGAGATTAAGGGAGTCATAGTAGGTCCATCACTTATGGAGGGAAAACATTCAGAGTAGTGCAATGGCCCACATAATGTCAGAGACATACATCTGACACTCTACAATCAGAGATATCTGAACTAGCTAAAGACTGAAGGGGCCCAGGGCCTTCCTCACTGCCTCTGTCCAGGAACATTCATTACTACTGAGGAGCCCCAGGTAACTCTGGATGTAATGGGTACACAAATTCAGTTTCTTTTTTATACAGGGCTGATTACCCTGTCCTTACTGTTTATGTGGGAAAATGCTCCACTAGGACCACGACTGTTGTAGGAATGGAAGAAAAAAAATAAAGTCAGGCATTTTGCCCCTTCTTTAACCTGATGATTTGAAAAACAAATCTTCCAGCAGGAGTTTGTTACAGAACCAAGCTGCTGTTCACCCTGTTGGGAAGGGATATTGTGGTTAAAATAGGGACACTGCTACAATTTAAGCACTGCCAGGGTCCAATTTTTTTTTCTGCATATGGATATCCAGTTTTCCCAACACTCTTTATTGAAGAGACTATTTTTTTTCCCATTGTGTATCCCTGGCAACTTTTTGAAAATTGATTGACCATACATGTGTGGGTTCCTTGCCCAGCTATCTACTTTGTTCCATTGGACAATATGTCTATTTTTACATCAGTACTATGCTGTTTTAATTACTATTGCTTTATAGTATACTTTGAAATCAGGTAGTGTGATGTCTCCAACTTTGTTCTATTTGCTCATGATTGCTTTAGCTATTCAGGGTTTCTTTTGTGGTTCCATATAAATTTTAGAAGTTTTTTCTATTTCAATGAAAAATGACAATGGAATATTTATAAGGGCTGCATTGAATCTGTAGGTTGCTTTGGATAGTATGGACATCTTAGCAATATTCTTTAAATTTATGAACACAAGATGTATTTTCATTTATTTGTGTCTTCTATTTCATTAACATTTGTAGTTTTCAGTGTACAGGACTTTCACCTCCTTAATTAAATTTATTTCTAAATATTTTTGTAGCTATTGTAAATAGGGATTGTTCTCATGATTTCTTTCTCAGAATGATCCATATATATAGAAACACTAGTAATTTTGTGTGTTGATTTTTATATCCTGCAACTTTACTATCTTTATTTATTATTTCTAACAATTTTTGATGGAATCTTTTGGGTTTTCTGTATATAAGGTCATGTCATTAACAAACAGCAACAATTTTACTTCTTTCATTTCTATTTGGATGATGTCTTTTATTTTTTTCTCTTGCCTAATTGCTCTGGTAAGGACCTCCAATACTATGTTGAATTTGAAGTGGTGAGAATGTGTATCTTTGTTTTGTTTCTGATCTTGGATAAAAGGGTTTCAGTTTTTCACTGATTAGTATAATATTAGTTGTAGGGTCTATAAATAGCCTTTATTGTATTGAGATACATTTGTTTCTGTATCTAATTTCTTGAGAGTTTTTTTTTTTATCATGGAAGGAAGTAGAATTTGGTGAAATGCTTTTTCTGCATTTAGTGAGATGATGCGGTTTTTGTCCTTCAGTCCGTTAAAATGATGTGTCACATGTATAGATTTGTGTGTGTTGAACCATCATTACATCCCAGGCATAAATTCCACTAAGTCAAGGTGAATGACCCTTTTAATGTGTTGTTGAATTCACTTTGCTAGTATTTTGTTGAAGATTTTTGCATCTATGTTCAGTAAGCATATTGGCCTGTTATTTTCTTTCCTCATTATTGACATTTAAAAAACTTCTTTGGAAAAATGTCTATTCTAGTCGTGGTCCATATTTAATGAGCTGCTTTGTCCTTTTGTTGTTGAGTTGTATGAATTGTATATATGATAAATTCTGTATGAAAGTATATGTCTGATTAATTCTTATCTGCTATGTCTGATAATGTTCTTATCCGACGTATACTTTGCAAATATTTTCTTATTCTGTGGGCTTTCTACTACCTTAAAGTGCCTTGAAGCACAAAATTTTTTAACATTAAGTTCAGTCTGTTTTCTTTTGTTGCTTGTTGTTTTGGTATTATATTTAAGAATCCATTGCCTAATCTGAGACCATGGAGATTGAATGCTAGGTCTTCTAAGAGTTTTATAATCTTAGTTGTTACATTTAGTCTATAATTTTTGCTTGTGGTGTGAGGTAGAGAAACAACTTCAATCTTTTCATATTTTATTGTTGCAGTACTATTTATTAAAAAGACTATTCTTTCCTCATTGAAAGGAAAGAATATTTCCTTTATTTCTGGACTCTGAATTCTGTTTGGTTGAATTATATGTTTATCCTTATGCCAGTGATACACTCTATGGGTTACTGCTATTTTATAATAAATTTTGAAACCAGAAAATGTAAATTCCCAACTTTGTTCTTTGTCAAGATAGTTTTGTGATTCCGAATTCCTTGCATTTCTATGTGGATTTTAGGATCAGCTTGTCAATTTCTGCAAAAAACGAAGTTGAAATTTTGTTAGGTATTGCATTGAATCTGTAGATCAAATTCAGCAGTATTGTCATAACAAAATTAAGTCTTCCAATCCATGAACATGGAATGTACACCCATCAATTTAGGTCTCCTTCTAGTTCTTTCAACATTGCTTTGTTGTTTACACTGTATAACTCTTGTTATTCTTTTTTTAAATTTATTCCTAAGCATTTTGTTTTTATTACGTGATGATAAAATGGAATTGCTTTCTTAATTTCCTTTTGACATTGTTCACTGCTATCTTTCAACCTTGCTCAGCTTGTTTATTAATTGTAATATATATGTATATATACACACATATATATTTCAACCTTGTTCAGCTCATTTGTTCTAATATACATATTTTCTATTTTGGGATTCCTTAGTATTTTTTATATATAAGATTCTGTCATTAGCTGGGCATGGTGGGATGTGCCTTCAGTCCCGTCTACTTGGGAGGCTAAGATGGGAGGATCGCTTGAGCCCAAGAGGCTGAGACTGCAGCTAGCCCTGATGGTGCCGCTGTACTCTAGCCTGAGTGATATGAAACCCCATCTCAAAAAAAAAAATAAAATAAAATTCATGATGTCACCTGTGAATAGACATAGTTTTTCCTCTTCATTTCTAATCTGGATGGCTTTTATTTCTTGTTGTCTAATTGCCCTGGATAGAAACTTCAGTACAAAGTTGAATGGAGGTGACAATCAATAATGGATATCTGTGTCTTGTTTTTGATCTTAGAGGAAAAAAATTCAGTATTTCAGTGTTAAGTATGAAACTAGTGGTGAGTTTTTCCATATATATCCTATGTCAAGTTGAGGAAGTTCCCTTTGTTCCCAGCTTGCTGTGTATTCTTTATTATGAGAGTGTTGTATCTTGTAAATGCCTTACCTGCATTGACTGAGTTGATTTATATGGGTTTTGTCTTTATTTTGTCAACATGGTATTTTACACTGATTGATTTTCATAGGTTAAACCATCATTGCACTCTTGGGATAAAACGTACTTGGTCATGGTATATAATCTTTTTTTTTTTAAATATGTTTCTGGATTCTATTTGCCGGTATTTAATTAAGAATTTTTGCATCTACATTCATAAGGGATATTGCTCAATAGTTTTCTTGTGATGTCTTTTTCCGGTTTTGTAGAAGGTCAATAATGGCCTTATAAAATGAGTTTAGAAGTATTACCTTCTCCCCTTTTGGAAGAAAGTTTTGGAAGAGTTCTTTAAGAATTGCTGTTCTGCTTGTGGGAACTAGGTGAAAAACAAATGGTGTTAATTCTTTAAACATTTGGTAGAATTTATCAGTGAAGCCTTATAGGCCTTTGTTTTTATTGTGGAAAATTTTTGATTAGTAATAAAATCTACTTTTCATAGATGTATTTATATTTTAATGTTTGAGTCAGTTTTGCACTTTTTTCTGATAATATACTGTATTTACATATTTCCTTAATATAATTTAATAAAAATATTTGCTTAGGTGTACCTAACCTTCTGTGTATACCTAACCTTATTTTTTCCCTTCCTTTTTTCCTTCCTTCCTTCCTTTTCTTTCTTTCTTTCTTTTTCTCTTCCTTCTTCCTTCCCTCCCACAAATATTCATTGAGGGTTTATCATATACCAGTATGTGTTTTGAGTACTGAGTATGATGGTAAACAAAACCAACAACATTTTTTACCTTAAAAAATCTGCATTCTCTGTGGAGATATAGATGATACACAAACAAATGAATACACACACACACACACACACACACTCGCACACACTAATGAATGCCAGGCAGTGACATGTGTAATGAAGAAAACTGTCAGAGCTCAGGGTAAAGAGACAAAGAGTTAAGGAGGTGATGGTAGGAAAGCACTTAACCATAAAAATTTAATTAATAGGTGATAGACACAAAAATGGAAAGAGAGATAAATATTAATACATGAGTACTGATATTTGCTTGCTTGTTTGTTTTAAAGCAGAAAATTATTTACTTTTTGGACCAATTTATTAGATTATTTAAAAAGACTTTAAACAAAGTTACTTATACACATTCTTATTGAACATAAATTTAGCTGAATTTATTTAAAAATAAAAAATTGAAACTCTCCTTAGCACTAATTTAGTGTCCCCACTGTATGCTGAGATGAGAGACATGAATCTGAGATTTTAGCAGTTGTCTTCAGTTCTCATGAGCATCTCAAAGTTTGAGCATTTCACAAAGATGACTGCTTTTAATGTTTAGAGTTGCTGGAAAGTAGTATTTTCAAAACTAATTCTGAAGGTACAAAATTTTCACCATGTGTTCTTACTTTAGAATCTAAGGAAACTTTTCCATGTTTCTTAAGGCACAGATTGTATCATTAATGCCATATAGCTTCTCAAGTTACATTGGAGAGTTGTGGACCCTCTGATAGCTTCCCAATTTTATTCCTGTTATTTATACAACTTTAGCTCTCTAAGATTAAATCCAGGTTGATGTAATCCATTGCTCAATAGATATATCCAGCTGGGAGAAAAGAATCTCATTTGAACTCCATGAAGTAAACAAACAAAATAATGAACAAGAGAGTTGATTGAATGGTGGATTATGCCAGTGGTACCTAGCAGGACAATACTGGACACATAGGAAAGGTTAGTGGTTGGTTGAATGACAGCCTGTGAAATGGTTCCATATATAATGAGCTTTATGAATATTTCTGCATGTATGCTTTTACTTCAGGATGAAGGCCCTTAGAGTCATGTTATTTCTCAGTAAAAAACAGGAATGAGATTCCAAAGTAATTTTTTTGATTTTTTTTTGTACAATTTATACCGTAACTAATTTTGATAAAGAATTGTTTTAGAAAGTAGCAACTGAGTACTTCCTGCCATATTGAATACTTCTTAAGAGGTTTAATTGACAATATTGGTATACTGCCAAAGGCTGTTGAATATAGTAGCTCCCTGGTGAACAGGGCTGCAACTTGAAAATTAGGTCTCTATCAAAAGCTAAAGGGTATATTTTTCTAAATTCTATATTTCAAATGCTACATAATTCTCTAAGCTTATTGTTAGAAAAGAAACTCAGAGGCCCTAAACCTCATTTGCTTTGATTATTATGTGAAGAAAATTAGTATTTGAAAATACCACAATCACAGTCATTAGACCTTTAATTCAGACTTTGGATTACTCTATGCTATATCTGCCCCTCTCAACAATAGTCTTGGGTGTTTTGCCCAAGCCTGGAATTGCAGGATTTTGACATTAGAATACACCTAGAATGAACTGCCTCAAAGTAAATCTTTTGCAAGATGGTATCGAGCCCATGCTTGAATACTTTGGGGTAATGAGAAACTTATTAATTACCCAGAATTCATTTCACTTTTGTGGGGCTCTGAACAATGAACCAAAACATACCTCAATGCAACCTACAACCATTGGCTTATTTTTGCTCTCTAGATACATGTCTTCCAGATATTTAAGACAGCAATCATTTTCCTCTAGATTCTCATTTTCATCCTAACTAAATGTCACTCAAAAATTTATAAAGTTTCTAACTTTTAAAGCAAAATGTTTCCCCTTATAACTGAAACCCAAATTACATTTATTCTTGTGTAAAATGTGGGACAGCTGAGTCATACAATTACAGTGCTAAAATCATCTGAACGAAGAGATGGGTCTTCAAATAATCTAGCCAAGTCATTCTCATCTCTTGTTAATAGGTCACAGTGGTTTGTTGATTTCATTTTCTGATGTGACAGAATATGATCTCATTTCAACTGCATGATGTGGGGAGAATTGACTGTGCTTCCAGATTTGCAGAACCAGATTTGAGAGGGAATCCTGGCTTTTGGAGACTCATTTATCATAGGGAATAGAAAGTTTCACTTTCACTTTGGCCCTGTTCTAGATGTGGAGTTTTTCCTCCAAGCCTACTCCAACTGTCACAAAAATGTGATGGATCTAAGACAAGTTTATACTAATGATCTATGGAGGTTAGGGGGAACAGCTGAGCCCATAAACCCTATTCTTCATTAACCACTTTAAAAAAAATCAAGTTTCAAGTCATTTAACCTTCTAGCATGTATGCACATTGTAGCCACACAATTACAAGAGCTAAAGCAACATAACTGTGAGGCTATATCATGGCAAAGCAACTAAAAGCTCAGTGACTCCATTAAAATTTTAAAGGAGTTAATCCTCTGGGAAGTGTTCCTATTAATTAAGTGAAGGTAAAATAAAATAGGTTTTACATTTATTCTCTGCAAGGAAGAAGGAGAGCCATAGCCTGAATGCAGAGGAGCTGTGTGATCATAGGTAAATACATCACCTCCTCAAGCAGTCGAAGGGTGAAAATTTTAGACCATTTATCTGCAAAGCAAACTAGGCCAATATTTGTTCATTCTTTCCTGGAAAAGTGAGGGTTTCATTCAAAAGTTTTTCACAAGGTCATAGGAATTTAACTCTTACAGACCCAGAATGCAACATAGGAGACAGAAGGCCAAGCCTCAGTTGATACTGAGTTCAGTAATGATGCATCATGGAATGAATTAGAGAGGGAAACATTGTCTGGTGGAGTAGATCAATGGCCATCCCAAAAACAGATTTTGGACCTTCTGTTCCCAATCCCCACCACATGTATATCATCTAGATATTTTGCATGCAATTTTTGAATTTATGGAGTAATAGAGGGGGTATCCAATGGAGAAATCTGGTGTGCATGGGTTTCTCAAACCTGCTTGAAAAGATAACCCCTTTGCCAAGGTGTACAATACACAGACCATATATATATATATATTTTTTGAGACAGAGTCTAGCTGTCACCCAGGCTGGAGTGCAATGGCAGGATCTAGGCTCACTGCAACCTCCGCCTCCTAGGTTCAAGTGATTCTCCTGCCTCAGCCTCCCAAGTAGCTGGGACTACAGGTGTGTGCCACCACGCCAGGCTAATTTTTGTATTTTTAGTAGAGATGGGGTTTTGCCATATTGGCCAGGCTTGTCTTGAACTTCTGACCTCTTCTGAAATTTTTCAAGGAAGAAAGACTGCAAAGAAAATGATCTATATTTTCTGTTTACCGTTGGTCTTTGGAGAGAGGAAATGTGTGCTCTATCAGTTTTAAGATGAACAATTAAGTAACAAATGAAATTTAAAAGTGAAGGCAAATGTTAATGAGGGAAAAATGTTGATGGAATGTGTCTTAGTTCAGGTTCCTTAAAAATAGTGTGAGGCAAGGATTCTTAAACAGTTGATTTATTGAAGTAGAAATGTGTAAGGAAACAAGGGAAGCAGATACTACAAGGAAGAAGCAGAGATGTGGGTATAGCTGAAATGAAGCCCCAACCTAATTCATGGGGAGGTGTGAGGTGTAAATGCCACTGCAAAATTGGCCTGTCTCAAGACAAGGACACTGGCCTTTTGCTCCTGTGCAGTGGCCATTCACTGACTACAGGACATCCCACAGGGAAGGCATAACCTTCCAGATATTTCTGAGTGAGGCAGCCTCTATTAGCAAAGGGAAATTTTCAGAAGGGAGTAGTTAACAGCTAACACTCACAACAACTGGGAGATGGGTGTGCTGGCCTGTTAAAGGAAGTCTAGATGCCTCATAAGAGCAGAAGAGTCAGGCAAGCAAATTTATTAGAATATAGATACAAAAGGAAACAGTCAAAATCAAAGTGAAAAAATAATGAATAAAAAGAAACCACGGGGATCAAAACAAAAGAAAGAGGAAGATGTGTCTTAGAAAAGTCGTGATTAAAAGAGTATAGAAAGAAGCAAGTAGCAGAGTAGACAAAAATGAGAGACAAAGAAGGATACAAAGGTCTTGGGGACAGGACCAATATCTGTACTGTCACAGAGAAAGTGAAATGGTCGTTTGGAGGAAAGTAATACTGTTTTCTTTGTTTGTTTTTTTCTTATTTTCAGTTTTTGAGACAGAGTCTCACTCTGTCACCCAGGCTGGAGTGCAGTGGTGTGATCCTGGCTCACTACAGCCTCTGCCTCCTGGGTTCAAGCGATTCTCCAGCCTCAGCCTCCTACGTAGCTGGGATTACAGGTGTGTGTCACCACACCCGGCTAATTTTTGTATTTTTAGTAAAGATGGGGTTTTACCATGTTGGCCAGGCTGATCTCAAACTCCTGGCCTCAAAGTGACCCGCCCACCTGGGCCTCCCAAATTGCTGGGATTACAAGCATAAGCCACCATGCCCGGCCAATGATACTGTATTGTATACTTGAAATTTGCTAAGACAATAGATCTTAAATGCTCTTATCACTCATACACACACACACACACACACACAGAGGCAACTATGTGAGGTGATGAATCCAAGTAAAAAAAAAAAAAAAAGAAATTTGTGTGAAATCCTAGAAGGAAGAGAATTCTAGATTGAACTAACATTTATTAAGAGACAACCATCTGCCAACTGCTTTCTACAGCCACTATCCTATTTTACGGAAGAGAAAATTGAGGCTTGAAAGAAGTTATGTAAAGGACGCAAGAAAGTGGTAGAGTAAGAAAGTGATACTATGTACTTGAACTCTCAGCCCTGGACTTTTTGCAGTTTGCCCATCACGTGATTGATTTAATAAGAACATATGAGCGGTGAAAGGGTTACCTGGTGTGAATTAAGGGTAGAGGAACATGAAGGTTGAGAGTGACCTTGGTCTACAAGGAGAAGGGAGTCTTAATGTAAATTGGTAGAGATCAACATGAAGCAGAGAGGCTGTAGAGGAAGAGTTGTCCATGCCACTGATGTTTTTATGGGAGGATGGCACTCTCTTCATCTTTTGTAATCAAACCAAAGAAAATATATTAGAGAGGGTTGTCAGAAAAGATACCTACATCAGTCTTCTGTTGGATGGCATTAGTTAGGAGCTAGGTTGGAGGCCCATGCTGCTAAATTAATGAATATATCTTAATGATTCTTATCCAGGAAAGAAACCCAAACACTGATTTCAGTGGAAGGATCTTGCAGTAGTAGAAGATGAAATAAAGTGGTGGGCCACAAAGGAATGACTGGATGCTGACATCCCTGGGAGGCATTATGGAGTAGAAGATTGATCTGTAAAGTGGGACAATTCAAGCACCAAAAGGCCAACTATTAACCTGCAAAAAGAGTCATAGAAGTTATATTTAAAATCCCTTGCAATCTAGAGCATATAAGAAACCACATAAACCTTTCTAGGCCAGGCATGGTGGCTCACGCCTGTAATCCCAGCACTTTGGGAGGCCGAGGCGGGCAGATCATGACGTCAGGAGATCAAGACCATCCTAGCTAACACAGTGAAACCCCGTCTCGACTAAAAATACAAAAAATTAGCTGGGCATGGTGGTGGGCGCCTGTAGTCCCAGCTACTTGGGAGGTTGAGGCAGGAGAATGGCATGAACCTGGGAGGCAGAGCTTGCAGTGAGCCGAGATCATGCCACTGCATTCCAGCCTGGGCGACAGAGCGAGACTCCATCTTAAACAAAAAAAGGGCATATAAAACTTTCTAATAAACACTTAAATACAGATTGAGAGACATACCTTCATTCAGGCTATATATCAAATAGTGAGGGCCTCTTGAGAGAAAGTGGATGCCTTACATTCATTTTCTCTCATCATTATGCAATGCCAAGTGGATTCTTAGCTAATGTTTAGTTTTAACCAAACCATCACTCACAAAATGGCTCCTCAAGACTTCTGCAAAGTGTGGATTTAAGAGGATTCTAATAATATAAACATAATAAAGAATGACAAAATAGATGACATGCATTTTTATTTTTAAAATTTTATTTTGAATTCGGGGGTACATGTACATGTTTGTTACTTAGGTATATTGTGTGCTGGTAGGGATTGGACTTCTAGTGAACCCATTACTTAATGAGTGAACTTTGTATCCGATAGATAATTTTTCAACCCCCTTCTCTACTTTTGGAGTGCGCAGTATCTATTATTTCTATCTTTATGTCCATATATAGCCATTATTTGGCTTCCACTTGTAAATGAGAGCATGCAATATTTAATTTTCTGTTTTTGAGTTAGTTCACTTAGGGTAATGGCCTCTAGTTCTATCCTTGTTGCTGCAAAGGACATGATTTCATTCTATTTTATGGTTATATAGTATTCCATGATATGTATAGATGTATAAATATATGTATAGATGTATACACATGTATACATCTATACATACACACATATGTGATACATGTGTATACACACAGATTTTCTTTATCAAGTCAACTGTTGATGGACACTTAGGTTGGTTCTGTGAATTGGCTATTGTGAATAGTGCTGCAATGACGATACAAATGCAGGTGTCTTTTTTATATAATGATCTATTTTCCTTTGGATAGATACCCAGTAGTGAGATTGCTGAGTCAATTAGTTATATTTTTAGTTCTTTGAGAAATTTCCATACTGTTTTCCATAGAAGTTGAACTGATTTATATTCCCACCAACTGTGTATAAGTATTTCCTTTTCTCCACGTCCACACCAACATTTGTTGGTTTTTGATTTTTCAATATTAGCCATTCTGTCTGGTATAAGGTGATATCTCATTGTGGTTTTAATTTGCATTTCTCTGATTACTGATGTTGAACATTTTTTCATATGTTTATGGACTACCTGTACTACTTCTTTTGAGGTGTCTGTTCATGTCCTTTGCCCAACAGTGTATAAGCCAGTTTTTAATAAGGTGTTTTTTTCTTTTTTCTCATTGTTTGAGTTCCATGTAGATTTTGGATATAATCCTTGTCAGAGGCATAATTTCCAAATACATTCTCTTGTTCTGTAGATTATACGTTTACTCTGTTGACTATTTCTTTTGCTGTGCAGAAGTCCTATGTGTCTTTTAAAAATGGCTGTTGCATTTGCTTTTGTGATCTTCATTATAAATTATTTTTCTAGGCCAATGTCCAGAAGAGTTTTTCCTAGGTTTTCTTCTAGGATTTTCATAGTTTCAGCTTTACATTTAAGTCTAATCTAATATATCTTGAGTTAATTTTTCTATATGGTGAGAGATAGGAGTCTAGTTTCATTCTTCTGCATATGGCTGGCCTGTTTCCCAGTATCATTTATTGAATACGGTCTTCTTTCTCCATTGTTTATTTTTGTCAACTTTGCTGAAGATCAATTGTTTGTAGGCATATGGCTTCATTTCTGGCTTCCCTATTCTGTTACATTGGTGTATGTGTCTATTTTTGTACCAGTACCATGCTGTTTTGTTTATGCTAGCTTGTAGTGTAGTTTGAAGCCAGGCAATGTGGTGCCTCTGGATTTGTTCTTTTTGCTTAGATTGCTTTGGATATTCTGGAGACATGAGTTTCATTCTTACTTCTTTACTGGTATTATGATATTTTTAAAAAACTACTCATATTTAAAAAGTGACCTAAAATAATTAGAACTTTATATATTGGGTATCTAGATTATTATAGGTATGACTAATCAGAAAAGTTAAAAAATTATTGGTAGAGCACTATTCACTATCCACTGTTTGCCTCAAGGGCAGACAAGTCTGTGGTGCTGTTTATGACCCAGCAGCTCCCTTGGATCAAACCAAGTTTGACTTTATCCTGCTTCCTTATCTTCTACTACTTAGCTCCCTAAGCAGAAAACATTGTATAAAAAAAGACACCTGCACTAGTTTGCCCCAGGGTCTGAGTTTTAAGTAACCTAGGACAAGTTAGAGAGCTTCTGTGTACTTCAGTTTTCTCATCTGTGAAGTAGGGACAATAATCTCAGATCTTAAAAGAGGTAAAGTTTTAAAAGCACATAGGTTGGTTCCTGGCACAATTGGTATGTAAAAATAAATTAGCTCCCTTTGTTTTCCTTTCTAGCCAGTCCAGTATTGAATTTTATCATGTTTTTGTTTCTCTAATCCAGTATTAAGTAAGCAATGTAAATTAAATCCCAGGAAGATATCTGTAATTTAATTAATTTTTGTCTCATTTCATTTGAAACTAGAATGGGGGCCAGCAGTCATCATGAAATGCATCCTTTATACTGGAGTCAGGCATAAAGAAATGGGTTAATAAGCTTGTATCATTGAAATCAATAATTGCTAGTAGTGTGTTGCCATGCTTGCTGCACTTTTTACTGATACTAATACATGCATAATATTTGACTTGTGGAAACAGACTGAAAAATGTGGGTTTCATCAGATTTCAGGTTGGGTTCTCCAAAAGCAGAGCCTTACACAAGGATTTTGTGCTTGTGGCTCATTGAGGGTATTTTCACAAAACAAAAGACAACCAACAAGCCAGAGAAGAAAAAACTCCCATCATCATAAGGAAGGGAGCTAAGTAGAATAAGGCAGGGGAAGGGACAAAGCAAGGTAAAGTCTAAACATGGTCTGTTCCAAGGGGGGCTCTGGGTCATAAAAGCACCACAGAATTGTCTGGCCTTGAGGCAACTAAATAGGTCAGTAGCCAATAAGATGGCTACTTATTTTGGGGGAGGGAGGTGAGGGAGGACTATAACTTCCCTCCCCAGGTGACTGCTATCAGTCTGGGGTGAATTTTTCAGAGAAGAAGGCAGCTGTGAGCTGCTAGTAGCCAACACTCACTGCAGCTGAGGAATTAGTGCCCAGGTCTGTTAAAGAGGGTGTGGGTGGGGCACACAGTGTCTTCAACCTACCATCAGATGAACAAATCTAAGTTTTCAGGAGAACCTTCTTACTGTCATATGTATGTATCGGCAACACGATGTATTGTGTTTAGTGCAATAGTAAGCCTCCTCTTCATAGCCCACAGTATTGCTGTCCAATAGAATATAAAATGGAAAATAAAAGTATTTTTAAATTTTCTAGTTGCCTCATTAAAAATTAACATGAAACAGATGTACTTAAATAATATATTTCACTTTAATTCAATATATCCAAACATTATCATACTAATATGTAATCTAAAGCTTATTAATGACATTTTCATTCTTATTTTAGCAGTAACTGTTCAAAATCTGGGGTGATTTTAAAATGTAGTTGAGGGCTATTATATTGAACAGCACTGGACCTCAGAGTCTATAGGAGTGGTCGACTTCAAAGCTGTTGCTTTGTTGTCAGATCTTAAGCAATAAATTCTGATTTTATTCTTCATTGACAGCATACACTTGAGGAAGTAGGGTAAAGTGATAGGCATACCTTTTAGGAGAAGTAGGGAAACATGGGCTTTGGAGTTAAGTAGGCCTGGTTCTAAATTCTCATTCTGCTACTTCTGATCTTGGCTAATGTATTTGCCCCAATTTATTAGACTCTGTTTCCTCAAATGAGAAATAGCATAATATTTACACGGCAGAGTTAAGCATTAAAGAAAATGTGCCCTAAGTTTCCAACGCACACCTGGTCTGAAAGAGGTGCTCAGTAAGCCAGCAGTTAGTGCCTTCTCCTATGGCTGATGGAGTGTGTGTCTCCATGTGGAGAAGAAATGTAGATTAATCTTCCTCCATTTTCTCTCACTTGTGTGCTCTCCATCTCTTCATTACTTTTATTTTTCATTGCGTATTCTCACTTTCTGCTTTCTTTCCTATTCTGTATCTTTTCATTCAAAAATGAATTTATTATCATTCTTATGTTTATTTAGAGATAGTGTCTTGCTATGTTGCCCATGCTGAATTTGAACACCTGTGCTTTAAGTAATTGATCCTCCCACGTCAGCCTCCTGAATAGCTGGGACTATAGACGCTTACCACAACACTCAGCTTTCACTCACAAATTTAAATAAAACATTGTTTTGAGGCTAAATTATTTTATTACAAAGATTTTCAAAGATTAAAACTGCCTTAGAGGCCTAGTTCAAGTCCCATCTTATTTTAGAGATGAAGACACTTGTTTGAATGCTTCTTTCCTTTCTTGTTTCCTTCCTTCCCTTTCTCTGTGTGCTGGCTCCCCTCTGTAAGCTCATGGTCTTCACTATGAAAATCGTCTTGGGTTTTGATGTTGGTTATTTTTGCAAGGCAGACCACTGGAACCATAGTTTAACAAATAAAAGATCAGCTCCTCTTACACTTTATGCCAAAACAAGCCTTGTGAGCATTACAGAAAAACAATCAACAAACATTACTTCCATGATTAATCACTGTAATGAATATTAATAACACAGCTGATATGAGCTCAGCTTTCTTTCATTTACTAACATTGAAGGTTCTTAAATGTTTGCAATTTAGTTCACATGCTTCTTTTTAAGTTAATTTTTTGCTTGAGTAATGCTCTAGGAAAGAACAACAGCCAAATCTGAGTGGCTTTGCAATTGGTAGTGGTCTTATGTAAACAGAAGCCTTCATATACATTGTAAATTTGCCCATGGTTCACACTTATTAAGTGTTCTCAGTGAACTATGAGCACATTTACAACACTGGGCAACACTGTCCAATAGAAATATAATGTTGATCACATGTGTAATTTTAAATTTTCTAGTAGCCACATTAAAAAGTAAAAAAAGACAAAAATTAATGTAAAAAATATATTTTATCTAACTTAATATGATCCAATAAGTAACATATTTTCTCAGTACATCTATAGCCAACCCTCCTAGGTTTTCTTGAAGAAAATGAAAATTGTATTCTGAATGATTTACAGAAGTCAAGCCCCATTATAGTAAGCAAAACTTGATAGACAACTTCTCCAACTCTGAACATGAGATGGTCAAAGCAAGGTTAGACCTATGATAATTAGGGTGGTCGGGTTCAGATATATCTAACTTCTGGAGGTTGTGTAGGAGGGCAGGAAGTCATGCTTAGACAAGGAATGAGCTAATTAATGATCCTATTTAAAGGTCAGCCATTTACTTTTTCAATAGCCTAGTGACATTTATCCTAAGTCACTTAAGAAATGTTATAAAATGTCACAGATTCATGTAGCATTGCCATATGGAGGGCTTGGATCCTAAAATTGGTCTGCACAGGACTGTGTCTCTATATTGATAATATAATCAGAGGAAGCTGTTTCGGTTAGAACAGGAATTGCAAGTTAGCATCCGCATTTTGACAGCTTAATTTTATTCAGTAGTCTAATTCTCTGCAGAACTTATAGATCCTCATACTGATTTGCCAGAATGGGGGAATTTTGTCCATTAAAATGTGATTTAGGATTGGGAGCACAAAGTGGCCTTCTAAGATCTCATGCCAGAGACTGACACAGATACAAGGGAATGGATGAATTTAGGGTGTCAAATTGTTGATGCATTCACACTTTTAATATTTGACAGGACTACAAACAAAAACGTTTTTCTGTGTAGTAAATTAGTTCTATTACTAGATAAATTCCCTTAAGTAATGGAGATTGTGAAAAATGTTACAGAAATTCTAGAGGAGGATCAAAGTTGAGGAGGAAGTAACAGTGACCAGAGTTGGAAAATAACTATTAAGGTGGAACCAAAAAACTCAGAAGATTGACAAAATGTCAGACTAGCAAATGTGGTAGACATTTTCTGTGGCCATCCATCATCCTGTTTATCTTCTTTTGGCAGTATTACCCTGAATTCCATAGGAAAAATATTTCTTCCCCATTGCATAGTATCTGTGGTAGGATTGTCAACCGCATGTTCTTGCACTGCACTACCCTAGGAAAGTAGTGGACTCATGTTCCAAGCCATGTTGATTGGTCTTTCCATCCTGACTTTCTGAGTTCTGAGTGGACAGATTCAATGGCAGAAAAATGACTTGGAACTGATTAATTCTGGGAGCATGCTCTGAAGAGACCATAATCATTTTCTTCCTAGAACCCCTGTTCTGTTCAGTTTCAATTCCAGTTTCTAAGTTTTCCTTTGACTAAGAGTTACACAGTATCCTTCCAATAAATTCCCTTTTGTATACGGCAACTAGAGCCATATTATTAGCTTATCACAGGAGTAAGCAAACCATAGCCCAGGGTTCAATATGGCCCACCACTTATTTTTTTGCAAATAAAGTTTTATTAGAACCCATAAATGTACATGCATTTAAGTATTATCTATGCTTACATGCCATAACAACTGAAGTGAGTAGTTGTGATAGAAATCTTATGACCCAAGAACCTAAAATATTTAACACCTGGTCTTTTAAGAAAAAAATTGCTTACCCCTAGCTTATCAAATGTCTTAGAATGAGTTGTCTCAGAAGCAGACCCTGAAACAAACATTTGATTGCTAGTAGTTTACAAGTTGATCCCATGAGGAGTGAGGAAGTGAGATAAGGAAGAAAACGAAGCAATGAACCCTACATTCCCAAGCAGGTTCCTGCAGTGTGCAAATAGCTCAATACCATTGGAAAACAGCGTAGAAATGTTTCAGAGTTTTTCCACCTGTCGATTGAGTGAGACAGGGTATTTACATACTTACTCCTGAGGCCAGCTTGCAAAGTCATTAACTCTCCTGGGCCTGCCTGGAAATTAGCAGAATGGGCTCCAGCAGACAGGACAAAAGCTCTGTGGCACACACCATCTCTTGCCCCAATTATAGAAGCCTTAGAGTTATAATGCCCAGAAATGGTGAGTGCTGAGAGCTTTATAAGCAGGGCACGAATAGTGTCTGCCACTCCAAAAATCTTAGCTGGTAGGCAAGTTAGAAAACAAGCTCTTGGTGAGATTAATGCCCCTTCTCTTTTCCAGGGAACATAATTGTGTTAGTTCCATCATGATGAATGCAACTAACTCCTTGGGGAGGATGGAGTTGGGGAATATGTGTATTAGAAAAAACATTAGCATCAGAGCCTAGGAAGTTGGATTTTGGTCCTGCTTTGGATTCTATTATTTATTGGCTATGGTAAACTTTAACCAAGTTATCTTTTTTCTCTGGGTATCTCAACCTTCAGCAAACTGGTAGGGGTTTATTTACAGAACAGTTCAGCAGGATTCCAAGAGAATGAGCAGAAGAATGTAAACTCTTGAGGCCTGGGCTCAGCTCTGGCACCCCAAAACTTCCATTGTATTCTACGGCTAAAGCAAAATACAAAAACCAGGTCATATTCAAAGGAAGGGGGAGATAAACCACATTGCACACCACTATTTTGCAGTTATACTTCATTGCAAAGGGGTATGGACACACAGAGAGATGGAGAATGGGAGCTATTTTGCAGTTTGCTGTACAAGCCACGGCAGACTGCACATGGATAGTTGCACCACTGCACGCCCTAGTGTGTGAGTACAATTTCTCTTCAAGTTCCTTTTCTGCTGAACTTTTTTTTTGTTCTTTGTTCTTTGTTCTTTGTTTTTGAGACACAGTCCACCTTCTGGGTTCAAGCAATTCTCCTGCCTCAGTCTCCCGAGTAGCTGGGACTACAGGTGCACGCCACCACGCCCAATTAATTTTTGTATTTTTGGTAGAGACGGGTTTCACCGTGTTGGCCAGGATGGTCTTGATTTCTTGAACTCGTGATCCGCCCGCCTTGGCCTCCCAAAATGCTGGCATTACAGGTGTAAGCCACTGTACCTCACCTGCTATGAGTTCTTCTATTAAATACTTTGAAAATTTAGGAAGAGACAGCAATCAGGTTCATGGTGTTCTCAATAGGGCAGACTTCTCCAACTGTCCCCTGAACCTTGTAGTTATGTGATCAAAAAGCAAATATTTTATCTTTTGACCCTCTAACAGAAATATTATGTGTATATATATATATACACACATAATATTTTATAAATATTAATATATATAAATATATGATGTATATAATTATATAATGTATAATATATAAATAATAACTTATATATATATATATTATATATAAAACCTTTCTTCTTGGGGATATCTTTCCCCTTGTTAATAGAATATGGAAATAATCAGAACAAATAGTTTCTCCTTACCAGGGATCTAGCATTTGAGTGCCAGAGTTAAGGACCAGAAACTAGAAGTTTTCAGTTCATTGGCACAGTTATACCTAAAATAAGAAGCACTGAATTCATTAGTCATGCTTCCTGGCTGTCATTTTTGATTTGGGCATCCAGTTTCAAGGAAAGAGGTAGCATGGCAAGGAAACTGGAAAACACATGGGCTGTTGAGTCAAATGGGCTATATTCCATCTACCCCTTGCTAGCTATTTACTTTGTAGTGAAGGGAACATTCCATCTTGAACCCCAGGCTGGCTGACATTTTAGGGTGTATTAGGGGGAGATAGTAGAGCAGGAACAATTCAGGCATGTCTGTAGGGAAAATTTATCCTAGGGAAGTTGAAGTTTAGATCCACAGGCTTGGGCCCAAATTTATTCTAGGGATCCACAGGCTTGGGCCCTACTGATGATTTCATTGTAAGAGATAGGGGATGTCTTGAATGGAAAGCTCATTGTCCGTACTTAGACTTGTCTTCCTGCCCAGCACTATGGACTTAGAGCTAAACTCCATGGAGAGGAGGCTTCAAGTAAAATTCTGAGGGTTGTTATCCCCTATCTGCAAGACATTAGAGTTTCTGGTAGCAATGCTGGTAATTCTCTAATAGGAGAGGCACAAAAGGAAGATGAACACAGCATAACTTGCAGGTGGAGAGGGCTTCAGATGACAGGCCAGAGCAAGAAGTGTGGAGAAAACCGAGGAGTTAGAAAGCAATGGATACCAGCTTTTTCCTAGAAAATGGCAGCAGCAGAGTAGGGTCTGGGGACCTTGTCTAGCTAAGATGTCAGCAGATGTCACTGAGAGTATCCAGATAGATTGAGGAGGAATAAGTCAGCACACATGAGACACTCTCTGGGGGCTAATTTTCAGTAAAGTTTTTGTTAGAAGAGGGCATCCTTCATTGGCAGCTGGTGCAACTGGTGTTAACGTCAGAGAAATATGGATTCTGAATGACTATGTCATGCCAGAGGAAAAAGGCATGGAGCTCGTGCCAACATGTACAGCACTATAGTTGGCAAGTCATTATACCTACCTAAAAAGAGTCCAGAGTCCAGTGGGAGAGACAAGATTGCGAGAGATCTATTCATTAAGGTTGGCAGCAAGGGCAGGGGGGTGGAAAGGAGATCAAGGCAACTCCACCTGGCTGGAAATGGGATGGTCAGGCAAAGCTTCAAAGTGCAATGTGGGCACAGTGCTTGAAGGGTGAACAGCAGTTTGTCAAGCAAAAGAGGATCTGCGAATGTGTGCATATGCATGTGTACACACGTGTGCATGCTCTCTTTTACTTCCCTGTGCCTAAGTCTTATCTCCAGCTTGGGGTTATTTATGCTCTATATGTTGGTTGTGAGAATGGAGCACAATAACATATGTAAAAATTCCTTTGCAAATGATCAAGTATTAAAAAGGTCATTTAATGATGATAAAAGTAGTACAGTGAAAGCCTTGTTAATACTGTATCATTCAATCAAGTCTGTGGCAATGGATAATATTACTGAAGCGTTTAATATGTCACAAGCTTTATTCTGAGAGCTTTATATGAATTAATTCAAATTACTCCTCACAATATTCCTTGATAGGGGTACTAATATTATTTCCATTTTGTAGATGATACAACAGAGGCACAGACAGGCTTACTCAGATCACATTGCCAGTGAATAATGGATCCAGGATTCAAGTTGGCATTTTGACCCAAATCTGCAGCCTTAACCATGATGACACACTGTCCCTGTATGTATTATTTCTAATGCTGCCTGACGCACATATTCTAGCTACCACATAATAAACATTCATTGATTATTACTACCTGTCTGTAATTCTAATTACTGCAGATATTGCATTGAGCAAAACAAAATTTTTCCCTTCAAGGAGCTGACTCTATCTTCTATCCTAATGAAGGATACATATAATTAGCAGGTAAATAATATGTCCAGTTGTGAAAAATTCTAAGAAGCAAAAGCAAAGCAGGCAAAGGGCAGAGATGGAGAGAATGTGATGTTAGCTAGAGTAGATAGAGGGGCTGTCTCTCATGTGATGAGGAAGGATAAAGAAGGGTTGAAGGAATTTGTCTGTCTAGAGAAAGAACATTCCAGGCAGAGGAATGGATGCTAAGACCGTAAGATGGGATGGTGTTTTTAGTGTTTAAGGCATCATATGATGGCAAACATGGATAAAAGGGAGGGAGCGGCTGGGTGCAGTGGCTCACACCTGTAATCCCAGCACTTTGGGAGACCAAGGCGGGCAGATCACCTGAGGTGGGGAGTTCGAGACCAGCCTGACCAACATGGAGAAACCCTGTTTCTACTAAAAACATAAAATTAGCCGGGCATGGTGGCACATGCCTGTAATCCCAGCTACTGGGGAGGCTAAGACAGGAGAATCACTTGAACCTGGGAGGCAGAGGTTGCAGTAAGCTGAGATCACGCCATTGCACTCTAGCCTGGGCAACAAGAACAAAACTCCATCTCAAAAGGAAAAAAAAAATAGGAAAAGGGCAAGGACAAGAATGATAGGAGATATGAGAGACATAGCAGAGGCAAGATCCTGCATGTCTGCGTGGTTAGATTTTTATTTTTATTCAGAGTGATATGGGAAGCACTGAAAGTTATAATGACCTGGCATGGGTTGCTTTTTTTTTTTTTTTTTTTTTTTTTAAGATGGTGTCTCGCTCTGTTGCCCAGGCTGGAGTGCAATGTTGTGATCTCAGCTCACTGCAACCTCTACATTCTGGGTTCAAGCAATTCCCCTGCCTCGGCCTCCCCAGTAGCTGGGACTACAGGTGCCAGCCACAACACCCAGCTAATTTTTTGTATTTTAGTAGAGACAGGGTTTCACCATGTTGGCCAGGATGGTCTCGATCTCCTGACCTTGTGATCCGCCCACCTTGGCCTCTCAAAGTGTTTGCTTTTTTAAAGGATTATTCTGGCTGGTATTTGAAGGAAAACTACAGGAATGCTGAGGTGGAGCAGGGAGATCAGTTAGGAGACAGTGACAAAAGCCCTGGAAAGAGATGATGGCTCAAATTCAGAGTCATATTGGTGGAGACGTAGAGAAATAGGCAGAGTCTAGGCGTACTCTGAAAATAGATAGCAAGACCAGATGGAGGGATAAGTGGGGAAAGAAGGGAATTAAGGGTGCCTTCAAATTTTCGCATGAGAGAAATTCCATGAAACATGGAATTGCAATTTATTGAGAGGTACGGCTGATGGACTAGGAGTTTGATTGTGAATATAGTTAGGGCTTATATGTATACAATTTGAAATGTTTCTTAGTTATGGAAGTGGAGGCAGTAAGTAGGCAGCTAGAAATAAGGATCTGTACTTCAGAGGAGAAATTTTAAATGTGTGTGTCATTTCTTGTAGACGGCACTGAAGTAATGAAACTAAATGAAATTACTTAAACCCAAGGCCTGAGCTTTGAGACATTTTGGTGTTCATAAATATGGAACATAAGGGGCAGCCAGCTGATGAGATTCAGAAGGAGCAGCCAAGGAAGGAAAATGAGAACCAAAGGTGACACTTTGGAGGCAAAAGGAAGAACATGTTTGAAGGAGAAGAGATGACTGAAAAACTGTATTAAATATTGCAGACAAAATAGATAAGATGACATCTAAGAGTTGATATCTAAAACTGGCAACACGGAGATCACTGGAGGCTTGATAAAAGAAGTTTTGTGGAGAGCATAGGAAGAAAGGTTGAGGAGGCAGCAAACTTTTGAGGAGTTTGCCATAAAAGAAAAGAGAAAATGGGTCAGTAACTGGGGAGGATTTTGAGATCAAGGGAGAGGTTTGTTGTAAGATGAACAACTTTAATGAGAATATTTTAATGCTGATGAGAATGGTTCATGACAGAGGGAGAGAGAAAGAGATTTCCTATATTGCAGTAGAGAAGATGAATAATGAAAAAAAAAAAGGATTCCTTGAGGAATAAGAGGGAATGAAATCTAGAATAGAATGGAAGAAATGGAGGAGGTATCTTGGGTAAAGCACAAATATATTTTCTATTGTAACAGGGGGAAGAAAGAGTATATACATACAGATGTGGGTAGACTGACTGACTTGTAGTAGCAAGAGAAAGTTCTATACTGCTTGCTTCTGTTACTCAATAAAATAATCAGCCAGAACATTGGCTGAGATTAGGGACATGGAAGGAAGTTGGAAATTTAAGGAAAAACAAAGAGTGAAGGGAATTTTAGGAGCATGAATGAGTAAATTGTATAAGAAAATATCGTAGGATTGATGGGCAGCTAATGGTCCCTAGGTTTGCATGAGACCAGTCAGTGGCCATTGTGGGATTTTTCTCTAGCTATATTAAGCCATTGAGATGCAGATGCAAAGTAGTCGAAGAATTAGACTCAGCTAAGAAGAGTTCTTTATTTCTAATCAGATGAGTATAATGGAAGGAGATAGGAAAAAGGTAGTTGAAAATGTAATCAAAAGAACAATTAGAATCACCTATTATATTTCAGAAATAAAATAGATAATTTCAGCTTGATGACTGGGTGATTATTACTGGGAAGATAACTATTGTTATTAATATTTTTGTCTGTTGTTTAATGGTATTTTGCCTAGCATGTGTTAGGTGAGGGGAGGCGACAGGAAGCCCTCTTTCTCACTTTTTAAAAAAATAGACAATTCACAATAATTCAATCATTTTAATGATGAATGTGGTTTAAGTTCTATGGATATTTGTTGAATACTTAAATGTGCCAGATGCCATCCTAGGCAGTGGGAGTACAGACAGATACAATATCTAGTGAATGAAGTCAAATGAGTGTATAAACTATAGTGTGGTAAACACAGTGGAGGAGGTATGTGCAGGGGCCTTCTGGTAGAAACTGATAGAAGGGATTTAGATATTCCTGAGGATGGAGAAGGCTTTCTGAGGGTAATGATTAGTGAGATGAATGTTATGAATAGGAGACAACCAAGTGGGGAATATTGGGATGGGGGAGTTAGAAAGGGCATTTCTAATTCAGGGAATGTCATAAACCAGGGCTGAAGGTTTGTAAGAATGGAGTCAGTTCAGGGAATTCAAGGTACAGTGGTTTGATGGCTGAAATGTGGAATACTGTAAGTTAGTGATGACATGTTAGGCTGAAGAACAAATGGGCCCCAGATAATGAAGGGCCTCCATATGTTATACAGAAAGGCTTGAATTACTGTAAGGACAGTGATCGGTCACTAAAGACACTTAAGCAGGGAAGTGACGTGGTCAGCCTATTTTGCATTTTAGAAGTGTCACTTTGTGCTGTGTGAAAACTACATTGAAGAGAATGGTAATACTTTAAGCAGAAGCCAAGTTCAGAAGTTCCTAAAACATTTTAGGTAGAACATGGGCTCACCCAGTGGATCTTTGAAATGGTTAGAAGGGAAGAAGCCAGCTCCACAGATGTTCAGTAGAAAAAGTCAACAGAACTTATGCATATAGTGGCAGATCTGGAGGAGTGGGCAGCCAACTCTGAGTTCCTAGCTCAGGCTGACTGGGCTAGAGGTCCATTCATCCAGGCAGAGAGTGTAAGAGTGGGCTCCACTTTGTTAATGCTCGTTGTGACACAGGCTTCCATGTATTTCCCAAATTTCTTTCCTTTTCTTCCTGTACATAGTTAAACTCTATTTTTCATTCTCTCCTGAGTTGGGTGGGGCCATATTACAGAATTTTGGTCAGTGGAATACTGTTGGAAGTGATATATGTCACTTTCAACTCAATTAGGTATGATCTTCCATGCACGTTCTCTTTTCCATCAGTTCACTAGAGGCAATGGATTCAGCAGAACACTTTGAGCCTAAAGGATGGTAGAGCCACCGGAAAGAAGAAATCTTCCATTGATATAAATTACTGTATAGAGCAGAGACCCTGGACCCTGTTACTATCCCTAACCTGGACTGTGACATTAGTGTGAGGAAAACCTTTATAGTATTAAGAAATTGAAATTTTGGCACTGTTTGTTTTAGTAAGTAGCCTACCATGACTACTATGACCAATAAACTTAGATTCACACAGTTAGAAAGTATGGTTCTGAAGATCATAAGACTGAGAATCAACAGCTTTATTTCTTTTCCACCCCCTACCTTCAGGTTACTTTTGAACCCCTGTTAGATATCATTTAATTACCTTTCTTGGTGGACTATACAACTTTTTATTTAGTTATTCAAGTCAAAATCCTGGTTCTAGTTCTCTACTTTTCTCTTGCCATCCAAAAGGGAGTCCATGACTAATCCTGCTACTTCTGCCTCCTTCACCTCTTGTGTATCTGCTTTATTGCTTCTTTATTTCCAAGCTACCTCACTCATAATTTTTTTTACAAGGAAGCTAAATTTCAGTTGGTTGAGGCAAAAAAGAGAGAAAGGGACTGAAGCTACCAAGAGAGAACATATCTTTTAGGAGCCTGGCTATGAAGAAGAAAAGGGGCTATAACTGGAAGAGGACAGAAGGCTAAGGGAGTTTTATAAGTTGGAAGATACATACACATTGATTTGTTTGGGTAATATCAAAGATGTAGGCTTAAAGAGAATAACTGCTGAAGTACAACTTCAAATTAGGTAAGAAATGGGATGGTGGAATAGGTCTTGAATTGGAGCCAAATAGCGGGAATGTGGTAGAGATGAGCTCAATTGCACAAAGTTTTAGGTATGGATAAGAAGATGAATGATTGAAGACTGATGCTTCAGTATATTCTTCTTTGAAGAACAAATCCAAACCATCTGATGTGAGTGAAAATTCAGAGTGGAGAGTGGGTCAGGATAGTTATTTATGGTGACATGGGAGAAAGAGGTGTTGGGGGGAGAAAAACATGAGCTGAAAAAGGGAGGAAATAATAAACATCTTTGTTGCTGATGCCAATATTTTTGTTTGCAATATTTTATCTTCCAGTTGCTCAGGAGCCTGGGTAAAAAGTTGGGCAAAGTAGAAAATTAGGTTTATCTAGAGGCAGAGATTATTATAAAGAGGATGCTGCTAGCATGAGACCAAAGGAAATTAGTGGGTACTGGTAAGAAATATACAAATTATCCACTATGTTTTTCATTTAAGTAGGAAATCAAGGGATGGTGAGAAGAGTTGATTGGCATAAAAACATAAAGGGGAGAATGAGGTAAAAGAGCAAGTGTAATGATACTAAGGGAGACAGTGCTGGGAGTAAGGAAGGTTGCAGTCAAGGAGCCCATATACTGACATGGATTTGGTGTGAGTTGCTGGAGTGGAAAGTGGCACTAGATGTCTGGAGTTCAAGCAGTTATGGAATTTAAAGGACAGGCTTGTCCTTGGCCTTGGCGACTATTTACTATTCCAGAAATTAAATTTATACTTAGAGTTTCTCAACAGCAGTACTATCAAAATTTTGGGTCAGATAATTATTTGGTGGGGGTGGGAGAACTATGTATACGGGATGTTTAGCAGCATCACTGGCCTCACTAGATGCCAGTAGCTCATCCCCCTCTGGTTGAGACAATAAATGTCTTCAGGTAGTGTCAAATGATTTCTAGGGGCAAAATTGTCCCCCAGTTGACAACTACTGTCATAGACACCACTGACTTAGAATGAGGATGAGAGGGTCTCCATTTCTTGGGGCATTCAATAGGGTTCTTAGGCTCTAGAAGCAAACAAATATCAACTATAACATAAGAAAAAGTTACCCGCTTGTTTGAAAATGCAAGCTTCATTGGAGTAAGTATAATTTTAAAGTAAATTTTTATAGGAATTATTTCTGTGGAGATAACACTTATTAGGGTATATGTATTCAGGTATATTTGTCAAAATTATTTCTCTTTTCTGTACACTTCACTTACACACCTGTATTTTCTGACAATCTCACCTACAGGAAGAGCAGAGTGGCTTCAATACTGGGATAATTACCAAGTTCAGCCTAGGACAGTGGTGGCTGAAGCCTGAAATAGTAATTGTAGTCTCATGAGGTTTGCCCACATGCCTGATGCTGGATGTCCCATGTCTTTTCTACCTTTGCAAAATCTTATTTTCTTGTCTTTGTGCTGACCAGTGGAAAGCAGATTACATTTGGACAAGGAAAGAAGCTAAAACTCTGTAGAGTTAATTAACTAACACTGACTTTGAAGCTGAGTCTAGAGAAGTAATCCTACACACCTTACTTCACGTGAACTGCCCTCTAATTGCCTTGCCTGTGCTTATGATTTCCTCATTTAATTGAAGCTTGAGTCAATTTTTTTCAGTGCTCCAGTTAAGAAATATTACTAGATGTAGCTGAAAGGGATCATCAGGTTAAACCATACAGAATAATTTCTGGGATAAAATTCCAGCAAAGCTGGGGGTAGCAACTTTCTCATACTTTCAAAATGGAAAACAGAAAGAACTGTTGATTGTCAAACTTGTTAGGTAAGCATATGAAAATTGCCTTTAATGGTGCCCTCACTAGGTTCTGTAGGAGGCAGCCTCAGCCTTGCCCCTCAGCAACATCTCCTGGTACCACCCTTTGATTTAGTCATGCCAAGGTCCTCATATATGTTAGAATACACTGTGCCTCTTTTCCTGTACCTTTTATCATGCTGTCATTATCTCTTCCCACAACTCCTGCACCTCTTATTTGCCTAGTAAATTTCAGTCTTTATTCAAAAAACTTCCTGTGCTTCCTGCTCACTGAAGCATCACGGTCTTCCTTTTGTATTTGCTTTCTTCTCTGGTTTCCCACAGCACCCAACTTGGTAACATATCAACTATCTTGAAATTATTATTTATCTGTCCATTTCTAATGCTGGATTGTGCACTCTGAAAATGGGCATCACATTTTGTTTCCCTTTGTATTTCTTTTTAACATTATACCATCAACTGGTTGCGTTAATCAATAATTAACTATATTTTCCTAGATAGAGGACACTAAGGGGGCCCACCGGCAAAGAGTAGGCAAGAAGTTCTACGTGCATCTTGAATTTTCTCCCAGAGAAGAATAATGTGGCCATATACCTCTACTAACTCAACCATTATGTGATGCAATTACAATTTCCACACACACAACATCAAAGTAAACTAGTTCTACCATGGACCCCATTCAGCAGGTTTGAGTCTGCCCTTTGGTCTCTGTCATTAACTTCAGCTATGCAATTGTTGCTGGAGAACACAGAAGCAGGCAGGAACAATGAGGCATGGACATACACCTACTTGTGGGGCAAGTTTAAGGAGACATTTTAATTTTCACTCTTTCTTTTTTTAAAACGTGATGCTATGAGAATTTTTATAAGAATCTAGATGGGTGAAAATGGCATGCCTCCCTTATGACCATACTTGCACGTGGATACACATGCACACAGCTTCATAAATACCCACCCAAAGTTCCCTTGATTCATTCTGGCAGCTGTTTTTCTTCTCCGGGCTTAGGAGTAATTCAGCCAGCTATGACAGAAAACTGCTGCTGATAAATGCAGCCCTGGGCTAGTGACCTTTACCAGGAATCATCTATCACCATGACATGAGCCAGCACATGTGGAAAAGTCTGCATATGAAAGTGTTGGGGAGAATGGAACAGAACGGAGAGAAGAGAGACACCAATCAGGAACACAGTGAGGGCAGGATGTTTGCTCCATGGATTTGGAGGGTTACTGATTTCCTGGACCAGGTGACTCGGGAGAAAATAAAAAAGAGGTCAAAAGGACAACATACTATCCTCCCACTGCTTGCTCTATCACTGGCCAGTCCCAGTTACTAGCATACTTTTTAGCTTTTTGTTACACACATACTATGTGAATCATGTGCTACTCAGGCAAAAGGAGGATTTTTTTTTTTTTTTTTTAGTTAGAAGCTAAATTGTTGAGAAAAAGCTCACCCCTTTGAATTAAGGGGTGGATTTAGGCTTTGCAGGGTTCGATGCTTATACAGTTTGTGTGTGTGTATGTGTGTATAGCTATGTCACAAAACATTTTAAATACAAAATTAGGTATAAAATGAATATTTACCTCTAATGAGAAAAATTATATAAATGATAACTTTAGAATTGCAGAAAAGTACTACAAACACACAAAACCCATAAAAACATACATTTTATTAAAAACTTACCAATTCTTAACTAATTTTGTTGAATAACTGCCATTGTATTTATGTATATATATCAATATAGATATATATTTCAATGTTTATATAAATCAATGAAATTATATAAAACTATTATATTCTGAAATTAATTCTGTAATAAATACAAATAAACATATCCAAGTTGCTGCCATATTATATTGAGATCCATAATTATGTAATCAAATAACATGCTGATAAAGATGTGTAGAAAGTTTGTCATTGAAACCTTGTTTCTTCAGGTGGCTTTGCTGTGTAAGATACCATTTTGTGTGCCTTTTATCCACGGTTACTAGACTTTGTCCCATGTATCAGGAATACTAAGGTCCAATTGTTACACTGGCATATATAAAATATGCAACTAGACTCAGTGATGTGCTCACTCTTTATTGTACTGCTTCATGTTTATACCTGACAGACACAGGAATTTGGTTTGATACATTCTATTTAAATGAACATCATTAATAAAGCATGCATTTATGATTGTTTGAGATACCTTATCAAGTATATTTCTGACAAGATACATTTCTCATTTTGACTTGGAATTGATTAGAATGAAATCCTCTGCTTATAAATGTACATGTCCATTGACTGGAAAAACTTTCCACAGTCTAGCTTCTGACTCCACATATTTTAAACCTATTTAGACTCTATCACCCACATACTTCTGTGGCAATAGCTTTGAGACATGTTTATATTATACTTCCACCTCAAGCCCTGTGTCATGATGCCCAGTGAGCTAGCACAACAGGTGGTAAGAGTGTTCCTAGAAGTTATTCCACCTTCTTGAGCAATAACTTAACCACACATGAAAGGGACTATGAGCCACATAAATATGTCCCACTGAACCCAAATTATAAATTATGATGTAAATTTATATTATGTATATATACTCAACCTCTTCCTTAGCGGATCTAAAAATGCACATGGCCACTCTAAAGTCACTTCACATGAATGCAGAGACAGCAGTTTTAACCTACTGTGATTTAAATTTCTCACTTTTGCAATTTTTTTTCAAAGTTTTGGGGTCTTGCAAACACATTGCTACAGCTCCTGCCAGGGCCTTGGAAGAAACCTTAGAAGTAAAGTTTTCTGAAATTTAAGTTTCATTATTATCATTGTAGACCCTTTTGGCCTGAGCTAGAGTTCTATGGATTGTCTGACTTGCTGGTTATAGCTTTGGGAGAGATTTCATTCATTCATTCATTCATTCATTCATTCATTCATTCATTCATCCATCTGTCCATCCATCCATTTGTTCAGGCATAATTATTCTCTCATTTATTCATTTATTTGATTATCTTGCATTTATAAGCTATTATAGCTGAATATATGCTAGTGCCTGTGTGTCATGGAACAGACAGATGGACAAAAACCTGTACAAAAGTTCAGAGAGTCGGCTGGGCCTGTAATTGCTACACTTTGGGAGGCCGAGGCGGGTGGATCATGAGGTCAGGAATTTAAGATCAGCCTGGCCAACATGGTGAAACCCCATCTCTACTAAAAATACAAAAAATTTAGCCAGGTGTGTTGGTGCACCCCTGCAATCCCAGCTACTCGGGAGGCTGAGGCAGGAGAATCGCTTGAACCCCAGAGGCAGAGGTTACAGTGAGCGGAGATCATGCCACTGCACTCCAGCCTGGGCGACAGAGCAAGGCTCTGTCTCAAAAAAAAAAAAAAAAAAAAAAAAAAGTTTATTCCTGCGCTCATAGCTGATTTGTTCTATGGGGTTCAGGCACCTTGCATTTAATCATCTTCCCTTCCAGTGAATCCTGTTTGATCAGCCCATCTTCCTCCTCCAACCACCAAAACAATCAGAAGTTCTCATACATTGGGAAGACAGTAGAATTTTGATAGAAGGAAAAATAGAAACTTGTACTCATTTGAGGATCTCTAAGAACTTGAAATAAATGGTGCTTCCATCTACCACTCCAAGTCATGGGTATGTGAGACTTCCCACGAGGGACATAATCCATTCTTGAAGGTTTATAATCTCACCACTGGAAGCTTTTCCTTTTCTCCTATAACCATGGGAAAATTACTTATCTTGATAACCCTCTTCTGTATGTATAAAATCTGGGTAGAATGAGGGAAAATGATAGAGCATTTGTGGTGTGCTTGGCAAGCAGGGAGGTGTGAATAAAGATAATTTCCTTTTCATTAAAACTTTGGATTTCAGGACAAAAGCATTCTGAAAGAAGATGAGAACAAGTCTTCTTCACAATGCTGTATCTTCATGCAACCTCACATTATTTCATTTATTTCTCATAGCCCCTTGACTTTAATTGAGTGGGACTTCTATGTACAGTTGAGGAAACAGGAGAATGGATAAAAACCAACAAACATTGAGCATCTACCTGTAGTCAAGGTCCTGAAAGCTATATATTGAAATTCCCCATCTGGCTGGTTATCCAGCATGTGACACATCTTTTAGTAAATCTGTTAATTTAAAATATCTTTCTGGAAATTAAGAATTTTCTGAAGAAAAGGAAAGCTTAGACAAATTGGTAAAATTATTTATTTATTTATTATTATTTTTTTTTGAGGCGGAGTCTCGCTGTCACCCAGGCTGGAGTGCAGTGGCGTGATCTTGGCTCACTGCAAGCTCCGCCTCCTGGGTTCACGCCATTTTCCTGCCTCAGACTCCCGAGTAGCTGGGACTACAGGCGCCTGCCACCACGCCTGGCTAATTTTTTGTATTTTTAGTAGAGACAGGGTTTCACTGTGTTAGCCAGGATGGTCTCGATCTCCTGACCTCGTGATCTGCCCGCCTCGGCCTTCCAAAGTGCTGGGATTACAGGTGTGAGCCACTGCGCCCAGCCAGTAAAATTATTTAGTCCATGGCCTTGCTCCTTGTACCAACCCAGGTACATGGGATTGTCTGTTTATCAGACATATAGAAAGAGCATACTGTTATTTCCCATTTTCTTCGTTGAATACCAAGTCACCTACAATGCTTCTATTAGGGCAGATTGTATAATATTTGGTCCATATTGTACCAAAGAGAGGGATATTAATTTTCATTTGGGTTGGATCTGAAAACTGCTATGCACACACTGAGTGACATCTCATTTTTCCTGATAATGATGTTGATATGTCTCTGGAATACCCATATGCTCAGCATTTGCTGTTTCAAACTTGTTCTTCATTAATTATGGCTATACATAAGCTGCCAAAAATTAAGTTCTATGGAGGATTTAAATTTGAACTCAGAAAGAGGGTGGAATTTATATGTAGATGAAGAAACAGATTAAAAGAGATGAAGTTTCCATAACCAAGAAGTAGCAGAGCTAGAAATGAACCATGTTGTTCTGATCTTGAAGTGTGTTTGGAGTTTCTATGACACCACACTGCTTCCCATCTCAGAGGAACTGATGGGTACAGAAAGTTTTTGTGGTTTCTGAATGAAGAAAAATCAGATAGAATTTTGCAAGTTGCTATTTCATATGCAAAAGGTTAATTTCAGCTGTTGCAGAGTTTAATCTGGGAATATAGAAAGGATTTGCTTTTAAAAATTTGTAAATATCACCATATCTACATTTTAAGCCTGAAATTATGAGCTTTTACTTTAGCTTGCCTAACATTTTGGGAAATAGATAAGAGAAAGGATTTAAGTGAAGGCCAAGAAACAAAGATAATAATACATTCCTTTTTAAGGGCCCTATACTTTCAGGCATCATTTTTATATACATTATTTCAATGTTTGGTAAATGCTTTTTTGTAAAGGGCTACATAGTAAATACTTCAGTCTTTCTGAGCCACATATAGTCTATTTTCCCTCCCTGTCTTCTTTCTTTTTTCCCTCCCTGTGCTCTTCCTCCTTCTTTGTCTTATTCCTCTTCTATTTCCTCTTTCTCTCTTCTTCTTCATTTTCTCTCCTTTTCCCCACTTCCTCCTCCTCCTTCTCATTCCTTACAACCCTTTAAAAATATAAAAACCATTCTTAGCTCAGTATCTTTACAAAAACTGGCCACAGAGTGGATTTGCTGCACCGGTTATAGTTAGCTGACCCTTGCCTTATTTCATCATTTTCTCGTAATCCCTTGACATTCTCAGTGTGGGATTTCTAGTTACAGTTGAGGAAACAGAAGAATGGATAAAAACCAATAAACGTTCAGTATCTACTTATTCAGTAGAGATAAACTCTGTATATGGTCCTTCTTCTTTCTGCAGAATAACCTTGAAAAGTAGGTATTATTTCCCCTTTAGAAGTGAAGAAATGGAGAGCGAGAGAAGTTAAGTTAACATACTTCCCTACAGTTCCAGCCATTTCATGAGTGTTCATTGCCCATGACATCTCTGAATCCAGCTCTAATTGCTGGACTTCTCAGTGGAAGTACTGAGAGCTGAAATAAGTGTAGGAGTTACTTAGGTGGAGAGCATTCCAGGCAGATGTAATATCAAGTGCAATCACTATGGCATAATGAAGCACAGAACATTTAAGAAATTGAGAGAAAGCCAGTGAGTTAGACCAGAAACAAAACAATGAAGATCTTGGTGCAAGGTGAAGTTGGAGAAGAATGTGGGGACCAGACCATAGAGGATAATATTAACGATGCTAAGCACTTATAGGTCTTTATCCTAAAAGCAATAGTTTAAGTAAGTGAGCAACATGAAAATATTTGTTTTTTGAAAAGTTATCTCTGGTTGTAGAGTATATAATAGATTAGAAAATGCAAGTGGTCATGGCAAGATCAGTAAAGAGGTTATCTTACCAATATTTATGAGAGACAGTCAGAGCTTGGACTAGGTTAGTAGTCATGAGATGAAAGGAAGTAGATAAAATTGAGAGATATTTACTTGGAAGCAAAACTCACAGAATTTGATGGTGAATGAATTAGATGTGGGCACTGAAGGCAGAAAGGAATTAAGGATGATTTAGTTTTCTGACTTGGACATTTGAGATGATGTTGGTGTTTATTGAGGAGGAAAATATAATACCTGGGGAGATACATGGATACGTAAAAAGCTGCTATTAATGGGAACTGAATAATTAGGTTAGAGGTGAGGAAAGGAGACTTACATTTTTAAAACCACTTTCCCTTTTACAAGGTTGTACCACCGTTCTTTTCACAGTACTCTGATGTAGATAAAAATATGTTGAAATATATTAAGCACTTAAAATGTTTAAGTTTGCCTCATTTTCTGCTCCTTCCCCTTCTTTCTCTTTTCCTTATAGTGGTTAAGAGCATGGCCTCTACTGAAAAAGTCTGAGTTTGGTTGGGTAACGTTGGGTCATTTAATTAATCTCCCTAAGTTTCAATGTTCTATCTAAAAAATGAAACCCACTCATAGGGTTGTTATAGAGGTTAAATAAGTTAATGCATGAAAACTGTTTATGCTCATGCTTGACAGATGATAGACAAATATCTCCACTTCCCTACTCCTCATCTTTCTTCTCCCCTTTTCTATCTTCCTCTTCCCCTTGTCTTCTCCCTTTCCTCTTTCTCTTCCTCCTCCTCCTCCTCTTCTTCATTGCATAAACAGTTATTCAGGTGCGGTTTTTGGTTTTATTTTTTCTCAAAACCAGAGAGCTTTGTATTCTCAGAAAATTAGTTTATACCTCAGTAATGTTTTTCCAAGGGATAAATTTTCTTCCTATTTTCTCCGACATAAGTGCATATGGTTCACATGTGCATAATGTAATATGGCTAAGTGTTTGCTCAAGGTAGAACCCTCTTAAGGGCATATCTCTTAGGGCCTTGACATAGTGCTCTGGATAGGTTCATCTTGGATGTGCTTATCTCTCAAACATCCTTTTATTCGTGAACCAGTCATTCTTATCTTCTGCTGGATCTGAATTAGTTTATTAGTTCAAAAGATCTATAGCACACCTACTATTATCCTTATTTTTTAAGTTTACACAAACATGCATAATATTAGTGTATTCCCAAATGATTTATTTTATTTTATTTTTTTAGTAACAGTCTTGCCATGTTACCCAGGTTGGAGTGCAGTGGTGTGATCATGGCTCACTGCAGCCTTCAACTCCTTGGCTTAAGCTATCCTCTTCTCTCAGCCTCCCAAGTAGCTAGGACTACTGGCATGTGCCACCATATCTGGCTAATTGTAAAATTTTTTGTAGAGATGGGGTTTTGCTATGTTGCCCAGGCTGGTCTTGAACTCCTGGCCTTAAGAGATCCTCCTACTTTGGCCTCCCAAAGCTCTGGGATTACAGGCAGAAGCCACTAAATGTGTCATATCCCCAAATGATTGAGAATAGAGTTCCTTAACAATTTTTTTTTTCTTAAACAACATTGGTGGTGATGAGGTTAGTGGTATAGTGAACATGCGTGAAATGACAGGCTCAGAAAACCTTGAGTGAGAGACTGATTCCTGATAAACAGGATTGTTTGTGAAAGTTTCACCATAAACTTCCCAAGGGAAGACCACAAGATGCTGGCCAACCATACTCCTCTCAGGACAAGCCGTGTCTGATCTCCACTAGTAACACATGGAAACAGGAGGTCAAGCAGACGGGAATGTTCACACACAAAAAGAGCACTGGGGAAGTTGGCAAACTCATCTTTTCTCTCCTGCAGCTCTTGCTTCTGTCTTTAACACATTGATTGGATCAAGCTTGAGTCTCTTTGATCCTCCCGACACCCTGCTTACTATTGTTTATTTAGCTTATGATTCTTCTGCCTCTAAGGTAAATCTTTATACTCCATGAATCAATAGGCTACAGGGGCCTTAATTAAAGCTGAAGAATAAAATTGGTACTGGAAACTAAATTCCTCCCATGTCTAGAAAAGCAGGAAATGTTATTACCCGTGGAGGCCTTTATATTGCTTTCCATTGTCACTTCTGAAGTTCAGTGAAACATTAGGTATCCCATGGTAGATTTCTTGGACACAGATTAGATGCATAGATAGCCATGTGAAGAAAAATGGGGTCTTTTAACAAGTCTCCTGGATACTTAAGTGTCTCTCTAGAGGAATCAGCATCCAGTATACTGGTGGGTGTTAATATAAAGTCTGAATGCTTCTTGAACTGCAAAAGAAACCACAAATCAGGGTTTTAGGTCCTGTCTGAGGTACAGAAAGATAAAATTGCACAACATGTGGGAGCATAGTATGCAAAGATTTTGATTTCACGAATTTAACTATCTGTAGAGGTTTTATTTTATTATTATACTTTAAGTTTTAGGGTACATGTGCACAATGTGCAGGTTTGTTACATATGTATAAATGTGCCATGTTGGTGTGCTGCACCCATTAACTTGTCCTTCAGCATTAGGTATATCTCCTAATGCTATCCCTCCCCCCTCCCTCCACCCCACAACAGTCCCCGGTGTGTGATGTTCCCCTTCCTGTGTCCATGTGTTCTCATTGTTCAATTCCCACCTATGAGCGAGAACATGTGGTGTTTGGTTTTTTGTCCTTGCGATAGTTTGCTCAGAATGATGGTTTCCAGTTTCATCCATGTCCCTACAAAGGACATGAACTCATCATTTTTATGGCTGTATAGTATTCCATGGTGTATATGGTGTATATGTGCCACATTTTCTTAATCCAGTCTATCGTTGTTGGACATTTAGGTTGGTTCCAAGTCTTTGCTATTGTGAATAGTGCCGCTATAAACATACGTGTGCATGTGTCTTTATAGCAGCATGATTTATAATCCTTTGGGTATATACCCAGTAATGGGACGGCTGGGTCAAATGGTATTTCTAGTTCTAGATCCCTGAGGAATCGCCACCCTGACTTCCACAATGATTGAACTAGTTTACAGTCCCACCAACAGTGTAAAAGTGTTCCTATTTCTCCACATCCTTTGCATATGTCTTTTGAATGAGCCATTTATCCTCCGTGCTGGTGGTAGGACCTGTCCCCAGTCATGGTACTGAAAGGAAAGATGACCTTAGGGATCAGGATAAATATGATCAGAATCACAGGACAGAAGGAGCTGTTTCTACTGAATTCTATTTAAACACACAAGAGCTGGGAGTAAAGCTCATATGTATGCTCACATACTCTGCATCCAACTATTCTTTTCCTTCTATCTAGAAGAGATCTCATTTTTAAGACCTGGCCTGGTTCACAAAGATAAGAGTGGAGTTAAAGGTGAGATTCTACAGGCTCTCATCACTTGTATCTTGATAAAATTGTTGTAGGTACATGCCATAGCAGGCCCTGAGCTTGCTATTACCTGAGATGACTTAATGCAAATCTAGTGGAAGTCGTCTTTGTGAACCAGGTTAAAGTTGGTATGCATGCCTGGGTCTGTTCAGCAGGATGAATGAATGCAGACCTACTCTCTTCATTCTTTCACTTATTGATTCATCTTACATACATTTATTTAGTTTGCATCAGTGTGAGAAATTCTCTACTCTGAAAATATTAAGGAGATGTAGAGATGAATAAGTCAGGGCCTCTTTCCTCTAAATGGTTACGACGTAGCGGAGATAATGACTCTAAATTACTTAATTATGACACAAGGTGAAATGATACAAGTAGAGGCACACACATCATGCTCTAAAAGTGTAGAGAAGTGTATTGGAGAAATAAATGACATCCTTTGAGCATTTATTCCATGAACGACGCTAAACGTTTTATTTATATTATACCTTCACATTCATGAATAATCCTGGCAAAGAGATAAAATAGTCCTTATTTTATTGTTGAGAAGATTGAGGCTCAAGAGTTTAAGGAGGTAAGGAGGCTCAAGGTCACATAGTGAGCTTTAAAGCTGGGCTTGTAAGCTCATCTAGGGCACACCTATGACTTATTCCCATGGGTTCCCCACAGCAGCCATTCTCCAGTGAGTAGGTGAAAACAACATTTGGTCTGATAGTCAATTTCAGTGAGGAGTATGAAGAAAGTGTTTATTGATTTCAGATTTAATAGGCTAGTTGCCTCAAGTGCTTTGATTAGAATCCCAAACCTCTAGAGACACCGAATCTTTTTGGGTTAACATACAGATTTGTTTTCAATCTTGAGTGTTTCATTTTTGGATTCTCTTGACGATAATAATTGTCTTAAATAATATGTCCCTCAAACATTTGCCCCCTCAACATGATCCTGGAGGCACTGTGAAGGAGAAATGAGGCATAACTGGTGAAAGATGATTGATTTTTCTGGATTCAGTGTCCTTGTTCTCCCAAAGTAGCCTATTGTTTCTGCTTGTCAAAGTGTCTGAAAAATCTGGGGTGACAGGTACTGGGAATAAGATAACACTTATCTTTTGGGATGATAGGGTCTCAGTGTCTGATCCAGATAGCAGTCCTCATCCCAGTTAGGTTCCAGGATCTGCATTAGCATTCTTCCTTTATTCTCTGGTGCAGACACTAACTGTACTTCAGGGAGAATCTTTACCTTCCGTTTTCACAGTACTTTGGAAGCACATCTCTTTGTTTGTGCTTTATTCATATTGTGCACTCCTCAAAACCTCTGTCTGATTAACATGCAGATTCGTTTTCACCCTTGAGTTTTTATTTTTGAATTCTCTTGACAATGAAAGCCCTCTTTATTTTTAAAATGGGAACTATCAGTTTAAAATATTCAAGTGACAATGAATCCTTCCTAGGATATGATTTTAAACCTATGAGAAGGAGTGGAGAGTGAGAGCTAGGAAAGGAAGTGGTTGTGACCTCTTTTTGAATTTACATCCAGTGAGATCTGGAGTTTTGTCCTGGCTAAAGCTCACTGATACGAGCATTCCAGTCCTATTTTATATTTTCCTTACATTAAGAAGTATTCGTTCATCATCTATTACTAGTGCTTAACTCTTCCACACTCCCTGACCTCTAAACTTGTACATCTGAATATTTGCTCAGCATCTCCCCTTGGATCTATGCACACCCTGAGTTTAATGTAAACAGAACAGAACTCTAGACTCCACTCTCCACAGTCCCTGATACGATTCTCCTCAGTTCCTCTCAACCTCAGTAAAGGGAATCTTCAGTTACTTACTTGCTCAGAAAAAAAAAAAATCTAGGCATCATCCTCTTATTTTTCTCACATCCCATCTATCAGATAATGGTGTCAGCTTTACCTTCAAAATATATCCCGTTCTACTCTTCCCACTAGGTCTAACATATTCCACCTTAATTCCAAACACCATCATCTCTCACCAGCATAATTACCATAACCTACTAAAACTGGACTTGTTTTATCCTTGCTGGTCTATAATTCATTGTCTGTCTGCTAAAGAGGTTTCTTATAGTCCCCATCATTATTAGTAAAAATAGACTAAAAATCTGTAACATAACAAAGCCCTCCCTGATCTGGCTTTTGGCTTCATCTTGAACTTCATGTCCTTTCATTTCTTTCCTTTCAATGCTCTCTTTCAGCCATGCTTTTTTCCACCTGAATTTCTATCATACTGAGCTTCTTGACCCAGAGTCTTTGCATTTCTTGTTCTTTTTGCCTGGGAAGCTCCTCCACCATATTTTCACATATCTGCCTCTATATCGTCATTCAGTCTCTGCTCTAAAGTGCCTTCTCTGAAAGCTCTTCTGTGACAAACCAAACTAGAGCGTCACCTTCCTGTCGTCATCACATTCCCATTTCTCTACAACCTGGAATTATCTAGTTTATGTATTTGTTTGCATGCTTATTTTCTATTTCCTCTGTAAAAATGTAAATTTCTTCAGGGAAAAGACAATGTCACACTTGTTTATTGCTGAATTTTTGTATCTAGAACAAGCTGGAATATAGTTGGTGATTAATACATATTCTGGTGAGGGAGAGGGGCAACAGTTTGAAAACTAACTATTGGATACTATACTCACTACCTGGGCGATGGTATCATTTCTACCCTAAACCTAAGTATCACCCAATATGCCAATTTAAAAAATCTGTACATGTACTTCTTGAGTCTAAAATAAAAGTTGAAATCATAAAAAATGCAAATTCTCTTGATAAACTATATGGCCTTATATTCATCACTTTATTTAATTCTGACAGTAATTACTTTTATTTAGCATCTTGAATATGCCAGATGCTGCACTAAGATCCTCATGTAATCATCCATTTAATCTTCAAAAGATACATAATATAGTTTTTATTATCTACTTCAGTAGATTATTGTTATAGCGCTAGGAGAAATTAAGCACAACTTGTTTAAGGTGTCTCAGCTCATAGAAAAGCTTGTGTTAAAAGCCCACATTGTCTGAATTTAAGGTAGCAATTGCTTCCTTAGCAACGCTCATTGATGTCCCAGTAGTCCAAAGAGACACTAATAGGGGAGAATTGGATCCTTCTGGCTGATTTTCAGTGAGTGTAAGAATGGGGAAGGAGAGTTCAGGTCAAGTCACATGTACTGGTGAGGTGAAATTTGATTCAATTTTGATTCAGATTCAGATTTTGATTTTTGATTTTGATTCAGAAGGGGCAATAGGATTTAGTCAGAAAATAATCATCAAAGACATAAGAAAATATGGCCTACAGTCAAGAGAAAATTTAGTCTATAGCAACAGACACAGAAGTGAACTAAGTGTATGAATTAGCAAATGAGGGCTTTAAATAAAAGTCATAGTTATATTAGCTAATCTCTAGGAAAAAAAGAAAAATGGGATAAGAGTTTGGGAATTAATACAAATTAAAGCAAGGAGAGGAAAAAAATAAGGAAAAAACCCCCCAGAGTTTTATGACCTTGTAGAAAGATTTAAGTACCTTATTATGTGTGTGTATTAGAGGAGAAGGGAGAATGGATGGGGCAGAAAAAATATTTGATGACAAATTAGCCAAACTTTTTGAATGTAAGGAACAGAAAACCAAATAGCATGTAATCTCACTTGTAAGTGGGAGCTAAACATTAAGCACACATGGACATAAAGATAGGAACAATAGACACTAAGGACTACTGCAGTGGGGAAGGAGGGAGGGGCAAGGGCTTAAAAACTCCTTATAGGTACAATGTTTACTACCTGGGAGACAGGATCCACACCACAAGCCTCAGGAGCACCTAATATACCCGTGTAACAAACTTGCACATGTACCCACTAAATCTAAAATAAAAGATGCCAAAAAAAGCAACCCATAAGTGTAGGATGCTCAGTAAACCCCAATTAGGATACTATCAAAGACATTCACACTTAGGCACATATTATTCAAAATACTGAAAGCCAAAAGTGAAGACAAAATCTTAAAAGCAATCATAAAATTAAGAGTTTACCTAAAAGAGAGAATAATTAGTTATAGATGATGTGTTAGTTTCGTTTTGCTGTGTAACATATTACCAAAAACTTAGAGGCTTAAAACAATGCTCATTTATTGACTCAGTTCTGTAGGTCAGACTACATGGCATGGTATAGCTAAGTGGTTCTTTTCTTAGGTTAAAATGAAGGTGATGGCTGGCTGCATCTTCATTTGGAGCTTGAGGGTTTTCTTCCAGATTCATCATCGTTATTGGCAAAACTCAGTTTCTTGTGGCTATAGGACAGATGCCCTCTTTCATTGAAGGCTGTCACCTTGGGGCTATTCTTAGCTTCTGGGGGCTGTCTGCATTCCTTACCATGAGTCTTCCTCCCTCTTTAAGTCAGCAATGGTGTGTTGAATTCTAGTGCTTCCCATTTCTCTAACTTCCCCTTCTGCTGCTAGCTTGAGAAAACTCATGTAAATGGGTTCAACTCTCCTGATAATATCCATATTTTAAGATAAACTGACTTAGGACTTTTATATGTGCAAAATCTCCTCACAGCACTAGCCCTACCAAGATTAGTGTGTGATAGAAGAAATATGAAATAATGTTAGGTGGGGGAAATCTTTCGATATCTACCTACCATAGAGTATTTTTTATCAGAAACAATGTTCAGTCAGAAGGCAATGGGATAACATAGAGCAGCTTTGTTCATAACAGCCAAAAATTATAAAAAACTCACGAAGAGAATAAATAAATTATGATCTAGTCACTATAATCTGATTCGACAATAAAAATTACCTAAATGCTGAAAAGGTTTAGGGTATGACAGAATGGAATAAAGTATAAGATCATTAGGTGACAGGAGGTCAAGGAACTACATTTATTTCCAATAATAAATGGCTCACCAAGGATTATGACAGGAGCAGTGGTAGAGCTAAGCGCTAAAATCATCAAAGAACGGAGCGTTTGGTACTGGAGTTTATAGGTGACTGCAACAAAGAAGGTAGTTGGTACTGTATTTCTGTGTCTGGAATTTATTCCTTCTTGTGGGTTCTTGGTCTTGCTGACTTCAAGAATGAAGCCGCAGACCCTCATGGTGAGTGTTACAGCTCTTAAAGATGGTGTGTCTGGAGTTTCTTCCTTCTGGTGGGTTTGTGATCTTGCTGAGTTCAGGAATGAAGCTGTGGACCCTTGCAATGAGTGTTACAGCTCATAAAGGTAGTGTGGACCCAAAGAGTGAGCAGCAGCAAGATTTATTGTGAAGAGCGAAAGAACAAAGCTTCCACAGCGTGGAAGGGGACCCAAGCAGGTTGCCGCTGCTGGCTCAGGTGGCCTGCTTTTATTCTCTTATTTGGCCCCACCCACATCCTGCTGATTGGTCCATTTTACAGAGTGCTGATTGGTGCATTTTTACAGAGTGCTGGTTGGTGCGTTTGGAATCCTTTAGCTAGACACAGAGTGCTGATTGGTGCATTTTTACAGAGTGCTGATTGGTGCATTTACAATCTTTTAGCTAGACACAGAGTGCTGATTGGTGCATTTACAATCCTTTAGCTAGACACAGAGTGCTGATTGGTGCATTTTTACAGAGTGCTGACTGGTGCATTTACTATCTTGTAGCTAGACACAGAACACTGATTGGTGAGTTTTTACAGAGTGCATTTACAATCCGTTAGCTGGACAGAAAAGTTCTCCAAGTCCCCACTCTACCCAGGAAGTCCAGCTGGCTTCACCTCTCAATCCCCCCTCTAAAAAGGACACCCCAACTGCTTTTGGGAATTGGGTGATGACCACTCTAGCTACTTCCTGCTGGATGGGGCGAAGTAGGGGCCCTGCAGTTGTAGTGTCCTCCGGAGGGGAACTCTTTAGGCCAGTCAAAGGGCCAGCAGGTTGGTCCAGGGGTCCTTGGTAGAAGTTGTTAGTTGAGCTCATTTGGGGTTCCATTTGTAAGACCATCTGTAGCTTGATGGCCTCGATCCTACAGGAAACAAATTTGACAAGGAGGTTAAAAATACAGGGCCTAAAGGTGAGTAATAGCAAGATGGCTGTCACAGGACCTAGAAAGGGGAGAAGCCATGTTGCCCAACTCCAGAGGTTGGTATAAGAGTTTGAAACGTGTTGTCTGATTTCAGAAACCTTTTCTTGTAAACACTGGGCAGCATCTCATACTATCCCTGACTGGTTAGTGTAAAAGCAACACTTTTCTCCTAAGAAGGTGCAGAGTCCTCTTTTCTCAGCAGTGAGGAGGTCTAGGCCTCAGTGGTTTTGGTAGCAAAATTTACTTTTGTTGAAAACTTTGTAAGTTTGGGATTTCAATTATTCTTCACTATTAATAAGACCTCGTTCAGTCCATATTAACTTAGAATTGGTATAGGTGGCTCCTTCCTGATTCTGTAAGTACTTTAAGGTTTGGCTGAGTGCAAACAGCTTTCACATTTGAGCAGACCAATTGTTAGGCAATTTTCCTAACTCTGCCTCTACAAGAATTTCCTTATCACTTACTGAATACCCATTGTGTCTTTTTCCCTTAATTGCCCAGGAGGAACAATCTATCATCCTGTCCTGAAGGGAGTTCCTCCTAGGTCTGGTGGAACCTTTGTATGGCAATTAATTAAGACATAGATCCCTTGTTAGGAAACCTGCTGGGTTAAGAATTTTTGATAGGAAGGCTACAGGTTGTCAGTGGCCTCAGTGCTTTTGGGCTATGCTCTTGTTTACACTGACAACAAGGTGGTATTGGAGTGTTATAGGGTTACAGAGAAGACCTTCAATTATCAATTATAGATTTTACATTTACCCTGGCTTTTAAAGGAATAGGGTACACTGTTTCTTCTTTACTACTTCTGTCTCTTTCTGTCTCTTTGACTTCTTCTTTCTCTCTGACTTCATGTCTGTCACTTCCTCTCTTTCCTTCTCTCTTTGACTTTCTGCCTTTCTGTCTGTCTTTGACTTTGTCTCTCTGTCTCTTCCTCTCTCTGTTTCTTTCTCTCTCTCTCTAACTCTCTGCTGGTCTTTCCCTGCCTCTGCCAGCTGCTTATGCTGCTGTTCTCCCCTCTCCTTCCCTTTGGATGGCTTCAGCAGTGTAAGACTGCCACCTCTTTGGGTTTTTGCACTGCATGCAGTAACTCCATGGTTTCCTTGTGATATTTAATGGGGGTTCCCCTAGAGGTTAGAAACTCGCTTTTTTCCCATATTGCAGCATGGGCATGTAGGATTAGATAAGCATACTTACTGTCTATAGCAAAATCTCCCAATTACAACTCAGGAGGTGGGAGAAATATCTGGTTACAGGCTGTCCCAGGATTCCTTGGATGGTAATGGACCTTGAGGACAGTCATCCAGGACAGGAGTTTCACACTGAGAAAGCCATGCTAGTGTCCAGGAGGAAGTCATTTTCCTGGCCTTCAATGGTTACACGTACCCGGGGCTCAGTGGGGGTGATTACATGAGTTGTCGCTTGCCCTGGGCACTCTCAGTCCTGTTGTTGGATCATCTGGTTGGGGGCTTTTGGCCCAGAGCACCTTTGTCCTCTTGGGCAGTGCATCTTCCAGTGATTGCCTCAGCATAGTGGACAGGGGGCAGCTGGTTTCTTGTTGGATAATCTTTTTTAAAGTGTCCTTGTAAACCACACTGATAACAAGCCCTACTAGGTGATTGGCCTGCTCCATTTTCTATCCTCTCTGAACCACCAAGGTTTGTTTGTCTGAGGGCCATGGCTAAGGCTGTGGCCTTTCTCTGATCTCGCTTTTCCCTTTTGGCCTGTTCCTCTTGGTCTCTATTATAGAACACTGAGGTTGCCAGGTTTAATTATGCCTCCAGATTTTGTTCAGGGCCTAGGGCTCACTTTTGGAGCTTTCTACTGATATCTGTGGCTGATTGGGAAATAAACTTACCTTTTAGGATCAATTGACCCTCAAGGGAGTCAGGTGACAGGGGAGTATATTTTCTTAAGGCCTCCCATAGCCACTTGAGGAAGGCAGAAGGATTTTCTTCCTTTCCCTGAGTTATGGTGGACATCATTGAATAATTCATGGGCTTTTTCCTAATTCTCCTTAGTCCTTCTAGAACACAGGTCAACAGATGTTTGTGACTCCAGTCCCCATGATCTGAGTCAAGGTCCCAGTGGAGATCCATACTGGGGACAGCTTGCTGACTGGTAGGGAATTTGTCCCTTTTTTCAGCTGTCATTCTATCATTTACTTGACTAAAATACCAGGTATCTCCAAACTCTCAGGCTGCAGCTAAAGCCACATTCTTTTCATTAAAGGCCAGGGTTTGATCTAACAATAGCATGACATCTCTCCAAATGAGATAGAAGATTTGCCCTAGACCCTTTAGGACATCTATATACCTATCAGGACCATCTGAAAGCTTCCCCAGGTCTGCCTTGATCTGTTTTAAATCAGAGAGGGAGAAGGGGGACATGTACCCGAGTTGGGCCAAATTCCCCTCCCCCTATAGCTTGAGGGGGACATAACCAATAGTCTGGGGGTTTTTGTGGTGTTTTGAAGATTTCTCTGCTTGTTTCCTTCTGGGTGGGGGAGATTAGAGGAGGCTTATCATTAATAGGAAGGAGAGCTATAGGGAGGCTAGGATATGGGAGTAAGCTGAGAGGTCCTCCTGTGGGATGTAAATTGCAAGCTTTGTATAGTTGTGTATTCTTCAGTGAAAAGAAAGCTTGGACATAAGGTATTTTACTCCATTTGCCTTCCATCTTACAGAAAAGGTCAAGCTGCAGGATAGTTTTGTAATTTATACTTCCCCCAGGTGGCCATTTTTCCCCATCAGAGAGAGAATACTGGGGCCAAGCTGTAGTGCAGAAAAAAATGAGCTGCCTCTTTTTCAGGGTTTGCGGGTCAAATTGGTCCCAGTGGCTTAAGATGCATTTCAAGGGTGAGCCTGTTGATGTCTGAGTGTTTCCCATCTGAAAGACAAAACCGCCCACGGTTTTGGTTTGTTTGTTTCTCCCCTACCCAAGAACCCGCATTGGTCCCTGGATCCTGCTGATCGGAATAGTTGCACTCACTGACACAGCAGCAGAAATACCTCTTGCCCAAGAACCTGCAACAGTCCCTGGACCCTGCTGATTGGAATAGTTGCGCTCACTGATTTAGCAGCAGAAACACTAGTTTTCCTCCTAGATCACAAGGAGGACTGAGGAAGGTCAGATTTAGTGGCCCTTACTGACACATTCTCGAAAACCTGCACCCTTGCCTGTCCTCCTAGACCACAAAGAGGACCAAGAAAAATTGGATTTAGTGGCCCTTACCAATGCATTCTGAAAAACCTGTTAAGAGTCCTAAGCATTCTCCTGTTAGTATCGGGACCTTACCCCTGTCCTATAAAGGTGTTATGCCCCAAAAATGAAGTGGAGGGCCATACCCTGAGGGAGGGAAGGGATCTCCAGGGTTAGAAGAGTGATGCCTTTGTCCTCACTTCTCATCATATGAATAGGAAGGATATCATTTCTGAGGCTCCTCATATCCTAGCTTCAGTAATAGCTTTTGTTAGGCCTGATAGTCTGGAGGGCTCCTAAAATTCCAGATAGTCCCCCCAACCCAAACAAGGCTTTGGGCAAAAATTATGTCTTTCTGATTGGTGAGCCTGGGTGCCTAAACAATGGAACAGAGTCCTGAAGTTTATACTAGAAATAATTCTTATAGGAGAAACTAGAAAAGCACCAGTGACAGGGAGTGGTTTTTAGAAGCTGGACCAGCCTCGGAGAAGAGACGTGAGAGGAAATTTGTCTGACAGGCATTAGGACCCAGGAGGCAATGGTCAGGATAGATAGGATAGATGAGCGAGTCTCACTTGGGCGACATGACTTTGAGAGTTCTGCCCATGGCCGCAGGGTCAACCAACTTGTTGTCGGGACCCCGGAGCTGAATAGCTTTCCTCTCTGTCGACCCTCAGCTCAGCCTGGAAGTACAGGAAAAGCGGAAGCTGGTTCCAGGCAAACCAATGCTCCCAACTCTGAAGAGTTGGGGGTTGTTAGAGAGCCCTTTCCCAGAAAATCTGACACCTGTGTCTTTAGTCCAGTAGCTATGCTATTTGCTTTTCACTGGCTGACATGTGCCTGGTATTTAGCCCCCAAATTCTAAGGAAAAATAGGACGGAATAGCAAGTGAAAGGGGTCCGATGGTACTCACTGCTTGGTGATAGGTGATAGTCCTTTCATGGTCTCCAAAATATGTCCAGAATTTATTCCTTCTTGTGGGTTCTTGGTCTCGCTGACTTCGAGAATGAAGCCATGGACCCTCGTTGTGAGTGTTAAAGCTCTTAAAGATGGTGTGTCTGGAGTTTGTTCCTTCTGATGTGCAGATATGTCTGGAGTTTCTTTCTTCTGGTGGGTTCATGGTTTTGCTGATTTCAGGAATGAAGCTGCAGACCCTTGCAATGAGTGTTACAGCTCATAAAGGTAGTGTGGACCCAAAGAGTGAGCAGCAGCAAGATTTATTGTGAAGAGCAAAAGAGCAAAGCTTCCACAGCGTGGAAGGGGACCCAAGCGGGTTGCCGCTGCTGGCTTAGGTGGCCAGCTTTTATTCCCTTATTTGGCCCCATGCACGTCCTGCTGATTGGTCCATTTTACAGAGTGCTGATTGGGGCATGTTTACAGAGTGCTGATTGGTGCATTTACAGTTCTTTAGCTAGACAGAGTGCTGATTGGTGCATTTACAATCCTTTAGCTGGACACAGAGTGCTGATTGGTGCGTTTTTACAGAGTGCTGATTGGTACATTTGCAGTCCCTTAGCTAGACAGAGTGCTTATTGGTGCATTTACAGTCCTCTAGCTAGACACAGAGCGCTGATTGGTGCATTTTTACAGAGTGCTGATTGGTGCATTTACAATCCTTTAGCTAGACAGAAAAGTTCTCCAAGTCCCCACTCTACCCAGGAAGTCCAGCTGGCTTCACCTCTCAGTTCGAAGACGTAAGAATCTTCTTTCATTGCAGAATATGTATTTAAATCCTGGGTCTCTGGACTTGGCCATTTCACAGATAAATCTGGTGGAGATGCCTTGTGATTTGACAGTCTATAACTATCCTTTGAATTGCTTTGTCAACTCCCCTATTTTCCTGAAGAAGAAAATAATAATTGCAACAAAATGTCTCATTTTGTAAAGGGGAAAATGAGAAACAAGATCAGTAGGAAGTGGTATGTATCAAACATCATGCCAGCTGGAATAACAAAGACTCATGGCCTGGGTATTGGAGTGAGATTTTTGATCTTTGTTTTCTTGCTCTTAGGAGGGAAGAGCTTCTCATTCATTGCCTTCCATGGCCATATCTATGAGGGGAAAAATGAAGACTCCTCTTCTAGGAGTGGTACTATTTAGAAGATTCAGGTCTCTAGAGATTACTTCTTTTTGAGCAATCCAAACTGTAAACATTTTTGGAAGTTAAAAAAGAAACTTAAAAACTTGGTTGAATTTCTACTTAATTCCATTAGCTAAACTTCAAGAGCTAGTAACCAAAGCTGGAGATCCCACAGAACCATCATTTTTGGTCTGGAATAGGGCCATACCCTGTCCATTCCCCTAGCCTTCAGCCCAATGGTTTGCATCTTGGCAAACTTCTAAAACAAAAGGATGGGTAAGAAAGGCACCATTAATCTTCTCCTGGCTCTCAGACTGCAGTAGTTGTCTATTTTCCACAGTGGGAACATATATTCCTTTCCTCAGTGTGTGTCTGTACACTGTAATATACAGGGGAGGGCTCTTGATGTTTGGTCTCTCTGAATCTCAATGCTCTTCTTTTGTTTTTACCTCCTTATCTTTGTAGTCACTAATCCTAGGCTCAGGCAGAGAATTTATCTTTTCCAATTTTGCTCGGATCCAAGTCACTAGAATCATAACCATTTGAATTACAATCATTCAGCCTAAAGAGTCTCTGATAGAAATGCAGTTTACCTTTCCCCAACCTTATTTTTCTAGACATGCCAGTTTCAACTGAAAACGTCATAATGTGGGAATTTTATCAATATCTTCAAGATCTAAGTATCACACTTCAACATTCCCAACTTTTCTTACTAAATTCCCTAAGACCTTCTGAGATTTACCAGCAGAACCTTTAACTGAATGTTCACTCAGTCATTTTAAAGGTTACCACCTCCTCAGACTAGATTACGTGGTCTCTGCTCTCATTCCCCTGAGACTTGGGATTTACTTCTCATCCACTCTTTCTCTTGCATTAGTGAGTAGAAGTGTGAGTCTTAACTTCAATTTCAAGAACTGCTATCCCATAATAGGTTTCTCCATTACTGAAAGCCCATGAGTATCTGTGGCTATCAGTAGTTTTGAGGGTCTCTTTTGTCTTTCTCCACTTGCCTATCTGGACACCACCACTGGGCAAGGACAACCTCTCTCCCTCCACAGCCACTGCTTCTTCCTGCTGCAGCTCACAGTCTGTCTGCACCAAGACTCTCCTTTCCTAAGGTCACCCCTAGGTCCTAGCCCTGCCTAGCCTGCCCCTCTCAATTTCCTCTCTGGCTTTCTCAGAACATGACAGAGGTTCTCAACATTATCTATTCCTCCAAGCCTTCCTTTTGGTCCACTCTGACCCTGCTCAGCACAGCCACACTCATTTTTCTAAAGCAAAGTTTATTTCATAAATAATAAAGCATGAACAGTAAATAAGTAAAAGAAATAAATATAAAACGTAGCTATAACAAAAGTTAAAAATAAGTACGTAATATATAATAATTTAAAATAAATAAAATAAAGGGACAAAGGATGACATTTGTTTCTTGATATTTCATTTGCTCTGGCTTCACCTTTTCTCTGTTGACAAAGTGCCTATAATACTTTAGGTATAGACTTAGTCCACACAATTCTATTTTTTTGTGGGACAGTATCTTTTTTCCTTGTATAATCATAAAAGTTCTTGTATTTTTGTGTTTTCTGATGCTACTGTGCCTCATGCCTTTATTCTTAGCCTTCCAGAATCTCCCTTACTCAGCCCTTCTCAAAAGTTTTATATCTTTCAGGTCTTTCTTCACTAAGACTTTCTTCACATATGCATGTTTCTTTCTCCTTTAACCTCAGATTCTTTCCCTTTTCCTATCTGATTTCGCCAACAAAGAATATTATTTCAGGAATTGGATTAAATATCTATGTTTTACCTCACCAACAACTGAGTTGAAAAATGAAATTTCAGAAATAAAGTTGGACTGCAACTTTGGCTGCATCATTACTTAAAATATCTCATAAGACTCAGCTTACTCATAAATAGAAACAGGGCTTTTTCTTTGCCCTGGAACACTGAGAATACACACTGACAGTCCTTTAGATACTTCCCACTTATTTCTATTTTCTATATCTCAGCAGAATTCCAAAAGTCACACAGGAGAAGAAACATCCAAAGTGGAGTTTTATTTTAGCAAACTCTCATGAAGACCTTACTGGGTCCAAATCAACACAGTAGTAAAATACCAGCAGGAAGTGTCTTGGTGGTATGTTTAGAAGCCTTATCCGAAGCTGGATAATGAGATCTTGAACTTATACCTGCCCCCTTTGTTTCATTAGGAAAGCAACACCTCAGCCCTGCTTGTAATTAGGTGTAATTATTTTCTTACAAAAATAATCAGAGTGACTTAACCAGTGATCTGTTTTTGGTTTGGATAATTCATACTGCTGTTCCTCTTATGCAGTGAGGTCTGGCAAGGGGTGGGACGAGAAAGTTGATGTGTTTAGTTTCTTAAAGCTCCTAAGTTTCTTATGAATTCCATTCTTTGCTGCCGATTTAATCCCATAACTACACCTGCACTGCAATTACAATGTAAGAACTGGGTGGTTGTAAGGTAGTTTTTCTTCAGAAGAAAAGAAATTCTATCTAGTAATTTTGGCTCAAACTGATTATTCTAGAAACATGGAGGTAAAGGAAGCCCTTTTTTTTTTTTTTTTTTTTTTTTTTTACATAAAGTTGTCAGACAATACCAAGTAGTTATTTAAAAGCAAAACTATTTAGTCCACAGTTTGAATGCTTCCATGGTGAAAATTTGATTTAACATAATAAATGACCCAGTAATTACTCAGAACAAATTGTGTGCCTTGAAACAAAATTTCCGTTTAAGAACAGATTATACGTTGATTCTTGACAAACAAGAATGGTAGCCCTCTATCTCTACAGACCAGAGATGTTTTCATACTGCTAGCATGCCTTAGTTCTTTATTTTTAAAATTAAGACATACAACAGGAAAAAGGAATGGGCAGTGAACTAACATAGTAATTTAACAGTGACTTGTTGCTCTATTGCCATCACCATAGGAGAAAGCACAAGAAAGACAATGCCCATGCCCATTCCAAACATCACAGGGCTGCTGGGTGATAAATTAGCATAAGCATGACTATGTATAAATGCTCTTCTCACTCCTTTATGGCAAAAATAATTCAAATATAAAATATAAAATATAAAATATATTTTATATTTATATAAATATAAAATATATTTTATATTTATATAAATATAAAATAATGGTTTTATATAAAATAATGGTTTCAAATAGAGTTTTAAATCTGCATGCCAATGTCAAAAATAACACAAGAGATAATGCATAACGTAAATACATTATAATAACCTATATTCCAAAATTAAATAATAAAACTTGGGAAGCTAAGAGAAGAGGTTAGGAAAGGAGGTTTGTGTTAAATTCTTCCTTTTGCGTGGGTGAACTTAACAGATATTAGTTTATTATTTAAAGATATTAGAAAATTGTAGGTTCAATTACATTTGATAAACCTTAATGGTAGTAAGGGGCTGAAACCAGCTTGCACTGACTTCTGAGGGCCAACTGTGCACAGCTTTTTTTAGCTGTGTGTTCTGTGATATTACGGTGGTAGCTTGAAATCACTGGCCATGGTGCGAATATCTATACCATCAATTTGGCAAATGCTACAAATCAGGCACTTTTTAAAATTTCAGACAGCCTGTTAAACACACCTAAATCTCCCTAAAGATTACTATTAATAGAAGTGTACCCTCACAGTCACTTCCCCAATGTGACCAAAGACACAATTAAAGAAAAAAGAACATATGGAAACAGAATAAAACAGGATGATATTAGTAAATAGTAGTAAAACAAAGCCTCTCAATATAATGTGAGTGGAAAAGAAGAGGGAGAGGCAAATGTTCTAGGCACAGGAGATAGCCTCCAAAAGATCTGGAGATAGAGACTGAGGTGTGTTTGAGACACGGAAAGCAGCCTGATGTTGAAAGAGACAGCAGTTCAGAGAGACTGATTGGGTAAACAGCCAGATCAGGATGGTCTTTTATGTCACACTATGGAATTCAGCTTTCTTCTTAAGGGGACATGGGAAATCTCTGAATGCTTTAGGCAGGGTAGAGAAATAATCAGATTTGGGTTAAATGAAGATTTAACTAGAGAACAGAAAGCAGTTGAAGCAGAGAGATTGTGAAAGAGTGGTGGTAAGAGCCCTCCCCTCCCCCCAGCCACTGGTACGAAGCTGGTGCATACTCCTAGAAGAGTCATAGCCATAAAGTGTACTCTACTATTCAGTCAACCACTGAAGTTTATGGTTTGGCAATTGAATGATTGCGGTGCTCCTATAAAAGGAAGAAGTGAATTGCAGTGGGCTTTGGATATGTTGAATATGACCTATCTGTGATAACCCAGTGCATATGTCCAGAAAAGAGTAAGATATACGGGTCTCAAAGTCAAGTGGGAAAATTTGGATGGGATATAGATATTTGAGAGTCATTAGCACACAGATAGTATGTACACTGCAACAGGAGATAAAGATTTGGAAGTCCTCAGTATAGAGAGACTATATAATAGTTATGGAATTGGATGAGATTTCCTAGAGACCTTTGAGTAAGAGCAAAAACAGATGTAGAACAGAATCCCAAAGAACACCAAAGTTTAAAAGTTGGTTAGAGGAAGGGACTTTTGCAAAAGTTCTCCGTATATTTAACACCTAGCATAGCGTTCTGCCCAAAGGCACTCAATTAACTATCTAGTAAATGAGCAGGTAAGAAAGTGAGGTTTTCATGTCTGCTAACACAATATCCATTTTGAAGCCTATGAATCAAGGAGTAATGTTGACTTTGAAATCTTATTTTGGAAATACATTTCGTAAGGCTGTAGCTGCCATAGATAGTGATTCCTCTTGCAGATCTGGGCAAAATAAACGGAAAACTTTCTGAAAATGATTTATCATTCTGCATGTCACTAAGATAATTTGCGGTTCATGGGAAAAGGCAAAATATCATCATTGACAAGAATTTGGAAGAAGTTGATTTCAACCCTCATGGATAACATTGAAGGATTCAAAACTTCAGTGGAGGAAGTAACTGCAGATGTGGTAGAGTAGTAAGAGAACTAGAATTGGAAGAGAAGCCTGAAGTTGTGACTGAATTGATGCAATCTCATGAAAAAACTAATGGGTGAGGAGTTGCTTCTTACGGATGACCAAAGTCCATGGTTTCTTGAGATGGGATTTACTTCTGGGGAAGATGCTGGCAACATTGTTGAAATGATAGCAAAGGATTTAGAATGTTTTATAAACTTAGTTGACAAAGCAGTAGCAGGGTTTGAGAGAATTGACTGCAATTTTGAAAGAAGTTCTGTGGATAAAATGCTATCAAACAGCATTGCACACTACAGAAAAATGTTTGGTGAAATGAAAATTCAACTGATGCAGCAAGCTTCACTGTTTTCTTGTTTTAAGAAATTGTCATAGATAACCTTCAGTAACTACCTCCCTGATCAGTCAGCAGCCATCAATAACAAGAAAAGACCCTCCCTCAGCAAAAAGATTACTACTCACCAAAAGCTCAGATGATTGCTAGAGTGTTTTTTAGTAATAAGGTGTTTTAAGTTGAGGTATGTATATAGTTTTAGACATAATGCCATTATACACTTCATAGACTACAATATAGTATAAGCATAACTATTATATGCACTGGGAAGCCAAAAAAATCATGTGACTCCTTTATTGCGATATTTGCTTTATTGCAGTGGTCTGGAACCAAGCCCACAATATCTCTGAGATATGCCTGTATTACTTAACAATTAAAAAAAATTCTTCAAACCACGCTCACTTTGAAGATAATAAAAATGCATATTTTAGTATACTTAAACATAATGGCTAACAATAACAATACTAGTAATAATACTATGTATTAAAAGCCATATAAGACAGCCATTGCTTACATTAATAAGAATAAAGGAAAACAAATATACAAACATCTATATCAAGAAGTTAGTGAAAAGAAGAGCAAGTAACTGAGAAAAAGCATGAGTAAGGGAATAATCAAATTAACACAGAAATGGGTTTCTTAGAGAATAGAACACAGCTGACTTAGTAACTAAACCTAAGAGCTTATTTGGAAAACCAAGTGAAACAATGTAGGTAACCCCATGCTTACTCAGTCAACTAAATTAAAAAGGGGTGGGTAAAGAAAGAAGTGAATATACACAGAATTAGAAATAAGAAATAACCCTTAATACAGAGGCAAGCGTGGGAATTTTAAAAGAACATTTTACAAAACTCTCTTCAGATAAATTTGAAATGGGTAATTTTCTAGGAAAATACAAACTACTAAAATTAAACCTGGGAGATATAGAAGACTTCTGCATGTGCAAACATGCAAGATATCGAGAAACTTTTAAAGACTTCTTCCTCAAAGCAGTGCCAGGCACAGATGGTTTCTCGGGTGAATTCTTTCAACCTTCAAGGAACAGAAACTTCAATACTAGTTAAATTGGTCCCAAGCAGAGAGATAAAAGGAAATCTTCCAAATTATTTTTCAAAAGCCAACATAACATTGATTCCAAAACCTTAGAATAAGAGCGCAGAAAACAAAACTTGAGACAAATCTCAGTTACGAATATCAGAGTTGAAGTTCCAGAGAACACGAAGGAGTCCCGAGTCACTTTAGTTCAACTTCTTAAAACTGCCAAAGGAGTTGGGCACATCAGTAATCATTCACATGAACGAATTTGTATATAATTTTCTTATATTAATGGATAGATACAAATATTATTTTATGGCTAAATATGATTTAATTTTTCTTTTTAAAGATTTTCTATTGCAATGACAATAATTAAATATTAAAGTTCATTTTGCATTCCTTTGTTGCTGGGCCCCATTTTAAGGTCTTTTGCAAGGATTATCTCATTTAATCACCTCCAAAACTCTGAGAGTTGTTATCATTATTCCTTTTTAAATATGAGAAACCTGAGCCTCAGCAAAGGCATTTTATGGCTAGGGGGTGGTACAGTTTTATTTTGGACCAAAGCAGTCTGACTCTGGAGACACTTCTCATTTTTCTAATGAATTTTAGTTTGTAAAACCACTATCATGTGGCATCCTGAGGAACGTTATGTGCTGTGAAGACCCCCAAGTGCTGGAGAAAACACATTTTCATAAGATCTAGGGATGACATTTGTGCTCCCCTGTAGGAAGCATGTCTGCTGTAACTGAGTAGTGAAAAATACAGATTGGTAAAGGGCAAAGCTGTCAACCAAAGCCAAGAGAGTAGAAACCAGAAGAGGGTGAGCTGAGATCAGTAAACAGCAAGGGAATGAGACAGTGACATTTGCACCATTAGTAGAAGGACAATTGTGTGTAGATCTTAGGTCAGAGGATTTGGGCCATGGCACAACTGATGTAATAGACAGACTTTTGGATGCCTGTGCGTATAGGCATGTCTGAAAATAATGCCTGTGACTTTCAAAAGATTCTCAAATAGACTTAAACATCCACAAAAGGTTAGACATCCCTGCTACAGATGGGAGTAAGGTATCAGAGGGTTACATTGGGTTTGGGAAGCAGAGGAAGTGGCCTGGACAGCTGCCCATGTCCAGGCTGTGCCCACCTAAGGGAAGGGTATGTGAAGCTCTAAAATCTTCTACTTACCCATACGCCTCAGGGGCCCCACCTCAGGTCTCTGTTGTCCCGCTCTCTGCTATCTATTCCATGGATATGGCAATGAGGCAAGGGAGTACGTTTTTCTTGTAGTTTAGCTTTTATGCCTGTGCTAGTGTGTTTGTGTACATGTGTGTATCAGGGGGATTTGCCAAGAACCTGGATTATGCAAGTGTTCTGGTGGCTTCTGCCTGGTCCGGACACGAAAGCAGATTAAGAACAAGTAATACAAGCAGGAGACATGCAGGGGCTTTCCTCAGGTGGGAAGAATCAGCTTTCCAAGACTGAGTAGAGACAGATGCAGAGATAGAACTGGGATAAAGGATGAGTGTGCACTTCTTTCACCCATTTAAAATCACAGAGCTTCTCCTATTGACCTGTGTCTTGCCAGGACGAATTATTCACTTATAAGGTGCTTCCATGTTCTGACTCAGTGCTTTTATATAGAACCATACTTATTTGGGGTTAAAAGAAAATGAAGGGTATGGCTGGATGCTCACAAGAGTTATCATGTAGGGTGGGTCATTGGGTAGAAGATTATCTCTTATTGAGGAAAATTTTCTTTTCAAAAATTCTCAGTGTGAAACTTGATATGCATAGCCAGAGAAGGAGTGCTGTGTTGCTAATGCAACAAAAATTAACCATTAGAGGTGGGGTGTGGTGTGCAGTGTATTTATTTTAACCAATACCATATCCTACTTGGAAATAATGGAGCTGAGAGCAGGAGAGAAGGTGATGCAAAAAGTAACAGGAGGAAAAGAATCCAAGCAAAAGTGAAATTGCCTACACTAAGAGAATAAATAAAAAACCATAGGAATTACTTATTTGTGTAGTCTCAAAGGCCTCATAGAAAGTAACTCTTTGATTTACCTCCCTTTTTTCATGGAGTGCTGCCAGGCAAAATTAAAAATGGGCCCATGAAACTAGCGAGACTGAGACAGACATAAAGAATGCTTCAGAGGCTCCAGTTTTTAAGTGCTTTTCACTTAATTGTCTGTGGTTGCCAGCTATGGAGAGATGGAGAAAAAACATGCAGGGCTGGCTTGAAATACTTGCAGAATATATTGAGACTGAGCACTGTGCAGGGTGCATGCTAATGGCTAGCCTCTGCATTGTAGCTCTACTCTGACACTGTTATTCTCCTTCCAACTGTGCTTATGCCAAGACTCAGATATTGTAGATTGTTAGAGCAGGGAACATTTTGCAGAGGTCTATTAGTGTAATTTCCTCCAGCAATATCGATGATTCCAAACTTTTTGATGTTGCCTTGGTTGGACATACTTCTGAAAATGAGAATGGGGAATAAAATTTCTCCTCTCTGCTTCAGTGCTGCTCTTTCATATGGTGTAGTTCTCTGCCTCTTTGGTGATATAACACACTGATTAATATGCAATAAATGTTCATTGCATATCTACTATGACAATTATCTTACCACAATAATGATATAAAATGATCACAAATCATAGTGCTGTGCAAGAATAAGTGATTATTGTTGTGTCTGGGATCAGCTGGAACACAATTAAGTGACTCTGTTGATCTTGGCTGGGCTCACTCATGAGTCTTTAGTTGGTTTGGCTGGCTGTTGACTGATCTAGAATGGCTTTGGTTGGGACATCTGGGATAAATTGGCTCTCCTCTGTGTGTCTTTTATTCTCCACTGGGATAGCCTCACAGTGTTTTTTTCATTGTGATGGCAGAGGCTCAATAAAGCGGATAGAGACACATAAAGCCTCTAGATGCAGGCCCAGAATTGGGACACTGGAACTTCTGCCACATTCTCTTGGCCAAAGCAAGATACAGATTAGTTCAAATTCAAAGGATAGGAAAGTAGACCCTCTCAGTTTAGTGAGAGAAACTGCAGTGTCATATGGAACAAAACAAAGACACAGGAGATGACTAAAAACCAAGTCATCATGGTAATGTACTACACATACTATATGCCATGCCTGTAAGGTGTTTGTAGAAACCCAAACATTCTTTCACCTCAAGCCTATTTTCCTTTCTAGCAAGTGATACACGTTGTCACCAGCCCATCCTTGTTGCTAGGAAGAAAGAAAAATCCTATTTCACTCTATGTCATTCTCATGTTTTCTGGCTCTTTGTGGAAAGCAGTAGTGATGTAAATGAATATAGCAGGAGCTCTTTTATTAAACCTTGCAACCTGGGCTTTAGGCCGAATGACACTGAACTCCACAGAGTGGGGATGCTGTTGATGCCCAGGTCAGATCCTCTTTTCTGAGCTAGTGAACCTATTCCCCAGCTTCCCTGAGTGTTGGCTGCTAATGGCTCATACTTGCCCCCTTTTTCAGAAAATTGCCTTCATTCATACAAAGGCTGCCTTGTTCCAGGGTTTATGCACATACTCCCTTACCCTAGCAGCCTTTAGCCAATGTTGAAATGAAATGGCTATATAAGAGGCTACCCTTTTGCCTCGAGGGGGAGCCAACTCAGTGGGGCAGTTCGCACCAGAGCACCCCATTGGATCAGCATGAAGCTAATCTTTAACTGAAACTACATCCTTGCTCAACTCCTTCTCCTGCCCAATCCTAGTTACTGCACTCCCCTTCTCCTGAGAACACTCCATCAATAAATCAGGTGCAACTGAACACCTGTTTCAGGCTCTGTTTCTAGAAACCCAAACTAAGATAACCATCTAGCATAACATATGTCAAAGGGAAGAAGGCATTCTCCTCTTGTTTTTCAAAGACCTGCTTGTAGCTCTGGCTCTAGGGTAGCACTGGTGTAATAGAGGTGGTTTCTAGTTAAGGGGAAGCAGTGCCCAGCAGGCTATGGAGGTGATGTCTGGCCTAAAATGTTTAGAATTGTCAGTATCCCCTGTGAGTCACCCTGAAGACTTTCAGACAATTGGCTGTGACTTGGAGAAAAAAGAGAATGAAATCCTGTGTAAGTAAGAGAGAAAAGAAATCAGTAACATTGGGGTTGTTAATATTTATGTGAATCACCTATACTAACAACCCAATTCAGTAAGATCCAGTAGAGCTTGAATTACACTGGTATCTTTAGTAAGCCCAGTAATTTTGTTTCACAATTGCCGGACTAAAGCATGTGTCTCCGTATGATGCCTAATGGTGAAGACACATTGGAGTACACAATACGTCAAAAGAGCTGCTGCCTATCTCCAAGTCTCCACAGGGGCCTCAGAAAAGCCCCTGTGCAATTAACAGTATTAGGTCTGCTATTAAGGAGTACTTAAGCTTTGATATTTCCCATCAACCTTCTACCTAGCATTCTGCCTCAGTTTTTATCCTCTAATTCGTTCTCCAAACTTTGGTAGATTGATCTTGTAAAAGTTAATTCTTATCTTGCTATTGCTCTGATTAAATACTTTCTACAAGTTAAAATTCAAACTACTTACCATGGCATAAAAGACATTTACAGACATGGTCTCCATTGTATTTCTAGTCTGCTCCTTCTTCAATTTTGCAGGGTCTAGACTGAGCGACTGGCTGTTTGCTGAGTAGTCCAGGAGTCTTGCCCTACTGGCCCTGCACACACGGTTTTCATTGACTTGGTGTGTCCTTCATATTCTGTGGCTAGTAAACTTCTAATCATCTTTCATGATTTACCTTTACCTTCTGCTTTTTGTGCAGTATCTGCTGGTCATATTAATGTCATTTTTACCTCAGGATAAATTATACACTCATTATATTCATTCTGGGCACCCAGGGCACACTGAACCTCCATCTATTATAGAAATTCATTGATGGATGAATGAATTAGAATGCATAATTCTTCTAAAATACAATCCTAAGCTCTGAAAGCACCATAAACAAACACAAAATACACAAAACGGTTCAAGAGTAGTAAGCCACATAGACTTTCCATTAACTTCAGGCCACAATGACATTTTTATTAATAAAAGATAGATGTTATTACTATTTCAGAGGATTCTTGCCCACCTAGTATGCCTCCTTGATGTTACTTGCAATTTAATGTCTGAATTGCAGAACTTAGAAAAGGTTCATTCCTTCTATATTTACTTTTTGAGATTTTTTATCATAAAAGGATGTTAAATTTAATCAAATGCTTTTTCTACATCTATTGAAATATTCATGTGATTTTTATCATTCATTTTGTTAATGTGATGTATTACATTAATTGATTTGCATGTGTTAAACCAATAGTGCATGCTAGGAATAAATTTATATGGAATTTCAAAAGACTCTGAATAGCCAAAGCAATTTTAGCAAAAAAGACAAAGTTGAAGGCATCACATGCTCTGATTTCAAATTCTACTACAGAGTTATAGTGATCAAAACAGTATGGACTTGAATAAAAACAGATACTTAGACCAATGAAACAGAAGAGAGGGCCTAGAAATAAACCTAAACATATATGGTTAATTAATTTTCAATCAGGGCACCAAAAAGATACAATGGAGAACAAAAGATCTAAACAGGCATTTCTCCAAAGCGGGGGAAAAAAAGGCCAACAGGTAGACCAAAAGGTGCTTAACATCACTAATTATCAAGGAAATCCAAATCAAAACCACAGATCTATGATCTTGCACCTGTTAGGGGTGCTTACTAGGGCAAGGGAGTGGGAAAATTAAGAGATGCTGATTAAAGGTAAAAAGTTGTTATATAGTATGAATAAGCCTAGAGATATAATGTACAGCATGAGGACTATAGTTAATAATACCATATTGTCTACTCAAAATTTGCTGTGAGAGTAGATTTTAGGTACTCTTACCAAAGGAAAAAAGAAAAACAGAAAAAGAGAGCGACGTGAGATTATAGATATGTCAGTCTGCTTTACTGTAGTAATCCCTTCGCTATGTATATGTGTATCAAAACATCATTTTGCATGCCTTACGTTTACACAATTAAATAATGGATTGGAAACAAAAAACATATGCACAATGGTTTGAAGGCAATTGATTGTAACTAACAAAGCAGGTGAGGTCCCCACTCACTCCAGCTTTTTCACTGTGGGCAGTTTTCAATTTTTTATGTGTGGATAAAGAGCACAGAAAGAGGCAGTGGTGCAGGGCCAGTGAAGCCTATGTTGAATCTCAGAGCTTTCAAGATTGTGGGGACTTGAAAGGTGAAATCCCAAGAAAAACATTTTTATCTTTTCTTCTCAAAATAATTCCCTTGACTCTATTTACCTTAAACATCATCCATGAAAGTGCACATCTTGGATGTTCTTTCAAAAAAGAAATTACTGAGGGTGCATGTAGTTCACAAATTTCAGCTGCAGCACCTTCAGGGTCTTCCTCAGTTGTCTGAACCAAGGCTCTGCTCTTTGCAGCCAGACCCCAGACAGAGACTTAGCATGGTGGGGGTAGTTAGGGGCCTGGCCATTTTTGTATAGTATGAAACTCCTGTGTAGGCAGTCATTTCACCACATCTCTCTGATGGGCTAGCTGGGACTTTCTAAGCTGTACTGCAGTCTGAGGCTCTTACTATGTAATCCTCCTTTCTTCCCCCTCTCTTTTCATAGGTCTCAGGCCTGCATCATGGCATGAAGATTCTCTCTGTCTAGTTCTGCTTCCTTTCCCATTTATATATCACAGAAGATACTCAAAATAAATCCATTTCACTTCTAACTCTATCTTCGTATCTATTTCTGGAGACCCAATTGACGTGACCCACCAATTATTGCCTCTATTCTTTGTTCCCTTTTATAGGAAAATGTCTTGAAATAGTTATTAAAGCCACCATCTGTAAGTCCCCTCCTCCCACTGGCTTTTAATTCACTTCAGTCACACTTTAACAACCCCACTACCACTTGCCACATATACACAAATTCATATACTACTTGGAAACTGCTCTCTTTAACGTCATTACTGAGGACTTCTCCATTGCTAAATCTAAGGATCAGTTCTCAGCCATCAGCTGATTTGCCAAAGTTAATCACTCCCTCCACCTTGATTTGATGTGCATTTTTCACTTGACTTCCAGAACTCCATTCTCTCTCTCTCTCTCCTTTGTTTCTTCCCTCTCTTCCCCTGTCTCTCTCTCTTTCTGTCTCTCTTATTCTCACTTCCACTCTCACCCTTTTTATTCTCATAGCTCAGTGGCAACTCCTTCTAGGTCTTCATTATGATTCTTTTTCTTAAGGTTAGAGTGCCCAAAGCTCAATCCTTGGACCTCTTTTCTTGCTTTATTGACATTTTCTAGGCGATTTGAGCCCAGTGAAATACTGATAACTCCCAACCAACCAACCAACCAACCAACCAACCAACCAACCAACTCAGCTCTTTATTTGCTCAAACTTGACACTCATATGCCCACCTGCTCTCTACTTGGAGGTTTGAAAGACCCCTCAAACTCAATGTCCCATTTTCCTCCTACTCCTCAGCTTTCCCCCTCTTAGATTATGACAATTACATCTTTCAACCTGCTCAGGCCCCATACCCTTCAAGCCACTTTTTCTCACAATCTGCATCCAATCCAGTTAGCACTACCTTCAAAATATCCAGACTATATCTAGAATTGGTCCTTCTTTACTTCCTCTACCAATACTCTTCTTGTATGAGACAAATACTATAGGCTTCTGGTATAAGAATAATGCACCAAATGATTCAAGTACAGGGAGAAGTGGCATGCAAGCAAGGAAATTTGGCGCTTTTTTTCTCTTACATATTTAGTGTCTGGTATATAGTAGATGCTTAGTAAATATTTAGTTTAATGAATGAAAAGTTGTTAATCTAAGGGCTCTAATCAAGATGGCTAAATAGCAGATGAATATGGCCAAAAGTGTCTGACCAAAGACTTTTCCACTAATGCATAGGTCATGGGCTTGTTCATTATATTTAGCCTCATCACCTCCTGCTAAACGTCCTCAGCAGGCAACATCTGTTGTCTTTCTAGCTTTTTCTAAAATGATTTCTAAATATATTATCAGTCTGGCATTAAACATACCCAAAGCTTCTAAATAAAGTAATATGTATTTTTGCTGTGTCTATGGGTTATTCAAGAAATAATAACCTTTCCTCATTACTGCTAGATACATAAGATTTGCCAGGAGTAAAGATAATCATAAATGACAATGCAGTAGGTGCTTTTGTTTCATGTTGAAAACTGCACAACTTTCAAAATTCAAGGGCCTTTAGCATAATTTTGAAATGATGATAATGATAATAATATCACATTTATTAAGGAACAAAGTGAGGATTAGATAAATCTACATGTGGAAGCCTTGGTCTGTTTCTTGGAACACAGCAGGACTTTCATACATGTTAATGTCATTTCCTTCCCATAAGAATAAAGAAAAATCTGTACTACTCCCTACCCCAACCCCCTTATCTCATGTTCTTCTTTTCAGGAAGGCTTTCTTGGGATGATAATTTATTTCATCGCACATGGCCTTCCCTTTGGCAGAATGAGTGCTTTTTTATTTGTCACTAGTAATTAAATTTCTTCCACATTTTATCCTTGGAGTGTGCTACGAGCCACCTATGTTTTTCTCTGTTGTTTTCTTACTTTGAACTTGGTATTATAGTGGAACCCCATTCATTTGTTTGTTTATTCATTAATTTAGTCAGCAACATACATATTTATTGTGAACCTATTCTGTGTCCAGCTCTGCACTAAAGTTTGGAGATGAAAATGCAAAGATACAGTTCATGTCTTCCAGGATTTTCTAGTCTAGAGGAGGAAAAAAGGCAGACATTGTAGATATATGAGACATTAAAAACATCATAGAAGAATAACAAAATGCAATAAAAGCCTCAGGGAATTCAAAAACAAAAACCGAAATTGCCTAATTCTGTCTGGGGCTGTCATGAATACTCAGAGAAAGCCTGATCTGAACCACAATTGGAAGAGTAAGTGATTTGCCACAGTGATCAAGAATGAGAGTGTTGGAGAGGGGAGAGGCAAATGAAGGCAAAGGTGTATTAGTATGAACAACCTGGTCAACTAGAAAATGTCCAAATAAATCAATGTGGCTAAAATTAGGGAATATGCAGTGTGGCCTGGACTGGTCATGAAAGCCCTGGAATGTCATCTACCATTTTTGCTTTTCTTCTTTGGGCATTAGGAGCCATGGACAGAAGAGTCTCTGAACTATTGCTTTGGCTAATTGTACCAGAAACTTTAATTATTGATTATATCTACGTCAAAATTTATATTTATCTTTCAAAAATATTATAAATATATAAGAATCTCCTTGTACTATATAGTAAGGACAATGACAAAGGCTCATAAGTATAGGGAAAGGAAGAGTAGTAATAAGAATATAAGAAAGCAAGGACAAAAAACCAAACACCGCATGTTCTCACTCATAAGTGGAATTGAACAATGAGAACACAGGGACACAGGAAGGGGAACATCACACACCGGGGACTGTTGTGGGGTGGGGGGAGGGGGGAGGGTAGCATTAGGAGATATATCTAAGGCTAAATGATGAGGTAATGGGTGCAGCACACCAACATGGCACATGTATACATATGTAACGAACCTGCACGTTGTGCACATGTACCCTAAAATTTAAAGCATAATAATAATAAAAAGAATTTACAAGGGAAAAAAAAGGAATATAAGAAAGCAACTGTGAATCTGAGGCTTCATTTTGAGTTTTCCCCCAAAACAAAAAGGGGAAAACTAAAAGCCTGATAGGTTACCTTTTTCTAACAAGGAACAACTGTCTCTACTTCGGGTTGCATGCTTTCTCAAGTTTGAGTTTAGACAGACCACTCTTTTGTGAATCTTTGCATAAAGGGTCATTGAATAATGGTCAGAGGCATTGTCTTTGAATGTTTTACAGATATGCTGAGGTTTGTACTTAGAACTTCTCATTTTACATTCAGCCTTTCAGTGAAAGGCGAACGTGAAGCTGACATTTTATAATGGCAAAACTTAGGGGGCCAGAGCTATAAGACATGTTCAGAAGACAGGGATATGTGTCTTTTTTTCTCTTGTATTGCTCATGGTACCTAGCACAAAGTTGGAGATGTGATAGACTCTTTAATACAGGTATTCTTATATGGTTTACCATGGCAAAATCAACTTTCAATTTTGTTTGGTTTTCAGAGTACTTTTCATGATAAAAAGGTTCATTTGTTTTACTCTCAGAGCATGCTCTGAGCTGAGAATTATAAACTAAAGGAGAAAATAATGATGAGCAAATAATTGCCCAGGCTCCTATGGAGAGTTCTCAGTAGAGCTGGATTTGGTAACTTGATGAGTTGTCACTGGCAAATTTAGCATTCACATGTCAGACCTAGAATAATGCTAGATGCTTATCCCTCTCGTATGGGAGCAGCCAGGAAGTCAGAAGAGGACCACAGACAGAGCGTTTGTTGGTGACAAGGGCTTTCATATCTTCAGAACTTGGCAATAAGTATTTTTAAATAATGGGAAGAATGAATTATTTGATTTCTGTGAATTTAAATTGCAAAAATGAAATATGTGGGAGAAAACAGGTGCCTCCATCTTTAACTGGAATTGACAAAGCAGCATTCACAAAGTGGCAACAATTTCCTTTGACATTTATGATTGCCCTAATGCTGTTAATCAGTGTGAGATTATTATTTTTCCTTTCACAAATGGAGAAACTGAGGTTCTGAGGGGTGAAGTGAGCTTACCCCATTCCACAAAACTTGTAACTGCTGATTCCCAGTTCTTTGTTCATTTTATTAGGCCATGGATGTTTCCTTAAATATATTTCTCTGGGAATAAAATTCTCTTACAGATCTTCTAGAAATGGGGATCTTGGCTTTCTGAAATGAAATTATGTATGGGCCAGAAGCCAGGAGATGGAACGTGTGCTTTCTTACGTGTTTTCCTTCCAGCTTCCTTAGTCACGATTCTTCATTATAACTTTGGTATCTCTGATATTGAGTTAACTTTGACGATGGTATGGATGATGGTGGATGGGTGGTACATACAACTTTGAAGCACATGATGACTCTCTGGCCACCTACTTTATTCTCGTATTTCCCAAGAGGAGGTAAATACTTCATTTTAGAGAAACTGGACTCTAACCTAAAGTGGCCGAGAAGTCTAACCTGCATTGTAATCTTCATCAAATGAAAACACTTTGTTCTTAAAAGTACACTTGTTCCTTCTTCTTGCCCTTGACAATTTTCTGTTTGAAGCAGCAAGGAACAGAGGAAAGATAACATAGTTTATTCTATGGATTTCTACCAGTTCAATTTTTAAAGTGTTAGCCTCTTAAAATAAATGTTTTCATAAAAGATCATGAAGAAACTCGGATTTTTGTCACTCCATCAATATGTAGGAGGAGGGTATGTCTGGGTAAGAGCCAAACAATTAAGGTGTTACTGACCAGAAGTCTCTTGGTTTGCTGTCATAAAATGTCACAACTATCAGCAACCACAAAATCTTCAATAAATGGCACTGCAGACAGAAATTTTTCTTAACAGTCTGGGTTTGTGAATTCTCTTTTTTCCTTTCTGGTTTCCCTCTGTAGATGTCTCTTTCTTCCTTTGTGCTTGGTCTCTCTGTTTCTCTTACTAACAACACACATATTTCTCCATCTCTGTATCATCATCTTCTATTAGTTTTTCACAAGTGTATTTCTGTGACTAAAAGGATCAACAGATGCTGACTTCAATATTGTGAAGCATCCAGAAAAAGAACAATTAATTTATAACAAACCTGCTTTGCTCTAACACTGACAGCTTTTGAAAATGTATACTGTATGTGAGATCCACATCTCATTTTGTTTTCATTTAGATGGTCAACAGCATTTAACTCGAAGTTAGGTTTAAATTCCCCCCATGAGACTTGTCAGTTTTTGTCAGAAATAAAACCAATGAATATTTCCATTTTAAATATTTAAAAGACCTTTTAAATAATGTGTTGATATTTTTGCTTGCATTTTTGTTATTATCTTAACACTCTCTATTGCTATCTGCTTCAATATAGGAAAAATGCAGTTACAAATGTTTCCTGGTTATAGTTATTAAGAATTATCCCTAATCTTAGGCTAGATATATACAGAAGATAATCGTGTTCTAGAGTGTTCCTGCTGAATAAAGTTGCCACTTAATAAGAAACAGATATCATGACTAGGTTGCCCTTGGAACTAACTGTCCAAGCGTGAACAAATATATATACTACATCACACATACACTCACAGTGCACAACACACTTATACACTTCTCACATACTCGCCTTTCTTTTACAACTTTCTGGCTCAGCATGCCCATGTCATGAGCTAATTCTGACCTAACAGAGAGGCTGTGCAGTCTTTCAGCTAGTGGAGGCTGAGAAAATTGTGCAGCAATAGGTCCAGTCCCTGGAAGATGAAGTTAGTTAGCATTTGGTGCCCAGCCAGCAGCAATGTGACTTAGGCTTTTCGTCCTAGTAGGTATGGAGTTCTGCTCTGAGCAACAATTCATTTATTTTGTGCCAATATTCTGACTAGCTCATTCTAGAATCTTCTATTTTGGTCAGAATCTGTCCTATATTCTTGGCTGTGGTTCAATTCTTTCAATCAAAGATCTGCCTAATCCTGTTTTCCCATAGCTAATGTTGACAGGGTTCACCACGCCATCTTCATCTCCGCCCCCACTTCTCATCTTCAGCCCAAACCAATCTTCATCTCTATCTTCATCTTTACTTCCATCCACACAGCAATCTTCAACTCCATCTACCAATACCAGTCTTAAGCTCCTGTGCCCCACCATCCTCAGTCATAGCAGTGCTCGATGTGATAACCTAATCAAAAATTTCAAACCAAACTGCCCAGCATTCATGGTTGTAAAGGACATGTAGAATCAGTCAACTGATAGATACAAAGTAACACTGAAACTGATTGAGCAATAATCAGAAAGTTGGCGCTGCAATAGCTTCCTCAGTTGTACCTCTCTGTCCACCGCCCAGCTCTTTCCTGTTGCTTCCAGTTCCTCTCACTTGTACTTCTTTATTAACTATTTGTTAACATAACTTTCTATGGTTTTCTTTCACCTAAGACCCAAACCTCTTCTCCTGGCTTGCATTTCCACGACTCCCTGCCCAAGCCTGAGGTTGCACAAGAAACATATCTCTAATTAATGTCCCCTGTTCCAGGAATTTGACTCATTGGGCCTGCAAAAGATTTTCGTGACAAATGAAATATTTTTCTAAACCAAGGACTTGGGGATAACTTCAGGGTCAAAGACATCTTATCATATTTAAGGTGTGACTCTTATCTCTGTCTGTTGTGTTGTAATGTGTCTGTTAGCATTTACTATTAATAAGAAAGTTTCTAAAAGCTATGTAGAAAATTTTAAAAAAGAATGATAAATTTTGCTGTAATAGAATCTGCTCAAGATAGAGCATTGAGATTAGCTGGCACACAAAGAGATAAAAATTTGTGCTAAGAAAGTCATTTAGTAGATAATAAATCTAACCCAAATGAGGCCTCTGGGTCCCACCCCAATGGATACAATACCCTAATTTCAGAAATGCAAATATTATGGGATTAAAACAAAATGGAATAGTGAAAGAAGATTAAGCATAACCTGATGCACTGTTAATCTCAACCTTCCTCTGAGAGTCATGTTTCAGAGAACGTAGCAAAGAACTCCCTAATGAAAGTATTTATGTCTGGGAGGCTATTCAATAGACGCAAACAAGTCTTGCTTAATATGTAGATGTTATGGAAGGGAGACTTGTATCTCCATTCTCTATGGCTTTCTGGAGGAATCATTGACCTATGTCATAGCCAGAATATATCAATATTGTTGGTAATCACAGCTCCCATCACACTACTGACACTGCAGCACCTGTTAATCGAACTTAGAAACACAAGACAAATTATACAATTTGTGAGGTGCCCAGAAAACAGCTACTGTGGAAAGTTAACATTTATAACAGCCTCATTACAAGTTTAGCTTATTCTAAGCTACACTGGATCTTGACTTTCTTACTGATTTATTATATTCTCTATTCTGAAGATTATTTAAATGTATTAGAAAACAGTGGGCTTTTTCAATAACAAAAAGCATTAAATAAAAAAGTGAAAAGAATGACACTTTATAGAATTCAATGATTTTTACAATGCTTCACATCAATAGGGAATCATCAATACTAGTCAAATCCGCACTGAAATTTCCAACAACTGAAAATACAAATTCCAGCTGTCCAATTTCAAGTCAACACAGCTTGTCTAAATTCAACCCTTTGACATTAAAAACAACTTGAAATTTATTGAACTCCTTTAAGCTGCAGTTTAGACTTGTCAGATACCCATAGAGCACAACTGAGCTGAGAAAATCCAACTTCTGTCATATATAAGGATTACAATCAACCAAATTTTCCTTTTATGTCTTCCAATCAGGTTCCTATTCAATGCACTGTTTGGTTCCTGATGTTACTGAGATTCGCAGGGCACCATTTTTATGCACAGTGGGATCAATTTTTTTTTCTAGCCCAACCTAGAATAGACTTTTATTTCTAGAACTTAAGGCCTTTTGGGAGTCAGAAAATAAGATTGTTTTAATTACTATTTGCCTCTTTGAGTACAAAAATATTCTGGACAGGTTAAAATCTTTCAGGCAATATATTATCAAAAGAATTGCTGACTTTCCTATTATAAAGCATCAAAAAAAAAGGAATAGGCAATATGTTATCAAAAGAAATTTGAATTCTCATTTATGGATCTAAAATTCAAGGCTTGCTACATGCCATTGTGTCATAATTTCTAATTATTTTGATATTGTAGGTTCACGGATTTTTCTTTACCTCTGAGTCATTCTGTAGAGCAGGAGTCTTTGGAAACAAAAATTTTATATTTTGTTCAGCTTAATAAACATATTCTTAATATGTATTTTGGACTAGATCTGGAGTGAGGCTCTGACAAGACAGAAATGGAGCAATCCTTGCCGTCATGAAGTGCACAGTTTGGCAAAAGAGCTAAAATAAAAAAGTCTATGAACATGAAGCTCCTAGGATAGAGGGAAGAAAAGATGCTAGACAGTGGATCTGCTGCCTCCCAGCATGATAATGGTGGCTGCACCAACTTCTTTGTTTTTTAAGGCATGAAAACACCAGTCTTGTGTGTGTGTGTGTGTGTGTGTGTGTTGGTGGTGGTGGTGAGGGGTGTTTGAGGGTGGGGCGGTCAGCTTCTATAGATCAGTAAATATCTCCAGATCTCATCCTGCTTAGTCAAGGCTTCTTTCCCTTCCATCTGCCTTTGCCAAGACACTGAAATGTAAAGCAATGGCATGTATAGTTAGTCCTCTCTATTTGCAGATTTCACATATGTAGATTCAACCAACTATGGATTGAAAATATTTGGAAAGTAATTAGATCTTTAGTGAACATGTACAGGCTTTTTTTCTGTCATTATTCTCTAAACAATATGGTTTAACTGCAATTTACATAGCATTTACATTGTATTAAGTATTATGAGTAATCTAGAGATGATTTGAAGTATACGGGAGGATGTGTGTAGGTTATATGCCATTACTATGCCATTTTATATCTGAGACTTGAGCATCTGTAACTTTTGGTATATGGGGGAGGTCCTCAAACTAACTCCCTTCGAGGGACAATTCTCCTGTTAGAGCTTTTCGATAACCTACAGTGGCCATAAAGATTTCTTGTGTGTATATCATGGGCTATAGAGTGTGTACTATGTGCAGGGCATGGGCACTGCATTACATGTGGAGGTAGAGAAGCAAAAAAGTCTCAATCAGTTCTTTTAATATTAAAACTCATAAAGCCAACTATTTGGTGGTGAAGACAGGAAAAAAACAAGTAAAGGAAGAAAATATAGTTTTTTATTGGTTCTATGAAGAAAAAGAACAAGGTATGGCAATAGAAAATGGTCTCTGTAAGGCAGAAACATTAAAAGTGGGATTTGACACATGAGGAGCAAGCCACACAAGGCTATGGAGGAGAGAATGTTTCAGACCATGAGGATGAAGCTAGAGGGAATGGAGAGTGAAAATGGAAGAGAGTAGTAAGAAATGAGGTTTGGTGTTTGGTTAGGATATTGGCAAGGCTTTGTGGGTTGTGACTAAGAGTGAGGATCTTATTCAGCTCCCATATGAAGACACTAAAAGTTTTGAAACTTCTCATATGTCACCACATATGATTTGCATGTTTAAAAAGACTCTTCCAATTGCTTCATGGGAAATGGAGATTTGTGTCCAAGGGATGAGAGGAATACCAGCAGTTGCACTAGCCTAGGCTGTTGCAGTAATTTAGACAAACATTGCTGGTGGCTTGGCCTGGGGCAGAGATCGTGGAAATGCTAATCCTAAGAAACAAGAATGTGGCAACTTATCCTACGTGGTCTGTTTTTCATGTCAAAATATACTCCAGCTTTTCCAACAAAACTGTCCTTCATGAACCTGTTTATTCCTTCAGCCAAAATAGGAATGTGTAGTTGGCACTGCATTACATGTGGAGGTAGAGAGGCAAAAAAGTCTCAATCAGTTATTTTAATATTAACATTCATATTCAAATGGGGGAAGATACAGACTTACAGTTTATAGTGGACTAACAAGGGCAGCTCTATAAGCTTAGGCAAAATGAATCAATTGCATGTAGAAGAGGATGATCTCCCATTAAGAAATGTTACTCTACATTGTGTGTGTGTGTGTGTGTGTGTGTGTGTGTGTGTGTGTGGCAGAATTTTCCACTGAGGAGAGCACCTGGAAATCTTAAAACATCTAACATTCCAGGGATGTTGGGATCTGTTGGTATGTAAATGGCCTCAGCCATCACCTCCTTCACTTCTTGCTCTTAGAATACAATTTGACATAACTGCTGACTAAAAGATTATAAGGCTGTACTTTATTATATAGTTACAGGAAAGAAGCAACACACTGAAATGTTTCATGGTGGAGACTCAATGAGAATGATCAGAATTTAGGATACTCTTTGCCAAGTTATGTCAATAGAAAGTTTATTTTATGAGAAAATGAAAGATGTGGAATCCAGTGATTTATCTCAACAAGTTGCTAGTTTATCAGAGAAAGAGAAATCCCAAGAGAATAAGTAGCTATTAGTGAAATGGAACTTGTGTCTGACTTAGATGCAGTGTCCTCTTGTAGAGTGAGGACAAAGAACTGATTTTAGCCACCCATTCTACACCTCCAAGATACCATGGACAGTCTCAACCCATGGGGCATCCTAATGCCTGGTAAGGGATCCTAGAGAATCATATGATTTGGGAAGCTGTCACTTACCCCATATAATCCAGAGGACTGGAACCTAAAATATTTTTGAAGTGCTGGTAGCCAAAATCAGTTCTCTCATGAGCCCCCTACCATGCTCCCTGTCTTTGTCCGTTTCAGACTCATGTAATCGTGACCTAATTTTTTCCCTCTTGCTACTGAATTTACTGGAGAAAGAATTATTATTGATGCTAAATTAACAGGAGGCAATTAGCACGGGCTTTAGAAATGGCCAGATTTTTATTTGCATCCTAGCTTTACTACTTAGTAGCTGTGTAAGTTTGACCAAATGACTCAAACTCTGTCAGACTCAGCTTTTTTTTTTTAATTAAAAAAAATTTTTTTGAGACAGGGTCCTGCTCTGTTGCCCAGGCTGGAGTGCAGTGGTATGATCATGGCTAACTGCAACCTCAACCTCCCAGGTTCAAGCAGTCCTCTCATTTCATCCTCCTGAGTAGCTGGGACTACAGGCACATCACACCATGCCTGGTTAATGACATGATCTTATATATAGAAAATACTAAAGAATCCCAAAATAGAAAATATATATATTAGAATTAATAATTAATACATGAACTGAGCAAGGATGACAGATATATATTACAAATTTTGAATTTCTTTGTAGTGACAGGGTCTCACTGTGTTGCCTAGGTTGGTCTTGAGCTCCTGGGCTCAAGTGATTCGTCTGCCTCAGCCTCCCAACAGCTCCAGCTTTTCACATCAACAAAATGAGGATAACGATTATGGTTTTGGGAATATTGTGAGGTTTACACTAGATAATGAACGTGAAGTGCCTAGTTAGTCTGATGCTTGGTACATGGTAACACCCAACACATATTAAAATAATGCAATCAGATTTGGCTTTTTCCTAGGCACAAGATATGGCATTCTGTACTCTATTGCACTCCATCTCTCTGGACTTCTTGTCCTGTTTGGACTTCTCTCTTACATCTTGGCCCTTTTGAAATCTATTCTAATTATCCCACAACCCAAACTGTTATTTTGAATCGTTTCAGACACAGAAAAAAGTTGCAAAATAAAGTAACCATCTGTACTCAGTGACGCTTGTAATCCCAGAACTAAAGTAGGCCTAGGCGGGCGGATCACAAGGTCAGGAGATTGAGAATATCCTGGCAGGAGAATGGCGTGAACCCGGGAGGTGGAGCTTGCAGTGAACCGAGTTCGCGCCGCTGCACTCCAGCCTGGGCAACAGAGCGAGACTCCGTCTTAAAAATAAAATAAAATAAAATAAAATAAAATAAAATAAAATAAAATAAAATAAAATAACCATCTGTATACCATCTAGATTCAATAATTAATATTTCGCCATATTTGCTTTAATTTTCTGTATATTTCTGCTTTTTTGTCTAAGCATTTGATACAGACACCATGAGCATTCTCCCTAAATGTTTCATTCAGCTTATATTTTCTAAGAATAAAAATATTCTCCTTCACCACTACAATAACATTATGACTCTTAGGAATATTAACACTAATTTCACATAATCACTTAATATCCAACTCAGAATCAACATTTCTCAGCTGTCCCCAAATGTCTTTTATAGCTGCTGCTTTAGTCTTTAAAGCAGCATCTAATTAAGGTGCATACTTTGCATTTGGTTATATCTCTTTAATCTAGAACAGTTTTCCCACTTTTTTTCCATGACATTAATATTTTTTAGCACGCAGACTAGTTTTCTTGTAGAATGTCCTAACTTCTGAATTTATCTGATTAAAACCCATTCCTCTGACTCAAACCCACATTTCTTACTCAGTGCCCCAATGTTTTTTTGAGTTGCCACCTTGTTGCTATAATAGATGTTAATAACCTTGAAACCTTCTTCTAGCCTGCAAGAAAATCATCAATGGGTCTTCAATATTAGTATTTTTATATTAATTTGATTGAGGGAAGTTCCAAGGTGGAAAGTCAGGCTTGGAGAAGACACTGAGGAGAACTCTGTGCTCTTTCCACCAAGAGGACTGAAACCTGGGAGACAGCCCCCCTTGCCAAGCATAAGGGAAATGCTGCCCTGGAGAAGGGCAGATGGCCAAAGTGACTTCTGGAAGGCCCTTATAGGTTACAGAGTCCACTGAGAGGTGGGCCCCTCAGCAAATTGCTCCTGCAGCACTCACCAGACAGCAGAGAGTTTCTCCTTGTGGTGCCTTGACTGAGGGCTGCAGAATTTTCATAGGTCTAGAGAGGCTAGTTTGCAAAGGGTTCTAATTGAATCCCTTGTGGGACTTTCATAGTTTCCAGACCACATTAAAGTCATGATCCTTGCAGAAGCAGCTCAGGAAATTTGTCTGGCTAGACATATTAAGTTTTGTTTCTGCCTCTTCCCTGTAGACCAGCAATGTCTAATGGAACTTTCTGCAGTGATTGCAATCTTCCTTTCCTTTTGCTGTGCAGTCCAATATGGATCTAGTAGCCACATGGGACTACGAACACTTGAAATGGGCTAGTGTGACTGGGGAACTGATATTTACATTTAATTCAATTTTAAATAATTTTCTTTTAAATATAAATAGCTATGTGTGGCTAGTGGCTACTGTATTGAACAGCACTGCTGTAGATGGTGTTACCACTGAAACCTAATTTCCAGATTTGGAGACAAGTGGCTACTTTGACTAGTTCCATTTTCTTTCTCTTCCCCCTCCTCATTGGTACTATAGGGAAACATACATTATTTTCAACTTCCCAGGTTCTATTTTCTCCTTTCCTAGAACAGCCACAGGATGTCTAGGAGCCAGCAGAGGGGCCAGATATGCTGCAGTTTATGCTGTAAAAGGAAGCCTGCCGCCGTGAGTGGTCCAGTGGGAGCTCTTGCTTTGTGTCCTCAGCCTTTCACCTTTCCATCTGATGACTTGCTCTGAATCTTCACTTCCTGGGCAGGTGAGCTGAGTCCTAGAAAGCACAGCTCACAGGAACTCTGCTTCAGAGTTGACAGAGATTTAATTTTCAGGACTAAATTTCTCTGAGAGAAGGTTAGCAACACTCTGGCTTTGTCTTAATAAGCTGTAGTTTGTGATGCAATTGCTGGATAAGACATGAACCATATTAGAACAGAATGGCAATAAAAATCACCACAAAATGAGAAGGAGAGTAACAATTACATTTTATTATGTGTGAAGTGCTCGGCACTTGTGTATTTTACATATATTTAATCTTTATAATAACTAACATAATAAGTATTTTGACTTCTTATAGATGAGGAAACATGATGTTCAGAAAGGTATATGACTTGATCAAGAACCCACAACCAGGCAATGAGAGGAATATGAGGCAAAATCCAATCTACTTGATTCCACAGGTAGATTCCACAAGCACTTTCTAGGGCTTCTAATTGTGACAGTGATTTTCTACTTTGAATCTGCCCTACCTCCTTCTCTGTCTCCGTCTCTCTCTTCCTCACACACACACGGTCTCTTTCACACACACACACACACACACACACACAAACACACACATTTGTGAATTTCCCAAGTACAAAAATTTACTCCTTCAATTTCCAAACTCTTAAATGGAAAATAACTTATCTTGACAGAATTGCCAAATACATGTATTGACTTACCTTGTCCTACTAAAAAATTAATCCTTTCTTGATGCACATAAATTATTATAGAACTGCAGTGTGATATATGCAAGTTTTAGTGAGACAAGTAGAACAGTTTGCCATACATGAACCAACTGCAGATCACTACAGTGTTTTTTTTAATATTGTGCTAAACTATACTTAACGTTCAATTTACCATTTTAACAATTAAGTGTACAGTTTAGTGGCATTAAGTACATACACATTGTTGTATAACCATCTCTATTACCTATCTTCAGAACTTTATCCAGCATTCCAACTGAAATTCTGTACCCATTAAATAATAACTTCCCACTCTCCTTTCCCCCAGCTCCTGGTAAGTATGATTCTACTTTCTGTCTTTGTGAATTTGACTTCTACATACATGGGCTTGGAGCTTCTTAGTCTGCCATTTTGCTGATATTACTTCTGAAGTCACCAAGTTTTTAAGGCCAATGCACTTCTTGTCCACAAGTGGTAGAGGTAAAAGATGAATTTAGGGTGTGCGTGTGTGTGTGTGTGTGTGTGTGTGTGTGTGTGTGTGTGTATTGCAGGAGGCAGGTGTGGGATCTATAAGGCAGACACAGTAAAACTGAAAATCCTTCATGGATTTAGTTCCTATTTTTCAAAGAACAAAGTAAGAGAATAGTTACCAACTACATATTCAAAATTACACTTTTCTTTCCCTCCTCCTGCCCTTCCTCCTTCCCCAAAAGGCAAGTTATGGTAGTCTCAAAGAGTAGAAACCCAGATAATTCAGGAGACAGATTTTTTTTTATTACTGGAGAAAATCAAGACTTGGTAATCATACTCATGAAATTTCCTATTTACTTCAGTGCCAATGGGGAACTGAATTTTGAAGACACCTGGGCATATTCAAATATCAACTGGTAGAACAAGCTGGGCTCTACTTTAACTCAGACTCACTAATTCGTTTGAATATTCTCTGACTTCTGTGTCCTCCCCTTCTCCCAAGAAATATAGAAGATTAAAAACCGAGTCTTATCCCTAAGATAAGAAGCTGAATTCATAAATTTTTGATTTGGTATATTATTTAATACTTCAGGATCTGATGCACTTTCAGTGAAAACAAGGCTTTTGTAATTTAGAGATACATGAAATTCTCATCACACAAGAAACGTTGATCCCTTTGAGTTATGCAGGGAGGAATAAATATCTAATTATTTTAACCTAATAATTGTCATTCCTTTTCATCTTCCAAAATGCTAGTCATTTCTCATTGTTTTCCCCCACCCCATTGGCTCTTTTAAAAAGTTATCCTTTTGAGTTCAGCAGGGATAAAAGAGGCTTAAAGATAAGAAATAACAGAAGTCCCTGCACTTCATGGGGATTACAAGTAGAATTAACATGGCTATATAAAATGAAGCCACAGCTCAGGGGTTGGGAATGACAAGGTTACTTATTCTCCTAAATCCTGGGCACCGGTTAAGTTGTTATTAATCACAGTGAATTCATGGCTGAGCCCAGGAAACTTCATTTGTAGCTGGCAAACTATTGGGCTTTTGAGTCTCTATCAAAGTATTCTTTCTAAAAGCAATATCTAAACATGGAAAAAATCTAGTTTTTGAAAACTGTCTAAAATGACGTTGTAAAAGTATCAATCTTCCCCCACCTCCATCACCACACCCCAGAGATAAGTACCTTTTAAACATTTTCTTTCTTCATTCTTTTGGCACTTCCCATTAGAATTTTAAATGTTTTTATTTCTGCTTCTATTTATTAAGCTATCAACTTTAGACAGCAACAGTCTACCTTATGCAATAAAAGATGAAGAGAGCCAGGCACAGTGGTGCATGCCTGCAGTCTCAGTTACTCAGGAGGCTGTGGCAAGAAATTGCTTGAGCCCGAGTTCAAGTCCAGCCTCAGCAACATAGCAGTAACATATTTCTAAAATTAAAAAAAAGAGATTTTAGAATTTTTAAAATTACTTTACTGTATATAACTTATCTTTATACTTCAATGTTGCCAATTATATTATTTTAGTTCTTCTAGTAATTCCCTTTTTAACTGTAAAAGATATATATTCATATTTGTATTTCTTGATTTACCAATGCTAGAGATTGTTAGAAGGTAGAATAAATACATATTTAATTGTTTCTATTTCTTCTCATTTCTTCACCTATTAATCTTTGTTGTTGTTTTCCTTTTTGTTTTTTATTCTTTTTTCAAATCAGAATTTCCACAAATATTCGTATTTATTTATTAATACCATATATGTTGTCAAGGCTTATAACATTTATATTGTTCTCATTATACTTGTTTTTTTGTGTGTGTTTTGTCTGTAGGCTGATTTTCAAATTGAAGTTCTCCAAAATAGTATTTACAGTAGAGTCATGATTATGTGACTGTTACTCATTTTGAACCAAGTGAGCAACTCTTCCCACAAAGGAGGACTTTTAATTCTGTGTCATTAAATCCTGCTACCTCCACTCCCAAAATAAATACTTTAGTGTGGAGACCCAGGAGGTTCTGTTTTGGAGCTTTTTTTTTTTTTAGTTTTCTGGGTACAATCCAATGCTGCTGTTCCTTATAATTCACTTCATCTTCTTTTTACATTTTTTCCCCAGAGTACCCTCTTTGATGGGTTGTTTTTAAATACAATTATCTGATTTTAATGCTTTATGAGAGCTTACATTCCTGAAAGGTATTTTGTCCAATATTTGTTTAATGGTTTGGCTGGGTATATATTTCAAGGTTGAAAAAACAAATGTGAAAAAAAATTGCTACATTATCTTTCAGTGTCCATTGTTTATGGTAAGAAATTTGATGTTAATTTGTGTTTCTCCAACTGTGGAAGCTTTTATAATTTTCTCTTTGTTCTAGGACTTCTGAAATTGCTGGAACATTTTTCCTCATTGATTTTGCTAGTCAATCTGAAAATACATTATTTTTTAACTACAAGAAAACTTTCTTCGAGCTTAGTCTTGGTATTTAATGCTATCTATTCTCAATCCAACTACTGAGTTTTTTTTTTTTTTTTTTTTTTGCAATAAAATGTTTATTTTTTTGAAAGTTTCTTTTTTCTGTTTGCTTCATTTCTCCAGAGGCCCATTTTTGGTTTTGGGAGAAAAAACTTTTTGTTCTTTCTGAAAATTACTTACTAGAATAATTTATATTCTAATAATATTATATTCAGAATATTTTATTCTGAATATGGTTATTATTTTATTCTGAATATGCTTATTAGAATAATTTAAATGTTCTTTTCCTTGATCAACTCTAATTTAGCTGGGATCAGATAATTCTTTTTTTCCACTTTAGGCTTCTTTTTTCATGCTGTAAATTTTCTTCAAATGTCTCAGGTCCTTGTGGTTCAGTTTAATGACTGACTGTAACAGATAATTTTTGTGACGTATGCCATGTTCTGTGATCTCCTTTTGGTTTTAGCTGCCACTCTGGTGGACATGACCCTGGCACTGCCAATGACCTACCTCAATTGCTTGCTATTTCTCTCTACAGTTTTGCCTTCTGGGTTTGGAAACATGCTAAGTCTTACTCAGTTCATGGGCCAGAGAGCATGGACATATTCATTGGATGATGCCTCCAGGGACAACCCTACCCATGGTGGGACTGGCAGGGGGATCAATGGATAAATGCCTCCGCTTTCTGTTTTTCAGGGAAACAATTCTGGGTCATGTTCTATGAGGTTCCTAAAGGTTCCCAGCAGGATGGAGTCCTAGTGGCCTACAATGGCAATCCTCAAATAACACATCCTTTATTGAGTTTTCTTGTTCCTCTCTTTTCCTACTGTTGCTGTTCTTCATACCTGCTTCCTGGGATCACCTCCCATATAAATCATGTTCTTGTTTAAGTTTGATTTTGTAGGTATCTAAACTAAGTCAGGGTAATTAGGATATGTAGGAGGCTTGGAATAAGGAGTTTCTCTGGAACTCTGTAAATTTCCCTCTCCAACAACCCTTTTCCTTGGATAGGAGAACTGACTTTGAGTTCTGTGTGTACCGTGGGGTGTTTTAACAAACAACTTCCCTGTAGAATGCCTAGATGTTTTCAGGTGTGTTTTTCTCTCTTCCATTTGCCCTGTCAATATCTTTTATCTATTTTCTATCTACTACAATTTCCTCTCATTTTCTAGTCCATGAATGGCACCTTTTTTATTCGCTTAAATAGACCATGTATTAGGTAAACATACATATGCTGGGTCTATCATCTTGAACAATTTCTCTTATTTTAGATGATGAAATTATAACTGACTTAAATGACTTCTTTAGTCACATAGACATGGAGCCTCAGAATCTAGTAAAACTAACTTCTTCAGATTCTAAATCTTGTGTCTTTCTGTTTCATAATTTTGCTTAGAGCTCTGAGTATAGATGAGGCAAACTTCACATGGAAAAGAAGCCATATTTTGAAAAAACTACACGGAATCAAAGAGAACTAACTCAAAGAAGCAAAATTTTGGAGATAAAACAAGGTATCTGATAGCAGTAGTGATCTCAGGGTGGATGACCCCCTACTGTTGCTCCTTCTTTTAAATAAAACTCTTACTTGCAGGAGACATACTGAATGTATTTGACCTTGGTGGCAGCTGGAATTCAAAAATCCTGGGTTGTGTTAGTTGACTAAGACAACATTGTAGTACTGGTAGAGAATTCTAAAATCAGAAGAGCTTCAATCTCTTCTAATCTAATTGACTATGGAGATTCAGGCAAGTTATTCTGCCTCTGAGCCAGATTTAATTTCCTTATCTATAATGTAAGGAGAAAATCAATAACTTTAATATTCTCTGATTCAAAATGTAAGCAAACAGAGGAAGGTGATTGGCAACTTAGTTAATTGGCAGGGTTATTGGTAAAGAGTGAACACTGGGCATTATCCTTAAAGGTTATGACATTTGGATAACCATCTTGCATCTTGGTCCAGTAGGCCAGCTACAGTAATTGCTGTGGGTTATGCTGAGTCTAGGACTGGATTCCAATTAAGCTGTGATTTTTCACCAGTGCTAACTGTGGAAGGGCAGATCCATACAGAGCATTCCTCAGCTAGGTAGTTTGAATTATTCCTAGACAGATGCCTCCCATTGAAGAGCACCTGGCATTTTTACTAAGAGGAGATCTAGCCATTCTAGCAACTCTGATTCACTCTCCTTTTGTTCATCATCTATATTTCTCCATGGCTATCCTTCCAAAGAGAAGCTATTGCTATAGTACACCTAACCAGAACAACTTTACCTCAAGGACACAGCTTTATTATCTGCTGAGGACCCTGATCTAATACTGTCAGGGTAGAGCCTGGTGTTCTGGGGAAAATTTCAGGTTATTAAAGCCAGTCCTAATGGTTGGCTTAGATATGGCCTCTGTCTTGATTTCCCTGCATAGAACTTCTATCTTTTATTAATTTGGTGCCAGTTGTATATTTTAAAGGGAGAGCTGTGGGTCTTGATTTAAACCTGTATATACATACAAGTACCTTGTTTTGTTAAACTACATTGTCTTGCTCTTGTCAGTTTTATCCTTAGAGGTCTGGACGTGCCCCATCTCTGTACTTGATTCTGCTGAGAATACAGAGGTTGACAGTACCATCATGGCACACTACTCTGTGTGCACTGACCTAGGGCCTGGCACGCCTCATATAGATACCTCCTATCCCCTTTGTGCCTGCATTTGTCTCAACCACAGGCCACAGTAGCTAACATTCTCAGCTTTTGACCCACTAATTTTTGGCTTTTGCCCATCCCCATTGACTCCCATGTAGACCCTATGTTCACCAGAAGGATCCTCATGTCTGCAGACTACATTAAGAGGGAGGATATGCCTCTGTGAATCCAACTGATAGGTATCTCCTGTGTGCCAGGGAATGGCAGGGCCATGGCTCTCTCAAAGCCATGCTCATAAAAAGCCTCCTCTGCATCGACTTCCAGTCCCATTTGATTCTCAAGCAAGGAGTTCCATCCGAGAAGGAAGCTGTCACCTGTCACTCTTTTATGAATTCTTAAGGACAGTGGAAGAGTTGAAAGGTTGGCAATCACAATGACAATAGGCTATTACAAGCAGGTGAAGAGCCTTCTTCTTTTGCTCCTTACCCCCAACTGCTGTTCAAATAATCAAAAAAGGGTCCTCATTGAAACTGATTTAATTCTCAAGAGGAATGAAAGACATTTAAAGGGCAAGCCAACTTCATAAATGACATTAAAAGGTTTTAAAATAGTGTTTTGCTTCTAAAGGGTGTTTGTAAATGTCAGAGGTAACATATTGATTACAGTCCTGGCAGTTCTTGCTCAGGGCTTCTTAGCTGTCTTTGGCTTAACTCATGCTGTTGACTTATGCTCATGGTATGAAATATCTCAGCCATCTTACTTTGTTTGCTTAAACTTTTCCAACCTACCAGACTTTATCCACATGTGAATAAAAGGTACCATCAAATTAGTGGTGTTTATAATTTTTGTGCTTTTTAATGTCTCGTGAATTATATAAAGTTACGAAAATGGCTATAGGAATTGGCCTACAAACTCTTGAGATGTCCTATAAGTTCCTACAAGATATTGAAAGTTGGTTGCTTTGAGGATATAATTCTGAATGTTGAAGCAAATTAAAAAGCCAACTTGGAAGGGGATACATAATCCTCTTTAAGTCAAGATGAGGGGTATAACCTCCCCCATATATTCTGGGCCCAGTCGTCTGTGTTGAAAAGAACTCTGATAGTTTATTTGCTGATACTATTAATGGGAGCCAAAAACATTGTGGAGAAAGGTGATATTGTCATCGTGAATCTCTCTGAACTCCTGTTCCCAATTTGTAGCCAGTAAGAGAGCATGATTGCTCTGACTACAGGATTATACTAAGTCTCTAAGGAAATGAGAATAGTGCACATGTGTACTCTGATTTATAGTTTGCAAAGGCCATTCAATAATTGGTAAAGCCGAAACCAATGAATTTCCTTCTGATTTTCAGCACCATTCAGAATCTGGACATATAATATGTTTATGGCATTTAACCTAGTCAGACAGTAGATATTGCTCTAAGTCATGGCCTACACCTGTGAGCCTACTTATATCAGCATTTGCCAAATGTACTTGTAGCTGTGGTACTGACCTCAGAGAACTTAGCCAAAGAGCAAAGACTGCCTAATTCAAGAAGTACTGGTAAGTAATAGATATATTTTGGTTTACTGTTCTAAGAATTTTATACAATGTGAGGTGGGATAGGATAGACACTTCTTATTTTTATTATAAAAGTGATAACATTCCCATGATAAACTATAACAGTAATAAAATGTGTAATGTAAAAATTAAAATCCTATCCCTGATCACCCTCTCATTCTCTATCGGTAATCACTGTTAACAGGTTTTTTTTTTATATATATTCTCCAGAACCTGTATATTTTGCTAGGAGTAAACACCCATTCATACCCTTCTGCTTCTTTCTCCTCCCTTCTTCCCTTCCTCACTCCCTTCCTTCCTATTTTTTTTCATCTATATCATATAGGACATTTTCTTCTATCTGTACATGTATTAGACCATTCTTGCATTGCTATAAATAAATACCTGAGACTGGATAATTTATAATAAAAGTTTACTTGGCTATGGTTCTGCAGGCTGTACAGGAAGCATAATGCCAGCATCTGTTTCTGGTGAGGCCTCAGGAAGCTTTTACTTATGGTGGAAGGTGAAGGAGGAACAGGTGTCTCACAGGGCAAGAGGAGCAAGAGGGAGCAGGTGGGGATTGGTGCCACACACTTGTAAACATCCACATTTTGTGAGAACTCACTATCTCAAAAACAGCACCAAGCCATGAGGAATCCCTTCCTATGACCCAAACACCTCCCATCAGGCCCCACCTCTAAGATTGAGGATTATATTTCAACATGAGATTTGAGCACGGACAAATATACAAACTATATCAGTACATATAAATGTACTTCCTATTTTAATGACATTACATGGATGTGACATAATTCTTCAATCATATCCTTGTCAAGGTACATTTAGATTTTTTAAAGTTCTCTTTTGTTTCTTTGTTACTAAAAACAGTTCTGTAAATACCCTTAAACACAAAATTTATATGATTTTGCAATTTGGGTAAAAGCCTTACTTTCTTTTGCCCTAATTTTTTATTAAGACATTTCCAAACCTACAGTAAAGTTGAAAAAAAGCATCAAGAATGCTCAGATTACCAAAACAGATATATAGACCAATGGAAAAGAACAGAGCCCTCAGAAATAATACTACACATCTACAACCATCCGATCTTTGACAAACCTGACAAAAACAAGAAATGGGGAAAGGAGTCCCTATTTAATAAACGGTGCTGGGAAAACTGGCTAGCCATATGTAGAAAGCTGAAACTGGATCCCTTCCTTACACCTTGTACAAAAATTAATTCAAGATGGATTAAAGACTTACATGTTAGACTTAAAACCATAAAAAACCCTAGAAGAAAACCTAGGCAATACCATTCAGGACATAGGCATGGGCAAGGACTTCATGTCTAAAACACCAAAAGCAATGGCAACAAAAGACAAAATTGACAAATGGGATCTAATTAAACTAAAGAGCTTCTGCACAGCAAAACAAACTACCATCAGGGTGAACAGGCAACCTACAGAATGGGAGAAAATTTTTGCAATCTACTCATCTGACACAGGGCTAAGATCCAGAATCTACAAAGAACTCAGACAAATTTACAAGAAAAAAACAAACAACCCCATCAAAAAGTGGGCGAAGGATATGAACAGACACTTCTCAAAAGAAGACATTTATGCAGCCAAAAGACACATGAAAAAATGCTCATCATCACTGGCCATCAGAGAAATGGAAATCAAAACCACAATGAGATACCATCTCACACCAGTTAGAATGGCAATCATTAAAAAGTCAGGAAACAACAGGTGCTGGAGAGGATGTGGAGAAATAGGAACACTTTTACACTGTTGGTGGGACTGTAAACTAGTTCAACCATTGTGGAAGACAGTGTGGCAATTCCTCAGGGATCTAGAACTAGAAATACCATTTGACCCAGCCATCCTATTACTGGGTATATACCCAAAGGATTATAAATCATGCTGCTATAAAGACACATGCACACATATGTATATTTTGGCACTATTCACAATAGCAAAGACTTGGAACCAACCCAAATGTCCATCAATGATAGACTGGATTAAGAAAATGTGGTACATATACATCATGGAATACTATGCAGCCATAAAAAAGGATGAGTTCATGTCCTTTGTAGGGACATGGATGAAGCTGGAAACCATCATTCTCAGCAAACTATGGCAAGGACAAAAAACCAAACACCACATGTTCTCACCCATAGGTGGGAATTGAACAATGAGAACACTTGGACACAAGAAGGAGAACATCACACACCGGGGTCTGTTGAGGGGTAGGGGAACGGGGGAGGGATAGCATTAGGAGATATACCTAATGTAAATGATGAGTTAATGGGTGCAGTGCACCAATGTGGCACATGTATACATATGTAACAAACCTGCACGTTGTGCACATGTACCCTAGAAATTAAAGTATAATAAAAAAAAATGCTCAGATTTCCTTTACCTAGAGTCACTAATGGTGATTCATCCTTTACCACTTTTACTTGCACTCTCTCCTCTTTCTCTGCATATATATTGATATTTTTATATATTGCAGAATCATTTGAATGTAAATTGAAGATATAATGACATATCATTCCTAAATAATTCAGCATGTATCACCTAGTAACTAGGCCACTTTCCTACATAGCTATAATACCATTGGCACATGCAGGAAATAAAATTCACCCAATAATGTTATCTAGTATACTCAAGCTTTCTCATATTTTTTCAAAAACATTTTTATAGATGTTATAACTGTTGTGAATATCAGATCCAGGCAAATGCCATTCACTGCATTTTGTTGTTAAGTCTTTAATTCTATCTCCTTCAATCTAGCACAGTTATCTTGGCATTTCATGTTGTTGCTGTTGTGACATTGACTTGTTTGAAATATTTGGGTCATTATTTTACAGAGTACCCCACATCTGGACTTGTCTTTTTGTCCCCTCATGATTAGATTCAGGTTAAAGATTTGTTGCAAAAAAATATTGCACAGATAATGTTGTGTACTTCCCATTGCATCCCATCAGAAAGCAATGAGATTTCAGTTTGTTGGATAATGGGTGATGCTCAGACAATCACTTAGTTAAGGTTGTCTCTCTCCAGATCTCTCCATAGGAGTTTCTAATTATGCATTATATTAACATGTTTATTTTTAATAAGTAATGTATGGTTACTTTGAAGTTGTATGACTGTTCTATTCCCCAACATTTACCCAGCTTTTTGTTCTTCTATTGATGAACACTGCATGAATTAATGATCAGATTCCAATATTAAAATGGTGATTTTGTAATTCTACCATTTTTTCATTGGGTACCACTCATAGATTTCCCTCCCCTATCCCAGTATATTGTAATCCATCACTGTGCTCAAAGTGTACTAATTTTGCTGGTGGAGGCACTGTCTTTTGTCTGTATCCTATGCTCTGATACTTTTTTCTTGCTTTCTAGAGAAGATGTTCCAGGATTACTTCATGCTGTCCAGGTCCTAGACATGGAATCGTTTGCTTCTTCAAAAGTCTGGATCCCTTTAAGATACGAAATGTATTTAGAAACCAAAGTATGGATGCTAGGTGTGCTCATGGCCATTGGAGTGTGTTTCTAGACCCAGGAATAAGCAAACAATGGCCTGTAAACTATATCCTGTCTGTGGCCTGTTTTTGTACATCCTAAGAACTAAAAATTATTTTAAAAATTGTAAATGGGAAAAAGTCAACAACAACAAACAAATCAACAAATAACCCCACAAATAAACAGTTTCTTAAAGACCAGAATGACCAAGAAATCTATGAAACAGAGACCGTATACTGCCCAGAAAGCCTAAAGTATTTACTGTGTATCCCTTTATAGAAAAACTTTATCAATCTTGGTTCTATTTTTAGTATACAGAGCTAGGAAAAATTATTTCATAAATAATACTGAGTTTATAAAGAACTTAAAGGAGAACTACCATTTGATCCAGCAATACTATTACAGTGTACACATCCAAAAGAAATCATTCTACCAAAAAGACACCTGTGCTTGTATGTTCATCATAGCACTATTCCCAATAGCAAAGACGTAGTATCAATGTAGGTGTCCATCAACAGTGGATTGGATAAAGAAAATGTGGTATATCTATATAATGGAATACTACACAGCCATAAGAAAGAGCAAAATTAGGTCCTTTGAAGCAACATGGATGTAGCTGGAGGCCATTATCCTAAGTGAATTAAGGCAGGAACAGAAAACCAAATACTGCATGTTCTCAGTTATAAGTGGAAGCTAAACACTGGGTACACATGGACATAAAAATGGGAACAGTAAATACTGGTGACTCTAAAAATGGGGAGGAAGGGAGGAGAGCAAGGATTGAAAAACTATCTGTTCGGTACTATGCTCACTATCTGGGTGATGGACAGGATCATTTGTATCCCAAATGTCAGCGTTCATGCAATATACCCAGGTAACAAACCTGTACACATACCCCCTAAATTTAAAATAAAAGTTAAAAATATATTTTAAAAAACCTGTTACACATAAGTTTGCATAAATTGTGGCCACTTTAAAAAATATTGAGTTTATAATACCTCAACTTCAATTCTAACATCACAACTTTTTCCTATCCTTCTCACATTCTGTATTATTAATTTCCTTCTCCCAATTATCAGCAGAATTTCAACAACAGCAATATATTTTCTCTTTCCTATAATGTGTTCCAGTTTCAGAAATACAACATCAATACCAACTATTAGCAGAATTTCAACAACAGCAATATATTTTCTCTTTCCTATAATGCGTTCCAGTTTCAGAAATACATCAATACCATCACTAACAACGAATCTACTAATTCAAGTTCAAGATTTATTTACTTATTTGTTGTTCTTATATGCCATTAAGACTGTACAGTCAGGTTACTATGTTTAAAAGTAGGTCAATTAATCTCTGTGCCTTTTTCTATCAGTGTAGTATGCATTAGGTTAATTAGTTTCTTTTTGTATTCAATTTTTGGGTATTCCTTTTTCATACTTTTAAATTAATTTATATTTGAATATTATAAAATATTTATATGATTCAAACATTGAAATAATGTATCAAGCTAAACTTAGACTAATCTTATCCATCCCCAGAAATATTCTTTCTACCCTATTATCCACCCCTACATATAACTGTTTTAATTAGATTTAGCCTTCTGTGTTTACTTTTGTAAAAATGATAAATGAGTATATATACACACACATATAGAAACATATATACAAACATATTGACAATATATATTTCTATATTTTAAATCAGTGTACAAATTAATATATAATTAATATATAATCTGCTATGTATTTTTGTATATACATTTATTTTTATGTCATCTTTCTTATACAAGATGTAACATATTATATGTACCCCTTTATACCTTGACCTTTTCACTTAAAAATATACTTATGGATAGAAATTAATAAAAAAATCTTTTTCATTTTTCATGGCTGCAAAGTACTCCACTGTTTGGATGTATCATGATTTATCCAACCATTCTACTAAAGACAGGGTTGGATTTTTGTTTGTTTCTAATATTTCACTGTTACTGTGAATAATCTTGCATATATCATTTTTTATGGTGGAGGTGAGACTTCAACGTAAAATTTTCAGGATTGAGAAAACTGTCTCAAAGGGTCAATGCATGTGTAATCTTAGCAGACATTTCAAATTGTTCCTCCATGGGGGTCGTTCCATTTTTTTTTTTACTACCACCAGCCATGTATGAATATTCCTGTTTCTCCACAGCCTCACCAACTGAGTGAATTGTGCTTGTTAATCACTTGACTTTTTGCCAAGTTAATAGGTGAGAAGTGATTTCCCAACTTAGTTTTGGTTTGTATTCCTTTTTATTATAAGTTGAACAACTTTTTGTATGTTAAAGGACAGTTTATATTAATACTTCTTTTTTATATAATGACTACTTCTGTTTTTTACTTACCTTCCCACCAGATTTTAGGTAAATGACCTTATTCTTCATTAATTACATCTATATGAGAAGTCATGATTTGAGTCTGGCTCCATGCACTAAAATAAATATATGTTGTAATTACTCTTGGTCACTATGGCTCAGATGAAAAACAGTTTCCCTGCAACAAACAAATGCTTACTTCAGCGATAGAGTTTTGGGCCTGAGCTGATGTGCTAGGACTCATATAAATCAAGAATAATGCAATTGACAGTGATTGTAGACTGGGTGAATGGTTGCTGAGTTAAGATGTTATGAAAATCCACATTGAGAAAATGAGAATGATCTCATGACACAAGGAAAGTGGGAGAGTAGATATTAGCTGCAGGATCAAAGACTCAACTCAGACCCTCGTAGAATAGGTTCAAAACTGCCAGGTCCCATGAGGTTTGGCAGCTGCCCATTCCTGTGAGAGACGCCTAACAACCAGAGACAAATGGCTGCTACTGATTCTAGAAAGGCCTTCATTTTACTTCACAATGCCTGGAAAAATACATTTATCAAAGGACTCAAATCCAGGCAATAATAATGCCTATAAATCATAACAAAAAAGAAAAATACATTAGAAAAGTGGGAAAAAGTCTTAAACAGAAACTTCACAAGTAAGAGTATCAGTGTTTAATAAATAAACATAAACATGTTCAATCTCTTTAGTAATGCCAAAGAAAAATTGCATCTAATGGAGTCAAACAGGCAAGAAGACTTTATTCAAGACTATTGCAATAGGGGAGAGAGATGAAATTCAACTCCTCTGAAACTAAAGGCTGGACAGTTTTCAAGCACTGGGGTGAGCTAGTGGAAAAGTGCTGGAAGACATTAGTGGGGAGCGAGGTCCATATGATTAGGTCATCTGTATTTGCTAATTGGCACTTAGGGGAGTTAGGATTCTACCCTCCCACAGAAACTATAGGAGATAGAGGCTCCATCTTTCTTGATGATTGCATTTCAAAGGGATGGCTCCCAGGTCCTTGAGAAAGACATTTCTGGGTTTTAAAACTGGCAAAAGACAGGAAGAAAATGTAATTCTTAAAGAAGGAGAACTGTTCTGGGGCCTAAAGAAAAAGTGGTTCTGGGACCTAAAACCAGGAAGAAACTTGTCTAAAGTTTAATCAAGTTGAAGGGAATGTTAGTTCATCTTGATCATTTTCAAATTATTCAGTAATCTTTAGCTTATTATTATTTTACTCTAATGCTACTAATGAAGTTCTGAAGTTGGTGGTAGAAATCTAAATGAAATAATACATGCCAAAGTGCCCAACACAGTATGTTGTCTACATAGCATGTGTGTTAAATAAGTGAACGAATGGTTGGATAAGAATTGGGTTCCTGGTGAATTTGTACCTACAACTTAATAGCAGGATGTGAGTTTGGATGAGTAAAGTATCATAAATGAGTGTGTTGGTTAATCTCCCAAGTGTTACCAAATGTGAAATTATATCCTCCATATAAAGTGTAATTGAAGTATAAAACTGAAGGAAGGTCATGATTTAGTTGTAACTGCCACTTCAGGTCTCAAGAATGCAGCTTCACTCACATTATAAATACTAATTGGAGTAACGAAAAGCACACACACAAGACATATTTAAGAATTGACATCTTATCTATTGAAGGATAACAAAAGACATTCCCACCTTCTTGCTTTCAACAATTACTCTACCACTGCTGAGGTGTAGTTAGGGTCATGGCCGAGATTGTGAAAATATAATATTACTTTAAAACTGACATTAATCTGGAAAAGAGGTGGTTTTATCCCCCTATTAAGAAAATCATTGCTCAAAATATTATTTTTCTTACTACACATCATGTAACAAGGTTAAATATGTGTATTTGAACCCATAACTGTCTGACTCCAGGCTAATATTCTTTCTTTGTAGATAGAAAAAAAATCTTCAGTTCTGTTTTGCTGGGGGCATTTGCAAGGAAAATTAGGAAGTACTCAATGTCCCCTGTAATGTTATAGCTTAAAATAAAGTGGGAAAATTCAATAACCACCAACTCCAGCAAGTTATTTGCTCTAATTTTAGATTGCCTACAATAAAACAACAACAGTAACAAAAGTGACTGCTGTCATCACCTTCACTGTTGGAGTGATAGTTCTACATTTGTAAAACAAGGAAATGTGATGATTATTCAAGGACTGTGCTTTTTTATACACAAATGGCCTGCCTGCCTGTCTGTGATAAAAATGAGCTGACAGCCTTTGGCTGTTTTCACATAACATTTGGGTCCAGAATGTCCCTAGTTAACAACAGGCCTCCCTACTTTTAGTTTACGTGCATTTTTTTTTTTCCAGTGTAGGAGTAGGAATTCCTTAAGACTCACCAACTTCTACCAATCATTTGGAGCTCTCTTAAACTTCTCTAGCTTCATTTTTGTGCTATCACATATATACAGAAAAGTGCACAATTCATAAGGGTAAATTTTCACAAATTGTAAACACATTTAGTGATTTTTTTTAAAAAGCCAGATCAAGAATAGAATATTAGAAGAACATAATGGCCTCTCTTAGGCCCATTTTGGTCATGACCCTTCATCCTTATTAAAGTGTGTTTATTATACCATACATTAGTTTTGACTCTTTATTAACTTCACATAAATGGAATCATAGCATATACTCTCTTGTGTCTTGCTTTATTTCCTTCAATATTATGTTTAGGTAATTCACTTATTTACATTACTGTATTATATTTTCTTACAGAAATCCACAATTTAGCTACCATTCAACTATTGATAAATATATAAGTTGTTTCAAGTTTTTGGCTATTATGAACAAAACCTGTTATAAACATATATATATATATATAAAAACATATATATGGCCGAGTGCGGTGGCTCATGCCTGTAATCCCAGCACTTTGGGAGGCTGAGGCAGGCAGATCAGAAGATCGAGACTATTCTGGCCAACATGGTGAAACCCCTTCTCTACTAAAAATACAAAAATTAGCTGGGCCTGGTGGCACATGCCTGTAATTCCAGGTACTCTGGAGGCTGAGGCAGGAGAATCGCTTAAACCTGGGAGGCGGAGGTTGCAGTGAGCCGAGATTGCGCCATTGCGCTCCAGCCTGGGGGACAAGAGCAAAACTCTGTCTCCAAAAAAAAAAAAAAAACAAAAAAAATGTGTACATACATAAGTTACTGGAAAGGGGGTCCCAATGCAGACCTCAAGAGAGGGTTCTTGAACCTCATGCAAGAAAGAATTCAAGGTGAGCCCATACAGTAAAGGGAAAGCAAGTTTATTAGGAAAGTAAAGGAATAAAAGAATGGCTACTCCATAGGCAGAGCAGGGCATGGGATGCTCAACTAAGTATATTTAGTTATTTCTTCATTATATGCTAAATGAGGGGTGGATTATTCATGGATTTTCTGGGAAAGGGGCAGGGATTTCCCAGAAACAAGGGTTCCTTCCCACTTTAGATAATATAGGGTAACTTCTGGACATTACCGTGGCATTTGTAAACTGTCGTGGTGCTGGTGGGAGTGTCTTTTAGCACGCTAATGAATTATAGTTAATATATAATGAGCAGTGAAGACAACCAGTGGTCACTTTTGTTGCCATCGTGGTTTTGGTGGGTTTTGGCCGGCTTTTTGCTCTGTCTTGTTTTATCAGCAAAACCTTTGTGACCTGTATCTTGTGCCGACCTCCTATCTCATCCTGTGACTAAGAACACTTACCCTCCTGGGAATGCAGCCCAGTAGGTGTCAGCTTTATTTTACCCAGCCCCTATTCAAGATGGAATTGCTTTTGTTCAAATGCTTCTGACACATACATATATTTACTTAGTATACACCTAAAATATATTTAAAAATACACAGCTGAGTCATAGTATATAGGGATGTTCAGTTTTAGTAGATACTTCCAAATACTTTCCCAAAATGCTTTTGTTGTTTCATACTTTGATCAACAGTTTTGAAGCATTTCAGTTGCTTCATATTCTCACTGACACTTGATGTTTCCAGCCCTTTATTAAAATAAATTTTAATCTTTCTAATGAAGTAGTAATAAAACATCACTGTAGTTTTAATTTTTCATTTCCTTAATGACTGACCAAGATAGCTTTTTCATTCCCCTGAGCTGACTTAAACTTTTGACAGATTTCTTCCTGGTCTTAGGCCCCAGAACTGCTTTTTCTTGGAACATTTTTCTCCCTCTTTAAGATGTACAACTTCTTCCTGTCTCTTACCAGTCTTAAAACCTAGAAATGTCTTCCTCAAGGATCTGGGAGCCATATCTTTAAAATGTAATCATTAAGAACAGTGAGGAACAATGAGGCCTCTATCTCCCAATTTCTGAGGGAAGGTAAAGTGCTAATTAGCAAACACAGATGACCTAATCACATGGACTCCTCTCCCCACTAATGTCCTCCAGCACTTTTCCCCTAGCTCACCTCAGTGCTTGAAAAGTGTGCAGCCTTTAGTTTCAGAGGAGTTGAGTTTCATCTCTCACCCATCTTGCAAGTCTTGAATAGAGTCTTCCTTTCCTGTGTGACTCCATTAGGTGCAATTTTTCTTTGATATTACTCAACAGATTGAACGTGTTTATGCTTATTTATTGAATAATTGGATACTCTTTTATTTGTGAAGTTCCTGTTTGAGACTTTTTCCCATTTTTCTACTGTATTTTTAAATTTTTAAAAATTATTTGTAGGTGTTATGACTACCTGAATTTGTATCCTTGTTTGATATGAGTATTTCTCTCACTAAATTACAAAGTCACATTTTTACATAAATCGTGACCATATGTATACATGATCTGGTTCTGAACTCCTCTATTCTGTATAGCTTGTTTTCTTGCCATATACCAAAGCCATTCTATTCTTAATTCTTGGAACTTTATAAGATATTATATCTGTTAGTGTAATTGTTCTAAATTTGTTCCTTCACCCCAAATGGTCTTGGCTGTTCTTGGCCTTTTGCTTTTCCATATACATTTTAGAATCAGCATGTAAACTTATGCAAACACACATTAGCTGAGGTTTTAATTGAGATTACATTGAATCTACAGGTCAATTTGGGAGACATATTTTTAAATATTTCACCTTCCATTTCATAAATATGGCATGACCCTCCATTATTTTTAAGGTTTTGACTTTGCCATAAAAGTTTTTAGTTGTCTACAGAGAGATGTTACATGCCTTTTTATAGATTGAGTCCTAGGTATTTGGCATTTCTGATAGTATAGATAATAGTATTTTATTATTTTCATTCTCTAGTTGTCTATTGCTAGTATATATAAATATACACTTTGCAAACATTGACCTGTGTACATGCATGTATGTATTTTTAAATTTATATACATGTAAACATTTTCCTCTCTATATAACCATGCTGTATTAAAATAATGGTGATTTCATTTCTTTCTTTTGCAATCTCTCTGTCTTGCACACACACACACTTTTTGCTTTATAGTATTGACCTGAACCTCTAGAACAATACTGAATGGCATTCCTTCTTGATCAGAAGGAATCTTTAAATATTTAACCATTAAACATGTTTTAGTTTTTAAATTTTATTTGTTTTTGTATATATTCTTTATTATATTAAAGAATTTTATTCTCTTGAATTGCTAATCTGTTAAGATGTTCTAATGAGGACTACTTGAAAATCTGCTTTTTTGATTTTTTTTTTCCTTGATAAGGGCTTGTCTCTTTTCAGTTTGCTTTCACTTTTGTGGTACAATATATTAAAGACTCTGACTCAATTCTTTCATGTTAGTTCATATTTTGAGACCATTGAAAGCTGTACATGGTGTCTTAGCCATTTAGCTGCAACTCCCTTCTGGGCTGCTTAGATTCTTGTCTTATCATCAGGTAGAAATCACAAAAGGGGAATTTCTAGAGGAAACACTGAAAAGAATTTTAGGCTCGTAGCAATGTAGTTCCCACCTCTGGGATCTTGACTCGTCCATTTTTAACTGCCTTTGTTACTTTTAGATCCCTTCAGTAGACTTTTTAAAATGCAGTTTTTCAATTTTCTGAAGGTTTAGTGCTAGAAGCAAATTCTACCATTTTATTTAATTGAGAATTATATATGCTTCTACTGTAAATTCACCTCTGTGTTAGATACAGTGAATATTTAAAGACTAAGGAATTTTCCCCTTCCCAAGAAAGTTGTTATGCAGTAGGGGTATAAGAAACACAATAAAATGCATTACGTGCAAAATAGCATTGCAATCAGAGATTACAGGATTGAGTCACCCTGCTGGGAACACTTGTTAGGACACATGATTTTTACAACTATACTTCTTTGCAGGCTGAAAAACAATGGTTGCCTAGCTCAATTGATGTCATAGGTTAGCAACACGAACACCCTGAATTTGAATCCCAAATCTCACAAAATATTCTGTGTTCATGAACAAGCCAGTCAAGTAGAATTATATACTATGAAGGGTTGTAAGAAACTTAACAGATTATACTATTCAGTTCTTTCACTGAAGTTTCACACAGGCTAAAGTCACATAGCCAGTAGGATAGAAGCAGGAACAAGAATCTGAGGCTTAGCCTTCTTATGTTGTGTTTTCAAAATATTTTAGGTATGTAGTGACAATGTGTAAACATCAAAGGGAAAATCACATTTACATGTGGACTGAAGTTTCATGTCTTGGGAAATATTGATTGATTTCGCAATATTGAAGTGCAAATTCAAGCACTTGAAAACTGGTGATAGACTGCAAGAAAAAACAAAAAAAACCCAAAAAAACAAACAAACACACACACACACACCAAAAACTCAAAGTAAAATGGTTCCTCTAGTTTAATTAGAAACAAACCAAGATAAAACTACTCTTTCAGATTCCAATATGGTAAGCACTTTGTTCCTAGTCTTCCTATCACTGCACTTTGTCTCGCCAATTCATTTTTTCCCAGTTGCTATGGTTTACATTCAGAAATTTTGCATCTGAGTCATTAACATGCAGGCACACACACTCGTAATATATATAGAATCAAAATTTCACAAAGTGATATTTAGTCCTCCAGTATATGATCCAATTTGATATAGGTGATCTCATTTTATTTATTCTATTTCATTTAAAAATTATGCTGGCCTGGACTTACTACATTGATCTGAAGCAGGCTCAGACCTGCTGTCTGGAAAATACTGCTCTATATACTAGCCAGTTGTCTTTTCCAAATGTCAAAGGGTTGATTATATCAGCTCTGAATTAAAAACTTCCATTTTTAATCTCATTCTTCCCAATCATTGCACATATTGCAAAGTCAGAATCATTCCGTATACAAGGCTTTCTATGATATGGCTTCATCCCCCTTGCAGTCCTTAGCTGTACCATTTCTTCCAGCTTGCCTGATCTGTTTGATACAGTTTTCTACAAAGCCCCTTCCTCTCATCAATCTCAATATGCCTTTCAGTATTTGAGTTATGCCACCTTCTTTGGGAAACCTCCCATACTATCCAATCTGATTTTAATTTTCCTCCTTGTAAACTTACCACACTATAGTGGAATATTTAATGATGTTTATGCATTGAACACATAGTTTGTATCAGAGGCTGTTTATTGTGTAGTGCTTTGGTATAGATACTGATATAGTCCCTGTTGATTTGACGAGGGAACTGAGGCTTAGAAAAGTGATACAGTTGACTCAAGTAATGCTGCTGGTGAACTGAAGATGGGTGGCTTGAACCCAAGCACTCTGATCTCAGAGCTCTTTTAAACATCAAGCTATTTGAGGAGGTAAGGGGGTAAAAATGACATTGTGACCTTTTTGGTACTGTCAATCCAAGCTCATAATTTAACTTTCTCTCCGTAGGTTTCTTAGCCTCTGATTAGATGTGTCAGGAATTTTTTTTGTTTGTATTTTCTGAGTTCCATGGTTTCTCTCTATACTTCTCTAGTATGTTGTTTGCATATATGTGAGATGCATAGCCTAAGGGATCTGTATGGTATTATCTGAAGAGGTATTAGGTTGCTCATTGGACTTGTGGCTTTTAAAGTATGGCTAGTCCCATTCCTGGCTATTCTGGTGTTTGCTGCTGAAGTCTTTGCTGGAACTGGAGGTTTGCCTTCTTAGCTCAATCAGAGATCAGTAATTTTCTCTTATAAACTAATCCCCACAGCACTCTTGGATGTTGCAAAGGTCTCTGATCTTGGCTGTGTCTAACAGCTTGCTCTGGGCTCATCTCTAATGTCAGGTTATTTCACAAGAAAAAGCCACTGACTTTCAGCCATATTATTGTTTGCTTTATCAAGGGTCACACAGGAACTTCTCTAGGTATCCAAGCTATGTGAAAGCCAAGAGAGGCTTGAAGACCTAACAAGGCTTCTTTCTGTGTGACTATGTTATCAATGTCTATTTTTTATATTCTAGTGAACACTATTTGAATTCTATTTTAGAAATCTTTTCCTACCCAAGGGTTGAGAAGATATTCTCTTGTTTCATTGTAGGAGTTTATAGTTTCAGTATTTATATCTGGGTCCATGATCCATTCCCTTCCTCTATGCTTCCATAATTCTTTAATCTAGGAAGGCCAGGTTTAGGGCTTCCTACTTCCTCCTTCTTCTTCTTCTTCTTCTTCCTCTTCCTCTTCCTCTTCTTCTTCCTCTTCTTCTTCCTCTTCTTCTCCTCCTCTTCTCCTCCTCTTCTCCTTCTCTTCTTCTTCTCCTTCTCCTTCTCTCCTCCTCCTCCTCCTCCTCCTCCTTCCTTCCTCCTTCTTCCTTCCTCCTTCTTTCTTCTTTCTTCTTCGTATCCTTTGTCTTTACTTCAGGCATTGTGTAAAATTCTTTATGATTTTATCCACCAAGATGCTCTCTGGATATGTTTACAAGAGAGATAAGTGAACTTAGAAAAATTCCTTCTCCTTTGTAATAAAACCTGTCTGTTACATCTATTATCTTCCTATAAAGCTTTTTGCTTGTTTTAGATAACAAAAGCTATTTTAAAACTATCTTTTAAGATATGCCTCTTGCTCAGGCTGTCCCTTGTTCAAGGAGAAGGGAATGTAGACAGAATTTAAAAGAGAAAAAATTTATTTATATTTTTATACAATACAACCTCTATTACACAGAAGTTCCCCAGCATTTGTATAATGAAATAATTATTCATAAATGAAGATATCTGAAGGAGTGTATGAGAATCTGGCTGCACATACTAAAGGATAGTAGAATATAAAAATAGCATGACGAATAGAAACTCCATGGTGGAAGTAGAGCTACAGCTGGAATAATTACAGCTGTATTGGAAAGAAGGAGAACAGAAAATCAGCACTGATGGATAGTAATAGAAAAATAATTTAAGACTAGAATTAGGAGGCTAGTGTAATTGTGAGACAGAAAAAAAATATTGGAACAAGGTAGAAGCCAGGAACCTTACTTCTTCTCTAAAACCAATCTAACTGAAGTTTTCACATTTTTCTGTGTATTTCTATATTTCTATATATATTTCTATATATCAGTTTTCTGATATACAAAAATAGATATTATATTTTGATTATACCTCCAGAAAGCATTGTAGTGCTATAATACAATATAATGCTATTTATATACTAAGAAGCTAAAATGATGGTCATGGATAATATATTTTATTATTTTCATCAAATAAAATTTCAGCTTCTTTAACTCATTTATTCCAGAAATACTTGTGCATTTATTTCTCATCGTATAAGTGCTAGACCCATGAAATACAGAGTGATTTTAAAACATTGTTTCTTAACTGAAAATCGAAGAACCCTGCTACACAACTGGGCAAAATTAAATTACTGTACAAAGAGGTGTGATAAATACATTTATAGGTTATTAGAGCAGATTTCCAGAGTAGGGTATGATTAAATTGAGTACTAACTAATACATGTGAATTTGTCAAGTTTCTCCCCAAGTGCGTTTGGGCTGCATAGCTCTCCTGTTCCTATAATCACTCAATAATTTGAATCCAGAAGTAGCTATTTAGGTGGGTTTCATCATTGGTCAAAGGGAGATTCTTTGCAGTAGAGGAGCTAGGGAAGAAGGTGATGAGAGAAAAACTTGTTTTGTTGGGGGAAACATGATACTTAATTTGGAAATGAATATTGAATAACTAAATTTTCTCACCAAAATGAGTAAAGATAGAAGCTAGGAAGTATTCATGTGATAACTCTTTGGGACAGAAAATGTTATGTGATACACATAAAATATTATTTATATATATAATATTTTATATGAATGTTTCATATATATTCGCTATATAACAAGTGTCCCAAGCCTTTGGAAGATTTGAGTCAGCAAGGGAGTCCTAAAACAATAAAAGATATTTTTCTCTGTGTATAGATTAAAATCAGATTGAGAATGAAATTTATTTCTGCTTCTCTAGAATCATGACAGCAGAGTTTCTCTGTGGTTCAGAAATATTTGAAAAGAACAATAAGAAAGAATTTAATTCCCAAGTGCTTGCTTAGCAAGCATGATGCCAGTTAAGCACTGTTCTTGTGTCGTTGTGCAGATCCCCAGTGGACCAGAAGAGAAACTTCTTAATTAGATTTAAATGGTCCTTGTTTGCCAAGGTGCACTGTTCGGGAATATCTGGTGACTGGCTAGCTAAGCATTTGTTCTAGTTTTTGCCTCTTCTCTGTAGTATTCTGCTGAGATGTGACACTCTCTTGTTACTTTGCAGTTTCCTCTGACAACAGGTTAAGTTAGTCTGCCCCTGTCATATGTGGAACCTGATGGATGTCAAGGGATGAGACCAAATTAATTCAACAGGTGGCAGAGAACCCTGGGGGAGGAGAAACCTGCTCTGCGTGAATATGCTAATACATATTTCAGTGCATGATTATCATTCTGCAGTTCAGGAATAATTGAATTTGCATATCCCCAACGTTTAAGAATTGATTTCCTAAATGAGGAAATCTGGGGCATAATGACCATGTGCCTATGCATCACTGCACATTATTTCAGGATCCAAAGGAATCTGCAGAGAGTAAATTACTTAGTCCCCTTGGATAGATGGAATTTTCATGTTGTTTTAGGAAAGTTGTGGGCATTTTTTTCTCCTAATCAAATGGAATCATTCTCTGTTCTAAACATAGGATCGGAAGTGCCTTGGAGGCAGCTGCGAGGGTAAATAATTAGCTACCCTACTGCCTAGAGAAATAGTTTAGAGGTTTTTAGAGACTCTGCACAAATGGACTGGGATATTATGTAAAATTCGTTTTGGTTAGACTTTAATTTATCTAACTTAATATAATTATTGAGAAAAGCAAACTGTGGACAGTTAGGAACAAGGAATCAAGAGCTTGTGCAAAGGAGATTGGACATGACAGTTCTACTAAAGAGATAATGACAATTAAGTATGGCTGGATTTATTGCTGCCTTTTAACATAGCATATGTAGAGTTTGTTCTATATCCACCCCACTGTATCTTCAATTGTATCTTTATTATTCATAAACTTCATCTTTATCAGGATCAAAGTCCTGTGAATAAAGGTAAATAATCATGTGATATCATCATACTTCTACAGCATTTCCACATATGGCAAAATTTGATTCTGAATCTATTTCTTTAAACTCCCTGGCCATAGGCAGAAGATAACAAACCAGGACTCTGAGGCAAGAAGATTTTATGCTTTAGAGGACATGAAGGGAACAAAAATTTTAGAAGGCTATTTCTAACCAGCCTGGTGCTCCCTTAAGTGTGGTTCAGTTGACTCAAGCAGCAATGTAAGAAAACACGGTAAGGTTTATTATGGGCTGCTGTAGGATATTTAGGTTCATTCAGTGCCTCTGATGACTTTCAGACTTGTTAGGGAAGTTGAGTCACAGGCCTCTGTGTTGTAGGAGGCATGAAGAATAGATTTTGAAGGGATTGGAGATGGGAAAATTTGAAAGAGATATGACATTTGATTAAGTCATAAGTTAACAAAAAAATGGCTCTTGAGACTAACTCATTGGGAAGTAGCTCAGGTTGGGTGGAGATCTAATGGAGTTTAGTCATTAATATTTCAACTGAGCTTTAGTCACATCAGCACTCACATCAACCTTCTTTCTTGTGAACCACAAAACCATTTATTAGGCGAGCCCTTGCCAAGAGAGCTATATCATCTGTCTGAGAGGCTGACATTTAGTAGGTCTTTGTGACATATTCTTTTTTAAGTAGTTCAAACTACAAGTTGAAAACTGATCATGTTGTGGGGCATAGGACCTGCTGAAGAAGCTAGGGGTATTAGAAAAGGTGGGAATGGGCAGGGAGCCTAAATAAACATGCAGAGTCCCAGAAGTCAAATTAGAAGAGTGAAATCTGGGGAGTAGGAAGAAGGATGAAGTGCAGACAAATGATCTGTAGGGGGAATCAGATATTCAGCCCAGATTTTTTGACTGCCTCACAGGTAGAAACATTAAAGAGATGCACTCCTGACAAAGTTCCTAAAATCAGGCTCAAATAAGGTGCTCCCTTTTTTGTCCTTCTCAGTTCTTGACAAGCTTAGTGTTAAGATCAGATGAGGAGGATGACACAAGTAAGGTGTTCCTAAAAACCTTCTTTGACCCTATCTCACTTTCCAAGCTATCTCCATTTTCTCTGCCGTTCTTCATAGACAAATGTCTAGAAATAAGGAGTTTCTGCCTCCAATTCTCTGATTACTCAATATGCTCAGAAGCCTACCCCTTTCAGTTATCAGCTCATTCCAATTTGATGTCTTGTCACCACTCACCTGAAATTGGTTTTGAGTTGTTTCCAGACCCAAAGCACACTTCTTGATCCGTATCCTATTTAACATTTAGGTTGTAGTTAATATAATTTACCAGAACTTTGTTGAAACAGTTTCCTTTCTTGGGCTACACATCACACTTTCTCTCATTTGAGCTCCATTAATCCTTCACTAATCTCCCAGTTTCAGGGCTCTCTGAGCAATCTCTCTTCAGGTGATTTATTCATTCATTAGGTGTGAAAACCATCTGATTGTTATGAATTCCCAAATATATATCTCAAGGTAGAGCTGATTGTCTCAGTTTCAGACTCATAGTCAGTTTTTAATTTTATTTGCATTTGAATAGCTTACAGATATTTCAAATTTAACAAATCCAAATTTCTGGTGATGAATCCACCATTATGACCTCATTTAAACTTAATTAACTCCCAATGGCCCCACATCCAAATAACATAACATTAGAGGTTAGGGCTTCAACATATAAATTTGGGGAATGGGGACACAAACTTTCAGTCCATAACAATTGAATAGCTCAGACACAAGTACAGCATCAAGTTACCCAAGAACAGAACTGTTAGTTGGAAATGAGAGATTCCAGCCTCTTCATTAAGTTAAGGAATATTTCTTATTAGAAGTAGAGTTGGAGAAAGTTGGAAAAATGTGAAAAAAGAGACAAGTGTCTAATATTACTTTTAGACTCAGTGCAGTTGGATTGAGAAGCCACTAAAACCAGGTAGTGCCTTTACTCTTGTGAAACATTCTTTCTTTTAGAGAAATAATTCATTGTGATTTCTCAATGTCTTCTCTTCAACTTTAATTCTATTATTCATCTTTGTAACTTACGTGTGTAGTATAGTATATGGGCATCACTCTTCCCATTTTATAGTGGAAGAAATGGATATCTAGAAAAAGGTATAAATAACTTATCTGAGTTTTACTTTACATCAGAGACTAAGTTGGGAGGAGAATTGACATCCTCTTTGAAGCATGATACAGATTTTACCACTGTACGTTTCTCTCCCATAGTCCTTGACCATAGTCATGTTTATGATCCTGTCAGTCATTCCCTCTTCAGTGCTACTCAGGTTTCCATTGTCATATCCTGGACCTGGTTTCTTCCTCACTAGGACAGGGAAAACAACTCCAGATATCGTTATAGCTGTGCAATCTTGGCTAAGATATTTGACTGCTCTTAGATTTAATTTCTTTATCTGCAAAAATAATACTTTCAAAATGTTATTGCTGGTGCCTGATTTTCTATGATCCTGAAAAGTGACTTGGGAAAGGAAAAGTGTGGTAAATATGGTATTTATTACATCATTAATAACATTATTGACTGCCATCAGTGCCAATATTTGTGGTAATAACCATTTATATCAATACAAATTCAATAAGTACCTACTCTATGCAGAAAACTGGAAGACAAGAGTGAGTAAAATCTAGTGCCCCTCTAAATTAGGAAAATGCAATTACTCTAACACAGTAGCTGGCATTACAATTCCTCTTTGAAGAAGAATTAGAACTCATTGCTGGAGACATGGGTTTTTCTGATTAGGGATTCAGTTTGAACAGAGACATTGGCTAGGAAAGTTTCTAATATGCTCAGGGCACACAGATGAAAGAAGATGGACAGGTGGATGATTTGAGGTGGTTTGACAGTGATATGGAAGCTGGGTCTGCTTCATAGAGAGTCTTGTAATAAAGAGTTAGAGCTGTGGGTCTGTGCCTCTCAATCTGGACCACCGGCAATATGCCAGATAATTTGCAAAACCATGGTACATACCTGGCACATTTTCTTGAAGAAGCAATTTTATGTCATGATAAGCAATTTAAAACATTACTTTCAAATGAAAAATAATATTTTGTAGAAAAATACAATTAAAAAATTTTTTTATTACAGTATGTGTGAAATGTCAAAGTACTGTTGCAGCTGTTGTAAGCTAATTCAAGCTTTAGTCTGAGAAATGCTAACCATAATTCCTTTCCTACCACTGGGGACATTTTGATTAAAATTATAGGAAGCCTGCCAGGAAAACAGAAGATAATGGAGAATTTATAACCTGGGTTTTGAAGAAAGATGAGGGCTAACATAAAGGATGGTGTGGAGGTGCAGGGGAGTTGCTGGAGACAGGAGGATGATATGTTTATAGTGCACAAGTCCAGGCAGAGGCGGTGAGGGTTTTGATTAGGTTATTGCAATTGAGGTGGAGAAGAGAAGCTGGAAGTATGAGACAAGGCAGAGGTGGGATCTATGGGCTGGACTGTGCAGTTGGATTTGGGGAATGAGAGTTAGTAAGATAGAGGCACTGATAATGTTTCAGTTGTAGTCAGCCTTTATGGTTGGAAGATCAAGTCATCTATATTGAAATAGGTTAAATAAAAGAAAGTAGAATACTAAGGTACTCTAATAATCAAAACCGTTAGAGAAGAGTCACTAAAAGATAGAAATTCAGACTGCATCTGAAGTAATACATTTGACTCTATCAATATAACAATAAGCTTGGCTCTGTTTCAACTTTTGAGCTTCTCTCTGCCTCAGTATGATCAGAAGTCCTGGGCCATATATATATTTTTAATTCACCCTATCCTTCCAATTCAGGTTTTAGCTTGATCACAAGAGAGACTGATTGTACTCACTTCATTCTGCCATGAAGCCAGCATCAGGACTATGTGCTGGCAGGGAACATATTGGCAGCTCCTTGCTCATACATGTTTGTGGAATAAGTAAAGACCACTCTAACATCTTCCACAAAACAATTTGTCGAGTTTCTACTGTGTATAGTAAACTGTGCTAAATGGTTGGTATCTGTTAGCTCTATTAATCCAAATAGTGATTGTTATATCATTTTACAAAGCCAAAGATAGTAAGGAATTTACCTGACATTAAACAGTTAGTAGGTTCAGTCCCCTTCATGGGAACATCATATGGGGTCAATATATATATCCTGAATAAATAGATGAAGAAACATTACATGAAAGTGTATGGGCATATACATGAATGAAATAATGGTAAAATTCAGGTCTGTACAACATGAACATACTCTTCCCATGCTAATACAATTCTTCAACAATTATTAAATAAAGGGATTAATAAGTAAATAATAAAATGAACAACATGTTTTATAGTTGCAGAAACTTTGGCTGTGAAGCTGAGTGGCTATATCTGGAATCACTAATGTCATTCATTAGTTATGTGATCTTGTGCAATTTACTTTAATTCTGGGATCCTCAGTTTGATCATACATAAAATGGGCTAATAATGCTTACTGCCTTTACTAAAATGGTGAGGATCTGTTCAGACTAAGGTTGTACCATTAAAATGAGAAATTTTCAGGACTTGAGCTTCTTAATTTGGTGGCCAACAGTGGTCCTAGAGTAGCCTATGTTCCTGTGAATAGTCTTTCTAGACCTAAATTTATCAAAAGGAGGAAGTTCTCAGCACTCAGTATTTGTAACTATCATGTGTTAATTACTTCTCACTATGCTTCAGTGAGTAGCCAAGTTGAAACATTCTTATTTAACACGTGAAGAAACAAAGTTTAAATGACTTGCCTAAATCTACATAATGCCCTTTATTTACAATAAACATAGGCCTGAATGTACAGTATTATACCAGGTTCTAGAAATTTTTGTCCTCAAATTTTGGCAGAGTGCCTCCCTGATTATAACCATAAAAATCGTAATGCTTATAATTTATACAAGTGAAAATAAGTCATAGAAATTATAAGAACTCACCCAAGGTTAAGAAACTAATCAGTGGTAGGCACTGCATTCTAACCTAGACAGTCTGGCTCCAGGGCCAATGCTCTCAACTCCTACAATTTACTGCTTATGCTAATATTTTACTTGATGTTTTATAGACTTTAACATACTTTCTCATAAATTAACTCACAGATAACTCACTTATCTTCATAGTGATCATGTGAACTAAATATTATCCTCACTTAAATTTCATGAGGACATGAAAGCTCTGAGAGGTTAAGCAATTTGTCTTAGGTCAAACATATGGTGACACATGAATCTTCTTACTGTAAATTCCAGATTCTGTCCACTAATTCATTAGGATGACAAGCTGTATATGTTATTAGTCATTTATTGACAGCTGTGCTATGTAAATTAGTCAGCTTTCTCTCTGAACTCTTGGGTAGTGGGTTGCAAAAGACCACAATCCCCCACCCCTGCTTGCAGCTATGTCTTTTGCTAATGACTTTGCAGCTTCTCCCATCAAGAGATGAAATCTATTTCTCCACCTCTTGAATCTGTACTGAACATAAGACTTGCTTTGATAGATACAACACAGCAAAATGATGTGACAGTTGCAAACCCAGGCCTCAAGAGGGCTTGCATGCTTGAGATCCCTCTTCTTGGAGCTCTTCCCAGTTGCCATGTAAATGAGTATGGGATAGTCTGCTGCAGGACTTTCCAAGACAGGGCATCCTAGAGCAGCTACTAACTAGTCAACCAACTGTATAGCTGGTTGCATATGCATGACTGAGTCCAACCAAGACTAGAAGAACCACACAGATGAACTGAGCCCAAATTGCGGACCTGCAGAAATATGAGCTAAATAAAGGGTTATATATTTAAGCCACTAAGTTTTGGGGGTGGTTTATCATGTGCCTTGGTTTTCTTGATACCTCTATGTCTGATTCTTCCATCTTTTACTATGCTCACTGAAGGATTTCTGTTCTTTCAGAGAGATCCTTTAAAATTTGATCCCACTTCAAATGTATGTTGAAAGCATCTCATTCAAAACAGTTTTGAATCAGGGGGATGTCTAAGTTTTGTCTTTTTAAGAAATTTAAAACTCTGCTAAGCTAAAGCCTACATAGAGTCACTTCTTCTATTTTGATTTGCCAGCAAAGTCCAGTTATAGTGGCAAAAAGATTCCTCGAAGGCAGAGAGGCCATGGAGTAAACAGTGCCTCAAGTGTCACAGAAGAATGTGTTTGGTAGTGACATGTGCTTACTGCATATTTGTGCTGGTTGCTGCCAAAGATTAGATAGATAGATAGATAGATAGATAGATAGATAGATATACAGACAGATGACAGATAGATGGATAAAACAGTGCATTTTAATTGTACTAGAATCATGTAGTTATACAATTATTGACATTCTGATTGTACCAAAATAACTTAGATTTTTATCCAACAGCAAATCACAGTGGAAGGTGATGTGATAAAAGCCTTAGCAGTGCATTTCTATTTTTCTTTTTTTTTTCTCTAAAAGTGGATAGTAAAATCAATGAAAGCAAGTGACTATATCCTTTACTTAATAATGCTTCTAGCATTAAGTCATGCCTGGCTTTGTAAAGAACATTTGCAAATGAAGGCAAATTTCCTATGAGGTCACTTGAAAAAATAGGTCTATCTGACTCGGCTTCATTTATTATTTATTGACTTAGTGGTTCCCTTATTCATGCGTTTATTAAATACATATTTACACAGTGTCTCTCATATTCTACTAAACACTGGTAAATCAAAGAGAAATAAAATATACTGCCTAATATAAAGTCATTTATAGAATGGTATAGGATACATCATATATGGTACATATAATAAGAAAGAACCAACTATAATGTATGAGCAAGGATTGGTTTGTGCAAAACAGATCTGCAAAAATAATATTAGACATAATATTTCAAGTTTCTATTTCTTCTTGAACTTCCTGACTCAGACTTGTTTATTCTGGCATTAAAAAAAAAATCACCATATGTTTATTTTTCGTTCCAAATATCATTTCCTCTGTAGCAGTACCCTGAATTTACAAGGTGTTTTTTCCCAGCTGGTGTTACAAGTGACTTTTCGATAGGCCACTTTACCATTCTATGAGGCAAGCTACTTCTAGAAGAGGAGGTACATGAAAAAAAAACCTATTGGCATTAGTTTTCTAAATATCCATTGTATTATAAGTTTTTTGATGGAAAGCATCATTGTGCATGCTACCATATTAATGTTATAAGGATTTGTATGACATTAACAGAAATATGTTTAGCAATTAAAGAGAATTTGAGTCCAATACAAGTGTCATTTAGCATGAGGACAAATTACTGGCTCTTCCATAATTGAAAGGATCCCATGTAATCACTTTGCCACCAGGAGATGAACTGATCATTTTTAGAATCTGTTACCATATTTGGGGCTCCTGGTAGGTCACTACTCTTAGTGAATTACCACTAAGCAAGGGTGGGATTCAGATGAGAATTAGCAAAGCAAAAACAAAAATTAAACCAACCTTTTTTTTGTTTTTCTTCAGGAAGTATAGTAGAACTAAAGAACAACCTTTTAAAAAAGCCTATTTACAATCACCAGCTCAGTTACTATGGCCACATTTTAAGAATCTCAGTGGGGGACTGGGGAGAGGAAGCCAGTTGGCAGACTCAGAGAAGACTATCTTGTTATTTAACAGCCTCTTCTGCAATGGGATCCAGCCTCTTCTGCAATGGGATCCAACCTCTTCTGCAATGAGATCCTGAGGTCCATTGAAAGTGGTACATTCACATATATTTTCCCCAAATCTCCTTGTCATCAGTCTTCCAAACTTGCTCCTTCCAAGGACATGACCTTGTAATCATGTCTATGTGGATCATTACTTCAGCATACCTTGTCTTCTAATCCAAGTAGGAAATGAGTTGTAACACTTAAACTTATACCTACTGGGGATATATCCCTATTCTAAACTCTTTCACATCCAATCCATCTCTGAGTGTGGTTGCAATGGTCCAGCCGTACACTTTTACCTGGTGTTAGCTTATCATGCAGATTTTTTTATAAATTGATTTTTTTTCTCTTTTAAACCAAGTAGTTATAAAAAGGTTTCTCAATCTCAGCACTGCTGATATTTTAAGTTTAATAATTCTTTGTTTTGGGGGAGCTGTTTAGGTACATTATAGAATGTTTGGTAGCATCCCAGACCTTTACCCACTAGATGCCCATAGCATACCCTCTCCCAATTTGTTACAACCAAAAATGTCTCCAGATACTGTCAAATGTTTTAATGGATGGGTAAGAATCACTCCTAGTTGGAAAGTACTGAGTTATAGGTAGGGTGAAAATGCCTAATGATTTGGCTAGGACAGTCCCATTTTAGGCCTGTTTTCCTGGCCTACTTTTTAGCTCAAAAATGTCCCTGTTTATGATAATTACAGTTACTGTAGTCAGAAGGGACTCTCCATGAGATCAAAAGTGTGGGTTGATAGAGGGGAGATCGTGTGCCAAGAGAAGACATGCTGTGTGTGTGAGCCATCTGCTCATGTAACCTTCTTATGCTTTAGGAACTGCTTGGGCCTAGTGTCATATACACCTCTTCCTTTTGATAAAGGTGTGCTGCTGTGTGCATCTGACTTCATTGTTTGGAGTTTCTAGGTAATACACAATTCATGATGTCTAGCTCAGTTTGAATGGGCACATGGATTAGCATCAACTAAGAAAGAAAATGAAGCAAGAGTATTCTTCAAAATAATAGTTACTTTGTAAACAGTGTACAGGCTTTTTTTTTTCCTTGCACAGGATTTTAATCCATAAATCCTAGGAATTGTGATTTTTTTTTCTATCAGGATTGTCACAGGCTCCAGGCAGCATCCCACTGCCACAGATTTCAAGCATCATGGAGTCAGCTGGGTTGTGAGAACCAAGTGGCAGAACTTCTGACATTGCAACCTGGACCAGCTAAATAACTTCCTTTACTCTTGAACTCACTCAAAGATCAAAACATTTTTGATAATCCATTAAATAGATTGGAAAAGCATACTTAAATATGGTATAGGTTGCCTGTAAAATTCCAAAAGTCCACTTGGCATCTTCCTCAGTAATAGGAAGTGAAAGATTTAGGAATCTGTCTTTCACTTAAAGTATATGCCAACATGCTCAAGATTACTGGTTACCTTAAAACTGATGTCTATATTTGCAAGGGATTCACCTCCTAACCACTATCTTGCAAGTGTTTCCAAGATATCTTGCAAGTTGTATTTGCTATTTTCAGCTCCATAGATCCACTAATATGATGAATCAGTATGGTATATTGAGATAGAAGTTCAAGGTTCTTGCAAACCAAATTGTGATACCGAACACTGAAATATGCTAATTATGAAGGGCAAAGCTGTATAGTTATTTCTGCTAGGTGAAAACAATGGGTTCTGGTAACTCTTCTTTTTAAGATAAGAAAAAACAGTTGTTAGATAAATAAATAGCAGCATACTGACTATTGCAGATTAATTAATTTCTTCCAGCAAGCAGACCACATCTAGCAAAACAGCTTCAAATGGATTCATTACTTAATTAAACAAATGACCGTTCATTGTTATTATCAAGGATCTTCATCTTCTGTATTAGCTGAATTGGTGAGTTAAATAGAAATGTGAGAAGAATCAACACGTTGCATCTCTTGAGTCCTGAATGGTTCTGAGACTTCTCCAGGGATGCCATTGTGCTTTTGGTTCAGAATTTTGGTTTATAAAGGGAGTTCTAGATCCTTTCATTCACCTTTCTACCAAAATAAACCTTGGTCCATGGGTCAGATTACAATTTTGATTATGCCAGTTGCTGAGGATATATAGTCTAAAATATACTTGGGAATCAAGGAAATATACATGATATAGGTTCAAGAAACAACTTGGACTGTGAGATAGACTGGAGTTACAATCTATTGAATATTTGACCTCTATAAAGACTTTATTATTTTCTGTACATCACAATGACATTCTACGTCCCTAGGGATTAGCTTTCATTTAAATTCAACTTTAACCTCCAAATGTCTAAATACATCTCTTTACCCAATTCCCACTTAGCTTGGTAAATGGCCACAAAGCCATCTGGGGAATGCTGGAAGGAAGATCTATGATAAGTACCCGTGATGTTATTGCAGAGTCCTCCCTCTAGGTTATCCAGCTTTCTCTTAGTTAAAAAGGGTCTGAATCTGGGAAGTAACTCAAGTGTGAAAGGGTCCTATCGTGAAGGCTTAGATATTGCCTGTGCTAAGCACAAAATTTTGAGGGCTATAAATGTCAAGCAGAATTTTAGTAGACTGCTCATCCATTCCTGTCATGTAGAACCCCGTTTTTAATTAGCCATAACCATATATTCCTGTGAGATGTATGTACAAAACATTTAGTATCCAAATAGCAAAACAAAACTTATGAAATAATTAGTTGTTCTCTGCATCACCTTCCATTCTCTCTCTCTCTCTCTTTAAATTTTAGGTTCAGAAGTAAATGTGCAGGTTTGTTATATAGGTAAATTTTTTGTCCAGGGGTTGGTGTACGGATTATTTTTTCACTTAGGTAGTAACACAGTACCTGATAGGTAGTTTTTTTATCCTCCCCCTCCTTCTACTCTCCACCCTCAAGTAGGCTTTGGTGTCTATTGTTCCCTTCTTTGTGACCACGTGTATGCAATGTTTACATCCCACTAATAAGTGAGAACATGTGGTATTTGGTTTTCTGTTCCTGCATTAATTTGCTTAGGATAATGGCCTCCAGCTCCAACCATGTTGCTGCAAAAGACATGATCTTGTTCTTTTTTATGATTGCATAGTATTCCATGGTGTACATATACTACATTTTCTTTATCCAGTCTACCACTGATGGGCAGTTAGGTTGATTCCATGTCTCTGCTATTGTGAACAGTACTGCAGTGAATGCATGCGTGCACATGTCTTTTTGGTAGAACAATTTATATTCCTTTGGATTATACCCAATGATGGGATTGCTGGGTCAAGTGGTAATTGTTTTAAGTTCTTTGAGGAATCCCCAATCTGCTTTCCATAATGGTTGAACTAATTTACATTCACACTAGCAGTGTATAAACATTCCCTTTTCTCTACAACCTCACCTGTATCTGTTATTTTTTGACTTTTTAATAACAGCCATTCTGACTAGTGTGAGGTGGTGTCTCATTGTGGTTTTATTTGTGTTTCTCTAATGATTAGTGATGTTGAACATTTTTTAATATGCTTTTTGGCTGTGCTTGCATCTTCTTTTGAAAAGTGTCTGTTCATGTCCTTTGTCCACTTTTTAATGGGGTTGTTTCTTTTTTACTTATTAATTTGTTTAAGTATTTATAGATTCTGGATATTACACCTTTGTCAGATGCAGTTTTCAAATATTTTCTCTCATTCTGTAGGTTGTTTACTCTGTTGGTAGTTTCTTTTTCTGTGCAGAAGCTCATTATTAATAGTTGAATTAGGTAGCACTTGTCAATTTTTGTTTTTGTTGCAATCGCTTCTGGTATCTTTGTCATGAAATCTTTTCCAGGGCCTATGTCCAGAATGGTATTTTCTAGATTATCTTCCAAGGTTTTTATATTTTTAGGTTTTACATTTAATTATGTAATCCTTCTAGAGTTGGTTTTTGTAAATAGTATAAGAAAGGGGTCCAGTTTCAATTTTCTGCATATGGCTAGCCAGTTATCCCAGCACCAGTTAGTGAACAGAGAGTCCTTTCCCCACTGCTTGTTTTTGTTAACTTTGTAGAAGATCAGATGGTTGTAGGTGTGTCACATTATTTTTGCTCCATTAGTCTTTGTGTCTGTTTTTGTACCAATACTATGCTGTTTCAATTATTGTAGCCATGTAGTATAGTTTGAAGTCAGGCAGTGTGATGCCTTCAGCTTTGTTCTTTTTGCTTATAGTTGCCTTGGCTATTTGAGCTATTTTTTCATTCCATATGAATTTAAAAAATTTGTTTCTAATTCTGTGAAGAATGTTACTGGTAGTTTGATAGGCATAACATTAAATGTATAAATTTCTTGGGGCAGTATAGCCATTTTACCAATATTGATTCTCCCTAAATATGAGCATGGGGTGTTTGTGTCATCTCTGATTTCTTTCAGCAGTGTTTTGTAATTCTCATTTTAGAGATCTTTCACCCTTCTAGTTAGCTGTATTCCCAGATAATTTATTCTTCTTGTGGCTATTATGAATGGGATTGTATTTTGATCTGGCTTTCAGCTTGGATGTTATTGATGTATATAAATGCTATTGATTTTTGCACATTGATTTTGTATCCTGAAACTTTGCCGAAGTTGTTTATCAGAACAGGCAGCCTTTAGGTAGAGACCGTGGTGATTTCTAGGCATAGAATAATATCATCTGCAAACAGAGATAATTTGACTTCCTCTCTTTCTATTTATATGCCTTTTATTTCTTTTTCTTGCCTGATTGGTCTGGCTAAGACCTCTAGTGCTATTTTGAATAGGAGTGGTGAGAGTGCGAATTCTTGCCTTGTACTTGTTTTCAAGAGGATTGCTTCCAGCTTTTGCCCATTCAATATGATGTTTGCTGTGTGTTTGTCATAGATGGCATATTATTCTGAAGTATGTTTCTTCAGTGCCTAGTTTGTTGAGGATTTTTAACATGAAGAGATGTTGAATTTTATCTACATCTATTAAGATAATCATGTGGTTTTTGTTTTTAGTTCTGTTTATGTTTATCGATTTCCATATGTTGAACCAACCTTGCATCCTGCCTGCTTGATTGTAGTTGATTAGCTTTTTGATATGATGCTGGATTTTGTTTGCTAGTACTTTATTGGGGATTTTTGCATATGTGTTCATCAAATATATTGGCCTCAAGTGTTTTTGTTGTTGTTGTTGTGTCTCTGCCAGGTTTAGGTATCAGGATGATGCTGGCCCCATAGAATGAGGTAGGGAGAAATCCCTTCTCCTAGTTTTTAAAAATAATTTCAGTAGGAATGGTACCAGCTATTCTTTGTACATCTGGTAAAAATTGGCTGTGAATTCCCCTGGTCCTGGGCTTTTTCTGGTTGGTAGGCTTTTTATTACTGATTCAATTTTGGAGCTTGTTAATGTTCTCTTCAGGGATTGAATTTCTTCCTGTTTCAATCTTGGGAGGTTGTATATTTCCAGGAATTTATCCTTTTCTTCTAGGTTTTCTAGCTTGTGTGCAGAGAGTTGTTCATAGTTGTCTCTGAGGGTTTCTTGTATTTCTCTGGGGTCAGTGGTAATATCCTTTGTCATTGCTAATTGTGTTTATTTAGATCTTCTCTCTTTTTTTCTTTATTAGGTTAGCTAGAGTTCTATCTTATTTATTCTTTCAAGGAACCATTTCCTTGATTCATTGATCTTTTGTATTTGCTTTTTCAGATCATAATTTCCTTTAGTTCAGCTCTGATTTTGGTTATTTATTGTCTTCTGGTAACTTTGAGATTTGTTTGCTATTGTTTCACTAGTTCCTCTAGGTGGACTGTTAGGTTGTTAATTTGAGATCTTTCTAACTTTTTGTTGTGGGTGTTTTGCACTATAAACTTCCCCTCTTAACATTGCTTTAGCTGTGTCCTAGACATTCTGGTATATTGTATCTCTGGTCTCATTAGTTTCAAATAATTTCTTGATTTCTGCCTTAATTTTGTTGTTTACCCAAAAGTCACTCAGTAGCAAGTTGTTTAATTTTCATGTAATTGTATGATTTTAAATGATTTTCTTAGTATTGATTTCAATTTTTATTGCACTGTGATCCAAGAGTGTTGTTGTTATAATTTTGGCTTTTCTCGAGCTTGTTTTAGGATTGCTTTATGGCCAGTTGTGTGGTTGATTTTAGGGTATATACCATGTGGTAATGAGAAGAATGTATATTCTGTGGTTTTTGGGTGGATAATTCTGTAGATATCTGTTAGGTCTATTTAGTCAGTTATTGAGTTCAGGGCCCAAATATCTTGGTTTGTTTTGTAATAGATAGATAAGATGATCTAGCTTATACTTTCAGTGGGGCATTTAACTCTCCCAGTGTTATTGTGTGGTTATCTAAGTCTCTTCATAGGTGTCTAAGAACTTGCTTTATGAATATGGGTGCTCCTGTATTGGATGTACATATATTTAGGATAGTTAAGTCTTCTTATGGAACTGAACACTTCACCATTATAGTCCCTTCTTTGTCTTTTTTGATCTTTTTTTATTTCATGTCTGTTTTGTCTGAAATTAGAATATCAACCCCTGCTTATTTCTGTTTTCCATTTGCTTGGTAGATTTTTCTCCATCTCTTTAGTTTGAGCCTATGGGTATCACTGCATTTGAGATGGGTCTCCTGAAGACAGCATAACCTTGGGTCTTGCTTTTTTATTCAGCTTGCCACTATGCTTTATAATTGGGATATTTGGCCCATTTTCATTCAAGGTTAGTATCGATATGTGCAGACTTGATCCTACCATCATGTTATTAGCTAGTTACTATGCAGACTTGATTGTGTGATTGCTTAAGAGTGTCAGTAGTCTATATTCTTCTGTGTTTTTTTTGTGGTGGCTGGTTACAGTCTTTCCTTTCCATATTTAACACTCCCTTAAGGATATCTTATAAGGCAGGCACGATGGTAACAAATTCCCTTAGCATTTGCTTGTCTGAAAAGGATTTTATTTCTCCTTCACTTATGAAGCTTAGTTTGTTTGGATATAAGATTTTTAGTTTGAATTTCTTTTCTTTAGTAATGCTGAACACAGGCTTCCAGTCTCTTCTGGCTTGTAGGATTTGTGCTGAAAGTTCTACTGTTAGCCTGATGGGGTTCTTTTTATAGGTGACCTGCTCCTTCTTTCTATCTGCCTTTAACATTTTTTTTTCCATTTCAACCTTGGACAATCTGATGCCTATGTATCTTGGGGATGGTCATTTTATATAATATCTCACAGGGGTTCTCTTCATCTTGAATTTGAATGTCGGCCTCTAGCGAGATTGGGGAAAGGTTCATGAACTGTATTTTCAAATATGTTTTCCAAGTTGCTTGCTTTCTCTTACTCTCTTTCACAGATACAAATAAGACATAGATTTGGTCTCTTTACATAATCTTATATTTTTCAGAGGCTTTGCTCATTCCTTTAAACTGATTTTCTTTATTTTTTTCTGACTGAGTTATTTCAGAGAACTGGTCCTCAAGCTCTGAGATTCTTTCCTCAGCTTAGTCAATTCTGCTGTTAATACTAGCAATTATATTATGAAATTCTTGAGGTAAGTTTTTAGCTGTATCCGATCAGTTTGGATCCTTCTTAAAATGACAATTTTGTTTTCATCTTCTGTATCATTATATTGTACTCATTAGATTCCTTGGATTGGTTTTGACTTTCTCCTGAATCTTGATCATCTTTATTCCTTTCCATATTTTGAATTCTATTTCTGCCATTTCATCCATTTAATCCTGGTTAAAAACCATTGCTGGGAAACTGGTGCAGTCATTTGGAGGTGAGATGACACTATGGCTTTTTGCATTGGTAGAGTTCTTGAACTGGTTCTTTCTCATCTGTATGGGATAATGTTCCTGCAGTCTTTGAAGTTGCTATCCTTTGGATGGAATTTTTTTTTTTTTTTTTTTTTTTTGCTCTTCTTTGATGCTCTTGGGGGTTTGATTGTGGTGTAAGGTGGGTTTGGTCAAGTGGCTTTGTTTCTGGACGATTTTAGGGGGCCAAGGCTCAGCTCAGAAATCCTGGGTTATGTGCTGTAGCTCTAGGGTGCTGGTACTGGGCCCCAGGCTTTGTTCTCTGGCCCCTTTAGGTTAGGAACATGCTGTACTAAAGGGGCTGTGTTGTTCCCAGTCCACTGGCCATAACACTTTGATGGGTGGTGGCAGTGAGATCCATGCTCACTCATGCATGCCAGCAGCTGTGGAAGTGTGGCCAGGTGCATAAGCATTGGCTGGGGTGAGGGACTGACTGTAGTGGGACTGCAGTGTTCCTACATGTGCTTGTGCCAGTCATGCTCTTTACTCCTTCTCCTTTCAGGATCAGTGAGAAGGCTGGTGAAGCAGTCTAAAGATGAAAGTCCTGGTGGCAAAGCACTATCACCATCTCCCTATTGGAACACTCTCTTTAGTAAGCCATGCTGGGGCACATACCCTTGGAGATATGTACCAGGGACAGAACCACCACAGGAATTATGGACATTGACTACATGTGCTACTGAGTTCTGCTAATCATGAATAATTGCTACCTTGCCATTTATTTGGCTTTCAGTCATATAGCAGTCTAGGTGACAAATCTGTAACTCAACCTGTGCTTTTACATCCTACTCTAGAAATGCAGGGTCGCAGGTTACAGCACTCAACATACCAGGTTTAGAGCATGAGTCCACATATCATGTGCTAGGGGGTGGTGAAGGAGATGTCTGCATTTCCTGAAACTTACATCATAGATGGAAGGACGCTGCCTGAAACTTATCTTGAAGTATTGGCTAGGAAGCAATAATTATGTATGTTCACAGTAAGAAAGTAATGGTATTTCTTTTGTCTTTTTCAGACTGGTGTAGTCAAATCCAGTTTCCCTTCTGGCCAGGTGGAAATGTGAAGAAAAATTAATAAGGGTTTATGGCTATTTCTCCCTCTGCTTTGCACTGTAGCATAAATGTGAGCCCTGGGAGCGTATGAGGTCTTCAGCTCTGAAATCCAGGTCATGGTGCAGTCTTAGATCTAGAAGGGTGGGTTTCACCTAGTGTTTGGCAAGAGCTACATATCTCCTGCCTGGAAGAAAGTGATAGTACTGACTTCAAACTTGAGCCTTGAGAAGAAATGCTTTTGCTTTTCCTTATCTACGTCCCCCAAAGAAAGGTAACTGGCCAGGGCAAGTCTGAGATCAATGGTCATGAACCAACTACATGGAATTTGAACATATTATTGGCCGTAAACCACCTTAGTCTTACCACATAATGTAGACATCCTTTTGCAGTAAACCCAGGAAGGCAAGCTGCATATGTATTGACTGTCTCCTGGGTCCTATTATACTCACCACTGAGGCATATAAAGAAACAGAAACAGCCTTAGAGTGTCTAAGGGCTGTTTGGCTTTAAACATTTTTTATTTTCCAATTGAATTAGAGTAAAAACAGTAGTTAAAATATACCCTTGGCTGTTGTCATGAAAATTCACAATAACAGATTAGCCCAAAATAGCCAATTTTCTGTAGTTTCCAAGGATACAGCCATAGTTAGAAGTGTCATCTGCCAATTTAAAAAAAAATTTCAAGAGACATTAAAATAAGACAATGGAAGAAGAAGGGCCAGAGGGAAAGTTTTTTTTTTTTTTTTCTAAATAAAGGTTAGAAGAAAAGGATAAAGAATAAAGAGCTCTAAAGCAGATTATTTTGATTTTCTTCAGGCTAGTTTAAGGAAAATGACTGAAATGACTCTTAAATTGACTCTGGTCCCTCAGAAGTTTCTTAATTGATAACAAAACAGGATGGGTCATGTTTCTGCTTTACAAAGTCAGGATTGCCAAGTCCTCTAATTTACCAGACCATAAAACCCTTATCTTTCCCCTGTCTGATTTTAGCCTTCATTTATTAAGTGCTCTACTGACAGTCTCTAATTTAATCCCCATAACAAACTTATGAGGACATAATGTTAGACGCTTCTTATTTTGGTCTACTAAACATCCACTCAACTATTTTTTGGCAATATCACCTTGATGTTCTTTTAGAAAATTACCTTTTTCCCATCTGATAGTGTCCAATTAGACAGTAAGTTAAGATACCCTAGCCACGGTAGAAATGTGAAACAATCAGGCCACTTAGAGTCAATCCTGAGTAGATAAATCTTGACCTGAGCTTTAAGATTACTGAATACTGTTCAACTTATTTGCTTTGTGGAAATCCTAGATGAGGCTATAGTGTTCCTGCTAACTTGCCCACAGTGTTGTCGTATTGATTCCCATGTTCCTTTGTTAATTCTGTAAATTAGTAATATGCTTCCACCAACTGTCAATTTTTGTTTGCATTAGCAAAAACTAAAAATAATACCAAGTGTTATTCCCCTTTTTAATTTGATAAAACTGAGGCTCAATTAAATTAAATCATTTGTCCAAGGCTAGTCAGTTAATGATGTAACCTGTACGCCAGTTTATTCCTGCTTCCCTCTCCTCTGCCTCCACTATTTCCTTTTATGTGAACAAACAAGTTACCTCACTGACTACTCCCAAAGTCGAGGACTCCCTTTGCAACAGTGAAATCAAAGGATGACTCTTTCAGAGAAAAATCTCATCGTTCACACTAATCTTTTTTTTTTTTTGTGGTGAGTCTTTTCACATGTTTGGTGATTTTTCTGTTTGGTCTTTCCACCTGAGTAGGGGAAGAATGACAATGACTGTCATGAACTAGGATCAGATACAGTTTATTCCAGAATATACCAGTGTCTCTTTTCTCTCCTCGCCTTTTCTCATCTCATCTCATCTCCGTTTTTCTTCTTTTTTGCCCCAGTGTTCTTACCTAGGATGTGAGCATAAGAATAAACAAAAACAACAACAACAAAATTGGAGGATGGGAGGATGCTTAAAATGAAGAATATTGGAAAGAATATGGGCTTTAAAGTCAGGTAGAGCTAAGTCTAAATTCTAGCACCAGAAGTTTTTAGCTTGTTATTGAGGAGATTTACTTTTCATTTATGAGAACTTCCGATTTATTGTAATTTTTTTATCGATGCCTTAAAGACTCAGGAAGATAGCTGCATTTACAGAGAGGCAGTTCAACTGTCTAATGGCTACCTCTGGTCTGCTTTGACATCCTAGAACCCCTACAGTATTATTGCCTTTGTAAATGCCCACTGTTACTTAGAAGAAAACAAATTCCAAAGTATAGCCACTTCCTTGCACATGTAGACCTGCCTTAGGCAGGCTGTGAATAATCTTCAGTTTTTTTTGTGCTAGGTGAACGTGGTATCCAGATTAGAGGCTCCAAATGACTCTAGGATTACCCCAACTACCTGCCCTGTAGTTCCAGCAGGATTGTTTGTATGATTTGGTTCAGGGGAGAAAGAGGGATGGGAGACAGAAGAGCAGGAAGGGGATCAGGATAATCTTGCTGCTGTGATCCTTCTTATGTTCTTCAATTCAAAGTACTCAGCATGCCAAGGTGCCACACTTTGGGGTATTGTATTCTGAACTCAATAGGAGGAGGAAAACTAGGAAATTACAAATTAAACTGCCACCATACTAAGCTATTTAATTCCTGTTCTTCAAATAGCACTTTGAATTTTTATTGCAGCTATTTCATTGGTCAATATTAAAATTATTTTATGTAAGCTGATAACATTTAAGGGAAGTTGCTCTCAGAGACAAACCCTAAAATCTTGATGACTTAGTATTATAGGTGTTTATTTCTTGCTCATGTTAAATTCAGTTGACAATGGGAAGCAAGGGGAATGGCCAGGGGAGGGGAGCTTCGCTTCTCATGGTCGTTCTGCCATCTTTAACATGCAGATTCCAAGATCACCCTGGGCCTTAGCATTCAGTAGGCAGATGGAATAAAAGAAATAAACTACATGTTAATGCAGGAGATTTTTATGAGCTATATCTGAAAGTGGCACACCTGGCTTTAACCCACTCCCACTCACCACATTTGGTCCTATGGCCACATGTAACTGAAAATTAGAAGTTAAAATGGAATCCTCTTCTACGCCTAGGAGGAAAAGGAACCAGATTTGGTGAAGAGATAACCCATCTTGTCCACAACATATCCATATTTTATGTCAGTTCACTGGCTCTGTCAAGGCAGGGTGAGAGTTTTACTCACGTTTATCTGCCACTTAGTTTAATATAGAAACTGGAGATAATAGCAGTTCAATGAGTGTGCAATTTAATGGGTTTTTTGTTTTGAAATTTAATTGGAATTATTTAAATATTCTCTAATTTTAATCATGGGAAATGCACTTCTAGCAAGGACTTGCAATGGACAAGGTTACCCTAACACAAAGAAGAGATGGCAGATGGACAAAGTGGACTAGGTATGGAACAGATTTTTCCTGAGGCTCTATAAACTGTGAAAAAGCCCTGCTTTATTTTAACTCATCATGTAAAAGGACACATATGTTTAGCTAGGTTAGATCAGACAGAATATGGTCTGTCATCTGCCATGATCCCATGCAGTGTGATGGAGAATAATCCAAGATGACACTAGTATTGCCACTATATTCATACTTAGAATAAATACTTTGAACAGATAAGGCATTGTGTGTATGAGGAGGGTATGGGGGGCTGTTCAACATTAAAAAAATTGCTATTAGCATCTCGAAGTATTATATTTTTGTGGTATTGTCATATTATCATCTAAAATGATGTGGCATATAACACAATGTGTCATTATTTTTAATGATGTGCATAATCTCATTTAGAATAGGCCCAATTTTGGGCAACTTCAGCATGATAATCTCTTACTGAGATACAAATTACCAAGTGACATGGAATTCTTGAATTTTCAAAAACTAAGAAAACATGTAGTTTAACTCTCTTAATTAGGAGATCAGGAAACATGTTCATAAGTTTAAAGATTTGTAAAAGAATACATAGCACAGTGGGGACTGGAAGCAAGTTTTCTTCTTATAGAAGCCAATATTCCTGTGGTCTCATTGGTAGGTGAAGGACCACATGATGTGAGAGTCTCATAAGGTTACAACCAACATGGTTCTCTTGGTGGCCTGTCCTGTGTTCTCAGTTACTCCTGATGCGGAAATCTTTAGGATTTAATCAGAAGAGGCTAGACAAAAGGGCTCTGGAGTCAATGAGTCCAGATCAAGCGTCCTTGCTCCCCAAATTACTTTATTGTTGAAAATTTATTTTCTGATTTTTTCAAAGTCAAAAAATAATAAGCAAGAAAAGAGAGATGAGGGAGAGAAATTGAGGAGAAATTAGAAAGATTTAGACTAAACAGCTATCTCTTTAGCAACTTACATATCACTGAAACTTGTGTTAAATACTTGTGTTAAATAGGCATGTTAAAGACTAGCCTATTTCTAGAGAGATAGAACTATTATTATTTTTACTTCTTTAAAAATTAGCTTTGGTTATTTAGAGAAAATCCTACATCGAGAACTGGAGTTGGTACAAATCAAAATCACAATGAGATACCATCGCACACCCATTAAGATGGCTACTATAAAAAAATCAATAAGTAATTTGTTAGCAAGAATGTGGAGAAATTGAAATTGTGACAGTTGTGCACTGTTGGTGGGAATGTAAAACAGGGCAGCCACTATGAAAAATAAGTATAACAGTTTATCAAAATATTAAAAATAGAGTTACCATATGGTTTTGATTTGTGTCCTTGCCCAAACCTCATGTCAAATGGTAATCCCCAGTGTTGGTGGAGGGGCCTGATAGGAGGTGATTGGATCATGGAGGTGGATTTCCCCCTTGGGTGCTGTTCTCGTAATAGAGTTCTCATGAGATCTGGTTGTTCAGTGTGTGGCACCTTCCCACTGTTTCTTTTTCTCTTGCTCTGGCCATGTAAGACATGCCTGATTCCCCTCTGTTCTATGCCGTAATTCAAAGTATTCTGAGGCCTCCCTAGAAGCCGCTATGCTTCCTGTACCGCCTGCAGAACTGTGAGCCAATTAAACCGTTTTTCCTTATAAATTATCCAGTCTCATGTAGTTCTTTATAGCAATGCGAGGACAGACTAATACACTATATTATATAGCAATTCCATTTTGGGGTATAATGCCCAAAAGAACTAAAAGCGAGGGTCTCAAAGAGATATCTGTACAGCCATGTTCATAGCAGCATTGTTCACAACAGACAAAATGAGAAAGCAACGTAAGTGCCCATTGACAGATAAATGTATAAAAAAGGTGGTATATATATTTACACACACAAATACCCTCATGTGCACAATGGAAAATTATCTAGCCTTAAAAGGGAAGGAAATTCTGACACATGTTACTACATCTGTAAGCCTTGAGGACATTATGCTAAGTGAAATAAGCCAGTCACAAAAAGACAAATTCCGTTATATTCCACTTCTATGAGTTATTTAAAGTAGTCAAATTCATAGGGACAAGAAGTAGAATGGTAGTTGCCAAGGGATGGGGAAAAGGCATAATGGGGAATTGTTATTTAATGGGTATAAAATTTCAGTTTTGCAAGATGAAAATAGTTCTGGAGATTGGTTGGACAACAACGTGAATGTACTTAACACTACTGAGCTGTATACTAAAAATTGTTGAGATGGTAATTTTGATATTATGTGTATTTTACCACAATTTTTTAAAGGTTGAAGTTGAAGGTAAGTATGAAGTCTCATGGTTGACTCCCATCCCCTTTTGAAATAGTTCTGAGACTTAGCTCAGAATGACTTTGTGCCTAAAACACATGAAGGTTTTTAGCATCAGCTAAAACTAAACATCAAGGAAGCAGGCAACTTGTATGAGCTGCTGGTGTTACTACCGCTGTCTGACACAATGGGTTTTAGTGTATGTGTGCATGCATACACTAGTCAGTTTGTATTGAGCACCAGTCTTTACATGCATTCGCTCAGACCTCACATTAACCCAATGATTTGGGCACTGTTATTATGCCAAGCAAACTTTGAAACCTGTGTCTGTCTGATTCCTAAACTCAAGCTTTTAATTACTCACTGTCTTCAGTTCTTCCATGTCAGAATTCCCAATAGATAGAAGGAGTCACAAACCACAGATAAGCCCCAAATCCTCAACTTGTCAATGTTAGTTATCATTATCCAGCATTCATGACACTTTCCTCACTTTTTCTTTCCCCATGGCTGTTTCTCCAAAACTGCACTTTTCTCCTGAAGTTTTTCTTCCCATTGTTCATACTTCCTTTCAATCTTGTCAGGATAGCCACTTCAAGGACCATATAACAGGCATCACCCCAGAGCATGCTCATGTCCCTGCGTCCCTCCTTCACCATTCATCTACATCAGTGCACATCTCTCACTCCTTTACTTCTCTCTTGAACAAAGCTTGGACAACACCTGTGATCTGAGTTACATTTTGCTTGACTCCTGATGATTTTTGTTCTGTTGATTAAAATAATTATAGTGCTTTGAAAACTGACTTATTGAGGTGTAATCGACATACAATAAATTGGTTATGTTTGAGTTGAATATTTAATTAGATTTAACATATGTATACACCCATGACGTCATGACCACATTCAGGACAGTGAGTATATTCATAGCTCCCAAAAGTTTCCTCATGTTTTTAAATAATGCCTCCCTAAAGCTCCTTCTTAACTTCCCATCTCTGAGCAATCACTGATGTATTTTCTGTCATTATTGATTAGTTTACATTTTCTAATATTGTATATAAATAGTACAGTATGAACTCTTTTAGTCAATGGTAAAGGGAGATGATATTTAATGATAAAAGGATTAATTAATGAAGAAACATAACAGTCTTAAATGTGCATGCATCTAACAACAGAGCTTAAATAATGTAAAATAGAAACTGATTGACCTGAGAAAAGAAATAGACAAATCCTCAGTCATAACTGAAGATTTCAACATGCTTCTCTCAATAATTGACAAAACTAGACAGAAAATCAGTCAGAATATGTGAAAACTAAAAAACAAACTTAACCAAATTGATATTTATAGAATATTCTCTCCAAGAAGAGCAAAACATGTTTTTCAAAAGTGAATATGGAACATTTAAGTTAGGATATATCTTGGGTCATTAAACAAACTTTAACACATTTAAAATAATTGTTGCTTATAGTATTTCCTTGTAAATGACAACTCTAAGCCCGTGTTAGTCAACAACCTAGCTCAAGTCCTTGAAACACACAACCTACTCAAAGTCATACATGACAAAATAGATAAACTGAGTAGCGCTATACATTTTAATGTAAATGAGCTCATAGTTCAAAATCTCCTAACAAAGAATACTACAGATCCAGGTGGTTTCACTGGCAATTTCTACCCAATATTTAATAAAGAAACTTTATCAGTTTTACAAAATTTCTCCTAGGAAATTGAAGAAAACACTTAACTCACTTTAAGAGACTAGAATTACCTTGATAGCAAACCAGAGAAATAAATATACAGAAAAAAACTATAGACTAATATTTATTGTAAACACAGATATAAAAGTCTTCAGCAACATATCAGATTGAATCAAGCAATTTATGAAGGGAAAATATAGGACAATCAGGTAGGGTTTATTGTGAAAAAGCTTTGTTTAATATTTGACAACTAATATAATAAACTATATAAATTGTCTAAACAATAACTACACAGTCATATTAATAGATTTAGAAAAGGATTTCAACAAAAGTTACACTCTTAATATGATAAAACCTCTCAACAAACTAAGAGAAGGGGATATCCTTATTCTGATAAAGGGCATCTACAAAAAGCTAACATCATATTTCATTACACTTAGCATCATACTTAATGTCTTCTCTCACCACTACTGTTCAACATGCTACTGAAAGTTCTAGCCAGTGCAATAAGTCAAGAAAAAGAATTAACAATATATTTGCAAGTTAGTAAATAAAACTGTCTTTATTTTCAGCCATGATTTTCTTTGTAACAAAGATCAAAGAATCTACAGAAAAGTTTGTAGAACTAATGATTGAATTTAGCAAGGGCACAAGGTACATAATCAGTACACAAAATTCAATCATACTTCTATATAATAGCAATGAACATGTGGAAACAAGTTTTTTAAAAAGTATTATTTATAATAGCTTTTCCTACAATTTTAAACTTCACAAAATATGTATGGGATCTATATGCTGAATAGTACAAAATGCTGAGGGAAAAGATCAAATAAGATGGTAAATCAATAGAAAGATATACAATATACCATGTGTTCATGGATTGTAAAATTTAATATACTCCAAATGTTAATCCTCCTGAAATTCATTTATAGATTTAACACGATCCCTTTAAAAATTTCAGCAGGATTTCTTTTGCAGGTATTGACAAAATGATTCTAACACGTATATGGAATGTAAAAAAGGAATAGCCAAAATGATTTTGTAAGAGAAGAACAAAGTTTGAGGACTCACCTTATCTGATATCAATACTTAATGCTACTTTAATTAAATCAGTATGTTATTGGTAAAAAGCTAGACATATAGCTCAAGAGAACAGAATATCAAATTTAGATATTGACTGACACATATATGGTTCATTGATTTTTGACTAAGATGTAAAAGAAAATCAATGAAGGAAAGATAAAATTGTAACAAATAATGCTGGAACAAGTAGATGTCCTTATACAAATTAATGATTCTTAATATATCCCTAATATCTCAGGCAAAAATTAACTCAAAATAGATCCTAGACTGAATGTAAATTCTAAAAGTATAAAACTTTTAGAAAAAAACTCTTTATGATCTTTGGTTAGGCAAAAAAAAAAAAAAATAGATCTGATGCAAAAAACCCCTCAATGTATAAAAAAGTAATAAATGGGAACTTGTCAAAATAAAATATAGTTGCTCTGTGAAAGAAATTGATAAAGGGATAAAAATACAAGTTATAGGCGTGAAAAGAGAATACTCACAAGTCAGTTTTCTCAAAAAGGACATATTATGTAACCAACTCTCAAAACTCCATAATAAGAAAGTATAGAACCTAATGAAAATAACAGGCAATCATTTTTACAGACACTTCCACAAAGAGAATGGGAAAATGGCTAATAAACACATGAAAATATACTCTTCATTGTTCGTCATTAGAAATTGCAAATTGAAACTATAATGTGATACTGACACATTACTTAATGCAAAAAAAAAGAAGCAACCAAGTAATCAAATGAAAACTGAAAAAATAGAGAGTTGTTGAAAATTCAGAACAACTGGAACTTTTCTACATTTCAGATGAGAATGCAAAATGAGAGAGTGACAAAAAATATTTTACAGTTTTTTGAAAGTAAAACATATTTACCATTATAATCCACTAATCCCACTTTTAGGTATTTACCATAAAGAAATAAATATTTGTGTTTGTGCAAAAACTAGTACATGAGTTCGTATTATATAAACGAATGTTTATAACATTATGTTTCATAATTCCAAAACTGAAAATAACCCATATTTCATTCAGCGGGTGAATTCTAAACACTCTGTGATACATCCATACAATGAAAACTGTTCAGCTCTGTCAGGGTAATGTATATCACAACATAAATTAAGCTCAAATGTATTGTGCTAACTGAAAGTAGCTGTACTCAAAAAGTTACATGTGGTAGGATTCTATTTATGTGATATCTGGAAGAGACAAAACAGTCAGAGAAAACAGTCAGTAATTGCCAGAGATTGGGGTGGAGAGAGGGGTGTGACTTCAACTGAGTATCATGAGGGATTTTTTTTTTGCTTCGAGAGAACTATTCTGTATCCTGATTGTTATGGTGGTTACATAACTCTACATATTTACTAAAACTCATAATACTATACAACCACCACAAAAAAACTTTCTAGTTTGTAATTTTAAATATTAAAAAAGTTTTAAAGAGATCTTGTCAAAAGATCTCTTGAAAAATAATATTGTCTTTTTTTGAAAAAAGAGAGCAAGCCCCCAGTTTGTGAGATGTTAGAACATTTACAAGGTAAGCTGTATATTATTTCCGGAGTTATGAATGGTTACATTCTAGTTTCCCTTATATGTAGATAAGACCCATCAATGTGATTATTAGAAAAAATAGATGCATTTTTGTCAGAGAAGTGATATGGACAGGATGCAGGGAAATACTAGATAGAAAAGGGTGGGGTCCCTGGCAAGGGCTCCACCCTCAAACCTGGACCCGCAGCCCTAAATGAGAACATGCATTCCTGTTTTCTTTCCTGAATGTTGCCTTTTCCAAAACCACCCTGGCCTGCCACTCCCCTGACCTTGTACCCATAAAAACCCCAAGCTCCAATGGCAGAGGAGCAGAGTGGAGCAGCAAAGAAGGAGAGAAGAGAAGCAGCAGCCAGACATAGGAGAAAAGCAGCTTGACTTTAGAGGAATGGCCAAAGTCCAGGGGATGATTGTCTTCCCGCTCCATCCCCCTTCCAGATCCCCTTCCTGCTGAGAGCCACTTCCATCACTCAATAAAATCCCCCACATTAACCATCCTCCAATTTGTTTGCACTACCTCATTCCTTCTGGACACCAGACAAGGACCTGGGTGTGGGTGCAAAAGGCTGTCACAATGACTCTCCACTGAGGTGTTTAACACTTCAGCCATCCATAGATGGCAAAGCTAAAGGAGTACACTGTAACACACGCCCTCTGGGGCTCCAGGGTTTGCAGGCAACCCCTAGATGTTACCACAGGTCAGTATAGGGTTTGCACCTGTTGGCACCGAAAGGCACTTGCCCTGGCCCCTGCACCTGCTTACCTATATGCTCTCCCTCCTGCAAGGTGTTTGAGCACTGCAGGCTGAGTAAGAAAGCCACTCCTCATGTGAAGGGGTCAAGGGAACTATCCTGTCTCAGAAGAACCCCCAGAATGACCATAAACTTCACTTTTAGGCTGCAAGCACAGTTTATCAGGAAGATGATAATCCATACTGACAGATCAATTAAATGATAGAATCATGCCCTAGGCCCCCAAGAATGCCATAATCAGAGAACATTCAAGGAATATTGGTGGTAACTGGGAGTTTAGGAGCTGCTGGCAGGAGAGTGTTGGGACTATCAATTCAAGTTTTTCAGACCTGCTGGGGGCTATTAGCTACATCACTGGAGATTGGTGTATTTTTTTTCTGAAGCTATCAGCATATTTAACCCCAAAGCTATATATATTATTGCCTTGCTGGATTTCAAGGCCTTTCTCATTAGAGGCATTGAAAATGATTAAAAGTTGTTTACCAGCTCAGGTCCTTTTGCCATAGAATAATTCTTGGCCTCCCTAATAGTAACTAGGAAGTCCAAGACTATAATTCAGATTAATTGGAATAGTATGGAATGAAAAACCTGAGGGAAGCCTCGTTGCTTGAGGTATCAAAGTAAGCTATTATTTCCATCTTACTTTCCCACCCTCCTCTGACTCCTCTCCCTTAAAAGGGCATTGACTACAAACAGAAGTGATAAACCCTCCCTTAGACTGGCCAGTACAGGGATTATTTCCATGAATCATTACCTGTGACCACCTATTTATTTTTGGTGAGCAGTCCTAACAGAAGTGAAGGCTTGATAAGCTCAGGCTTGTGCTGCAATAGTGTCTTTGGAATGCTGGCTCTGCTTCGTTCTAAAAGTATGGCAGAGCCTTTGCTGCCACTAAAATTGACCAGACCGGAAATGTACTCTTTACTAATAGGGTATTCAGTATGGCTGTCCTTCTCTTTCATTGGCTTCTGGTTTCCATCCATTTTGTGATGGAAATGGGGCAGAACCCCACTATGTACCTTCTGCCTTCTTCTGATGCCTAGATATCACCAGTTCTAGGCAAGATGATCGCAGAATCATTTTTTGCTCATATACAGCAAGACTTTTTCTACTCTGTCTAGATACAAGTTGTGTTTTTCAGGAATAATGGTTTATCTGGTTTCCAGTGCAGTTAGCTCACATAAAACTGAGCAGAGGGTTTGGCTGTAGGTAGCGTGCTGTTTGGGGAACTTGAAGAATCTGTGTAAATATTCTTTTGAGGATGAAGAGAGAGAGAGATGAAATCTGAGTTATAGTACTAAGCTTAACATAGCTCCATATGCCATTTCATTGACCTCAGGGTTGCATTGAGAGCATCATCAGGGACTTCTGAGGCCCTTAGTAGAGGGAATTTCAACGTCTCTTATGGAAATACATCTGAGAAAGCACCAGATCCCCTAAGCAGACTGGTGCATCTGTTCTCCAGCTCTGTGAATGTTGGCTGCTGATGACTTACAGCTGCCCTCCTATGGGAGAATTGCCCTTGGCTGATAGGAAACCGGTTTACTATCAGAGGTTATGTGCTGCTGTCCAACTCAGGGGCAACTGGGGCAATGACTAAGTGATATCAGGGAGCATAATTCAAGCCCACTTGTCTCAACTGGGACTATCTCTGTGTTGAGATTTATGTTCCAGAGCCCCTGTGGATAAGACTTTACCTGAGACCACAAGTGTGATGGTTAATTTTATGTGTCACCTTGACTGGGTTCTAGGATGCTCAGATATTTGGTGAAGCATTATTCTATATGTTTCTGTGAGAGTGTTTCCAGAACAGATTAATATTTAAGTTTGTAAGCTGAGTAAAACTCTATCCAATGTGGATAGATATTATTTAATCTCTTGAGGTCCTAAATAGAAGAAAAAGGCAGAGAAAAGGTGAACCCACTCTCTCCATATGACTATTGAGCTAAGATACTGATCTCTTCTTACCCTTGGTACTCCTGGTTCTCAGGCCTTTAGGCTCAGATTGGAATCTATAACATTGGCTTTCAGCTCTCGGGTCTTAAAATATACTACTGGCTTTCCAGGATCTCCAGTTTGCAGATGGCAGATTATGGGACCCCTCAGCCTCCATGGTCACAAGAGCCAATAGCGTCTAAAAACGTCTTTATAGAGATATAAACATTTATATTTATCTACAGATAACTTTATATCTTTATATAACTTTAATTCTAATCTATCTCTCTCTCTGCACATACATACACGCACACACACACACACTCACACACAATTTGTTCTCTTTTTCCATAGAACCCTGACTAATGTAAGTTTAGCCTTTTCCCCGTACAATTCTTCTCTTCTTTTCTCTTCTCTTATAGGATTGTCCTGAAGGACACTCCCTCAGTAAATCCTGTGCACCCAAATTGTTATCTCAAGCTCTGCTTTCTGAGGAGCTTTCCCTAGCCACCAATTCCTTAGAGTTATTGGCAACACCTATCTTACCTGGCTTTGTTTCTCACCTCTTATCTTCTGGCACAGTTTTGAACATTTCTCAGTCTCTCTCAGTCTTTTTTGAACATTTCTCTGTCTCTCTGTTAGCCTCTCTCTCTCTCTCTCGTTTGCGTAGCAGCTCCTCAATTTTATTAAACACATCAACATTTATTCACTATTAAAGGGAAACAAACACTCAGGATGTATAACAATAATAAAAGTGGTTAGATTGTAGATGTTTAAATTTTCTTTGTGTTTTAGGTATATATGTCCCTGTTTTCTTTGTAATGAAGAGGTATTGTCTTTTTTAAATTATTTATTTTTATACTGTCAACTTATTTTAGATTCAAGGGATACATTTGCAGGTTTGTTAAATGGATATACTGTGTGATGCTTATATTTGGGATATAAATGATCTTGTCACCCAAGTAGTGAGCATAGTACCCAACAGTTAGTTTTCCAATCCTTCCCCTCCTGTTTCCCTCCCCTGACTAGTAGTCCCCAGTGTCAGTTGTTCCCACCTTTGTGTTCATGAATACCAAATATTTAGCTCCCACTTATAAGTGAGAACATGAGGTATTTAGTTTTCTGTTCCTGCATTAATTCACTTAGGATAATGGCCTCCAGCTGCATACATGTTGTTGCAAATAACATAATTTCATTCTTTTATTTATGGCTGTGTGTATTTATTATTCCATGGTATATATGTAACACATTTTCTTTATCCAATCCAAAGTTGATAGACATCTAGGTTAATTCCATTTCTTTGCTATCGCAAATAGTGCTATGACGAACATACACATTAATGTATATTATTGGTAGAATGATTTATTTTCTTTTGCATATATACCTAGAAGTGGGATTGGAGGGTTGAGTGGTATTCCATTTTAAGTTATTCGTGAAACCTTCAAACTGCTCTCCGTAGTGGCTGAACTAGTCTACGTTCCCACCAACGGTGTACAAGTGTTTCTTTTTCTCTGCAGCCTCATCAGAATCTGTGGTTTTCAACTTTTTAATAATAGTCATTCTGATTGGTGTGAGATGGTATTTCATTGTGATTTTGATTTACATTTCCCTAATGATTAGTGATGTTGAGTATATTTTGAGGTTTATTGGCTGTTTGTATATCTTCTTTTGGGAAGTGTCTATTCATGTCTTTCGTTTGCTTTTTAATGGGGTTGTTTTTTGATTGTTGATTTGAGTTCCTTACCAATTCTAGATATTAGACCTTTGTCAGATGTGTAGTTTGAGAATATTTTCTCCCATTTTGTTGGTTGTTTACTCTGCTGTTTATTTCTTTTGCTGTGCAGAATCTCTTTAATTAGGTCTCATTGTCAATTTTTGTTTTTGTTGCAATTGCTTTTGAGGAGTTAGTCATAAATTCTTTTCCTAGGGCAATGTCCATAATGGTGTCTCCTAGGTTTTCTTCTAGGATTCTTATAGTTTTAGATCTTAACATTCAAATCTTGTATTCAACTTGAGTTAATTTTTGTATATGGTAAAATGTAGTTTTATGCTTCTTAGTCAGTTATCCCAAGACCATTTATTGAATAGTATCTCCTTTTCTTTTGCTTATTTTTGTCAACTTTATTGAAGATCAGCTGGCCGTAGGTGTGCAACTTTATTTTTGGGTTATATATTCTGTTCCATTGTTCTATGTGTCTGATTCTTTGCTAATACTATATTGTTTTGATTACTGTAGCCTTGTAACATAGTTTGAAGTCAGGTAGTGTGATGCCTCTAGCTTTGTCTTTTTTGCTTAGGATTTCTTTCACTATTCAGGCTCTTTTTTGTTTCCATATGAATTTTAGAACAGTTTTTTTTCTAATTCTGTGAAAAATGACACTGGTAGTCTGATAAGAATAGTATTGAATCTGTAGATTGCTTTGGCCAATATGGCCATTATAACAATATTGATTCTTCTAATCCATGAGCGTGGCATGTTTTTCCGTTTGTTTGCATCATCTATGATTTCTTTCAGCAATATTTTATAGTTCTTGTAGATATCGTTTACCTCCTTGGTCAGATGTATTTTTTTGTGGCTATTGTAAATGAGATTATTATTATTTTTTTTTTTTTTTGGCTGGGGGTGGGTGGTAGGAACAGAATCTTGCTCTGTCACCCAGGCTGGAATGCAGTGGTACGATCTCTCAGCTCACTGCAACCTCCACCACTCAGGTTCAAATGATTCACCGGCCTCAGCCTCCTGAATAGCTGGACTACAGGCGCATGCCCATCACGCCCAGCTAATTATTATATTTTTAGTAGAGACAGCTTTTTGCCATGTTGGCAAGGCTGGTCTTGAACTCCTGACCTCAAGTGATCCTCCCACCTTGGCCTCCCAAAGTGCTGGGATTACAGGTGTGAGCCACTGCACCTGGCCGGAGATTGCATTCTTGATTAAGCTTTCAGCTTGAATGTTATTGGTTAATAGAAATACAACTGATTTTTGTACATTGATTGTGTATCCTGAAACTTGACTGAAGTCATTTAGCTGTTCCAGGAGTCTTTTAGCAGAGTCTTTAGGGTTTTCTAGGCGTAGAATCATATCATCAGTGAAGAGAGGTAGTTTGACATCTTATTTTCCAATTTGGATGCTTTTTATTTTTTTCTCCTATGTGATTGTTTTAGCTAGGATTTCCAGTACTGTGTTGAATTGGAGTGATGAGAGTAGTCACCCTTATCTTGTTCAACATCTCTTTAGTCCTGGAGGTGGTCTTGGAGTTGTGGTGTGTATGGCTGTCTTTAATCTGAGTCAGATCTAGTCCCTTTAGGAGGCATCAGACTAACTCAAACTCACCCACAATATGATATACAGAGATCACATGGAACTGTTTAGGCAAAAGGTGAGGGGCAAAAAAAGATAGGAAATGATATACATCTTTGTTCATAAACTAGAGAACAATCAGTGCAACTAGGAGCTATTCTGGAATGTGTCAATTCTGAGAGAACAAGAGCCCAAAATGTTTCTAGAGAAATGCTCTTTATAGGAGAGAAAGATGCATAATCTCTTACTGGTAGAATTATATATGATATTCATTTCACATAAGGCACAGCAATGTAATAATGTCTTAGGTTGTTATTTATTGTGGATCCTTCAAATCTCCACAAATCACTACAGCTCTTTCTAGCTAGACAGATATTCCCTATTGTATCTTTATTGATCACTCTCCTTCCTCTTTCTTTGCTTCAAAAAAAGATGCTTGGTTTTATCCTTTGTATTTTGGTTATTGCATTTTAATCCATTCCTAAAATATTATTTGAGTCCTACAATTCCTACCCCCTGCATTTGTCTAGACTTTCCTGAATGTGTTGTATTGGCAAGTATTCAAAAGCTTTTGTGCTAATTATAGCTTGACAGTTCATTGGAGAACTTAATTAATAAACCATACACGTGTGTAAGAGACATCAATTAGACCAGAATTCATATACCTATTTTTATGCTACCCTTCATACTAGAAAGCAGGTGATAGAAAGCCCAGGGTAAAAATGCATCAAGAAAATATGCTATTTCTGGAAGACAGTAAATGTATGGGGTTGGGAGAAGAAGGCAGAAGTTCAGAGTGACAGGCCAGCAAGCAGGAAATGTGAAGACCTAAACCATTCATTGACCAAGTAAGCAATACCTAAGAATTAAAAACAAATACATTCTGGTCTGATGAGATGGCTCACACCTGTAATCCCAGCACTTTGGGAGGCCGAGGCAGGTGGATCATTTGAGTTCAGGAGTTCGAGACCAGCCTGACCAACATGGTGAAACCCCATCTCTACTAAAAAAATACAAAATTAGCTGGGTGTGGTGGCACACGCCTGTAATCCCAGCTACTTGGGAGGCTGAGGCAGGAGAATTATTTGAACCTGGGAGGCGGAGGTTGCAGTGAGCTGAGATTGCGCCATTGCACTCCAGCCTGAGCAACAAGAACGAAACTCCATCTACAAAAAAATTAAATAAATACATTCTTTTAGATTTTGTTTTTCTAATTGCTAACATGCTATCTAGTCTACTTTTAGCATTCACCCTTCAAAGGCATGAAGATCATGGGCTTTTAGGTATGTTTTTGTGGTTGTCAACTCTTCACAATGATTTTGAAAGAAATATTTTCTTTACACTCCCAAGAAGATTTAGTCTAATCACATCAATTTTTTGAAGATCAATAGATATTGAGGTGAGAGTCCAGAGAAACAAACTATAGAATTATTAATCATATGCTCTCATTACACAAGCACAGAGGTGCTTAATTAAATAATGTTTCTGTGTGGGTGAAGGTGGGTCAGGACCATAGATTTCTTAGACACACTAGCCTTGATAGACTAGTGAGTAAAGAAAGGAGAGCATATATATGGAACAGTATCACACACCTCTGGGACCTTCCTGACTCCTATCCTCTCAAAATCACCTCTGATTTCAACTGTTCTCCAGTGGCTAGTTCCTTGTGGGCTTCATGTACTGCATTTGGATGTTTCACCTTCAGCATATGCCACATGTGTTCCCCTTTATGTCCCAGGTTTCTCTAATATGTTGGACACTGTCAGGAGCTCATTAGTTTAAGTACATGTACATTAGTTTAAGTCTGGAAGTGCAGAGAGTGAATGACCCAGGACAGCCCTCAACAAATGTGTAATGGGATGGGAGCTGATGATTTAAAACTTCTGGTCAGCTCTCTGGTGGAAAATTCTGTGAGGCAAACTATATGTTCCTCAAAGTCTGCAGTAGAGGATCTTGCCCACTACTCTCAGTAAGTGATCAAGAGTGTAACTTTCTACTGAAGCTTTCTTTCTCCCTCAGTCTCTCAGCTCCTTTACTCCTGCATCCAGGAATAAATATCTGCCCACAAATCCTTGTCACTGACTGCTTTTCAGGAGTACCCAAATTAAGATAGTTAGTGTCAGGAGTGACTTTAGAAATCAAATGCTTACAATGAAATTGAGCCCAACTTCCCACAGCAGTGGACTAAGGAACATGACTTATTGTCTTTTCCTCCTTCCTTCATTCTCTCCTGTTCTCACTCCTCCTCCTTGGATCACCTCCTGAGTCAATGTTGGACACGAGTTCTTACTCAGGGTCTGCTATTGGTGGAAACCCAAACTTAGGGACTGAGCAGGAGTAATAAGAGAAATGGAGCTGGTAGTTTCGCATAAGTCAAAGGATAGACAAATTTCAAAAACAGTAATTAGTAACATCAAAAGCTATAGAGAGGTTAAATGAGATGAGAACTAGCCCGGGGGTGGTGGCTCATGCCTGAAATTCCAGAATTTTGGAGCAGAGAGGATTGCTTTAGTGCAGGGGTTTGAGACGAGCTTGGGTAACTTGGTGAAACCCCAGCTCCACAAAAACTACAAAAATTAGCCAGGCATGCTGGCATGCATCTGTAGTCCCAGCTACTGTGGTGGCTGAGGTAGGAGAATCACTTGAGCCTGGGAAGTCAAGGCTGCAGTGAACCATGATTGCACCATTGCACTCCAGCCTGGGTGACAGAGTGAGACCCTGTCTCAAACAAAACAAACAAAGATGAGAATGGAAAAGAATCACATTTAACAATTGGAAGGTTTAAGGCAATCTTGGAATAGAGCTGTCAATGCAATAAAGAAAGTAGATTTTTTTTCTATTGTTGAATTTTTTCAAAGTCTTCATTTCTCTGGTTTTGAGCTACAAACTTTCTCATCTTCCTGAACCTCCAGGCTATAAACTTTAACACTTCCAATCTACCCAAATAAATAATCTATGTTGAAACATACGAGTTAACCCTATCCCTTTTGTCTCCACAAATTTATTTTGCATTTATTTTTTGACAGCCCAAACACCCACTTCCTTTGGAGTTGAGCCAGTCCACTTCTCTCACTTTAGCCTATACTTTCTGCCTCCTTTTTTCACTTACCTGTGACCCTCTAATTGTTTGATTCCTCTGATTTTACATGACTGACAATGACTTGATTCCTTCATAATCAAAATTGGTTTTCTTGCTTTTTTTTGAATATGTAAATCATCCTTTTTTAAAAAAGTCTTACCATTAAGCTTCTCTAAATTCTGGAGTTTGCTATGCATGTTAGAAGAATATTGAAACAAAATACAGGCTGAGTGTGGTGGCTTATGCCTGTAATCCCAGTACTTTGGGAGGCTAAGGCGGACGGATCACTTAAGGTCAGGAGTTCGAGACCAGCCTGGTCAACATGGTAAAACTCTGTCTCTACTAAAAATACAAGAATCAGCCAGGTGTAGTGGCGTGTGCCTGTAATCCCAGCTACTCAGGAGGCTGAGGCAGGAGAATCACTTGAACCCAGGAGGTGGAGGTTATAGTGAGCCGAGATCATGCCACTGCACTCCAGCCTGGGTGACAGAGTGAAACTGTGTCTCAAAAAACAAACAACAACAACAACAACAACAACAACAACAAAAATCCAACAAAATACATTGGTAAAGGTTTTGATTCATTTTTGGCGTCGAGTAATGAGGGTAAGGAAACTTATTATTTATTAGAAGGATCCAGAAATGGCAGACTCAATGAATAAAAATTATTTTGCTGGTGTTAAAATGCATGTTCTTTAGAATTTTATTTTAATCTTTAATTTGAAATAGTCTTTTCCTTCACAATGTCTCAGACATTATTGTCGATGTCTGAATCATCTATAAATTCCCAGCATACACTACATTGTCCTTTCTGAGCACAGTCAATTCCATTGGCAATATGGATAATTATTCTGATTATTGTAGGTGAATCTGTTCAGTAAGCAATTATGCAGCTTTGGAAATTTTCTAGACACTCTGAGAATGTGAAGTGTAAGAAGTTCATGTGGATGTGGTCTCAGAAGTCAAGACAGTGTTTAACCTTGGGGAAATGGATGCTTGTGACTGAAAAGAGGGTTCAAGGGGACTTCTAGTGTCTTGTAAATGTTCTCTTTCTTGATCTGGGTACTGATTACATGGGTATATTCAGTTTGTGAAAGTTCAGTCAGTTTTACACTTATGGTTTACATACATTTATGTATGTATTTTATACTTAAATACAAACTTAAACATTAAAATGATACCATAAATTTATTAGATGTGAACATAGAATTATTTTAAAACTTGACATTGAAGAAGTTCTTAACTATTACTCATAAATCAAAAGTCAATAGAAAAATAACTAACTAACTTGAGTAAAAAAAAGAAAACATACCATACAAGGTCAAAAGTTAAATGCCAAATTAGAAAATATAGTTGCAACTTACATTATGACAAAGGGCTAAATCTTCTAGTATAGAAAGAGTTCCAAGAAATCAGTAAGCAAAAGAACTACCTAATTAAAAATGCATCTAAGAGATTAAGTCTGTTTTCCACTGTTTAAATCTGGGCTATTTCTGGGACTTGCTTTGGTCAATAAGATGTGGTAGATGGGAGGCTGTGCCAGTTCCAACTCTAGGCCAAGAAGACTTGCATGCTTCCTTTTATTTATTTATTTATTTATTTATTTTTGAGATGGAATCTCACTCTGTCACCCAGGCTGGAGTGCATTGGCACTGTCTCAGCTCACTGCAACCTCTGCCTCCTGGGTTCAAGCAATTCTCCTGCCTCAGCCTCCTGAGTAGCTGAGACTACAGGCATGTGCCACCACGCCCAGCTAATTTTTGTGTTTTTAGTAGAGATGGGGTTTCACCATGTTGGCCAGATGGTCTTGATTTCTTGACCTTGTGATCTGCCTGCCTTGGCCTCCCAAAGTGCTGGGATTACAGGTGTGAGCCACTGCGCCTGGCCTAGGACTTGCATGCTTTTGTTCACCTCCTTGGAACTCAGCTGAGCCACCATGCTAATAAGCTCAGGCTAGCCTATAAAAGGATGAAAGACCATATGGACTAGAGATGAACCCTCCCCTACCCAAGCTGAGTCTGGCCTCTGCTCAACCAAGGATGTGACTGCAGACTTACGAATGGGCCCAGATTAGGTGATCTGAGCCAGGCCAAGTTCTGTAGAATTACCCAGTTACTCAACAGATACAAGAGCACTAATAAAATGTTGTATGAAGCCATGCATTTTGGGTGCTCATTATGCAGCAAGATACAACCGATACATGAGACAAGAACTACTTTTATCTATTGACAAGTCTCTACCTTTCTTCCCAAACACCACACACACACACACACACACACACACACACACACAGAGTTGTGTGTGGTGGTGGGGGAGGCAGAAGAATGTTTCTAACTGAGCTGCACTTAGAAACTCTACACTGCAGTTCTCAATCAAATGAATGGCAGTTCCAGCACCTTTATGAACTTGCCAGTAACCATTAGTACAGCTCTAGGAAGCTGAATTTTTTTTTCATATATTTTATGGCTCACATTCTGCCACTGCAGCCATCATTGCCATCAGAATGCCACAGTGCATGGATTCTCACCTTCAGCATACATTTCCCTTCTGAGAAAAAAAAGGAGATTGACTTACACAATGATTCTGTTGATTTGAAGGAGAAAAAGAAGTCTGTAACTGAGACTATGCAGACAGTGCCATCCAGACTCACGTTTGTATTCTCAGCCCTAATTAGCTCTTTTGGAGCAGATTGTTTGCAATGAGCTCCAGAAAATTGAGTATGATTTACTCAAGGCAAACAAGGTTCAGTTGTTAACCTTCCAGTATTTAATGAGGTAATATCTTAAGGATGAACAACAGTTAACAAAGAATCTCATCAATAAGAATCAAGACTGTGCCAGAATTCAATTTTACACCAAAAAACGAGTCTCTGGAGAAAAATAAATTCTATGGCATGAAGTGAGTGCAGGAAGTGCTATAAAAAAGTATCATTCTAACTTGAAGCCGATAATTTAATTTCAGGGTGTCCAATATTGAAAAGCAAATATAAGGAAAACAATATTTTTATTCTGCTGCAGAAGGCAATGAAAAAACGATGAAAAATGTGACAAAAAGCATTTCTGACTTCATAGAGAGCATTATTCTAAAATTGTGAATTTTAAATACTGTATAGTCTTAGCTATGAATTATTTCATTAATAAAACAAGTGATCAGAGTGAGGTGTGGGAGACTACTCAGACATTTTTGCATATGGTGGGAGGATTCCCGTGCTCCGCCCTAGGTGAGAATGAATCTACAGCCATTCCCACAACTCCTTGTACTCTTCCAACTTAGCTTTCCACACTAAATACTCACTCTTTGCTGAGTATGCTTCGTATTGCTGCAGTTTCTTATCCTTTACCATCCTATTCTGTTTACCTGGACTACCTTTCCTGTCTTTCATGGTCTGCCAAGTTTTAGCTAATTTTTAAACTCCTAATCAAATTATCTTTTTACCAAAGAAAAATGAATCTCTTCTTCATATGTGTTTCTCGGATGCATTTTACACGGAGGTTTCTGGAGAGACTCTGAGCCACTAATAGGTAAAAACTGAACTATTATTTCTGTATTTTTAGCTCTGAGATCATAGCTGCTGGACTGAATTAAAAGAATTTGGAGTACTGGCACCTTCCATAAATCTCAGAATGTATTTTACATAGGTGCATAGAGAAAAATTTGCACAAAGAACATGTAGACACTAAGTAAGAATAAAAAGATGCATTTTAATCACACCTCTTAGGACATCCCAGATACAGGATAGAAATTCAATTTCTGATTCTTGCTTAATTTGAAGAATGGGTTAGTGGAGTGATTGCAAAAATGGCTATAATTATTCCTTTCCTATATCAACACCCCCTTTATAATGTGATTTTCTAGCTTCTATCAACAAAAGGTGACATCTATGTCCCTACTCTGTGAACCTGGGATGACCTTGGAACTTGCTTCAACAATGAAATGCGTAAGTCATGCTGTGCGAGTCCCAAGCCTACACTTCAGAAGACCTTGAATTCTTCTGCTTCCTCTCTTAGGAATTTGCCCAGCTATCAGGTGAAACATCTTAAGCTAGCCTACTAGAAGTTGCCAGACCATATAGACTAGAAACAAGCCATCTCAGCTGGGACCATCTGAGTCCAGTCAGCCTAAGCTAACCTAACAGCTATGCAGAGATGCATGCGTGAATGCAGAGAAGACCAGATAAACCATTCAGCTGAGTCCTGCCCAAATTGCTAATCCACTGAGTAGTGAACTAAATGAATGGTTGTTGTTTAAAGTATCTGTGTTTTGACAACCCCATAAAAAGTGGGCAAATGATATGAACAGACACTTCCTTTGAGAAACTTCTCAAAAGAAGACATTTATGTGGCCAACGAACAAATGAAAAAAAGCTAAACATCACTGATCACTAGAGAAATGCAAATCAAAACCACAAGGAGATACCATCTCACACCATCTCATAATGGCAATTGTTAAAAAGTCAAGAAACAATAGAGGCTGGTGAGGCTATGGAGAAATAGGAATGCTTTTATACTGTTGCTGGAAATATAAATTAGAGCAACCAACATGGAAGACAGTGTGGCAATTTCTCAAAGATCTAGAACCCGAAATACCATTTGACCCAGCAATCCCATTACTGAGTATATACCCAAAGGAATATAAATCATTCTACTATAAAGACACATGCACACGTATGTTTATTGCAGCACTATTTACAATAGCAAAGACATGGAACCAACCCAAATGCCCATCAATGATAGTCTGGATAAAGAAAATGTGGTACATATACACCGTGGAATACTATGCCACCATAAAAAAGAATGAGATCATGTCCTTTTCAGGGACATGGATGAAGCTGGAAGCCATCATGCTCAGCAAACTTTTGCCCATTTTTAATAGGGGTGTGTGTGTGTGTGTGTGCACGTGCTATTGAGATATCTGTGCTCCTTTTATAATCAGGATGCTAATTCCTTGTCAGGGGGGTAATTTGCAAATATTTTCTCCCATTCTGTGGGTTGTCTCTTCACTGTTGATTGTTTCCTTTGCTATATGGGAGCTTTTTAGCCTCATATAATCCTATTTTTCTATTTTTTTGCTTTAGTTACCTGTGCTTTGAGATCTTATACAGAAAATCTTTGCCCAGACCAATGGCCTGTAATGTTTCCAAATGTTTTCTTCTAGTAGTTTTATAATTTTAGGTCTTAGATTTAAATGTATAGACCATTTTCATTTGATTTTTTTGTGTGTCTAATAAAAGATTGTGTTTCCGTTTAATTCTCTGCATATAGATATTCAGTTTTCCTAGCACAATTTATTAAAGAAACTGTTTTTCCCCATTTCATCATTGTTCGACAAAGATGAGTTGGCATAAATGTGTGGATTTATATCTGGGTTCTGTATTCTGTTTCATTTGTCTATGTATCTGTTTTTATGACAGTATGATGCTGATTTAGTTACTATAGCTTTGTAATAAATTCTGAAATCAGGTAGTGTGATGCCTCTAGGTTTGTTCTTTTAGCTCAGCATAACTTTGGCTATTCTGGCCATTTCTGAACATAGGGTTATATTAGTCTGTTTTCATGCTGCTGATAAAGACACCTGAAACTGGGAACAAAAAGAGGTTTAAATGTACTTACAGTTCCACATAGCTGAGGAAGCCTCAGAATCAAAATGGGAGGCAAAAGGCACTTCTCACATTGGAAGCAAGAGAAAAATGAGGAAGAAGCAAAGGTGGAAACCCCTGATAAAACCATCAGCTCTCATGAAACTTATTCATTATCATGAGAATAGCATAGGAAAGACCAGCCCACATGATTCAATTACATTCTCCTGGGTCCCTCCCACAAGATGTGGGAATTCTGCGAGATACGATTCAAATTGAGATTTGTGTGGGAACACAGCCAAACTATATCAAGGGTGTTAAAGTCCCCTATCATTATTATATTGCAGCCTATCTCTCCTTTTAAATTTATTAATGCATGCTTTATATACTTAGGAGCTCATATGTTGGGTGCATAGATACTTATAATTGTTATATTCTCTTACTGAACTGACCCTTTTATCATTATATAGTGACCTTCTTTGTCTGTTTTTATAGACTTTTATTTGTAATCATCATTTTATCTAAGTATAGCTACTCCTGCTCTTTAGTGGTTTCCAGTTGCCTTGAATACATTTTTTTTGCACCCCTTCATTTTCACTTTATGTGTACCTTTATTGGTGAAGTAGATTTTGTGTAGGTAGCGTATAGTTGGGTTTTCTTTCCTTATTCATTCAGCTTCTCTATAGCTTTTTATTGGAGAATTTAGTCCATTAACATTCAGTGTTATTATTAAGAATTACTACTGTCATTTCTGGATTGTTTTCTGGTTGTTTTGTAACTTCTCTCTTCCTTTCTTTTTTCTTCCTGTCTTTTGTGATTAGTGGTTTTCTCTGGTAGCATGTTTTAATTCATTGCTATTTATTTTTTGTGAGTATATTATAGGTTTTGCATTGTGGTTACCATGTGACTTATAAAAAACATAAACATAACAAGTTGTCTTAAAGAGATGAGTACTTATCTTAGATCACACAGAAAATAATAGAAATAAAAAAGAAAAATATTCTACCCTTTAACATCGTACCCCCACATTTTGACTCTTAGTTGTTTCAACTTATTTTTTATTATGTATCTCTTAATAGGTTTCTATAACTATAGCAAAATGATATATTTGCATTTTGGGCTTCATAGTGGAATTATAAGTGGATTACACACTACAATTCAAATATCAGAGTATTTTAGTTTGTCCGTATGTTTAATTTTACCAGTGGGTTTTATACCTTCAATTTTTTAAAGTTCATTTATTTTTTTCTTTAAGATCGAAGAATTTCCTTTAGCATTTAGCACTTCCTGTAAGACAAATCTGGTGATGGTGAATACCCTCAGTTTTATTTGTTTGGGAAAGACTTTATATCACTTTAATATTAGCAGGATAAGCGTGCTGGATACAGTATTCTTGAATGGCAATTCTTTTCTTTCAGCACTTCGAAAATGTCAAGAATATCATTCTGCTCCCTCTTGGCCTATATGCTTTTTGTTGAAAATTCTGTTGCCAGATGAATTGGAGCTCCTTTATATGTTATTTGCTTCTTTTCTCTTGTTGCTTTTAGTATCTTCTGTTTGTTGTTGACTTTTAAGAATTTGATTAATTTAGGCTTGGGGCGGTCTCATTTGGGTCTAATCTGTTGGTATTCTCTGCCCTTCCTGTACCTGGATATTTAAATCTTTATTGAATTTTGAGAAGTGTACTCTTATTATTTATTTGAATAAGCTTTCCACTTTGTGCTCTTGCTCAACTCCTTTTTGAACACCACTAATTCTTATATTTGGTATTTTGATCTAATTTTCTGTATCTTGTAGGTGATCTTTGTTGCTTTTCAATTTTTCTTTTTCTCCTCTCACTGTATTTTTAAATGGGCTGTCTTCAAGATCACTGATTCTTTCCTCTGCTTGATCCACTTTGCTGTTGAGATCCTTTAATGAATTTTTCAGTCTAGCAAATGTATTTTCTAAGTTCCAAAATTTCTGTTTGCCTTCTTAAAATACTTCAATCTCTTTGTTAAATTTCTGTGATTAATTTCAGAATTATTTTTCTGTGTTATCTTGGAGATCACTGTTTTCTTAAAACTGCAGTTTTGAATTCTTGGTCAGAGAGCCCACATATCACGGTCTCTTTAGGGTCAGTCACTGATTCTTTGCTTTGTTAATTGGGGAGATTATGATTCCCTGTTTGCTGTTGTTTCTTGTGGACATATATCTATGTCTTTGCATTGAAGGATTAATTATTTATTCCAGTCTTCTGTCTGGCTGATTTTGTTTTTTATTAAATATGTTTGCTTAGATGTTGTTTGCCACTAGATCATTGCCTCCTTTTTGGCTCTAGGTGGCATCTTAAGCCCAGGTTCACTTCAGCTCTAGTAAAGGATAGGAGCACTGGCCTTCCTCATTGCGGAAGCTCAGGAAGGGGATACCCAGCAATGTGGGAAAACTGGAAAGGGGCTTGTGTCCAGAGGACTTATGGAATAAATCTACAGCGTGGTGATGCTGAACAGCCACTCTGACTGGGCATGTCCTTTGACTGAGTTATAGAGCAGAAGTTCTAGGACTGGGGATGGTAGTCCCATCTTCTCTTTTTGTCTTCCCTGTCCTCAGTGATGCTTAAGGGACTCATGATGCTTCCTGTGGATTAAGGCATGAGCAGATTTCCTGCCAGCAAACTCAAGATGGTGGTACAACACCGTCTTGAGGTGGCCGTCCACCTCAATACGTTTTGTCCTTTTTAAAAATTGTGAGTTGGACGAAAATTTTCCTGGTGCTTGGTGCTTGGCAGAATAGGGGGAGGGACATCACAGATATGCAGGTTACATTCTTTTACTGTCTACCTGGAGTTTTCTCACTTCTCCGTGGCCCTGGGAAGTGTCTCATCTTCATATTTGAATTGTCTAATATTGCTAGTGATGATTTTGGTGCTGTATGTTAGTTTTTGGTTTTCTGTGGTGGGTAGTGAAACCAACTTGCTTCTATTTTGCCATTATGGAACCAGAAGCCAGTCTTTTCACTTTCTTGAAAATGTCCTTTTATGAAAAAAAGTTAGTAACTTTGATGCAGCCTTCAATTTATCTATATTTTGTTTTGATGCTTGAGCTTTTGGTGTCATATTTTAAGAATCTTAAACTAATATAAGATTATGATGATTTAACCCTATGTTTTCTTTTAAGGGCTTACAGTTTTAACACTTAAATTTAGGTTGTTGAATCATTTTGAGTTAATTGTTATATATGGTGTGAGATAGAAATTCAACTTTATTCTTTAACTCTGCTGTCCCAGCACAATTTGTGGAAGAGATTCTCCTTTTACCATTGAACGGTCTTGGCACTCTTGCTGAAAATCAATTGGCTATAGATGTATGAGTCTATTTATGGACTCTTGATTTTTTTTCCTTTGGCCTGTATATCTCTCCTTATGCCACTAAAACACTGATTTGATTGCTAGAGCTTTGCAGTAATTTGAAATTGGGGAGTATGAATCTTCCAACTTTGTTCTTTTTTAAAAGACTGTTTTGGTTATTCAGGTCTCCTTGCAATTTCAAATAAATTTGAGGACTTCATCAACTCTGTAGATCATTTTGTGCAGTATTGGCATATTAGCAGTATTAGATTGTTGAATTTGTGAATACAAAATGTCTCTTCATTTGCTCAGATCTTTAATTTCTTTCAGCAATGTTTTGCAGTTTTTAGTGTACAGATCTTTCACGTCCTTGGTTACATTTATTCCTAGGAATTTTATTCTTTTGGATGCTATTGTAAATGGAAATGTCCTTTCATATGTTAAGGCTAACCCCTTATATTCTTAATTTTCTGAAAGTTTTGATCATGAAAGCGTGTTGAATTTTGCCGAATGCCTTTTTCTGCATCGATTGAAGTGATTATGATTTTTCTTCTGCTTTGTTCTATTTTTGTGGTGCGTTGGATTGATTGATTGTCTCATGTTGAACAAACTTTTCATTCCTGGGGAAAATTCTACTTGTTCATATTCTTTCAATATGCAGTTTAATTTTTTTTTCTGGTATGTTATTGAGAATTTTTGCATATATATTCATAAAGAATGTTTATCTGTAATTTTCCTTTTTTGTGATGTCTTTATCTGGCTTTGATATTCTGGTAATGCTGACCTCATACAATGAGTTAAGCATTTTCTCTTTTTTCATTTTTTTAAATAGTTTGAAAAGAATTGGTCTTAATGCTTTTTAAAATGTTTGCTAGAATTTACTAGTGAAGACTTTGGGTCCTTGACTGTTTTTGTTCAGAGGGTTATTTTATTATTATTGATTAAATCTACTTATTTGTTACAGGTCTGCCGATATTTTCAATTTCTTTTTTAGTCATTTAAATTAATTTGTACATTTCTAGGACCATTCTCATTTCATCTAGTTTATCTAATTTGTTGGTATATAATTGTTCATCTTTTTTCCTCATGATTTTTAAAAATTTCTGTAAAGTCAGTAAAATGTCCCCACTTACATTCTTATTTTATTTGTTTGCATAAACTACCTCTCTTTTTATTTTCAATCCAGCTAGGGGTTTGTCAAATTGTTGATTTTTTTTTCAAAGAACCAGAGTTTGCTATTATTGATTTTCTCTATTGTTTTTCTATTACCTATTTCATTTATTTCCACTGTTACCTTATTATTATTTTTTTCCTTGCTAGCTTTGGCTTACAGGAAAATTTTTTCAAAATTGTTAAGTTGTAAAGTCAAACTATTGAGATGATTTTTAATGTGAGCACTTATAGCTATACATTTTTCTTTAAGCATTGCTTTCTATACATGTTACAAGTTTTGTTCTGTTGTGCTTCATTTTTATTTACCTCAATTTTTTCCTAATTTCTCTTGAATTTCTTTAACTCATTGGGTATTTAAGGCTATGTTATCTAATTTCCAGATATTTGTGGATTTTCCAGTTTTCCTTCTGTTAATAATTTTAACTTTAGTTCATTGTATTTGTAAAAGATGATCTGTATAATTTCAACGTTTTAAAATTTATTGAGACTTGTGGATTAACATACAGACTATCCTGGAGAATGTTCCATATGCACTTATGTGTATTCTTCTACTGGTGAGAAGAATGTTTTATATATGTCTTTTAGGTCTGGTGATATATATTAATAGTATAGTATAGTGTAGTATTTTTGATCTATATTGACCCATCTAGATCTTCTGTCTATTTTTTAAAGTGGGTATATAAAGTCTCTAAATATTATTTTAGAAAAGCCTATCTCTTCCTCTGGTTTTGTCAACATTTGCTTCATGTGTTTTGGGGCTTTGTTATTTGATGCATATATATTTACAATTGTTATATCTTCTTGAAAAATTGACCCTTTTACCAACATGTAGTGTAGTTCTTTCTTGTAGAAGTTTTGCTTATGTCTATTTTTCTGAATTTAGTATAGCTACTCTAGCTCTCTTTTGATTATAATTTGCATAAACATATTTTCAATCCTTTCACTTCCAACCTATTTGCGTCTTTGGATCTAAAGTGAATGTCTTATAGATCTCATATAGTTGGATCCTTTTTAAAATTCCACTCTACAAATCTTTGCCTTTTGATTAGAGTGCTTAATCCACTTACATTTAAATTAATTACTGGTAAGGAAAAACTGCCATTATGCCATTTATTTTCTCTATGGTTTTTACCTTTGTTGTCCTTCATATCCTCTATTGTCATTTTCTTTGTGTTTAGTTGATTGTAGTAAAGTATTTTGAATCATTCTCTGTTCTTTTTGTGTCTATTTTAAAATACACATTTACTTTTGTAGTAACCATGGGGGCTGTCTTTAATATCCTATGTTTATAGGATATAGTTTGAATTAATACCAACATAACTTCAATAGCAGACAAAAACTCTGCTCCTATACATATTTGTTCTCCCCCTTGTTGTGTTGTAGTTGTCAAAAATTACATCTTATAGATTGTATACCTAATAATATATATTTATTATTATTATACATTTGACTTTTAAATTATTTAGAAAATAATAAATTTGAATTGCAAACCAAAAATATAAGAATACTAGTTTTTATATTTGCCCATTTAGTTGCTTTTATTGAAATTCTTTATTTATTCATAAAGAATCAAATTACATTCTTAGAGTTACTCATTTGCCATTTCTTCCTCAGCTCTTGTTATTCTGGGAATGTCTTCATTTCTCTCCATATGAAGCACAGTTTTGTTAGATATAAAATTATTGGTTGACAGGTTTTTTCTTTCTTTTAGCACCTTAAATATGCCATCCCACTGTCTCTCCTGCCATGGTTTCTGTTGAGAAATTGGCTTTTAATTTTATGAAGTCTGTCATATGTGATCATGTTACTGCTCTGTTGCTGCTTTCAAGAATTTCTTGTAGTTTTTGTTTTTGATTAGAGTACATCTCAGGATGGATCCTTTTAGGTTTATCAGAGTGGAGGGACTAAGTTTCTTGAATTTATAGATTTAAACCTTTCATCAGGTTTGGGAAGTTTGTAGCCATTCCTTCAAATATTGTTTATGCACATTTCTCTCTCTTTGTTTCTGGGTTTCCCATTATGCACATGTTAGTGTACTTGATAGTGTTCTATAGGTTCCATAGGCTTTTTACTTTATTTATTCTTTTTGCTCTTCAGATTGGATGATGTCAACTTTGCTGTCTTCAAATTCATGATTCTTTCTTTTGACTCTTCAAATCTACCTGCTTAACCTCTCTTATTTTAGTTATGGTACTCTTGGAACTCTTCAGTTCCAGCATATCTATATCTATATCAGTACATATAGATACAGATATAGATATAGCAGTATATCTATATATACTATATCTATATCATATATATCATATATATATCATATATATCTATATCAGTAGATATAGATATATCAGTAGATATATATATATAGAGAGAGATATTCAATCTTCTTTTTAGCATTCTAATTTTGTTCACATATCTTTTTTTCTTATTTCCTTTGGCTTTTGTCCATCTCTATCTCCAATTTAGTTCTTTGAATATATTGATATTTGACAAAATCTTCGTGTACTAATTCCAATGTCTAGGTTTCCTCAAGGGCAGTCTCTGTCAATTTATTTTGTTCCCTTGAATGGGTCATGCTTCCTGTTTCTTTGTATACTTTGTGTTTTTTTTTGTTTGTTTACAATTGGGCATTTGAGTATCATATTGTGGTAATATTGTATTGTAAATATCATATTGTGTAAATCAGCTCCCTCTCCTCTAGAGTTTGCTTTTTTTGGATTGTTGATAGTTGTGGTCATCCATTTGTTGATTGGCTTTCCCAAACCGCAGCATTTGTGCAAAGTCTGTTTTTTTTTTTTTTGTCGTTTGGGGGTCCCTTATGCCTCTTTTATTTTAGCTTGTGTTTAGAAAGTGCTTTGACAGATATATATATATATATATATATATTTAACATGATGAGCCATACGAGCAAAAACATCTCTCCCAGTCTTTGCATATCGGCTTTGTATTGGAACACTCCTTCAACACTCAGCTGGTACTGCACTGAGCCTAAATATATGATAGATATGAAAGCTTAGCCTCTTTTCAGTACTTTTTTTTAATTATGAGGTCTTGCCCTGGACATGTTCGTGGCTTTCTAAATTCTCTAGTGTACCTGGGTGCTTTTGAATGCCCTAACTTTCCAAATAAACTCTCCCTAGCTTTTCTTCCCATGCTTTTGATAGTTTATTGAATGTCTCAATTGTATCTTTTGTCACAGGCCACTGTTGGTTTTTCATTAGCCTTACAATGTTTTCAAATATTGTTCACCAACTTTCCTTCCTGAATAAGTTCCCATGTTAGGCAAAACAGAGATGACACCTTTGGTCAATCCTTCAGGTATCCCCCAGGCAAGTTAGGACAGACATATTGAATAATCTGTGAATAAGGTATTTTCTGCTTTCCCTGGAAACACAGACTAGGTTCCACACTAGGAATTTGGCCTGCAATCTTCAAGACTGCTGCTGAGCTTGGGAGAGAATGAAGTAAGTTAAATGCCACAAAGCTTTTCTACCATTTAATAGTTGCCTTTACTTGATTTAGTACTTACTGAGTTGCTACAAATCTTTAACTGTTTTCTGTAGTTCTAGCAAAGTTAGTTCTGACAGTTTCTGCTTGGTTCTCAATGTTTCTGTGGAAAGGAAGAAGCTTAAAGTTGCTTACTCTGATATTTTGCTCATATACCATGGGAGCAGTAGAGTTTTCCCGTGTATTTTTGTAATTACTTCTCATCTACAGAGGCAAAAAATAGTATCTCATTGTTTCTATTGTTATTTCTCTGATAATTTGTTAGGTTGTATCCCTCTTCATAAGTTTCTTAGGCACTTTGCTGAGAATTTAGGTTTTTTGTTTCTTACTGGTTTGCAGAATTTCTTTAGATAGTCTTCATATGAATTCTTTGTTATATATGTTGTAATTATTTTCTTCTCCCTTCCATTTTATTTTAATACTGTTTATGATGCCCACACTAAAAAATTTTTATAATTTTTATATAGTTAAGCTCAATAATATTTTCCTTTATGGCTTTTGAGTTGTATGCCTTGCTTAACAAGGTCTTTCCTAAAAATATTTTCTAGAGCAAATCTAATTTTTATGTATTATCTTTTTAAATATTATTTAAACAATAAAATATTTATTAAAATACTTGAATAAATAAAAATTTATTTACATTTTTGATTCCATTACGTTGTACTCTAAATTTTTGCAAATGTCTTTTTATTTTGATTTTTTTTCAACTGCTTTTGACTTTGTTTCAACATTCTTTCTGAGATTTCACTTTTCTTGCATGCTGTAGCCTGCTTCCACTAATTAGAGAATGGCATGGAACAAGCTTATCTGGGTCATTCACCAGTGGCTTGTGTTTGGAGGGAGCATGATCTTGTTCCTTCTGGGTGTCACCACTCACCTTGACACTTCTTGTCCTCTTTCATACAAGTATCCACATCTCTGCCCTAAAGTTTGTGTCACCAAAGTATGAAAGAAAAACTGGTGTAAACTTAGTTCCACCAAAATTCATCATGATAATTCTCAATATATATTCATTTAAATTAATTACATTTAAATTAATTAATTTACATTAAATCAATATATATTTATTGAGAATTATGATGAATTTTGGTGGAAGTAAATTTATATATTATATGCATATATATTTGAAATAGATATATATTTATATACATATATTTCTCTCTATATATGCTTATTGCATCCTTTACCTTTGATTTGGAGAATTTCTAATAGTGTTTCTGCCCTTGGAAGCTGTCTCTTTCTCTTTATGTCCTTTAATCTGTGGTCTTCCTTGTCAAGCTGATTGTTTCTGCATTTTACTCTCATAGATTCTTTAACCAATTTGATTCACTGAAGATAATCTTTTTTGTTTGTTGCTAGTATTATAATTTTGTTTGGTCTATTACATTTTTTATGTCTTCTCTAGGGAAGCAAAAGATCTAAGCATTTGTTCTCAGACTAATATCTTGATCTAATTTTCTATGTATCTTTTTGTTCTTATCACACATTTTTATAATAGGATTTGAGGCTCTTTGAAAGAACACATTTGGTAAAATATAATAAAATACTTGAGGGAATGAGAAGATATGAATAAGTAAAAATGGAAAGAAAACAGCAAGAAATTAGTCTGGTACTTGTAGGAATTTAGACCTTTGGCAGGCTTGGAGCTTAGTCCTGATGAGAGATGGTAAAGCTAAGTGTATACTGGGAAACTCACCTTTGACTTGCCCAGAAATAAATTTCCTAGGATTGGTTTTGCACAGTCTCTAGAACCTAGTGGATAGAAAGGTGTTTAGCCAGAGTTTCCAAATTGTAAATCTTCCACTAGAATGGAAAAGTGGTAGTTCTGATTATGTTCAGGATTTTATTCCACCAAGACAGAATCATTGGCAGCCGGGCATCTCAGAGAGAACTGATTATACATTAGCTTACACATTCTGTGAGAGAAGGTCGTATGCCAGACTTTTCTTCAAGTATTCTGAACCACAATATAATAATGCCAGTACTAAGGAAGTGATAAAGAAACAACCACTGAATTTTCTTGACAGAAATGAAGAGTTGATTATGTAATCTTTTGTGAGCATTATGGTAAGGTTCTCCAGCTGCCTATCTTTGCCCTAGGGCTTTTTGACTTGGCCTTTTTGTGAAAGCAACAGAACTTAGTTGGACAGAAGCTCCAGAGGGCTGGATGATATAGAGAGAATAAAAAAAGATAATCTATGATGAACCTCTGATTCACAGCATCCTTTTATTAATAGTAAGGCATAATAAAATGCAAGCATCACCCAAGGAATTAAAGGATTTTTTGATCAGGAATTATAGATTCTAATTATAGATCTTTAGTTATTTCCTGAGTAACCCCTGGAAATTCAATTATTCTTTTATTTATTCTTCTATGAAAGGGAGTGAAAGGAAATTCTAATATTTTTTAATAGTGTTAAAAAGAGTTAAGAGAAAAATTGGAGGCAAATGAAACTTTTGAAATGGGAAGTAATTCAGATATCATTCTTGACATATTCATGTTCATTTAACAGTAACTCACCCTGTTCAAGTCTTAGACTACTTTCAAGTATGGCTCAGTGTTTTCAGGACTCAGTAGCTTTATGATTTATTATTTTTTCCAGGTCTAATCCACATCATATCCCAGAGTTACTTCTGAGCAAATGTCTTTTCTGTTCTGTGCTTCAATAAATCCCACCACATAATTGAGTTTACAGTAGAAACTGCTTGAAAGAAGAAATGAGTTTAAAACTTGAATTAAGTTTCCTCAGATAAGAACAAATTTTTTTCCTCCCTGAAGAACCTTATGAGCATGTGCTCACTCTTAAGGAAAGTAGCCTGGACTTGGTAATAATTGACCAAGCTGTAACTTGAGGAACTGTCTAACCCCCAGAGGAAAATCAATCGAGGACTATTGTAAGGTTGTGATGTGCTTATTTCTCTTGTGGGGTGTGGAGGGTACTTCCTGAATCATAGTGGGAGATCAATTTTTTGTTCATTCTTTTCAGTGCAGATCCTTAAGAGTATAATCAACACTTTTTGATCCTCCCTGAGCCAAATTGATTGCTCCTTCTTCTACATCCAACCAAAATTTTGTATACTTCTTATTTTAGCCTTCCTGAGATTTAGAAATACAGCAGACTGTGGGCTTTAGAGACAGAGAGATGAGGTTTCAAGTACTGTCTCTGCCACTAATTAACCATGTAACTTAAAACAAGTTGTTCATCAGTAGAGTAGGGATAATAACAACTATTTCTTTGGCTTGGTGTGAGAGTTAAATATGCTACTGAATGTAAATTCCACAGAGAAATGTCTGGCACCTTATAGACACACAGTCAATTGCAGGATGGCCCATGTGTGGTAAGATAAGAGAGAGAGAAGTTAGATCACAACCTCCATCTATATACCATAGTATGAACAAAAATAGATGTCCTATTGCTGCACTGGCCACCATCAAACACATAGAATGGTACTGTTTTACACAGCAGTCTTTAAAATGTGTAAGCCAGAGAAAGAGGAGTACAATAATATCCAAGACTTTGCATGGTTTGTCAATGCTCCTAATAATATTTCCACCCCATAAAGAATGCAAAAAGAAAAGTAGATGGGTGGACAAATTCTGATAAATCTTGTCTATATACTAAAGTAAAAAGTAGGTTCGGTCCAGAGGATGTCAAAGAGGTTGATTATCATCAGTATTATTGTTTTGAATGTCTTAGCTAGTATAGTTATATGAGAAAAAAAGAACTATGAAAGTGAGAATGAAACACATAAAATTATTTTTATTTGCAGACGATATGATTGTGTACTATTAAAATTCAGGAGAATTGTCTGAAAACTATTAGAAATAAAAAACAGAGTTCAGAAAATTCCCTGTTTGCAAAATTTATATTAAAATCATTGGTTTTTCTATATGTCAACTATAAACAGAAAATTTAATAAAGAAAATATCCCATTTATAATACCAGGAAAGAAAAGACTTAAAAAGCTCGTAAGAAGAAATATTCAGGGTTTATGTGAAGGAAACTTTAAAACTCTTTTGAGAGATATAAAAGAAGACTTGGAAAATAGACATAACTTATTCTTAGAAAGCCTCAATATCATAAAGATGTTATCTTGCAAAATTAATTTATGAAGCCTATGCCATCTAAAATAGAATACCAATGAGATGTTTTAGGGAAAACTTTACAAAATATTTTCTGAGAAATATATTTATATAATTGCTACAATTCTGAAAAAAAGAAAAAATAGGGTCAGTGGAATAAAGTTTAGATTCTAGAAAATATTCATCCAGAAATATATGGAAGTGTTATCTATAATAAATATGGAATTGCATCAGTAGGAAAGACGGGTTAAATGAAAAATAGTGTTGTGAAAGTTGAATTGACATTTGTGGAAAAAAATAAACTTGGATGGCTATGATTACTTCAGTTTCAAAATGAATTCGAGATCTGCTAATCATGTAAATACAAAAAATAAAACCTTAGCAATATTACAACAAAGCAATGACAAATGAGTCATTTAATTTATATGAAATATTAATGAAGTAGTTAATTAAAAATGAAAAACTAGAGGATGGCCACAGCATGGTAGTATGAAAAATAAAAATAAAACTTCACAAAATTCTTGCAATATATACACTGGTTTTGAAAAATTATTAATAAATAAATATTGCACCCATAAAATGGGCAATTATTTTACAGAAAATGAGACAAAATATAAATAAACATAAAAATTCTAGTTTTCACTTATATTTAAGTGAATAGAAATAAAATGAGATAGTATTTATGTCTATTTAATTGGCAAAAGTGAATACCATAAATAATACCAATTTTAAGAAGGTCTTGGAATATGGACATTCTCCTTTGATTGAAGTCCAAACTGATTCCACTTTGGAAGTAATTTATCAATATCCAACACAATTTTAAATGTGCACACCATTTCACCCAACAATTTCATTACCAGGGGTTGACCTAGGGACACTTTTTTAAAACTACACAATAATATGGAAGATAGCTTTCTAACAGTTAAAAAAAACTATATAAGTTATGATGCATTAAATAAAATATAACACTGTATAGTCAAGCAACAAAATTCTACACAGTTTAAAAAGTGTGCTACATTGGTATTTACTGTTATCAGTAGATCTTCAAAATATATTATAAAACTGTAAAAGCAAGGTATAGTTACACTGGGTGATCTGGTGATCTTTTTTGCATAGGTAAACTGTGTGTGTGTGTTTGCACATGTGTGCATATTATATTACTTGCATATTTTAACTAAGAGTTAAGAATATTTTGGTACTTTTTTGTTATGTTTCTAATGTTATTGGGGATTGGATAATGAGAAACTATTTTTTAAATACAAACTTTATTTTTTAGAGCAATTTTGGGTTAATGGTGAAATTAAGTGGGTAGAACAGAAATGTTCCACATACCCACTGCCCCAAAACATGACGAGCCTTCTCACCATCATCCTCCTGTACCAGAACGTTACATTTGTCACAATCAATAAACCTACATTGAAACATCATTATCACTCAAAGTTCATAGTTTACACTAGGATGTACTCTTGGTGTGTATGTTCTGTGGGTTTGAACAAAGTATAATGACATGTGTCCACCATTGTGATATCATACAGAGTAGTTTCACTACTCTGAAAAATCCTCTGTGCTCTGGCTGTTCATCTCTGCCTTCCCCTTATTCCCTGGCAATCATTGATTTTTTTTTTTCATTGTTTTGCATTTTCCAGAATGTCATATAGTTGGAATAATAATATATAAAGCTTTGAAGACTGCCTTCTTTCACTTAGCAATATGCATTTAAGATTCCTTCATGTCTTTTGTTGTCAACATCTCTTTTCTTTTTGCACTGAATAATATTTCATTGTATGGAATTCCCATAGTTTATGTATATATCCATCTATTAAAGAACAACTTGGTTGCTTCCAAATTTTGGCAATTATGAGTAAATTTGCTATAAATACCTGTGTGCAGGTTTTTGTCTGAACATAAATTTCTAAATTGTTTGGGTAAATACTAAGACGTGCAAATTGCTCAACCATATAGTAAGTATATTTTTAGTTGTATAAGAAATTGCCAAACTGTATCCAATGTTGGCTGTACCATTTTGTATTCTTACCAGGATTGAAGAACAGTTTTTGTTGCTCTATCTCCTTGCTAGCATTTGGTATTGTTTGTTTTTTCAGTTTTAACCATTCTAATAGGTATATAGTAGTAACTTGTTCTTTACATTTACAATTCCCTAATGATGTAAAATGTTGAGCATCTTTTCATATGTTTGTCATCAACACATTTTTTTGGTGAGGTGTCTTCAGATCTTTATCCCATTTTAAAATCAGATTGTTAATTTTGTTATTGTTGAGTTTAAGAATTCTTGTTTATTTCAGATATAATTTAGATAAATTCTTGTTTATTTTAGATAGTCATTTATCTTATGTTTTTTTTTTAAATATTTTTTCCCAGTCTGTGGCTTGTTTTCTCATTCTCTTGGCAGTGTCTTTAACAGAGCAAAGGTTTTTAATTTTAATGAAGTTAAATTTGTCAACTTTTTGTTTCATGGAACATATATCTTTGGTGCTGTTTCTGAGAAGTCATTACTAAGGTCATCTAGAATTTCCCCTATAGTATATTCTAGAATTTTTATAGTTTTGGATTTTACATTTAGGTCTATGATTTATTTTGAGTTAATTTTTGTGAAGGGTGTAAGGTCTGTATCTAGATTCACTCATTTTGCCTGTGGATATCCAGTTGTTCCAGTTCTATTTGTTAGAAAGACTGTATTTTTTTTCTATTGAATTACTTTTACTCTTTTGTCAAAGATCAGTTGAGTCTGTCTGTGTCTATTTTTGAGCCCTCCATTTTGTTTCATTTATCTATGTTTCTATTTTTTTCTCTAATACCACCCTGTCTTAATTACTATAGTTTTACACTCTGTCTTGAGATTAGGTAATGTCAGTCCTTTGATTTTTTTCTTCAGTATCATGTTGGCTATTGTACTGATTTTCTGGGGTTGCCATAACAAAGTACCATAGACTAGGTGGCTTAAACAAAAGAAAATTATTCTCTTACAGTTCTTGGAGGCTGGAAGTCCAAAATCAAGGTGCTGGCAGGGTTGGTTTCCTCTGAGGCCTCTCTTAAGCTTGTCGATGACCACCTTCTTATTGCCTCTTCACATGGACTTTTGTCTGTACAAAGACATCCCTGGTATCTCTAGTATGTCCTAATCTCCTCTACTTATAATGACACTAGTCAGACTGGATTTGGACCTACTCTAAGATCTCATTTTAACTTGTCTACCTCTTTAATGGCTCTATGTACAGGTATAGTCACAATCTGAGCTATTGGAGATTATGACTCCAATATATGAATTTTAGGGGAGGACACTTCAGTTCACAACAGCTATTCTGGATCTTTTGCCTCTCCATCTAAACTTTAGAATTACAGTTGACCCTTAAACAACATGAGTTTGAACCATGTAGGTCCACTTCTATGCATATTTTCTTTTGCTTCTGCTACCCATGAGACAGCAGGACCATCTCCTACTCCTCTTCCTCATCCTATTAAATATGAAGATGATGAGGATGAAGACCTTTATGATGATTCACTTCCACTTAATAAATAGAAAATATATTTTCTCTTCCTTATGAGTTTCTTAATAACATTTTCTTTTCTTTAGCTTACTTTATTGTAAAAATACAGCATATAATAAGATACAAAATATGTGTTAATTCACTATTTATGTTATTGGTAAGGTTTCTGTGGTCAATAGTAGGCTACTAGTAGTTAAATTTTGGGAGAATCAGGCTGGGCGTGGTGGCTCACGCCTATAATCCCAGCACTTTGGGAGGCTGAGGCAGATGGATCATTTGAGACCAGGAGTTCGAGACCAGCCTGGCCAACATGGTGAAACCCAGTCTACTAAAAATACAAAAATCAGCCAGGCATGGTGGCATGTGCCTGTAGCCCCAGCATCTCAGGAAGCTGAGGCACGAGAGTTGCTTGAACGGAGATAGAGGTTGCAGTGAGCCAAGATAGTACCACTGCATTCTAGCCTGGGGGACAGAGCGAGACTCTGTCTAAATAAATAAGTAAATGAATGAATGAATGTTGGGAGAATCAAAAATTATACATGGATTTTCAGGTATGTGGGTGGGTGGTGCCCTAACCGCTTTGTTGCTCAAGGGTCAACAATAGTTTGTCAGTATCTACAAAGTAACATGATGGGTTTTAAAAATTGATATTATGTAGAATGTATAGATCTGGTGGGAAAAGACTGACATCTTGAGAATACTGAGTCTTCCTATCCGTAAGCATAGAGTATTTCTCCATGATTTAGTTTTTCTTTGATTTCTATCAGAGTTTTGGAATTGCCCCCATATAGATCTTACACTTATTTTGTTAGATTTACATCTATATATTCTGTTTTGGGGGGTGTGATGTAAATGGTATTATGTTTTTAATTTCAAGTTCCAATTATTCATTGCTGTTCTCTAGGAAAACAACTGAGATTTGTATATTAACCTTGTGTTATGGGATGAATTGTGCTCCTCACCCCCCAAAATTTGTATTTTGAAACCTTAACTCCTAGCACCTTAGAATGTGATTATATTTGGATATAGGGCTCTTAAATGGATAATTAAGTTAAAATGAGGCTATTAGGGTGGGCTATAATCCAATCTGACCAGTGTCCTCATGAGAGGAGTTTTTTTTTTTTTTTTTTTTTTTTTTTTTAACAGTCTCACTCTGTCATCCAGGATGGAGTGGCGTGGTGCGATCTCCACTCACTGCATCATCCCCCTCCCAGGTTCAAGTGATTCTCCTGCCTCAGCCTCCCGAGTAGCTGGGATCATAGGTATGCACCACTATGCCCAGCTAATTTTTGTATTTTTAGTAGAGACAGGGTTTCGCCATAGTGGCCAGGCTGGTTTCGAACTCCTGGCCTCAAGTGATCAGTCCGCATCAGCCTCCCAAAGTGCTGTGATTACAGGTGTTAGCCACTGTGCCTGGCCTAAGGAGATTTGGAAACATTGAGAGACACCAGAAATGTGTGTGCACAGGGGAAAGACCATGTGAGAACATGATGAGAAGGCATCTCTATGCAAGCCAAGGAGAGAGGCAATCCTAATGACACTTCATTTTAGACTTCTAGCCCCCAGGACTGTGAGAAAATAAATTCCGGCTGAAACAGGGAAAGTTCCCTTGTCTCCCTAGCAGGCTGTGCAGTGGGGGTGTGGCTCACTTCTTCAGTGCCTCGCTACTCAAATCCCCAGGGGGAGCAGGCAGATAGGCAGGTTGTGGAGCTCCGACTCGACGGCAGCATCTGGGGGTATATGTTTACAGTTCCTGAAGCCCCAGTGGGCATGTGTTACAGTGTGCTCTTTTAGTTTTTCCATCCGTAGGCAGCTTGTGTTAGTCAGCTCAATTAGACCCTTTGCCTTATCACAATGACAGAGGGCTTTCTGTATCCTGGGGTTTCTTGCCTTGGTGTACTGGAAGAATTGGATCACACATGGGCTTGGAGAATGAGTGCAAGGTTTTATTGATTAGAAGTAACTCTCAGCAGATGGAGGAGCCAGAAGGGAGATGGAATGGGAAGGTAGTTTTCCTTTCTGAAGTCGGACCACTTAGTGGCCTGGGCTCTCCTTCGACTGCCCTGGCCAAACTCCGCATCAATCCGCCGGTTGATGGCCTGCCGGCCTGCCGCTGTCTGTTGGTCTGCTCCTGCACCGGTGAGTTCCTCTCCACGTCCAGCTGCTTGTGTGCCTGCCTGCTAGGGTCTCAGGGTTTTTATAGGCACAGGATGGGGGTGTGGTGGGCCAGGATGGTCTTGGGAAAGACAACATTTGGGCAGGAAAACAGAAATGCCTGTCATCACCTAGGTCCATGGGGACAGGCTGCGGGGGGTGGAGCCCTAGCCAGAGACTACACCCTTCCTTTCCCAGCACGTCCCTGTTGTTTAAGAAGCACAATCTGTGGTATTTTGTTATGGAAGTACTAGCAAACTAATAGACCTTATATGCTGCAACTTTGCTCTAATTTCTTAGTTCCAAGAAGTTGTTTTGTTTTGTTTTTTGTAGATTCTTTTACATTTTTGACTTTTGCTTTGAGTGTTTTCTGCTTTATAACGTAAGAAAAACCTAATGTGTATTTCTAAAATATATAAATAATATACATCATTCTTCTTCCATGAATTGCAGTGATGTACATACCCTCCATATAAGAATGTACATATTTAGGACAGCAGCATATGGTTAGGTCATAAACATTATGCACTCAATATTTGTTTAATGAATAAGTTAGAGTTTAAATATACTGTTTGCTCCTATAATTTTCTAATAAGTTTTAGAAAAAAATGACTCCTCAAAATAAGAAAGAATTGTTGAGATATGAAATAAATGAAAAGAGGAGAAAAGCTAATTGCATAGAGGGAACTGTCTTCTGCCAACTGATCCTGGAGAGAAAATCCTCCCAGGAGCTCCATTCACAGATGAAAGAACAAGATTGTCTAAGATATAAAAAAATTGAGGCTCTACTTGATAATCTTCTCAAATTTACTCCATTCTGTTTCTCCAGTTTTTAAATGTGTTCTTGGCCAAGAGGGCACTAGCTGAAGAGTGTGCAATTCCTGCAAGATTTCCTCTATGATCAAAGACAAAAATGAAATATATCTGGCACTTACAGAAAGAAAGTTATATTAGAGGTCTAACTTACTATATGATTTTTTCCTCTTTAAGTGAATTGTTTCTATTAGAGCTAGGCTGTATGTATCCTTATTATCAAAAGTTAATAGTTAACTGGAAAGTAGCCCAAGGTTTGACACATCGTAAGTGCTCAAAATGTATGCATTGGCATGTACGTGGATGAATTACCAGTGCAGGAACAATGCATGTTAGATTTGGGCTTTTAACTCCTTGAAAGAGATCTGTCCAGCTTTGTTGCCTGTAGGACTGAACAAAGAAGCCTGTTTTTATGGGCTGATGAAGTAGACATCCCATAGTTTGTCACAGATGACTAAAATAAATGTCTGCCTTAATAAAAAGAGAAATTATTTATATGGCTAAAAATAATCTATAAGCTACAAAATTATTTCCTGGTGAAGAAAGACCTTATAAATTATTGTTAAATTGAAGTGTCTTTATTACCCCTTCCCTGCTTTTGAGAGAGCAAGAGAGTAAAAAGAATATAGCATATTAAACAGCTGTCTTTATCTATGGGGCTAACTAATGGTGTTTTCTAAAACATAATTCCCTGGATTTTGGAGGTAATGCAAATTAAAAATTAAGTTTGGTTGAAACTTTTCTGGCTAAGGCAAATTTTAATCATAGAAAGTCAATACATATCTGCAGAGTTCTGAAAAGGAAATCATTCGGTCACCTGGCCTCACACATCTACTTCTATGTCTTTTGTCTAAGAAGCCAGGCATGACCTAACCCTTGAAGAGTTTAAAGCCTTTTCTCTGCAGTCCACTCTCTTGTCTATCAGTGGAAGTAAGCATGTACTTAAAAATATCCTATTAATTAAACTGAGTGCTCATGAGGTGCAAGCATCTGTGCTAGATATTTCTAGGAGATGCAGAGTAGATCAAGATAGAATGAGGCCTCATCACCTAAGAGACTTGCAAGCTAGGTGAAAAGTCAGTTCATCTAACTTCTAATAGCTGGTACCAGAAGGAAAGGCTTATTCCTTAGGGGATTGTAATATTCTTTAGAGGGATGTAGTAAGATAATATTAAATTTCTATTGGTACTTATTTTTATCTAATGTCTAAAATTTCTATTGTTATCTTCTTTAATAATGCATATGTTATGTTAATATACTAGCAAATGTTGGTATAATAAACATGAATTGGGTGTATGGGCTTATTTCATGGAAAGTTTATTTTGTAGATAGAGGTAATGTTAAAACCATTTTGGAGAGTACTGGATATACCTGGTACTTGGTCTCACACACTTTAAAAAAATTATCAGTATTTAGCAGAGGACCTGGGACAGTGTAGTACTCCACCAGATGTATAAATAGGGAACAACATTAGAGAAAGAGGTTGTTGAGGCTCATTTTCAGAGTTATGAGATAAAAATACCAAAAAAAATCTAGTGCTAATAGAGTACTTGCAATCAAAATTTTATCTGGTAATGATGCAGGGCAGGCAAGCCCCCATACTGGGCTTAGCGTGGGAGGGTTCTTTGCTTCATCCGGGAAAGAATTCAAGGGCAAGCTGGTAGTGTTAGGAATTTTTATTGAAGCAGCAATGTATAGCAGCAACCGAGGAAGTTCTCCTTGTGGAGCAGAGCTAACTCATAGGTAGTGTGCCCAGAGTAGCAGCTCAGGAGCAGTTCTATAGTCATATTTATACCCACTTTTAACTACATGCAAATTAAGGAGCAGATTATGTAGAAATTTCTAGAAAAAGGGTGGTAACTTCTTGGTCATTGTGTCACTGCCATGGAAAGGGGCAGTAACTTCTGAGTGTTGCCATGGCAATGGTAAACTGACATGGCACTGGTGAGCATGTCTTAGGGAGAGGTACTTTCGCCTCTTCCCTGTTTCAGCTAGTCTTCCGTCTAGTCTTGAGTTCAAGTTCCCACCTCCAGAGTCAAGTCCTGCCTCCTACCTTAGTAACAGCAGAATTATATGCAAAGCAAAACATAGACATTATTTCTCTTGGTATTTAGGTTGGTAACTGGAAGTTCCCTGCTCCTCTCATTCACTTGTCTTTTTTACAAAATTGTAGGAAGCTACTAATGTGTATATAATGTTTTGCTTAGGGTTTTTGTGACTTTTGTGCTAATTATCTGATTCTGAATGCAAAAGTTAACAATACATATTTTTCTGCAATAGAGATTCGGAATTATAGATACCAACATGAATACTTTATTGCTCATCTGTGATATTTCTTCAAAGAAATGTCATTACAAGCACCTTTTTATGCTGGTAGATACAACATTTGGAAAATTGTTATCAGTAATTCAACAGGAATAAAGTGGAAAAAACCACCTTGATCTAATTTTACATAATTTAAAAAATATCTATTCTCTCCTCTATGTAATTGAATCCCTGTGCCTCTTGCTTGTTCTTTCTGGAAATTCACATCCTCTTCATGAAACACAAAAGTTTGGTTGGGCTTAACGCTAAGTTTTCTTTTGCTCTAATGTGCTATGTTTCATGACAACACTTACAGATATTTGTTCCATATATATAAGGAATATTATTCTTGGCTGTATTTCAATTGGTATCTAATACCTTTTTAAGTCAAAAATAATATTTTGCTAAGTGTTTAGGTGCTTCAAATATTGGTAGAGTAATATTGTCATTCTTTTACTCCAGACATCATTTGGCTAATGTAACCATTTTTATTTCTCTTAATATTTCTTGATAAGTCAATTATTCCTCAGCAAGTCTTTTTTATTCTCTGGAACCCTGATTAATGCATCAGAATCTTTCTGTAAGTCAGGTAGAAGAAGAATTCATGTTGATTGTGATTATGTGGCCTTATTAGAAATATGTGTATTTGATGATATCCTTATATCTGAAAAATCATATACTGCCTGATCAGATGCTGAGAGAACATGGTCCATCATTTTTCTCTCAATGATTAATCATAATGTTAAGAAACATTAGCTTATCTGAATCAATTGTAAAGTGTGTCATCATTGACTGATGACAAAATACTTTGCAAAAAATATTAAAGCAGATTCTAGTTGTTTCCTATAATAGAATCACTTTCACTCACACACCTCCATATGCTTTCTTGAGTGGGAGAGAAAGGATTGGAATTATGGGTGTTGCGAAGATTTAAAGATACATTGCAGAACACCTATTAGAAGACATTGGTTAGATTTTAAGCATCATTTCTGAGTGTGTTTCCCGTATGTATAGGTGGAGAGGGTGGGGAATTAAGAATTAATGATCCATATAATATATTATCACGCTCAAGTTTGTGTCATCAGTATTGCCATAATTGCTATGATAGCCTACAAATTTATTTCCCTGTTCCTATTCTCCTCCTTACATGTTTTCTACCTAGCAACCAAGGTGATCTTTTATAAATATGTCAATTAAGCCACCTTCCTCTTTAAAAGTGCCCAGAAGCTCATCATTGTGCTTAAAATAAAATCCATACTTATCATGGCCTATGGCTCCTTAGAATTTGAACTCTTCTTTCCTCTTAGACTTAATCTTTACTAGTTTTCCCTTTGCTCACCATCTGTAATTCAACCTCAAACACATCTCAGCAGATGCTGTCAGTGTCACATCCATACTCTCTGACACTTACATTTGTATACATCCCAGCTGGACTTCGAATTATCAGCCTGTGCATTTATTTGCCTGAAATCTTTCTTTGCTACAAGAGGCTGCTAAGTCTGCAAAAGAGGCAGTCTGGAAGTTATAGGGAATTAATACCTCTTAGAAATAACCCTCAATCAAGAACTGACCAAAGTGAGTATATAAATACACCTAACTTCTTTATCCTTCAGGTGGGGTAGATGTGTATTTTACACTGCCTCCCAGAGTTGCACAGCAGGACGAAGTTGTCATTGACCACTGTAGTAACTTGCTGAGTTATAAAACCTTTACTGACATCTTTACCTTCACTGCATCACCTCTCTTTCATGCGCGTCCATGTGAAGAGACCACCAAACAGGCTTTGTGTGAGCAATAAAGCTGTTTATTTCACCTGGGTGCAGGCGGGCTGAGTCCGAAAAGAGAGTCAGCGAAGGGAGATAAGGGTGGGGCCATTTTATAGGATTTGGGTAGGTAAAGGAAAATTACAGTCAAAGGGGGTTTGTTCTCTGGCGGGCAGGAGTGGGGGTCGCAAGGTGCTCAGTGGGGGTGCTTTTGGAGCCAGGATGAGCCAGGAAAAGGACTTTCACAAGGTAATGTCATCAGTTAAGGCAAGGACCAGCCATTTACACTTCTTTTGTGGTGGAATGTCATCAGTTAAGGTGGGGCAAGGCATATTCACTTCTTTTGTGATTCTTCAGTTACTTCAGGCCATGTGGGCATATACGTGCAAGTCACAGGGGATGCGATGGCTTGGCTTGGGCTCAGAGGCCTGACATTCCTGCCTTCTTATATTAATAAGAAAAATAAAACAAAATAGTGTTGAAGTGTTGGGGCGGCGAAAATTTTTTGGGGGGTGGTATGGAGAGAGAACGGGCGATGTTTCTCAGGGCTGCTTCAAGCGGGATTGGGGCGGCGTGGGAACCTAGAGTGGGAGAGATTAAGCTGAAGGGAGGTCTTGTGGTAAGGGGTGATATTGTGGGGATGTTAGAAGAAACATTTGTCGTATAGAATGATTGATGATGGCCTGGATACGGTTTTGTATGAATTGAAAAACTAAATGGAATAACAGAAGGAGAAAAACAGGTATAAAAGGTCTAAGAATTGGGACGACTCAGGATGTCTGATTAGAGAGTGCTTAAGGTGATTTGGCATAGTCCTGCCAGCAAAGATTATTTATTTACTTCAAGAGTTAAGAGTGGCAGTTTGGGGATAGCATCAGGAGATATCAGCTGTGATGGCTTGGAAAAACAGTGTAAACTGGCAGTGTAAACAAGAGTAGGGCATGTATGAGTAGTTGAGAATGGTGAATAGCAGTATGACTAGACAGAAAATAGTAGGGATGACAATTTTTTTTTTTTTTTTTTTTTTTTTTAGTCACAGTCTAAGTTGGTCTGGTGTCTGTAATGAGACTGGGGCCTAATAAAAAGGAGCGTCCATACAGGACCTTAAATGGGCTGTACCCTGTAGCATTCCGAGGACAGGCCTGCATTCTGAGAAGGGAAAGTGGTAAAAGTATTGTCCAGTCCTTTTTAAGTTGGTGGCTGAGTTTGGTGAGGTGTGTTTTTAAAAGACCTTTAGTCTATTCTACTTTTCTTGAAGATGGAGGACCATAAGGGATATAAAGGTTTCACTGAATACTAAGAGCCTGAAAAACTGCTTGGCTGATTTGACTAATAAAGGCTCGTCTGTTATCAGACTGTATTGAGGTGGGAAGGCTAAACTGAAGAATTATGTCTGACAGAACGGAAGAAATGACTGCGGTGGCCTTCTCAGACCCTGTAGGAAAGGCCTCTACTTACTTTGAGGGCCTCTAAAAGTATTAAAGCAGCGGCAGCCACTGCACGCAGACATGAGGGCTAGGCTAAAACAGTAAGGTCAAGTTGTTTGGACAGAAAGGCTACAGGGTGTGGTCCTGGCTCTTGTGTAAAAATTCTGACAGCGCTAACCATGCCTAGGAAGGAAAGGAGTTGTTTTGTAGAAGGTGCTTGGGTTTGAGAGATCAGTCGGACACGATTGGCAGGGAGAGCACGTGTGTTTTTATGAGAATTATGCCGAGATAGGTAACAGATGAGGAAGAAATTTGGGCTTGATTGAAGTAATGGGGGCTGGCTGTGAAGCTTTGCGGCAGTACAGCCCAGGTAATTTGCTGAGCTTGACGGGTGTCAGGGTCAGTCCAAGTGAAAGCGAAGAGAGGCTGGGATGAAGGGTGCAAAGGAATAGTAAAGAAAGCATGTTTGAGATCTAGAACAGAATAATGGGTTGTAGAGGCAGGTATTGAAGATAGGAGAGTATCTGGGTTTGGCACCACGGGGTGTATAGGCGAAACAATTTGGTTGATAAGGCGCAGATCAGATTGTCTACTAGGTAGGGTGCTCGTACTCAGTCCTTTTCTTTGGGTCTGCTTCTAGAGGGACCCAGACTAAGATAACTGAGTTAGTTTCTACAAAACTTTCTTTTTTTAAATTTCATCATAAATAGCATACCTTTAAAGAATGTCCTTGTCTCCAGTCTAAAGTAGCAACTTAATTATGCTCTAATATCAGTATATTTTAATCTCTACATATCAATTACTATTATGCTTTTTTCTTGCTTGTGTATCTGTTCATTTTCTTACTTTCCAGTAGACAAGAGCTCTGGGGGAAGGAAAGGCCTTTTTTTTTTTTTAAATTATTGTTTACTGTGGAAGCACCACAGAAATAATAAAGTCCATGGAACACTGGGGACTTAATATATGTATTGAGAATTAAGTATCAACTGTCAGTTCTCAGATTTAGTCAACTTCTGTTTTTGTTTGTTTTGGTTTTTGTCAAACAGTTTTGAAAAAGAAATTGCACAAAGCATTGCTTATTTAGAGGCATGTTTTCAAATGGATATTTTTGGTTTGCTTTTTAACTTTCAATTATGTATCTTTGAATGGCTTTCCTAAAAGTGGGACACATTTGTTTGAGCGTATTGATACTTAGCTACCTAGAATGATAAAAATAATATATAAAAATTACATTTTAGAAATTACCTAATTATTTTTCTTACATATTCTTATAAAATCATAAAAATAATATGAAGCTTATTTCTACTTTATAGGTCAGAAAATAGAGGCTTTGCTAACAATAACAAATGTCAGTAAAATCCAAAACTGCTGTTTTAAAAAGATCAATACATTTGGAAAACTGCTAGTCAGATTAATCAAGAGAAAAAGAAAGAACATCCAAATTCTTATCAGAAATAAAGAGGGCTCATCACTATTGATCCCATGGATACTAAAAGGGTAATAAAGGAATATTATGAATATTATGAACATCACTCTGACCGCAAACTTGACAATTTAGATACAATGTACCAATTCTTGCAAGACACAAACTACCAAAACTCATATAAGGAAAAACAGGCAATCTTGATAGGCCTATATTTATAAAAGAAATTAAATCAATAATTAGTAATCTTTTAAAAGAAGAACCAGGTCAAGATGGTTTTATTGGAGATTTCTATTAAATATTTTAAAAAGCAATGATACAAATTGTCTACAATCTCTTCTAGAAAAAGAAAGCAAAGAAGAAGAAACAGAACAACAACAAAAAACAGACAGCCCTAATCTATCTATAATTACATCAAATGTGAATGGCCTAAATATGTTAATTAAAAGATAGGGATTGGCAGAAAACTCACATGATCATATCAGTTTATGTAGGAAAAGCATTTTATAAAATTCAGTACCAATTCATGACTGAAAACTCTTTGAAAACTATGACTAGAATGGAATTTTCTCAAATTTTTAAAAAGAATATTTACAAATACCTACAGCTAACACATTATACTTAAGGATCAAAGAGTAAATGTTTACTCACTGACACTAAGAACAAGGCAAGGAGGTGTACTGTCACCACTGCTCTCCAACATAGTACTGAGTTCTAGCCAATGCAATAAGACAAGGAAATAAAGAGATGCAAATTGGAATGAAAGAAATTAAATTATTTCTTTGTGAAATTGGTATGATAGTCAACTTAGAAAATCCTAAATAATCTTAAAAAATAACTTCTAGAAATAATAAATGATTATAGCAAAGTTGCAGGATATAAAGTCAACCTACAAAATCAGTTGCACTGTTATATATTAGTAACGAGCACCTGGAAAGAAGAATTAAATTAAAATTATAATATGATTTATATTATCTCAAGAAATGCACACTTAGATGCAAATTTAACAAAACAAGCATAATAATACTTCATTATACCTGGGTATTAGTTCTGTAATATCCCAAGAAATGCACACTTAGATGCAAATTTAACAAAACAAGCATAATAATACTTCATTATACCTGGGGTATTAGTTCCAGGACTCCTGAGTGGATACCCAAATCCATGAATGCTCACATCACTTATATAAAATTATGTAATATTTGCATATAATCTATATACTTGCTCTTCTATGCTTTTAACTATCTACATTATTTGTAATACTTCATATAATCTAAATGCTATGGAAATACTTGCTATAGTGTATTTTTATATTTGTATTCTATTTTATTTTTGTATTAAATTATTTTTTCAATTATTTTTGAACCACAGTTGGTTGAATCAGTAGATGTAAAACCTGCAGATATAAAGGACTGACTGTACAGCACTTGCATAATGAAAACTACAAAATACTAATGAAAGAAATAAAAGATGATTATCTAAATAAATGGAAAGCTCTACCATGTTTGTGATTGAAAACTCAACATTTTAAAAATGTCAATTCTCCCTAAATTGATATAGAAGTGTAATGCAGGCAAAATCTCAGGAAGCCATTTTGTAGATATAGACAGATTATTGTTAAAATTTATCTGAAAAGGCAATGAAACTCGAAAAGCTAAAACAATTCTGAAAAAGACCAATACAAATCACTCTATTCAATTTTAAGACATTATTATATAACTCTGGTAATCAAAATCTTATGGTGTTGTTCGAACAATAGGGAAGTAGATCAATGAAGCAGAAAAGAGAAGCCAGAAATATCTCCATACATATACAGTTAACTCATTTTTGACAAAGTTGCAAAGGTCATTCAATGAAGGAAGGATAGTCTTTTCAACAAATGGTGCTGGAGTAACTGGATATTTAATGGCAACAACAACAACAACAACAACAACAACAAACAAACCTTGATCTAAACTTCACGTTATACAAACTAACTAGAAATTGATCATAGACTCAAAATATAAAAGTATAAAATTTTAGAAGATAACGTAGGAGGAAATCTTAAAGACCTAGGCATGAGGAAGAGTTCTTATACATAAAATCCAAGCACAGTCTATACAAGGAAAAACTGATAAGTTGGACCACATTATAATTAAAATCTTTCACTCTGAAAAATATTTTATAAGAGGAGGAAAACACAAACTATTTAAGACTAGGATAAAAATTTGCAATTCAGATATCTGATAAAGGACTTGTATCTAGAATACATAAAGAAGTCTAATAACTCAACATTAAAAAACAAAACAATCCATCTAGAAAATGGGCAAAATGCAGGAGGAAACAATAAACTTATAGGGATATATGGATGGCAAATTAGCATATGAAGAAAGGTTCAGCATCACTAGCCATTAGGAAAATGCAAACTAAAACTGTAATGAGTTATTGCTATACACTTATTAAAACAACTAAAAAGTAGTAACAATAGTAAATGTAAGAAAGTTGCTGAGGGAATGGATTATTCATACATTTCTGGTGGTAATTTAAAATGATACAGCCACTCTGAAAAATAGTTTGGCAGTTTTTTATAAAACTAAATAGCAGAAAAATAAAACACAAACACAAGGAAACTTTTGGAAATGATGGATATGTTTATTTATTGGGTTGTGGTGATGGTATCAGGCATATTTGCATATGTCCAAACTTATCAAATTATATACATTAAACCTGTGTAGCTTTTTGGCATACAATTATACTTCAATAAAGCAGATTAAAATGACAATAACAACAATAACAAAACTAAACATGCAAACATACCATATGACCAGCACGATTGCACTCCTGGGCATTTATGCCAAAGAAATAAACACTTATGCTTGCATAAAGATGTATATATGTTTATTCACATCAGCTGTATTAATAGCCCCAAACTGAAAATAATACAAACATCCCTCAATAGATGAGTGTTTAAACAAACACTCATCTGTTACATCTGTAACATGGAATACTGCTTAGCAATGTAAAGGAATAAACTCTTGGTACATACAAAACAAATAGATCTCAAAAGGTCTCATACTGTATTGTTTTATTTATATAATATTTTGGAAATGACAACATTTCAGAGATGGAAAAGAGATTAGGGGTTTTCAGCAGTTAAGGATGGTAGGGAGGTGGGTGTAGGTGTGATTATAAAGGGGAACATATGGGCGGTGTTTTTGGTGATGGGACAGCTCTGAATCTGGATTGTGGTGGTGATTACATGAATATACACACACAAAATGACATAGTACTATACACACACATGCCAATGTAAAATTTCTAGTTTTTAATATTAGTATAATTATATAAGATGGAACTATTTGTAAAATGAAGGAAAGGTACATAGAGCCTCTCAACCATCTTTGCAACTGCCTGTGAATCATAATAACTTCAAAATAATTTTAAAGTGTTTCAGTTTGTTTAGTAACTGTTTCATAAGAGTCTTCTTCAAAGAGTTAATATCAGTGTTTCAAGTAAGTTGAAACTGGATATTCTAAAGATGAGTAACTAGTAAGAAACATTATTTTTAGTTTTAACATTTAAATGTTAACATTCTACATTTCATAGGTAAATATTTGTTTGCATGCGTTTGTGTGAACAAAATTCCTAGCCTTTGCTAAGCTTATAGTTATATCGTGTCATAAAGAGTTTTTTTTTTTTTTTAAATACAGAGTCTTGCCCTGTCACCGAGACTGGAGTGCAGTGGCTCAACTATAGCTCACTGCAGTCTCAACATCCTGGGCTCAAGCAACCCTCCCACATCAGCCTTCCGAGTAGCTACAGCTACAAGTATGCACCACCATGCTTGGCTAACATTTTTATTTTTTGTAGAGACTAGGTCTCACTTTGTTGCCTAGGCTGATCTCAAACTCTTGGCCTCAAGTGATTCCCCCACTTGGTCTCCCAAAGCTTTGGGATTACAGGCATGAGTCACCACACCCCACCATGTGTTCTTTTATCTATTAATAGTAATGTGAGTGCCTGCAGTTTCATATACAGACATTCACATTTGCACAGCCGTTACAAGTAGATGGCAATTAGATATGATATAGTACATCTATGGTTTCATTTAATTATGCAAATAGAAATAAGTTTAGATACATAAAATATTCCTTCAAGAAATCTGTAAATTTCTACAATAACACTCACATATATTAAGTAGAATTATTTTTTATATATTCATTTTATTTTTAAATTTTTAATTATGATTATATAACAAAATTTATAATTCTAAACATTTTTAAGTTGTGGTTTGGAATTAATGCTTTTAAATTATTTTTATTTTATTGTGTTTAACATTAACCTGAAGAAGTGCCAGAAAGTATATCAGATTCAGCAATCTGAAATAGATTTCATAATATCTCTCTAGAATTAAAGAATTTTTAAAGGTGCCTAAAGGTATAAAAGATAAAAAGAAGATGGGGAGAGATTTTTCTGGAGATAGAGCCAATTTGTTATTGTCCTAAGAGGAATTTGCATAAATTCAAAAGACAAATAGATTAGATAAGAAACAGGAGGACTTAGGAAATAAAACAAAACAATGACCATTAGTAGAAAGCATTGACCTGCTGCTTGCTCACCCTAGCAAATTTTACGGCCTTAAATTACTGTGCAATTTGCAAAACAAAAACCATACTTTATTCATAAATATAATTAGTCAATTTAAAGTGTTTAAGGAGTACTATTTCATATATATAAATGTTTGCTGGCTATTTTTAAAAATATAATGATTTTTTCCCCTCATTCTTTCTTTGTTGTTGCTAAACATCACTCTTTAGATAGATTTCACTTATGAGGGCTGGAAAAAAACAGGGCAGTAAGGTAATTCAATCAATCTACCAGTTTCCTTTGAAATTTGGTTCCCATGTAGTTGTTTATCTCAGGGATTAACACGTTAACTTTGAATATGTGACACTAGCTTTCATCTAGATGGTGATCAAACTATAGTAATGTTCGAAGACAAAAGAAGTTGTACTCCAGGAACAGACTTCAAAGTGTCTTCCTCTGCTGGCATCCTTTGCTTATTCTAGTGCTCATTTCCTTTCTCTTAACTACACATCAACCGAGCAAAACATAATTTGGTAAGGCAGCCTGAAGGCTAATGTAAAGACAAGGAAAATAAAAACTTGTAATCTGCTAAGCTTTGTTTATTCAGTTTGGGAATTATTCATACTAATTACTTTCTTCTTTCGTCCATCCTTAAGATGCCTTCTGACCATTAAAGAGCTCTGAAGTATAACTCAGAATGGATTTCTTTGCTTCCTATTAGTAGCTGCAAAATTATGGAATTGCTGGCTAACAAACCATCCAAAACATAGTGGTATTGTCTGAATATTTCAGTTGAAACTGAAGAACGTACCCCATTCAAAAAAGAAGAGTTCAGCTTAAAGAGAACCACAGGAACATTATAGATAAATTAGAAGTTAATAGCTCTGATTTCACACGTAAGAATTTGAGAAGCCAGGTTTTTTCAGATTAGAATCTCAGCTAGGAAATTTTAAATTCTAATCTGGATTTTAGTAACCAGAGGAATGTGATTAGAGGACATTGATATTAGATATTTTTTTAATTTATGAAACAGCAACTTACATTTCAAGGTTTAATTTACTAGATTGTTTCAAGTAACATTATTAAATCTTATTTTAACAGCAATTCTGGGTCATTACACATTATTATTTCTGTTTTCTCAAGAGAAAACTGAACGTCAGGAAAATTGATTTGTCCCCAAGTCATATAACTAGAGACCTCAGCCCCTGTTGTTTTGACTCTTAATTCAGTGCTCCTTTAATTAAAATATGGTTGTCTCATATTTAGTATTCATTAAATCAGAATATCAGTTTCCCTTTTAATAAATATATATTGAAACCAACTTTGAGGCTGATCCATGACTTCTGCACATCCACACAAAGTAAGTAAGTCTCAATATCCCCTTTCTTTAGGTTTTCTTAATAATTTGTTCACATAGCTATTACAGCAGATGCTTATCACTTCATTTTATTGTTAATTTTGTATATGTTTCCCTCCTTCAGTAAGGAAAGGAGCTTTGCATTGCTTATCATTGTGGCAGTGCCTAGCATAGTGCTTGAGCCATACTAGGTTCAAGACGAATATTTGCTGAACTTCATTTTCCGTAACTACACAGTTATCATTAAACTCAGATTGACTCATAAAGTTACCATTAATCATCAAAGACCAATGAAATTCAGAGTGTAATCCTGATCAAGGCAAGAAAGTTGGATAATTTAGAATTACTTGCAGCAGTCAATATTATGTAATGCTCGCTAATCCCCGAAGTATTTGCTACTTTTAAGGTTAAACTTAAATTAACCAAAACTACAAATTATCCATCTCTGGTCATTACAGTTCAGTAAGTTTTCTTATTTTGAAAGGTTTTAGCACATGAAAATAGATCATTTGATTGAGGGACTAAGTCAGCTTGTTAAATTGACTTCTCAAGGATGAAGTTGTTGGCCTTCTGAGTATTGCTGGCAAGAGGTCCCTAACCTTTAGAGTAACAAACTGAAGTGTGGTAAAATACCAAATCTATGTTAATGAATCAGCACATCAGTTCTGAGTATCTCCAACTTTAACCTCACACAAGGTTAAAAAACGTTGAGAAGAAAAAGAAGTGATGATAAGGAAGGAAAGGTGATAGGAAGAAGCCAGAATCATAAAGTTATAAAGAATAAGAGAACTTGGACAGCATCTAGTTCATCCCTACAATGTTAGGGATGTCCAGTCCTCTTTCATCTCCTTTCACCTGGAAATCCCCAACTTAGAGTCCATCGGGATGTATTGTCTGTCTTCAGAGTTTAAAACTCAAGTCTCCATCCATAACAGCTAGGAGAACTGACAGAAGGCAGTTCTGAAATTTGGAATGAATGAGGCTCCCTCTCAGAAGGTGGCCCAGATGACCAGACACAGAGATTGTGGAATAATGGTAACAGATTGGCAACTGGCCAAAGCAGTCTGCATCTGGATTGGTGCTGGCTGGATCGTCTATTCCAGGAGCTGGAATAGGGCACAGTGCCCATTTTGGCAGCCAGTTTCTGGGCTAGCTCAATCTGATATAGAGACAGAATGGTGATGAGTTCAGGCATTGTTCCTCTGCGGATGCGAAATCCAGCCTAGTTTCCTTTTTCTAACTAACTTCTCCTTTTAGGGTTCCGCCATCTCTACTCTTAAGTACCTGATGGCAAAATATCATCTTCTTTCTTAGAAAGCACAAATGAAAAGACAAAATTACCTTGTATTTATTTAAATTTTTTATTGGTTTACAATAGTTGTTCATATTTTGGGGGTCAAATAATATTTAACACCTGTATACAATGTGTAATGATAAAATCAGGGTAATTGGTATTTTCATCACTTCAAACATTTATCTTTTCTTTGTGATGGCAACATTGCAAATCTCTTCTAGCTATTTTGAATTATATAATAAATTGGTATTAACTATAATTTTCCTACTGTACAATTGAATTCAACCCTAGTTTCCTTTCTTTCAAGTTCCCCCTTTAGGGTTCCACTATCTCTACTTTTAAATAATTGATGCTAAACTATCATGTTCCTTCTCAAAAAAGAAAAAACAAACAAAATTACCTTTTGAAGAACTCAATATTCATGACCCCAAAAGTTTGGGGGAGGGAGATTGGCTGGTAGCTCACTTGACATTTTCTCTGTTTCTCAGCTTAACACAGAAGCTAATTATTTCCCATTCTCTCTCCCATGGAGCTCAATTGCCTTGACGAGGTTCTTATCAAAGAAATACCAAAGAATTTTCTAAAAATATATTTTATTTTACACTATAGCACAAAGAGAAAAATGCATAAAACATACGTATATATATTAATGAATTATTATATATCAAACACTCATGTATCATGACAGAGTTCAAAATAACAGAATATGTTCTGTACCCCAGAAGGCCTCTCAGTACTCTTCATAATCACAGTTTTACTGTTTAAATTGCCTCTTTCAAAACTAGCAAATGCCGTCAAAAGGAAGTCAGGCCCCCATCTAAAGTAAACAATTCCTCACCACCATGTGACAGTGCTCAGATGTCTTCAAGGAGATGTTACTGGTCCAGTTTTTAAATTGCCTGCAATGAGAAAATCAGTTCAAATAATCTAGTACTCTGTTATTAAAATAAAACTCACACAAGTCTCTTCTTAGTATTTGATCTTTTTGTGGCTCAGTTATTCTTTCTCCCAAAGATAATCAGAATGTCTCTTTGACACGTGTTTTGCTAAGGCAGTAACAATAACACATATTTTAGTCTATGACAGGGCTTTCTATCACCTGAATAAGAGAAAATTAATGTCCAGAGAGATGTGGTAAAGTGACTGTTTTTATAGAACTCATATTTCCTGATTCCTGAGGACTTCATAACTCTGTAAAAATCAATCAGAGTTTGAAAAGTAAGATTAAATTTGCTGAAATAATTTAAATGGCGTTCTTTGACTTGCCCCAAATCTGGCTTTGTGGAAATGTCCAAATGTACAGTTAGCCAGGCATATCCAAAATTTCTGTATTCTATTTCCTATTTGTGATAGAAATCTAGAACAGTATTAGGATAGGACAAAAGATAAAAGGCTTTGGGTTATCTGGGGTTCTCCTAGATGAGGTTCTAAAGAGTGACGCTCTGATTATTTTGCGGGAGAAAAAAGAAAACAGTGCTTCTTCTTAGTGCTTCCACTAGTCCTAAACTTAGGGAGTTTACAAAACTGGCGATTTTTTTCTGAGTAGGCTGCTGAACTCTGTAAAGGTACTATAGAAAAAGCTTCACTAAGCTTAATATTGAACTGCGGGTAATACTGGATGCCCCTCCATCTTCTTCCCGAACTTTGAAAGGAGAGAAGAGGAAATTAGTTCCAATTCTATTAAGAAATTTTGCATTGCAATTTTGAGGTGAAGCAATATGTGCATGAAAAGTTGTAAAATGTACCTTTACAATTTAAGTTTATACAGTGTTTTCTTTCTGCTTGCCCATTTTTGGATCTTCTTCTTTCTTCTTCCTTCTTTCTTCCTCCTCCTCCCCGTCCCGCTCATCCTTCCCCTGAAGGGAAATGTTTCAAGGAACTGATAGGGCTAACAGGGTCATTTACACCTTGCTGGTTCCAAAGCCATATTTTCTAACAACTGAAATTAAGTAACATGTGGGATAATTGGTTAATACTTTCTAAGTTTTTAATTACTTTTGTCTTATTTGTAGAGGTTTCTCTTTCATTTTTAACTTATTTGTAGCTGTCATTACTCTGTATTGTTTTATTGTGTAGAGGTGGAATAGTCTAAATATCTGTTGAAAGGGAATTTCAACAACCTGAATGTCCACTCATTCACTCGATGATTAAATAAATTAGGATAGACCATAAAGCAGTAACAATGATAAGAATTTGTATACACAAATGTGATCAATTTATATATAAATCATATCATATTCACATTATAAATGTTCCATAGGTAAGCATATATACATATATGCTTAGATATAAGTAGATATAAATATATATAAATTTATACATATAACTTTTTTTTTTTATTATACTCTAAGTTTTAGGGTACATGTGCACATTGTGCAGGTTAGTTACATATGTATACATGTGCCATGCTGGTGCGCTGCACCCACTAATGTGTCATCTAGCATTAGGTATATCTCCCAATGCTATCCCTCCCCCCTCCCCCGACCCCACCACAGTCCCCAGAGTGTGATATTCCCCTTCCTGTGTCCATGTGATCTCATTGTTCAGTTCCCACCTATGAGTGAGAATATGCGGTGTTTGGTTTTTTGTTCTTGCGATAGTTTACTGAGAATGATGGTTTCCAATTTCATCCATGTCCCTACAAAGGATATGAACTCATCATTTTTTATGGCTGCATAGTATTCCATGGTGTATATGTGCCACATTTTCTTAATCCAGTCTATCATTGTTGGACATTTGGGTTGGTTCCAAGTCTTTGCTATTGTGAATAGTGCCGCAATAAACATACGTGTGCATGTGTCTTTATAGCAGCATGATTTATAGTCCTTTGGGTATATACCCAGTAATGGGATGGCTGGGTCAAATGGTATTTCTAGTTCTAGATCCCTGAGGAATCGCCACACTGACTTCCACAATGGTTGAACTAGTTTACAGTCCCACCAACAGTGTAAAAGTGTTCCTATTTCTCCACATCCTCTCCAGCACCTGTTGTTTCCTGACTTTTTAATGATTGCCATTCTAACTGGTGTGAGATGATATCTCATAGTGGTTTTGATTTGCATTTCTCTGATGGCCAGTGATGATGAGCATTTCTTCATGTGTTTTTTGGCTGCATAAATGTCTTCTTTTGAGAAGTGTCTGTTCATGTCCTTCGCCCACTTTTTGATGGGGTTGTTTGTTTTTTTCTTGTAAATTTGTTTGAGTTCATTGTAGTTTCTGGATATTAGCCCTTTGTCAGATGAGTAGGTTGCGAAAATTTTCTCCCATGTTGTAGGTTGCCTGTTCACTCTGATGGTAGTTTCTTTTGCTGTGCAGAAGCTCTTTAGTTTAATTAGATCCCATTTGTCAATTTTGGCTTTTGTTGCCATTGCTTTTGGTGTTTTGGACATGAAGTCCTTGCCCACGCCTATGTCCTGAATGGTAATGCCTAGGTTTTCTTCTAGGGTTTTTATGGTTTTAGGTCTAACGTTTAAATCTTTAATCCATAAAAAGGCAGGGGTTGCAATCCTAGTCTCTGATAAAACAGACTTTAAACCAACAAAGATCAAAAGAGACAAAGAAGGCCATTACATAATGGTTAAGGGATCAATTCAACAAGAGGAGCTAACTATCCTAAATATTTATGCACCCAATACAGGAGCACCCAGATTCATAAAGCAAGTCCTCAGTGACCTACAAAGAGACTTAGACTCCCACACATTAATAATGGGAGACTTTAACACCCCACTGTCAACATTAGACAGATCAACGAGACAGAAAGTCAACAAGGATACCCAGGAATTGAACTCAGCTCTGCACCAAGCAGACCTAATAGACATCTACAGAACTCTCCACCCCAAATCAACAGAATATACATTTTTTTCAGCACCACACCACACCTATTCCAAAATTGACCACATAGTTGGAAGTAAAGCTCTCCTCAGCAAATGTAAAAGAACAGAAATTATAACAAACTATCTCTCAGACCACAGTGCAATCAAACTAGAACTCAGGATTAAGAATCTCACTCAAAGCCACTCAACTACATGGAAACTGAACAACCTGCTCCTGAATGACTACTGGGTACATAACGAAATGAAGGCAGAAATAAAGATGTTCTTTGAAACCAACGAGAACAAAGACACCACATACCAGAATCTCTGGGACACATTCAAAGCAGTGTGTAGAGGGAAATTTATAGCACTAAATGCCTACAAGAGAAAGCAGGAAAGATCCAAAATTGACACCCTAACATCACAATTAAAAGAACTAGAAAAGCAAGAGCAAACACATTCAAAAGCTAGCAGAAGGCAAGAAATAACTAAAATCAGAGCAGAACTGAAGGAAATAGAGACACAAAAAACCCTTCAAAAAATCAATGAATCCAGGAGCTGGTTTTTTGAAAGGATCAACAAAATTGATAGACCACTAGCAAGACTAATAAAGAAAAAAAGAGAGAAGAATCAAATAGACACAATAAAAAATGATAAAGGGGATATCACCACCGATCCCACAGAAATACAAACTACCATCAGAGAATACTACAAACACCTCTACGCAAATAAACTAGAAAATCTAGAAGAAATGGATACATTCCTCGACACATACACTCTCCCAAGACTAAAGCAGGAAGAAGTTGAATCTCTGAATAGACCAATAACAGGCTCTGAAATTGTGGCAATAATCAATAGTTTACCAACCAAAAAGAGTCCAGGACCAGATGGATTCACAGCCGAATTCTACCAGAGGTACAAGGAGGAACTGGTACCATTCCTTCTGAAACTATTCCAATCAATAGAAAAAGAGGGAATCCTCCCTAACTCATTTTATGAGGCCAGCATCATTCTGATACCAAAGCCGGGCAGAGACACAACCAAAAAAGAGAATTTTAGACCAATATCCTTGATGAACATTGATGCAAAAATCCTCAATAAAATACTGGCAAACCGAATCCAGCAGCACATCAAAAAGCTTATCCACCATGATCAAGTGGGCTTCATCCCTGGGATGCAAGGCTGGTTCAATATACGCAAATCAATAAATGTAATCCAGCATAAAAACAGAGCCAAAGACAAAAACCACATGATTATCTCAATAGATGCAGAAAAAGCCTTTGACAAAATTCAACAACCCTTCATGCTAAAAACTCTCAATAAATTAGGTATTGATGGGACGTATTTCAAAATAATAAGAGCTATCTATGACAAACCCACAGCCAATATCATACTGAATGGGCAAAAACTGGAAGCATTCCCTTTGAAAACTGGCACAAGACAGGGATGCCCTCTCTCACCGCTCCTATTCAACATAGTGTTGGAAGTTCTGGCCAGGGCAATCAGGCAGGAGAAGGAAATAAAGGGTATTCAATTAGGAAAAGAGGAAGTCAAATTGTCCCTGTTTGCAGACGACATGATTGTTTATCTAGAAAACCCCATCATCTCAGCCCAAAATCTCCTTAAGCTGATAAGCAACTTCAGCAAAGTCTCAGGATACAAAATCAATGTACAAAAATCACAAGCATTCTTATACACCAACAACAGACAAACAGAGAGCCAAATCATGGGTGAACTCCCATTCACAATTGCTTCAAAGAGAATAAAATACCTAGGAATCCAACTTACAAGGGATGTGAAGGACCTCTTCAAGGAGAACTACAAACCACTGCTCAAGGAAATAAAAGAGGACACAAACAAATGGAAGAACATTCCATGCTCATGGGTAGGAAGAATCAATATCGTGAAAATGGCCATACTGCCCAAGGTAATTTACAGATTCAATGCCATCCCCATCAAGCTACCAATGACTTTCTTCACAGAATTGGAAAAATCTACTTTAAAGTTCATGTGGAACCAAAAAAGAGCCCGCATCGCCAAGTCAATCCTAAGCCAAAAGAACAAAGCTGGAGGCATCACACTACCTGACTTCAAACTATACTACAAGGCTACAGTAACCAAAACAGCATGGTACTGGTACCAAAACAGAGATATAGATCAATGGAACAGAACAGAGCCCTCAGAAATAATGCCGCATATCTACAACTATCTGATCTTTGACAAACCTGAGAAAAACAAGCAATGGGGAAAGGATTCCCTATTTAATAAATGGTGCTGGGAAAACTGGCTAGCCATATGTAGAAAGCTGAAACTGGATCCCTTCCTTACACCTTATATACATATAACTTTTAAAGATATATCTGTTTAAATTTTGTTCAATATATGAGAATATACATTAAAATGTAAAAATTAATTATCTTTGATAACTGAAATTCTATCTTTCTAGGCTTATGGTTTCTCAGCTATATTTTTCTCCTTATTATGTTATTAAATGCATCAGGCTTTTATAAATAAAATAACTTTTAGAAAGTAATACATGCCCATAAGTATTAAAATGTTAAATAATAACAGTCTTTTTCTCCATTCTAAACATTCCAATCCCAATCCATAGAGGTTACAAAAGTCAACAAGTTATTGTGTATGGCTCTGAGCACTGTCTAAATACATATAAGAGAATGTGCATGAATGTTTGTATTTACACAATGTATTTAATAGAATATACATATGTTATAAATACATATATTTGCATATAAATATGTATATGATATATACTAAAATAGGAATATACGTGCAAGAATATATGTTTTATATATATTATTATATGCATATATACTCACAAATATGTTTACACATACACTAAATGCATAGATTTGATAGCTCCATTACAGATCCTGGCTCGCTCTCATCCTATCTGATGATAGAAAAGTTACTTTGTTATGCCTCATTTTCCTCATTGGTAAAGTGGCAATAACAATAATTACCTCAGGGTTGTGTTATGATTACATAAGAAATTAATATAATAATGTACTTTGGACCCTGCTTATCACATAATAAACATTTAATAAATACTAGTTCTTAATCATTAGAAACAAATCATGAGAATCTTTTACCATTTTCATCACCGACAATGTCTACAATTCAACGTTTACCTTTTGCCAACCTAACAGATGAAAATGGTATCTGTTTGTTGTTTTAACTAATTTTGCATTGGGCTGCACATTTTATGGGTATTTGTTGAATGATTTCATTTTACATAGATTGCCTTTTATGATTTTTATGATTTTTTCAACTTTCATTTTAGGTTCAGGGTTACGTGTGTAGGTTTGTTATATAGGTAAACTTGTGTCACAGAGGTGTGGTGTATAGATTATTTCATCATCCGGGTACTAAGCATAGTACTCGATAGTTATTTTTTCTGATTCTGTCTCTTCTCCCACCCTTCTCCCTCAAGTAGGCCCCAGTGTCTGTTGTTCCTCCCTTTCTGTCCATGTGTTCTCATTATTTAGTTCCCACTTATAAGTGAGAACATGTGGTATTTGGTTTTCTCTTCCTGCATTAGTTTGCTTAAGATAATGGTCTCCGACTCCATCCTTGTTCCTGCAAAGGACAAGATCTTGTTTCTTTGTTTGTTTTTTTTTTTTTTTTTTATGGCTACATAGTATCTCATGGTGTAAATGTACCACATTTTCTTTATCCGGTCTTTTGCTGATGGGTATTTAGGTTGCTTCCATGTCTATGCTATAGTGAATAGTGTTGCAATGAACACATGAGTGCATGTGTCTTTATGGTAGACCAATTTATATTTCGTTGGGTATATACCAAGTAACAGGATTTCTGCGTTGAATGGTAGTTCTGTTCTTTTACCATTTTTATTACATTTTCTTTTTTATTCTTAAGCTATTAGAATAGTAAATTAGATTTCTATGCTGCAAATATTATCCAGTTTTTTATTTATTCTATTATTAATAATTACATGCACTATTCTTTGATGGGCTCTGAGTTTTTACTTACAGTTTAAAACACCATCCCCATTTTACCATAAACATGTTTACCTGTGTGTCATCTTTAGTTTTGATATTTTATATTTACATTTTTGGTCAATGTGATTTTTATTTGCATGTAATAAATTTTGAAAAGCAGTATGAGGAAGTAATTTGATAATATCTAATGTATTTAAATTTTTGCATACCCTATGGCACATAGGAATGCACTGTATGACACAGCAATTCCATTTCTAGGAACATTACTTATTAAGCTCCATTTACGTACTATGAGACAAGTTTGATGATTTTTTAAAAACATTATTGAAAAATAGAAGAAATCTAAGTGTCCATATGCACAAAAGTGGTTTAATTATGGTGCAGCCATAAAATTAAATACTATAAACCTGTGAAAATCAATGAATCAGAGTATTACTTACAGATACTATATTAAATGAAAAAGTAAGTTGAATGTAATGTGATGTTTATATGGTTTTAATCATGAAAAATAAAAGTAAAAAATGTTTAGGAATACAATAGCTCCTTCTTATCTGTGGAGGATACATTCTAAGACCCCCAGTGTATGCCTAAAATCATGTATAGTACTGAATCCTGTACATACTATATATTTTTCCTATACAAACAACTATATGGTAAAGTTTAATGCACAAATTAGGCACAGTAAGAGATTAACAAACATAATAAAATAGAACAATTATAAAATGTATTGTAATAAAACTTAGATGAATGTAGCCTCTCTCTCTCTCAAAATGTCTTATTGTACTGTACCTTGGGTAACTGAAACTGTGAAGGCAAACCAGAGATAAGGGGGAATACTGTACATACTTATATTGTGGAATTATAAAAGGATTCATGAGAATGTTAAACACCAGCATTAAGATAATGCTTACTTCTCAGAAGCCATGGGAGAATGTGATTTGGGAGGGGCACGGAAAGCTTCCACCAAGGTTATGATGATTTAGGCCAGAAGATGGGTACATGAATGCTCACTATTATTCTATGTACTCTTTGGGGCTTTTTGCATTTGCTCCAAGAGTGAGATAGGAATGCACTGCTCTTTTGCAAATGATTAGCCAATTTTATTCTCAAATAATATTTACTAAATAATCCCTCCTACTAATTTGCATCAAATCCTTGAATGTACATTAAATTCTCCATGTGTATTTGAGTCTATTTCTGAATTTTCTACTCTATTGATCTCTTTGTTCTATTCTAGCATCAAATTCTATTACTCTTGTAGCTTCTCACTCCCATTTAATATTTATAATTTTTTTCCAGAATTTCTTGGATGTTTTGAAGTGATGATTTTATCAGATAAATTTTAACACTTTGTCATTTCAAAACCTTTCTGTTACATCTGAATATACAGATTAATTTGTAGAAAATTTTGCATTCCTACTCAAATAGCTTTGCATTTATTTTTCTTCTTTTATGTTCTTCTATAATATTTTGAAGCTTAGTTTCTATCTTTCTATAGATACAATACATTTCTTGCTATATTTATGTTCAGAAAATGTACCATTTTATTTATTTATTATTTGAGACAAAGTCTAACTCTGTTGCCCAGGCTAGAATGCAGTGGTTCAATCTCAGCTCACTGAAGACTCTGCCTCCCAGGTTCAAGCAATTCTCTTGCCTCAGCCTCCTGATTAGCTGAGATTACAGGCATGCACCACCACGACTAGCTAATTTTTTTGTACATTTAGTAGAGATGAGGTTTCACCATGTTGGCCAGGCTGATCTTGAACTCCTGACCTCAGGTGATCTTCCTGCTCAGGCTCCCAAGGTGCTGGGATTACAGGCGTGAATCACTGAGTCTGGCAAAGGTATCTTTTTTAAAGTTATTGTAAATCAGATTTTTTTTCTTTCTTATAATTTCTACCTGGCCATTATTTTAGGAAAGTTTTTCATTTTGTTATATTAAATCTATATAAGCCATTTTATATGTTTCTCATTGTTCTAATAGTATTATAGTTGATTTATTTGCATTTTCCAGTTATATAATAATTTCATATGCAAGTTGATTATTTTGCATCTCACTTTTTGTTTTAGTACCTCTTGTTCCCATCTTGTATATAAGTATCTAGCTACCATTTCCAGAGCAGGAATCCTTGTCTTGTTCCTGACATTAGTTAGAATGGATGCATTTTTTTTTTTTTTTTAGACGGAGTCTCGCTCTGTCGCTCAGGCTGGAATGCAGTGGCGCAATCTCGGCTCAATGCAAGCTCCGCCTCCCAGTTCACGCCATTCTCCTGCCTCAGCCTCCCGAGTAGCTGGGACTACAGGCGACTGCCACCACACCCGACTAATTTTTTGTATTTTTAGTAGAGGGAGTTTCACCATATCAGCCAGGATGGTCTCGATCTCCTGACCTAGTGATCTGCCGCCTGGGCCTCCCGAAGTGCTGGGATTACAGGCGTGAGCCACTACACCCGGCTGCATTGTTTTTACAATGAGAAAAAAATAAACATATAAAAGATGAGAAGTTGACATTTTGTATTTTGGATAATTTGTTGGTATTTAATTATTTTTTATTTGTTGGCATTTTACATTTTTTTCTCAGTAATAAAAGATATTTATTTGTTCCTAATAATGCTCTATTTTGGAACATTTAGAGAAGGCATTATTTTTCAATTTGAGAGAAGTTGGATCACATTTGTGGGCTCCAGTGAAGGGCCCATGGAGGTTGGTGGATTGCTTGAGCCCACAAATTCAAGATCAGCCTGGGCAAAATGGCAAGACCCCATCTCTATAAAAAATTAATAAAATAGATAATTTAAAAAAAAGAAATAATGGATGGAATAATATCCTAGGCTTAGGAAGGGTTTATTCAAAGACCTCAGGTTACTTGGAAAAGAGAGAAGGCATTCTAGAGAAGGGAAGGAAAGTGAATGCAGACATTAATAAGATTTCACGGATAGGGATGGGAAGCAAATGGAATTTGTACTGGACAAATATTCTTCCATGAGAATCAATTTCCTGTGCTGAGTAGGAGGCAAGGTCACTTACTGAGAAACAAAAGATTGGATGGGCTAGGAACCTTGATGAAAAGCCTGAAAACTTGAAAGGCACTTTTAAGATGAGAAGGGTCAAGGCCAGGGGATTGTAAATAAATTGCCACTTGATTACAGGGAAGACTTTTTAATGGCCACTGTCTATATGCTTATGATATTTTGTTTAGTACAACTTAAAATTTGGGATAGTGGAGAGGGTGATTGGATTCATCTAGAATGGGACCATTTGAGTACATGTCAGAAGAGAGAGAAAGGAAGAAAGAGTGAGGAAGGACAGGATGCCAATGGCAATACCTTAGTTAAAAACATATATTGTGACATATATGCTGGGTAGAAAATAAGATTACTTAGGCCCAGTTCCACTTAGTCTCTACTACAGAAAAGATGACACAACTATAATATAATGCAGGATGTGATAAATGCCATAAAAGGTAAATACATGACGTTTTGAGAATACAATTTAGCAAGAATTAAAGCTTTGCTTATGGGATAAGAGCAGGGCAGAGATCATGGATAGAAGTTAAAGGGATCTTTAAAATGTAGATAAATGTAGCTGGACCTGGGACCTCTCTTAATTTGAAGTTGGCTACAAATAATCATTCCTTTGACAAATATTTAATGAGCATGTACTATGCCAGATAGTTTTCTATGTACCTGGGGAGAATATAATGACAAAAATAGCCCCTTTCCATGGTGTTTACATTATTCTACTAAGAGAAAAACCAACATAACGTGATAAAAACCTAACAATATGGTATATTAGAAGATGTGAAGAGCTAAAAAGAAAAAATGGATAAAGAGGAAAGGGGGATGTTGGTGCTGGTAATGGATGGTGTGGATGCATCACTCAATTGATCATGTTCAATAGACACAGCACACTCCTCAAACATGTTGATTCCCATGTCAATGCAGATGCCTTATCTTGCTCACAGCACTGACCTGAAATACAGAGATGTTTAATTTGTTGTAGAGAATACCACAAGATACTGTATAAGTTATAGAAACTATTTTGAAAGGTAATCAATGTCCTTTGAATGACTATAACCTACTAAAATGGGGAACCCCTAAGCTCAGTTGTGCAACTGTTTTAACTCAGAGCTATAGACTATTAAAGATGGAAGGGATGTTGCCCATGACCTGATTCAACCTTCTCATCTTAGAATGACTTGTGGGATTAAGTGGCTTGCTCAAGGGTATGGAGATAGTCGGTGGCAGACCTGATGTTCAAGTCCAGATTGGCTGCCTCCAAGGCCCCTGCTGCTTCCATTAAACCAACTTTTCACTTTACCTTAAGCAGAGAGGCAGAGGCAGAGAGGCCTCAGAGAGAGGAAGCGTGACCTGAAAGAAATAGTACCGGACCAAGAATCATGAAAGAGCATTTAATAAGGTGTCAATTTGTGTCAGGCACAATTTGAGAATTCCCACATTCATTGTCTTATTTCATCTTCTTAACAACAATTTAAGGAATATTTTATGATTCTATATGTCCTTCTGATTTTTTAAAGAATGAAAATATTACATATTTTAATTGAAGACCCCTAAGTACCACTCCTTAATTCCATATTTCTTCTTTTCCAGAAAAAAGTATCATCTTGAAACCTGATACTTCTTTAGGCCTTGCATGATTTTATATTATTACACTTAATAAGTATACATGCAAACAACAAATAGCATATTTTCAATTTTTCTAATACTAATTTTACTCTAGTGTAGATTTCTGCAGTTTTTCACTTACATTTTGAGATTTATTCAAATCCATACATGAATCTATACATTCTATTATTTTTTCCCCTTTAAATATTTTTTATAGCAGTTTTAACTTCACAGCCAAATTGAGCAGAAACTAGAGAGGGTTCTCATAAGCCCTTTCATCAGAATCCTGCACCAGAGTGGTACATTTTTTACAATTGATGAACCAGTGTTAATACATTATTATTAACTAAAGTCTGTAGTTTATATTAGATTCATTCTTTGTGATCTGCAGTTCTGTGGTTTTGACAAGTGCATAATGTTATGCATCCACCATTACAGTATCATAAAGAATAGTTTCAGTGACATAAACATCCCTTATGCTGGGCCTGTGTATCTCTTCCTCTTGCCCTTCAAATTCCCGGCAACCATTGATCCTTTTCCAGCCTCTATTGTTTTGTCTTTTCCAGAATTTCATATAGTGGAAATACCATAGTATGTAGGTTTTTACAACTGGCTTCTTTCACTTAGTAACATGCATTTAAGGTTTTCCATGTCTTTTCACAGCTTGATAGCTCATTTCTTTTTGGTGCTGCATAATATTTCATTTTCTGAATGCACACAGTATATCCATTCACCTCCTGAAGGATATCTTGGTTGTTTACAAGTTTTGGCAATTATAAGTAAAGCTGTTATAAATATTCATATACAGTTGTTTGTATCAACACAAGTTCAAATCATTTGGGTAAATACCAGTGAGCATGATTTCTGGATTTTTATGGTAGGAGTATATTTGGTTTTGTAAGAAACTGCCAAACTGTCTTCAAAATTGATTTACCATATTTAATTCATGTTCACCATAGCTTAGAAATCTATTATGTAAATATTTCAAAATTTATTTATCTGTTCTTTCACTGATGGACAGTTAGGTGGTCTCAAGTCTGATTGGTATTGGTTAATATATCTTCTTTAGTAAATTATGAATTTTTCTAAGTTATGGCTATAGATGCGGAATTTATAGGTTATTAATGCACATTTTCAACTTTATTACATGTTCTCAGAGTGATCTCCAAAGATACTGTGTCAATTTACTCTTCTTCTGCCAATATATCAGAGTTTTATATTTTATAAATTATGATCCTGCACTTGGTATTTTCAGGCCTGATTTTTTAATTCAATTAAAGATTTGTGAACTGGGAATTCAGTGTTCTTTCACCTTGTATGCATCTGATTATGGCGGGTTGAGCATATTCGTGTGTGTATTTGTCATTTTGTCTATATTAAAACCGAGACTGCTTATATTTTTCTAATTGATCTGTAGGAATTTATATATTCTGGATAATAACAGTAATAGCTAACCCTTATTGAGCTTTGTCCCTGGTACTTTCTGAGCATTTGAGATATATGAGTGCGATAAATTGTCTCAACCTTTTAAGGTAGGTAATAACTCCATTTTACAGATAAGAAAACTGAAGTACTAAAAAAGTAAGCTACTTGCTCAAGCTCAGTTTTAAGTAATGCACAATTTCTAACCAGCTCAGCTGGCTCCAAAAGGGTTTATACTAGAATAAACATTTGTCTTTTATGTGAATAGCCACAATCAGTGACTTTCCATTTCAGTTGCTTTATGGTGTTTCATATTATTCAAAAAAATAATTTGAGATTAATTGTATTATTTTATTTCTTTATGATTACTTACTGTGTTTTGTTAAAATATTCCTACGGGACGTCAAGCTTATAAAGATATTGTCCTACATTCCCTTCTGAAAGTTTTAAACTTTTAAATTATGGAATTTATTCTCTCTGTAATTTAATTCCTTGTACTGCGTGAAGTAGTTATTTTACTTTTGTTCGATGTGGATAGAATTATACTGAAGAGTATATACTTTATCCATAATTTATAAAGTCAATTCTCATCTATCTAGTTATGATAGGTCTTAGTTTGAATTTTCTGTTCTATTCTACCAATCAATTTATTTTTGTGCTTTCATTATTCTGGATTTTTGTTATACTTTGCAAAACTTTGCAAAAAGGTTTTATAGCTGGGATGTTTCCCCCTGCCTTATCCTTCTTCAAATACATCTTAGTTCCTATTCTCTTAATTGACACATAATAATTGAATAATACATATTTATGGGGTACAATATGTTGTTTTGATCCATGCATACATTGTGTAATGATCAAGTCATGGTAATTAGCATACCCATCACCTTATTTTTTTGTTCTGAGGACATTGAAAATCCTCTCCTCTAGCTATTTGAAACATACAATGCATTATTGTTGGCTGTAGTCATCTTCCTGTGCCACAGAGTACTAGAACTTATTCCTCCTAACTAGTTATCTAATATTGTACCCGTTGAGCAACCTCTAACAATGTTCCCCTCCTCTCTACCCTTCTCAGGCTGTGGTAATCACAGTTTTACTCTCAACCTTTGTAAGATCAACTTATTTGTTTATTGATTGATTGAGTCAGAGTCTCGCTCTGTTGCCCAGGCTGGAGTGCAGTAGTGCAATCTCGGCTCACTGCAACCTCCACCTCCTGGGTTCAAGCAATTCTCCTGCCTTGGCCTCCTGAGTAGCTGGGACTACAGGTGCCCATCATGATGCCTGGCTAATTTTGTATTTTTAGTAGAGATGGAGTTTCGCCATGCTGGCCATGCTGGTCTTGAACTCCTGACCTCAGGTGATCCACCCACCTCGGCATCCTAAAGTGCTGGGATTACAGGCATGAGCCACCATGCCTGGCCGAGATTTTAGATTGCACACATGAGTGAGATCATGTAATATCTTAGTTATTCTTGAGGCTTTTCTTCTCTGTGAATTTTAGGTTGAGTTTATTAAGTTTCATGAAAACCCCTGTGTAATTTTGAATGGAATTATATTGAGATTATATATTATTTAACATTTAGAAATTTTATGTTTTTATCACATTATATCTTCCCATCCACAAAATAGTATATTTATTATTTTATTCGAGTTTGCTGTAATGACATTTTGTAACTATCTCTAAATGATTTTTCATACATAGAAATATATTCAAACATATCTGATTTTATTCATCTTTTTTTGTTTTCAGAAAGTTATGTTCTTTATTTCTATTCACTATGCAGCAGTGGTCCCCAACCTTTTTGGCACCAGGGACTGGTTTTTTAGGAGTCAATTTTTCCATGGTGGGGGGATGGGGCATTGTGGGGGGTGGGGATGGTTTCAGGATGAAACTGTTCCACCTTAGATCATCAGGCATTAGATTCTCATAAGCAGCATGCCACCTAGATCCTTTGCACGCACAGTTCACAATAGAGTTTGCACTCCTATGATAATCTAATCTAATCTAATGTCCTGCTGATCTGAGAGGCAGAGCCAGGTGGTAATGCGCTCTCATCAGCTGCTCACCTCCTGCTGTGCTGCCTGGTACCTAACAGGCCATGGACAGGTACCAGTCCATGCTCCCAGGGTTGGGGATGCCTCATTTATACGATGTGTCTTTTTCATTATTGTATTTTAAACTCTTCTCTTAGATCTCTTACAGATGTTTCTCCAGGAAGTAGCATATACCTTGACTTAGAAACAATAAACCAATGGGCCAGAGTAGTACTATCATTTTTTATAATATGAAAACCCCTAATTTTTATTTATTTGGTGATTTTAATCCATTTGTATGAATTATAACCACAGATATATTTGGACTTACACCATCAGTAACAGATATTTTTTTGTTTAATTCTCCAGCTTCTTTTAAGTTGATTTTTGTAAAATTTTTCTCTAATGATGTGGAGTGTGTGTGTGTGTGTGTGTCTTTAGTTGTTAACCTTAAATTTAAAAAAGCATCAAATGTGTAAGTAAGTATACTTTCTCCTAACAAGAATAAAGCATTAGTTCTATCCTAGAACATGAAAGGAAAGGTGGGGTTGATGTATAACCCTATCCTCATGTTTTTAAGCTATAGCATTTTAATTTACATTTCTTTTATGCTTAAGGTCCAAGTGTTCTTCAGTTGGCACATGATGAATCCTGCCATGACTGGTTCCTTCCTTTCAAGGCAGCAGCTTCCCTTCTGGCCTAGGGTGTGTCTAGAAATGTCATCCAGGAGCTAGGGACTGGGATGGGGGATCTCATGACTCTCAGGAAGAGCCAAGAGGTTATGACTTTCCTTATGCTTAAGATAAATGTAAATTAAAATGCTACAGCACGATTAGTTTCTTGATGGTCAACAATGTAGAGCACCTTTTCATTTGTCTATTGGCCATTTATGTATCTGCTTTGGAGAAATGTTTATTCAAATCTTTTGACATTTTTAAATTGTCTTTTTATTATTGAGTTGTAATATTCTTATATATTCTAGATACAAGTCTCATCACATATATAATTTACAACTATTTTCACCATTCTATGATTTATCTTTTTACTTTTTGATGTATCATTTGAAACACAAATATTTTTAATTTTGATGAAGTCCAGTTTACCTATTTTTTAAAATTGTTGCTTGGCTTTATTCTGTTATATAAAAGCGTATGCCTAACTGTCATGAAGGTTTTCTCCTGAGAGCTTTAGAGTTTTGGATTTACATTTAGATCAATGATCATGAGTTAATTTTTTTTGTATGATGTGGAGTGGGAGTTCAGTGTTTTGAATGTGAATAAAGTTTCCCAGCACTATTTGTTGAAAAGATTATTCTTTCCCCACTGAATTATCATGGCGATCTTTCTGAAAATCAATTTAATGTAAAACTAAAGTTTGTCTCTGGGCTCTCACTACTATACCATTCATCTATATGTCTATCCTTATGCCAGCACTATGCTTTCTTAATTGCTACAGGTTTGTAATATGTTTTAATATCAGAAAGTATGAGTCTTCCAACTTTGTTCTTTTTTCAACATTATTTTGGCTATTTTGGATCTCTTAAATTTCAAAATGAATTTAGAATCAGCTTGCCTATTCCTGCAAAGAAGCCTGCTGGGATTTGCATTGAATGTGTATGTTAATTTGGGGGTATATTACCACCTGAACAATATTAAGTCATCTGATACATGACCATGGAATATCTTTCCATTTATTTAGTCCACTTTAAATTATTTCAACAGATGGGGGAGGCTGAGCAAGATGGCCAAATAGAAGCCTCTATTGATCATCCCCCCTGCAGGAACACCAAATTTAACAACTATCTGCATAAAAAAGCACTTTCATAAGAACCAAAACTCAGGTGAGCAATCACAGTACCTGGTATTGACTTATTCATATCACTGAAAGAAGCACTGAAGAGGATAGAAAAAACAATTTTGAATCACTAATGCCACCCCTCTTCCATCCGCACTACTATGACTGTGTGGCATGGAGAATCTGTGTATTTGAGGAAGGGAAGTCTCAGTGCCTGTGAGACAGTGCATTGAACTCCTTGCTGCCCTGTCACAGCGGAAAGCAAACCCAGCCTGAACTCAGTGGATGCCCACTCATGGAGAGAGCATTTAGACCAGCCCCAGCCAGAGTAGAACTGCCAATCCCAGCAGTCAGCAATTGAGCTCCAGCAAGCCTCACCACCATGGGCTAAAGTGCTCTGGGTTTCTAAACAAACTTGGAAGGCAGTGTAGGTTACACGGACTACAGTTCTAAGGTAAGTCCTAGCACTGTCCTGGGCATGAAGACAGTGGATGTTGGGGTCACATATCCTAATGAGACACCAGTTGGGGCAGCTAAGAGAGTGCTTGCACCACCCCTCCTCCAACACCAGGCAGCAGAGTTCGCAGCAACAAAACCGACTTCTTCCTTCTTGAGGAGAGAAGTGGGAAGAGTAAAGAGCACTTTGTTTTGCATGTTGAATACCAGCTCAGTCACAGTCTAATAGAGCACTGGGAAGAGCCTTGAAGTTCCCCATCCCAGCCCCTAGCTCCTGAATGACATTTCTAGACACACTCTGGGCCTAAAGGGAAGGAAGCAGTCATGGCAGGATTCATCATTTGCCGACTAAAGAAAGAGCACTTGAACCCTGAATAACGAGCACTGATACCCAGGTAATACATACCCTAGGCTATGGGTGAGACAGACATGCTGGCTTCAGGTCTGACTCAGCACATTCCCAGCTGTGTTGTCTATAGGGAAAGACTCCTTCTAATTGAGAAAGGCAGAGTATAAAGTAAAGGAGACTTTGTCTTGTACCTTAGGTACCAGCTCAGCCACAGCGGGGTAGAGCACCAAGCTCTTGGTGTGCCCAGTTCCAGGCCTTGATTCTTGGATGGCCTTTCTGGACCTGCCCTGGGCCACAGGGGAGCACACTTTCCTGAAGGGTAAGTGTCAGGCCTAGCAGTATATACCACAAGCTGACTGAAAAGATTTGGGGTCTTAAGTGAACATCAGTGGTAGCCTGATAGTACTCACTGTGGGCCTGTGGTAGTGGTAGCCACAGGGAGAGACTCCTTGGTTTGTGGGAAGGGCAGGAAAGAGTGGCCTTAGCCATGGTAGTACGGAGCACCAGGTAGATTTCTAAGGTTTTTGACTCCAGTTTCTGGCTCCCAGATAGCATCTCTGGATGCAGGAGGGCCTGGGAGAACTCACTGCCCTGAAGGGAAGAACATAAAGTCTGGCTGGCTTTGCCACCTGCTGACTGCAGAGCCCTAGGCACTTAGCAAACATAAGTGGCTGGTACGTAGTGGTTACAGCAGGCCTTGAGCAATAACTAAGTACTGTGCTGGCTTCAGGTCTGACTCAGTGCAGTCCTAGTGACGGTGGCCACAGTGGGGGCTTGTGTCACCTGAATCAGGACAGAGAGACAGACATCATCTATGTGGAAAAGTAAGAGTCTCTGCCTGGTAATGCAGATAATTCTTCTAGATCTTATCTAAAACCACCAATGCAGTATCTCTACAAGTCTGCAAGAACCACAGTGTTACTGGGCTGGGTGTGCCCTCTAATGCAGTTTGGCTTAGCTTACAACACCTAAGTCACTTCAAGTGCATAGAAAGCCTTTTGAAGAAAGATGGCTACAAACAAGCCCAGACTGTGAAGACTATGATAAATACCCAACTGTTCAATGCCTGGACACTGACAAACATCAATAACCATCAACATCATCCAGAAAATGAACACCTCACCAAATAAACTAAATAAGGCACCAGGAAAAAATCCTGGAGAAACAAAGATATGTAACCTTTCAGACAGAGAATTCAAAATAGCTGTTTTGAAGAAACTTGAAGAAAGAAATTCAAGATAACACAGAGAAGAAATTCAGAATTCTATAAGATAAATTTAACAAAGGGATTGAAAATTTAAAAAAGCAGCACAAATTCTGCAATAGAAAAATGTATTTGACATACTGAGTAAAGCATCAGAGTCTCTCAATAGCAGAATGGATAAAGCAGAATTAGAATGGATAAAGCAGAATTAGCTCGAATAGAGGCTATTTGAAAATACACAGAGGAGACAAAAAGAAAAAATAATAAAAAACAATGAAGCATGACTACAGGATCTAGAAAATAGCCTCAAAAGAGCAAATCTAAGAGTTATTGGCCTTAAAGAGGAGGTAGAAGAAGAGATAAAAGTAGAGAGTTCACTTGAAGGGATAAAAATAGATAACTTTCCAAACCTAGAGAAAGTACAAGAAGGTTATAGAACACCAAGCAGATTTAACACAAAGAAGACTACCCTGAGGCATTTAATAATCAAACTTGCAGCTGGGCGCAGTGGCTCGCGCCTGTAATCCCAGCACTTTGGGAGGCCGAGGTGGGTGGATCACAAGGTCAGGAGTCCAAGACCAGCCTGGTGAAGATGATGAAACCCCATCTCTATCAAAAATAAAAAAATTAGCCGGGCATGGTGCCTCTAATCCCAGCTACTCGGGAGGCTGAGGCTGAGGCAGAGAATTGTTTGAACCCAGCAGGCGGAGGTTGTAGTGAGCCGACATCGTGCCACTGCACTCCAGCCTGGGTGACAGAGTGAGACTCCACCTCAAAAAAAAAAAAAAATCAAACTTTCAAAGGTCAAGGATAGGTAAAGAATCCTAGAAGTAGTGAGAGAAAATAAATAACAAGCAATGGGGCTCCAATACATCTGGCAGTAGACTTTTCAGTGGAAACCTTATAGGCAAGGGGAGAGTGGCATAACATACTTAAAGTCCATAACATACTTAAAGTCCTAAAGAAAAAAAACTTCTACCCTTGAATAGTTTATCAGGTGAAAATATTCTTCAAACATGAAGAAGTAAAGACTTTCACAGACAAAAGCTGAGGGATTTCATCAACATCAGAACTGTCTGACAATAAATGCTAAAGGGAGTACTTCAGTATGCAAGAAAAAGTTTGTAATGAGCAACAAAAAAATCATTTGAATGTACAAAACAGAAAATCACAGACTATTATAACATTGTAACTGTGGTGTGTGAACCACGCTTAAGTAGAAATATGAAAAGATAAAATAATAACTACAACAACTTTTCAAGACATAGACAGTAAAATAAGATAGAGACAACAAAAGTTATAAAGCAGGGAGATGAAGTTAAAGAGTAGCATTTCTATTAGTTTTCTTTTTGTTTCTTTTTTTTAGATTTTTTAGTTTCTTTTTGCTTTTAGTTTTTATTATTTGCTTGTTTGCTCATGCAATCAGTGTTAAGGAGTCATCAGTTTAAAATAATAAGATATGAGATACTATTTGCAAAGCTTCATGGTAACCACAAATCTAAAAACATACAATGGATACGCACAAAAAAAAGAGCAAGAAAGTGAAGTACATCACCAGATAAAATTACCTTCATTATATGGAAGACAGGAAGAAAGGAAAGAAGATCACAAAACAACCAAAAAACAAATAACAAAATGACAGGAATCAGTCCTTAACTCATCAATAATAACATTTAATATAAATAGACTAAACTCTCCAATCAAAAGACATAGAGTGGGTGAATGGATGAGAAAACAGGACCCAATGATCTGTTGCCTAGAAGAAACACACTTCACCTATAAAAATACACATAACCTGAAAATAAAGAGATGGAAAATGATATTCCATGTTAATGGAAACCAAAAGAGAGCAGGAGTTGCTCTACTTATATCAGACAAAAGAGATTTCAAGACCACAACTATAAGAAGCACCCAGTGGCTCATGGCTATAATCCCAGCACTTTGGGAGGCCAAGGCAGGTAGATCACCTGAGGTCAGGAGTTCAAGACTAGCCTGGCCAACATGGTGAAACCCTGTCTCTAATAAAAATACAAAAATTAGCCAGGCATGGTGGTGGGTGCCTGTAATCCTAGCTTCTCAGAAGGCTGAGGCAGGACAATTGCTAGAACCTGGGAGAAAGGGGTTGCAGTGAGCCAAGATTGCACCATTGCACTCCAGCCTGGGCAACAAGAGCAAAACTCCATCTCAAAAAAATAAAATAAAAAGAAGAGACAAAGAAGGTCATTATAGAATGATAAAGGGGTCAATTCATCAAGAGAATATAACAATTGTAAGTCTATATGCATTCAATTCTGGATCACTCAGATATATAGAGCAAGTATTACTAGAGCTAAAGAGAGAGACCGTAATTCAAAAAAGCTGGAGACTTCAACATAGTGCTTTCAGCATTGGACAGATCTTCCAGAAAGAAAATTAATACAGAAACAGCAGACTTAATCTGAAGTGTAGAACAAATGGACCTAATAGATATTTACAAAACATTTCATCCAATGGCTGCAGAATACACAATCTTTTCCTCAGCACATGAATAATTCTCAAGGATAGACAAAACAAGTTTCAAAACATTCAAAGTAATTGAAATAATATCAAGTATCTTCTCTGATAACAATGGAATAAAACTAGAAATCAATAGCAAGAGGAATTTTGGAAACTAAAGAAACCCATGGAAATTAAACAATATGTTCCTAAATGACCAGTGGGTGAATGAAGAAAATAAGAAGGAAAATGAAAAATATCTTGAAACAAATGAGAATGGAAACACATCAGGGATACAGAGAAAGCAGTACTGAGAGGGAAGGTTATAGCAATAAGTACCTACATAAAAAAAAAAAAAACTTCAAATAAATACCACGATGATGCATCTTAAAGAACTAGAAAAGCAGGAGCAAACCAAATCCACAATTAGTAGAAAGTAAAAATGATTGAAATGAAGAAAACAAAAATAGATCAATGAAATGAAAACTTGGTTTTATGAAAAGATACCAAAAAATATAAACCTTTAGCCTGACTAACCAAGAAAAATAGAAGACCCACATAAATAGAATTAGAGATAAAAAGCAGACATTGCAACCAATACTGCAGAAAATCAAAGGATCATTACCGGCTACTATAAGCAACTATATGCCAATAAATTGGAAAAATTCTAGACACATACAACCTACCAAGATTGAATTATGAAGAAATCTAAACAGACTAATAACAAGTAATGAGATTGAAATAATAATGGAAAGTCTCTCAGGAAAGAAAAGCCTGGGATCTTGTGGCTTTACTGCTGAATTTTACCAACCATTTAAAGGCAGATTAATACCAATCCTACTAAAAATATTCTGAAAGGGAGAGAAGAATGGAATACATCCAAACTCATTGTATAAGGCCAGTATTACCCTGAAAACAAAACCAGAGAAGGACATATCAAGAAACAGAAAACTACAGACCAATATCCTTGATAAATATTGGTTCAAAAATCCTCAATAAAATACTAGCAAACTGAATTCAACAATACATTAAAAATATTATTTCTCATGACCAAGCGGGATTCATCTCAGGGATGCAAACATTGTTCAACATATGCAAATCAGTCAATGTGATACATTACACACATAGAATGAAGGATAAAAAAATGATCATTTCAGTTAATGCTGAAAAAGCACTTGATAAAATTTAATATCCCTTCATAATATAAACCCTCCAGAAACAGGGGATAGGAGTAACATAGCTCAAGATAATAAAATTCATGTATGACAGACCCCACAACTAGTATTAAACTGAATGGGGAAAACCTGAAAGTCTTTTCTCTAAGATCTGGAACATGATAAGGATACCCACTCTCACCCCTGTTATTGAACATAGTACTGGAAGTCCTAGCTAGAGCAATCAGACAAGAGAAGGATATAAAAGGCATCCAAATTGGAAACGAAAAAGTCAAATTATCCTTATTTGCAGATGATATAATATTTTATTTATATAAACCTAAGACTCCACAGAAAAACTATTAAAAACTGGGCCGGGCGTGGTGGCTCACGCCTGTAATCCCAGCACTTTGGGAGGCCGAGGCCAGCGGATCACGAGGTCAGGTGATCGAGACCATCCTGGCTAACAGGGTGAAACACCGTCTCTAGTAAAAATACAAAAAAATTAGTTGGGTGTGGTGGCAGATGCCTGTAGTCCCAGCTACTCAGGAGGCTGAGGCAGGAGAATGGCATGAACCCGGGAGGCAGAGCTTGCAGTGAGCTGAGATTGCACCACTGCACTCCAGCCTGGGTGACAGAGGAAGACTCCATCTCAAAAAAACAAACAAACAAAAACAACAACAACAAAATAACCTACAATATGGTATCATCGTATCCCAGTTAAAATGGTTTATAGCCAAAAGACAGGCAATAACAAATGCTGGCAAGGATGTGGAGAAAAGGGAACCCTTATACACTGTTGGTGGGAATGTAAATTAATACAATCACTATGGAGAACAGTTTGGAGGTTCCTCAACAAACTTAAAGTAGGGCTACTCTGTGATCCAGCAATCCCACTGGCTGAGTATAGACCTGAAGAAAGGAAATCGGTAGGGACTCCTATGTTTGTTGTAGCACTGTTTACAATAGCTAAGATTTGGAAGCAAAAGTGTCCATCAACAGATGAATGGTTAAAGAAAATGTGGTACATATACACAGTGGAGTACTATTCAGCTATAAAAAAGAAAGAATGAGATCCTGTCATTTGCAACAACGTAGATGGAACTGGAGATCATTATGTTAAGTGAAATAAGCCAGGAACAGAAGGACAGACATTATATGTTCCCACTTATTTGTGGGATCTAAAAATCAGAACAGTGAAACTCATGGGCATAGAGAGTAAAAGGATGGTTACCAGAGTTTGGGAAGGGTAGTGGAGGGCAGAGAGGTGGATGGTTAATAGCTACCAAAAAAATAAGAAGAATGAATAAGACCCACTATTTCATGGCACAATAAGGTAACAATAGTGAATAGTAACTTAATTGTACATTTTAAAATAACTTTAAAAGTGTAATTGGGCTGTTTATAACTAAAGGATAAAGGCTTGAGGGGATGGATACCTCATTCCCCGTGATGTGCTTATTTCACATTACATGTCTGTATTAAAACATCTCATGTACCCCATAAATATATACACCTACTATATACCCACAAAAATTTTAAAAAGAAAAATAGAAATGTGCATTTATACTGTCTTTAAAACTTACATTATTTTCCCCAAATCCCTACCCTTACTAGATGTTTTTTTGTGACTCTTTGGTCAATAACTGATTACATAGCCACCTTTGTCTATAAGGGAATCTAGACAAGCTGAGGGCAGGTTTAACAATATTGGCTTAGACAAGTCATGATTTGTCATCACTGGGTGCTGGGCACTTTGGTGCCATCCATACTCTCATTCTCTCAAGTTGTAATTCTATTAACTAGGAAGATAAAGGGGATTGTATGTTAGGTAAGGAGAAAATAGTGCCAGATATATTGTTCCTTAGCCCTCTCCTCCCACCCCCAGCACATAAACAAAACATACTGTGTACTATATAGTCTTAATTTCACCTAGAGAAAATCCATTTTCTAATTGTTTACTGTTCTACTCAGTAAGTGAAACTTACTTCTCCGTAACAAAAAAGTTCTTGCTCAATTCTTAACCATAGTCAATTACTTCATTTACATGAATTCATAGCATACCACTGGTTTTCTCCTTCAAACCACAACTACTGTTTGGAACTGGTATTGAAGTTATTGAGTAAAATTATAAAGAGCATGTAGAAGACTTATGAACCGAGTCTAACTTTACTTAGAGAAGAGGAAAGAGATTGCTGGTCCTGGTTGGGATGTTTTACATTAAAGGCAGGCAGAAGTGCAGAAGGACTGGGGCTCTTTGGAACACAGCTACCTTTTCTTTTTTGTGAAAGAACCAAATGTGTTACATTTCCATTAAAATGGAAAAGTGGGAACACAAGGAATGAGACTTCATTAGGCTATTAGTTTTATACCTAAAATGTTCATACAGTACACTGTGTCTCTACATACTGCCATACCGACCCATTTATTTTAATACCATCAATGTTTGAACACCAGGAGTTTGATCCTGTGGGATATTTGATTGCACACTTGCAAATACCAGCAAGCAAGGTTTATAATTAATCAATTTCAATAATGACCCCCAATTGTTTACTTCTTGTATCCATGTCCTGTGCAGTGTGATTTGCTGCTCTTACCATTAAGAGGTGAAATCTCTTTCCTCGCTATTTGAATATGACTGTGCCTGGTGAGTGACACTGAACGAAAGAATGCAGCAGAAGTGATGGTGTGCCAATTCCAAGTCCAGGCTTTACTCTCTTGAGATTCTTGCAAACAACGATGTGTGCAAATCCAGGATGGCCTGCTGGAGGGAGACAAGTGAACCATCACCATCTTCACCCTGACCAACAGCCAGCCAATCATTAGACAGGAGTGAGGACATCCTAGGCCAGCCACTGACCTGATGACTGCAGATCCATGAGTGAGCTCTGCTCAGATCAGCTAAATATGGCTGGCACCAAAAGAATGACTCAGCTGACCCACAGATTCATGAGTTAAATATGTCCCTTTTGTTTTAAATCACTAAGTGACTTAATGAGTGATAAATGGCATAGGGTTTAAACTATCTTGTTATGAAGAAGAATAGTTGAACCACTTGCTCTGAGTAGAAGTCAATGTAAGTCACATTTTCAATAAAAAATACAGGTTTGTTGTTATATAACTTAAGGTAAATGTGCTGGCCTAAATTATCTTTCCACTCTACTCAAGAGAAATTACAGTCTGTATTTCAAGGTCATTCTGATCAAATTCTCAAAGCCAATAATGTCTCAAAAGTACTTGCAAATATTAATATATTTTTATTTGATTTTATTAGTCATATCAAAAATCACTAAATACTTATGAATATTATAAAATTCTTGAGCTATTTTCCTTTTAAATTAAAACTTTTTAGTTTTAAATATATTACATGTTCATTAAGAAAGAAAAATGCAAAAAAAAAGTGCAAAGAAGAAATTTTTGAAAAAAAGCCTATAATCCCATTGAGCCACAAAGAATTGTTTGACATTTTAAGCTGACTTAGAGTTTCCCTAAATGGTTTCCAAATACAGACAGGGTCCAACTGGCCTCCTGCAGATAGAAATATACTCTATATGCAAATGAGAAAACTTCTGAATTTAGTCTAAAATATAGTATAGATATCTATCATGCATACACACACACACACACACACAAATTCACACAATTACCTCCTCACAGAGGTTCCTCATAGACCTTTTTTTTTCTTTTGGGGGAGGAGGGGTGTTTGTTTGCAGCAGTAAATCAGAATAGAAAGCAGCAGCAGTAAAACGTTTTATCACCTTCTGCCTGTGATTTGAGTGCCAAAGATAATTTTCTAAGTTTTTAATCAAAATTTTGAGGGTTTTGTCACAAGCTGACCCACAAGTTCTAGAATAAAATAATGTCAATAACTATGTTATTTATTTTTTGAGTGCATAGTATACACTAGATCTTCTGTTGCAGTCTCTACATTTATAATTCTGTTTTTCTCTAACTAACACTCTGAGATAGGTAATGTTATTTTTATTATTTCTTTATCTTATAAAGGAAATGAAGCTTAAGAAGGCTGAGACACCTTTGAACATTTTATTTTTAGTAAATATTGGGGCAGGGACTTCACCCAATGCAACTCATTACCAGCCTCATTCTGTTTGCCATTCAGCTACAGGGCTTCTGGGGGTCCCAAGATTCCAGAGGGGTGTCATTGTTGAATTTTGTGTGGTTCTATTTAACAAAGAATGTAGGATTGATGCAGAATATATCTTATCAATCTTATTATGAAAATTCTTCTATTCAGGGTGCCTAATACATTAACTAAACATGTGTGATCATAACTATATATATATATAAAGTTTTGTATTCATATAAAACATCATGTTTTTATGCTTCCTTTGGATGACAGTAGGTAGATCTTATTTCTATAGCCTAAGATCCAAAATGCATAGTAGAAATAATACTGGACATGAAGTTGCATGGACCTGGGTTTAATTTTTAATTCCTACCAGTTCAATGAGATTATGGGCATGTGTGTTTGTTAACTTTCATAGACATTAGTCCAACAATAGATGCAACTCTTAGAACCCTGGAGGTGGATTCTCAGGCACAGTTTTATCTCAACCAGAAATCACAAACCAGTTGACTTAAATTTGCATAATTGCTTGGTTTCAGCATTTAACTTTGACCTATTTGATGTTAAATAGTAAAAAAGAAAGAATAAAAAGAAGGAAGGTACATAAAAGGAAGGAAGGCAGGAAAGGAGAAAGGAGGGAGAGATCTTGAACATATGTGGAAGCTCTAGAGATTTCACTTAAACATCTGTGTGTCTAGGTTCTCTTGAAATACAGAATATCAAACAACACAAGCACACATTCCATTAGGCAAAAAACAAGTAGAGAAGTGGCCATTTCCCTAGTTTGGGCATATGATCACTATTGTGTCACATTCTTCACTGGTTCCTTTTATCTCCCAGGCCCTAAGGCTAAGTGGTAAATGTCAGGCATTGCCAAGTGTGTGCCTAACACCTCTTCTGGTGTTCCAGGCCTTAGGGTTTGAGACATAAATCCTAGCTAAATCCAAAATGAGTAAGAAAAGGGTTATATTACTGTCTTACTGTAAGTACAGTACTTTCTCCTTTCCTTAGAATTATTAATTACCATTACTTAGAGAGGTAATTGATCTTTTTTCTGCTGCTCCTCCCAACCTGCTCAAATAGAAATTATTTTTATTTAAAGACTGGCCCTTGGTTTCACAAAAGAAGTACTCTATTGAAGAAGGAATTAGTGAAATCAACAACTCTAACCTAATAGTAGTAGTAATAGAAATTTTAAAATCCTCTTAAAGTTGCTGCAAAGGGTGACCCCTCCTTACACTCAAGTTAAAAGAGAATACTAACAGCCTGTCTTCTCTCTGTGGACAGTGGACCTTATCTATACTCTCCACCTCCACATTCCTCAGCATTTATTATGGGCCCAGTGAGTTCCTGCCTGGCTGCAGGGTCACAAGACTGATAAGTTTAGGTTGCAAGACATGTTTCTCTCAAGATGTAAGAAATGTTGTAATGCTGCCTTTTTTTCTTGCTTCTATAACTTGCATCCCACCTCACGTAGTTCCTGCCTTAAGATGTTTAAAAGTAGGAAAAGTCCTTTGTTCGGGGTTCAGACTTTCTGGATGTATGTCTGGCTGAGTCAGTGATCACCTTGATTTGATAAACTCTCCTGAACCTTTTTCAGTTTCTCCAGTCTTTGATTGTCCCATAATATTTCTGCGGGCCCGTTTGGGATTGGAGATGGCCTATTTTCTATCTTCTTTGCCTGTGGGCTAGAGCCCCACGATGCAGGAGACCTGGGGTCCTTGGTGCCACCAGGAGAGTTTCAGCCTGGAAGGGGAATGTCCCTCCCTCGTTCCAGAGCCCTCCCCCGACAGCACAAATGGAACTGGTAGAAAGGGTTGCAGGACAGTCACGGGAGCAGCACATAGACATCTGAACCGTGGTAAGGTTTTGGCCCTAAGGCAAGACCTGTCCCATAAAGATGGAAGGGGAGCCTGATCACCTGCCAGGGTATGAGGACTAGTCTGACCTGAGGGGGTTGGGACAGTTGGAGAAGGCCATTGATTTGGATGAAACTCACACCCTAACCGACACCAGATGTGGGTGGGGCTCGTGAGTCGGTCAGAAAGAAAAACTGTTTCAGGGATGGGGAGGTGTGTGAAAGTGAGTGAAAGAGATGGTCCTGGGAGAGACCAATGTGGGGCGTGATGTGGGGAGACACAGATCTCTTAGTGTGTACTGTGTGCTCCAAGGCAAGTGTGGGAAAAACCAGACCTATGACACTGCATACAGCCCATAGGACCAGCTCTATAGCTGCAGCTAGCTGTGACAGGCATGCTCCTGGCTAAGCAGAGTCTGAACCTGCTGTAATAGGACCTGGTCTGGTCTGTCCAGGAGTGAAAGTGAGAGTGAAAGTGCATCACAAAGGGTGGAATGGGAGGAAAAGCATCAAAGCCTACTCCATTGGAGTGGATGTTGGAGAATTTCAAGAAAGGTTTTAATGGATATTATGGAGTTAAATTAACCCCTCAGAGATTGAGAACTCTCTGTGAAATAGATTGGCCTTCTTTTAGTGTTGGGTGGCTGGCCTAAGTAACGATAGACAGAGAGATAATTGGCCTTGTGTTTAGGGTCATAACCAGAGTCAAAGAACAGCCTGGGTACCTGGACCCGTTCCCATACATTGACTCCTGGCTGAGCATCATTCAAACTCACCCCAAGTGTTTACAAGCCTGTTATGAGACTTCCTGTAAGACCCTGGTAGCTCGTGCCAGATCTGAGGTAGCAAAAGAACCTAAAGGGATGGTGGAAAGAAAGGAAAAGCCTTAAGGAAAACATAAAAAACCTGTTCTGCAGGCCTTGCCCGAGAAGAGGGAGTTTCCACCTCTCTATGTCCCAATCTATCCATCTCTAGCAAGGCCAAGGCAAGATGCTGCACAAGCGGCCCCTGAGGAATCAAGTTCAGAGGAGAGTGAGCCTCAGGCATCACCCCGCAGGGAAGAGTCAGAGCCCCCTACCTATAAAGACTAAAGAAGCACTTCAAGGTGACGGGGCAGGCTGTCTCAGATCCGGCCGCACCCAAGCCATGCAGATGTTTCTCCAGGAGACAAAAAGCCAAATTTATCATGCTAAATAAGGTCAAGTACAAGGAGAGCAATGCCTTTTGGTTTACAAGCCTTTCTCCACCACTAACCTCCTTAACTGGAAACAGCATACACCCTCCTACGCAGAGAAGCCCCAGGCCCTCATGGACTTGATGCGGTCCATCTTTGTGACTCTTAACCCTACCTGGCCTGATTGTCAGCAACTACTTTTAACATTGTTCAATACAGAAGAATGCGGGAGAGTTGCTCAGAGAGCCTTACAGTGGTTAGAAAGCAATGCATCTGAAGGCAAAAATTATGTCAAGTGGTATGCACAGGAGAGGTTCCCAGAAGCAGATCCAAATTGGGATCCAACCAGGCAGAACTGCAAAACCTGCAGAGGTATTTGGAGGCACTTCTTAATGGAATAAAGGCTGGAGGGAAAAAGGCAATGAATATGGGAAAGGTCTCAGACGTATGCCAAAAGGCTGATGAGAGTCCCAGTGAATTTTATGAAAGACTCTGTGAAACATTCCAGCTTTATACACCATTTGATCTGGAGGCTGTAGGGAATCAATGCATGGTTAATGTGGCATTTGTGGGCCAGGCACAAGGTGACATTAGATGGAAGCTTCAGAAGTTGGAAGGTTTTGAGGGTATGAATATTATCCAGCTCATTCAAGTAGCTACTAAGGTGTTTGTTAATCAAGAGGAGGAAATCAAGAAAGGGGCAAAGTGCATAAGCCAAGGGAAAGGCTGATTTGTTGGCTGCTGCTCTGGTTGAAAGAGAGACTGGTTTTGTGAGAGGACGTGGACATGGTCATGGATGTGGTCACGGGAGAGGACAAGCTAGGCCAGGGTTTGAAGGCTGGCCTAGGCTTGAGAGGGATGAATGTATGAGATGCAAACAGAAAGGGCATTGGAAGGATAAATGTCCAGAAAGAGAAAAGGAAGAAAGCAGCAGCCAGGGACCTGATGCCCAGCCAAGGACTGCAGCCTCTAGCCATTGTTCTAAAGCCAGACGCTGATCTGGTTGGCTTAGCAGGAGTTGAGGAATATAAGGACTGAGACAGACTGGGATCCATCTCTCTAGGCCTCCAGGAACCCCTGGTCTCCATGAAAGTGGGAGGCCAACAGATGGACTTTATGGTAGATACAGGTGCTGAACACTCGGTGGTGACATGGCCCATTGGGCTGCTTTTTAAAAACTATGCTACTATAGTTGGGGCAACCAGACTATCAGAGAAAAGGCCTTTCTGTCAATCCAGAAGGTGTGTCATTGGAGGACAAGAAGTCCAACATGAATTTTTATATTTGCAAAATTGTCCAGTGCCCTCGTTAGGAAAAGACTTGCTCCAGAAATTGTAAGGACAAATCTTTACACCAGAAGGGGACATGACTCTAAACCTAGGTCAAAGAAAAGCCATGATAATGACCCTTACTGTCCCAACAAGAGAGGAATGGAGACTCTATGAGAGACGCAAAATTTGTAAAGATGCATTTTGACAGTGGGGAAATGAGGCAATATATGAGGAATTATTTCTCAAGCTGCCAGGGGTCTGGGCAGAAGACAATCCCCTGGGGCTAGCCATAAATCAGGCGTCCGTAGTGGTGGAACTGCTGCGGGGCAATTACCCAGTGTGAATCTGTCAGTATCACATGCCAGTAGAAGCCACCCATGGGATTATAAAGCATATAGACTGGCTCCTTAAATTTGGATAATAGAAAGATGTGCCTCTTCTTGGAACACTCCATTGCTACTGGTGTTAAAGCCCTCTGGGGATTACCGGCCACTACAGGATTTGCAGGCAGTAAATAAGGTTGCAGCTACATTATATGCCATTGTGCCCAACCCATATACAATGCTTGGGCAAATTCCTGCTGATGCTGCTGGGTTTATGTGCTTATACATAAAGGATGCATTATTCTGCATTTGACTAGCTCTTGAAAGCCAGGGCATCTTTGCCTTTGAGTGGAGCTCATCACAGTATACTTGGACCAGGCCTCCCAAGGATTTAAATGCTCCCCAACCATTTTTTTGAGGAAGCACTAGCCTCAGACCTGAAGGCTTTCGTGCCACCAAGTGACCGCTGTGTCCTCTTTCAGTACATGGATGATTTATTGTTGGCTGCACCCACAAAAGAAGAGTGCTTTCAAGGCACAGAAAGCCTCCTTCGTGTTCTGTGGAAGGCTGGCTATAAGGTATCTAAGGAAAAGGCACAAATCTGTGGCCAAAGAGCAAGGTATCTTGGCTTTAACATCTCTCAAGGGCAGTATGAGCTTGGACTTGAGCAAAAAGGGACTGTGTGCGGCATTCCTTGACCTGACACTAGACAACAAGTGTGGGAGTTTATAGGGGCAGCTGGTTTCTGTTGCATTTGGATTCCAAATTACTCGCTCTTGGCAAAAACATTGTATGAGGCTACCAAAGTGGGGGAAAAGGAACCCCTCCTGTGGAGGAAAGAACAGGACATGGCCTTCAAAGAAATCAAGAAGGTTTTGATCCAGATCCCAGCATTAGGACTGCCAGACATGATAAAGCCTTTTTACCTATATGTCCATGAAAGAAAAGGAATAGTTACAGGAGTCTTAGTACAAACACTAGGGTCATGGTATCGGCCCATGGCATATTTGTCCAAGCGACTGGACTTGGTGGCTATGGGATGGCCACCCTGTTTCAAGGCATTGGCAGCCACTGTCCTGTTAGTGGAAGATGCTAACAAGCTCACATTTAAACAAAGTTTAATAATTTGGATGCCCCATGCAGTCGTCACCCTGATGGAGCAGAAGGGTCATGGCTGGCTTTCTAACACTAGGATGTTAAGATATCAAGGGTTTTTGTGTGAAAACCTGTATATAACCTTGGAGACTGTGAATGCTCTAAATCCAGCCACACTGCTGCCAATAGAATGGGTGGAGCATGGAAAGTCCCGTTGTGTGGCCCAGGGTATCACTGTTTTGTGGAAACAGTGGATGAAGCTGAAAAGACTTAAAGAACCAGCCCTTAAAGGACCCAGATGTTGAATACTTTACTGATGGAAGCAGCTTCGTATCTGAAGGAAGACTGGCTGGATATGCAGTGGTAACACTGAATTCAGTAGCCAAAGCCTGCCCTCTGCCGGTTGGAACTTTGGCCCAAAGAGCTGAGCTAATAGCTCTCAATAAAACATTGCTCTTGGCCAAAGGAAAGTCGGTATACATCTATACTGACTCAAGGTATGCTTTTGCCACTCTGCATGCCCATGAAGCCATATCTAAGGAAAGAGGATTATTAACAACTGAAGGAAAGGAAGTCAAAAATAAAAAGGAAATAGAGCAGCTCTTAGAAGCTGTATGGGCTCCAAAAGAAGTAGCAGTCATCCATTGCAAACGGCATCGAACAGGAGGAGGTGATGAGGCTAGAGGAAAAAGAAAGGTGGACAGAGAAGCCAAAAGAGCTGCAATGACAGACGTAACTAAGAAGGAAGAGGAAACCCTTACCACGCCCTTACTGGAGCTTCCCCTTACAGAACCCCCTAACTACTCCTCTAATGAAAAGGCTTGGTTTGAGCAGGAGAGCAGAAGTTACCAGAAAGGAAGTTTGTGGAAGTTCTCAGATGGGAGACTTGCCATCCCAGAAACAATAGCTCCCCAGTTCATAAAGCAATTTCATCAAGAAACGCATATGGGAAAAACCGCATTAGAGACTCGTGTAGGATGGCATTTCTATGTGCCGTGCCTAACTGCCATCACTCGAGCTCTTTGTGAGCAATGTTTAACTTGTGCCCAAAACAATCCACAGCAGGGGCCAACATGGCCCCCAGGGATTCAAGAAACTGGAGCTACACCCTGTGAAAACCTGCTTGTGGACTTTACCTAGCTGCCTCGAGCCAGAGGTTACCGGTACATTCTAATGTTTGTCTGCACTTTCTCAGGGTGGGCCGAGGCATTTCGCACCAGGACAGAGAAAGTTCGGGAAGTAACCAGAATCTTATTAAAGGACATTATTCCTAGATTTTGACTGCCTCTAACTTTAGGACCAGACAATGGCCCAGCATTTGTGGCAAAAATAGTACAACAGCTAACGCAGATGTTAAAAATCAAATGGAAACTGCCAACAGCTTATCTATCGCCCACAGAGTTCTCAAAAGTTGAAAGAATGAACCAGACACTCAAACAGCTGTTAAAGAAGTTTTGCCAAGAAACTCATCTAAGGTGGGATCAGGTGCTGCCCATGGTCCTTCTCCGAATCAGGTGCACCCCTACTAAATTAACTGGGTATTCACTCTATGAGATTGTTCAGCCGACCACCCCCTATCATAACTCAGATAAAAGGAGATTTAAAAGAAATTGGGGGATTAACCTTAAGAAGGCAAATGCAAGCCTTAGGTGAGGCCGTGCAGGAAATACAAGGGTGGGTAAGAGAAAGGATACCTGTTAGCCTCACAGATGCAGTACATCACTTCCAACCTGGAGACTCTGTCTAGATCAAATGATGGAACCCATCCACTTTAAGGCCTTTATGAGATGGTCCCCATATTGTGATCTTGTCTACCCCCACTGCTGTTAAAGTTTCAGGTATCACACCTTGGGTTCATCATAGCTGGCTGAAACCAGCAGTAGCCACCTCCCAGGACCAGTGGACCAGTCAACAAAACCCAGACCACCCGACACGGCTGATCCTGCAGTGAAACCAAGCTGCTGCTGACAAGGACAACTGCCCTGCTCCGACCACACTGGAGGCTGGTCGGTCCATGCATGGCTGAAGCTTGAGGAAACATGGAGCCTTGTTCTAGTCACACAACTGGAAGCTGACTAGTCTATGCACAGCCAAAGCCTGAGGAAGTCAACAATAGACAAGAAAATGTGGATTAAATTTACAAACATAGTTATATTCTTACTTGTACTGATTGTTTTGCTGTCATGATATCTTTGCAAATGCTGCCAAACTTGTTATCCAGAAGGGTGCCCGTGCATAGTATAAGTAAGTTTAATTATATTAGTAATACTGAAGCCACTGACACTTTCACCTATGGTTATAAAAGGGGACCAGGATGCCTGTCATCACTGTATGATAGTCACACTTTTTCCAGACCAGCTTCTAAAACTCTGTTATACCAGACCTACTATGAGTGTACAGGGACTCCTACAGGAACTTGTGTCTATAACCAGACTAGTTACCTGGTCTGTGATCCTGGAAATGGGCAGCTCCAAGTATGTTATGACCCAGAGTTCTTGCCCTGTGACTTCTGGTTTGAAGTCCAAATTGGCGAACCCCTAATGCCATCATATACAAACCTCACAGAAACCGGGGTCTGTAAACTTGTAAACAAAACAGACGTATTCCCTTACTCACATAAAGGGCCTGTCTCTGTATATTTTGATGCCTGCCAAGCTGTACATCTCAGTAAACTAAATAATATTGGGACCATCTGTAAAAATCTAGGACAAGACAGTCAGCATCAGAGCCTCCAAGGACATACATACCACCACCCGAATAATGGCTCTGCAAAAGTACCAACCAGTATCCCAAGATGAGTATGTACCCACTCAAGAAGAAGTAGCTAACTATTGTGCTCTTTACTAATTTACATTTGTGTTGAGCACCAAAAAGGAGTAATGAAGAAGGAATTAATGAAATCAACTATAACATAATAGTAGTAGTAATAGAAATTTTAAAATCCTCTTGAAGTTGCTGCAAATGTGACCCCCAACTTACACTCAAGTTAAAAGAGAATACTAACAGCCTGTCTTCTCTCTGTGGACAGTGGACCTTATTTATACTCCCCAGCTCCACATTCCTCAATGTTTATTACAGGCCCAGTGAGTTCCTGCACTGTTGCAGGGTCACAAGACCGATAAGTTTAGGTTGCAAGACATGTTTCTCTCAAGATGTAAGAAATGTTGTAATGCTGCCTATGTTTCTTGCTTCTGTAACTTGCTTCTTGCCTCATGTAGTTCCCACCTTAAGATGTTTAAAAGTAGGAAAAGCACTTTGTTTGAGGCTCAGACTTTCTGGACATATGTCTGGCTGAGTCAGTGATCACCTTAATTTAATAAACCCTCCTGAACGTTTTTTGGTCTCTCCATTCTTTGATTGTCCCACAACACTATATTCTAATAAAATTCCTCATTTAAATTATAATTTTGTAGTTGGGTGTGGTGGCATGTGCCTGTAGTCTCAGCTATTTGGGAGGCTGAGGCAAGAGGATCCCTTGAGCTCAGGAGTTCAAGGCCAGTCTGGACAACATAGTGAGAGCCAATCTAAAAAAATTGTTGTACTTTTCTCTAATTGATTCGATCTGTATTACTTTTTAGGGCACAGGGAATACTATATTTTAGTTGAACCCATTGAGCTGAGTTAGATGCAATAGGTCAAATATGTTAATGTTCATGCCTTCAAAATTAAAATTCTTTCTACTTCCCTCCTCCAAAATGTGGGGCCTATAGATGAGGTGGGTGAAATTAAAGTATCTTCACTTTTTATTCTAGGTGTTTTGATCTCATCAGTGGTGTTTCTGATCTTGCTGGTCTTCTAGGTATTGGTCCCCATTATGTGCTTACACAGCTTAAGTTTCCAGACAGTGGTATGCTAGAGCCAACTTGTACTAGCTTATGAAAGCCAATTGTGTACATCTTGTCCCAACTCTATATTTTGTCATTTTGGCTTGTCACTTGGTAGTTTTAAAGGGCCATGCTTGGAGTATTTATAACCTGGAAATTGGCAAATGCTACAAATCTCAGCTGTTTCTCCTGAAGAGTTGATTGTTAAATATTTACAAACATACCACTCCCTCCAGATGAAGTGGAATTCAAGCTGTGTATTGTCCTCTTCCATTTCCACTGTGGGCTTGTATAACTTGCTTTGACCAGTTTGACATTAGCAAGTATCGTGTCAGCAGATTTTTGTTAAGCCTTGCACAATGGAGATAGTCCTCTTTGGAACCTTGTAACTACCATGCTATGAGGAAGCCAAAGTCACATGAAGAAGCCATATGGAAGAGAACTGAGAAACATAGTTGAGAGCTAGAATGAGAACTCAGACATAGGACCTAAATTTAGCAATCCCAGCTAGCAGCTGTCAGTGTAAGCTACCTCAGGAGAGGTCCCAAGCAGCTTGGAATAGAGATGAGATGCTCCATTTTACCCTTCCTGAATTCCTAACACACAAAATTGTGAGAAAATAAGCTGGTAAGTTTTGGCGTGGTTTCTTACACAGCAATAAAACACTTGAATGAAAATGTTTTTCAGCTTTCTCAAAGTCTCGTGGCTCTTGATAGCTGACTCAATTTTACCTCACATTTTGTTCATATTACATATGTGTCTGAGAATCCTCCATAATTTCCACTTGGTAAATGTCTTAGGCAGTTATGCCATTTCTCTTCATCTAGATCACCAGCACTCAATTCTTTGGTTGTCCTATGCTCAACAGAACCAAAACACCTCAGAGAAACTAGCCTCTGGTCTTCTAAGAGCAGACCACTCTTACTTGCAGGTATCTTTGATTGCTATACCCAGGTTGATGTGAGGACAGACAATAACACAATATCTTTCTAGCACCCTCAGAGTGATTTGGGTATAAAATTTCCTGCCTAAGATAACTCACTTGACTTTAAGATACCATTTAATTTCTGGGCTAAATTTTAAAAATAACCATTTAATGACAACATGTTTGAGAAAAGTCCAAGAAACCTATTCCTTTTCAAATGAAAATGATTTTATAACAGTACAGTCACATACTTTTAAAAAGCTAATTGAGGCTGATAATCTAAATTACTATGCCAGTTATACTGAGAAGTGTAGTCTACAGTAACTTGCATTTGACATGGAGTTGATCTTCTGCTGACTTGATCAATAACTTAGCAGCCAAACAGGTGGCTCTATTATCTTACTTTGATGCTAAGAATCTGATTTTAATCAGATTTTAATTAGTTCCATGGATAAAATCAATTTGGACATGAGTTTGACAGTGCTACTTTAAATCTAACATTATGAATTAGAAATATTGGACATGATTTCTGTAATGTGAAGATTTTAATGCAACCTTATTTTCCCATTATTTCGGTTCATGATTTTAAAGTATACTAAAAAAAAAAACTTGGAGAATCTTAGAAATATTAAACACTGTTTTTTTCTGTTGTTCTTACTATTTTAGGCTTTTGGATGGGAGGCTAATGATATCTCACTGTGGTTTTAATTTGCTCTATCTTGATGACTAATAAAGTTCAGCACATTTTCTCATGCTTACTGACCATTTGGATATCCTCTTTTGTAAAGTTTCTATTCAAACTTTTTGTATATATTTTTTCTATTTAATTACCTATTTGGACTGACTTCTAACATTTTTTATATATTTTAGATAAGAGCCCTTTTTCAGATAGATATATTGCAATTATGTTATCTATGTGGCTTACCTTTTTCCTCTCTTAATGGTATCTATTGAAAATTGAACTATATTAATAAAATTCAGTGTATCAGATTTTATGATTTGCACATCTTTTTTCTGTTTGAAAAATCTTTGCTTATATCAAAGACATAAAGATATTCTCCTATGCTTTCTCCTAAAATAATTTCTTTATATTTCACATTTAGATCTGCAACCCATCTGTAATAGCTTTTTTTTTTTTAATGGTTTGAGGTAGGGAACCAAGATTTTTTTTTTTTAATTCAACAAGGATATTCAGTTCATCCAGTACCATATTGGAAAGGCCACACTTATGCCACTGCTCTGTAATATTCCCTTTGTCATAAGTCAATTGACAGAGAGCCATGTAAGTGTGGTTCTCTGCACTCTATTCTGTTTCAGAGTCCTTTTGTATCTCCTTATGCCAATATCATTGTCATAATTGCTGTAACTATATAATGAGCCTTGATATCGTGTAGTGCGCTTAATTATTTTTGACATTTATATATATATTTTCTTTTTGTTATTTTATTTTTAAATTGACATATAACTATATGTATTGAAGGAGTACAGTGTGATATTTTGGTACATATATTCATTCTCTAATATCAAATCAGCTAAGGAGAGGAGGGGGAAGAGGGAATGGGAAGAGGATAGTCAATTGGTATAAAGTTACAATTAGGAGAAATAAGTTCTGATGTTCTTTTAGAACTGCTCCTGCTGGTCTATGGATTGCATTTTGGGTTGTGAAAGGCTTTTTTTTTTTTTGAATTTACAGACTATATTAATTTATTTATTTGTATTATTTATTTATTATTTTTATTTCCATAGGTTTTTGGGGAACAGGTGGTATTTGGTTACATGAGTAAGTTATTTAGTGGTGATTTGTGAGATTTTAGTGCACCCATCACCCGAGCAGTATACACTGAACCCAATTTGACTAAAGGTCTTCTTAAAATGGCATCAGGACCCATTAGGTGGGTCCTAATTCAATATGACTTGCATCTTTATGAGGAGATTAAGATACAGATACAGCGAGGGAAGACCATGTAAAGACATAGAAGATAAACATCTGCAAGCTAAGGACAGATGCTTCAGAAGAAACCAGCCCTGCAGACACCCTTGATCTCCAGAACTATGATACATTTCTGTTGTTTAAGCTGACCAGTCTGTGGTACTTTGTTACAGCTCCAACAAGGTAATACAACTATTGTTACTTTCTTGTTCAATAATTTCAAAAATGCATTTTTCAATATGTACTCGAGGCTCACTGGGTCACATTGGGAATATATATATATTCCCTATGTATGTGTATATATACAAAATTATTTTTAATCTTTTAATATGTTGGCTTCATATTTTGGTCACTGTAGCTTTGGATTATTTTATCATTTTATTAATTCACCTTTATTCAGAGTGTCAATCTTAAGTTTTCAATGAGATTTTAATATACCTATTGATAAAAGAAGAAATAGGTATAATTAGGGTGAACAAAAAGAAGTCGTTTGGACAAAAAATATAGAGTAGACAAAAGACATGAGTATCCAAGGTCATGAATACTGTAATAGCAGAGAACGGAGGCAGCCTGTCAGGTAACACTGAGCAGGAACCAAACAACAAACTAAAACTTTACATACGTGTCACTTGGGGATTTTGTTTTGTTTACATGTGGATTCTGAATCAGTAGCTCTGGAGTGGTGCCTACGAATTCAGGTGACATGGCTGCTGGTGGTCTATTGATTGCATTTTGAGTTCCAAAAGGCTAGATTATCTGCTTCTTCATACTTTTATCGACTTCCTAGCATTCTCTGGTGCAGACCTGTTTCTTCCACCTGGCTCACACTCATCTCATTGATGTACTTGCAGCTACTGTACATTTTGCCCTCATCTTATTTGCTTAAGTTATACTTGAAAGACTTTTATCTTTCCTGACCCAAGTGAAACTATTTTGTCAATCTGAGTGGGTTTAATAGCATTTCCTGGTGCTATCTCCAGCACCATTCTATGTTGCCAGTCCTCTTCAATGAAACCAGAAGTCACTTTCTGTTTATTTCCAATATAATTGGGCTGTACTTAATGAAAACCTGACATACAATTCTACAATTTTAAAAAGGTTACTTTAAAAAAAGGTGGATATATATATATATATATATATATATATATATATATATAAAATGATGAATTTAGAGGAAAATGTGAGTTATTGAAAAATGAATAATGTTAGATATTCTAGCAGAAATACAAAACATTACTATTTAATAGTGAGCATCCTAGCTTTCATGTTGTAATTATTATATAAGAAGATATTCCTAACATTTTAGTTATTTGTCATTAAAACTTAAAAATTTATTGAGTTAATATGCTATTAGGCAAAGAAATATAGGTTTCATTGTATATAAGTAATATCTTTTGAAATAAATAGTTATTGATATGCATCATCAACTCTTTTGACATTTGTGTTATCTCAATAATGAAGAATAAAAATGGAAATAACTGACATTTTAACTCACTAGTTATTATAGTTAACTGATATTTTAACTCATATATGTATATTTATATATATATATATTTAACTCATATCTATCTATATATAACTCATAATTTTAATTATAATAACTATATTTTGAAGTCTTAACCCCAATATGATCATATTGGGGGGGGGCTTTGAGAAGTAATTAGGTTTAGATAAAATCATGATGGTGGGGCCCCCCTGATGGGATTAGTGTTCCTATAAGAAGAAGAAAAAATTGATCTCTGTCTCCCTTCTTCCCTCTCTCTCTCTCTCTGCCATGTGACAATACAGTGAGAAGGCAGCAGTTTTCAAGCTAAGAAGAGGACCCTTATCAAGAACCAAATCTGGTGCCACCTTGATGTTGAAATTCCAGTGTCCCAATCTGTGAGAAATACATGCCTTTTTTTTGAGTTGTGGAGTCTATGGTATTTTGCTGTAGCAGTTTTAGCTGACTAACACAGAAATTGGTACCACAAGTGGGGTGCTTATTTAACAAATACCTAAAAATGTGGAAGCAGCTTTGGAACTAGGTAATGGGTAGAGCTTGGAATAGTTTTGAGGTACATTATAGAAATGTACACAATGAGGACAATTATGATGAGAGCTCAGAAGAAAGGAGTTGTAGAGAAAGTTTACATCATATATAAGTAGTCATAGACAGAATAATGATAGAAATGTGGACAATAAAGCCCATTCTAGTGATATCTTATACAGGTATGAGGAACATGTTATTAGACAATGAAGAAAAGGCAATCCTTTTCATAAAATGGCAAGGAACTTGGCTGAATTGTATTCATGTTCTAAAGTTTTATAAGAGATAGAACTTTCAAGCAATGAAATTGGATATTTAGCTGAGGACATTTCTAACCAAAGCATTGAAGGAGTGACTTGATTCCTCATGATTGTTCATAATAAAATGTGAGAAGTTAAAAATAAATTGAAGAAGGAATTGCCAAAAAATATTTGTAAAATTCTGAGCCTATGCACATTGCAAAAATTGAGAAAATTTGTTTGGAAGATAACCTCAAGTGTGTAGCTGAACAACTATTTGATAAAAAAAATTTCTGTGGGTATGAGCTATAAACCTAATCAGCCATCTCAACAGAAACCAGAAAGAGATACCTCGCAAGAATTGGACCACGCCTGCACACTGTTAATGAACTCCCAGCCTCCATAACTGTGAGAAATAACTTTCTGTTATTTAAGCCACCCAGTGTATGGATTGAAATTGCTTTCTCCAGCTTTCTTCTGAAATATACACATTGAACTCAGCATAATATTTGCTTCTAACTGGCATCATTTAATGTTGTGTGCCAGGGGGACCTCCTATTCTTACTGTATATTAATTAATTTTGGTTATACAGAAGGGGGCTCTGTGAATCTTGACTTCCTGCCAGTACAATCAAATGTGAACTGTGGTAATGGAAAGCAAATGTTACCTTCAGAATTCTAGTAAGGAAGATATTACTTACAACTTATTTAAAAAGTAAGTTATGTTTTAGTTTAATGATGACAAACTTCTTTAGTGGTTACAGGGTCTGAAATGAGCACCCAGTTAGTATTCTGCTCTTTCCTGGTCCATGCACAATGCAATTTCAAAATTTCATTTTTTAACAGCTTCATTGTTATTGATTACATCATGCCTCTACCCTTCATATGTTGAAGCCCTAACCCTCAATGTGACTGTATTTGAATTTAGGGCCTTTAATGAGGCAATTAAGGTTACATTAGGCCATGAGGTAGGGCCTAGTCTGATAGTACTGGTGTCCTTCAAGAAGAGAAATAGATACCAGTGATCTCTCTCCTTTTGTGCATGCACAGAGGAAAAGCCAAGTGAGAAAACAGAGAAGGTGGCTGTCTATAAGCAAGAAAGAGAGGCTTCACCAAAAACCAACTGGACAGCATTCTCATTCTGATCTTGGACATCTAGCATCTAAAACTGTGAGACATACATTTCTGTTGTGTAAACCTCCCAGCCTGTTTTGTTATGACAGCCCTAGCAGATGAATATGCCTATTTTCCACATTTTATTAATTTTAGAATGACTCTTCTTTCTTTTGAAAGCAACTATTGTGAAAAGTTGAGAGTAAAAGCAAGTGGAGATGGAAAGAAAATGACTGAGAAAATAAGCTTGTTCTTAAACTCTGGCTTGTATTTACTAGAGTTTTTACTAGCTAGAGTATTTACTACACAAGAAGATACCTGCAGACTGCTGTGGTTGCACAAAAGTCTGATTGTAAGGTTTTCTCTTGGGCTGAAATATTTCTTATCCTTCTGCCCCACCATGTATAGGGAGCTAACTATAATTTATAGTCAGAATGTATGCGGTATAGTCAGCTTATATACATTATACATATATGAATATTCATATTGTTTATTAACATATTTAACTAATTTTCACATTGGAATAATTTTTGACATATTTGCTAATGTATCTCTCCCCTCCAAGATACACAGACACCACAGACAAAGACCACACACACATTCACATACACTTAAAACCCTTTTAGGGCCAGAATTTTGTTCTTTTCTTCTTTTCCTTCCTTTCCTTCCTTCCTTTCCTTTCCCTACCTTCCTTCTTCCCCTTTCCCTTCCCCTCCCTCCCTCCCTTCCTCCTTCCGTCCTTTCCTTCCTTCCTCCCTCCCTCCTTCTCCCTTCCCCCTCCCCTCCCTTCCCTTCCTTTCTTTTTCTTTCTGCCTTGCCTTTTCCTTTCTTTCTTCCTCTTCTTTTCTTTTTTTTTTTTTTTGAGACAGAGTTTCGCTCTTGTTGCCCAGGCTGGAGTGCAATGGTGCGATCTCGGCTCACCACAACCTCCACTTCCCGGGTTCAAGCGATTCTTCCGCCTCAGCCTCCCTAGTAGCTGGGATTACAGGCATGCACCACCACACCCAGTTAATTTTGTATTTTTAGCAGAGATGAGGTTTCTCCATGTTGATCAGGCTGGTCTCGAACTCCCAACCTCAGGTGATCCACCCGTCTCGACCTCCCCAAGTGCTGGGATTACAGGCATGAGCCACTGTGCCTGTCCAGAGGAGCTTTCTAATACATAGTTGAATAACAAAATGAATAAATAAATAAATCATACTCCAGTTAAATCTGCTGGAGAGATTTCAAAGTATGTGACCTGCATGAAACAGGTCTAACAATGCAACAGAGTATGATGAACTTGAATAATTTGGTGGGACCACCATGACAATGTTATGACTCTTGATGTGAATCCTACTATTTTCAATGTTTATTATGAAAAGGCCATGACTAAAAAAGCCCTGAAAATTAGCTGGCCAAAAGCTACATAATTTAAGTATACTTTATTCATGTTCAAATACTAAATTGTTATTTCATTAATACTTGACCTTAGGTCAAACACATTAGCCTGCCAAGTAAAGTCTATGTCAGTCAAGGTCCCATGTTCCCCCTAAAAGATTTATAGAATTGTGTGGTACCCCAAATAAATATCATTTCTAAGGTCTTCTCTTTTTCTCCATCTGTTTATCTGTCATCTGTCTCTCTCTCTTTTTCTCTTAAAAAGAAAATTCTCAAGATGCTATCAAAACGATTAAGTTGTATGGAACAAGAACAGCATTGCGATGTTAGTTGCAAATTATATTAGGACTAGGGCATCAACATGAATCAATCTCTTGTTTTACTCTTTATAATGTAACTGTAATGAACAATTAATCTTTGCGTGTTTTTTTCTCCAGTGGAATTAATGCTTAGGCTTGTGTAGAGCTCCCCTCCATACAATAAAGATATACTCTTTTTACTTCTGTTTCAATTGAACTCCTTTATAAATCCTTAATAAAGGATATGCTGATTATGGGATTAAATATTTAATGTTTTTTGCCTATCTGGAATTTCTTTCTCTGAATTCAACAATAGGGTAAGAACCCTAATAAAATAATCTCTTTTACAGAACACCTGTTCCAGGAACTACAGTAGTTTCTTTATATATGGGAAACAATTTAATCCTCATACCCACACAGGAAGTTGAGCATGAGTATCTCCATTTTCCAGATAAAAGACTGTGAGGACTATGCACATTGTCACCCAGGTTGGAAATGCTAGAGCTGGGATCAATATCCAGATCTGTCTGGCATCCTTTTCAGTCTAAATACATAAAAGAAGTATTTCATGGGGATACAGTGAGGTGTCACTAATATATTAGGTGTCATAAGGTTTAGATTTATGATGAATTTAGCCTCCACTTTGCAAATTTCCATTTAAAAAAAGAAGTTGTAATGAATTATTGTCATAACCTTGCTATTCACTGAGTACTTCTTTTGGTGTGCCTGGAAAAATGGGTTAAGCACTTTATATGCATTAGTTCATGTGATCCTCAGAAGAAATTATGTAGGTGCTTTTATTTGTATTTGACAGATGAAATAAGTGCAACTCAGAGAAGTTTATCAACTTGCTCCAGGTTACACAACTTTAAGTGGCAAAGTTGGGGCTCAAACCAGAGCCACATCCTTAACCACCACCCTTTTCTGTAAAACAAGCTCGGAATCCACTTAAAAACTGTTTTTTTACAGTTTTATCAGAGCCTAAGATCAGCCCTGGGAATGAAAGGACTGAGGCTGGAAGTAGGGCTGAGACAGTGTTGTGTTTCTTTTTTCTTTGGTACAGAGTCTCGCTCTGTTGCCCAGGCTGGAGTGCAGTGGCGTGATCTCAGCTCACTGCAGCCTCCACCTCCCGAGTTCAAGCAATTCTCCTGCCTCAGGCTCTAGCATAGCTGGGATTACAGGTGCATGCTGCCACACCCCGCATTTTTTTTTTTTTTTGTATTTTTAGTACAGATGGGGTTTCACCATGTTGGCCAGGCTGGTCTTGAACTCCTGACCTCAGGTTATCTGCCTACCTCGGCCTCCCAAAGTGTTGGGATTACAGACGTGAGTCACCGTGCCTCCCTGGTGTTGTGTTTCTACTAAACAAGCAAAAGAGGAAGACCTTCAGCATACAGTCTTTATGGTAGTGTATGCACCACAGTAAAGGAAAGTTTTTACACTTATTTTCACTTTGTGTGCAATGAATGTCAATTGGGAAGACTGTTTTTATAGGCGCATAGACGCAACCTCCAGACTGGTAAAGTCATAGGGCCATGCTAACTCTTGAAATCTGAGAAATCCATTTTGTCATTCTAGGTAGTCATCAGAAATTTCAAAACACAGACCTTGTCCTCATTCTTGCTTTTGGGGAGAAATGTTCTTTGTATTCATTCCAGAAGCACATAGTCATTTTTCATTATTTAAAAATGTTTTACAGGGTCACGTTAACATTCTGCAATGTCACATCAACATTTTAAAAATATTTTTTAAGCAACCAGCTCTCTTTATGGAGGTATTTGTCAAGAGGAAGTTCTGTTTCGTCACTAAATTCTTGTCACCCATGCAGATACTTTATTGGGTGATTTCCCACTACTTCTCCCATTCTATTCTTTCTCAAGCATCATTATCATGATTATTTTATTTAGGATCTAGTAGTTATCTTTTTTTTTCTTCTCTATATCCGAACCTTAGAGTAGGGCTGTCCAATATAGTAAATTTAAATTTAAATTAATTTAAATTATATAAAACAAAAAATTCAGTGTCTCAGTTTACTAGCCATGTTTAATGTGTACAATAGCCTTATGTGGCTTGTTGCTGCAATATTGAACATTGCAAATATATTTATTTTATTTCTAAAAGTTCTAGTTGTTAGCTTTAGAGCTTTGATTTCCTAAAAAAGATATCTCTTAATGAATATTGCAGTAGATTGCATTAATTTTCATGATATATCTTGTACCTCCATTGTATGTCTCTCCATGGAGTTCCCTGAATATGATGCCATTCCTTGCAAAAGGATTGTATATACCTTTGCCCCATTGTCATCAAACTTGAATAATGGCTTGCTTTGTCCAATGAATTATAAGCACTAGTGATGTGTGTAACTGATAAGAGGAAGCATTAGTGGCCAGTGTATACTTCGCCACAATATCTTTTCCCTCTGTCGTGAGAACAACACTGTTTGAAAATAGAGTTTCTTCTGAGTCCCTGAATTAAAGTGGCACTAAACAGATTGGAACACATCCATAATTAATATTTAATATGGAAGAAAATAACCCTTTATTGTTACAATTACTACTTTATGTATCATTTATTATCACATGATAACTTGACATAAGCTGACTGATACAAATATGGACACTTTTCAGTATTCTAGAGATGAAAACAGGGATACTAAGTGTTTTTCATCAGTGATATTTTGTGCAGGGCTGGGCTCCAAGCCAATGTAACAGTAATAAACCATACAGAAAACACAGTTGCCTATCAAGTTCACATATCATCCAGAGAACAAAAGCTATGCCTCCGGGTGAATTGGTAAAACCATGTAATAGGACGAGAGCTAGTATTTTTGGATTTCATTCTATTATCAAGTGCCCAGAATCTGAGTGGTTTTATCCCTAGGGTGTGAATAGACCTCAGATGAAGAGCTCTCTGTGCTAAATGTGCTTTCTGCAGTCGAGTGACTCCATTTATACTAATGACTTCTCTGGTGTCTGCAAGGGAGAGGTTTCTCTCTTCTTATTTCTAGGGTATTTGTCCTACCATTTCAATACTACTTTTATATTTTGCAGTTAAAATAGGGGAGTAATGACAAGTATGAATACACAATAAGTGATTGAAGAGTTAGGAATAAAGTAGGTTATTAGTTAGTGACCTGCCCTGCCTGAGGAGATGTGGGAGATGAGGGGACTCAAATTTTCAGTTTAATATTTTATTTTGTTATGTGTATTTTGATGCTTGGATTTGTGTATTGAATGAAAAGAAAAAATTAAAAATTGTCATTCCTTGCAGATTAGATCCTGCTATCCATAGTGACTTAGATAATGTTTAAATAAAGAAAGTAACCTATGGAGAGTTAGAGACCCATTTAAATGTCTTGTGTGTCTTAGTCAATAGAATTTTGAGATCATCAATGATGAATCTCTCTAAAAATGAATTCTGGAGCTAAAATACCCAAAAGAAAAGACTATTATCCCATAAGATTGAAAGGGCACTGGCCTAAAGATGTCCTAGCACTGATTTTAACAGCATATTAAAATTCCCCCATATTGGGGGAATAAATTCCTCTTTATGGCCTCTACCCTTCCAGTTTGCTTAGATGAGATCAGTGGCTCTAACTTGTGGGTGGATTTTAAGAAAATCATCTATGCAGTTTAGAAATACATATATCATATGCCTAGGTGTAAAAAATGTGTAAGACTTTACCTGGAAACTAACAAAGTTTATCAATACATTGAACCAAATTTTTGTACATGCTTGAAAATGAGGTAGTATTCATCTAAACCACATTGTCTTAAAATAAGATGCTAATTGTTATGCCCAGGGAAACTGCTAATAAAATAAGTAAAAATATATAGTACAAGAAAAAGTAAGGAAATAAAATGGGATTCTAGAAAGTATCTATTTTACAGAGACAAGGATAAAAATTGAGGGATAGAGGAACAAAGGCATAAGATATATAGAGAATAAAAAGCAAAATGGCAGATATAAGTACTATCTTATAAGTAATTATATTGAATGTAAAGTGATCAAACATTCCATCAAAATGTAGAAATTGGCAAAATGGATAAAAAACAATGATCCAAATTATGCTTCTTATAACAGACACACATTATATTCAAAGACACAAATAGGTTGATATTAAAAGCCTGAAAAAAGATATACCATGAAAACAGCAACCTAGAGAGAACTGGAATCACTATACTAATGTCAGAAAAAATCAACTTTAAGACAAAAATAGTATTAGAAGAAAAAGGGATATTTAGGATGATAAAAGGATCAAGCAAAAAGAAAGATTTGAAAATTATAAACATCTATGCACCTACAAATACAGCCCCAAATACAAGGAGCAAAACCTGAAAGAATTGAGGGGAGGAAAAGACAATTTAATAATAATAGCTGGATATTTCAATACTTCACTTCCAACAATAGGTAGAATAATTAGGAAAAATTTAACAGGGATGTATATATTTTTTTGAAAAGTGTCCGTTTATGTCCTTTGCCCACTTATAACAAGTATATGAAAAAAAGCTCAGTAGCACTGATCGTTAGAGAAATGCAAATCAAAGCCACAATAAGATACGATCTCATACCAGTCAGAAGAACTATTATTAAAAAATAAAAAAATATCAGATGCTGGCAAGGTTGCAGGGAAAAGGAAATGCTTATAAACTGTTGATGGGAATGAAAATTAGAGCAACCAACATGGAAGACAGGGTGGCAATTTCTCAAAGATCAGAGTCAGAAATACCATTTGACCTAACAATCCCATTATGGGTATATACCCCCCAAAATGTAAATAATTCTACCATAAAGACACATGAACATGTATGTTCATTGCAGCACTGTTCACAATAGCAACGACATCGAATCAACCTAAATGCCCATCAATGGGAGACTGGATAAAGAAAATGTGGTACATATACACCATGGAATACCATGCAGCCATAAAAAAGAATGACATCATGTTCTTTTGCAGGAACATGGATGGAGCTGAAGTCTACCATCCTTAGCAAACTCACCCAGGAACAGAAAACCAAATACCGCATATTCTCACTTATAAGTGGGAGCTAAGTGACGGACACAAAGAGGGAACAGACACTGGTGCCTACTTGAGGGTGGAGGGTGGAAGGAGGGAGATCAGAAAAAAATAAGTAACGGGTACTAGGCTGAGTACCTGGGTGATGTGATAGTCTACACAACAAAACTCCATGACACATACCTGCACATGTACCCATGAACCTAAAATAAAGGTTAAAAAAAGTAAATATTTTGCACACAATCTAAAAAAATATTCAACAGGGAAATAGAAGACTTGAATAGCACTATAAATCAACTAGACCTAACAGATATTGTATTAGTCTGTTTTCATGCTGCTCATAAAGACATACTTGAGACTGGATAACTTATACAGAAAAAGAAGTTTAATGGACTCACAGTTCCATGTGGCTGGAGAGGCCTCAAAATCATGGTGGAGAGTGAAAGGTGTGTCTTACATGGTGGCAGGCAAGAGTGAATGAGAGCTAAGGGAAAGGGGAAACGCCGTTATAAAACCATCACATCTTTTTAGACTTATTCACTACCATGAGAACAGTATGGGAGAAACTGCCCCTATGATTCGATGATCTCCCACTGGATGGATCCCTTCCATAATATGTGGGAATTATGGGAGCTACAATTCAAGATGAGATTTGGATGGGGACAGAGTTAAACCATATTATTCCAAGCCTGGCCCCTCCCAAATCTCATGTCTTCACATTTCAAAACCAATCAATGCTGGGGCATTGGTGGTATAGTGGAGAGCATAGCTGCCTTCAAAACCAATCTTGCCTTCCCAACAGTCCCTCAAAGTCTTAACTCATTTCAGCAGTAATGCAAAAGTCTACAGTCCAAAGTCTCATCTGACACAAGGTAAGTCCATTCTGCCTATGAGCCTATAAAATCAGAAGCAAGATAGTTACTTCTTAGATATAATGGGGTGCAGGCATTGAGTAAATACACCCATTTTAAATGGGATAAATTGGCCAGAATGAAAGGACTAAAGGCCCCATGCAAGTCCAAAACCCAGCAGGGCAATCAAATCTTAAAGCTCTAAAATGATCTCATCTGGCTCCATGTCTTACATCCAGGTCACACTTCTGCAAGAGGTACGTCCCATGGTCTTGGGCAGCTCCACCCCTGTGGCTTTGCAGGGTACAGCCCCACTCCTGGCTGCTTTCACAGGCTGCTGTTGAGTGTCTGGCTTTTCCAGGTGCACTGTGCAATCTGTCAGTGGATCTAGCTTTCTGGGATCTGGAGGATGGTGGCCCTCTTTTCACAGCTCCACTAGGCAGTGACCAAGTGGGGACTCTGTTTTGGGGGCTCACACCCCCACATATCCCCTTCTGCACTGCCCTATCAGTGGTTCTCCTGAGGGCTCCACCCCTGCAGCACACCTCTGCCTGGACATCCAGGTGTTTCCATACATCCGCTGAAATCTAAGTGGAGGTTCCCAAACCTCAATTCTTTACTTCTGTGCACCTGCAGGGCCAAAACCACCTGTAAGCCACCAAGGCTTGGGGCTTGCATCATCTGAAGCTATGGCCTGAGCTCTACATTGGCCCCATTTAGCCATGGCTGTGAATGGAGGGCACCAAGTTGTAGGCTGCACACAGCAGGGGGTCCCTGGGTCCTGCCCAGGAAACCATTTTTTCCTCTTAAACCTCTAGGTCTGTGATGGGAGGGGCTGCCACCAAGGTCTTTGACATGCTCTGGAGACATTTTCCCTATTGTCTTGGTGATCAACATTTGGCTCCTTGTTACTTATGCAAATTTCTGTAGCTGGCTTGAATTTCTCCTCAGAAAATGGGTTTTTCTTTCCTACTGCATCATCAGGCTGCAAAATTTCCAAACTTTTATGCTCTGTTTCCCTTTTATTTTTATTTATTTATTTATTTTTTGAGACAGAGTTTCACTCTTGTTGCTCAGGCTGGAGTGCAATGGCACAACTTTGGCTCACCACAACCTCCGTCTCCTGGGTTCAAGTGATTCTCCTGCCTCAGCCTCCCGAGTAGCTGGGATTACCGGCATGCACCATCATGCCTTGGTAATTTTTTATATTTTTAGTAGAGACAGGGTTTCTCCATGTTGTTCAGGCTTGTTTCGAACTCCTGGCCTCAGGTGATTCACCCACCTCAGCCTCCCAAACTGTTGGGATTACAGGCATAAGCCACCACACCTAGCCTCTGTTTCTCTTTTAAAACTGAATGCTTTTAACAGCACCCATGTCATCTCTTGAATGCATTGCTGCTTAGAAATTTATTCTGCCAGATACCCTAAATTATCTCCCTCAAGTTCAAAGTTCCACAAATCTCTTGAAAAGGGGCAAAATGCCACCAGTCTCTTTGATAAAACATAGCAAGAACCACCTTTACTCCAGTTCCCAACAAGTTCCTCATCTCCATCTGAGGCCATCTCAGCCTGGATTTCATTGTCCATATCATTACCAGCATTTTGGTAAAAGCCATTCAACAAGTCTCTAGGAAGTTCCAAACTTTCCCACATTTTCCTGTCTTCTTCTGAGCCCTCCAAACTGTTCCAACCTCTGCCTGTTATCTCATTCCAAAGCCACATCCACATTTTCAGGTATCTTTACAGCAGCTCCCCACTCCCGGTACCAATTTACTCTATTAGTCCATTTTCATGTTGCTGATAAAGAAATACTCAAGACTGGATGATTTATAAAGAAAAAGAGGTTTAATGGACTCACAGTTCCATGTAGCTGGGGAGGCCTCACGGTCATGGTGGAATAGCAAGGGAAGTGTTACCTGACATCAGAAAAGAGAGAATGAGAGCCAAGGGAAAAGGGAAACCCCTTATAAACCATCAGATCTCTTGAGACTTATTCATCACTACTTACTCCCCGAGAACAGTATGAGAGAAACTGCCCCTATGTTTCAATTATCTCCCACAAGTTCCCTCCCACAACATGTGGGATTTATGGGAGCTAACATTCCAGATGAGATTTGGGTGGTGACACAGTCAAACCATATCAGATATCTATAGAACACTCCACCGAACAATAACAAAATACATATTCTTCTGTGTGAGAAAAGATATGGTCAGTGGCTCATTCTTTCAAGTGCACATGGAATATTCTGCAGGATAGTACATATGCTAGGCCATGAAGGAAGCCTCAAAAAATTTAAAACAATCTGAAATAAAATAATTACATAAAGTATGTTTTCTGACCATAATGAAGTTACACTAGAAATCAGCAGCAGAAAAATTTGAGATTTGGATACAGATGACCAAATAAGGAACTCATTGCATATGTTATTCTCATGGCCAACAGACTCCTAATTTGATGTGAATATCTCTTCCTTTGAAAATTTTTCATATCTATGTGTGTGTGTGTATATATATATATTTTAATGTATATAAATATATATAAATTTTTATTTATAAAAATTAATATATCATTATATATAAATATAAATTTATATATGTATATTATATATATTTATATATTATATAAATATATACAAATTTTATATATATAAATTTTATAATATATAATATATTATACATAAATTTTATAATATAATATATATTATATATAATATATACATATATAAATTATATATAAGATATATTATATATAATATAAATTATATATAAGATATATTATATATAATATAAATTATATATAAGTATATATAATATATAAATATAAATTTATATATATTTATGTATATTATATATAATATAAATTTATATATATTTATGTATATTATATATAATATAAATTTATATATATTTATATATTATAGAGAAATATAAATTTATATATATTTCTATATAATATATATACATTTATATATTTCTATATAATATAAATATAAGTTTATATATAAATATAGAAATATATAAAATATATAAATATATATAAATTATATTTATATTTATATATAAAAATTGTATATATTTGTATACAAAAATATATATTTTATATATAAATATATACATATATAATATATAAAAATATATAAAATATATATTTATATTTATAAAAATTTATATTTATATTTATATTTATATATTAAAATATAAATTTATATTTACATATTATATATTTATATATAATAGATATATTTATTTATTATATATAATAGATATATATATCTATTATATATAATAGATATATTATATATAGATATATTTATTATATATAATAGATATTATATATAGATATATTTATTATATATAATAGATATTATATATAGATATATTTATTATATATAATAGATATTATATATTGATATATTTATTATATATAATGTATCTATTATATATTGATATATTTATTATATATTTATATATAATAGATATATTATATAGATATATTTATTATATATATCTATTAAATATATTTATATATAATATATCATATATTATATATAATATATCATATATATTTATATATCTATTATATATATTTATATATATTTAATATAAATGTATATTTATATTATATATTTATGTTATATTTATATTATATAAATATATATTTATATATATTTATATTATATATATTTATATGTAATATACATATAATTTATACATAAATTTTATATATAAAAATTATATATATAATTTATATATTAAAAATTCATATATAAATTATATATATTAAAAATTTATATATAAATTTTATATTAAAATTTATATATTTTATATATTAAAAATTATATATAATTTTATATATTAAAATTATATATACAAATTTTATATGTATAAAAATTATATATATATTATATAAAATGTATATAGAAATATTATATAAAATGTATATAGAAATATATATTATATATAGAAATATATATACTTATACATAAATATATATGTTTATATTAAATACATATTATATATAAATATATATAAATATATACTTATATATATTTATCAAATATGTGTATATTTATATTATATATATTTATATAATATATACATATTTATATTATATATTTATATTATATATAAATATATATTATATATAATACATAAATATTTATATTATAGATATTTATATTATAATATAAATATATATAAATATGTTTTTATATATTATATATAAAATATATTATATAAAATATAATATATGTTATATATAAAATTATATATAAATTATATATAACATGTATTTTATATATAATATATATTATATATAACATGTATTTTATATATAATATATATTATATATAATTTATATTATATATTATATATAAATATATATGTAAATATATATATAAATTTTTGATTAGCTTTACTAATCAGCTCAGATCATAAGGTGTGCACTTAGAGAGTAGAGAATAATTTCCATTTTTGGTTTTCTAGGATTTACGTGGCCTCTCTGCCTAATGTTCAACTGTGTTTTAAATGGCCTCTCTGACTAATGCTCTATTTAATGTTGATCATTAGCTACAACAACTGGATATCAAATGTTCTCATAACAGTAAGAGGCAGACAGGAAGATAAGTTGTTCAGGATACCTGGTTAGAGTTAGTACAGTTATCAGCTAAATGAAAGAGAGAGAAATAAAGCCATGGAGGACTTAATCATGGTTAAAACAGTTTTAGAGTAACCATAATAAAAATAAATTATTTTCGATTAAGGTTATAATTATTATAAAGCTAGACATATTTAGGAGTGGGGAGAAGGGTCCTTATTATTTCATTTTTTTAAAGAAAGACACTGGAATTAGTGACTTATACAACAGACTTGCTTCATCTATGTAACTGAGGACTGGATTAAACCGTTTATATCACTTCTTTTCACTCTTTTTTTTCTCATTATCATTCGTGAGAGAACACTTATAGTTTGAGGGGAAGGTTTATTCCTGAGCCTTTACTTCTGGGCTTATTCTTTGATCCTCTTAATATTACCCTGTACACTCTATGGAATTCAAATTAGAGGTAAAGGGAATTGAGTTCCTTCTGCGACCTTTTAAATAATGAAGTGTCCCTATGTTCTGTACCTTAGACTTTTCAGTCTGAAAAAAAATCTCATCATCTCTTAGCACTCATTCATCTGCCACACTTCCCCAGAATAACTTTAGGGAAGATCTTCAGTTATTTCTCTAAACTAAAGAATGCAATTCCTTCTGGGAACATTTCTGGGTACAGTGAAGCCATCGTATTAAGTAATGCTCTCTTTCAAATTTGAGAAGTAGACATTTCTCTCTCCCCTTCTACATTCATGAGGCTATTATTATATAAAAAATTCATTTAAAAATACAAATGGAATTTTGCCCAAAAGAAAAATAGGAATTAAAGCAATTTATTCATATATATTTTTTCTTTCATTTACAGTACACGACAACCGATCCTCCTAATCTGCACTTCTTATTATTCCTTACATTTACCATATACTCCTTTACAGTGTTTTCATTCCCACTTCCTAAATACTTAAAATATGATTTGAGTGACTATCATGTGGCAGCTACTTTTATTATATTGTTTCTAATCATTGCTAGAGTCCTGTCATTTGTCTACAATGGTCTTTACTCAACAGATGAAAGAATAGCGCTTCAGAAATGTTAGTCACTAGGTTGAAGTGGAATAGTGAAGAGTCATAACTGGGATTAAAACATAGGCTGGCAAATGCAGAAGATTGAAACTAGACCCTTTCCTTACACCATATACAATAATCAACTCAAGATGGATTAAAGACTTAAATGTAAAACCCAAAATTATTAAAATTCTGGAAGACAACCTAGGAAATACCATTCTGGACATAGGAACTGCAAATATTTTATGACAAAGACACCAAAAGCAATCACAACAAGAGCAAATATTGACAAATGGGATCTAATACATCTCAAGAGCTTCTGCACTGCAAAAGAAACTAGCAAAACAGTAAACAGACAACCTACAGAATGGGAGAAAATATGTGAAAACTATGCATTTTACAAAGCCCTAATAGCCAGCATTTATCAGAAACATAAGAAAAAAACAAACAACCCCATTAAAAAGTGGGCAAAGGACATGAACAGACACTTTTCAAAAGAAGACATACATGCGGCCAAGCATATGAAAAGAAACTCAATATCACTGATCACTAGAGAAATACAAATCAAAACCACTATGAGATACCATCTCACACCATCAGAATGGCTATTATTAAAAAGTTAAAAAATAAGAGATGCTGGCAAGGATGTAGAGGAAAGGAAATGCTTATACACTGTTGGTGGAAGTGTAAATTATTTCAACCATTGTGGAAAGCACTGTGGTGATTCCTGAAACAGAATTACTATTTGACTCAGCAATTTAATTACTGGGTATATACACAAAAGAATATAAATCATTCAAATTTAAAGATATAAGCACAGGTATGTGCATCACAGCACTATTCACAATAGCAAAACCATGGAATCAACCTAAATGTCCATCAGTGGTAGACTGGATAAAGAAAATGTGGTACATACACACCATGGAATACTTTGCAGCCATAAAAAAGAACAAGATCATGTTCTTTGCAGGAACATGGATGGAGCTGGAGGCTATCATTGTTAGCAAACCAACCCAGGAACAGAAAACCAAATGCTGCATGTTCTCACTTATGAGAGCTGAACGCTGAGAATACATGGACAGAAGGAGGGGAAAAACACACACTGAGGGAGAACATCAGAAGATTAGTTATTGGATGCTGCACTTAATACCCAGGTGATGGGTTGATTTGTGCAGAAAACTACCATGGCATATGTTTACCTATGTAACAAACCTGTACACACTGCACCCCAGAACTTAAAGTTGAAGAAAAAAAAATACCAGTGTCTGATCATTTATTTAAAAGATCCGTGAAAAGCACGGGCAACTGCAAAAGCATGGTAAGAATTTTGAGAATCTCCTATAAAGAACTGGCAATGTAGAATAGGAAATAGCACTATAGGGTGTTCAAGAAGAATAAGCAAGACTAAGTAAGTGATTAAATAAGAGTTAAGGAAGAAGAGGGAGAGTAAGATGATACAGTGAACATTAGCTAGATGATCATCAAGTCATTTTCTCTCTCTTTGAACAAAGTTAATTGATATTTATTTTATGTACCTTGCAGTTGGGTGAAGCCACATGAAACACTTTTGCCAGTGGAATATAAACGTAAATGATTTGTGGGTTAGAGAGTTAAAGTACATGTCTTTTCCAAGCTCTCTGATCTCCCAGTTATTGAGGTGGATGATGTCAAAATGACTTGGTACCACATTTTGAAGATGGCAGATTCATTAAAGTATCTTGCATCCCTGAATGATTGCATGGGTACAAACCACACCCCACTGATCCACATTTGACTCAAATGTGAATGAGAAATAAATGGAGGGGGGTGTGCATGTGTGTGTTTTGTGCACACTAACACTTTAAGATTTTGAGGTTTTTTTTTTTTTTTTTTTTTTTGGAGATGGACTCTCACTCTGTCACCCAGGCTGGAGTGCGGTGGTGCAATCTTGGCTCGCTTCAACCTCTGCCTCCCAGGTTCAAGTGATTCTCTTGCCTCATCCTCCCATGTAGCTGGGATTGCAGGTGTGCACCACAATGCCTGGCAAATGTTTGTATTTTTAGTAGAGACACGGTTTCACCATGTTGTCCAGGCTGGTCTTGAACTCCTGATCTTATGTGGTCCACCCGCCTTGGCCTCCCAAAGTATTGGGATTACAGGCGTGAGACACTGCACCTGGCTTTGAGTTGTATCTTTTTAACAGAAGTTAGAGATACACTGACTAACACAGCTATCATTTATATTTCTTGCTTGATATTATGAACAGATGAATAATACCTTTCACTGAACTCTGGAATATGGTGTAAGTTTTTGGAGAGGAAGATGACTTCAGATTAATCAACTAATTTTGATATGCCTATGGTTTATGAAAAAGCGCATGCCAATTGAAGGTCTGGATATGATTCTGGAGCTCAGAAGAAAAGATAAGGCTGGACACTTAGTAATGAGAGTTATTAGCATAGATTAAAATTGAAATTGAAATTATGATAGTGAATGATAATACCCAAGAGTTTTTATGCTATGAGAAGAGACATTGTCCAGGACCAATACCTTATGAATATAAACACTGAAGAAATAGAGAAAAAATAACTTCCAAAGGACCCTGGAAGTGGAGTTGAGGGGTGCAACAAAATGGTTGAAAGGAAACCCAGGATAAAGGAGCATCTATAATACACAGAAGGACAGAGTTGTGCAAAGAAAGTAACAGCCAATAAAGTAAATATTTGCAGAAAGGTCAGGGAGTAATCAGTTTATTATTTATTATGTGTGTTATGGCCATATGTCCTATTTGTTTAGAATAGTCACAGTTTATGCTTAATTATTAACAGTGCTCCTTTCACTCTCAAAAGTATTCTGGTTTAGGTGATAAGAAATATATTCACTTTAATCATGAGACTCTTTGGTAAAAATAGTTTCACTAGTGATGGAATGGGTTTGCTGCAGGTTGAGAAGTTAATGGATGAGAAAGTGAGAAGGAAGAAATACATGTTACTGTGAAGAAAAAGAGAGAATTGAGAAGGTTAGTTGAAGACTTGATGGGGGGATTTTTATTTGTTATTTTTGTACTCAAAGGAAACGTGAGCATATTTTGTGCCAAGAGGAGGAAAATAACTACAGAGAGAAACAGATTTCTTGGTAATAAAGAAAGTTTCTTAGATTTAATTCTAAATAAGGCAATATGAATTAAATATCAATTTTTTATCTCCTTTGTTAATCATTGGTTCTCCTTTTTGCCACTCAGGATCACAGATATAACAGGTTTTAGGCCTACATTATGAGTGATATTCCCTTAAAAATGAAACCTTTTAATCAAATCATGGACTATGAAGCCAACACTACTTATTTAATACCTAGAGTATAACCAGAAGCCTATTTATTATCAAATATATTTTTATTTCTTCTCTTTTGGGGATTGTAATCACTATTTGATATTTGGCTATATGTTAATGACCTCAGAAGTCTGTAAATATCCAAAATTTGCAATATAGAAGTAAAGAATAATTTATCCACAATATGCTACTAAATAATCAGTATTAACTGTACTACATATGAAGAAAAGGTCAGAATTAGAACTGGTAAGATAAAGTCAGAATAACCGCAATTAGGATTCTTATCTGCTTAGAAACATGAGGAAATGCAACCTTCAGTATCATTCAATCATGCATCTCTAATTAAATATTTTGTTTAGCAAAGAACTTTATTGCATAAAGAACCATTTTTTAATGAAAGATGTCCTTCTCTCATGGAAGAAAATGAAACTGTTTTAAAACAAATAAGATTTTTTTTTAAGTTTGAAAAGGTAATGCTGCTAGAATTGGTGACAGGCTTATGGGCAAAGCAGGCACAAGCTCAGTGGTTCATGTATAATAGCAATCCAGGAGACTTAGCTGTAAAGTTGAAGTTGAGATCTCATTATAAAAAGGAACTTACTGCTGTTGAAGATCTGTTCCACTAGAGTTAATATTCGGCCCAAGAGAAGCCATTTTTCAGAGAGATGTCAGTGGTAATTGTGATTTTCCCAAAGTAGTAACATTCTATATAAAAGATCATCTCTCATTCTCACTATGAGACTGCCATATTAAAAAATATTTTAGTTTAAGAACTATCTGACTCATCTACTTTAACAGCCAAGCAATATTTGTATTGGACTTTCCTAACTTATTTTTTCCCCCAGGTCTCTGTAAATTTAGACTTGTTGGAAAACAGTTATGTATTTCCTCATGGAGATGAGTGAAACTTGGAGAAAGGAAGTAGGGTCTTAGCAAAACTAACATTAAATAGCATTGGATAGAAAGAAAACGTTTGTCTTAAGTGGACAGGAATATACAAGTTAACATACGAGAGAGGGTAGCAGGCTTGGTTATGCTGAGATAAGTAGACAAACAGAGTCTTTGGGAAAAACACGAAGAGCAATCAGGCCTGCCTGTATTTAGAGGAGCTAGAGGTAAGATTGCAAGATGTTGGAGTGGAGCACCATATTCACTGGGAACAGAATGGAGCTGTACTTAATATCAGACTTTACTGTGGGACTGTAGCAAGCTTATGAATCCTTTATTTCTAGAACTTGCACTTAAGCTACATTTGATATGTTTCTCCTGGGCACTAACTTGGTGTTCCCATTAAACTTGTTTTCTCCCAATCTTGTCCATCTTGTTGAATGAAAGAACCACCCAGATTCCAAGAAAGAAACCTGGGAGGCCGGACGCGGTGGCTCACCCCTGTAATCCCAGCACTTTGGGAGGGCGAGGCTGGTGGATCACGAGCTCAGGAGATCGAGACCATCCTGGCCAAAGTGGTGAAACCCCATCTCTACCAAAATAAAAAACATTAGCCGGGCGTGGTGGTGCAGGCCAGTAGTCCCAGCTACTCAGGAGGCTGAGGCAGGGGAATCACTTGAATCCAGGAGGCGGAGGTTGCAGTAAGCAGAGATCGCGCCACTGCACTCCAGCCTGGTGACAGAGTGAGTCTCAACAAACAAACAAACAAACAGACAAACAAACAAACAAAAACTTGGGAATCATTCTTAATTTCTCTCTTCCTTGTTCTTTTATATCTAACCAATGCCCAAGTTAAGTAAATTGTTTCCTATAAGTATTTGAAATACATGCACTTCTAACCATCTCCATTGTTATGATGCTATTCTATGTCCTATCATCTCTTAACTGGACTTCTGTAACTATCTTTTCACATTTATTCTTATCTTCTACCATATACTCTCTAAATAGCATTTGCTCTAATGTCTGGACAATAAAAATCTAATCATGTTAACTCCCTTCTTTTATTTATTTTTTATTTTTTTGGAGACGTAGTCTCACTCTGTTACCTGGGCTGGAGTGCAATGGCATGATCTTGGCTCACTGCAACCTCCCCCTCCTGGGTTCAACTGATTCTCCTGCCTCAGCCTCCCGAGTAGCTGGGATTACAGGTGCATGCCACCACGCCCAGCTAATTTTTGTATTTTTAGTAGAGACGGGGTTTCACCACGTTGGCCAGGATGGTCTCGACCTCTTGACCTCGTGATCTGCCCGCCTCGGCCTCCCAAAGTGCTGGGATTACAGGGGTGAGCCACCGTGCCTGGCCAACTCCCTTCTTAAAGCCATTTGTTTCCCATTTTCTTTACAATGCTGTGATGGTTAATATTGTCAACTTGATTGAAGCATCCAAAGTACTGTCTGTGAAGGTGTTGCCAAAGGAGATTAACATTTGAGTCAGTGGACTGGGAAAGGCAGACTCTCAGTCTGGGTGGGCACCATCCTATCAGCTGTCAGCAGGCAGAATAAGGTGAGAGAAGCTGACTTGCTGAGTCTTCCCGCCTTCATCTTTCTCCCATGCTGGATGCTTCCTGCCCTCAAACATCAGACTCCAAATTCTTTGCCTTTCAGACTCTTGGACTTAAATCAGTGTTTTGCCAGGGGCTCCTGGGCCTTTGGCCACAGACTGAAGGCTACACTGTCGGCATCCCCACTTTTGAGGTTTTGGGAGTCAGAATGAGCCATTACTGGCTCCCTTGCTCCTCAACTTGCAGACAGCCTGTGTAGCACTTGATGTTGTGATCGTTTGAGTCAATTCTCCTTAATAAACTCCCTTTCATATATCCATATATCCTATTAGTTCTGTCCCTCTGGAGGACCCTGACTAATACAAATGCTTTCTAACATCTGTACTACATGGCCTTCTTCTTTCTGTATTGTGTCTGTCTCTGGAACATTTTATTTCATTTATATATTTATTTATTTAGAAACAGAGTCTTGCTCCTTTGCCCAGGCTGGAGTGCAGTGGCCTGATCTCAGCTCATTGCAGCCTCCGCCTCCCAGGTTCCAGCAGGTCTCCTGCCTCAGGCTCCCGCTATGACCCCTGGCTAATTTTTGTAGTTTTAGTAGAGACGGGGTTTCACCATGTTAGCTGGACTAGTCTCGAACTCCTGACTTCAGGTGATCCGCCTGCCTCAGCCTCCCAAAGTGCTGGGATTACAGGCATGAGCCACTGCCCTGGGCCATTTTTCTTTTTTTAATGCAATTCTGCCAGCCAATTTATATTTACCCTTCTGGTCTCAAATTAAATGGCATATCCATATGGAAAATCTTCCTGCATGTCATTCAAGCTAATAAAGAATCTCCTGTTTTATATTATAACAACCTGTCCACAGCATGTATTATAATGTAATTAACTATGTTTGTTATTTGTGTAATAACTGGGTTAGTCTTTTTCTGTTAGACTATAAAATCCATGAAGGCAGGCTCTATGAAATGTTGGATTCCCTAGCATCTACAATAGGGCCTGGAAGTTGATAGCTACTCATTGTTAAATTAGCAAATCAATGAATACCTGACTAAAGAGTTTAATAACAAAAATATTTTTGTGACTCTGAAATTATTTTACACAATAAGAGTCACTTTGACAACGATTCAAGATTAATCTTATTTATATTTGAAAAAATGTCTGCAGTCATTCTCTTGTTCTGGACCTCTTAACTTCTTAGGATGAAAACACATATTTTTATGTCCTAAAGAGCTCCCTGGCTCTTGTTCAACTTATGTGTGTTTGTGTGTTAGTCAATGTGTGTGTAAATGCTAAGGGTGGGTTTACAGGATTTTCACAGGTTTCTCTCTGGATATAAAGATATTCTAGAAAAGAAAAACTGAGAGAGAATCTCCTCAAAGCCAATCACTTTCCAGATGTTAAGTGACTTGCTCAAAGCCATAAAAGACAGTTATAAGTAGGACTTTCCACTCCAAGAACAGTGCTTTTTTTCTAAGGTAGCATCCTGACCTTCTTTATATTGTCTTATACATATAGCTACATATAGATATTGTAGATGCATGGAATAATAATCTCATAAGCCAAAAAATAATGCTAACTGATGACAACTTTAGAAGCCACGGTATAGTAATTGTTTTAGCACATTGATTTGTTAATGTGGAAAGCACTACAGGCCTAGAATCTGGGACAAACTGGGCATTTATCCTGCATTGAGCACATTCATTTTTGTTATATTTCTCTATTTTTGAACTTAAGTACAAAGTGGTGTTTCTCCTTCTCCTTAGTTCATAGCACATTAATATTATTTGTCCAGTAAATTCCCCCCTTTTAATTTTATTTTACTTCATGTTTTTTTCCTCATTTCTCATTCTCACTCCCACTCTGATTATCAATTCTGTTGTATTTGATATTTATCTTTAGATATGTTTCAAGATCATATATTACTGTTAGGTTATAAATCGCATCTGATGAACAGTTTCTGCACCCAGAACAGTAGTTCTTTACTGAGGGAAATTTTGTCTCCTCAGGAGATGTACAGTGCCTAGAAACATTTTTGGTTGTCACAAGCCAGAGCATGCTACTGGCATCTACAGGTGTGCTGTGAAATGTCTTACAATGCCCTGAACAGACCCCTACAACACACTTATCAATAGTGCTATGGTTGATAAATGATTACCTAGAATAGGAATAAAATTATGTGTAACATCCAATGCTTGAATGTAGTCTATCGTTTACCAGCACTGTGATCTTGGGAAACTTACTTTTTTCTGAGTCTCAGTTTTATCAGAGTGGAAGATTATACTGCTTGCTCTGAAGGATGACAATATATGAGAAGTGAAATGAAGTGAGTATTCAGCAAAAAGTACCTGTTACTGCTTTGCTCTTGACTCTTTTAAAATAAATGTAGGAAAAACATATAAAAATTATTCTGTATATTATGCAGCTGTGCTGTGGAATACTGTGTCCACTGTGTAACTTCCTATCTATGTTTATATAAATTTTCACATAACTGAGGAATTTCAACCTGTTCTTAAGAACATTCTCTGACTGAGAATTTCCTTAAATAATACTGACCTGTTAATTATCTTCTATTACAATATTTCTACTTGGATATGTCTGTTTGATCCTCTTACAATTGGGAGGATTAAAAAACACATTGCATTAAAAAGTTATTTTTCTATGTAGACTTTGTCTCTTTAATTGTGCTGTATGGTTTCATAGCACTTGAGTTACACATTGGTGTTAATATTTATCACTCATTATTCTGATTTATTTAATCAGTTTTCTGTCTTCTACAAAAGTATGTGAATTCATTAAGTGATTTATGTATCTGTAAGTCCCTGGAAATTAGTATATGGAAGGAGGCAGAGTCAGTGCTACAAGGGAAGGGCTCAGGGTGGCATATATAAGAATTGAGGAATAGGCACATTTGGAAGAAACAACGTTCTTGTGAACTAATGGATATAATATTGGGAAGGGTGACTGTGGGAAAATAACAGAGACATGAATATCAGTTAGAGTAAGGAGTCGAAGATGTATCTGATAAGTTAAGGAAAAAATGAATCATTCCAAGGGATAGACATGGTAAAAATGTAGATATTTGGCAAGGCTAAAGTGATTGCAGTATGCAGGGCAGTGTGATAGGGGAAGAAATTGAAAGATGAAGGACAAATTAGGGAGTTAATTAATACAGTAGGTCACACATGAAGCTCCAGTATATCACAGAGAAGGTCACACAGGGGACACTGTGGCAATAGAAGTAGTAATAGGAGCTAGTGACTGATCACTTATGGCAAAGAAGAAAAAGCCTCATTTATAGCATCAAAGTTTTACCCCTGAGAACATAGTGCTGATGACAGAAATACGGAAGTCAGTGGGTGAAGAGAGTTTTGGTATAGAAGACAAAAAGTGAACTAACATGCTTCTGTTGCCTGTTGTAAGCACTGGGGTAGATAGTTTACAGAATATACTTTCTTCTACAAAGATATTTGTAATTCTGAAATTTTGAATTTCAAATTTTTACAATTAAGTGTAGAGTTTATTCAAGCTCAAAGCTTGAGGATGGCCACCTGGGAGCACAGATTCAAGTTGTCCTGAATATACCCTTCCATTAGCAGTAGTTACAAGTGTGTTTTTACGGAAAAAAGAAGAGTTCCTAAGTTGTTACCAATAATTTACATTAAAATAACATAAGCTATTAACTGGCTATACATTGTTCTTTGTAACATAACTTCCAGGAACATGAAGATAACGAGTGAGACAGCTAGTGAGCAACCAAATGTCTTTAACAACTGCCTCTGAGCATGGGGAATAGGGGAGGAAGTGGAGGCATGACTGTCGTCCCATACTCCTGTCTCTCTGGGCTTGATAACAGTTTGGCATACCCCACAGAGCTCAGACTGCTCTGTACTATTTTTCTGTTCTCATTTCCCCCTTTTTGCCAAGATCTTTTGAAGAAAGCATTGTAGATGAACCTAAAGGGTTTTGGCTTCTTTTATGTTCAGGAGCTTAGTCCACCATTGTTAGGAGGACTCCTTCCCAGACAGCCCTGTCCCAAAGCTGGGGTGAGGGGAGGGAATCTAAGTATGGAGAAGCTATCCGTGTGGATATTTATAGCAGATAAATAGAAATGTGGCACAAAAACTGGATATGGCTCAGAATCATTCAGCATAGAAATGACAGTTAAAGCCCTGGGCATGGATGAGATTTTCTAGATAAAAAGTAGAGAGAAAGCATCATCAAAATTAGTTTGGACATTGGAAAAACCCACAATTGAAAGAGGCAGGGAAGGAACATAATATATAAAATTTATTGAATACTTACTATGTACCAAGCATTGGACTTGAAATTTATATATTAAAACATTAAATGTGCCTGGCACAGAACAAGCAAAAATAAATATATATGTTTTAATGAAGTAATGAATTTCTATGAGAACTATTTTATTAAGTACATACTATTTTTGCTTCACGCCAGATAGAGAAACTGAATCTAAAGATGTCTAAATAACTTTGTCATCACATACTTTAACTGTTGTCTTAACATTTATTTGAAGCCAGATTTGTTTGAGTCCAAAATGTGTGGCTTTTCTATTATGCCACATTGTCACCTTAGATATTTCTATGCCAAGACAGGAGGAAGTTTCAATTAAGAGAGGATGACCAAATATGTAAAAATGCTGAAGTGAGGTTAAAAAAAGTAAACACTAAAAAGGAGACAGGGGAAAAATGTTCTATGGATTTGATGATTAACTGCTAGTCTCTTTTTAGTGTAGTATCATTAGTTTTGTGGCAACCAAATATGTCAGAATCAGGATCAGAAGGAAAACTTAAAATCAAGGACTTGGGTGAGGGTCATATTTGTCACCATCACCTCAATGTTTCCCACATTTTCTATTAATATATTTAATCTTCTTGCTAACATATATTCTTCAATTTTTTTCACTTGAAGTCTGCAAATGGTGACATCTCTTTCTCTTTTATAATGTGTCTATTTTGTGCTTATATTGAAGAATAGTTTAGCTGACTGTAAAATTTTGGGTTGAGTTATTTTCCCATAAGACAGTTTCTTTTGATATATATTGTTGCTGGCGGGTAGTCTGCTTTCATTCTAATTATTGTTTATTTGCTCTTAATCTCTCCCTTCTCTCTTTAAATATTAAGATTTTTCTCACCCAGGTATTAAGCCTAGTACCCATTAGTTATTTTTTTCTGATCCCAAAATAATCTATACGACAAACCTCCATGACACAAGTTTACCTATGTAACAAACCTGCACTTGTACCTCAGAACTTAAAGTAAAAGTTAAGAAAAAGATTTTCACTGTAACATGATACCATGCTGTTTCACTAAGATGTTTTGGGATGTAGATTTATTTTTGTTTATTTTAATCTGTACTTATATGACACTTTTTATTTAAAAGGACTTAAGGCTTTCCTCAATTATAGGAACTTATTAGCTTTTTTTTGTCTTCTCTTTTTTTTGTTTTTCTAGGATTGCAGTTGTATGTATGTTGAAGCTTCCTAGCTTATCTATCATATCTCTTCACTCTACTTTTATAATTTTTAATCCCTTGGTCTTCCTGTGATACATTTTGTTTCCATTTCTCAGTTTTATCTTTCACTCTGATGAGCTAATTTTAATTGATTCCTGGCAAGATATTTTTTATATTGAGGATTTTATGTTTTCTCTAATATATTTCACATCTAACTTCTGTCTTAAGTCTTTTTTGTATTACCCTGTATATTCCGATTATCTATCTTCTAATCAAAGCCATTTCTTTACTTTTCTCCAAGTGCACAAAATATATTTTTCATTAATGTCTTTTTCAGATATTTCAATAAAAGTAACTTCATACAAAATAAATTTATTTTTAGATTAGTAATGTTTTGTTCTTGTTTTTAGTGTACCTTAAGTGCGTTTTTTAATTTTTTATTTTCAGGCTCTTTTAAAGAGTCTTAAAGGGTTTTTTTGTTGTTTTCATTGTCACTCAATGTTGATTTTTTTCTGAGTTCCTCTATCAACTCATTCACAATCCAGAAAAATAATAGTTTTTCAGAATTTTCATTGGTAATATTAATCAATAAACTTCATAAAGCATTCAAAACTGATAAGTGTTCAGTACTATTGGTACAATATTTACATCAAAAACTTTTAAGCATTTACATACATATAACCAGGTAAAAATTACAATGAAAAAAGAAACATCATTTTTAACAAGTAACAAGAAAAAATATATGATACTTAGAACTTTACCCAATGACTTTAGGAAAAATAAGGCTTTACTGAAGAGCTCGAGTATATAGAGCTCTAAGTAATATTCATGCATGTGAAGCCTTAATATGTACAATATATCAGCTCTCCAGATATATTCACAGATTTGATGCACTTTCATCTAAAAATCTGAAGGGTTTTTATTTGGTGGAGGTTGCTTGACAAAATGATATTTAAAATATGAAAGAAAAAAACAATTAGTAGCATTTACATTTTGATCTAAAACTTGGGAAGATAGGACTTATTTCTGCTAGATATCAAGACATGTTCTAATTGTATTTTAATTAACAGAGTGTGGTATTTGCATAATAGAATATAACAGAGCACCCAGAAAGAGACCCAGTAATATATGGAAGTTTAGTACACAGTAGATGTTGTATACCATTCCATAAATTATGTAAGAGCATTGACTATTTATATAATCCATACATTCATCCTCACCTTATGCCATATACCAGAATAAATACCACTGAAATGAGGATTTAATTGTTTGGAGAAACTACAGGAGATATTATGATCCTGAAGTAGAAAAGTTTTTTCTAACTGGACACACACATGTGCACATACACTACCACCATGAAGAAAATGATTGAGGTATCCCATTACCTTACATTTATCTTAAAACAATATCATAAAATATGGTTAAGCAGAAAGTCGCGAACTACACAGAAGCTTTGCAGCCACATATAACCAAAACACATAAATTCAGTATCCTTGATTTTGTAAGAACTTCTAAAATTTACTGTGAAAAACAAATCGTTTACTTAAAACATAGACATTGGTTGTAAACAAAGCGCAGAAAAACACTCATGAATGTTATGTATTTGGAACAGCAGAGATTCATAAAAGTGTAATATTTCTGTATCATTTTAAATAGAAGTTTCCTAAATAGAGTCAACAGAAGAACAAGTGATGGAAATGGCTATCACTAATGGAGTCATTCGCAGCTGCTACTCAGATGGGTAAAAAGCTGAGAAAAGCAAAGTTGGAAAAGGCACCAGGCAAAGGGCATTTTTCTTCAGTGTGGGCCTCTGAAGGGATCACTTTGGAAACATGAAAAAAAAAGAAAAAGGCTAAAAGTTATTTGGGATTATTCTTGGGTTGGGGAAAAACAGAAGAGATAACTTGGTGTTGTGAGGAGAGAAAGCCCGTGGAGCTTGTACTGGAGCCTGTTTTGACCATCAGATAGCAGGCCCAGGTGCTTGCTGCTGGACCATGATGATAAGAATGGGGTGGTGAAGAAGCATGGCTGGTGGAAATGGAAAGGCATTAATAGAAATGGACATTAAGGGTAGATGGAAACTTCCAGGAAGGATAGGCATGCCACCATTGCAAATACTCATAATTTGAAAAAAGTCAAGAATTGTTCAGATGTCCTACTTCAACACATAAGATGGTCTGCTTGACAAAGAGTGTCACAAACAGTTTTTAATTTTAATTTTTTGGGTACATAGTAGGCATATATATTTATAAGGTACATGAGACATTTTGATACAGGGATGTAACGGGTACTAATCCCATCAGGGTAAATGGAGCATCCACCACGTCCAGCATTTATCCTTTGTGTTACAAGTGATTCAATTGTACTCCTTTGGTTATTTTAAAGTATACAATAAATTATTGTTTACTGTAGTCACCCAGTTGTGCTATCAAATACTAGATCTTCTTTATTTTATCTAACTTTTTTTTTTGGTACCCATTAACTAGTTTCACTCCTCTCTTGCTACCTTTTCCATCCTTTAGTATCCATCCTTCTATTATCTCCATGAATTCAATTGTTTTAATTTTTTTTTAGCTCTCACAAGTAACTTTTTTTCTCATGGAAGACTGCTAGCATTCTGTTGAATGTTTTGGTAAATATTCATCTAGATTATAATTTGTGTCCTGGAACACTGCCAGGGCTCAGAAAGTGTCAATTATATTTTTAAAAATCTATGTTTAGATAAAGTCTTACAGTAATAGCATTTGTTCTGTGTGGGCCTTGATTTAATATATAGATGGGTGATAAAGGGATTAGCATTATGATAACTCACTGAATCATTGAAAGCATGTGGGGCTGGAGTAGCCTATTTTGGGTGAGGCCAAAGAAGCAGCACTGGTTTCAGTGGAAGACCAACTGCACTTTCTAAAGATATGATCCTATCAAGCATGTGAGTGAGTGTAGAACTGGCTTGGATAAGGTGAGTAGCATGAAGGTAGTCTTTACAGAGAGTGCAATATGATTTTCTCTGTCAGAATAGTGAATTTATTTGATATTAATAACATAATGATCTTTATTAGGTTAAAGATTATAAGGTGATGGCAAATCTATTCCTTTTTATTTTAATAATACTGTGCATAATTATTGGGTTCACAAATAACATAAACAACTTAACTGAATAACATAAATCAGATTTCAAAATGGAATAAAAAGTGATTTGTTGACCTAGTGTAGAGTGTGGCCATGCACTAAGTCCAGCAGAAGACATGATCTCATTCATTTCTGAAGTGTTTGGAGTCAACATCAAAGTGATGTTTGTCATGTGATTGAGGACTTGCAGTGTGCCTCATTGGTCCCAGGTAAATACACAGGAGCATGGAAAAGGATGTGAGAATCATTTTGATAAAGACATACTTGCCTTTTATAACATGTGGATATTCCCCACTCTGACCTCCAGGGGAAAGAACATTCTTTCTTCCCTCAAATTACCTAATTAATCTATTAGCCAGAATAGCCCCAATCCTGGCTAATCATTGGAATAGGTCTAGGTTATTAGGAAAAAGAACCCATAGCAGTGGGATGTAAGCAACAGCTCTTTCATCTCCTCAGCCCACATTCCACGGAGGAGAGTTGGTGAAGGTCAAGGCCAGAGTTGTTGCTAATTTATGCTTCATGGGCATATAATCTATGCAGTCACCTAGGACCCATACCTAAAAGAACCCATACTTGGTTTAACGCCCTGCTGTTGCCATATTGAAATTCTTCATCATTTTCAAATGAGGGTTTCCTGCATCATTATTTTGCATTGAGCCCTGAAAATTATGTAGTCAGTCCTGACCATAGTGTAACACTTGCACATTTCTGTGTGCCTAGGGATTTTGGAAGCTCTTGAGTCTTCTTTGAGCCTTCTTTTTGGATATTGCTGATTGTAGATCATGAATTTGAGGTGATAAGAGAGGCCAGGGACCCCTAATTATTGATAGGAAAATCCAGTAGAAAGGGAAGAAAAGCTGAGGAAGAGGAATAGGAAAAATTAGCCTTACAATATTGGGAAATGAGAACAGACATCCTTTTGAAATGATGAGGTAAGATTATCTGAATTATTCAGCCAAGTCCCTAACGTACGCACATAAAAACACAATTAAATTAGCCTAAATGTTTACTAGTGCTCAGTCTTTAAATACAAACTCCAATATAGAACTCCAGCAATCTAGACTAGTACCTATGGAAAACTGTCCCCCAAACTCAGACTCAATCGCAAAGTGCCCCAGTTTGAAAGATCTCTACATTTCTCAGCATCAGGAGAAAATTTATCATAATTTTATTGATAACTCAAGAATGTGAGCTTTGTATTCTGACCAATAAGACTAATACTCCTTCTTGAAGGTAGATTAATTAGGTAATTTGAGGGAAGAAAGAATGTTCTTTCCCCTGAAGGTCAGAAATATACTTTTCAAATATACATAATTTTTAAAAGCTCCAGTTGTTACCAATAATAAAAATTTTATAGGTGACTGCATTTCTTTTCTCTCTGCAGTCTAGTAGCTGTAGTCCAGAAGTTGGAGGAAGTTTCCCTAAGGGCTAAAACCGTTAGGATCACCAAACAAGAATGTTCAATGTGAAATGCAGTGAGCTCAAACAATTTACAGCTTTCATTCTCTCTTTCCATAAATGGCACTTCATTGTTCCTCAATAGGCTGGAGGGAAATGGGTTTATTGCATTCATTTTAAGAAATATTCCTTCACCTCTTTTGTGGGCCTTCCCACAATTTCAGTTATATTTCATCTTCTTAGAAGTTTGCTAAATGTAGCTTCAAGCAGCTCACTCTGGTAGGTGTGCTCGAGCCATTATCATCCATTTTTCAATAAAGTTGTGGGTGAAAGTGTCATTGATTCTTTTTCACCAGGAGAGAATATTAGCTTTTTATCCTCATCATATTATCTCTCTGCTTGACTGATAAAACTGTCATGCTAGAGGAAAGGTCAGGAATTATCGAGTGGGTGTTCATTAATTCATCTTTCATCCCCTTCTTCCAACAAATGTATTGGGAATGTAGCAGAAAATTTGTGTTTATAAGATGAAAATAGAAGAGAGATAAATAGATGAAGTCCTCATGGATTAATGATTTCATTTTGCTGCCTAGAAATATGTGTGAGCTCTAAAGGGTGTTCATGTTAAAACTTATAGTTTCCCCTTATTTCATTTTCTTATTTTGAGAAAAAGATCTCTCAAATGACATTTAGCTGAGCAATACGGTTTCTTTTATGGGTTAAAAATTCCTGGCCATGGGAGGGGGAGGGAGAATACGAGACGACAGATGCTTCGGATGCCAGGAAAAAGATGTTACCATTCTCATTATTCAACGCACTCAATGAAGTCATAATTAGTGTGAGTTACTTCTAATTATATTTTATTTTCCAGGCAACATTGATTAATGCTGTGATGAGCAACTTAGGATGAGGAGGATCAAAACAGAAAAGATTTGTTAGACCACCAGTGGGTAATTCAGAGGAAACCAAACAGTAAACATGGATAATAACACTAATGGACCAGCTCCAGGTGCCTCTTTACTTTCCATTCCACTTTTTAAAAAATTTTTTATCTTGCCCTATATTTTTCAGATGATGAGGCTGATAGTTTAGGACTTTTTCCACATGCTAATGCTACTCTCTAACTTTAAAACAGCAATCTCACCAAACACCTGGGAGAGAGCATGCTTTTAGTTAGCAAGATCTAGATTGAATCTTAAATTGGCCATTTAATAGTTATATGACATTGGGCAAAATACTTGACTTATCTGCAGCTCATTGTTCTCATGTAAGAAAGGAGAGGAAAGGGTGATAGGTGATTATTCTACAAAGTTTTACATTGTCTCTGAAGTCAGAAACTTAGAAGTCATCTTTGATTTGACCCTGTTTTCCATCCCTCACATCTAATTGACCAGTAAGCCTTCTCCAACTCTATCTACAAAATATCTTTTGAGATTATCACCTGCTAATTTTTCTGTAGACCAGAACTTCACCACATCTGATTTGGACTATTGAAATGACCTTCTAGTTGGTTTTTCTTCCTCTAGTCTGACACCCTTTTCCAATTTATTTCTCACTTATTCAAGATAATATTCTTTCCAGTTCCATATCTTATTCAATTCCTGGCCATTCATTGTAACCAAAAAAGTGACAGTAAAGTCTAGATGGCTTTTAATGATATGTGACCTTTTCCACAGTCTGGCTGTAGCCTGAAACTCTAATTGTTTCTTTATTTATCTCTATAATACTTAATTAACCTTGTTGAGCCAGCTATTGAATTCCTTTGTGCAGGCTTGTCCCTAGGGCTATGGAGTCACTCTACAAGGCGTTGCTTTACTTGTCCAGTAGCTTTACTGTTTACTTTTTATCTACTGAAGCACAGCTTAAACATTTCTTCTCAACCCTTCTTCCTCCTTTGAATAATCTTTATTATTTGAACAAACTTGTATTATTACATTTATTGAACTATATAGGATTTGTTTTACATATACCCCTTTTTAGAGTATATCTTCTAAATGGAAGAGACTATCCATATAATCCTTGTATACTGAGTCTAGAACAGTGTGAGGTTTAGGACATGAATGAATGAATGAATGAAGTCATGAGCATTTGATAGGATCAGTTATGTAAACTGTCATGATCACAGTCCATATTAGGTGCCCAAGGTTAGTCTCCCTATGTCCTCCCCTTTTCTCCTTTCTCAATGTCAGTGCCGTAATTTTTTAAATGTTGTGGAAAAGCCAGGAAAATACCCTTGACAAAGGCTTACTTTAGGAAAACTAAGTACAACAAATTCCATTGCAAGCAGCAGCAGAATAGGTTCATGAAAGCCACCAAACGTGAAGTGAATGATAACGAGTTAAATCATTTACATTAACTTCTCATTGCTGTAAATCTTCATAGGAGAAAATCCATCTCCCATCTTTCACCCCTGAATTTTACCAAGCTATTTGGAAGTCCACTGAAAGAGCCTTACTGTAAGCTGCTTTCTCTTTCTGGGATAGTTTTCTCTCTCTCTTCAGAGAGATTATTCATTTTCCCCTTTCTTCTGGGAAGCAACCCAAATGCTCCAAGGCTGGGTTAATTACCTCTTTTCTGTTCTCATGTCCTCTGTGCTTTCTACTTTCCACACTGTCTTGTAATAATCGATTTACACATTATTCTTCCCCATTTGACTGTCAGCTTCCTGAAAGCAGGATTGATGGTTTATTGATTCCTTTGATGCAATGCCTTATACAATGTAGATATTCACTAAATATTTGAAGTAGTTAGTGAGTGAAAAAATGACTAAATCACTGAGGGAGGAATTTTTCTCTTATTGTTTTATATATACCTCTTTCTAGAGTTTATCCCTCTAGGTGGTAGAGACTGTTCTACATAATCTTTGTATTCTGTGTATAGAACAGTGGTTCACCTGTTACTCAGGACTGATGGGAGACAAAAGCTCTAAATTCAAGGAATACTGAGCCCAGCCTTTCTCCACTAAGAGAAGTGGAAGATATAAAAGGATTAATCAGGAAGAATTCAGAAATGTAATCACACCCTGACAATCCTGACATTCACCTGCAAACATTTGTATTGTCCTCTTTTCAGTTTCTCATTAAAACCTGCAAAAATGATGGGGAAGTTAAACAGCACTTGCCTGGCACTTAATTTTTTCCTCTTTTAAACCTGCAAGTTCTAATTAGCTGTTGCCCACATATGGGTCAGAGTTCACCTCTCTGCTGAGAACAGCCTGTCCACTGATCCCAGACACCCCCACTCCTGCCTTTCTGCCTGCATTTTTAGAATGCCATAACACTTAGGGGAGCTTCTCCTGATTAAAAGGTTTAAAAATGAGTCAAGATGGAAGGCTAAAAATAACTGAAATGCCCCTGCTGTCCCAGTTATTAAATGATGGTCTGGCAGTTAAACCCCCCAGGCAGTGCCTCGGGCAGACTAAGTCCAGCACCTCATCATTATCCTCCCGGAAATCCTTGGGTTGGATGAATCTGCAACCATTAGCTAGAATGGAAAGGTTTTGACCTGTCATTTAAACAAGAAAAATCAACCAAGCCAAGTTCTTCAATATTGGGAAATTTTTAGTGTTATAAGAAACCATGCATGACCTTTAATTTGTACAGGAATATTAGGGGAGCAGGAGCATCTTAATGCTTCTCTTACTGTCTACCTTCCATTTGTGCCATTGCCAGTCTGATGTAGGTGGTGTTCTTGTGCCTTTGAAGACACCTCCACATTCTCTGTGTCATAGCTCTTGTTGTTGTGGGAGGTACCGCAGAGCGGTGGCCAGGAAGGCAGCCTCTGGTATCAAGTTGTTCAGGAGAGGATGTCAGGTCTGCCATTTACCAGCTGTATTGTCTTGAACCAGCTACTTTACCACTCTGTACTTTAGTTTACTTATTAATAAAGTGGAGGTAAATGTAATCTCTACCTCATGGGGTTGTGGTGCAAAAATTAAATGAGATAACACATGTACCTAGTTCCTTTAAGACTGTCTAGGATACAATAAATGCTCAATACATTTTAATGGCTATTATTACTGTAATGTTATTTTTATAATTATTATCATTTTACTCTTTATTTGCATGCCTGCCTTTCATACTGGATTGTGAATATCCTGAGAGGAGGAATGCCATTTTTTGGCTCTGAATCTCCAGGAGATAATATAGGGCTCTGCTCGTAGTAGAAACACAATGAATGAATGTTTGAGTACTTAAAAGAACCTAATTCAACACCTTCATTTTAGAGACAAGAAAACAGAGACCACATATCAGAGAGCAATTGGAATTATAACTCAGATTTTCTGGGTGCTATTACTGTGTGATTTCCTACTACAACAGGAATATCTGTGCAAGAAAAAAAGAAAAGTGAAGTTGGCTTCATATTCAGTGGATTTGGCCAGTGATAGAACTTGAGAAGAGAAGGAGGACTTGAATGTCATACCTATGCAGGGTGTTATCTAAATTCTATTGTGTTAGTGTATTATCTATACTCCAGACAAATTTTCTAGAGATTTCTGGGTCATCAATGTAAAAATCATCTAATTTAATAATGCCTTTTAAATATGTATAGAAAGATAGATATACATTTTAGATATATCTATACACACATATGACAACATAGAAAACCAAATGGTGGCTCACACCTGTAATTCCAGCACTTTGGGAGGCCGAGGAGGGTGGATCATGAGGTCAGGAGTTCAAAACCAGCCTGGTCAACATAGTGAAACCCCGTTTCTAATAAAAATACAAAAATTAGCTGGGTGTGGTGGTGCGTGCCTGTATTCCCAGCTACTCGGGAGGCTGAGGCAGGAGAATTGCTTGAACCCAGGAGATGGAGGTTGCAGTGAGCTGAGACCACACCATTGTCCTTCATCCTGGGTGACAGAGTGAAACTCTGTCTCAAAAAAAAAAAAAAAAAAAAAAAAAAAAAGAAAAGAAAAGAAAACCAAACCAATTGACTGATCCTGGATAAAAAGTGAAAAACTGACTCAGTCAACATAGGTATTAAAATCTGACTCCTATTCAGGGCTCTTTTCCCCAATCATACAAGTTATCAATTATTGAATACCCATTAAATGACATATATTTTCTTAGATTACTTACGTTAATAATCTTACTTTTTTCTTATGCACCTCCCCATTTAACAGATAAGAATCCTACAGCTTACAGTGATTAGGTAAACTTCCAAGGTTATGTAAATAGAAAGTGGCAGAGATGAACACTATGACTCATTAGCAGAATGCCTCAAGATCACTCACTGTCATATCAAACCACCTCTGCAACCATGCTTAGAAACTTTGAACTTGTGTGAACTAGAAGAAAAACTGACATCAATGATAATCATAAATCATATCCGATGTATAAGTTGAACTTCATGTTACTTTGCTTGTTTTCAAAAGGAGCTTTAGATTTCTGCTTTTGGCAAAGATGGAATAATGGGACTGGATTTACTCTCCTGCCTGCAACAACCAATAAAAAAACAAAATATATATTTTTAAGATACTGAATATTAGGCAAGGAAAATGATCTCTGAGAGACAAAATGAAAACATTCAGCACACTAAAAATAGAAGGGAACTTCCTCAATTTAAGAAAGGGAACCTACAAAAACCCACGGCGGTCAACACACTTAAAGACAGGTCAGGACTTACACCAGACCATCTGCTCTTAACATTTTATTAGGTATTTTACTGGAGGTTCTAGCCAGTGTAATATGGCAAGAAAAAGAATAAGTCATTTCAATGGAAAATGAAGAAGTAAATCTGTTTTTATTTGCAGATAACAGAATTTCTACATAGAAAATCCAACAAAATATACAGAAAAACTATTGTAAGTAATAAGTAAATTTAGTAATACTGCAAGAAAACAAGACTCATATAAAATATATTTATATGCACTAGTCATTAATAATCAGAAATTAAAATATAAATAATACCATTTATGAATATGAAGTACTTAATATCATTCAAATATGAAGTACTTATCTTTCAAAAATATGAAATACTTAAACATAAATCTGACAAAGGATGTGAAAGACTTATACACTGAAAGCTATAAAACAGTACTGAAAGAAATTATAGAATATCTTAAAAAATGAAGAAATATACCATGTTCATGGGATAAAAGACTCAAGATTGTAAAGATATCAATTCTTCCCAAATTGGTCTACAGACCAAACAGAATCCTAGTAAAAATTTAAGTAGGCTTGTTTTGTTTGTTTATATAAATTGACAAGTTAATTTTAAAATATATATGGAAATACAAAGATCTTAGAGTAGCTGAAAAATTTTGGAAAAAGAAAAAGCAGCCAGGCGTGGTGGCTCAGGCCTGTAATCCCAGCACTCAGGGAGGCTGAGGTGGGCGGATCATGAGGTCAGGAGATCAAGACCATCCTGGCCAACATGGTGAAACCCCGTCTCTACTAAAAAAAATACAAAAAATAGCTGGGCATGATGGCACATGCCTGTAGTCCCAGCTACTTTAGAGGCTGAGGCAGGAGAATCACTGGAACCCAAGAGGCGGAGGTTGCAGTGAGCCAAGATTGTGCCACTCGACTCCAGCCTGGCAACAGAACGAAACTCCATCTAAAAAAAAAAAAAAAAAAAAGCATGAAGGGTCCAGTCATGATGGTTGAATGGCTGACTAGAAGCAGCTAATATGCACCACTTCCATGAAGAGAAGAGTGGTGACTGGAACCTTCAAGTAGACACACTGGGATTCATCAAGGAAACAAAGTGACCCACAGAGAATGAAGAAGAGCAAGACAGGACAGCAGCCCACCTGGGAGTGGCATAGAGCTTTCTGGACTAACTTGGTCATACAAAAAGAAGAAAAAACAATAAAAAAGAATGAATAAAACCTCCAAGAAATTTGAGGTTATGTAAAGAGACCAAATGTATGATTGACTCCTTGATGTCCCTGAAAGAGAGAGAGAGAAAGCAAGCAAGTTGAGAAACATATTTCATGATATCATCCATAAACATTTCCCCAACCTCACTAGAGAGACCAATATTTAAATTGAACAAATGCAAATAACCCCAGCAACATACTGTTCCAAAAAATTGAGGAGGAAGGACTCCTCCCTAAGTCATTCTATGAGGTCAGTACAGTATCATCCTCATACCAAAACCTGGCAGAGACCCAAAAACAACAACAAAAACTTCAAGCCAATATCCTTGATGAATACAGCTGAAAAACTCTTCAAAAAAAAATATTGGCACACCGAATTCAGCAGCACAGCAAAAAGCTAATCTACCACAACCAAGTAGGCTTTATCCCTGTGATGCAAGATTGGTTCAATGTACACAAATCAACAAATGTGGTACATCACATAAACAGAATTAAAAGAAAACCCACATGATCATCACAATCATTTCAGGAAATGTTTTTTATAAAATTCAACATCCCTTCAATGTTAAAAAAACCATCAACAAACTAGGAATTGAAGGAACATAATTCAAAATAATAAGAGCCATCTGTGAGAAACCCACAGCCAACATCATACTGAATAGGCAAAAGGTTTAAGCATTCTCCTTGAAAACTGTAATAGGACAAGGATACCCTCTCTCACCACTCTTATTCAACATAGTACTGGACATCCTACCCAGAACAATCAGGCCAAGAGAAAGAAATAAAAGGCATCCAACTAGGAAGAGAAGAAGTCAAACTCTTCTTGCTTGCAGACAAAATGATTCTGTATCTAGAAAACCCCATAATCTTTGCCGAAAAGGTCCTTGTTCTGATTAACTTAAGCAAAGTTTCAGGATACAAAATCAATGTACAAAAATCAGTAGCATTCCTATACACCAACAACATTTACACTGAGAGCCAGATCAAGAATGCAACTCCATTCATAATAGCCACTAAAAGAATAAAATGGCTCAAAATACAGCTAGATAGGAAGATGAAAGATCTCTACAACAAAAATTACGAAACACTACTCAAAGGAATCAGAGATGACACAAACAAACGGAAAAACATACCATGCTCATGGATAGGAAGAATCAATATTTTTAAAATGGCCATACTGCCAAAAGCAACTTACATATACAATGCTATTGCTATCAAATTACTAATGACATTCTTCATAGAACTAGAAAAAAACTGTTTTAAAATTCATATGGAACCAAAAAAGAGCCTGAATAGCCAAGCCAATCCTAAGCCAAACAAACAAACAAACAAACAAAGAACCCAAACCTGGAGACATCATGTTACCTAACTTCACACTATACTACAAGGCTACAGTAAACAAAACAGCATGGTATTGGTACAAAACCAGATATATAGACCAATGAAATGGAATGCAGAGCTCAGAAATACTACTACACACCTACAACCATCTGCTCTTTGAAAAAGTTGATAAAAACAAGCAAGGGGAAAGGACTCCCTGTTCAATAAATAGTATTGGGATAACTGGCTAGTCATATGCAGAAGATTGAAAATGGACATGTACAAAAATCAATTTAAGATCGATTAAAGACTTAATGTAAAACCTAAAACTATAAAAACCCTGTAAGAAAAGCTAGGAAATATCGTTCTGGACATAGACCCTGGCAAAGATTTCATGACAAAGAGACCAAAGGAATTGCAACAAAAAATGAAAATTGACAAGTGGGACCAAATTAAACTAAAGAGGTTCTGCACAGCAAAAGAAACTAATGAGGTGTGGTCAGAGGCTCCCAACGAAAAGAACCAAAGTGGCAAGTGAATCCTGCACTGGCAACTGAGGCACCCAGGTTCTCTCATTCGGACTGACTAGGTTGGTGTGATTCATGGAGAGTGAGGAAAAGCAGGGTGGTGTGATGGCCCACCTGGGAGCCACATGGGGCAAGGGGAGCTCCTACCCCCAGCCAAGGGAGGCGGTGAGTGATTGTGCTACCCTGCCTGGGAAACCACGCTTTTCCCACAGATCTGCGGAACCCACAGATCAGATGTCCATTGTGAGCCCACGCCACCAGAGCCTTGGGTCTCCAGCACAGAGTTGTGCAGATTCTCAGTGGCTACTCGGCTGGAGACTGTCTAAGACTACCGAGTTCTTGGGATGGGGCAGGGGCGGGGGGTGGCCATCATCACTGTGGCTGCCTGTTGCCTAAGAAAACTGAGCTCCCTGGGGGAGGGGCGGCAGCCATCACTGCAGCTACAGTCTGCCTTTTTTCTCCTACTGATGCCAGGGAGATTGGACAGTTTGGATCCAGGAGGAATTCCCTCATAGTGCAGCACAGCAGCTATGACAGATCGTGGCCAGACTGCCTCCTTAGGCCAGACCCTGACCCATCCCTCCTCACTGGGTGGGGCCTCCCTGCAAAAATTTCAGCAACTCCAGCCCAGGGTTTAGGGACAGAACTCTGATCTCTCTGGGACTGAGCCCCTTGGAGGAGGGGCGGCCAAGGTCTCTATGGATCAGCAGACCTAGTCGTTCCCCCTGCTGACTCTGAGGAATTTGGGCAGCCCAGATGAGTGGGATTCCCCCAGTGCAGCACACACCCTCCTCCAAGGGATAGCCAGAGTGCTTCATTAAGTGGATCCTGGATCCTGTGCCTCCTAACTGGGTGAGATGAGACCCCTCAGCAGAGGTTGACAGACACCTTATACATGAGCATTCCCTCTGGCATCAGGTCAGTTCCCCTGGGGACAGAGATCCCAGAGGAAGGAGCAAGCAGCCATCTTTGCTATTCAATAGCCTCCACAGGTGACACCTTCTGATGCAGGAGGGAACGAGGTGAATAGAGTCTGGAGTGGACAGCCAAAAAACCACAGCAGCTCTATGGAAGAGAGACCTGACTGTCAAAAAGAAAAACAAACAAATAGAAAGCAGCAATAACAATAGCATCAACAAAAAGTCCCTATAAAAACCCCATCCAAAGGTCAGTAGCCTCGAAGATCTAAGCTAGACAAACCCAGAAAGATAAGAGTGAACGCAAAAATGCTGAAAACTCAAAAAGCCAGCGTGCCTCTTCTTCAAATATTTGCAAGACCTCTCCAGCAAGTTCACAGAACTGAACAGAGGCTGAGATGCATGAACTGACACAAGCGGGCTTCAGAAGGTGGGTAATAAACTTTGCTGAGCTAAAGAAGCGTGTTGTACCCCAATGCAAAGTAGCTAAGAGCCATGATAAAACACTACAGGACCTGTTAACCAGAATAACGAGTTTAGAGAGGAACATAAATGACCTGATGGAACTGAGAAACACAACACGAGTACTTCACAAGGCAACCACAAATATCAATAATCAAATAGACTAAGCAGAGAAAAGAATTTTAGAGCTTGAAGATTGTCTTGCTGAAATAAGACAGGCAGACAAGATTAGAGAAAAAAAAAAGAATGAAAAGGAATAAACAAAACCTCTGAGAACAATTGGATTATGTAAAAAAAGACCTTACCTGAAAGAGTCAGGGAGAACGGAACCAAGTTGGAAAACATACTTCAGGATGTCATTCAGTAGAACTTCCCAACCTAATAAGACAGGCCAACATTCAAATTCAGGAAATCTAGAGAACCTTACTAAGAAACTCCATGAGAAGATCAACCCAAAAACACAAAATCATCAGATTCTCCAACGTTGAAATGAAGGAAAAAATGTTAAGGGCAGCCAGAGAGAAAGGCCAGGTCACCTACAAAGAGAAGCCCATAAGACTAACAGAGGACCTGTCAGCAGAAACCCTACAAGCTAGAAGAGATTGGGGGCCAATATTCAACATGCTTTTATTTATTTATTTTTTAAGATGGAATTTCACTCTTTCATCCAGGCTGGAGTGCAGTGGTGCAATCTCAGCTTACTGCAACCTCCAGCTCCTGGGTTCAAGTGATTCTCCTGCCTCAGCCTCCTGAGTAGCTGGGATTACTGGCATCTGCCACCATGCCAGGCTAACTTTTTTGTATTTTCAGTAGAGACGGGGTTTCACCAAATTGGCCAGGCTGGTCTCAAACTCCTGGCCTCAAGTGATCTGTCCACCTCAACCTCCCAAAGTGCTGGGATTATAGGCATGAGCCACTGCGCCCAGCTCAATGTTCTTAAAGAAAATAATTTTCAAACCAGAATTCCATATCTGGCCAAACTAAGCTTCATAAGGAAAGGAGAACTAAAGTCCTTTTCAAACAAGCAAATGCTGAGGAAATTTGTCACCACCAGGCCTGCCTTTCAAGAGCTCCTGAAGGAAACATTAAATATGAAAAGGAAAAACCATTACCAGCCACTGCAAAAAAAAAACACTGAAGTACAAAGACCAATGATACTATGAAGGAACTACATAAACAAGTCTGCAAAATAACCAGGTAGCATCATGATGACAGCTGGCATCAGGATCAAATTCACACATAACAATATTAACCTTAAGTGTAAATGGGCTAAATGTCCTAATTGAAAGACACAGAATGGGAAGCTGGATAAAAAGTCAAGATCCATTGGTGTACTATATTCAAGACACCCATCTCACATGCAAAGACACACATAGGCTCAAAATAAAGGGATGAGAAAAATTTACCAAGCAAATGGAAAGCAGAATAAAAGCAGGGGTTGCAGTCCTAGTTTCTGACAAAACAGACTTTAAACTAACAAAGATCAAAAAAGACAAAGAAGTGTACAACATAACGGTAAAGGAATCAATTCAATGAGAAGAACTAACTATTCTAAATATATATGCACCCAATACTGGAGCATCAAGATTTATAAAATAAGTTTTTAGAGACCTGCAAAGCGACTTAGAGTACCACATAATAATAGTGGGAGACTTTAACATCCCACTGTCAATATTAGACAGATCATTGAAACAGAAAAATAACACAAATATTCAGGACTTGAACTCACCTCTAGATCAAATGGACCTGACAGACATCTACAGAACTCTCCACACTAAAACAACAGAATATACATTTTTCTTGGTGCCATATGGCACTTACCCTAAAATCAATAATGTAATCCGAATTAAAACACTACTCAGCAAAAGAACTGAAATCGTAAGAGTCTCTCAGACCACAGTGCAATCAAATTAGAACTCAAGATTAAGAAACTCACTCAAAACCACACAACTACATGGAAATTGAACAACCTATTCCTGAATGACTCCTGGGTAAATAATGAAATTAAGGCAAAAATCAACAAGTTCTTTGAAACCAGTGAGAACAAAGAGACAACAACATTCCAGAATCTCTAGGATGCAGTTAAAGTACTGTTAAGGGGGATATTTATAGCACTAAATGCCCTCATCAAAAAGCTAGAAAGATCTCAAATCAACACCTTAACATCACAACTAAAAGAACTAGAGAACCAAGAGCAAACAAACCCAAAAGCTAGAAGAAGACAAGAAGTAACCAAGATCAGAGCAGAACTGAAGGAGATGGAGACATGAAAAACTGGTCAAAAAAAAAAAAAAAAAAAATCAATGAATTCAGGAGCTGGGTTTTTTTTTTTTTTGAAAAAAATCAAATAAATGGCTAACTAAACTAGTAAAGAAAAAAAGAGAGAAGGATCAAATAGACACAATAAAAAATAATAAAGGGGATATCACCATTGACCCCAGAGAAACACAAACAACCAACAAAGAATGCTATAAACACCTCTGTGCAAATAAACTAGAAAATCTAGAAGAAATGGATAAATTCCTAGACACATATACTCTCACCCAAGGCTAAACAGGAAGAAGTTGCATCCCTGAATAGACCACTAACAAGTTCTGAAATTGAGGAAGCAATAAATAGCCTATTAACAACAACAACAAAAAAAACCAGCAGCCCTGGAACAGAGGGATTTGTAGCTGAATACTACCAGAGGTACAAAGGGGAGCTGGTACCATTTTTCTTCTGAAACTATTTCAAACAATTAAAAGGAGGGACTTCTCCTTAACCCATTCTATGAGTCCAGCATCATCCTGACACCAAAACCTGGCAAAGATACAACAAAAAAAGGAAACTTTGGGCCAGTATCCCTGATGAACAATCCTCAATAAAATACCAGCAAACTGAATCCAGCGGCACATCAAAAAGCTTATCCACCATGAACAAGTGGGCTTCATCTCCGGGATGCAAGCCTGGTTCAAAATATGCAAATCGGTTAATGTAATTGATCACATAAACAGAACTAAAGACAAAAACCACATTATTATCTCAATAAACACAGAAAAGGCCTTCAATAAAATTCAACATCCCTTCATGTTAAAAACTCTCAATAAACTAGGTATTGAAGAAACATACTACAAAATAATAATAGCCATTTATGACAAACCCACAGCCAATAACATACTGAATAGACAAAAGCTGGAAGCAGTCCCCTTGAAAACTGGCATTCCCCTTGAAAACTAAAACTGGATGCCCTCTCTCAACACTCTTACTCAACAACACAGTATTGGAAGCTCTGGCCAGGGCAGTCAGGCAAGAGAAAGAAATAAAGCATGTTCAAATAGGAAGAGAAGTCAAATTGTCTTTGCTGATGACATGATTCTATATCTAGAAAACCCCATCGTCTCAGCCCCAAAGCTGCTTAAGCTGATACGGAACTTCAACAAAGTCTTAGGATACAAAATCAATGTGCAAAAGTCACAGCATTCCTATACACCAACAACAGACAAGCAGAGAGCCAAATCAAGCAGAGAGCAATTTACAGTTGCTAAAAATAGAATAAAATGCCTAGGAATACAGCTAACAAGGGAAGCAAAGAACCTCTTCAAGAACTATAAACCACCACTCAAGGAAATCAGAGAAGACACAGAAAAATGGAAAAACATTCCATTCTCATGGATAAGAAGAATCAATATCATGAAAATGGCCCTATTGCCCAAAGTAATTTATAGATTCAATACTATATTAAATTATCATTGACATTCTTCACAGAATTAGAAGAAACTGTTTTAAAATTCATATGGAACCAGAAAAGAGCTTGTATAGCCAAGACAATCCTAAGCAAAAAGAACAAAACTGGAGGCATCATGCTACCTGACTTCAAACTATACTAAAAAGCTACAGTAACTCAAACAGCATGGTACTGGTACAAAAACAAACACATAGACCAATGGAACAGAATAGAGACCTTAGAAATAAGACTGAACATCTACAACCATCTAATCTTTGACCAACCTGATAAAAACAAGCAATGGGGAAAGGATTCCCTATTTAACAAATGGTGCTGGGAATACTGGCTAGCCATATGCAGAAAAATGAAACTGGACCTCTTCCTTACACCTTATACAAAAATAACTAAAGGTGGATTAAAGACTTAAATGTAAAAGCCAAAACTATAAAAACCCAGAAGAAAATCTAGGCAATACCATTCAGGACATAGGCATGAGCTATCATGATGAAATTGCCAAAAGCAATTACAACAAAAGCAAAAATTGACAAATTAATCTAATTAAACTAAAGAGCTTCTGCACAGAAAAATAAACTATCATCAGAGCAAACAGACAACATACAGAATGGGATAAATCTATTTATCTGACCAAGGTGTGATATCCAAAATGTACAAGGAAGTTACATAAATTTACAAGAAAACAAACAACCCATTAAAAAGTGGGCAAAGAACATGAATAGACACTTCTCAAAAGAAGACGTTTATGCGGCTAACAAACATGAAAAAAAACTCGACATCACTGATCATTAGAGAAATGTAAATCAAAACCACAATGAGATACCCTCTCATGCCAGTCAGAATGGCGATTACTAAAAATTCAAGAAACAACACATGCTGGCATAGCTGTAGAGAAATAGGAATGCTTTTACACTGTTGGTGGGAAGGTAAATTATTTCAACCATTGTGGAAGACAGTGTGGAATCCTCAATGACCTAGAACCAGAAATACCGTTTGACCCAGCAATCCCATTACTGGGTATATACACAAAGGAATATAAATCATTCTATTATAAATATTTATGCACGTGTATGTTCATTTCAGCACTATTCAAAAGAGCAAATACATGGAATCAACCCAAATGCCCATCAATGATAGTCTGGATAAAGAAAATGTGGTACATATGCATCATGAAATACTATGCAGCCATAAAGTGGAATGAAATCATGTCCTTTGCAGGGACATGGATGGAGCTGGAAGCCATTATTCTCATCACACTAACACAGGAACAAAAACCAAACACCACATGTGCTCACTTATAAGTGGGAGCTGAACAATGAAAACACATGGACACACGGAGGGGAAGAACACACACTGGGGCTTGTTGGTGGTGTGGAGAGCATCAGGATACATAGCTAATTCACGCTGGGCTTAATACTTAGGTGATGTATTGATAGTTGCAGCAAACCATCATGGCACAAATTTACTTATGTAACCAACCTGCACATCCTGCAGGTGGAAATAAAATAAAATAAAATAAAATAAAATAAAATAAAATAAAATAAAATAAAATAACATAAAGTAAAAAAGAAACTATCAACAGAGTAAACAGACAACCTACAGAATGGGAGAAAATCTTTGCAAACTTTGCAAACCTGCATTCAACAAAGGTCTAATAGCCAGAATCTAAAAGCAACTTAAATAAATAAATAAGAAAAAATGAAACAAAACAAAAAACAAAAAAAAATGGGCAAAGGACATGAATACTTTCTAATAGGAGACATACACAGGGCCAAGAAGTAAATGAAAAAATGCTTACCATAACTAATCATTAGAGAAAGGCAAATCAAAACCACATTGAGATACCACCTCATACCAGTCAGAATGGTTATTATAAAAAGTGAAAAAACAACAGATCCTGTTGAGGCTAGCAGAAAACAGAACACATACACTGTTGGTGGGAGTGTAAATTAGTTCAATCACTGTGGAAAGCAATTTGGAAATTTCTCAAAGAACTTAAAATAGAGCTACCATTTGACCCAGCAATCCCATTATTGGGCATATACCCAAAGGAAAATACGTTATTCTACCATAAAGACACATGCACATGTATGTTCATTGTAGCAGTATTCACAAGAACAAAGAATCAACCTAAATGACCATCAATAATAGACTGGATAAAAAAAAATGTGGTATGTATACACCATGAAATACTATGCAGCTATAAAAAAGAACAAGATCATGTTTCTTGCAGCAACATGGATACAGCTTGAGACTATTATCCTAAGTGAACTAACAAAGAGATAGAAAACCAAATACCAAATGTTCTCACTCATAAGTAGGAGCTACACATTGAGAACACATGGACACAAAGAAGGGAACAACAGACACCAGGGCCTACTTGAAGATGGATGGTGGAAGGAGGGAGATGATAGTTCAAAAACCACCTATCGGTTACTATGCTTATTACCTGAGTGAAGAAATATTCTGTACAGAAAACCCCCATGACACACATTTTATCTATATAACAAACTTGCACAGGCACCCCGAACCTAAAAGTTATAAAAAAAGTATAAATTTGGCAGACTAACATTACCAAATTTCAAAACTTATATTAAAGCTGTAGTAATCAAGAAAGCCATCAATGAAAACAAATAGATCAATAGAAAAGAATTGAGAATCAAGAAATAGAGCCACAAATATGTGGACAACTGATATTGGACAAAGATGCAAAGACAAGTCAGTGGAAAAATGATAGTCTTTTTTTTTTTTAACAATGTTAGTACTATGATTGGATATCAATATGCAAAAGATAAAAAGATATTTGATGTATGCCACAAATTGCATTTAAAAATTAATACTAAATTGATAATATACCTAAATATTAAACCAAAAATATAAAACTTCAAGAAGAAAATAAAAAATGTTTGTGGCTATTGGTTAGACATAGGCTTCTTAAGATATTACACCAAAAGCACTATATATAAAGTAAAATCTTTACCAGTGGGACTTTCTCAACATTAAACTTCTGCTGTTTGTAAAACACTACTAAGAAAATAAAAAGGCAAGCCAAAAATGTAAAAATTATTTCATGTGTCATCAAGAATTTGTAATCAGATTATATAAAGAACTCCTAAAATTCAATAATAGGAACACAAAGACCCAATAAAATATTTCAAAGGGAGCTGGGCATGGTGACATGTGCCTGTAGTCTTAGCTACTTGGGAGGCTGAACCAGAAGGATTGCTTGAGCCCGGGAGTTTGAGGCTACAGGAGTTAAACGATCACGCCCCTGGATCCAGCCAGGATGAGAGAGCAAGACCTTGTCACAAAAAAAAAAAAAAAAAAACCACAAAACAAACAAAGAAAAAAGATTCTTGAAAAATATTCAAAGGATTAAACAGATATTTCTCTAAAGAAAATATTCATATAAGAGATAACATAAAAAGATGCTCAACATAGTCTTGAGGAAAGTGTAAGTTAAAACTGCAATGACATTGTGCACACCTATTAGAAATGCTAAAATTTAAAAGACTGATCATAGAAAATTTTGGTGAGAAATGTAAAAGAACTGGGACTCTCAGTCTATGCTGGTGGACCTGTATGATGGTCTGACTACTTAGGAAAATAGTTTTTTAGTTTTCTAAAAAGTTAAATATACATCTACTATATGAGCCAGTAATCCTATTTTTAAGAATTAACCCAAGAGAAATAAAAGCATATGTCTATAAAAAAGACTTGTGTAGGAACTCAGAACAGCTTTATTTGTAATAGCCAAAACCAATATCCATCAAAAGGTAACTGTATAAACAAACGGAGATGTATCCATACAATGAAATATTATCCAGTAATAAAAAGTAATGAACTATTCATAACATGGATGAATTTCAAAATAGCTATGCTGATGGGAAAAAAAGCCACACAAAAGACTATATATCATGTGACTCCATTCGTATTAAACTCTGAAAAATGTAAACCATTCTTTAGTGTCAGAAAGACAATCAGTGGTTGCCTGGAGGATAAGGAAGAGAGGAACTTCAGGTAGGAAGAAGGTTCTAGAGGTAAAGACTGTGTTCACTCTGTTGATTGTGATGAGAGTTTCATACACGGAAATAAATTATATATTTAAAATATGTTCAGTTTATTGTATATAAATTGTATCTTAATAAACTTAATTAAAAAAAGATTTTGATTCATGGCCATAATATCAAGGAAAACCTGAGTCCTGTCTAAAAATCAGATGTACTATGTCATGGGCTAATCAGGCTTGGATGGGGTACCTGGCAGAGGTTTCACTACCCAAGATGATGAAGATGCTAAGATCTGAAGCCCTTTTGTTATAATTACGTGGTCTAGCTTGTTTTGCTTTTCCTCACTTATTCGTAACTCATTATCTGGTAACCTAAATGTATAGTGACTGGCTGGATCCTGGTTATTGGCTCAAAGATACATGCCTACACTGATGACTAGAGCCTGATGGCTCTTGAGAATTGCAGCTAAACCCAGCAGCAGTGGCCTTGGTGGCTTCTGGTCAAACATGCACTGAGTTTAGCTCTGAGGATTCCTGGTTCCATGAGGGATTAAGATAAATATTGCCTGCTCATCAGAGGATGGCCCAGTGAGAGCCCATAGAGCCTGAATTCACATGCACAACACAAGTTGCCCTCCAACTAAATTTTGACCTGGCTTCTAAAGCAGCCACTAAAGCTACAGAAACAACTTTAATTCGACACACAACTACCAGAGCCAGAGACATACACTCTCACTTGAGCGCCGACATTTTTCCATCTCTGAGGGATGCCACCCCTTGAACTTTTTAGTGGCATGCAGATTTGAGGAAGTCTGATGAAGACACCAGTGTTCCAAAACTGATAATACAGTCAGTTGAAAAAGACACAGCAATCAGGCAGCTGCAGATCAAAATATCAGATTTATTGAGTCTAGATAGGATGATGTGGAGTCTAATGGGGTGGCTTTAAGATTGAGCACTAGGAATGCTGTTAGGGTAAACTGAAAACTTTATAAAAACCTAAAAACCTGAAAAACAAAACTTCAAAAAAGCCTTTTTGTTTTCATCTTAAAACCCTCTCAGCATAGTTATATGATTCAACCAGAAGAAATAAATTTAACTTTCAACAGCTTTCAATCAAGTGTTTGTGGGAACACAAAACATGGAGTTCACAGCACATCACACTGGAAAACTTCTGTATTCCTTTCTCATCCATTTCTTCCATCAGAGCTCTGTAATTTAAAGCAGCTGCTCTACTTTTCACTGACTCTCTGTGTCTCTCGCTCAATCTCACTCCCTCTTTCCCCTGTCTGCCTCCATTGTTGCCTGCCTCCCATTTCCTCAGAGACTTGTGTGCCCTTTCCTTATCGATTATGTGGTTCTAGTAGCTACCCTGCTCCTTCACTCCTTGGAGAATAGGAAGGGTGAAAATCTGTGAATGTTTAGTCTCTGATATTTTCTTTCATCCTTGTTTCTTCACAGCAATAATGTCCCTATATCAATGAACATCTCCCGGACACCTTCATAATCTGCAAATCTCCAATCCTTGACATGAACTTTTCCCATTGCTTGATTTGTTTTTCTCCTTAGTACTTAACATTGTCTAAGTTACATGTATATTTTGATAATTTTATTTATCATCTGTTTCCCGCCCTCCACAGCCATAAATGTAAGCTTGAAGAGAGCAAGGATTTTTGTTTGGTTGTTTCATTTTTGGACTTCCAAAGCATTGAAATGAACTTAGCATATAGCTTGGTTCTCAGTAAATATTTGTGCAGTGAAGATGTAATTATTTCAAAGAGGCACACTGTTTGGTCATTTTGCCTTTCAGAGTGAGTTGCCACCATAGTATCCTTGTGCTCAGTTTTTGGCTGGGAGCCACCTGTGGGAAGAGTGTCTTTGGTACAAATGGCATGATGGATTTCAGCACATAGCAGCTGAGAATTTGAACAAGACACTCCCCAGAGTCAGAGTCTGAAAGGAGCCTTCCCAATGCTGCCACACACAGCATTTTCCTTTGATACCTTGAATCCACACAATCTTGGGATCCCCGAGAAGGGTCAAACACTTTCCATGTCTGATCATTACCCTTGAAATAATGACTTCATTCTGGAAGAAGGTTAAAGTTCTTGAAATATTTTCCATCACATCAACTGATCCTAGATACCAGCTTGTGGAATTAGAAAAGAAGAGGAGATGCCCAAGTGAAATTTTATAGGAACAAAATGCCCCCCACAGACCTTCTGGAAAACTTTCTGAAACAAAATGTAACACATCCTGTTCCTGGCAAAGAGCCTACCTTAGAGGCAGCCCAGAGAGAAGGAAAAAGCACACCCATTGTTCTGACACCTGGTCCCCTTCCTACTCTGCCTGGAGCACCTGGGAGCCCATCTCTGGGCTTGTTTCTTCAAGGTGAGAGCCTGAACTCAATAATCAATATTCACACTGGGCTCAGCCCAGCTCAACGATCCGTGCTACCAATGCTGTTGACCTTTAACTGAAACCATCATTTGGATTTAATTGTAATTTGGCACTATCCAACTCCAGAGGGAGGAGAAGAGAATCTAATTTTTTCATTGTATGCACTTGGCAAAAATTGGATCAGAATGAGAGGTTGTTTCCTAGTGCTGCAACCAGGTCGGACGCTAAGTTAATATATAGAATGAGCATCTGCTCTGCACCAGACACTGTGCTTGCTGGTGATAAAATAGGAATGGATAAGACATATTTGGGTGATGGGTACACTAAAAACACAGACTTCACCACAACACAGTATATCCATGTAATCAAACTGTGCTTGTATCCCCTAAATATATAAAAATTAAAAAAAATTAAAAATAAGACATAGGCCATGCACTTGGGGCATTTACAATGTTACTGTATAGTGTCTTCTTCTGTTGCCATTTTGCTACTTGATCTCATTTCTTAAGGGACAACATTCTCCATGCTAGCCAAGGCCCTCACACTGGAAGACAAATATCTTCACTGCAGTATCCACCAACATCTTCCTTCCCCATATAGCAAAGCACAGAGGAAAAACCATAGGCTCTGGAGTCAAGTCCTGATTTCCTAAAATGTGAACTTAGGCAAGTTACTGAACTTCTGCAGTCATCAGTGTCCTACTCTGAAACCTGAAAAAACAAGCCCTACTTTGCTGGATGTTTTGAAGATTAAAGACAATCTATACAAAGCTATAGTCTAAGCTCTTGGCACATTTCAGGGGCTCTCACTATTATTGTAATACTTTTGCTCTTATAAAATGTTACTGGATCTGCCTGAACCTACTCCTATTATTATGGTAGAGAGTTAAGAGGTTAACTAGTGACAATCTGCTTGCTCTTAATCACCATATGAAGTCACAGTGGATGTGACAGAAGAATCAAGCACTGTAAACACTGCACCCCTTACAAGACTTTGAGTTTGAAATCTGGAATATCAATGAAATCATAGCTACATTAGTCAGCCCTATGCACAGATTTTATGCTTCATTTGTATAATAAGAACATTCAAATTTACTTCTCACTCTCAGTGTTAACAACAGTCCAACAAAACCTTTAAATGATCCATTTGACCATAATTATTTTCTACACTTTGCTGAACTGATTTCTTGATTGATTTATTGATTATTTTCCTCAACTATTTCCATATCATTGGACATTTTATGGAGAGCTACCTCTTTTTTAGAACATCCTCTTTTCTTATGTGTCTGACATTGAGAATACTTAAAAATTCTTTTTATTACCTCTCCTCTGCCCATCCCTGATATCTGTGGCTTGGGGGACCTAGTCAGGCCCCTTCTCTCTGTACAAAATCTCATTATATTCTTTGGTGTGTAGATTACTTATATATTTATAATTTCAAGAGCTCTATCTTCACTTGGGCCCTCTCTGATGAGCTCTTTGCCCACATATTCTACAACTTACCACAGAACTCTAACTGGTTGTTCTTGTTGCCTAGTCAACAAAGACCAGGCAATAAGAAATACACCTATAGCCAAATAAGCTACAGATTTATTTACAAGCTACAATATTTATTTAGCTTGCTGTGGCTCAGGAAATGCACACCACAGACACCATCAGAATTAAATCTAAATTGTGTGCTGTCAAAGACAAGTTGATAATTGTGTATCCTGGTAATTTTTACCTAGGAAACGTGATGATTAATGTGAGGCCTAAGTCACCATTAATAAAGAAGAGTGACCGCTCCTGTCAGTTGGATAAGGAGACATTTAGCTATTTTGGGGTTTATAGGGTAACGTTGACTCTATCTTCTTTTAGACATGGTCCTGGAGTGGCCTTGTCTGATTATTATTTACTTGGCATGAACATAGTTTATACTTGGTTGGGAAATCCTGACCTAGGGCCACTTTCACATCTGATTCCATGGGAACCTCAAAAGCCCCTATCCTTGTTTCTCCAGCAATTTCATTTACAAAGTTACCTCAGTGAGCCTCCTGCACTTTTATTCCCACCTACCTAAACCAACAAGTCTTGCCTCCCATCTCCTCATTCTGACAATTGCTCATTTCAGAAACTTGACACTTCTGTCTTTAATACAAAGATCTTTTAAAAAGTGTTCCTATACCTTTCTATTATCAATAAAATACCCCTAACTTATTTGAATACTGCTAACATAATGAAACTTCTAAATATAAATTTGATCATGCCACCAGCTTGTTTAACAATGTTCACTGGTTTATCTGGCACGCAGGGGATAAACCTAATCATCGTGTATTGTCTTGAAACCTTCTTGATTTTTTCCTTGCCAATCTACTTTGGAAATACAGAGATAGTGCTGCCTAGCCCATGCCCTCAGGCAGAAATCAGTCTGCAAGCCACAGAGGTGGCAATTCTCCCCAAGTATGAGCTTGTTGCAATCACATTTATTAGGCTATGAACATCCCATGAGTGAAAGAAAGATCTGATGAAAAGTTAAATGGATGGAAAGATGGATAGTGGAATTTACATATGGATACAGACATAGAGTAAGAGGTGGGAAAAAATAAGAAAAATTAGGTTGAGAATTGGAAGGTGAGAAAAAAAGTGAAAAAGGGTTTGAGAAAGGAAGAATGATGAAAGTATATGGGAGAATAAGAAAAATATGTGCATTTGTGTCACAGGTATATGGGTTATTTAATGATCACCATCCTATTGCCACAGATGGGCATGGGTTAAGACCCTACCAGGTTGTGTAGAAGGGCTGGTGGCAGGGAGATGTCAGTACTGACTATAGTGTCTGCTTCAGGGTGTGGAGGGGCTTTTTTGACAACCAAACTTTTTAATATCATAAAATTAATCTTCCTTAGTACTGGTACTACTTGCTATGTCATTTCCTTGCAGTAATTTACACTGAAAAATTAAAAAGAAGGAAGGTGTTCTGTACTACACTATTAAATTCAGCTAAAGAGTATGTTCTGCTGAGTGGCTGGCTAATAAAAATAGCCCCAAAATGGTTCAAAGAAAATGCTACTCTGTAGGTCAAAAGTAGTCTTTGAACAGAGCATTATTTTTTCTTACCATCTCAAAAATTTTTTATCCTTGAAAATAAAGTGAAGGCAGTGAAATAGATTGGGTCACAACTACTAAACATGTGCTAATCCTTTGAACATTTTGACATTCTATCAGAGTCTATGAAACATTTTCAAAATGCACTTGTGAGAATAAGGAACATAGTACCATCCAGGTCTCCAAATGTGTGATGTGCTACTGGCTGGAAAAATAATTGTACCCTCTTAATAATCCAAATTAACATGAGATTTAATAATTTCACCTTTTAAATAATCTAAATTAACATTGTGAGCTGAGAAAACTGCTAATTGTTAAAATTCATACAGTATCATTTTCTCTCACTGAAACGTGTACTTCTTGGGAAAATACCAGAATCTTTATTATCTAGTGCAGTAAAACAAACAAATCAAATTGATGAATAAATGCTGCCACGTCTTCAATAGTTTATTGTGGAAAAGATCAATTCCATTTTATCACATATTGTCTGGACACTTTCTTTATGCAAGATGCAAAGTCAAGTTCTGAGGGAGGTAAAGAGCTCTTCTTAGGAATTTATTAACTATCAGAGGGATAGGCACATTTATAAATAGCCATGGTTGAGTAATCTAAAGGATGCAAGAGACACACGAACTAGGGAGCTTCAGAAAGAGGAGACTGTTTCTTTGGTGACCAGGGATCAGGAGAGGCTGTATAGAAGTGGTGGGACTGAGACAAGCCCTGAAAGGCAGAGACGATCTCCATTCTCCCTTTCAATGGTTCATATAGCATCTAGGATGAGCTTTCTAAAATGTATACCTGGTATCATGATTATTTTCCTGCTTAAAACTCTTCAATGGGTTCACATAATTTTCTTTATGATAAAATTAAAGCTCCCTGGCATGAATAATGAGATCTTTTTTTATATGGCCTTTTTAATGCCTTTTCAGCCTCAATGCTTGCCGTTTATCTCCAAATTATCTTTATGCACCAAAAAAGGAACTGTCTAGTAGCCATGTGTGGATACTAACATGCGATGATAATATAAAAGAATGAAGAAAGGTCATATTAAATGGGGACAGGCCTTTCATTAGAGGTCCTGATATTATGGCTTAAGGTAATAGGCAGAGAAAATGATGACAGGACCTAGAGGAATGGAACAAGATCTAGAGCAGTGGTTCTCAACCTTTATTATGTATCAAAATCATCTGATTTTTGACTGTGAGTTTTTGACTCAGAATTTAAATTTTCCATAAGTTCCCAGGTGGTGCTAACGCACTACAATTTGAGAACCACTGATCTAGAATAATATGCAGAGAAACACTGGAGGAAGATTTTCCTAGAAGGTGTGCTATATAGGTGTAGGACATTTTGGAAGAAGGCTAGAAAGTGTGCAAAACCACCACTGTGGATCATTGCCAGGAATCCGTTGCTTTGATTACATCTCTTATTTTGAATGATGGTAGGAAATTACTCTGACATCTAAAACTAAACTCCTTGAAGGAAAGCTCATGAAGAAAGATCAAACTAACATTACCTAACTCATAGTATGGCTGTTAACTTGAAATGAATCAATGCATAGGAATCATCTAGCACATAAGCAGACAAATGTGGCTCTGCAAAAGCAAAGGTCTTCTCAATACTATGAGCTATATCTCAACATTTTCATATCCTAGGTTCTTAGAATTACCATTACACATGGTAAACACTCATACTTGCAGAATGTGTAAAGTAATCTCAATCATGTACTTAGAACAATCTTGGTCCAATTTAGCATCTTTTGTCCTTCTACCAGCCATCTTCAACTCAAATTCTGTCTTCTACCAACCCTTCTCTACAATGCCCATTAAAACTAAATTTTTCTTTATCTACCTGCCATCACCTTGTCCTAGAGCATAAAGGCTGTATACAATTGTTGTACACAATCCCACTGTAACCACCAATCCCCTACCCTCTCTCTTTCTGACTCTGTATATTGCACTTAGTTCTCAAGGCACTAAAGCTGAAAAGCATATTTAGTGGTTCTCATCCCACATTTCATGGATCATCAGTTCAAGGGAGAAGATAGTAAGTAGCCTTGGTGGGATATGAGATTTATTGTCAAAAAATGCAGCGATCCAAAATTAGAGTATGAATATTCAAAGTACTTAGTATATGCTTGACTAAATACTTGTTTTAGCCTAAGTTCTTTGAGGATGTAGAGCTTGAACTCAGGAAGCAGGGACTCCTATGCAGGTAATATAGTCTGGGAAGTGATCCCAGGAAACAGGAATGAGACTGAGAGAGTGAAACAGGAGGAGAGAAGGTCAGGGATAAATGATCAGGTTGAAACCTCCAAAAGATGGCATGGGACTCCAAATTTTTTTTTTTTTTTTTTTTTTTAGATGGAGTCTTGCTCTGTCGCCCATGCTGGAGTGCAGTGGCATGATCTGGGTTCACTGCAAACTCCACCTCCCGGGTTCATGCCATTCTCCTGCCTCAGCCTCCCGAGTAGCTGGGACTACAGGCGCCTGCCACCACGCCTGGATAATTTTTTGTATTTTTTAGTAGAGACAGGGTTTCACTGTGTTAGCTAGGATGGTCTCGATCTCCTGACCTTGTGATCCAACCCGCCTCAACCTCCCAAAGTGCTGGGATTACAGGTGTGAGCCACCACGCCCAGCACAATTTTTTTTATCTCCAAGGGACATAAGAGCATTCACCCACTAATTTCCACTACCTATTGGTTAAGGCTTTCCAGTAGAACTTCTAGGTTGTGTATATACAAGCACCTAGAAAGTTGCAGCAAGGATTCCTTTACTCTATATGTCAGGGATCACTTAGCAAGAAAGTCAGTGATATACGTAGAGCTAAGCCAATGTGCTCCATTAAACAACTGTGTAATGTTGGATGTTGTAGTAATGGTTACAGTAAATGTTAGAAATTATATAAATTAGGGGAAGAGGTGTCCCTTCCAGTCCTTTACATAGGTGTCTCATTTGGCTTTTCAACAATCCTATGAGATTGGCTTCATTATTACAATTTAACAAAAAGTATCCTAGAGGATACATATGGCCACCCGGAGTTTTATATAGCTAGGATTGTAATGCATATATCTAAGTGCAAAGTCTATGCTTTTTCACTGTCCCTATACAAACCTTCCCATACTTCAATAATCTTCAGCCCTGTAGTAGTGACATGCTCTTCATTGTTGACACTTCTTGCCATCAGCCCTCGTTTTTATTTGTGACAGTTTGGCCCATGAGGAGTATTCTGGAATATTTAGAGTTGCTCAGATTCTAGACACCAGCTCATCTCTGCCAAGCGTATTCCTTCTGGATGTCTCATCATGAGTCTATCACAGTGTTATGAGTCTGCCCTAGCCCTGTCCACCTGGGTACCTAGAAATGTCTTTTTTCTTCCAGTGATCCCATGTATGCTACATTTATGAAAATTGAAATTTAAAATTATCCAGTGGTAAAATTTATACTAATAAGATAATTTTATTTCTATTTTATAAGGGAATCATTATTTTAGTTTGCATTTTAGAGCTAGAAAATATAAGCAAATTACTGTTTATTCACATGTTATGCAAACTTAGTAAGTGATAAACAACAGAATAAATACAATCATCCAAAGACATTTCTCAGAAAAGTGAGGTTTTTGACTCAATCTTTCCAGAATCCAAAAATTGTATTGAGACTTCTGAGGCACAGATTAAACAGAAAAATGCAGAATTAAATTTTCTGTCATAGAAGAAGGCAAAGAGAGCCAGGAGAGGAATTTATCACATTTCCTTAGAAGTTACCAGTTAGACTACCACAAAAACACACTCAAGCACATAGCCCAGAGACAATATAAAGCAATTACACCATCAAGTCTACAAAACAAGCAGCTAACCACCTTCTGGCATGATCAAAATCTCACATGTCAATATTAACCTTGAATGCAAATAGTCTAAATACCCCACTTAAAAGACATAGAGTGGCAACCTGGATAAAAAGACAAGACCCAACTCTCTACTGTTTTCAGGAGACCCATTTCACATATAATGACACCTATACGCTCAAAGTAAAGTGATGGAGAAAGATCCACCATGCAAACAGAAAACAACAAAAAAGAGCAAGAATAGCTATTCTTATATCAGATAAAACAGATTGTAAACCAACAACAATCAGGAAGGACAAAGAAGGGCATTACCTAATGATAAAGGATTCCATTCAACAAGAAGACTTAACTATATTAAATATATATGCACCCAACATTGAGACACCCAGATTTATAAAACAAGTTATTTTTGACCTACTAAAAGACTAGGGCAGCTACACAGTAATAGTGGGGGACTTCAACACTCCACTGACAGCGTTAGACAGATCATCAAGGCAGAAAACTAATGAAGAAGTTCTGGACTTAAACTCAACACTTGATCAAACTGACCTAATAGACATCTACAGAATACTCCACCTGACAACCACAGAAGATACATTCTTCTTATCCACACATGGAGCATATTCTAAGGTTGATCACATTCTCAGTCATAAAGTTAGTTTCAATAAATTTAAAAAAATTAAAATCATACCAAGCACACTCTTGAACAATAATGTGATAAAAACAGAAATCACTACCAAGAAGATCTCTCAAAACCACATAAAAACATATAAATTAAACAACTTGCTTCTAAATAACTCTTGAGTGAACAATGAAATTGTTTCTTGAAAAATTCATTGAAATTATTGAAAACAGAGATAAAACCAAAATCCTTAGGATGCTGCTAAAGCAGTATTAAGAGGAAAGTTTATACTAAACTTTCCCTCCAGCATAAACTAATGTTTAGTATATACTAAACTTTCCTTTAGTATAAACTGAAGTTTATACTAAATGTCTTCATCAAGAAGTTAGAAAGATCTTGAATTAGCTGTCTGAAAGTGCACCTAGAGCAACTAGAGAAAAAGGAACAAAGCAACACCCAAGCTAGCACAAGAAAAGAAATAACCAAAATCAGAAAAGAACTGAACAAATGAAATTTGAAAGTCCAAACAAAAGATGAATGAAATCAAGACTTGGTTATTTGAAAGAATAAACAAGATTCATAGACCACTACTAGCTAGATTAAGAAAGGAAAAAAAAATAGAAGATCCAAAAAACACAAGCAAAAATGACAAAGATGACCTTACAGCCAATTCTACAGAAACAAAAAGGCCTTCAGAGACTAATATGAACACCACTATGCACACAAATTAGAAAATCTAGAGGAAATAGATAAATTCCTGGAAACACACAACCTCCTAAGACTGAACCATGAGGACAGTGAAAACCTGAATAGGCCAATTATAAGCTCCAAAATTGAATCAGTAATACCAAACCTACCAATCAACAAAAATCCCTGAACCAGTTAGATTCACAGCTGAATCCTACTAGATGTACAAAGAAGAACTGGTACCAACCTTGCTGAAACTGTTCCAGAAAATTAAGGTGGGGCTCTTCCCCAACTCATTTTCTGAAGCCAGCATCATCCTGATGCCAAAATCTGGGAAAAAACGCAACAAGAACAAAATTTCAGGTCAATATCTCTGGTGAACATAGATGCAAAAATCTTCAACAGAATACTAGCAAATCAAATCTAGCAGCACATAAACAGAATTAAAACAAACATTGTATGATCATCTCAATAGATGCAGAAAAATCTCTAGATAAATTCCAACATACCTTCATCAAAAAAACTCTTAACAAACTAGGCATTAAAGGAACATTCCTTGAAGAGCCATCTGTGAAAAACCCACAGCCAACATCTGGGTAAAATCTGGAAGCATTACCCTTGAGGATGGAAACAAGACAAGGATGCCCACTCTCAGCACTCCTATTCATAATAGTATGGGAAATCCTAGCCAGAGCAATCAGACAAGAGAAAGAAATAAAGTGCATCCAAATAGGAAAAGAAAAAGTCAAATTATATTTCTTTGCTGGTGATATGATTCTATACATAGAAAATCTTAAAGTGGCCTGCACAAGGCCACTAGAACTGATAAATAACTTTAGCAAGGTTTCAGGATACAAAATCAGTAGTATTCTATGCTCCAATAACTTCTAGGCTGAGGATCAAATCAAGAGCACAATTCCATTTGCAATAGCCACAAAGTAAATGAAGCACTGAGGAATATAGCTAACTGAGGACATGAAAGATCTCTACAAGGAGAACTACAAAACACTGCTGAAAAAGATCAGATACTACATAAATAAATGGAAAAAATATTCCATGCTTATGGATTGGAATAATGAATATCATTGAAATGGTCATACTTCCCAAAGCAATTTACAGACTCAACACTATTCCTATTAAACTGCCAATTTTTTTCTTCACAGAATTAGGAAAAAAACCTATTCTAACATTAATATGTAAACAAAAAAGAGCCCAAATAGACAAGCAATCCTAAGCAAAAAGAACAAAGCTTGAGGCATCATACTACCCAACTTCAAACTATACTATAAGCCTACAGTAAGCAAAATAGCATGGTATTGGTTCAAAACAGACACATAGGCTAAAGGATCAGAATAAAACACTCAGAAATAAAACTGTATACCTACAACTATCTGATCTTTGACAGACCAACAAAAACAAGCAATGGGGAAAGGACTCCCCATTCAATAAATGGTGCTGGAACAACTGGCTAGCCATATGTAGAATAATGAAATGGGACCCTTACATTTCACCATTTACAAAAATCAACTTAAATTGGATTAAATATTTAAATGTAAGCCCTCAAACTATAAAAATCCTAGGAGAAAATCTAGAAAATACCCTTCTTGACATTGGCAAGGTTTTTCTTTTCTTTTCTTTTTTTTTTTTTTACTAAGTACCCAAAAGCAATTACAACAAAAACAAAAACTGAGAAGTGGGATCTAGTTAAACTAAAGAGCTTCTGCACAACAAAAGAAACTATCAACAAAGTAAACAGACAACTATAGAATGGGAGAAAATATTTGCAAACTATGTATCTGACAAATGTCTAATATCAAGAATCTACAAGGAACTTAAAGAAATCAAGAAGCAAAAAACAAATAGCTCCATTAAAAATGGGCAAAGAACATGAACAGATACTTTTCAAAAAAAGACATACAAGCGTCTGACAGACATGGAAAAATGCTCATCATTGCAAATTATCAGAGAAATGCAAATTATAACCACATGAGATACTATCTCACACAAGTCAGAATGGCTATATTATAAAAAGTCAAACAAACAAACAAACAAAAAAAGCAGATGCTGATGATACAGGGGAGAAAATGGAGCACATACACTATTGGTGGGAATTAGTCATTGTGGAAAGTAGTTTGGAGATTTCTCAAAGAATTTAAAACAGAGCTCTCATTTGACACAGCAATCCCATTATTGGTTATATACCCAAAGGACAATGGATCATTATACCAAAAAGAGACATACACTTGTATATTCATCGCCATGCTATTCCCAATAGGAAAGACATGAAATTAATCTAGGTGACCATCAATGGTGAACTGGATAAAGAAAACATGGTACATATACACCATGGAATACTACACAGCCATAAAAAATATTGTATCCTAAGTGAATTAATGCAGGAATAGAAAAAGAAAGCCACATATTCTCATTTATAAGTGGAAGCTAAACATTGAGAACACATGGGCATAAACATGGGAACAATTGCCACTGTGGACTACTAGAGGGGGAAAGTAAAGAGGGAAGTGTATGTTGAAAAACTACTTATTGGGTACTATGCTCATTATTGGGTACAATATATCCATATAACAAATGTGCACACAGACCCCCTGAATCTAAAATGAAAGATGAAATTTACAAAAAAATAAAAATAGAAAAGGAGATTCACCAGAAGGAAGACAGACCCTGGATTTGTGTCCCAAGTTCAACACTAGGCTTAAAATTTTGCAATTCTGGAATATAAAACCAAGGCTGGAAATTCCTAAAACTTAGCTACCCCTGGATGACTTCAGGAATAGTGATAAAGCAAGTGATAATGAAATAGTTTACCTCACACACTTCTCTCACTCCATGTACCAGTCTGGGTCTTCTGAGTTTCTGAGTGTCAAAAACAAAAATGGCTTCCACTTGATTTCTATCCTCTAAGTCTTACCTGAAAATATTTTCACATTTCATATTTCATCATATTTTACCACAAAGCAATGTCAAAGAATTAGTGAAAATTTTGAATGCAAGAGATAACAAGGACTTGATTCTTGTCTTTCACAATAAACACACAAGTTGCAAGCAAACACACAAATACAAACAATTTTATCTCAAATTTTCATTTGTGGAAGGGTCAGAATTGCTAACTGACTTTAACTACAAAGATTGTCTCCAGCTGCCTCCTCCCAAACCATGGTTTGCTATAAGATGCCTAGAATAGGGAATTATTTACCAAGAGACAGTACACCAGTATGCAATCAGAGATTGCTTAAACTGGATGACATTGGGGACATTCTGAAGTTTAATTGCAAACAACATAGAAAGAACTTCTTTTAAAAACCTGAGAAATTACCTTTTATTATCAACTATGACCTTGAGTCAATATTCTTCATATACTAAGTGTAATTGCAAATTAATTAAAGAGGGAGATAGGGCTGGACATGGTGGGTCACACCTCTAATCCTAATGCTTTGGGAGGCTAAGGAGGGAGGATTACTTGAGGCTAGGAGTTTGACCCCAGCCTGGGCAACATAGTGAGATCTCATCTCTACAAAATAAAATTTAAAAATTAACTGGGCATAGTGGTGCATGCCTGTAATCCCAGCTACTCATGAGGGTTTGGCAGAAGAATTGCTTGAAACCAGGAATTTGAGGTTACAGTGAACCATGATTGTGTCACTGTACTCTAGCCTGGGTGACAGGGTGAGACTCTGTCTCAAAAAAAAAAAAAAAAAAAAAAAAAAAAAAAAAAAAAAGAGGGAGGGGATGGAGATAAATATAAAAATGAAAAAAAAATGTTTGAAGACAAGAAGAGAAAAATCACAAGAGAAAAACTGTAAATGGTCAATAACAAAATTATAATTCCTACGTTTAATCAAATAAATGCAGATCATAGTGCTCTTATCCTGTCACACTAGAAAAGACTTTATAAATCTTAATTTTAACAGAGGTTAAAAATCATGACCTCTATTGATGAAAGAAAATTTACATATTTATATAGAGCCAGTGGGAATGTAAATCTGCACAGTATTTCTAGATAGTAATTTGAGGAAATACATCAAGTGTCTTTTTTATTCATTTACTTCATATTACTAGGAAGGCATTGAAAGTATATCTTTGTGGATTAGTGCTTACTGTGAGGAAGATGACATTCATCTGTTTTTGTTTCAATGAAGCATCCAGAAAATGGCCTCAAATAGATAACTAGGTGTTAGCAGACAAGAAGGGAATCAAACAAGTTGAAATCACACATCTATGAAAGGGAGAGTACGAGTGAGTACAGAGTAGCAGGGAAAGACGGAAATTGATCGTTGAATGACTGCTAGAATGTGCAATGTAAAAACTCACCTGTGGTTTTATGCGTGGGATAGCATTCAATTTGACTTTGTTTTGTTTGTGGTAAAATATGATATATATGTAAATAAAAAATAAATTAATGCATAAATGAAGTCAATAAGGATGTAATAGATTCTTCCCTTTTTTTTTTTTTTTTTTTTTTTTTTTTGAGACGGAGTCTCGCTCTGTCGCCCAGGCTGGAGTGCAGTGGCGGGATCTCGGCTCACTGCAAGCTCCGCCTCCCGGGTTCACGCCATTCTCCTGCCTCAGCCTCCCAAGTAGCTGGGACTACAGGCGCCCGCCACTACGCCCGGCTAATTTTTTTGTATTTTTAGTAGAGACAGGGTTTCACCGTGTTAGCCGGGATGGTCTCGATCTCCTGACTTCGTGATCCGCCCGCCTCGGCCTCCCAAAGTGCTGGGATTACAGGCGTGAGCCACCGCGCCCGGCCCAGATTCTTCCTGACTGTTAACTACCAAAGAAGAGTGATCAATTCCCTTCCTGGTTCTTTTTGCCCTTTCCCATGATAGAAAAATTTAACTCTCTGTTTTTCTGTGTAATCTGTGCCTCACAGGTCTCAACAAAATATTTTGGTTCCTGTCCTGTGTTTGGAATTTAACTCTTTAGTTGTGAATAGCTCTTTTTCTTCATGGAGATAATCGAGGCTGTAAGTCACAGAATTGGATTTTTTTCTATGATTTCAGGTGGCCATTCTCCTAATGTTCATTCTTCAAAAATGAAAGCCTCTTCTGTGGCCTAGATTTTGGATCCTGAAGTCCTGGACAGATGTTTCTTCTCCTCATACAACTGTCACACTGAAGACTACTGTGAAGGAGGACCTCAGCTTCTAAGGCTTGCTCGCAAAACCACTCCTCCATTTTAAAGTATTGTTCTGGAGCTGAATTAGATCAAATATTTTCCGGCTCTTCTCTCTTAGTACCTCTATTGTGAATGTATTCAATTTGTCCTCAGTATTCATCACTATTTTCTATATTTAGCCAATCATGGCTTTGGTGATTTCTCCTTTAGGCTTTCATTTATTTTTTTCTTATATTCTACCCTATGTGTCCTCTCTTTCTCTCTATCTCTCTCATTCTTATCTCATTATTATGTTTTTTTCTTTTAAAAACACAGGGTTATTTTTTACTATACAAAATAGTTTGAAATATGCACTCCAGGGCATTTAAAATAACTTTCACTCAGAATATTGAATTGTATGGATATATCATAACAAATACAATTTTGCTAAAAGTAAAATTAGTGCATCAATGGATTTTTAATATACAACACAAAATTTCTCACTGAGTTTTAACTTTTACTAACCATATATAGAGCTGGTGGCCTATTTTCCCACACTCTTATCAACACCTTTAAAAAGTCTTGTCAATAAAATGAGGTTCAGTTGCACACAGCAAAAATGCCCAAATTTATTGGTTAAAACACTGTAAAACTGTATTTCTCTCTAAAGTATCAGAAATTTGGAACTATACAATCCACTACATGTTAAGGGTCTCTGATTTCTGTCATCATCTTCACAATTCTAGAGCATGACTCTAATACTTCAAGGTAAACCATGGTACAAACATCTGCTAGAGCTCCCGCCATCATTTCTGCATCACAAAGTGGAAGGAGGAAAAACGAGGGGACAGAAAAGAGGCCCTTTCAAGTGACTTAACTTTCTTTTAGGACTGCTCCCAGAAATTTCATACTAAGCCTCCAGTTACATTTTATTGACCAGAATACCACATGACTATACTCAGATACGAGTGAGATTATGAAATACGGATTTTTTCTTGATGGCAATATTGTCAAGTAAAAAGCAAAATTTTATTGGTAGAGAGGACGAAGAGAACAGATATTGGGGTAGACAACTAACAGACTTCACTACAAGAGAAAAATATAATGTTATCACAGTGTATTAGTTACTAGGCTTTTGATTATCAGTGATAGAAGTTTATTTTTGTATTTGGTGGACTTTTGAAGTTATTCTGCATATTGCTCATGCATATTTTTGGCCATTTATTCTGTTGGGAAGGAATATGAGATATTCTCGTGAAAAGACCTTGACAACAAAAGATACTTAAACTGGATATGAACGGTGAAAGCATGAAAACAAAATTGATTGTGAGTATTGAATTCATTTAAATATAGAACAAAGACTAAATTTCTGTCAGGAATATAGTTCCAGGAAGTAAATATTAGGAACTCTGACAATATAAAAGTGAAAATGACAAAAACAAAACCTGGAGGTGGATGATAAAGGAAGTTGTAAGGAAAGATTTGCATATTTTCTTACAGCTTCTCAAAAAGTCAGCCAATTTCTTCTGCTGAATTTAGATAAGTCTACAATAGGAAAAACAAAATTATAGAGTAAATCAATGGAAGAAGCAATAATACAAATATATTAATAAACATAATGATCTAAAAGGAGTAGGGAAGGTGATAGATGTTATTTTTTCTCCTGCCATAACAGGAACTTTATAGATATGTTGTTCAAAGATGACACAGAGAGTTAAATACACTACAAAAAGTAAACTTATGCACTTAAAAACAAGAGAGACAGTAGATCTTCTAAAATATAAGAAGGAAATTATACACAAACATACCTCATATAGCCTAAAATAATACATACACACATAGCAAAAGACAGAAAACATTAAAAACAAAAGCTAAATAAGAAGACACTGGAGAGGCCAATTCTGTTAATTTAGAAAAATGATATAAATTTTAATCTATTGAAAAGATTAAAGGCTCAGATTTCACAAAAAATTCCAGTATGCATCATATACAAGAAACATATTTAAAATAATGTGAACCAAAAATTTTAAATGTAAAATGACAGACAAGTATCTGCAATATCTTAGCAGCAAAAATAAGTGAAAGATAAAGAGACATTAATATAAACCTAAGTATAAGGGGGAGACTTTATGATGCATCCCTGTTAGATGATACTTTCAAAATTATTTTAACTGACACTCAAAACGTTATAAAGAGTGCAACAATATGGAAAAGTATGAACCAACTTTGCTTGTGAATATTAAGGTGAAACTTTAAAAATCGACCACAGCAGCCAAGATGGCCAAATAGAAACAGCTCTGCTCTTCAGCTCCTACCGAGAAGGATGAAAATGGCAAGTGAAGATACCAAGGTTCAATTGAGATACCAAGGTTCTCTCATTGGGACTGACTAGATGGTTGGCGTGACCCACGGAGAGTGAGGAAAAGCAGGGTGGAGCAAGGGCCCAACCAGGAGCTGTATGGAGCAAAGGGAGCTCTTCCTCCAGCCAAGGAAGGCAGTGAGAGACTGTGTTACCCCTCCCTGAAAAACCACACTTTTCCCACAGATGCCTTCAATCCACAGATCAAGAGGTCTCCTCATGACCTCATGCCACCAGGGCCTTGGGTCCCAAGCACACAGCTGTGCAGACTCACAGCAGCTGCTCGGGTGGGCGGCCACTTGAGCAGGCACTGAGACACAGGAGTATTTGCATACTCCAGCTCTGGGAACTCTGGTGAGGCATGAGATCCATCCACTTCTGTGGGAAGGGGGCTAAAGCCAGGGAGCCAAGCGGCCTCACTCTCATGGAACCCCACAAGCTAAAACCCACTGGCTTGGAATCCCTGCTGGCCAGCGCAGCAGGCTGGAGACTGCCTAACAAGAGCGAGTTTGGCGGCGGGGAGGGGTGGCTGCCACTACTGCAGCTCCAGTAGGCCTTTTTCCCCTGCCACCAGTGCCAGCAAGACTGGGCAGTTTGGACTGGGAGCAGTTACCCACAGTGCAGCACAGCGGCTGGGTCAGTTTGTGGCCAGACTGCTTCTTTAAGTGGAACCCCAATCCACTCTTCCTCATGCACCAGGGCCTCCCTGTGATAATTTCAGCATCCCCAACCATGGGTTTATGAAAAGAACTATGATATCCCTGAGAGGATCCCCTAGGAGAAGGGGCGGCTATGGTATCATGGATCAATGAATGGTTTCAGTCTTTTCTGCCTGCTGGCTCTGGAGAGTCAGGGAAGCCCAGACAAGTGGGATTCCTCCCAGTGCAGCACACCCACTCTGCCAAGGGGCAGCCAGACTCTTATTTAAGTGTGTCCCTGATCCTGCTTCTGCTCCTCCTGACTGGGTAAGACTTCCCAACAGAAGTCTCCAGACACCTCATACATAAGCATTCAGGCCAGCATCAGGTCAGTGCCCCTCCAGGACAGAGCTCCCAGAGGAAGGAGCAGGCTGCCATCGTTGCTTGTCGGCAGCCTCCACTGGTGCAGACAAGCAAAGTGCTTCAGGGGCAGGAGGGAACCAGGCAAATAGGGTCTGGAGTGGACCCCAAACAAACCACAGCAGCCCTACAGAAGAGGGGCCCGACTGGTAACAAAAAAACAAACAGAAAGCAACAACATCAACAACAAAGATCCCCAAAAACCCCATCCAAAGCTCAGCAGCCTCAAAGATCAAAGATAGATAAACCCATGAAGATGAGAAAGAATTAATGCAAAAACACTGAAAACTCAAAAAGCCAGAGTACCTCTTCTCCTTTAAGTGATCACAACACATCCCTAGCAAGGGAACAGAACTGAGCAGAGGTTGAGATGGATGAACTTCAGAAGAAGGGTAATAACGAACTTTGCTAAGCTAAAGGAATACATTCTAACTCATCACAAAGAAGCTAAGAACCATGATAAAACATTACAGGAGTTGTTAAACAGAATAACAAATTTAGAGAGGAACATAAATAACATGATGGAGCTGAAAAACACAACATGAAAACTTCAAAATGCAAACACAAGTAGCAATAGCCGAACAGACCAAGCAGAAGAGATATCAGAGCCTGAAGACTATCTTTCTGAAATAAGGCAGGCAAACAACATTAGAGAAAAAAGAATGAAGGAATGAACAAAACCTCTGAGAACTATGGGATTATGTTAAAAGACTGAACCTGTGACTGATGGGGTCCCTGAAAAAGACATGAAAAACAGAACCAAGTTGGAAAACACACTTCAAAATATCATCCAGGAGAACTTCCTCAACCTAGCAAGATATGCCAACATTCAAATTCAGGAAGTTAAGAGAACCCCAATAAGATACTCTACAAGAAGATCAACCCCAAGACACATAATTCATCAAGGTTGAAAAGAAAAAAAAAATGTTAAAGGCAGCGAGAGAGAAAGGACAGGTCACTTACAAATGGAAGCCCATTAGACTAACAGCAGATCTCTAAGCAGAAACCAGCACAAGCCAGAGAGATTGTGGGACAATATTCAACATTCTTGAAGAAAAGAATTTCCAATGTAGAATTTTATATCCCACCAGACTAAGCTTCATTATGAAGCTTCATTTATGAAGCTTCATAAATTACAATCTTTTCCAGACAAGCAAATGCTGAGGGAATTCATCACCACCAGGCCTGCCTTGCAAGACCTCCTGAAGGGAGCACTAAATATGTAAAGGAAAAACCCATACCAGCCACTAAAAAAACACCCTGAAGTACACAGACTAGTCTGCAAAACAAGCAGCATCATGATGACAGGATCAAATTCACACATAACAATATTAACCTTAAATTAAGTGGCCTAAATGCCCCAATTAAAACACACAGAATAGCAAGCTGGATAAAGAGTCAAGATCCATTGGTGTACTGTATTCAAGAGACCTATCTCACATACAAAGACACACATAGACTCAAAATAAAAGGGTGGAGGAAAATTACCAAGCAAAAGAAAAACAGAAAAAAGTAGGTGCTGCAATCCTAGTTTCTGACAAAACAGACTTTAAACCAACGAAGATAAAAAAGACAAAGAAAGACATTACATAATGCTAAAGGGATCAATTCAACAAGAAGAACTAACTATGCTAAATACATAGGCACCCAATACAGAAGCACCCAGGTTTATAAAACAAGTTCTTAGAGACCTATAAAGAGACTTAGACTCCCATATGATAATAGCAGGAGACTATAACACCCCATTGTCAATATGAGACAAATCACTGGGACAGAAAATTTAAAAGGATATTCAAGACTTGAACTCAGCTCTTGATCAAGTGGACCTGAGAGATACCTACAGAACCCTCCACTACCAAACAACAGAATATATATTTTTTTCAGTGCCAATTGGCACTTGCTCTAAAATCAGTCACATAATTGGAAGTAAATTCCTCCTCAGCAAATGCAAAATAACTGAAATCATAACCAACAGTCTCTCAGACCACAGCATAATCAAATTAGAACTCAAGATTAACAAACTCACTCAAAACCACACAACTATATCAAAAATTGAACAACCTGCTCTTGAATGATTCCTGGGTAAATAATGAAATTAAGGCAGAAATCAAGAAGTTCTTTGAAACCAATAAGAACAAAGATGCAATGTACCAAAATCTCTCAGACACAGCTAAAGGAGTGTTAAAGAGGGACATTTATAGCAGTAACTGCCCAGAGCAAAAAGCTAGCAAGATCTCAGATCAACAAAATAACATCAAAACTAAATTCCAGTACACTTAATATCCTCTCAATACTGAACCAGGAAGAAGATGAATCTGTGAATAGAAGAATAACAAGTTCTGAAACTGAGGCAGTAATAAATAGCCTACCAATCGCAAGAGCCCAGCACAAGATAGATTTAAACCTGAATTTTGTCAGAAATACAAAGAGGAGCTGATACCCTTTCTTCTGAAACTATTCCAAACAATTAAAAAGGAGGGACTCCTCCCTAACTCACTCTATGAAGCCAGCATCATCCTGGTACCAAAACCTGGCAGAGATATAACAAAAATGGAACACTTCAGGCCAATAACTCTGATGAATATCGATGCAAAAATCCTCAATAAAATACTGGCGAACCAAATACTGCAGCACATCAAAGAGCTTATCAACCACAATCAAGTTGGCTTCATCCCTGGGATGCAAGCCTCTTTCAACATATGCAATTTCAATAAACGTAACTTATCACATAAACAGATTCAAAGACAAAAACCATATGATTATCTCAATTGACACAGAAAAGGTCTTCAATAAAATTCAACATCCTTTAACCTTAAACACTCTCAGTAAACTAAGTATTGAAGGAACATACCACAAAACACTAAGAACCATTTATGAAAAACCCACAACTAATATACTGAATGGGCAAAAGCTGGAAGCATTTCCCTTGAAAACTGGCACAAGCCAAGAATGCCCTCTCTCACCACTCCTATTCAACACAGTATTGGAAGTTCTGGCCAGAGCAATCAGGCAAGAGAAAGAAATACATGGTATTCAAATAGGAAAAGAAAATATCAAAGTATCTTTGTTTGCAGATGACATGATCCTGTATCTAGAAAACCTCACTTTTTCAGCCAAAAGCTTCTTAAGCTGATACGCAACTTCAGCAAAACCTAAGGATACAAAATCAATGTGCAAAACTCACAAGCATTCCTATACACCAACAACAGGCAAGCAGAGATCCAAATCATGAATGAACTCCCATTCCCAATTTCTACAAAGAGAGTAAAATACCTAGCAATAGAGTTGACAAGGGAAATGAAGGACCTCTTCAAGGAGAACTACAAACCACTGCTCAAGTAAGTCAGAGGGGACACAAACAAATGGAAAAACATTCTATACTCACAGATAGGAAGAATCAATATTGTGAAAATGGCCATAGTGCCCAAGGTAATTTATAGATTACTTCCATGTTATTCCCATTAAACTACCATTGACATTCTTCAGAGAATTACAAAAAACTACTTGAAAATTCATATGGAACAAAAATTTTAAAAAGCCTATATTGCCAAGACAATCCTAAGCAAAAGGAACAAAGCTAGAGGCATCACGCTACCTGACTTCAAACTATACTATAAGGCTACAATAATAAAAACAGCATGATATTGGTACTAAAACATATATATAGACCAATGGAACAGAATAGAACATCTCAGAAATAAGACTGAACATTTGCAACCATCTGATCTTTGACAAACTTGACAAAAACAAGCAATGGGGAAAGGATTCCCTATTTAATAAATGATGCTTGGAAAACTGGCTAGCCATATGCAGAAAACTGAAACTGGACCCCTTCCTTACACCTTATATCAACATTAACTCAAGATGGATTAAAGACTTAAAGGTAAAATCTAAAACTACAAAAACACTAGAAGAAAATCTAGCAATACCATTCAGGACATAGGCATGTACAAAGATTTTTTGACAAAAACATCAAAAGCGCTTCCTGCAAGATAGCCAAATAGGAACAGCTCCAGTCTACAGCTCCCAGTGTGAGTGATGCAGAAGATGGCTGATTTCTGCATTTCCAACTGAGTTTTGAAGAGAGTAATGGTTCTCCCAGCATGCAGCTGGAGATCAGAGAATGGACAGACTACCTCAAGTGGGTCCCTGATCCCCGAATAGCCTAACTGGGAGGCACCCCCCAGTTGGGGCAGACTGACACCTCACATGGCCAGGTACTCCTCTGAGATAAAACTTCCAGAGGAACGATCAGGCAACAACATTTGCTGCTCACCAGTATCTGCTGTTATGCAGCCTCCGCTGCTGATACCCAGGCAAACAGGGTCTGGAGTGGACCTCCAGCAAACTCCAACAGACCTGCAGCTGAGGGTCCTGACTGTTAGAAGCAAAACTAACAAACAGAAAGGATATCCACACCAAAACCCCATCTGTACGTCACCATCATCAAAGACCAAAGGTAGATAAAACCACAAAGATCGTGAAAAAACAGAGCAGAAAAACTGGAAAGTCTAAAAATCAGAGCACCTCTCCTCCTCCAAAGGAACACAGCTCCTCACCAGCAATGGAACAAAGCTGGATGGAGAATGACTTTGACAAGTTGAGAGAAGAAGTCTTCAGATGATCAAACTACTCTGAGCTACAGGAGGAAGTTCAAACCCATGGCAAAGAAGTTAAAAACCTTGAAAAAAATTAGATGAATGGCTAACTAGAATAATCAATGCAGAGAAGTCCTTAAAGGGCCTGATGGAGCTGAAAACCATGACACGAGAACTACGCGACGAATGTACAAGCCTCAGTAGCCGATGCGATCAACTGGAAGAAAGTGTATCAGTGACTGAAGATCATATGAATGAAATGAAGTGAGAAGAGAAGTTTAGAGAAAAAAGAATAAAAAGAAATGAACAAAGCCTCCAAGAAATATGGAACTATGTGAAAAGATGAAATCTACATCTGACTGGTGAACCTGAAAGTGACGGGGAGAATGGAACCAAGTTGGAAAACACTCTGCAGGATATTATCCAGGAGAACTTCCCCAATCTAGCAAGGTAGGCCAACATTCAAATTCAGGAAATACAGAGAACGTCACAAAGATACTCCTCGAGAAGAGCAACTCCAAGACACATAATTGTCAGATTCACCAAAGTTGAAATGAAGGAAAAAATGTTAAAGGCAGCCAGAGAGAAAGGTCAGGTTACCCACAAAGGGAAGCCCATCAGACTAACAGTGGATCTGTCAGCAGAAACTCTACAAGCCAGAAAAGAGTGGGGGCCAATATTCAACATTCTTAAAGAAAAGAACTTTCAACCCAGAATTTCATATCCAGCCAAACTAAGCTTCAGAAGTGAAGCAGAAATAAAATCCTTTACAGACAAGCAAATGCTGAGAGATTTTGTCACCACCAGGCCTGCCCTAAAAGAGCTCCTGAAGGAAGCACTAAACATGGAAAGGAACAACTGGTACCAACCACTGCAAAAACATGCCAAATTGTAAAGACCATCGAGGCTAGGAAGAAACTGCATCAACTAATGAGCAAAATAACCAGCTAACATCATGACAGAATCAAATTCACACATAACAATATTAACCTTAAATGTAAATGGGCTAAATGCTCCAATTAAAAGACACAGACTGGCAAATTGGATAAAAAGTCAAGACCCATCAGTGTGCTGTATTCAGGAAACCCCTCTCACATGCAGATACACACACAGGCTCAAAATAAAGGGATGGAGGAAGAGCTACCAAGCAAATGGAAAACAAAAAAAGGCAGGGGTTGCAATCCTAGTCTCTGATAAAACAGACTTTAAACCAACAAAGATCAAAAGAGACAAAGAAGGCCATTACATAGTGGTAAAGGGATCAATTCAACAAGAAGAGCTAACTATCCTAAATATATATGCACCCAATACAGGAGCACCCAGATTCATTAAGCAAGTCCTTAGAGACCTACAAAGAGACTTAGACTCCCACACAATAATAATGGGAGACTTTAACACCCCACTGTCAACATTAGACAGATCAATGACACAGAAAGTTAACAAGGATATCCAGGAATTGAACTCAGCTCTGCACCAAGCAGACCTAATAGACATCTACAGAACTCTCCACCCCGAAACAACAGAATATACATTCTTCTCAGCACCACACCACACTTATTCCAAAATTGACCACAGTGTTGGAAGTAAAGCACTCCTCAGCAAATGTGAAAGAACAGAAATTATAACAAACTGTCTCTCAGATCACAGTGCAATCAAACTAGAACTCAGGATTAAGAAACTCACTCAAAACCACTCTACTACATGGAAACTGAACAACCTGCTCCTGAATGACTACTGGGTACATAACGAAATGAAGGCAGAAATAAAGATGTTGTTTAAAACCAATGAGAACAAAGACACAACATACCAGAATCTCTGGGACACATTCAAAGTAGTGTGTAGAGGGAAATTTATAGCACTAAATGCCCACAAGAGAAAGCAGGAAAGATCTAAAATTGACACCCTAACATCACAATTAAAAGAACTAGAGAAGCAAGAGCAAGCACATTCAAAAGCTAGCAGAAGGCAAGAATTAACTAAGATCAGAGCAGAACTGAAAGAAATAGAGACACAAAAAACCCTTCAAAAAATCAATGAATCCAGGAGCTGGTTTTTTTTAAAAGATCAACAACATTGATAGACTGCTAGCCAGACTAATAAAGAAGAAAAGAAAGAAGAATCAAATAGACACAATAAAAAATGATAAAGGGGATATCACCACTGATCCCACAGAAATATAAACGACCATCAGAGAAAACTATAAACACCTCTATGCAAATAAACTAGAAAATCTAGAAGAAACGGATAAATTCCTGGATGCCTACACTCTCCCAAGACTAAACCAGGAAGAAGTTGAATCTCTGAATAGACCAATAACAGGCTCTGAAATTGAGGCAATAATTAATAGCTTACCAACCAAAAAAAGTCCAGGACCAGATGGATTCACAGCCAAATTCTACCAGAGGTACAAGGAGGAGCTGGTACCATTCCTTCTGAAACTATTCCAATCAATAGAAAAAGAGGGAATCCTCCCTAACTCATTTTATGAGGCCAGCATCATCCTGATACCAAAGCCTGGCAGAGACAAAACAAAAAAAGAGAATTTTAGACCAATATTCCTGATGAACATCGATGCAAAAATCCTCAATAAAATACTGGCAAACCGAATCCAGCAGCACATCAAAAAGATTAACCACCATGATCAAGTGGGCTTCATCCCTGGGATGCAAGGCTGGTTCAACATACACAAATCAATAAACGTAATCCAGCATATAAACAGAACCAAAGACAAAAACCACATGATTATCTCAATAGATGCAGAAAAGGCCTTTGACAAAATTCAACAACCTTCATGCTAAAAACTCTCAATAAATTAGGTATTGATGGGTCGTATCTCAAAATAATAAGAGCTATCTATGACAAACCCACAGCCAATATCATACTGAATGGGCAAAAACTGGAAGCATTCCCTTTGAACACTGGCACAAGACAGGGATGCCCTCTCTCACCACTCCTATTCAACATAGTGTTGGAAGTTCTGGCCAGGGCAATTAGGCAGGAGAAGGAAATAAAGGGTATTCAAGTAGGAAAAGAGGAAGTCAAATTGTCCCTGTTTGCAGATGACATAATTGGATATCTAGAAAACCCCATCCTCTCAGCCCAAAATCTCCTTAAGCTGATAGGCAACTTCAGCAAAGTCTCAGGATACAAAGTCAATGTACAAAAATCACAAGCATTCCTATACACCAATAACAGACAAACAGAGAGCCAAATCATGAGTGAACTCCCATTCACAATTGCTTCAAAGAGAATAAAATACCTAGGAATCCAACTTACAAGGGATGTGAAAGACCTCTTCAAGGAGAACTACAAAACACTGCTCAATGTAATAAAAGAGGACACAAACAAATGGAAGAACATTCCATGCTCATGGGTAGGAAGAATCAATATCGTGAAAATGGCCATACTGCCCAAGGTAATTTATAGATTCAATGCCATCCCCATCAAGCTACCAATGGCTTTCTTCACAGAATTGGAAAAAACTACTTTCAAGTTCTTATGGAACCAAAAAAGAGCCCGCATTGCCAAGTCAATCCTAAGCCAAAAGAACAAAGCTGGAGGCATCATGCTACCTGACTTCAAACTATACTACAAGGCTACAGTAACAAAAACAGCATGGTACTGGTACCAAAACACAGATATAGATCAATGGAACAGAACAGAACCCTCAGAAGTAACACCACACATCTACAACCATCTGCCCTTTGATAAACCTGACAGAAACAAGAAATGGGGAAAGGATTCCCTATTTAATAAATGGTGCTGGAAAAACTGGCTAGCCATATGTAGAAAGCTGAAACTGGATCCCTTCCTTACACCTATACAAAAATTAATTCAAGATGGAGTAAAGACTTACATGTTAGACCTAAAACCATAAAAACCCTAAAAGAAAACCTAGGCAATACCATTCAGGACATAGGCATGGGCAAGGACTTCATGACTAAAACACCAAAAGCAATGGCAACAAAAGCCAAAATTGACAAATGGGATCTAATTAAACTAAAAAGCTTCTGCACAGCAAAAGAAACTACCATCAGAGTGAACAGGCAACCTACAGAATGGGAGAAAATTTTTGCAATCTACTCATCTGACAAAGGGCTAATATCCAGAATCTACAATGAACTCAAACAAATTTACAAGAAAAAAACAAACAACCCCATCAACAAGTGGGCGAAGGATATGAACAGACACTTCTCAAAAGAAGACATTCATGCAGCCAAAAGACACATGAAAAAATGCTCATCATCACTGGCCATCAGAGAAATGCAAATCAAAACCACAATGAGATACCATCTCACACCAGTTAGAATGGTAATCATTAAAAAGTCAGGAAACAACAGGTGCTGGAGAGGATGTGGAGAAATAGGAACATTTTTACACTGTTGTTGGTGGGACTGTAAACTAGTTCGACCATTGTGGAAGTCAGTGTGGCGATTCGTCAGGGATCTAGAACTAGAAATACCATTTGACCCAGCCATCCCATTACTGGGTATATACCCAAAGGATTATAAATCATGCTGCTATAAAGACACATGCATACGTATGTTTATTGTGGCACTATTCCCAATAGCAAAGACTTGGAACCAAGCCAAATGTCCAACAATGATAGACTGGATTAATAGAATGTGGCACATATACACCATGGAATACTATGCAGCCATAAAAAATGATGAGTTCATGTCCTTTGTAGGGACATGGGTGAAGCTGGAAACCATCATTCTCAGCAAACTATCACAAGGACAAAAAACCAAACACCACATGTTCTCACTCATAGGTGGGAATCGAACAATGAGAACACATGGACACAGGAAAGGGAACACACACACCGGGGACTGTTGTGGGATGGGAGGAGGGGGGAGGGATGGCATTAGGAGATATACCTAATGTTAAATGACGAATTAATGGGTGCAGCACACCAACATGGCACATGTATACATATGTAACTAGCCTGCACGTTGTGCACATGTACCCTAAAACTTAAAGTATAATAAAAAAAAAAAATCAAAAGCGATTGCAACAAAAGCAAAAATTGATAAATGGGATCCAACTAAACTGCCGAGCTTTGCACAGCAAAAGAAACTATCAGAGTGAACAGGCAAACTACAGAATGGGAGAACATTTTTGCAATCTATTTATCTGACAAAGGTCTAATATCTGGAATCTACCAGAAACTTAAATTTAAAAGAAAAAAACAAACAACCCCATTAATAAGTGGGCAAAAGACAAGAACAGACACTTCTCAACAAAAGGTATTTGTGTGGCCAAGTAACCTATGAGGAAAAGCTCAACATCACTGATCATTAGAGAAATGCAAATCAAAACCACGGTGAGATACCATCTCATGACAGTCAGAATGGCAATTATCAAAAAGTCAAGAAACAACAGATGCAGGCAAGGTTGTGGAGAAACAGGAATGCTTTTACACTGTTGGTGGGAATGTAAATGTATTCAACCATGTGGAAGACGGTGTGGTGATTCCTCAAAGATCTAGCACAAGAAATACTATTTGACCCAGCAATCCCATTACTGAGAATATACCTAAAGGAATAGAAATTATTCTTTTACAAAGATACATACACATGTATGTTCATTGCAGCACTATTCACAATAGCAAAGACATGGAATTAACACAAATGTCCATCAGTGATAGACTGGATAAATAAACTGGTACATATACACCATGGAATAATATGCAGACGTAAAAAAGAATGAGATCATGTCCTTTGCAGGGACATGGATGGGACTGGAAGCCATTATTCTCAGCAAACTAATGCAAGAATAGAAAACCAAACAACACATGTTTTCACTTATAAGTGGGAACTGAATAATGAGAACACATGGACACAGGGAGGGGAAAAACACACACTGGGGCCTGCTGGAGGTGGGGTGGGGGTAGGGAGAGCATTACAAAAATTAGTTAATGCATGCTGGGCTTAATGCTTAGGTAATGAGTTAATAGGTGCAGCAATCCCCGATGGCACACTTTTACCTGTGTAACAAACCTGCACATCCTGCATATGTACCCTGGTACTTGAAATAAAAATAAAAATTAACAAACAAACAAAAATAACAAATGTACTGCTTTGGTAGGGGGTGTTGGTAATTTGGAAATCTATATCTATGCATGTGTGAGGAAAATTGTGTATGAGAAATGTGTAAACCTTCCCTAAATTTTGTTGTGAACCTAAAGCTGCTCTAAAATATAAAGTCTACTTTAAAAAGAAAAAAAAAAACTTTAAAAATCACATATAAGAAAATGTAGTTCAGTGTATGTTTAAAATAAAATATACCATGATCTAAGTGGTAAGTGTGCAAGTGAGGTTTATTGTTAGACTATTTGGTTCATTCAAAATGTATGCCAGCTTCCTTAGGATGAACATGTTGATATCGAAGAGGATGAACTGCTAAAAATCTACATTTTTCACACTCCTCATGGAGAGAGAGGCAGATATGACATTGTGGATTTGGTTGACAAGACCAACAATTATGGAGGTGGTTCTCTCTTATCCAGACCTCAGCATAAATGGTGATTTCCTTCAGCTATCAGGTGTGGAAACAGCTCTCTCTGATTCCAAGATTTCCACTAAGGTGGTGTGATATTGAAACTGGCAGCAGTCACAGAGGCTTCCTGATTCTCTGGCTTCCTGCTATGGCTAAAGGTAGCAGCTGCCTTGATGAGCCAGTTCTGCACAGTTGTTCTAGGAGAGTCTGGAGAGCTAATCTGAAGCTGAACTCCTGGTTTTAAAGACCTTTCTGCTTAAAATCATCATATTGGTTTTGACTATATGCAGTGGTATTCTGACTAGATATTAATAAAAGAAATTATTGTCTATAAAAATTCTTAAAATCATACATTTAGCAAACAAGTATATCTTTGTGTACACTTAAGCAATAGGCAGAATTTTTATAAAGTCACCTCTAAAATTCCAGTGGAGTAAACATATACCCACACTCAGATACACTTACAGACACAAGATTTAAATAAATAGAAAGCCATTATACTTGCAGAAGACTTATCATTGTTTATTAATTTAATTACCTAAAAGTTCTCCTGAATTTTCTGATTGTTTGTAGTAGCATTTTTTAGATTGGAGTTTTACCTTGTTTCTTATGCCCCCAAAATTTTCAGTTAGATCAAATTCTAACCTAAAAAATAAGCCACAAAAATATTAAAATTAAGCATGACTGAATTTACATATCATCTTGAAGCAGACAAAGCATTGTATGTAAGACTCAGAATTTACAAACTCTAAACTAAAATAATAAATATAGTCACATAAAAACTTTGAACTTAATAACATCACAATCGAAACACAAATGAGAAACTGGACAATAAATATCTTAACATATATTTTACCAGGATTCTATAAAAATCCAAAAAACTAGTAAAATACAATAAATGAGAAAGCATCTTAAATGTGTCACAGCTAAACAAATACAAATAATGAAAAAATAAATAAAATATGCTAAAGCATACTCCTAAAGACATTTAAGTGAAAGAAAAAATCAGATACCGGATTTATCGATTTAATTGGCAAAATTTTAAATTTGATAATATTAGTACTGGAAAAATTTGTAGAGTTTTGTTTCTTATCTGAGGAAAATAAAAGTTAGTGTCCTTAGATTTAACAACACCAATCTTTTGATTTGCACCTAAAAACATTGGCCAAGTTATTTCAACTTGAATGCACAGCAGAGCTTTGATTATTATAACAAACAAACAAAAACCAAGCAGTGCATTCTTCACTAGATACTTGTCAAATAAAATATTTTTAAAAATGAAAATAAATATCACAGGAAACTATTTTATAAAAATTAACATATAATAATGGTGTTATGGTTTGGCTGTGTCCCCACCTAAATCTCATCTTGAATTGTAGCTCCCATATTTCCCACATGTTGTGGGAGGGACCCAGTGGGAGACAATTGAATCATGAGGGTGGTTTCCCTCATACTGTTCTTGTAATCGTGATTAAGTCTCACCAGATGTGATGGTTTTATAAGGGGAAACCCTTTTCACTTTGCTTTTATTCCTCTTTGCCTGCCACAATGTAAGACATGCCTTTTGCCTTCCACCACAATTATGAGGCCTCCCTAGCCATGTGGAACTGTCAGTCCATTAAATCTCTTTTTCTTTATAAATTACCTAGTCTTGGGTATGTCTTTATCAGCAACAAATTGTACTGGTAGAGTGGGGCACTACTGTAAAGATACCCAAAAATGTGGAAGCAACTTTGGAACTGGGTAACAGGCAGAGGTTGGAACAGTTTGGAGGGCTCAGAAAAAGAAAGGAAAATGTGGGAAAGTTTACAACTTCCTAGAGACTTGCTGAATGGCTTTGACCAAAATGCTGATAATGATATGGACAATAAAATTCAGGATAAGACGTTCTCAGGTGGAGATGAGGAACTTGTTGGGAACTGGAGTAAACGTGACTCTTATCATGTTTTAGCAAAGAGACTGGCGGCATTTTATCCCTGTTCTAGAGATTTGTGAAACTTTGAACTTGGGGGAGATAATTTAGGGCACTTGGCAGAAAAAATTTCTAAGCAGCAAAGCACGCAAGATGTGCCTTGGGTGCTGTTAAAAGCATTCAGTTTTAAAAGAGATACAGAGCATAAAAGTTTGAAAAATTTGCAGCCTGATGATGCAACAGAAAAAAAAATTTTCTGAAGAGAAATTCAAGCCAGCTACATAAATTTGCATAAGTAATAAGGAACCAAATGTTAATCACCAAGACAATGGGGAAAATGTCTCCAGGGCATGTCATAGACCTTGGTGGCAGCCCTTCCTATCACAGGCACAGAGGCCTATGAGAAAAAAATTATTTCTTGGGCTGGGGGCCAGAGCCCTCCTGCTGTGTGCAGCCTAGGAACTTGGTGCCCTGAGTCTCAGCCACTCTAGCCATGGCTAAAATGAACCAAGGTACAAGGTACAGCTCAGGCCAGGGACTCAGAGAGTGCCAGCCCCAAGCCTTGGCAGCTTCCAAATGATGTTGAGCCTGTGAGTTCACAGAAGTCAAGAATTCAGGTTTGTGAACATCCACCTGGATTTCAGAGGGTGTACAGAAATACCTGGATTTTCAGGCAGAAGTGTACGGCAGGGGCAGGACCCTCATGGTAAACCTCCGCTTAGAGCAGTGTGGAAGGAAAATGTGGGGTTGATGTCCCCCACAGAGTTCCCACTGGGCACTGCCTAGTGAAGCTGTGAGAAGAGTGCCACCATCCTCCAGATTCCAGAATGGTAGATTCACTGACAGCTTGATCCGTATACCTCGAAAAGCTGCAGGCACTTAATACCAGCCTGTGAAAGCAGCCAGGAGGGAGGCTGTACCCTGCAAAGCCACAGGGGTGGAGTTTCCCAAGACTATGGGAACCCACCTCTTGTATCAGCATGACTTGGATGTGAAACATGGAGTCAAAGGAGGTCATTTTGGAGCCTTAAGATTTGACTGCCCTGATGGATTTTGGGCTTACATGGGGCCTGTAAGCCTCTTTGTTTTGACTGATTTCTTCCATTTAGAATGGCTGTATTAACCCAATGCCTGTACCCTCATTGCATCTAGGAAGTAACTAAGTTGCTTTTGATTTTACAAGCTCATAGACAGAAGGGACTTGCCTTGTCTCAGATGAGACTTTGGACTGGACTTTTGAGCTAATGCTGAAATGAGTTAAGATTTTGAGGGACTGTTGGGAAGGCATGATTGGTTTTGAAATGTGATAATGTGAGATTTGGGAGGGACCAGGGGCAGAATGATATGGTTTGACCATGTCCCCACTCAAATCTCATCTTGAATTATAGCTCCCATAATTTCCACATGTTGTGGGAGGGACCCACTGGGAGATAATTGAATCTGGGGGTGGTTTCCGCCATACTGTTCTCATGGTAGTGAGTAAGTCTCACAAGATCTAATGGTTTTATAAAAGGAAACCCCTTTCACTTGTCTCTCATTTCCTCTTTGCCTGCCACCATGTAAGACATGACTTTTGCCTTCCACCATGTTTGTGAGGCCTCCTCAGCCACATGAACTTTGAGTCCAATGAAACTCTTTTTTTTTGATAAATTACACAGTCTCAGGTATGTCTTTATCTGCAGCATGAAAATGAACTAATGCAAGAGGATGTATACGTATGCTGTTATGGAAAGAGCTCCTATATATTATTGAGTACAATAAACAAGAACAAGTAGACATTTTATACTATGATCTGTTGTGTAAATATGATTATATATTAATATCAAGTGTACACTGACTGACACATGCACAAAAATTATCTTGAAAGAATTATATGAACCTATTATCTTGGTTACTTTGTGCCAGAGGAATTGTAATGTGGGGAAGGACACTCTGCTTCACCATATTTTTTTATATTATTTGAGTTTTCCAAAATTGTCCCCAAAATGTTTTTCTTACAAAATATATCCACACAGAGTGTGATATATTTTCTGTGAGATCACAGGCATTTTTGCCTTTTTTATTTTATGTAAAGTTTAAAGAGCCTTTTAAGTGTGTACAGAGGGTTGGAAGGCTCTAACCTTTCTTGAAAACTTACTGTGACCATGAGCCAGTTTTTCATACATTCTCTTTTAAATCTATGACACAATGATGCGAATCACACAAGACAGCCACTCTACGTGTGAAGCTACAGAGACTCAGAGATGTCAATAGGACTTGCTAATGCCACATACAAGGTAGCAAGAGGAGTAAGGATTTCAAAATGCACATTTTATTCTCATATTGTATTTCTTCCAACATCTTTCTCTTCCTATCAACTATGACAAGATGTGTATATTTTCTTTAAACAATACATTTCCAAAGTTAAAATATATTTTAATTTCAAATATGGGTGAGTGCTCAATCTTCCTCTATGAATACAAATGGAATATAATATGCTGAGATGACACTGTATCAATAAAAAATGATAATCTATTATTATAGCATGTGTAGGTGTGTTATACCTCCTTTTTAATGACTTGCTATGCATGAGTGCCAGGAGATGAATTTGACACTTGATACTGATACAACTGTAAGGAGAAGACCTTGTATTATGGCCTATTGTAGCTTCCTTAAGGTTTGAAGAATTTTGTATTCCAGAAATGGAAATACAGGGTTAATCTCAGTCAGAGTAGAGAGGTCAATAGCCCTCTAATCTTTATGTTCTGCCTACCCCCCCCTTTTTTTTCCCTGTCAAATGATCCTACCATCTACATTTCTAATGCTGTGTGCCTCCTTTCCCATCAATCTTTTACAACCTCAGGGTCTTGAAAGGGGCAGTGGCCCTACACAGGATCATAGTAAAATTAGGAGCGCCTATACACGGGATTAAAGTGATGCTTTAATTTGAACCTACATTAACATTCTGTGGTAGCAGTTGTTTGAATTTTAAGGCACTCTTTCATCCCTCATCCAAAGGGCTTTAGGGCAAAAGCAAGGGAAAGAGGTTTGTTTGGAGCTGTAGCAAAGGCATCTGCATGGGCCAAGGGCCTAAAACGCTAGAGGCAGCTTTTGTCTAACGAGTAATTGCTTCTGCTTCAACCTTCCTATAGCCTAGGCATGGAGGTTGGAGGGTAAAACTGGGCTTGGCTCACAGACCATGGATGGGATGGAGTCTGGGCATTACTTACCCTTATGTTCCCTTCAGTCTCACGTTCATATGCTCTTCTCTCGACCACAGTACCATCTCAAATGCCACCTCTTCCAATAGGCCCTCACCTCAGCTGGCAGGAGAAGAAAAAGGAATCAGGAACTGCTCTCTGTAAGCACGCTTTTAGCGACCTTCCTAGCATAAGGTTTCTTCTTCGATGTCTTGGTTAAAAGCCCCCAGTGCCTCCTGCAGCACCTGACTCGGGTGTTCTCCTGATTAGGCGTCCTGTTCTTTTAGTGTCTTGTTCTTCTGATATCCTAACCCCACCCTCTGCCCTCAAACATTATGCAGAATCTCCTAAGACCTAACTGGATAGACATGCCTCCTCCGCTCATGTAAATCAAAGGACCCTCAGGACATCTTTCATTTTTTTAAAAAAGTAATTACATTAAATTGATTCTATAGATTTACATCATGAGCCATCAGCCACCACTTAGCAGTAATATATAATCTCCCCTTGGGATGCTCTAGTTCAATTTCTCTGCGGTGATCAGCAATGCATTTATCACTGTAGACCATGTCCTGTGGTAACCGGCATAAACATTGGTTCTCCTCTAGTGTACTGCAAGTTTCTTGAAGGCATGTCATTATTTGGTTTATGTTGAATGGCATCCCCTCTTTACCAGGGCCTTGCAAATGGCTAAAGAAATATTTGTACATTGGAAATGATTAATAGGAAATAAAGTTCCTCTTTATGCTTAGTGAGGGCCACATTGTGGCCTTCTGCATACAGAGGACATTCTTAGAAAGACCCAATTTTCTGTGATTTTTCTCAATTTCAAAAATTATATTTTAGTGTCATATAATATGTCTTGATTTTGGATTAAAAATATGGTGACATTAGTGGATTTCATCTCTCTCATGTGAAACATACTGCTTAATATGAGAGAATCATTTCTGCTCTGAATTCATGAAACAGTTTTTACCTTTTCTAAATTTTACTTGACTTGTGGTTGCTCCAGCTCACATACATGCACACACACGCAAACACAATTTTGATGTCAGTGGTGTAGTCGCTGAAAATGGCTTTGAAATAAACCCGTTTCATTTTACTATCTCAAATTACCTTTGCTGCCATTGCTTCCCATCACCATTTCTGTAGTTCCTTCCTTAAGGCATTTATGTATGTAATTTAAGCTGCATACCTAGGGGACATAGGTCTCCAACTCTTGGCATTAAAAGCTCATAACCAAAAAGAGAAACCAAGATGATTAGAGTTAATAATAACCATTTCATTTAAAGGTTTTCTAAAGCCAACCATTTTAGCATCCTACAGAAGCCAAGAAGAGAGAGAATTTTTTCTCCCAAATCCCAAAACTGTAAACTTAATGAGGTTAAACACTTCTCACAAATCAATGTCTTAAAACAAAACATCTTCTGCTAAATATAGAAGTGGGTGCATTTTGATATTCATTTCTCTCTTTTCCCCATCCTCTTCCCATCGTCCTTCCCGTCACCTAGCTTCTGCTGTCCCTAACATCCCCAACTTCAGCTCTTTCTTTACTAAACTGCAGCACTAAAGTCGCACACTTTTAAAGGCAGAATTTGGGGCTTGACACAGTGGAAGGGATCCAGCTAACTGCAGAGAGAATCTAATTAGGTAGACGGGATTTGAGAAGCTGGAGTTTTTCTAGGACACCTGGCTCACCCTTCTGTGTAATGGAAGTTGTCACTGGCCTTTTGCTGGCAGCTGAGGCATCAGGACGTGGGTGTCACTTCTCATCTGAATTAAATGCTGCCTCCAGCATGACATATCAGGCAAACAGGAACTGCTGGGTACTCAGGCATTGGGATTTTTACCCAAGTTTCTTTTCAACTCGGAGACACTGTAATTTTGCACAGGGGGAAAGCTGTCAGCTAAGAATAAGGAAGAACTCCTAAAAATCAGAACTACCAATACCAAGTAGACTTTTGCTGAGTAGTGGGGTCTCCACTACCGGCCAGATTCAAGCAGAGGCGTGGCTTGCTAGGAATAGGAAAGGAGGGTTAGCCTCAGCAATAGAACTTGCAACATTAAGCCTCAGTCTCACCCATAACAAAGCAGATACTAAAAATATTAATTAATTCATTTATTTAATAAATGTTAATTGAAAATCTACTGAATGCCAGGCACTCTTCTAGGGATAAGAATGCAATGCTTCCTAAAAGAGACAAAATGTCTACTACCCTCATGGAGTTTGCATTTTAATGAGGAAAGACCAGAAACAAGCAAATTAATAACTGTTTGTCATGTAACAGTGCTATTAGTGGGTACAGAATGATGATGGAAATGGAAATGCTGCAGAATTAAATGAAATTTAGAAATTTCTAACGAAAGTTAAATTAGGTAATAATGAATAATATGTATGAAAAGTTTCTGGGTTCCTGGTACAATAGGCAAATCACTATGCCTTAAGTAAACCTCATATCAACATATCAACATGAGCTAATACTGTCATGTTACAGATACTGCAACTGAAGTTTTGAGTAGCTGTGTAGTTTGTCAAGTAAATGTAGCTAGTTAGAAGTGAAGCTGACAAAGGAATTCAAGTGTGAGCATCTGACTCATAGCAAGCACTCAATTAACGGCGTTGATGAAATTTGCAAATATTTTTACCCTATTGAGCTCTTACGAAGGTTAAAGTTAACATTTTGTATATTTAACAAATATGGCACATAGCACAATGCTAGAAGCTATGGTATATACAAGGAAATAGGGGATGATCCCTTTGCTTTGTTCTTACTTTCCACCTAGTTTGTGGAGCACTGTCCCAAGAAAAAAATAAAGTAGCACGTGACTTAGGGATATAACATTTTCAGATAACAGAAATCACTGTTGTTATTGGCAGTGGGGAAATAAATGGAGAAAGGTCACAGTGGGGTTTTCATGGTTGGAAAATACATCTTGGCTTGGCTAAAGTCTTGAGGGTGATAAATATGCAAGAAAATGGTGGGAAAAAGAAAGAGGGTAAAACAAGTGGAATGGCTTATATGCAAAAATTAATGAAGCTTTAGCAAAAAACTGGGAAGTACTCAAATGTTCATCAACAAGACATTGACTAAACAAATGGTAGTATATTCACCCAATGTGATACCATTTTCTGAAAAAAGATATAAATTACTGACACATACAACAACACTAATGAATCTCAAATGCATTATGTTGAGTAAAAGAAGCTAGGCACAAAAACATACATACTGTATGATTTCATTCCTATGTAGTTCAAAATTAGGCAAAATTAACCTATGGGGATAGAAGTCAGAAAAGTGATTCACTCTTTGGGTATACAGGGACTTAATTGGAAATGAGTATAAAGGAACACACTGGGATGATGGAACTGTTCTATATCTTGATCTGGGTGGTAATCATATAAGTACATGCATTTATATAATGTAATTGAGCTTTACACTTCAGATTGTACAATTTGCTGTGTGTGCATTAAACTTTAATAAATCAAACACAATAGAAAAGATTTGAGTGAGAATATTCTATACATCAGATGCTGTTTGTTATGTTATATATGATAGATATTACAGACATACAATTATTTTTGATGGCTATTTTAACTACAAATTTTAAGTGTATCATAGCTTTTTTTTTTTTTTCATGCAACAGCGTAGGTCCTGGAGAGTTTCTTCTATCAAAATACTGTATATAAATGAAACCTATTCAATTGTAATAGCTAAGTGGCATTCTTAACATCAGTGTCTCTCTAGTTTTTATAATAGTTATCCTATTTGTTACTATACAAACATCTGCACAGAATATCCTTGTGCTATGCATCTGAATGCATACATGTATTTTTCTTGGAACAATTCTAAGAAATGAATTTACTAAACTATATTTACAATTGCAATATATCTCTTATATAATATTTCCCTCAAACATGGCTGAACCAAGCTTGACATTGGCAGATGTCAAGGCAGCACATAAAAGTGCCTGGCACATTTCACAAATATCCTATTTTTATAATTTTCCCATGAGTCTGTGTTTTCCCTAATAATAGAAACATTACTATTAGCTTAGTAACACATAGAAGACATACTTTTTGTCCTGCAAGACCTTACAGTCAACATCTCAGAGGCTGACCGAAAAACAATGGAGGTGATTGAAAGTTAAAGAAGACTGGTCAGGTGTGGTGGCTCATGCCTGTGATCCGCCTTGGAGCACTTTGGGAGGCTGAGGTGGAAGTATCACTTAAACCCAGGAGCTCAAGACCAACCTGTCTGGGCAACATAGCAAGAATCTGTCTCTACAAGAAACAACAACAAAAAATTAGCCAAGTGTGGTGGCACATGCCTGTGGTCTCAGTTACTTGGGAAGCTGAGGTAGGAGGATCACATGAACCTGGGAGGTTGAGGCTGCAGTTAGCTCTGATCATGCCACTGTACTCCAGCCTGGGTGACAGAGGGAGACCTTGTCTCAAAAGAAAAGAAAAAAAAACGACAATAACGAAATTTCCAGAAAAAGAAAAGGAAGGTAATGGTCATTTTTCACAACTTTTTGACATTGATTGAAGCTTTCATTCTTTGGTGATAAAGTCTGCCGAAGTAAGTTGCATCATCAGGGATCTACATGACTAAAAACCTCTGCCATGAATTCAAAGGTATTCCTCTCGGCTGTAGGCATGATGACTGTCCTGTCAACAGCATGGAGTGGTGGAAACACCACTTGTCACTGATGCAGCTGCTGGTTCCAGCATTTCTGTTAATTAGCTGGTTATCCTGGCCATGCCATATATACTTTTGAACCTTAGTATCCTCGTTGAAGAAAGTTGAGAGTTCTCCAAAAATCTTTATACATGTAAAGTTACACTATCCCCAAAGCCAATAAAATAGGTATTTAAATAGCATATTCTTTCAGTATAAATTTTAGTATGCATATGAGTCACCAGGAAAGTTTTTTGAAACAAATTTCATCCCAGCACTTTGGGAGGCTGAGGCAGGTGGATCATCTGAGGTCAGGAGTTCGAGACCATCCTGACCAACATGGAGAAACCCCTTCTCTACTAAACATACACAAAATTAGCTGGGTGTGGTGGTGTATGCCTGTAATCCCAGCTACGCAGGGGGCTGAGGTAGTAGAATCACTTGAACCCTGAAGGCAGAGATTGCAGTGAGCCGAGATCATGCCATTGCACTCCAGCCTGGGCAACAACAGCGAAACTCCATTTCAAAAACAAACAACAACAACAAATTTCGAGGTCCCACTATAAGAGGTGTTAGCTGGGGCATGGAAATTTGCATCTCTTAAATTTGCATCACCACTTCCTGGGTGATGCTGATGCTGCTGGTCTTGGAACCACACTTGGAGAACTACTGCTTTAGCGTGCTTCTCAGGAACTTAAGGAATGCAGGTTGAAAAACAAAGCCTGGGAAAGAACAAACTATTGAGAATTTCTAAATGTCAGTGTGATAGGCTTTAGAGGCAGTGAGTGTGGAACCAACTTGTGTTTTCAAAGAGGCTGTATGGATTTGTAATTCAGGGCAGACATGAGCAGAGTTCAAACTAGGGTGACATTGAAGGGAAAGGATAGAAAGATATTAATTCAGAACAATTCAGGAGTTGGAATCAGAGGATCTTGATTGTATGCTGGGGATAAAGGCTAGGGAGGAGTCATTGATGCCTCACAGATTTCTGGTTCAGACAATAATGAGAATGATGGTAACATTAGGATTGCGAAACAAGGTAAGGATCTTCTAAGAAGGCTAGTCAAGATGGGTATGAGTACTGGAAGAGGGTAGCATCATGGGCAGCCTCATGTACCTACACAAAGACCAGAAAACTACGGGAACACATAGGAATAGTATCCAGAGGCCTACCTAGCGTGACCTTAAGGTATGAATAATTCTGCCAAAACTGATACTAAATCTGAGGATCAGGGAGAAGAAAGTTGTTCAAAAATGGAATTGGTTTTATTTTCAAATTATATAGTTTACTGTATGGATTTTGAGAAATACTCTGGAACATACGTAAATAAATAATAGCAAGGTTTGGGGCATTTATAAAAGAGTGATAAACAGCTAACTGTGGCAGCAGCAGCTAAAAATTCAGAAGATAAAATAACAGAGTCATGAACAGGTCAGAAGCATACACACATGTACTCATAAGATAGAAATGGAGAGGAAAAAAGGAAGGTGGGGTTCTTTAAATAATCTTCTTAAATAGTAGCAGCTTAAAAATCATAAATAGATAAACTAGATGAAGGGATGGAAAGAAATATCTTAATGTCTAAGCAGTGAATATATCTGGGTGTTAGGTTTACGGCTCATGTTTATTTTCTTATATAAACCTTTATTTCCTCAATTATGTATGATCAACATATTATACTTTTAAGACTTGAAAAAGTTACTGAAATGTTTTATAAAAACTTGTTTTTGAAAAATAGAAGAAAAAAAGCATTATGAAATCCTTCAGAGAACAGATTAGCATTTGGTTTCCTGGTTCTGCTCTCTGTGCATCCAAAGACAGATCTAGGCAGCCCCACAAAGAACAGTCTAGAGCTTTCTTTGCTGAATGATTGGCAGGCTAGGGCCCTCTGAGAGTTGCAGCCTCACAGGCAATCTGATCCATTCTCATTGGGAAGCCTGGGGCTAAGAGGTAATATTTAGAGTAACACTTACTGTTAAAACTACTTGAAATACAAAGAAAAATTGTTAGTAATGCAGAGCAGCCACAACTCACAACATCTGCTGTCCCTGAGAAACCAGGACAGATGGAGGTGCTCTGGCAAATTTTCTTTGGGAGCTCTGGGCTCACTTCACCTTACTAGGACTCACAGTAATGGGGAAACAAAAGGCTCAAATCAACACTGATGGATGCCAATAATAAAAGCAGAAAATTTAAATAAGAAATTAACAAGATAATTTCCTGCCTTGATCCTTGCCAAAAAGTAAAATAGGTAAGTCTGATTTTAAGACCCATTCTTTATATGAGACAAGCCATTAGTGGGAAAAGAAAAACAAAGAGGCAGATTTTGCTCCCACCTCACATTGATCCCTGTCCTTTCTTTCCATGGATCAGTTGGTTCTGATTCTGTGGCTTTGTGACTTTAGAAATGGAAACACAGGTGTTCAAAGTTATGTGGAATGCCTTCCCTTACTGATCCGTGTCCTCCACCTTCCTTTTCTCTGGAAGGACTAAAGCCAAGAGCCTGCCTCTTGGGAGCCCCTTCCTACCCAAACACATGCAGCTGCTAATCCTCTCCTTCCCTCTCTTTCTTCCATGTACTCTCAAAAGTGACTCACAGAGTGTTTTAAAAGCTTTATTCATCTGCATTGGATGATTCTCACTTAGGTTGACACGGACATCATCTTCAGTCTCTATTTAAACTCTGTATACTTTACATTTTATAGAGAACATGAAGTGGCTGGCCCACTTCTATTTCTCTTTCAACATGGTCATAAGAGGTGTGAAGTGGCTGTGATCACACAAGGATGAGAAGTTGATGTGGGAAGTTTTTTGCCTGCTTCTCTATAAACAGAATGCCTTTCTAATTTTCACTGGGTCTCAGGCTGGGCTTTACTTCAGCATGCCATTAGGCTGAAATAATAGAAGAAATAGAAGAAATAGTGGTTACCAGAAGGAGAGTTGTGTCTGTAGCCTTTGGTGGTAGAGGAACACTGCTACCAAAAACCACAGAGCAACAGGAAGGGAGCCAGGGGAGTAAATACCCCAGGCTCCCCCTCCTCCTCCATCTAATCTCTAAGTGGTGCCTCCCCTTGGCCTAAACAGGAATCTGGAGGGGTTTCATTGCATATCTGTACTTATGTGCATGAAAGTACATGCACATAGCTATATAATTTTATTTTACCTAAATATTGTCATTATATTTTGTTTTTTGAAATGTTCTTTTTCATCTTAAAATATATGAGAGAAATCTCTGTGATCTCCATTGTAATGGAATGGGACTTGACCAGCAAATACTGATAATTAGTCTGTGAAAAATTTCTGTAATAGTACAAGAAAGTCAACAATTAGGGTAAAGCTGAGATGAGGCCTTTTATTAGGTTCGCGTTTTATCCAGTAATATAAATTCACATAAAGAAAATAAGGTGTTAAAGTATTTCAAATCATAAGAATGTTAGATAATATTTTGGTTATTATTTAACACAGATCATTTTCCCAGTTTAAATATAGAAAAGGGAACTTTTCTGGTTACAAATGTCATTAGGTAATCTCAGTTGAGCAATTTACTGAAAACACAGAAACAAAATATTTCTGAGCTGTCTCAGGGAGCTGAGTAATTTCTGAGGAGTTCACTTGAGCTAGAAAAAGAAGTTGCCTTTATCTATAAGTAAACTGAAAAGGAGTCATGAGTTTAAATTTTTGGGGGGATGGTAAAGAATCATGTTTTGAATATTTTATAACATTTTATATTCTCCACTTCACTTCAGTGTCTTACCTTAGTATCACAGTGCTTAAAAGACTGGATATTATTCCATGTTAATTATGCACTATAAAGCTATTCATCACTAACATATTGAAGGGCATTTACATTTGTTCCAATTTTTCCTTATTCTAAACTGCTTGAAACACCCTTTTGAAAATTCTATTGCATCAGTATAGAACACACATACAAAAAAGTACACATAGGGAGTTCAATACATTCTTACTAGGTAGACACGTTTTAAATAACAGAGCATTGAGAGTCCCAGAAGCCTTCCTCACACCCCCTCCAAAACAGTCTTCTCTCTTTCCTCTTCCACTTTACAAGTGTCATGGCTTCTAACATTGTCTATTAGCTTTTCTATGTTTAAACTTTACATAAACTGAATGATCTAGTTAGTAGTATGTTACATTTGAACTATTTGGCTCAAAATTATGTTGTTAGATATATTTATCTTTCAATGTGTAGTTGCAATTTAGTATTTTCTTACAGTACTTTATCATTTGAAATGAATAGATATTTGTGTGGTTACTAGTTTGTGGTGATTAATAATTCCATAAATATTCTTGTATATTCTTACACACAAGAATGCATTTCTGAAAGATATTGCCAGAATACATTGTATGTTCAAATTGATTAATGACAATATGTTTTCTGAAATATTTGAAGCAAGTAGTCAGTATTAAGCAGTATCCTTGGCTGAGGTGGGTGGATCACTTGAGCCCAGGAGTTCAAGACCAGCTTGGGCAAAATTGCAAAAACCCGTTTGTGCAAAAAATACAAAAATTAGCTGGGTGTGGTGGCGCATGTCCCATCTACTAGGGAGGCTGAGGTGGAAGGATTGCTTGAACCTAAGAGGTTGAGGCTACAGTGAGCCATGATGGCGCCACTGCACTTCAGCCTGAACAACAGAGCAAGATCTTGTCTTAAAAATAAATAAAAATAAAATAAAAGTATCCTACTGTTCCACGTTCTTACAAATTATCAAAATTCTTATTTTTAGACATTTTGGTGAATGTGAAGTGATATCTCATGATTGTTTTATTTTTTATCTTACTGACAATAACTTCATGTCATTATTTTCCACCTTTGTATTCTTTTGTGAAGTATTCCTAATTTCTTACAATTTTTGTTAGATCATGTTACTGCTTTGTAATTAATTTTTAAGTTAAAATTTTTATTAATTTGAAAGTGTTCTTTATATGTCTTAATGGAAGCCCTCCTTTGTTTGTATATATTGAAAACAATCTTTTTCTACTTTGTTTTACTGAATTCTCATGATAAACAGAAGTCGACAATTTAAATGTAGTCCAATTTTAAAGCTTTCCCCTATGACTGGTATTCTTAGTTTTATTTAAACCTTTGTTATTTTGCAAAGTTATATTCTTTTGAATTCCCCAATTTTACTTTTTACCACTTAAAGATTCATCTGAAATTTATTATTTCTGAGTTGTGAAATAGAGAGTAAGACTTTTATTCACATGGACATTCAATTTCCCAAGAAGGGTTATTGAAAACAGTTATTTTCTTCATTGTTCTTGAGTACTACCGTTATCATAATCAAGTGGTTATATATGCATAAGTCTGTTTCTGTTCTGTCATTCTGTTTACAGCGTTTATTTTACTACCCTGATGCTAATAACACAATATCTTAATCATTGTAGCTATAAAATAAATTATGAAAATTAGTAGGGTATGTTTTTTCATTTTCTTCATTGTTCCCCTTGTCCTTTTTCAGTAATATCTTGCTTCTTTTTGATACAATAGAATGTTGAATGGAGGTGCTGTGGGTAGGCACAAATGGCTTTAACCCTGATATTAAATGTTTTACTTTGCATCTAAAATTTATTTTCACGCCTATTAGTTTATAAATATGCTTTACAAGTTTTCTTCTTTTTCTAGTTTGCTAAGAGCTTTCTATCATAGATGTTGACTTTGTCATACTTTATCTGCATCTCTTGAGTATTCATATATTTTTCTTTTATTTTGTAAATATGGAAACAATATATTTTTGAATGTTAAACCAAACTTTCATTACTAGAATATTTTCAATTTAGTTATAAGGTATATAAAGATACAGATATGGATACGGATATGGATAGATTTAGATTTATACATTTTTCGCTATCAATAGCTTCTGTTATTAGTATTCTTTGTATTTACATTTATAAAAAACAATTTTCCTTTCTCATAATGCCCTTATAAGGCTTTGGTAAGAAGGTCATGGAGGCCTCATGTAAATATCCAGGAAATATTTATTTGTAGCTGTACTGGAAGAGATATTGTTAAGTCAGTTGTTTTATTCTCCCTCATAGATTAGGAAGGTTTACTATTAAAACTACCTGTGCCTGGTATAGTTTGTGAGAAGTTTTTTTTTTTTTTTGAATGTCATAGATTGATTTTTTCTCACTAGTCATAGAGCTATTGTATTTTTCAATAATTTTATATTAATTTTGATAAGTTTTACTTTTTCAGGAGTCAATTTCAACTAATCATTCCTCATTATTTTAATGCTTTTATCTTCTTGAACATATGATTCCAATTTACAAAAGCTGTGTGATTATACTCATATTCTAATTCTCTAATCTCTGTCATTTTTAGGTCTGTTTCTATTAATTTTTTTTCCTAGTTATGGGCACATACTACTGTTTTGTTATGCCCAGGAATTTCTGACTTTTGGATACTTCGAATTTTATATTGTTTGGTGCTAAATTTTGGTGTATTCCTTTAAATATGGCTGGACATCTTTTCTGACTTACAGTTACTAAAGATCACTGTATTCTTTTCCATGCATGTTTTCATGCTTTGTTATTGTGAATGTAATCTTTATCACATAAGGCCAATTTAATCTCACTACTAAACCAATCATCATCTGAAGACACTACCCAATGTCACATTTCATGATGTTCTACTGATTTAGCTATGAGAGTGCAAATTATCTCCCACCTGTGATCCTAGATAGAAAAAAGAAGAAAATGAAGCAGTTTCCAGGCTACAGCACAGGGAAGGAAGAACAATCAAAGCCTGGTCATCTTGCTGAGTTGATTAGAGAGATCAGAATTAAGGGCCCAAATTGTTAGATTTTCCAAAGAAGAAAACAAAGGAGAACAATCTGCACAGAGAAAGACTTTCAGAGATTACAGTCCTGAGATGCTATTGCCCAGTGACTAAAAGTGATTGACTCACATAATGTGTTTCGTTTTCTAGTTGTTTATTGTAGGAGTATATAGATCTGGCCCTTCTTACTCCAGCATGGCTCAGAGTGGAAGTCACAATAACCTTTTTTTGGCAAATTGATTCAATTAAGGATCCCATTTTGCACCCAGTTGCCATGTAGTCTCCTTTAATCTGGAACAATTTCTCAGTGTTTTTTCTTAGCTTTACAACCTTGATGTTTTTGAAGATTAATGCCAGTCATTTTGTAAAATGTTTCTCAACTTGGGTTTGTCTAATGTTTATTTATAATGTTCCTTTAGTTATGCGTTTTTGGACAGAATATTACAGAATTGATACTATATTCTCCTTGCATTCTCTTCTGTGGTACACAATATTGATTTGTCCCTAACTGGTGGTGTGAACTTGCTGCCTTACTTAAGGTTGTGCCTGCTAGATTTCAACATTGTAGAGTTACTTCTTTTCCCATTGTAATTAGTATACATTGTAAGAGGAGATACCTTGAGACTATGTAAAACTTTTCTTTCTTATGTCAGTATCACTCACTATTGACATTTCTTGTCTTCATTTATTATAACTATGTGGTTACTAAATGCTGATCTTATAATTCCATCATTCTTTCTATATTTATTGCTGGAAATTCTTTTTTTTTTCCTTTTATTTTTTTGAGGCGCTCTGTCACCCAGGCTGAAGTGCAGTGGCGCGATCTCTGCTCACTGCAAGCTCCGCCTCCCGGGTTCACGTCATTCTCTTGCCTCAGCTTCCCGAGTAGCTGGGACTACAGGCGCCTGACACCACGCCTGGATAATTTTTTTGTATTTTTAGTAGAGACGGGGTTTCACCGTGTTAGCCAGGATGGTCTCCATCCCCTGACCTCGTGATCGGTCTGCCTCGCCCTCCCAAAGTGTTGGGATTACAGGCGTGAGCCATAGCGCCCGGCCTATTGCTGGAAATCCTACTGTAAAAAAGAATATTTTCTGTTTATCTATTTATAGCCATGTGGATTGATAGACTCTTAATTTCTTCAGTGGGTAAGAATTCATTACTCCCATTAATTATTTTGATACATTCCTTCAGATTTGGCCAGTAATTTTTGTGCTGACTTCTGTTCTTTTTAGGTGTCCCCATCATACTTTGTGCCTACTTCCCAGCATAACATATTCCAAATTCATTTTTAACTTTCTTTGCCCCAGCCTTGAAATCAGCCATTTCACCAAAAGCCTGTAGACCTTTCAGTATGGAGTCATTTTACATGTATCTTATACATACGTAATTATGTGCATATGCACATATATATCACATACATTACCTATACATATATGATGCATATGTATTATGCATGGTGCAATGATACATATATGTGTTTACATGTGTATATATATATATTTCTATATCTACATGTATTTATTGAAGACCGTGTGTTTACACTGATACCTCTAACTAATGCAACACCACAGGGTTCATTCTAGCTTTCCACATTTTCATATTTGTATTTTCTTCTCTGGCATTAGAATCTTGGCTTTCATTTTCCTTAGTGTATTTATTTATCTGTTCATTTTCCCTACATATAATAAATCTTCTAACCTCCAGGACTGCTTCCCCTCTTAGAGGACTTCATCACATAAGTTCTGACTCTTTCAGGACCACAAGCCAGCTCTGGCAACTTTCTTGGACATGCCTTAGCTCCTGGTGGGCTGCCTTACTGCCCTGCTCCATTTCCCTCCTCGGTACAGCCAGGAAAGAAGAAAGGCAACCTCTCTGATGATGATGAGTTTAGATTTTGATTTTGTGAATTTTATTAGTCAACGTGCCAGTCATTTTTTAAATAAAGTTTTTATTTTAGAGTAGTTATTTTATATTTACAGAAAAGCTATATGTTGATATGGAGAGTTTCTGTATACCATACCTCATTCCTTTACCCTATTTTCCCTAACCTTATCATCTTGCATTTTATTATCTTACAATTCATAGTATATTTATCACAGCTAAGGAACTAATGCTAGTATATTACTTTTAACTAAACTTGTGGTTCATTTACGTTTCACAAGTTTTTCACCCACTGTCCCTCTGCTGTTCCAGAATTCCATTTAGCATATCACATTACATTTATTCATTTTATTTCCTTGGGCTTCTCAATACTGTGACAGTTTTTGATGACTGACAGTTCTAAAGAGTACTGATCAGGTACTTTTTAGAATGTCCTTCATTTTGAATTTCTCTGATGATTTTCTCAAGATTGGACTGGAATTATTGGTTTAGGGGAGGAGGATCACACAGGTAAAGTGCCATTCTCATCACGTCACATAAAGGGTACATTCTATTGATATGACTTATTACAGATGACGTTAGCTTTGGTCAACTGACCAGGGTGGTGTTTGCCCATTTTCTCTATTGTAAAGTTACTGAAACCACCCCTACAAACTTTATACAATTAATCAGGGAAGAAGGGAGGAGGAGAAACAAAAATAAACCAAGCTTGCAGCACATCAGAATTGATCATTAAGTCAGCTTATTCTCTGACCTCCTTCCTCATAGTTATTTGGTGCCCCTATTGTCCCAGAATCAGGCAGACTCTGTTACAAGATTGTAGTTCTTTTTAGCTGCTCTTTAGATAACAACGTGAACGTTACATAACATTAAGCTTTCCCTTTGAGATATTCCTTCAGGTCTTGCCTACTGATAAAACTACTGACACCAGCTGGTCTGATGGATCTTGCTGACATCAACTGGTCCAAAGGAGCCCACAGGAAGCTGACTCACCAAAAAAGGCAGTTTCCACACCCTGATGTCTGCATCCCCCTTTCCCCAATAATTCAGCATCCCCAGTTTTCTAGCCCATCACCATCCATGGGCCCTTTAAAAACCCCAGCTCAGAGTCCCCTGGGGAGATGGATTTGAGGGTCTCCTGTCACTCAGCACGCTGTGATCATTAAATTCTTTGCTGCAGACCCTGTTGCCTCAGTGTAATGGGTCTGTTACTGCACAGTGGGCATACAAACCTGTTGGTCCTATAACATTACTTTTCACTCCTTTCCACTCTGTACTCTTTTGAAGCAAGTCACTAAGCAGAACCTGTAGCTAAAGACAGAAGGAGTGCATTAAGCTGGAGGGAGAAGCATGTCCATAAATTAGATGGAAATCTGCTGTTAGGGTTGTTTCTCCTTTCATCACGTGTGGTGATTTTACACATGCCTCTTAAATGATGCCTGATTTTTTTTTGTCACATACATTTTCTTGGGTTTTATGTTGGTTTGTTTGCTCTTCCTCATGGTGTTTTGCATTTTTGTGTTTTGTAAATTTTCGGTGCAAGTGTACTATCAGTGGAATCTTATCTGCGGTAATCATGTGCACTATGGTATAGAAGACATCACTGCTGTTCCATTTCAGAGCCTTTCAGCCTAAATTGCTTTTTGTTTCCATTGCCATTGTGGTGACCAGATCTCCTATGAGTCCTACCGGCTTCATGTAGGCACACCCAATATCACCCACCATCACACTCATACCACTTGTCTCTTGCCTGTTGCCTGAAACTTCCCTTTTGATGCCAGGGTTGAGAACATCACAGACCTGGCTCAGTAAACACTGACACAGTAGGGTAGCTAATACCTTATGATGAAAACCTTTGACAAATTAAAAGATAGAGCTGTCCTCTTGCTTCTTCTGGGAAGACTGCCAAGATAAGTCATATGGTTACTTGGAAGAAAGTCCTGTGGGATCAATAAGAAGTCGCACTACCCCAAAACACATCCTTATACTGGCAGCTTTTCTTCCTTTCCAGTTTAACTCACTTAGTCTCTCACTTACCCTAGTAAAATAGTAGCCCCAAGTCCTTTGCCACAGACTTGGCTTCTAAGGAATCTAGGCTAAGACAACTGCCTCTGCAGAGTCCTCTTGAGATATTACCAGCCTAGGACCACCTTTTGTCTAAATTTATCAGCTTAGGGTTTCCTGGGCCATGCAGGCATTGCAAATTTAAATTTAAACTTAAACTCTTACGAGCAGAGTATTACGGTTATACATTCTCAGGGGATTTTTTTTTCTTTTTCTTATGTAGAATTTATGGCAAAATAAACAAGTTATTTTTTCTTTATCTCTGAGGTGCCATTTTGTAAAAGCCTGGTCCATCTCATAACTGAAGATGAAGCATTATCAGCATCACAGGTTTACATGGGGATGTTAGTATTGGTCCAACATTTTTCCTTCTAAACATATATGGCTTGTAAAACTCTAACTCTCAAATATTTCAGCCACCTCTAAAGCAGCAGAAACCTCAGTGTCTACTCATGTCTGATTTCAGATTCTTCACTTTTCATTCCTTGATATTTCCCTTACATTCTTTAGAGCCCTGCTGTGCGTTTAAAATCATGTTTATCATTTCTTCATACAATTTTTTCTAAGTGTTTTATTGGTAGGATGTTCACGATATATTGTCTTCTGTATTCTCAGAAATAGAAACCCTAAGTATTTGCAATTCTGCCAGGCTTGGTGATCTGGTCTATAAATGCACATCAACTTCTAAGCAATAATCAAGAGGGGAATTTTCTACAAGTAAGCACATGTCTTTCCTGATAAATAATATGGAAAAAGAGAATACAGAAAAAGTAGGTAGAGGAAAAGTAGGATGCATTGCAGTCTGAGAAGAGTTAGTGCAGGGACAATCAGCACTATGTATTTCTGTATACCAGAGGGTCATCCATGTCCTAGGCTTAAATTATTATTATTGTTGATAATGTTGACATGGAGTCATCAAGGAAATGCAACATTTAAAAAAGATTCACCATGTTGAAGATAGGAACCCTACATAAGTATATTTAATTCTACTTTTAAAAATAATTGTAAATGCCGTTATTTAAAAGACTGAATAATAAGAAGATAACCAATTATTGAGCTTCTAATAGGTGTCAGGTACAGTGCTCTACCTTTTAACTAGCTTGAACAGCATTAGCCTTAATACAATAAATCTTCAAGATAACTATTATGAGCTTTGCTTTATAATAAGTGCATTAATGATACATAATTAGTAAGTGGCCTAGACAGAATTACAATTTCTCTGCTCTATTTTCCTGCACTGCCATTCTTTCCATCCAGGAAAATCTCTTACTCTGTATACACATTCTCAGAATGTCCCAGGCAGTGAAGGCATTATCATACTTCCTTGCCTAGGAGATTTCCTGACAATCCAGAAAAAGGCAGCATGTCCCCTATGTCTATCCTTTGGCCCCCATTTATGACCCCTCTGTAGCAGGTTCCAGAATGGTCAGATCCTCCATCTGTAATGGAGCTATTTTGTCACACTTGCCAAATTTGTGGCATTGAAACTAGTGAGGAGATAAAGAAAGGGCCTGAGTAGTGATTCAAAAATGACAAAAACAGTAACAAACAGGAGGGACAAGTTTTCAAATATGATAATTCAGCCTGGACAGTTGACAAAGAACAAATGCTCCCTGGATCCCTGTGGAAATGATAATTTTTAAAAGTAGACTGGGGAGCTTCAGATAATTATTTAGTCCTTTTAAATATTTATGAGTTCCGTGTGCTACATACATTTTAAAAGACAGTTGACAACTGCAGCATATATCATCTTGTTCCCTTTGCAAGCTAAAAATAGTCTCTCTTTTTAATGTAAAAACAACACTTTCAGTTTGTTGTTCATGAAATAAAAGACTGTAAAATGCTAATTTACAGGCATGATGGTAAAGATTTTTATAAGACTTTCTTCTTATAAACTCAGATGAGTAATCAGGTCTGTCACTTTTGCCTGAGAGAAAGACAACAGAGGCCACTCTTGATGAGTAGTCAGGACTGGGGAGGTGGTTTTAAGAGCCTGAGGTTAAGACTTCTAGTCTCAACCCATGGGGCACTGGAAGCTTAAGGAATGAACCTAGTCATAGCCCGGAGGAGCAAACTTAGAATCTATCCAGAAATGAGAACCACAAACATGAAAGCATTGGCAGGAGCAGGAGTAAAAGAGCAGAAAGGAATCAAACTGCTGAGAAGTCAGTCTTGGGCTATTGTTTCAAACAGGGCTCATATTTTTATTCCACTTCCAGAGGGCAGATGTACGCATGTAGGTAAGTCTAGCAGATTTAAAGGGACCACGGGGTATACCTCCCAGCCTCTTCTGTGTCTTACTGAGGTAAAAAGCATCATAGATGCTGTCAGTGCCCCGTTCAGATCCACTTTACCAGCAGATATGTCCACTCTCCACCTACTGAGAGTATTGGCTGTTAGCATCCTAGAATCCTTGCTTTCTCAAAAAAATTGCCCTTGGCCTAAAAGGAGCTATCTTGCTTGATAAGCTGCCCACTGCTCGAGTCAGGATTTGATCAATGATTGATTGACACAGGGTACAAAACGCCACCCCTTTTCCCTCAATGTGGGACTTACTCTGCGAGGCAATTCATGCTCCAGAGCTTCCCATGGGATCGGGATGTTGAGAGCACATCCTTACTTAGCTTCTTCGCCTGCTTCATCCTGCTACCTTTATTGCATTCCACGTTTCACCAAAGAGCATTCCCTCAAGAAATCATTTGGATGAGGATCCCCATCTCAGGCTTTTTTTCTAGGGAACCCAACTAAGCCAGAAGGATGGGGGGATACTTTGCTCATCAAACATTAGTGATGGGCCACCCAGAACACAGCAGGAGCTCAGTGAACTGAACCATTCTCCATGCTTAAACTTTCTTTCTCCTCCTGAACCCTGGCCTCGTGCTTTAGATCTCACTTCTATGTCACTCTCTGAGTGAACACTTCCTGCTTGTCCTGACTCTTCTCCTCAGCTCTGGGCTGATCCAGTTTCTCCTTCACTGAGGCTTACATGGTGATTTGCATTGCTTTATGTTATAGACAAATTACAATGTATCATAAAGTTGGCTCTAACTTTTATCGAGAGCCCCGTAAAATTTCTAGCTTGTTTTACCTAGAGAGGATGTGGCAGGGTAGAGTTCCATACTTGAGGTTTTGTTTCTAAGAGTAGCAGTTTCTCCCCACCTCCTTCTGCCAACTGAGGGTACCAAGTTCTCCATTTACCACCTATTTCACACTGTTTGAGGGTGGCAAGAATGTCCAGAATCAACAGGCATGATATCAGGTCTGTCTGGAAGTCAAGTCTCTAGAAGTCTGTCTTACAGGTGGATGTAATGATAGAAGGGCACTGGGACCATCAAGGGAACACAATGTCTCCCCAGACAAGACTGGAGAAGTGGGATGGCTCCAGGCCATCCTCATGACTTAAGCATTGTTGCTAAATTCTGTGCTGAGTCATATAAACAAACCATTTAAAAAAGCAAGGATGGTATACCATCATGGAGCCAGTTATAAAATTGCCAAGGTGCCGGGTTGCCTTGTTACCACCCGTGGAGAAGCTTCCAGGCCTGAGAAAGCCTGAGCCATGGGCAGAAATGTTGCAGCTGGACTAGTTGAACAGACTGCAGAGGGGGAGCTAGACCCTACATATTCCAAAGCAAAGAGCTTTGAAGCCTCATTGAACAACAGCTGGCACATCCCCTTGAGCATCACTGTGCCCTGAGGAGCCTCCACAGACTGGGAGACACCTGTATACAAAAGCATTTGCAGGCATATGTACACACTGAGGAGCACAGGAAGCCTGCCTGCAGATCTGTGCTGAGACCTGGACGTCTAAGTCTGCTGTACTGAGTAGTGGAGAAAGCACCTAGGAGGAAACACAATAAACCTGGCTCAAAGGAGCTTCCCTCGACTCAAAAGTGGAGGTCCTGAACTTGTAGCTACTCTTCCTTCTCACATCTAGGCCAGGAGCCTCCAACTAAAAGCCCTTGATCCAAAGTAGCTAAAGAGTGTTAGGCACATATCAAGAGTCTGATGGGTGGATCAAAAGTGATGGGTAGGCCCAAGATACCCCAGGAACATCTTCTCAGGCAGAGGATAGGGCTCGATGATGGATAGAAGCAAATAAAACTGTAAGAATCCAACACGCACAGGGATTAGCCCTAGCATGGTGGAAAGGCCATACTCAGCCTCAGCTAGCTTATGATTCAGACACAGTCTTTCTGCAATTGGTCCAAAAACCAAGAGAAGAAAAGGTTTGGTAAGTGTATGGAAAAGCACTCAGAGAACATATCTCTCATGTGGGAAACAATGAAAAATGAAAAAAAGTCTGCTTTTGTCCACACAGCAGCTGTGAGAAGTGAGAACTTGCTCTCCTATTCAATTATAAAAAAGAGATTATTTCCTGAGCATAATGCTGTCTTTCTCCCAGACCTATAGTTCTTAGTCTGAGACCCATGCAGTGCAGATCTGCAGCTAGAACCAGTAACTTGAGGGATGGGACAGGGAACATTCAGGACTTACAAGTCATCTAGGTTGCTGCAGAGGTGGGGGAGGGGGTGGTGGGCGTGGTGTTAGATGCTGTGTCAGGACCCGGCAGATTCAACCCCTTTCCAAGCCTGAGTCTCCATGCCAATGTCCACAGGCTTCTGATACCATGAGGAGAATATTGGATTTAGAGACAGAAGACTGAGTATGAATCCCGCTAATAAGTCCAAGTACTAGTTGTCAGGTTTTAAGCAAGTAAATTTAGCCTGTTTTCTCATTGATAGAAAGTATACAATGAGGCCCATGTTTCAGGGTTATTGCGAAAAAGAAATGAGATTGCTTGTAGAAATGTACTCACTATTCTGCCAACTACAAAGTTAAAAATTGAAGCTGTTTAATAAACATCTATTATCTGCTAAATATTTCATTAAGCAAAGTAATGGACATACTAAAATGGAGATAACAAAATCTCTTCCTTCAGGTAGCTCACAATCCTGTTTAGGAGAGATGGCTAAGACAAGCTGCATGGATCAGATCACAGGCAGAATGGGACATATTACATGATATTTAAAACCCTGTAACAGCAATCCCAAATATGCCTTGAGCACAGAGGTCCTACTCTGTTTATGTCCACATCAGTGGCATTAACACCAAGTTAGGTTGCTCCCTTGTTGAAAGAAATAATAAATGAATGCAGGAAAGATTTTACTCTACTTACTTAGTTATATGTTTGTTTTCTTTACTATATTACAAGCCCACAGAATGTGGGGACTACATCTTATTCATCAATACCCACATCAAATTGAAGACAAAAATATTGGTTGAGTTCTGTTGTTGTTGAATGAAGCTATGTATAAAATGCTTTGCCAAGACTGCAAAGCCAACCCTTAATTTAGACTGGAAGGATAAATAAGGGTAGAAAAATAAGCTGTTTAATGTGAAAAGATATGCATCATATAAAATCCACTTAATCAAAAGTAACATGTGAACAGAGGTGTAAAAGATGTTAAGGTTTTCATCAAGTACATGAAACAAGATCAGTTGAGTAGTCACTTTTACTGAAATTTGTGCTTTAAAATTTCATATTGCTTAGTCTTTACACTTCTATCAGGTTCAAATTTAGGCAATTATTTAACAAATGGGGAAACTGACACCTGGAGAGGTCAAGAAATTACTGAAGTTTATCGAATTAGTTGCCTAAAATTTAGGATTAAACTCAGGTTCATACGAGTTCAGAGCTGGCCCTCCCCCTCCTTCAGGCACGTGGCTTATTTAGTGCTACAGCTGGAACTAGATTCGGGTTTTTAAAATCCAAGCACAGAGGTGTTTTCACTACATTGCATGTTTTTGTTTTTCCATCAACACTAAAGCAAGTAATTTTGGTTTCAGAATCTAAATGAAAGCATTGGGGTTGACCCCTTGGGAACCTAGTATTCGACCAAGTCCTTGTTTTCCAAAGCATCACTGGATATTTTTCACAAGCCTAGTTAGAGTTATTTTATTGTGGCCTAATGGCAAAGCACAGATTCCTAACAGATTTCTTTCTTCATGATCTAGGAACAAGTTTTCTGAGGCCTAGTTAGGTTCAAAATGTAGTTCCTTCTCTCCAGAGAAAACAAGAGCACTGAATCTAAAAATCCAGCTTTCTGGTTTGGGAAAAGGTGATTTCTCCTATCAGGCAGTAGAATAAGCTGAGTAGCAGAGTAAATGTCCTAGTTCCTCCTTTGGAAGGTTGGGTGCTGCCCCAGTGGAAATGTGCTATAATATGTCATTTTCTGCCACAAATTGCTCCTGGAGGCAGAAAGGCTTTGAATTCAAAGAAAACCACAGTCGTGGCTGATTTCCCTTGCCCAGGTTGTCTGACTGATCAGTGTTGTTTATCCAAAACCATAAATTATCTGTTATGTTCTTCATGTCTCCTTCCATTACCCTAGAAAGTTGTTCAGGAATAGAAATGAGGTGGCTTTATAATTAAAGCAAGATTAAGAATAATATTTAAAACTGATAAGAACAGTTCAGCCAAATGAAAGGCTGCTGAGCACTTTTGACACTTTCTATTATCATTCACATGGTGGCTTTTGCTTGTGTTAATTAAGAAAAATAAACACTGCTCCATGTTGAAGCATAATGTCAAAGCAAATACACAGTAGGAAGCATAATCCATTTGCCTTGCTACAAGTTCATGCTACTGAGCCAAGCCTTTTGAAGAAATCATTTAGCTCAGCTCAGGGCAACTGTATCAATTTCTGATTCTAACCCCCAATGCTAACATTTGTTAAGCTTCTACTTGGGCCAAAAACTATGAATATGAGGAAAGAGAAAACTCTCCATTTCTTGGGTGTCTTGCAACCTAACTGGAAATTTTCATGATGTACACATTGCAAGCATTTTAATTTTTTCAGTCACTCAACAAATATTTATTAAGCAACTAATATTCTAGAAGGTGGGGATCGAGACTGAACTTAAAATAGACAATTGCTACACAATTTCTTAGGAAAGAACTTTGGACTGTAAACAGATAAATAAAATTTGTACTGTAAAAGAAGCTGATAAATGCTATGAAGGAGAATAAAGGAGTAAAAGAGGGATATAGAGTATTGAGGTTGGGCCTGGGAGTGCCATTTTATATTAGAGTGGTTAGAAAAGTCTTCATTAAAAGACATTGGAGAAATTAGGGAAAAAAGTATGGAGAAAGCAATGTGTACATGAGGGAAGAGGTGTTTTAAGCAGAGAAAACAGGTGAACAGGAAATGAGAGGACAGTGTGCTTGGTCCTAGGGGTCAAGGACCAGCAAGGAGGTCAGTATGGGTCAGAGGGCTATAAACAATGAGAGAGAGGAAGGAGAGCAGTCACATCAAAAGGGACCATGTAGTATTGCTAAGGCCATATCTGTTGCTCTGAATAATTTGGGACATATTGGAGGGAATCAGCAGAGGAGGGATGTGATCTGGGTAAGTTTGAAAAAGATTATTCTGGGTCCTCTTAAAGAATAAATGGACAGTGACAAATAAGCAAGGAAACTAGATAAGTAACTATGGCAATAATCCAAACAGGAGATGAAGGTGGGTAGGATCAGGGTGATAAAAAGCGAAGAGGTTGGATTTTGAATGTATTTTTAAAGATAGAAACAATATTGTTTATGAATTTGCTATAGGGGTTGAGAGAAACAAACTGAGAATGACTCTCGAAGGTTTGGAAGCCTGAATAAATAGAAGTATGGATTTGCCATCTAGGAACCAGTGAAAACGTGAGGAGTGTAGATGAGGAGTGAAATTATGAGTTTAGTTATTAACATAAGTTTCAGATGTCCTATGTTAGTCTGGGGCTCAAGAGAAAGATCTGTGTTCCTGATGTAAATTTGGAAGACATTGACATAAAGGTGTTTTGTTTTGTTTTTATTCTTACTATCATTAAAGAGAACTAAATATGGCCTGAGAAGGACTCAGTACTTCTATATTTGAGTCCTTGTGGACAAATGGTAACCTAGCTTAATAGGCAGACAAGATTGAAAACCTAACTTAGGAGTATGAGCCTATAACAATAGCTGAGTGTTGGCCAGTCCCAGTGGGCATACTTCAACCACTCATAGACTGCTGAGTGTTCAAACTGTGTTCAAATAAGGCAAAGGCCAACCAGTAACCAATCCAGCTGTTTCTGTATCTCACTTCTGATTCCTGTACGTTACTTTACTCTCTCTTTGTTTCTAGATTTTTTTCTGACCATGAGGCACCCATGGAGTCTCTGAATCTGCTGTGATCTTAGAGGCTGCCTGACTCGTGAATCATTTCTTCTTTTTTTGCTCAATTAAACTCCATCAAATTTAATTTGTCTGAAGTTTTAACAGATCTGGCATCAGTAGCGGGATTTGAAGTAAAACTCCAGTGACCCCAGGAACACTAGGTGACCAGGAGAGGTGCCTGCCAAGCCTGTTATGCTCACTGGTCTCTTGATTATAACTGGAGGTCATGGGTGAGTTTTATCTCAGATTCCAAGCTCCACTAACTTGTGTTTGGAGCTCTCTCAGTTTACTTGAGAAATACTTAGACTGATCTGAGTCTCAGGTTGAATTGGATTCAATAATTAACTGGACTGGATTCAGTTAGAGGCCTTGAACCTCCAGTAGGTAACTTATTTTAATAATGGGATCGTCTCCATCCAAGGAGTCTGGGACTCCACAATATGGGACTCCAGCTAATTTTATGTATAATAATTATGGGCCCAGAATGTGTGCATTTTTAGAAAAATGGGTTAACCTAACTAAAGAAAACTTAGAATGAAGATGGCCAAAATAGGGAAGTTTTAATTTAGATAAAATTATTTATTTGCGAGGCATATTAGAAAAAGGGGGATCAAAAAGCCCACAAAAACAGTAGGATGCGTTCTTTCATTAGTTTGCAGAGGGCTCTAAAAGACTAAATGAATCAAAAATTGCCTCCTTAAAAGATTTTTGCAAAAAGCAAATGAAAAGCTTAAGCAAGAGACTAAAGACATGATGAAAGAGGACTGTACTCTGAATTAACCTCGACTATTCCTTCTCTTTATATGTCTCTACCTACGTGCTCTGAGTCCACTAACCTTTTTGCCAAGTTACCCTTTCACACTGAAGATGATAAAATAAAGGAAGTTAGACAGATGCCTTACAAAGTGAGACCTGATCAGGCAGACCTGCCTGCTGTAACTACTTTCACTCCATGTTCTAAAACTAAGCTTACAGTCATTGTGAAGGACTTCTCTGATCCAAGGGAAGACCCTCAAAAATTTACTGAGGATTTAGAATCCTCATAGGAGCTTATGATTGAGGACTTCCTGACCTTTACCAGTTTATTCACATGATATTGGAGCCTGGTGAAGCTCAGAGATGGATGGCAGCAGTAGACTGGGACAAACCTGAGGTAGATATTAAAGATCCCTCCCAAAGCTCCTTATGAGAAGGACCAAAAGTAGCTAGAAAAATTGCTGAAAATCTTTTAAATTCAATTCCTAAATTTTTTCTGCCAAAAATTGATTGGTCCTTCATACAATCGTGTAAACCAAAAAAGGATGAACCAGTTTCAGATTACAGAACTTGCTTCAAATTTTGTTTGTGAAACATTCGTGGGCTTAAAGTACAGCAAGGAGTATTTCCTGATAGGAACTGAAATGACATTAACTGCTCGATTTATAAATGAACTCCTAGCAGTTTAATTAAAAACATAAGTTTGGATAGGAAGTTACAGATATGACTGAATTGGTGGCCTTAACTGAACATTTTGACAGGACTCTACAGCAAGAAAAAACTCAAAAGGCTAACAAGCTTATGCCCCTTCAATTAGAACAGTTACAGGGACCAGGACCAAAGGGACCAAAGGAACCTTCTTGTTCTCATTTTAAATCACAATCAAGAGGTCCTAGAACAAGAAGTTCTTTACCCCAATATGTTTGGCTGTGTTGCAAACAACTAGGGCACTGGAAAAGGGATTGACCATTTTTATATCCATCTGCCAATAGGCCTCCCTTTAAGCCAAACTGTTTCACCACAAGAGGGATTCTAAGAGACCAGCAAGTATTCTCCAGTAAATTGCTCCCCGAAATAACTTTAAATGAACATGGAGAAACAGAGGTTAAGGTAATGGGGAGTCATGTAGGGTCCTGGTGGATACTGGAGCTACTCTATCTACCATAAACCTCACTTTAATAAGCCAACAAACTCCTCGGAGTAAAAAGGTCATTTCTGTGGTAGAGTTGTCAAATCAAGTTCAAGAGGTTCTCATATCTGAACCCATCCAATTAACTTTGGGGCTGTTTTCAGAAAAACACTTTTACTATGTGATATCACTCCAGTAAACTTGTTAGGGTGAGATCTACTTTCAAAGCTAAAAGGGCACATAAAATTTTGCTCAGTAGGAAAAATAATCTTATAATTTCCTGATTCTCCTGAACCAGAATTGTTATACTATCTACAGGTAGAAATTGATAAGATTGAAACTCAGGCCTGTAATACCCCTGATCTTTCAAAAATACCTAAATGTTTATGGGCCACTTCCCTAACTGATATAGGAAGAATTAAAAGTGTGGAACCTATAAAAGTCCAAATAGATCATCCTAAATCTTGGCCTGAATTACCCCAATATCCACTAGAAACTGAGGCAATTCAAGGGCTCTCTCCAATTGTAGAAGATTTAATTAAACAAGAACTCATAATCCCACACACCAGCCCTTGTAATGCTCCAGTCCTACCAGTTAAAAACCAGATGGATGAGGCTGGAGATTTGTTCAAGATTTATGGGCAATTAGTAAAATTGTAATACCAAGATTTCCTGCAGTCCCAAATACTAATACTTTATTATCTAACATACCAACTAATTCCAAGTGGTTCACAGTAACAGATCTCTGCTCAGCCTTCTTTAGCATTCCAATTCATAAAGTAAGTTAATACTTGTTTGTCTTTTCTTGGAAAAATCAGCAGTACACCTTGACTGTAATACCACGAAGGCTTACTGAAGTCCCTTTATATTTTTCTCAGGCATTGCATCAGGGCTTAAAGACACTAGAGTTTCCTCAAAATTTTACTGTCATTCAGTACATAGATGACTTATTGTTACTCTCTCCCACTAAGGAGTGTGCTAAAATTGATTCAATTTACCTTTTATAGCAACTTGCATATAAAAATCACAAGGCTTCAATGGAAAAACTTCAGTTTTTAAGATAAAAAGTCCACTATTTGGAACATGGTTTGACTGCTGACAGGATTTTCCAGTCACCTGAGAGGAAAAAAACTATTCAAAGTTTTCCTCAAGCAGCAACCAAAAATCAGTTAAGAGACTTTCTTAGACTTGCAGGATATTGCAGATCCTGGGTTCCAAATTTTTTCTTAATAGTTTCACCATTTTATGAGCTCACTAAAAATGCCATACCAGAGCCTTTACCTTGGGGAGACAGTCATGAGCAGGCTTTTAGCCTAATGAAGTTGACCTTACAACAGCACCCAGGTTTAGGACTTCCAAATTACACTAAACTTTTCACTTTGTCTGTTCATGAGTGTAAAAATCAGGCATTAGGAGTCCTTACTCAAGAACATGGTGGTGAACACAGGCCCATTGTATACTATAGCCTGCAATTAGACCCAGTCGCTAAGGCATATCCTAATTTGTTTAAAAGCAGTAGCAGCGGCAGCCAAGCTGGTAGAAGCTTCATAAGATTTGGTTTTAGGAAATGAACTTAATTTGCAACTCCCACACACTGTGGAAAGTCTATTACACTCCAACCGAATCCAGCACTTTTCAGGAAGTAGATTAACATCTTATTAATTACTTCACCTATCTCCTTCTAATCTTCATCTAAAATACTGTAATCAGCAGAATGCTGCTACTCTTGTTACCTCTGTCTGATGATGGTGAAGACCACAACTGTGTAGGTGTAGTGTCAGAAATGGTGGCCCCTCATGTTGACTTATAAGATACTCCACTGGATAATCCTGAAGAAATTAATACTTTTTTAAATGGGTTCTCTGCAAAAATCTTAGAAGGAAAATATCAGGTAGGATATGCTGTTACCACTCAAAATGAGTTAATAGAGAAGGGAACTCTTCCTCAATTTAAGTCAGCCCAACCTGTGGAGCTTTCTGTCCTCACCAGAGCTTGCCATATAGCTAAGGATAAGTCATTAAATATTTATACAGATAGTAAATATACTTTTGGAGTAGTACATAATTTTGGCATAATATGGAAACTAAGAGGGTTTCTCACCTCTAGTGGGACACCCACCAAAAATAGACTCTAAATGAATGGGCTCTTTTCTGCTATCTTGTTACCATTGCAGATTGCTGTGATTAAAATTGAAGCTTATACTTGTAGAACTGAACCCAAATAACAGGGAAATGCTTTGTCAGATTTTTATGCTAAATTAGCTAGTGATGAAACTCTTAAGATATGCAATTTGAATGAACCCCATAAGATTAATCCAAGCCAATTCCTTATGATGACCTATTTAATAACTAGTGCAATGCACCTGATTTGGAAAAACAAAATTGGTATCTAAAAGGATGTAAATTTAATGTGAAGTGCAGCGTTACAGAAGGCCAGGATGGCCGCCTAGTCCTTCCTGAGTCTTTGAAGCTTCCATTGTTGAAAGCTCTGCACTCCACAACTCATCATGGAACAGACAAAATGATTCAAATTATGAAAAAATACTCGTGGGGTGACTGTTTCAAAATTGCTAAAATGATTTGTAATCAATGTTTGACTTGTCAAACTCATAATCCTGGGAAGATAATCAAAACTTTAGGTGGTGTATTTCCACCACCTGATGGACCATTTGAGCATTTACAATGGACTTCATTCAATTGCCACCCATGATGGGGTTATCAGTATGTTCTTGTAATAGTTTGCATGTTTTCTGGTTGGATAGAGGCCTTCCCAGGTAGGAAAGCTGATGCTGTGATGGTAGCATAGAAATTATTAGAAAATATTTTTCCTTTATGGGGGATCCCTCTAAAAATCTTCAGTGATAGAGGAATTCATTTTGTTGGGCAAATTATAAAGCAGTTAAATAAGGTGCTACTGACACAGTGGCACTACCGTTGTCCCTATCACCCTCAATCTTCAGGAAAGGTTTAAAGAACAAATGGCACATTAAAATTGAAATTGAAAAAGTTAACTGAATCAATTGGGTTGCCTTGGCCAAAGGTACTACCTTTGGCTTTAATGGCAATCAGATCCACTCCCATTGGAAAGCGTAAATTGACCCCTCATGAAATAGTCACTGGTAGGCCTCTCTCCCTAATAATACCACCTCATGCTTCTCCTGCTCTCTTAAACTCTGACATGACTAAATACTTCAAGACTTTAATACATTATGCCAAAGTGCACTTCTGCTAGGTAAAGGAAGCTTTTGGAGATCCACCAACTGAGAATAATCAAACCCTCATGGTCTGGAACCTGGAGACTGGGCCTTCTGAAAATGACATAAGAAGAAGACTGCTCGTGAACCTTGATGGAAGAGACCATACTAAGTTCTTCTCACCACCCTCACTGTAGAGAAGCTTCAGGGCCTTGAACCTTGGTTTGACATCTCACAACTCAAATGAGCCCCTTCAGACTCCTGGAACTGTACAACTGTTGGAGGCTTGAGGGTAAAGCTGACCAGGGAAATCTCTCGACCCTGAAGCAGATGACATCCTAGTTGTGGATAGCTTTCCCAAGATCACAGATCAAGACTTCTTTACCATCACGAAAGTATCATGTGTTTTTCTGTTTTCCTAATTTTTTGTACTATTTCTTTCCTTTTCCCCACAGGAAAATCCATGGGACCATAATCAGTGGATGGTGTTAGCTTGAGCTTATGGTCTAGCACAAAACCAGAGTAATTGTTGGGTTTTTGGACTAATTCCAAAAAATCAGGAAATGATTCCACTGATGCCAATGCCTCTCCATGTTCTCAATGACAGTCACCTTGAAGCTCCAAGAGAAGAATGGAAAGCTGTTCCTGATATTCTAAACATCACTGCTACTTGCTTTTCTACACTCACTGAAAACAACTCTCTAACTTTTTCAACTTATAACTCAGTCATTAGCAAACATAAAAAACCAATCCAAGTGATGCCTGAAAAAGGCATAGTATGCTTCCAGGCATCACGCACTCAAGATTTGGGAATTACTTATGTTGATACAAGTAATTGCTGGTATAATGTAACCAGATTAAATCCAGTAGAGTCTCTTTTTACTAGATATGGTTATACATCCTTACAACATGCCATAAAGGGGCCACAAAAAGGTAAATTTCTCACTGGATTTTGTTCAGGAGTGATGCAGATTTGCGGTCAAATCTGACTGATCCCTGCTCAAATGCAACTAGGTGGCCGTCCTTTCCAACCTCTGAGGGTCTACACTTGGTCTGTGGAGAAGCTGTGTATTCAGTTGTTCTGCCTCCTTGTTGGCTCAGTTCTTGTTATTTGGCCTGGCTTTCTCCTGCCTTTCTAATGCTTTCACCTAAAAATTCTTGTTTTTTTAGATGGAGTCTTGCTCTGTCACCCAGGCTGGAGTGTAGTGGCATGATCTCAGCTCACTGCAACCTTTGCCCCCTGGGTTCAAACAATTCTCTTGCCTCAGCCTCCCTAGTTGCTGGGATTACAGGTGTGCACTACCACACCCAGGTAATTTTTGTGTTTTTAGTAGAGACGGGATTTCACCACGTTAACTGACTGGTCTCGAACTCCTGACCTCAAGTGATCCACCTGCCTCAGCCTCCCAAAGTGCTGAGATTACAGGCATGAGCCACAAGCCTGGCCACAAAAATTCTTATGATAGCCCTTATCATCAGAGGCCAAAATGATCAATAACTAAAATTAGCACTAGCCTTGAAATAGATGAGGATAAGCTGGTTTCTACTGAGGACAGATTCGAGTGGGGTTCCTGGGGACTCACCTTTGGTTGTAATGGGGTATCAGTTATATGGAATTTAAAGCTAATTCATAAATTGGGAAAAATCTTGGATTTTGTAGCCAATCAGAACTCCCAGGGTTTCAGACAGGTAGAAGCTTCTCTCAGGTAGATGACAACACACATATTCAACAAAAACACGTGGTGGAACATCATGCAGCCTTAGATCTTCTTTTTGCTCAAGCTAGAAGCCTATGTTTGGTGTTAAACAGAACTGAATGATGTACTTATCTCTCCCCTGATTTTGTTACCAAAGAAAACTTAATTAAAAAGGTGGCTGATACTGCTGTTTCCTTAGACACTGCCACCAAATACATTAAAGAACTTTCTCAAGAGAGAGGAACCTATGATGTGTTTACAGGATCAACTAACAGTTGGTTTGCAGGCATCCTAAGTGGTGGATGACAAGCTTGGGTTTTCCAAGCATTTCTAATCTTTATATTTCTTCTAATATATTTCCAGGTTATTATGACTTGTATTACCAGGGTAACAATGAAAATGAGTACCTCTTTGAGTCAGGCTACTTTACAGTGAACTATGGTCTTTAATCGCTATCACACTCCAAAGGAGGACTATGACCAATTAGAACCTAATACTGTTGAACTGTCTATATTGTCTGAACCTAAACTTGGCCAATTGGGTTTGGTTCATTTCATAAGAACTCCTGTTAAGGAGCACGTGTTGGCATTTTGATAATATTATTCTCTTGATAGTCATAATAATAGTCCCCTTGGCACGCTATATCCTCTCAAGTCTTAAATGTTGTGTAGGCAGACATCCATTGAGAGTTGAATGGTCTCACTCCAACTGGGTCAGCAAGAACATAAAAATCATTCAGCTGGTACAAAGCTGTGACTTGTGAATTCCATATTGACACCAAAAACTTGTGAAACTCCATACTGAAACTAAAGAAGACTTGCGACTTCCACACTGAGATTGAATAAGTCTTTATGATGGTGACAGAGAGTGGCATCAATTCCTAAAGTTTTGGTTAATCTCTCTAAATTGAGAGGCTGACCAAAAGGGGGGAATTATTAAAGCAAACTAAATATGGTCTGAGAATGACTCCATACTTCCATATGTGAGTCTTATGGATGAAACCTAACCTAATAGGCAGATGGGATTGAAAACCTTCCTTAGGAGTATGTGCCTGTAACAATAGCTGAGTGATGGGCAATCCCAGCAGTCATACTTCAATCACTCATAGACTGCTGAGTGTTCAAATTGTGTTCAAATAAGGCAAAGGCCAACATGTAACCAATCTAGCTGTTTCTGTACCTCACTTCTGATTCCTGTACGTCACTTTACTTTTTTTTTTGTCTATACATTTGTTGTGACCACAAGGCACTCCTGGAGTGTCTCTAAATCTGCTGTGATTCTGGAAGCTGCCTGATCCACAAATCGTTTTTTTTTTTCGGTTTTTGCTCAATTAAATTCCGTCAAATTTTATTTGTCTGAAGTTTTCTTTTAAAACTGTTGAATGAGATTGTCCAAAGGTTGGGTTAGTAGAGTCAAGAATGAGTCAATGATGATTACTGAGGCCTGGCAATGTAGATTGGAAACAGAAAAACAAATTAGCAAAGGAGATGAAAAAGAAGAGGTTAGGAGGCAGGGCAAAGCCAACAAAGAGAGCAATGTCAAGGAATGCAAGCAAAGTGTTTAGCCCAGGGAAAGAATGGCAAAGAATTGTGTGTGTGTGTGTGTGTGTGTGCATCATGTGACCCAAATACCTGGAATGGATCACACATACCCCAGGAGTTCAGAGGAAATAGTTCTTTTTAAGGCTGGAATATAGTGGAGGAAGCTTCATGAAGATCTTATTTAGAATACAGCTGTAATTGCGAGAGAGGTAGACATTTTATATAAGAGATAGTGTATATTACAAATGTTTAAAAAAGTGCTTACCACGTGCCAGATACTATTCTAAAAATATGTATGTTTATTAACTAATTTAAATATTGAATCCTTAATCCCAGCATTTTGGGGGGCCAAGGTGGGCAGATCACTTGAGGCCCGTAGTTTGAGACCAGCCTGGCCAACATGGTGAAACCTCATCTCTACTAAAAGTACAAAAATTAGCTGGGTGTGGTGATGCATGCCTGTAATTCCAGCTACTCCAAAAGGGTGAGGCACAAGAATTGCTTGAACCCGGGAGCCAGATGTTACAGTGAGCTGAGATCACACCACTCAACTCCAGCCTGGGAGACACAGTAAGACTCTGTCTCAAAAATAAAATAAAATAAAAACAAACAAAAAAAAATTGAATCTTTTTAAAAACCTGTGCTATATACCCCTTGAACAACAGGGGTTTGGGCTGCTCAGGTCCATTTATATGCAGATTTTCTTGTGCCTTTGCAACCCCTGATACAGCAAGACCAACCGCTGAGCTTCCTCCTCCTCAATGTGAAGACAAGGAGGATGAAGACATTTATGGTGATCTATTTCCACTGAATCAATTGTAAATGTGTTTTCTCATCCTATAATTTTCTTAGTAACATTTTATTTTCTCTAGCTTACTTTATTGTAAGAATGCAGTATATAATACATATAACATAAAAATGTGTGTTAATTGAATGTATATGTTATCTGCAAGGCTTCAGGTCAACAGTAATTTAAGTTAGTTTAAGTTCTGGGGAAGTCAAAAGTTATAAGCCAAGTTTCAACCGCTTGCAAATGTACCCCTAAACCCCATGTTGTACAAGGGTCAACTGTACTGTTACTGTCCCCTGTTACAGATGAGAAAACAGACTTGAGGCAGTGGGAGGGAATCCTTGTTTGAGATTACAGTTTTATGTATAGTCATTTCCCACATAACACCATTTCAACCAACCAGAGACCACATATACAATAGTAGTCCCATAAGATTGTAATGGAGCTGAAAATTTGCCTAGTGTTGTCTTGATTATCCTGACCCCATGTAAACCTAGGCTAATGTGTCTTAGTTTTTAACAAACAAAAAGCTTAAAAAAAAAACTCCAAAACCCCTCAAATTTTTAAAATAGAAAAAAGAGCTTGTAGAATGAGCATATAAAGAAAAAATATTTTTACACAGCTGTACAATGTTCACTGTATTTGTGTTTTAAGCTAGTGTTATTACAACAGTCAGAAAAATTTTAAAGATGTTAAAAAGCTTATAGAGTACAAAAGTTACACTAATTTATTACTGAAGAAAGAAAAATATTTTTTGGCTAGGCATGATGGCTCACACCTGTAATTTCAGCACTTTGTGAGGCCAAAGTAGGAGGATCACTTGAGGCCAGGAATTCAAGACCAGTCTTGGCAACATAGTGAGATTCTCGTTCCTACAAAAATATTTTTTCAAAAATTTGCCAGGCATGGTAGTGCATAGTCCTGTAGTCCTACCTATCCAGAAGGCTGAGGAGGGAGGATCCCTAAACCCAGAAGTTGGAGGCTGCAGTGAGCTATGATTACCACTGCACTCCAGCCTAAGCAACAGAATAAAACCCTTAAAACCCCGTCTCTTAAACAACAAAAAAAAAGATTTTAAAATAAATATGTTTCCTAAATGAGAGGGTTTATAAAGTCTACAGTAGTGAATAATATCTTAGGCCTTCACATTCACTCACTATTCACTCACTGACTCACCCAGAGCAACTTCTAGTCCTGCAAACTCCATTTGTAGTAAGTGTCCTATACAGGTATACCATTTTTCATCTTTTATACCATATTTTTACTATATGTTTATGTTTAGATATGTTTAAATACACAAATACTTACCATTGTGTTACAGTTGCCTGCAGTATTCAGTACAATGGCATGTGGTTTGTACCTTAGCAGCAATAGGTTACAACCTATAACCTAGGTGTGTAGTAGACTATACCATCTAGGTTTGTGTAAGCACATTCTGTGATGTTCACACAAAAATGAAATTGCCTAATGATGCATATCTTCGTCCATATCCATGTTGTTAAGTGATTCCTGTCTTTGGTAGTATGGCTCAAGGTTGCATTTTCTTGATGTCTTTATTCTGCTACATCGTTCATGGGTAAAGACATGAAGTCAAGAGAAGATGTAGCTAGATTGTTAAGCCATAAATAGGCTCCTTTGACTGGGGTGGAAGATTGTCTTTTTTTTTTTTTTTTTTTTTTTTTTTTTACAAAAGTGAGTGAGTTCAAAAGCAAGGTTAGGGCTATATCATATTAGGGTGGACAAATCTTGGTGAGTTTGGACTTTATGGTCAGTGGAGGGTCATTCATGTTTGTAATTGGTAAGGTTTTCAGTTAATATTTTCCCATTTTGTAAAAGATATATGACAATTTTACAATGACAGACTGTTAGTCATGAGTTTGAAACAGTCTTAGAAATTTTAAAAGGATGGAAACTGAGAGAGGACATTAACTTCAATTCTCCAAGCTTATTTCCAATAGTTATTTTCAGAGCACTGAGCAGGACCAGACCCAATTCGTTTGCAACTTACCCCTATACTTTTACCAATAGACCTTGATGCTTATGCAATAGCTAACTTAAAACTGGCAAGATTATAGCAACAGAGGTCTTGTTCTTTTATTTCATTTAATTTTACAGTTATTTTATTGTGAAGTATTTCAACATAAAATTCTTAAAACAATAGACATCCTAGTTTCAATTTAAAGCTTTAGGTCTAAACCTTTTGAGAACGTAAGCAATCCAAGGACAATCACCTATAAAATGTTTAGTAGGGATAGCAGGCATAATCAGTGCTCTATCCACATCCTTTCTGATCCATGCACACCAATCCATTATCTAATGGTCATTCCTGCATTTATTTTTGGAGTGTTGCCTTTAGATTTTCAGAACCTATTTCCCTCATGCACTTGGTAGGTTAGAGAGTCCAGGGAGATAATATTTTCCAGAGGCAGCCCTTAAGCAGTGACTTCTGGATGTGTAATATAGATATTGTAGCTCCCTCACCCCAGCTATGACAATTAATATCCCTATATGATTAATAATGCACTCTTTATGGGCTGCCTTTCCTTTTCTTTCCTTTATCATTTTTTCATCTCCCTACCAGTGTGTTATGAGCTGAATTCTTTTCCTCAAAATTCGTATGTTGAAGCATTAGCCCTTACACCTCAGAATGTGACTATATTTGGAGATAAGGTCTTTAAAGAGTTGATTATGCTAACATGAGGCCATTAGGGTTCAACCTAATTTAATCTGACTAGTATCATTATAAGAAGAGAAAATTTGGACATCCAAAGAGACACCAAGGGCACATTCACACACAGGAAAGACCACATAAGGACACAGTGAGAAGGTAGTCATCTACAAGTCAAAGAGAGACCTCAGAAGACACCAAAACTGATGGGCCTTGATTTTGGACTTCCAGTCTCCATAATTGTGACAAAATAAATTTATATTGTTTAAATGACTCAGTCTGTAGTATTTTGTTGTGGCAGCCCTAGTAAACTAATACATAATGTGACTTTTACTTTCTCAGTAAACTTTTTGGACAATCATGGTCTCAGCATTTGCTTCTAGAAAAAAAACTATGACAGTAGATATAACTTATAATGGAGATTAGATCATTTCTGGTGCCCTTTTATATAAATAGAAGTTCTGTTCTGTTTTTTTGCTGATTATTGCAGTGTTGACCTGTAAGGTGGTGGTGAATATGCCAGCTCTAATTTTTAATTTGCATTTCCTGTCACCCAGAAGATGAATGCAGGTCTTGCCTTTTTTCATACATTCAGGAAAAGTCACTAATTTGTGTTTCTTTGTCATCTCATTTCAGTGGTAAGGGCTCAGGTCACTGGGCCTGATGGGGGCACAGCTATTGTTAGCAAGGGGCAACAAAGCAATTTCACTTTCTTTTTTTTTTTCCCCAGGGAGAAAGCACACTAGAATTGCGAAGGTAACTCTCCAGTTTTCATTTAAATCAAAAAGCATTTGTATCTTTGACCAAGTTCTTGCAACCAACCTCTTGGAGTTAGCAATGGTGGGCTATGCAAGAAGAGTCCCTGATGTTCTGTACTCTCCTCTTCTCTGTATGATGACCCTCCATGATCAACACTGGAAATCTTAGTGTTCATCAATGGACAATAATATCAATACCAAATATTATAAGATAAAAATTCTTACTGAGAGAAGAAGAGCAGATCTTCAAACATGATTTATTTGAAGCGAATTTAGGGACAGTAGGTTCATCTCTGATGACGAGTTACACAGGCACATGATTGAAGAAATAAATTGATGAGGAAGGGAATTTAGTTTTCTTAAGCACCTACCATCTATCACGCACAGCTTTAGGCTCTTTCACATACCTTATCTTACACAATCAGCCTTTATAATTTACTGATAGAAAAAAAAAAAACAGGGCTCAGAGAGGTTAAGTGACTTACCCGAAGCAACATGTTATTTAATGATGGAGCCAATATCTGAACAAAGATCTCTGACTTCAAAGCCAGGCTTTTATAACATTATCTTGCCAAAAAGTAGAGGGTGAAGAGAAGAAATAACCTAGAATTTTTTTTTCTACTTTTTATAAAGTGAAGAGAGGCTGAGACAAGGTGTCAGAGGACTTATTAAATGAGAAAGAATGGAGTGTTTTTTGTCTTTCTCAGTTCCAGGAGGCATTCAGAAGCAGACAAGAATGTCTAAAGAACTAGCTCTAATTAAAGGAGATATTTGGCTGTCTCTTTGACACAGAGCTTAGCATAACACAGGTCAGAAGACATCTATAACTATAATCCAAGGAGGAGGATGTTATCAGAATCTTGAGTTTCCCTGAACAGCAAAAGAGCTTACAGCTTTCTGGACACACAAGCCATTCCTTGTAATTCTGAGAATTTAGCCCAGAGGGTGGTCTCAAAAACTTGGGAAATCAGGGAACTGTTTCAGGCTCTGTATTAGATACTTTTTGCTGCACCCCCCTCAAAAAAAAAAATCACAAAACTTGGTACTTTACAACACTGTCTTGATTATTGTAACTATCTTAAAATTGAGTAGGCTGATTCTTCTAGCTTTTTTCTTTTTCAGAATTATTTTAATTATCCTATTTTCTTTGCATTTCCATATACATTTTAGAATAATGTCTATAACTATGTAAAAATCTTTGTGGGATTTTGATTGAAATTGTGTTAAAACTTTAAAACAATTTTGGGACAATTGACATTTTTGAGCCTTCAGGTCTATGAACACTGCATGTTTTTCTGCTTATTTAAATATTTTGTCAATATTTGATACTTTTAAACATACCAAAACCTACACCACGTTTTGTTAGAGTTTTACAGAAGTATTTTATGAGTAATTGGTATTGTGCTTTTAATTTCAATGTCCAAATGTTAATTACTAGTGTGTGTGTGTATATATATATATATGCATATGTGTGTGTATTATATATACACACACAATTGATTTGATTATTTTTCATCTATCTTGTGACCTTGCTGAACTCAGTAATTAGTTCTAGAAATATTTTTTGGTAGATTTTTTTTTAATCTTCCAATGCAGATAATGATGTCATCTAAAAATATGGAGTTTGATTTCTTCCTTTTTTATTTATCTTTCATTACCTTTTTTGCCTTGTTGCACTGGCTAAAACCATCTAAAACTATGTTGAATAAGTGTGGTAAGAGCACATATCCTTGCCCTGCGCTCCATCTTTGGGGAAAAACAGTCTTTTACCATCAAGCATCATGTTAGGTTGTACATGTTTTGATTAAGTTGAGGATATGCCCCTCCATTTCAGTTTCCTGATAGTTTTTCAAATCACAGATTTGTGTGGAATTTTTGTCAAATGCCTTTTCTGTATCAAATTACACGATTTTTTTTTAGCCTATTAACATAATGAATTACTTAGAATAATTTTTGACCATTGAAACAAAATTTCATCACCAGAATTTACCTCACTTTGTCATATAGGTTACAATTATTTTGAGTGTATTTCTGCCTTCTATTTCTTATGTTCGGTTAAAAATTGTGTCTATTTTAATTTTAAAAGTTGATCTTTTTTTTATACAGTTTTGTTTGGTTTTAGTAACAAAGTAATACTAGTTTCATAAAATACTGAAAATCCTTTTCTCCTCTTTGAATTTTTGAAAATGTTTGTGTAGAATTGGTGTTAATTTTTTTGTTTAACATTTGGCAGAATTCTTCAGTAAAAACATCTGAATTTGAAAATGGTTTAATTTATAAATGGAAAAATATTGAACAGACATCTCATCAAAGAAGGTATACAGACTGAAAGTATGCCTATAAAAAGTTGCTTCATATCATGTTATTAAGAAATTGCAAGTTAAAACAAGAAAATATTACACAAAGCCCTACACATCAATGTTTATGGCAGCTTTATAGTTGTCAAATCTTAGAAACAACCAAGATTTCTTTCAATAGGTGAATGGATAAACAAATGAAGGCATATCTATATAATGGAATTATAAAGCCACAGAAAGACATGGAGGATCTTTTAAAAGCATATTTCTAACTAAAAGGAGTCATCTGAAAAGGCTACATGCTATATGATTCAACTGCATGACAATCTAGAAAAAGCAGAACTATAAAGAGTAAAATATGTTAATGGTTACCAGTGTTTTGGGGGGTGGAGGTGGGGTCAACAGGAATGAATAGGTAAAACGTGGAATTTTTAGGGCAGTGAACTATTATGAATGATACTGTAATAGTGGTAGCTTGTCATTAAACGTTTGTCAAATCCCAATGAACATACAACATTAAGAGTAAACTCTAATGTAAACCATGGATTTTATTATAAAAATACTGGCTTGTCAATTGTTATATATCTATCAAATAAAGCAAGATTTTAATTAGGGAAGCTGTGTGTAGGGAGTGTTTGGAGGAGGGGGCAAGACGGGGCATATGAGAACCCTATTTTCTGCTCAATTTTTCCACAAATCTAAAACTGCTCTAAAAAATAAGGTGTATTAACTTTTAAATGAAACAGTTTATTGGTAACACACACACAGACACACCCACACTTGGATCTGTAGTTTTCTTTTGTGGGAGTTTTAAAATTACAAATTCAAGCTTTTTAATATGTATAGCACTATTTGTCAATTTCATGTTCCTTCAGCTGTGGTATTTTGTGGTTTCAAAGAATTGGTTCATGTTATCTAAGTTGTTATTTTTATGGTGTACAGTAGTTCACACTATTCTTTTTTTTAATCCTTTGATGTCTATAGGATCCGTTTTTATATTTCCTGTTTCATTCCTTCTTTTGGGAATTTGTGCCTCATTTTTTCTTTGTCTTGCTGGAGGTTTGTCAATTTTATTGACCATTCAAAAAACAAGCTCTTTATTGATGTTCTCTATTGTTTTTGTTTTCAATATCATTTATGCCTTTTTAAACTTTTGTGATATGATTAATAAAAATTGTATATAGGGTATACATATTTTAATATATACACATTTGTAAAATGATTACCACAATTGAGCTAATTAACATAGCCATTACTTCATACCATTACCTTTTTATATATGTGTGGTAAGAATACAAAAGATAATTTTTTTGAGCAAATTTCAAGTATGTAACACACAATTACCAACTAAACTTATTGAACTTTGTATTTGGTCTCTAGAACTTATTCATCTTATAACTGCACATTTGTACCCTTGACCAACATTTCCCCATTTCTACAATGCCTAGCCCCTGGGAACCACTCTTCTATTCTACTGCTATCTGTTTCTATGTATTAGAAACTTTTAGATTTCATATATGATGTGGTTTGGCTCTGTGGCCCCAACCAAATCTCACCATGAATTATTATCCCCATAATCCCCATGTGTCAAGGACAGGACCAGGTGGAGGTAATAGAATCATGGGGACAGTTTCCCCCACACTGTTCTTGTGATAATGAATCTCAGGAGATGTGATGGTTTTATAGGCATCTGGTATTTCCCCTGCTTGCACTTCTCCTTCCCGCTGCCTTGTGAAGAAGGTGTCTTGTTTCCAACTTCTGCAGTGATTGTAAGTTTCCTGAGGCCTCCCAAGTGACGCTGAACTGTGAGTCAACTAAAACCCTTTCCTTTAAAAATTACCCAGTCTCAGGTATTTCTTCATAGCAGCACAAGAAGAGACTAATACAACATATAGGCAATATCACGCATTAATTTTCTTTCTATATCTGGCTTATTTCAATTAACCTAATGTCCTCCATGTTGTCACAAGTGACGGGGTTTTTTAAGGCTGAATAATACATAGATAGATATCATCTTAATTCATCTGTCAATAGAAGCTTAGGTTTTTTCATATATTGGCTATTGTGAATAATGCTGTAGTAAACATGGAAATGCAGATATCTCTTTGACATAGTGATTTTATTTCTTTTGATATATTCCCACAAGTGGGATTAATGAATCACATGGTTTTATTTTTAATTTTTAAAGCAACTTCTATACTGATCCATAGTGGTTGTACCAATTTACATTTCCAAAAACAGGATACAAACTTCCTTTTCTTCACATTCTTATTAACACTTATTAACTTTTGACTTTTTGATAAGTTATCCTAGCAGATATGAAGTGATATCTCATTTTTTTTATTTCCACTTCCCTAATAGTGATGGTGAATGTATCTTTTCATATAACTTTTGGCCATTTTTATGGCTTCTTGGGAAAAAATGTCTATTCAGTTCCTTTCCCCATTTAAAAAAATTTTTTAACTATTAAATTGTATGGCTTTCTTGTATATTTTGGTGATCATGCCCTTGTCCAGGTATACGACTTACAAATGTTTTCTCTCATTCTGTAAATTGCCTTTTTATTTTCTCAGTTGTTTCATTTGCTGCACAGAAACTTTATTTTTGCTTTTCCTGCCTATATTTTTGGGGTCATATCCAAAATATCAGTGCCAAGTCCAGCGTCAAGGAACATGACATCTAAGTTTTCTTCCAGGAGTTTTATAAATTCAGGTCTTAGGTGTAGGTCTTTAATCCTTTTGAGAGGATTTTTGTGCATGGTGTAAGACAAGGGTTCAATTTCCTCTATTTTGTATGTGAATAGCCAGTTCCCACACCACTTATTGACAAGACTACCTTTTCTCCATTATGTATTCTTGGAACTTTTGTCAAAAATGTATTGACCCATGCCTTAGGTTATTTTTGGGCTCTCTATTCTGTTCCATTGGTCTATGTGTCTGTTATAATTCCAGTACCACACTGTTTTAATTAATATGGCTTTGTAATATAATTTGAAATCAGAACGCATGATGCCTTCAGCTTTGCTCTTCTTGCTTGACATTGCTTAAGCTAGTCAGGGTCTTTTGAGATTCTATACAAATTTTAGAAATTTTTATTTCTGTGAAAAATGACATTGGAATTTTGATAGGGATTAAGTTGACTCTATATCACTTTGGGTAGAATGGATATTTTAATAATATTAATTCTTTCAATACATGAACATTGGGTATATTTCCATTTATTTTTGTTCTCTTCAATATCTTTCACCAGTATTTTATTATTTCTAGTGTACAGCTCTTTTATTTCCTTGGTTAAACTTATTTTTCTTTCTTATATTACTTATAATATTTTATATATTTATAACAATTTTTATAAAATATTTTAAATTATTTATAATTTTTTTTTAAATTGGTAGAATTGTTTCCCTAATTTCATTTTCGGGTAGTTCATTGTTAGTGTATAAGAATGCAACTATTTTTGTAGGTTGTATATCCTGCAACTTTACTGAATTTCTTCATTAGTTTTAACAATCTTTTAATGAAGCCTTTAGCGTTTTCTTTGATGAACCTTTAGGAAATACAGAAGACTAAAGTAAATGGAATTACAAATGAAAGATTAAAATACAACTGATATCACACAAACATAAAGAATCATAAGAGAGTACTGTGAACAATAATATGCCAGCAAGTTGGAGAATCTAGAAGAAATGGATAATACTTAGTAACATGCAATCTACAAAGACTGAATCATAAAAAACTACAAAATAATTTGAACAGCATAGTGATGATTAAGGAGATTTAATCGGTAATCAAAAGTCACCCAATTAAAAAGAGTTCAGGGTCAGACATTTTCACTGGTGAATTCTACCAAGCATTTAAAGAAGAATTAATACCAATCCTTCTCAAACTCCTCTAAATAAATTGAAGAGGAGGGAATATTTCTAAACTCATGTAAGAGTTCAGCATTACCTTGGTACAAAAGGCAGACAAGGATACTACAAGAAAAGAAAACTACAGGCCAACATTAATGCAATGATTTTTCATCATATACAAATCAATATTATATACCACATTAGCAAAATATAGGATAAAAATCATACGATCAGCTCAATAGAGGCAGAAAAAGCATTTCACAAAATTTACCACCCTTTCATGATAAAAATTCTCAACAAATTAAGCATAGAAGTAATGTACCTTAACATACGTTACAAGCCCACAGATAACATCGTATGCAGCAATGACAAGCTGAAAACTTTTCCTCTAAGATAAGAAACAAGTCAAGGCTGCTAGGTCACAGTGCTACTTCAGGATCTACATACAGTTGGGACTGACATTGGCAGGCATGTTACTGGGAGCACAGATAGTTGTGTCTTTCACTGGATCCCTGTGCAGGCAGGACTGACTCTGGAACAGTGGTATACTAGGGCTGGAGCCATGGCATAGGGTGGTTTCAAGATCCACAGTCAGGTATACTATGGGTGATGCCATAACCAGGGGCACAGATGGGCATAGTTCCTCCTGGGTTCCTTGATGAATGGGGCTTGTTGCAGGATCATGGCCAACTGGAGCTGAGGCCAGTTCCATAGAGTGACTGTTGCTTTGGCCTTGCAGCTGAGACATTGCTAACCCTGGCACCAGTGTGTGCCTGCCTTCTCAAGGAAGCTCTCTCCAATCTTGGGCTTCAGCAGAATTTCATAATCTCCTACAGGCACCCAAAAGCTTCCACAAAGATACTTCTGTTCATAGATGGCTGCTAGATTTTTGTGTGTGTTGGAAGCTATAATCTGGGGACCTATTATTCTGTCATCCTACTGACATCTTTCCAATGTTATTTTGGTTCTTACCTTTGTAATATCCTTCCTTCTGCCTCATTTTTCTCTTCTTTTTCTAAGCTCTTAACATCGAAGTTTAGATTTTTGACTGAGACTTTATTTTTTTAGTTTCTTTTTTTAAATTTTAACTTTTTAGATACAGTGGGTGCATGTACAAGTTTTTTACATGGGTAAACTGCATGATGCTGAGGTGAGGGTGCAGGTCATGCTATCCAGGTAGTGGGCATAGTACACAAAGGTAGTTTTCAGCCCATTTCCACTTCCCTCCCTTCCCCCTCTAGTAGTTCACAGTGTCTACTGTCCCCATTTATATCCATGTGTGCTCTTTTCTAATTTATGTTTTTATCACTGTAATTTTGCTCTCCGAAATGTATCTGTGTCCCACAGATTTTGATATATTGTATTTTAGTTCATTTAGCTTCATGTTTTTAAAATTTATCTCCTGACTTATTCTGTGCTGTTTAGTTTCTAAGTGTACAAAGATTGTTCTGCTATTTTTCTGTGATTTATTTCTAGTGCTCTTATTCTATTGTAGTTAGACAAGTCACTCTTCATCATTCCATTTCTTTTAAATTTGTTGAAAATTGTTTGATGAGCTAGTATACCACTCCATGTTCTATGGGCAGTTAAAAAATGTGCATTCTGCTGTTACTGGATGGACTATTTATTCATGTGTATTAGATTATATTGTTTGATTATGCTTGCTAGTTTTCTGTCTATAAATTGTTGAAAGATTGAAATCTCTGTATAATGTAGATTTGTCTGTTTATTCTTTAATTTATATCAGTTTTTACTTTATATTTTGCAGCTCTGTTTGTCAGTGCATACACATTTAGGATTGTTCTTAATGAACTGACCCTTTTATCATTATGTAATGGCCCTCTTTGTACCTGGTAATGTTTCTTCTCTGAATGCTACTTTATCTGTTATTAATAGAAATACTCTTGCTTTATTTTGGTTAATATTCACATGACAGACTTTCTTCAGACATAATTTTAATCATAATGTATTATTGTAGTTGAATTGAGTTTTTTTCTTGACAGTATACAGCTGGTTTATGTCTATTCCACTCTGCCAATTTTTGTCTCTTTATTGCTTTTTGAAACCTTTTGCATTTGTGTAATTATTGATACGTTAGGGCTTAAGTCTGACATCTTTTTCTGTTGTTGGGGCTCAGAAAACAATACCTCAAAATGAAGGCCTCAGAAGCAGCCTCGGTAACAAAAGTTTTTCTTGGACCTTCTCCTGCCTTCCTGTCTCTCAGATCCATTCTCTCCCTGAGGCTAGACATAGAAACTAAAATTCCTCTTCCCCAAGGTGGGCCATAGAAACTAGAACCTTTTTTTCCCAAAAGCCACCCATAAAACCTAAAAATATTACTCCAATTTTCCCTTTGACTTTCTGTGTAAAAAAGTGGCCATTGAGAAATTATCTGACCTATACCTTGTTTGAATATAGGTCTTATGACTGCCATTCCAGAGGGTCCTGTTCCATAGCTAGAAAGAAGAAATTTGTACTCAGAGTGGCCAAGAAGAATCTAGATAGACAGGCCTTGCTGAGTTTCCCCAATTAGTCTATTAGCATTAGCGTATAACCTTTTTTCTCCAATCATATTTCTACATGGTTATCCACAGTTTGTTGAACTTAAGCATAAAAATGAACAATTTCCCCTAGATCTTCGAATCTTCATTCTGAAGGTTGCTGTGTGTACACATTAAATAAATTTGTATGCCTTTTCTCCAATTAATCTGACTTATGTGAGTTGATTTTTCAGCAGACCTTCAGAGGATGAAGGGAAACTTTCCCCTTGGCCACTACATGCTTTTATTTCTCTATTTTTCTTTTCTCTCTCTAACCTTCCTGTGCGTAAAATGAACATTTTTAGAATATCATTTTAATTTACCTATAGTGTTTTAGAGTGTAGCTTTTTGAATAATATTGTGTGTTTGTTCTAGGAATTATATATTTATATAACTTATGACATCCTACTGGTGTCATCATTTTACCAATTCACATGAAATGTAGAAAGCTTTCTTCCCTTTACATCTTTATATCCCACCTCCTACCTATTTATATTTCTAAAAATAATTCCTATATATACATTTAGGACCATATCAAACATTCAGTTTTGTTTTAAGCATCAAACATAATTTAGAAAACTCAAAGAGAGAATAAAAGTCTATTGATTTTTGCTTATCATGTTCTTTCTGATGTTCCAAATTCCTTATTTGTTTCATTTCTATTTTAAAAAATGTCTAGTCATTTCTTAGGGTAGTATGTTGGTGAAACTTTTTTTAAGTTTTCCTTCATCAGATCATGTCTTTATTTCTCCTTTCTTCCTGAAGTATATTTTTGTTGTACATAGGATTCTGAGTTAGCAATTTTTTTTTTTTAAGCAATTAGAAAAATGTTACACCATTTCCATCTGGCCTCTGTGTTTTCTGATTGGATATTTGCTATCTTTTGAATTACTTTTTATTATATTTAAGATGTTATTGTTCTCTCATTGTTTTCAAAATGTTTTGTCTTTTGTTTGCAGCCATTTGCCTATGATGTGCTTTGGAATAAACTTCTTTTTTTTATCCTATTTGAAGTTTAATCACCCCCTTAAATTCTGTAGGTTTATGCCTTTTGCCAAATACAGGATTTTTTTTAGTGGTTATTCGAGTACTTTTTCAGCCCTGTACTCATTCTTCTTCCAGAAATATGTTGGCAAATGTTCGTTTTTTAAAAAATTCTCATAGGTCCTGAATTTCCCATTTATGTTTTCGTCTATTTTGCTACTGTTAAGATTGAGTTATATCTGTTGTTCTATTTTCAAGTACACTTAGTCTCTGCTTTGTATCTTCCGTTCTGATATTAAGCTTCTCCTTTGCATTTGTTATTTTTTAGTTCTAATATATGCATTGGGATTTCTTTCTATCTTCCATTTCTTTGCTAAAGCTTTCTGTTTTTTTCCCATTGGTTTCATGTATATGTGCAATTGCTTGTTGAAGCTGTTTAAAAATCTGTCAAATAGTTCTATCTTCTCTGCCATGTCAGTGTTGACAGCCATGATGTATTTTTGTATTCAGTTTGAGATCTTCCTTTTTCTTGATATAATGAGTGATTAAAACATGGATATTTTGGATATAAATTTGTGAAACTCTCAATCTTATTTAAAACTTCTGTTTCATCTCTTTTCTTCTTACACATCTCTTACAGGAAGAAAGGTACCCTCTTGTTACTGCCAGGTGGAATAGAATGATATTTTCTATTCAGCCTCCATTGGCATCCAAATGCCGAGAGTTCTTGTCACTGCTTAGCAGGGATGGGAGTTGTGGCTCCCCACAAGTCCTCTGTTTATAACTCCCTGGCTGGGAAGTGCTTTATTATTGCCCGTCACATGACCTCCATTGATACCATTGGGCATGACATTAATTTTATTTACACTAGGAAATGGTAAAAGTTCTGATTCATCACAAGGCCTCCTTTGAAACCTCCCAGTTAGGGAGAGGGAAGAATACCTTATTACTGCCAGGTGAAGGTGAGAAGGTAGAAGTCCAGACTCCCTACATGGTCTTCGCTGACAGTGTAGGAGTGGATGTGTCAGTGAAGGTGTGATTGCTACTGTCAACGATAATAATTTCCAGCTCATTGCTCATCTTCTATAACACTATAGCAACAGAGGCACTCAGGCAACTTGTCTACAGCCTGTCAAAGTTGTGAGTCTAGACTGCCCACTTGTCCTTCGATGGCATGGATGGGGCTGGCATCACAGTTATTACTGTGGTGCTTGGATGGAAAAAAAGAGTGGTTGTTGATTACAAGTTTTCTGCCTTGCTAGGGTTCCCTTTCCTTGTCCTTTGGCTACAGAAGGCAACTTGTTGTTAGAATTTTTGTCTGGGCTTGTTGGCATGTCTCGGTTTCTAGTTTATTCAGCCTCAAGTCTAAGGATATCTGAGGCAAAAAGATAACCCAAGGAATTCACCACTGTGTAATTCCTTCTTTAATTTTTATTTTTTGAGATGGAGTTTCACTCTTGTTGCCCAGGCTGGAGTGCAATGGCACGATCTCAGTGCACCGCTATCTCTGCCTCCCAGGTTCAAGCGATTCTCCTGCCTCAGCCTCCCAAGTAGCTGGGATTACAGGCATGTGCCACCATGCCCAGCAGTTCTTAGCCAATACTGCTACTTCTTTCCACCTTTCAGAGTCTTCTTATAATTCTTTAAATAAATAATGTTGAGGGTTTTTACTGGTACATGGTGGGAGGGATAGGGAAAAGCACATTCATTCCATCTTCCTGTAAGCAATAGTCCCATATGTACGTTTAAAGTCTCTGCTTGTGTAAGGTAGCTATTGTCTCACTAGTCATACCTAGTTACAAGACCAACCCTAAGTGGTGGAGAAACAGACGACATGCTTGATGGGAGAATCTTCGAAGTCACATTGCAAATGTATAGACACAGGAAGGGGAAGAATTGCCAGCCATTTTTATAACCTATTGAAACCTGTCTTATGAATGAAGGATGAGGAGGCACGAAGAGAAATGTGGACCAAAAGAGATCAATAGAAAAAGAAAGAAATAGAGAAAGAATGGGGGTGGGGGAGATCAACAAAGCTGTTGAAAAGATCAAAAGGGAAACCATTAATAACACCATTGTTGAGAAAAAAAACTCTATCAGTAAAAACTGCAGTATTACACAAGGGAATAATAAGAAAGTGTAAGAAGCAATTGAAAATGTAAAAGTGTCAAATTGAACAAACACGTCATTTCACATGGATGGTAAAAAGAACATAAGCACGCAGAGATAGTATGGCCAAGGCACTCTTATGGTCTTTTAGTTTCTTATTCTCTGGTGTGATGAAAATGTTTTCCTGTTTCCAATGTTGCAGAAGAAATGAAATAAGGATTAATTTTACATACTTTAGAATAAATTCTGACTTTTTAATATTTCTGAGATCTATTTTTTTCCCCACTTATGGAACATCCATGTTCTTCCATGTTATGTCTATCAGTGACTGGGAATAATTATGATATGGGAGTGCTGGGAAGGGAAGAACATGGTCCCTTTTAAATGATATGGAAGGGGGGAAGGGGGGAAGGGAAGTGCTGGGTAGAAGAGAACGTGGTCCCTGGGTAGGGCTCCATCCTCACCGACCTAGGTAAGGACAGGTCATCCGGCTTTTCTGCCAAAATGTTGCATTTTCCAAGACCATCCTGGCCTCCCACACCCCCATCCTGGGCCTCTAAAAACCAGAGACCCTAGCGGGCAGACAGAGACAGCTGGAGATTAAGAGGAGCAAACCGGCGGAGGAGGAAGACACAAGCAGCTGGTTGTTGACAGAACATCAAGAGGAGCATCCCCACAGAAGAGCACACAGACAGGCACTGGCACCCCAGTAGGCCATCCACCAGCAAGAGGAAATGGAGTTTGGCCCGGGCCATTGGAGGAGAGCTAGAACCTATGAGCGGCCCAACTCCAGGGGAAGACCATCTCCCTTCTGGCTCCCCCACTGGCTAAGAGCTACTTGCACTCAATAAAACTTTGCATTCATTCTTCAAGCTCACCTGTGATCTGATTCTTCCGGTATACCAAGGCAAGAACCTGGGATTCAGAAAGCCCTCTGTCCTTGCAACAAGGTAGAGGGTCTAATTGAGCTGGTTAACACAAGCCACCTATAGACAGCAAACTAAGAGAACCCTGTAACACACACCCACTGGGACTTCAGGAGCTGTAAACATTCACCCCTAGACACTGCCATGGCGTCAGAGCTCCACAGCCTGCCCGTCTGTATGCTCCCCTAGAGGTTTGAGCAGCAGGGCACTGAAGAAGTGAGGCATACCCCATCATACACCCTGTGAGGGGGACAAGGGAACTTTTCTCGTTTTAATTAAAGTTTGAGATTTCTTGCAACTTTCTCACTAAAAACAAACCGCAATGCTCAATCAGTACGTGGATAAGAAAACAGAGGAGATATATATGTAAAATGAAATACTACTCAGCCACCTGGATGGAGTTGGGGACCATAATTCTAAGTGAAGTAACTCAGGATATGTTCTCACTTACAAGTGGGAGCTAAGCTATGAGGACGTAAAGGCATAAGAATGATACAATGCACTTTGGGGACTCAGGGAGAAGGGTGGAAGGGGGGCGAGGGATAAAAGACTAAACATTGGATACAGTGTACCCATCTTGGGTGATGGGTACACCAAAATCTCAGAAATCACCACTAAAGAACTTATCCATGTAACTAATCACCACCTGTTCTCCAAAAGCAGATATAGTTATCTGCTTATATATGCAAAAATAAATATTGGAAAGTGAAACCAAAAACAAAAATAGTTACATATTGGGTCAGGGAAGGAGGGAGATGGAGGGGAAGGGGTAAGAATGAAGGCAAGACTTCTTTGAATATAACTTATTACAAAACTTTGACTTTGGAATCATGCAAATGTGTTATCTCTTTTTAAAAAAATCCAAAAAATAGGATGAACATAAGCAGCTTCCATATTCAGACTATTTTTCACTATTACTGTCATCTAACCTTCATGTCAACTGATTGCAAAACCTACAATAAGTGAACACAATAATCATAACATACAAATAATAAAAATAAATTATTGCTGTTAAACCCCGAAACCTCAAACTCCTTTTCTATTGATTCATTCATTTCTCAAAAACTGGCTCTAAGTTCAGTGTGCAAGAGAAGCAGTTCTGCAGAAACTGAGGAAACTCACTCCAAGTGAAAACTAACCAACCTTACCACAATGTAGCCTAGACAGTCATATGAAGGAACATCTCCGCACCCATAACACACCAACATGTGATTGTAAAGTGCGAAGTCAACTTCATTCTGTTTCTTATTTCATATTAGGTGTTAAGAGCTTTCCTTGTATTAGATACTATGCTACATATTCTACATAAATTATTTGCCTACTTTGATGTAAATATTATAATCACCATTGTACAGAGAAAATTGAGATGTAGAAGAGTTAATGACAAGCAGAAGGTCACCCTGATAGTAACAAAATTAGAAATTAAACTTAGTTTTTTCTAGTTCAAAGGTATGGCCACGTGACCATAAAGTCACATTGTCTCCCCAAATAAACCTCAAATGGCAATAACAGTGAGGCCAGAATCCTGGGAATGAGGGAATTGATGCCACCACTGTTGGAACTTTTGGCATTAAAGCAAAATTTGTGATGCTGAAGTTGAACATGGAAAGACTTCACACTTCTCCAAGGATGCTCAAACAAGCCACTTTAATAATAAAGTTTTAAGAAGAGTTTGAGAGAAAAATTGTGTTAACATGTTTAGCAGGTAGTGTTAGATTCTTACAAACGCTGCAATGCTTTCTTATTCTGAGCTTAAATTAACCAACACTAATATACTGTCCTGAGATACTAGATTCAGAGATACTTTGCAAATAAAAATCTTTAATCTTGTTTCCTTTCATCAATTTATCCTGCTTAGCTAGTACTAGAGCAAATACATTTAACCTGTGACATCTTAAATATCACATATTTTATTAAACCAATAAATACTAACATGTTTGAAATTAATAACTCAATAGGATGTCTGAAACTTAGCTCTACACCTCTATGAAAATAGACATTCCTTACAACTCTGTCCTGCTATAGTTATGAGAGCATCAAAATTGTGAGAAAGAAAATCATTCAAACAACAAAGCACAAATTATCTTAGACTGATTGACACCACTAGGAATCATCTGCATATATGTGAAATATAGAACTGTCTTTTCTCCCAAAGACCCATTGACAATGAAGATCCTATAGTAGGTCATAGTTTGGAAGAGGAAGAGGAGAAAATAAACTACCAAGAGTTAGGAGATGAAAAGACCCTAGAAATTACGTTTATTCATCCATTGCTTCATTTATCAGAATGTGCAGTTATCATTGAGCAGCATGCACAGTGAATGGAGTGAATTTTTGATTCATGCAGACTATGTTTTATACCCAACTCTTCTACTTCCTGGTATATTGTTCATTCTCTATAAGCTTCAGGTTTTCCATCTATACAATAGATTTTATTAAATTATTTTATTATGAAATGACCCTATTTATGGTGATACACATTCAGCATCCTTTGAAAATCCCCAATTCAAAATGTTCCACAATCCAAAACTTTTTGAGTGCTGATATGGCTCCACAAGTAGAAAGTTTCACACCTCATGTAATAAGGTGCAGTAAAAATGCAGTCAAAACTCTTTCATGTTGAAAATTATTTTAAAATATTTTATAAAATTACCTTTAAGCCATGTGTATAAGGTGTACATGAAACATAAATGAATTTTGTGTTTAGACTTGGGTCCCATTTCCAAGATATCTCACTATGTATATGCAAACATTCCAAAATCTTTAAAAAATCCAAAATTGGAAATACTTTTTGTCCCATTTTAGATATATTATACTTAATCCATATTTTTTGTCTTGAGCACTACAATATTCGATGTTAATATAGCAGCACCTGCTTCTTTATGCTTAGAGTTGGAATGGTATATATATGTCCTATCCTTTTATTTTCAATCGTTTATGTCTTTGTATTTAAAAAGTGTCTGCTGTAAATAGCATGTAATTGGGTCTTGCTTTTTGTCTACTCTGAAAATCTTCACATTTTGAGTGTTTAGACTATTTATATTTAATGTAATTATTGCATGGTTAGAGATGTCTACTATTACATTCTTTGTGTTTTACTAGCCTTTTTTTGTTGTTTTGTTTTCCTGTTCTACTCCTGTCCTCCTTTGGGTTAACTGAGTATTTTATATCTCCTTTCCTGGCTTTTTAGGCCAAATAAGGCTTTTTGTTTGAAATATTTAGCTCAGTGATTGGAACTCAACTTATGACAACTATCTCTCAGTTTTGGATAGCTATCTCTTAATCGTTAATTACTGTCAACATAATGAATAATCTACTATTGCTGACATCATGTAAAATCTATATGTATGGAGCATTGTTTTTGCCCTGAAGGGGACTTAGAATTTAGTGAGGAAATGTAATACATGGGTTATATACAAATGACATATGTCAAATTGAAAACACATACAAGCATGTTCAGTAAAGCATTGAAACAGGGTAGGTAGGATTTGGAGAAAAAGCATGAAAAATACATTTTCAATTGAGACATTGAGAAGAAAGGTAGTTTATTTGCAAATATTCATGTGTATTAAAAGAATGGTTATGTTAGCCAACTTTGATTGCTACAACAGGATTGAAATACAATCTACATATGTGACTATGTGGAGAAGATTGGACATAAAAGTGAGTGGATTCTGGATTAAAAGGTACTCTGTGCTCCACTTAGGGAATTCGAACCTCATTTTAGTGGCAATAAGGAGTTTCTAAATGATTTTAAATCATTTGGGCAACAGGATTTAATACATATTTACAAAAATCACACTGGTGGTTGTGTGAAGGGTATTTAAGTGGACAGAGAGAAGCCTGGGGGAAGAGAAGTCACACTCCATTTGTAATTTAAAGAAAATGGGAGTCAAAGAACTGCTGTGATATATCCAAGCCATAAACTATTAAAATTGGGGCATGACATAGACAATCCTGATCCCTAGTACATTTTTAATATGGTTACCTTTACCTGGAAGTTTTAAAAATTATCTATCGTGTACCCACATAATTGTTTCTGATGATATTAAAATGATGATTTCATAATGAAGTTGATATTTGCAGTCAAAATTATACTAACCTGAGTGTGAAATATGTCTCTCTCTATATATTTATATGTAAATTTTAAAGGGAAGAGGAAAAAATCGTGCATCACCTGAGTTATTTAGTGGCTATTTTAAGAGGACAAACTTTCTGTTCCAAACTTAACTGAGTATTACAAATACATTTTTAACCTGTTCCCTGAATAGGTTTCATACACATTGTGTCAGCCGAGTCATTTTTACTGCTTTTCCCTCTTCTCCATCTTAACCTAGACACATGATTGACTGGAGACTATATTTGACTGACAGATATAACAATTTAAATACAAACACTTATTAACCCTGCAAGAGCATCTTAATAAAAGAACATGGAGATAGACATACAAGGTAGATATGCTGATTTTGAAGCCAATTGCATTGTACCTTAATGTGACAGAAGCAATGAATCAAATGAAAGTCTGTGTGAAATAATTCCAAAGATTTTTTTTCCCACACATTTAAATCAGCACCTCCATGTAGGCAAGCAGTGCTAAAGGATTATGCAAAGGCTTAATACTCTCTTTTGCACCATATAGTATTTCAACTTAGACTCCAATTCTCTTGTTATTTTTTTCCATTCTTGCAAACCTGAGATGTCTTCAGGAATTCATTCATTTTAATCTGTTCTATGACCATGGTTGGACCTTGACCCTGCTAGAACGACTTATAAATCTGAGTCATTATTTCTGGGTAAGACAATGGGCAAAAAAGGTATATGATAATAACTGCTAACCATGAAGATGGTACTATATTAGATCCTTTACATTATTAGCTCATTTAATCTTCACAAAAAACAAATGGCATAGGTAATATATTGCCTTTATTTACAGATGAGGAAACTGAAAGTCCAAGATTTTTTAAAATTTGTTTTTTTTTTTTAGATTCAAGGGGTACATTTGCATGTTGTTACATGGATATATTGTGTGCTGATAGAGAGGGCTTCTAGTATATCCATTACCCAAATAGTAAACACTATACCTGACAGGCAATTTTCAATCCTTGTCCCCTTTCCATCTACCCCTCTTTTGGAGTTCCCAGTGTTTATTATTTCCATCTTTATGTACCTGTGTACCCATTGTTTAGCTCCTACTTATAAGTGGCAACATGCAGGATTTGAGAATCTAAAAATTTATGCAATTCCTCTAAGAGCAAACATTTAGTAAGTAGAATCCCAAATTAGAATCTAGGCATCTGCTCCAGTTCCCAAACTTTTAAACTCCAGGGCTCTACTACATATTGGGCATCACGACTGAACAAGTATTTTCAGATGCAAGTTCTGCTGATGGGTGATGGGAAATGACTTTCTAATGGTAGCCATCTTTCATAGTTGCATCTCCATGGAATCTAAAATTCTTCCACATGACAATTTGTTAAATCTTTCTAATAATCTTGCAAAATAAGTATTATTCATATTTCCAATAAACAGTAATAGAAAGCTGAGAGGCTAAGTGAGTTTTTCAAGACTATTCAGGGAAGAAGCATAATTGGTTTTTCCAATAAGTTAGACTTGTGTTCAAATCTAGACTCTGCCCTCTACAATGCAGAAAACTAAATTCAGTGAGCTGAATTTTTTCTTTTGCCTGTGAAATAAATTCCTCTTTAGACAAGTATTCTACTCAATACAGTGCCTGCCACTTGGTATCTGTGCAATACATATTTTTCATTTGTTCAATCTGTGGAATCTTTTCATATCGTCTAATTTGTAGGACTAGAGAAGCAAAAAAGGAAATGCCAAAATCCTCAGCAAGGACTGTATTGTCATAGCCAAACATTCTAAAGAGGATTTCATAACCTTAGAAAAGCAAAGACAAAAAAGGCGAATTTTAGTAAGTGGCACTGTCCTTCATGGACTAGAGAAGACAAATCATCTTAACATTTTTCTATTGTTAGGGTGACTTCAACTTAGTCCAGTTTTAAGTCTAGCTAGTAAAAATCATTGAGCAAGGGCATTCTGCTTCCAGGAAGGTGGAGTAGATATACTTTTCTCTAGTCCTCCTTCTAAGTACAACTAAAAACCTTTGATATTGTAAACAAAGCAAATATCAGAAGACTGAAAGGTAGAGAGAAGACGACAAACCAACCAGGGACCTTAGGGCGTGAGGAAAAGCATAATGATAATTTTTTTTTTTTTGCATTTTTTTCCTCATATACCCCAGACTTGGAGCTGAAGAAGCAAGCAAACTAGAAATGCCAATAGGCACAGGAAAAAGAAAAAAGCTCCAATGGAAGCCTATTGTCTCTAGGCAACAGACCAGGAAAGGAACAGTCTAGGAAGACAGACAACTTTTAGATGGTAACTGTTATACTCTATATAAATACCACAGGAAAACTCATGGCTCTGACCTCCATCCACGCCATTAGTTGGGTAGGGATCTTGGACTTGTATCCTTATAAAGCTATAATGATGTGCCCAACAACCCTGATGTGTTGACATCAATGAATGCCAAGTGGAGACCATGGATGTTCATCTTCTTAGAGTGGTAATAAGCTCCCCTTTTCCCCTCATCCCTGGGTCCTGTATTCCATACCCATACAACTGTAATGAGGTGCTCCTTCCTTCTCTTCTGGGGTTGTGTCAATGGAGGCCCAATAGAGAGTCAGAACTTATATCATTTGGTAATGAGGCCAAACATACCAGTGTCAGGGAAGACCATGAGGAAATCTGAAACTCCTGCCCCAGTGCAGACCAGTGTTTGAGATTTTTCCAACATCAGGAAGACTTCCTGCAGCTGTCTCTTTCTCTGTTTCTGAAAAACTGGCTACCCTACAGTTTAGCCTGTATCTCCAGTGAATCTATAAATCTCCTCCCAACTGTCTTTCAACATGAATTCCACTGTTTTTGAGAGTACTCATAGGCTTGATCTTCTCTACACTTTTGTAAATGAGGTCAGTTGCTTTGGGGAAGTATTTGGAACTCTGTTCTATGGCCTGTAATTTCACTTAGAAAATATCTCTGAACTAGACTCTGGTGCTGGGGGTAGGGAAAATGGCACGCTTGTGTCTGAGTGACAACCTCAGTTCGGGAGCTGAGGACATGGTGGATGAGGGAGTCAGCAGCCCCAAGTCTCCTTGGTTTGCCTGTGTGGAACCTCCAGCCTTTAAGGGCAATTAGGGCCCCAGTATTCCTAGTGGTGCCTCATCCAAGGTAGAGTTCTGTTCTCATGAGTAAGGGGCAGGAGAAGGGATTCCTGACCTCTTGACTGTACTCATCTGAAACTTACTTTCAATGGCAGACAGTGGGGGCATGATAAGAATTTGCTGACATTCTGCCATTCTCAGAAGATAGCCCTCATATTGGGAGCTGAGGAAATTGGGATTCCTACATTCTTGGCTGTGCCATTCTGGCGTGGAATTTCTGTCTTGCTGAGTTGGGAAGGGGAAGTAAAAGAATAGATTTTGGTTCAAATACCACAAACTCTCATAATTCTTACAGAGTTTTGTAGATTTTCTTGATTTTTTTTTTGTTTTTGCTGTATACCCTTAGGATCATTTCAAAAAGCATTAATTTAGTTTTGATAGTTTTCATCAATTTCACTGGCAAGTGGCTCAGCAGAGATCCTCACTGTGTCATGCCAGAAGTGGAACTCCTCTCTATTATTCCTTCCAACTACAATCTACCTGATCTCAAAAGAAAATAACTTAAAAAACTGAATAGTGTCTTAGATTATCTCCAAGACAGGATATTTTTGTGCAAGTGATTTTTGGGGAGAGGCTTTTAGGAAAAGGGGAGTGAGGAAAGGAGAAGGGGCAGGGAAACGCACTAAGCAAGGTTGTGGTCTCAGCTAGAACCCAGCTTCAGGCTGATCCCCTAAGAATTATGGAACACAATTTTTCACTACAGATTGGCTCCATCTTGAGACAGGTCAGTCACTCATTAAATTCAGGTTGTATCTGGGGGATGACTGCCTCTTTGGCAAGGTGGTGTGTAGATACCAAGGGCAATTACCTGCAGGAAAGGCCAGCTGTGACCAATTAGCAACCAACATTGACAACAGGTGGGGAGTGGGTGCACTTGCCAAATAAAGAAGATGTGAGTGACACACCAACAGTACCTATTACTCCTAACCATTCATTTATTCTGTCATTCATGTATCAAGGTGAACACTCTTTCAGGGGCTGGAGATACCAAGATAAATGAGAATCAATCTGTGTCTTCTGTATGTCAAGAAAGTGATTGAAATAACAAATTGTTATTGTAAATGGGCCATGCCAGGTAAATGAAATAATCACTTTGTCCATGGCATATAAAACAATACAGCTGACCCAGCAGTTCTGAGGTGCTCCCTTCCCATTTGAGGAAACATATTCACAACATTGAAATAATTTGTTCAACATCTCACATATTGTTTTCTCATTCATTTTAACAAAGAGCTATTAAGCACCTTGCTAGGCACTATTGTTATAAGGAGAAATAAGCCAAGACCTAAACTTAAGGAGCTAACTGCACAGTGGGGAATTGAGAAGTAGATCAGTGAATGCAGAACAGTCTGGGAAGTGCTACATTAAAGGTCAACTGAGGAACAATGGATTCACAGGGGAGGCTTTGCTTCCAGGCTGAGAATTTGCTTGCCTTTCTTGATTTCTAATTCAGTTCTCCTTTACTAAGCTACAGACAGAACCACTGGAGGGGAAAGAGTTCTTGAGGAATTCCCGAGGGTTTACATTAAATCATAATCATGTTAAATGTATCAGTCATTCCATTATGCACTGCTAGAGTAAACTCACTATTAAAATTTATCATGGTTATAAATAAAAATAGTGTGTTGTTTTGCTTCCATAAATTTAACTATGTGTTCTAAAATAAATATAATCACATTTATTGGCACACTTAGAATGGGTAGCCTTGTGAAAATTATTTCTACATGTTAAAAGAGAGCAGGGGAAAGAAACTATCAGGAAGAACATACAGAGTATTATAACAATTGGAAAATTATTTTTATACTTAATAGAAAACATTATGAGAGCATGTTTGAAAAAATCTTACTTCACAGCACTTTGATTATGTTGCCCATACACTGGAACGCCTCCTGTTATTTCATCATCAATTAAATCAGAGAAAACATTACAAAAATGAAAACATAGTACAAAACAAGAAAAAATCTTTATGCTATGCTTTTTTTCTATTTTATTGAAAATAATAGCACATTTAAAAAAATTTCTTAGACATTTTAAATATCTTCTGATTCATCATGTTTCCTGATTTTAAAATTACTATTTCAGGACTGGGCACAGTGGCTCTGGCCTGTAATCCCTGCACTTTGGGAGGCCAAGGCGGACAGATCACTTGAGGTCAGGAGTTCCAGACCAGCCTGGCCAATATGGCGAAACTCCATCTCTAATAAAAATACAAAAATTAGCTGGGCCTGGTGGTGTGTGCCTGTAATCCAGCTACTTGGGAGGATGAGGGAGGAGAATCTCTTAAGCCTGGGAGGCAGAGTTTGCAGTGAGCCGAGATCATGCCACTGTACTCCAGCCTGGGCAACAGAGTAAGACTCTGTCTCAAAAGAAAATAAATAAATAAATAAATAATAATAATAAATTGCTATTTGATCATTTGGGAAATTTTGAAAATATAAAAATGTATATGTATTATAATCAGATGTTTCTAGGGTTTGACTTGTATCAGGCAAGCTGTTGAGCAGTTATTTTTTGTCAGAATATGAGAGTAACTTTTACTAGTTTGTAAAAAGTATTGCTTTTTGCTAAATTTTAATTGAATTTAGATAAGTGTCTATCATTTGATGTAAGTATATGAATAAATAGATGTACTGGTACAACATATCATATTGCTGAGTTTGGTAAAATTACATTGCTGTTTGTCACGTCTTTTATCCCATCGTGAACTATGGCAGACTGTATCAAGTAGCCTACATTCCTTACTCCTCTTCACAGCCATATGCTTTGCCATGTGACTTTGAAGTATCTTTTAGTGAAGGAGTATCATATGTTTCCCTATCTCTTGATTTTGGGTATAGTCATACAACTTGTTTTGCCAGTGGAGATAGAAGTTATTGGAGCTCAGGACACATTACCCCAAAATATGACTGTAGGAAACCAGAATATGCCAACCCAATACCATACTTTTTTGAAATATTTTGAGCTGGTTATTTTTGAGAAATTGCATACACAGGAGTAGCTCTGAAAAGCTGTTCTTTTGTAAAATAAAATGATGTCTATAGGAAATCTACATTAAAGTATCTGTATCATGGAGAAGCCTGTTTTATCCGCGTCCTCTGTAAACAGCCACAACTGTAGCCAAACTTTAGGACTAAGTTTGTGTAAACTGATGTATAGTCTGCTCTCTGAGTGATGGTCCTAGGGAAGAGGTCCATGCAGACCCTTGAAGTGGGCTTTGGGCTATTTGAGCTTGGAATTTATTGGTCCTAGGTACCTGGATGGTTTAGAAGGAGGGTATGTTTCCTTGACTTTGTGGACTGTGATCTCTGGAGGCTGGTATGGCTGGAGAGAAGAAGAGGTCTCCAGAGTGTGTCATCTGAATCAAAGCCCTGCTTTCCCAAATCTAATAGTAATACTGATGCATACAGTTTGATATACCTATTAATTTATTAATTCTATTATAAGCACTGTATATAAGAGATCTATTAAACGATGAGAGCTGTATTACAATTTCTCACTTCTATTGCATTGCTGTGTCTTACTTTGTTTTATTTTCTTTTGAAAAAACAAATTCTATCACCTTCATATCTGATGTTTGTACCTGTTTTAATCATATTATGAATTATAATAGGAAAAAATATACTCTTCTCCATGGGTACTGTTTTGGATAAGACGAGAATGTGTTTTTATTATCACATTTTATTTTCAATTTGTAAAAACTATGGAGAAGAAAGTTCAGGTGCATTCACCTTGAACTATATCTAATAATGTATTCTAAATACAGTTAAAATAAATAATATGCTGCAATTTCTTTTCTTCCCAAATGGCATAAGTAGATTAAACATGGGCTGGGGCTGCCATAACAAAAAATACAAACCATGTGTCTTAAAACAACAGAACTATATTGTTTCGTACTTTTTCAGGATAGATCTTTAGAATCAAAGTGTCTGTAGAGTTGGTTCCTTCTGAGGGCTCTGAGAGAGAACTGCTCTTGATGTCTGGCAATTCTTGGTATTCCTTGGCTTGTAGATTCATCACTCTGGTCTCACCTCTTTCTTAAGATGATATTCTCCCTGTGTCTTCACATGACTATTTTCTTATAAGGACTCCAGTCATACTGCACTCCAGTATGACCTATCATCTTAATTAATGCGTCCATAATGCCCCTACTCCAAAATAAGGTCATAGGTACTGGAGGTTAGGATTTCAATATACCTTTTCTAGGGAACATAATTCAACCCATAATGACTTTTCCTCTGGCTCACAAAGAATTCATGTCCTTCTCACACGGAAAATACATTCACCTCATCCAAACAACCCCCAAAGTCTTAATGCAACTAAAAAATGTCTTTTTTTTTTTTTGAGACGGAGTCTCACTCTGTCTCCCTGGCTGGAGTGCAGTGGCATGATCTCGACTCACTGCAACCTGCGCCTCCCAGGTTCAAGCAATTCTCCTGCCTCAGCCTCCCGAGTAGCTAGGATTACAGGTGCCTGCCACTATGCCTGGCTAATTTTTGTATTTTTGGTAGAGATGGGGTTTCACCACGTTGGCCAGGCTGGTCTTGAACTCCTGACCTTAAGTGATCCACCCACCTCGACCTCCCAAATTGCTGGGATTACAGTTGTAAGCCACCATGCCCAGCCCTAAATGCCATTTTTAAAACACAACTACATCTGGTCTGGGTGACACTCTTGATACTATTCATCGCGGAACAAAATTCCTTCCATCTTTCAACCTGAGAAACCTAGACAACAAGATATCTGCTTCTAAGATAAAATGATGTGACAGGTATAGGACAGACATGTCCATTCCAAATAGAAAACGTTAGAGGGAAAAAGCATCACTGGTCTAAAGTAAGTTTGGAACTTAGTGAGGCAAATTCTGTTAGGTTCCGAGACATGAGGATAATTATCTGTGCCTTAATGCTCTTTCCTCTGGGATTTCTGGGATGGCTGCACTCATTTGGCCCCAGGCAGTGGCTCCACCCTCTTGGACCTGGGTGGGAGCCCCATGCTCTGGAACCTAGGAAGTCCCATTGGCCCAGGCCTCTGTATCCATGACTGTTCTAGGAGTTGTTCTTCCTTCATTTCATCCCATATCTATTCTTTCAGTACAGGCATGCAGTGTTTTTCGTTTTTGTTATTGTTGTTTTGTTTTTGCTGGTATAAAATTCTCAAAAACCTTGTGGGTCATCTGTGGATGTTGAAGGTATTCACAAAGCTAGACACCAGGGTTCTCAACAAATCCTTCCTGGATAACCACATCTCTATTCCTGGCTGTTCCTGAGATGATTGACTGAATCCGTGAATCACACGCCTTTAGCAATCTCTTTGATAAATGTCTGTCTAGCCATAGTTTTGGCCCTTTTTCCAGAGCATGCTATCTGGATAGTTGAGAATATTGCAAATTATCAAGTTGAGGACTAAATTCTGACCTTGAATTTCTCCTGCCCCAATTCCTAAAAGATCTGAGGAGCCAGACCCTACAAACCATAAAATCTCTTTAGACGGGTTTTTATTAATGCTATATAATGTGACTTACTTTCTAACCTGTCTCTGGTATAGCATCTCATGACCGATAGCAAACCCTGAGGAAAATAAAAATATTTTACCCCCAAATATATTTATTTGACATATTTTGAAACGGGTGCCATAGGGCCACGAGATTGAAATGGCCCTGCAAAGCTTCTTGTTGAAGAAAGGTACACCTGTAGAGAATCTTTATGAATGCAAACAGGCCTTCCCCTTCTAGGCATTTCTCAGATCTAGGAGAGATTAACTGAGAACCTGACACCTTTAGAGTTTGAAAAGAGACATCTGGCATCTATTTTCTCTGAGGGCTACCACCAATAAGTCTTCAACTACAGGACAAGGGTTTGGTCCCCACTCCCTTAACTCAAACGTTCTTTTCTACTGACTTCAAGTCTTTAGACAATAGCTGACCTCTCTCAACCAATTGTCAACTAAAAAAATCCCTAAAATCCACCTGTGACTTGTAAGCCCCACCCCTATCCCCAAATGTCCCACCTTTTCTGGCCAAACCAATGTATAGCTTCCATGTATCAATTTATAATTTTACTGGCAACTTCTGTCTCCCTGATATGTAGACTATGAAACTGTAACCTAGTTGCCTCAGGTGCACTTTCTCAGGACCTCTTGAGATTGTGTAAACCTGGGCCACAGTTGCTCATATTGGCTCAGAATAAATCTCTTTAAATATATTTTGGCAGAATTTTTTTTTTTCACTGATCAAAGTGCTGGTTCCTTTCTGTTAGTAGTTTCTTCTTTGATTTTTCTCTTTCCTTTCACAGTTTACTATTAGCAGAAAGGAGAAATCAGGCCACACCTTCCACTCTTTGCTTGGAAATATGTTTAATATTCCTGTTTGTGACTCAGCTACTTCTACATGTTCCATTGTTTTACAACATCCCACTTCCTTGTACCAGAATCTATTAGTTTCCTAGGACTGCTGTAATGAAGTACCACAAACTGTCACTTAAAACAACGGAAATGTATTGTCTCACAGTTCTGGAAGCTAGAAGTCTGAAATCAAAGTGTTGTCAGGGTTGGTTCCTCCTGGAGGATCTGAGGGAGGATTTTTCCATGCTTCTCTCCTAGCTTAGGTTTACATTGCTTATCTGCCAATCCTTGGTATTTGTATTAGTCAGTTCTCATGCTTCTACTGGGTAATTTATAAAGAAAAAAAGGGTTTAATAGACTCACAGTTCATGTGGCTGAGGAGGCCTCACAATCACGGCAGAAGTCACAGGAGGGGAAAGGCATAGTGTTATACCGCGGCAGGCAAGAGGGAGCTAGTGTAGGGGAACTCTTCTTTAAGAAACCATCAGATCTCGTGAGACTTATTCACTATCACAAGAAGCATATGGGAAAGACCCACCCCCATGATTCAATTACTTCCCACCAGGTCCCTCCTATGATACAGGGGAATTATGGGAGCTACAATTCAAGAGAGATTTGGGTGGGGACACAGCCAAACCATATCAGTACTTATAGATGCATCACTCCAATTTCTGCCTCCATCTTCCCAGAGTTGCTCCTGTGTCTCTGTGTCCTCACATGGTGGTCTTATAGGCTCTTTGTCAAATTGGATTAGGGGCTCACCCTACCCCAGTATAATTTCATCTTAACTTGTTACACCTGCATCGACCCTAGTTCTAAATAAGGTCACAGTGTAAAGTATTAGGAGTTAAGATTTCAACATATCTTTTGGTGGTACACAATTCAATAGTTTCGGAGAAGAGAATACATTTTTTAAATCACTTTTTTTCTGTTTATAAATCTATGGAGAAGGAAGTACAGTATCTTGAACTGTGTAAGGAAGTATATAGTACCTTGAACTATGTATCTAAGAATGTGTTCTAAAATCTGTTAAAAAAGACAGCAACAACAACAATAGTAATTCCCTTTCTTGTTAAATGATATAAGTGGATTAACCTGGGCATTTATTTCTATACTTTTCTGAAATCTCACAAAAATGAAGCAAAGACATAAAATAGAAACGGTTCAGAGTAAAGAATATAAGGAAGGCAATGAGAATTGCAAAACTCAGAAAACTGGAGAGCAGACAGGCAAATTAAAAACCGATTTAACACACCTGGGAAAGCTGGCCCCTAATTAACAGTATGGGAAATCTAGAGGCCAGGAGAGTTATAACAGAGACTCCCTCACCACATGCATAAACAAATCTTAGTGATTGGGGGCTGCAAGAGCGCTGAAATGGGGAAGCAGGTGAAGTTAACAATTTGGGAAATGAGTGAAAGTGTATATTAGAAATAGGTGTCCCAGATCGCTTCGTTGATCCTTTTCAACTGGGCAAATGCCCGTCCCTTATTTCAGCACAGAGCAACGTGCTAATTTGCCTGCAAGTTTGAAACAGAGGGACTCTGAGCATGAGGAATCCAACACAACCGTGAATGTAAAAGCATAGCATGAAATCATAGAGATGAAGAGAAAGTCAGAAAATGGTGACAAGTCAACTTACACCCTCAGTCAAGAGAGGATTCTTCTCTGGAGAAACAAGAAAAAAGACGTTGAGTTACAGAAAGTTGAGGAGTCTCCCCCAAAATGAAGGAGTCAAAGGATCATCCAGGAAGCCACTCCTAGAAAGGCCACAGCTTCCTTCTTACCATATGAATACTAAGGCAAGGACCACAAAACAGTTGAGGAAAAGCCCTAGCATCACAGACAGAGGCCAAAACAGAAACAAACAAAAACCAATAAAAATAATCAAAAAGAGGAAATGGAGATAATGTGGAAAGCAGACAGCAACCTAAAAAATAAAAACAATAAATATCCTCAGAAAATATAAAGGCTATTTTACTCTGAAACAAAAGTAAAAGCAAAGAAACAGGAGCATTCAGATTTATAAAAACAGATCAATGAACTTGAAAATATGATAGCAGAAATTAGAAGGACTAGAAGAGAAAAAAACACTCCAATTAAAAACTAAAAAATAGGTTTTAAAAGTAGAGAGCAATTCATGGACTTTAATATCTGAAAAACAGGAGTTTTAGAAAAGATACAACTAAGAACTAATTCAAGAAAATATTCTCAAATGAAAGGATAAGACTGTTTAGAATTTAAGTGCCTAAATTGTGGCAAATGAATGAAAAGCCACATATGTTAACTAACATTGTCATAATGTATATTTGTTCTCCCGAACACTTTAGAGAAATAAAATATCTCAAATTCCCACAGAGGGAGTAAATTAGTAATATATACAGAATTGGGAATCAGATGACCTGGAACTTATTAACGGCAGCACAGGAAGCAATTACTTCAGAATTTTGAGTGATAAAAAAAAATCCACCAGACATCTATAATTATTCAAACTATGAATCAAATAAGAGAACAATTGATATTTTTATACAAGCAAGTTCTCAAAACTTGTATCACCTCATTTTTATTAGGAAGATACTGGATTATGTGTCATAATTTTGTATCATCAAAATTATGGAATAAGTCAAGCTACAGGAAAACGTGGAGTCCGAGAAAAGGGCCGCAACATAGGACCAAAGAGAAAGACATTGTTGGGTGATGTTAATAAGGGAGTTGCAAAATAGAGAGCTGTGCAGCAGGTCTAGAGAGATGGAGAGATGTGGAGCTATGGGACTTTTGGGATCTGAATGAGGGCATAAGGGCAGTGTGCATCATTCTGGGGAGTAATCTGCCTGGACTTATTCAGATGTACAAACTGTGACCCAGCCCTTTTGCTCCTGGGTATATATCTCTGTGGTGTTTTCACAAAAGACTAGAAGGGAGATGTAGATGAGGCTGATCTATGCAGTGTTTATGAAGGTAGAAGTTTATGAAGGTGTCCATGTCTGTGCTACATCTTAAGTAAAACAAAGTAGATCTGCAGCAATTAGCAGTACATTGCTAACTGCACACATAGCAACATAGATTTTATAAGGAAGGTGCTGAGTAGAAAAAAGTGAGAAACAATGAGATTTAAAAGCCTATACTATTTATGTAAGTTAAGAACATGTATAAATAGAAAGATATACTTTAAACATGTTAGAACACACCAGTAAGTGGTGTAGAAAAGAACTGTGGAAATAAAAGGAAAAAACAAATGAGCAAATAAAACCAGAGAAGGATCTTCTTACAGGACTAGTGCACTCTGTCTTATTCTCACTTCCTTCAACTCTAGGTAAAAGCCCTGTGAGACCTACCCACTGCCTGGCCTTGAGCTTCATCCTGGATCCTCCACTATACCCATGAAGAGAAGACAGCAAAATCTCTTCTTCCCATTCTCTAGAAACTCTATGACACTATTTCCCAGATAACTAAAGGAATTTTAATGAACTTTATCACTGACAGAATTGAGAATGTAAAAGTTTCATCTTTGTAACGGAATTGCATAATCCAATAGCTTAAAAATATAAATAGAAAATGACACCTCTAGGCACATACATAAAATATTTGTTTCCTAACATATAAAACGATAATAAAAGCTTCTGCTTTTAGGGTTATTTGAAAATTAAAATGAAATTATGTATGTAAAATGCTCACCATAATACCTGGCCCAGGGTAATGCATGCAATAAATAGTAGATACATTGAATGAGTTCATTGCAAAAATGTGTTTCGAAGATGGTTTAACTGGAATTCTAAGAAATAATGTTAAAAGAGATGGCTAGATATCTAGGTGAGGGCCAAAACACAAATTTAACCCTTAAATGACTGGAAGTATAAAATTCGAATCCCTAATGACATCATTGTTAATTAATTAACATTTATTAAGAGCCTGCTACTTACCTAGTAACTAATCTCCAAGAGAAGACAATGTGTATGGAGTGCAAAAAAAGGCTTCAGATTTCAGAGAATGTTTCCTTGACCAGCCTATGTATAAGTTACTGTCCAAGCATGGTCTGAACACAGAGGCCTCTGCAGTCTCTCTTGTTACTGATCTGTGTTGAAATTAGAATAGTAATTGAGAGTAAACATTTAGATATTTTTACAACTATTTCATGGAGTAATTTCATTTTTTTATCTACTAACTGTAAAAACTAAACTTGCATTTTTGTATTATTTTTCTGGTAATATATTCATATAATATTTTATAGAAGTTTTGTCCAGTAATGGATTGGGAGAAAATAACAGTTCACATCTCACTTAGACTATGAATAGTTTGGAAAGTGTGATCCAAAGTGAGTCCCTATTTCAATCACTCTATCAGATCATCCTACTTTATTTTCCTTATAGAAATTATAACTAATTAAAATTAACACATTTGTTGAATTTTTATCTTTTCCTTCTCCTTTTACTAGAGGGTAATCTTCTCAAAGAGGGGTATCATTCCTCTTATTCATTAACTAGAACAATGTCCAACATATACTAGATGCTAAATAAATTTCAGTTGAATGAATATATTGATTAAATTTCAGCTGCTGTTTTTATCACGGTAACAACTGTTGTCAGCCAGAGGCCGACTGGCAAAGCTGTATGTGGGTGTAGCTTCTAGCAGCAGTGAGGTGATAAAGACAGTGGCTTCACTCTCCAAACCACAGGACTCTCAGAATCTGTGACTCCAGAAAGCCTTTGGGATTTTATGAATAATTAACTTCTCCGAATGACAAAAGTCTACTTTCTCACCAGTTTGTGGGCTAATTATAAACCTTTTTTAAACTAAAGCTTTCTAACATCTATTGTTAAAGTATCTGAGTTAAATATTCTATATGCTTGTGGTAATAAACTATATTTGAAAAAGATGTTTTTTATTCATTTTCAAATCATTTTCTAATTCAGAACAACCTCTCTTGTCCTATTAGTGTGAATTACAGATTCTTCACTGTCACTGTCATGGTTAAAAGAGAGTAAGTTAATTTAGATTCCTGGATGACTAAAGCTGGAAGGATATTTTTAGTGACTCTAATGACTGGATCTTGTGGCTTGCTGCAAAGACAGTATTAGAAGCTGCTATTCAAGTTAGAAAGGGGTGATGAAGAGATATTGCAAAGGTTTGGGGGAAGATGGGGGAGAGATGGAAAATAGGGAAAACTGCTTTCCAATTACGTAATAGCAGATACCATTCCTGTCCTTACAGAAGGTCAGAAATGCAGCAGCTGAAGCCATCACATAATAGACAATTTGATGATAGTAACTAAGAAAACACAAAAGGCGTCTAATCTCCCCCCTATTGATAAAGCTGTCTGAGGTAGATCAATTTAGTCATGGTTGTTGTTAGGAAATTGCTCTTGTTTGATGTTCCACAAGCAGATCATGTAGTTTCCTAGGAAACATCCTTTTTCACTTAAATCTAATTCTCCCACGTTGCGGGATCTGATGACTCACTCAGCCTGACTTTTCTCACACTTCTCTCTGCCCATTAAAAAGGACCCACCAGCTGGAAATCCGCTAAATGAAATGAATTTATTAGCTCTTTTCACCTTGTTCTTCACTTAACTCTTGTGTTCTTTCCTTATAAGTCTAACTGCTTCCCTGATGTGAAGGGTTAGAAATAAGGAAGGAGCTAGCTGTGTGATGTGAGCAAGTGTTGAGCACTGAGTTCTGTCAATTTCTTGGTTATTAAGCTATATTTCAGCTTCTAGCTTTAAATGGAAAACATTACATGCACAGAGACATTTTTTCCTTGTACCCAGTAGTGGAATTTGATAGCAATTTCATTTAATTTCAGATTCCCAGTCACACTTTATGGTAATGACAGAAAAAGAGAAGAAAGGGAGGGAGAGACAAAAGAAAAGAGTGGGGTGGGAAATAAGAGAGGAACAATGAAACTAAGAGAATTTGAACAGGTGTTTTAATTCTTATCGGAGTCAATATAAGCAATGCCACACACACACACACACACACACACACACACACACACACACAACTAGACACTGAAGCTAATAGAAATATAATTTTAATTTGTTGGTGAAGTGCAGCTATACAACACATTTTTAAGAAATTAAAGCAGCATGTTCACATCTCCTAAATATGCTGAGTCCACAGTTAGTGGAGCTGGCACATTCGAAGCTTAGTTGTTTCTATGGTAACATGGGCAAAGGCATGGGTGATAGAGGGAAGTCTGCTGAGATTTAATGTGAATAAAGGATTTTCAGAGCAAAAAAATCAATGACGTTTTGCTCAGATGGTAGCAGAAACCCACAATAGTGGAAGGCTCAAACTGCTGACAGTGGGTACTCTCTTGGCTGATCTGTGCTCTGCAACAGTCATACTGTTTTTATCCCCCTTTTTGCTATACTCGTTGAATCTTCGCTGTATGCCAGAAACCATACTAATTGCTTTCCTTATGTTATCTTTATGTGATATGAGGTATGGTATCATTACCATCATTTTACAGATAAGAAAACTGAAATCTAGCATTGGTAAACGTTTTGCCTAAACTCATACAGCTCAGGACAGTTTTAGGACTTGTTCTCAGCTCTGATATCCATGATCTCTGTCGCTTCTACATTCTTTCACTCACAGGTAAATTAATTGGTTTTCTTTAGGATGAGAGATTGCAGAGGCTTGTAAAATGCCTGTGGCTGAGCCACCAAGCCACTATTTCATTCAAACAACTGTAAATATATCTCAAGCCTAGGTGGGTCTCACCAATGTGATTCTTAACAAAAGCATGATCGATATAGTCAGGACCTACACTTTTGCAGTAAAGTTACTTGGAGCAGAGTTGTCTGGAAAAGACTTTCCAATATAGCATCATGCAATCTCCAGAAATCATCTTCATTCCTAGGATATGGAAGTAGAGATGACCTGTTTTCCAGCCATCTCCTATGCTGAATGTTCCTAATGCTGTCTGTTGTATCCATATGGAGAGAAGGAGTTGTGGTGGGACACCTTTCACTGGATGACTAGCAGTGAAATCACCTTTGGGTAGAACCATAGCAACAACCTGTATGAATGATCACTTTTATCTGCTTCCAACCTTAAGATTCTCAGTAACACTGATATGTTGAATAGGCTCCATTTATAAGACTCTTCTTGAAAATCAGTTGTCTAGTTCCAAGACCATGCATATCAGTCTTTAATGCATAACAAACCACCATAAAAATTCAGTGACATGCAACAATAAACATGACTATGGAATTCAACCGAACTAGGGTCAGGTTTGGGGCAGACTCACATATCTGCAGCTGTCTAGAGCTCTAGACTCCATCTAGAATTAGGGAGACTATATTCATGTGTCTCTCGTCTTCTTCCTGGGTTCAGTGGACTAACCTAGCCATTTTCTCCTTCATGGTGATAGAAGAGAGTTCGGAGCACAAGTGGAAACACACAAGGTCTAGTGAAACACTATTATTTCCACTGAACTCTATTCGAAAAGCGAAGTCATGCAATAGCACCCAAAAGATAAATATCTTGCTCCCCACAGTGAGAAAGTGCCACAAATTTAAGTGGCAAAAGGTGTAGGTACAGTGCAGATAAAGAATCGCAGTTAATCATGCAATCTACCAGAGACAATGTGACACATTTGAAATTCTATGTCTGACACTAATGGTGTCAAGTTAGGCAATCTATTTATAATCTGAACCTTAATTTCCTCTTTTGTTAAACTGTGTTATTCCTACCACATGGAGTGTTTGTGATAATTGAATGAAGAAAACTGTGTGAAAGTCACAGACAAGAAGATGGAAATGAGGCTTGTCCAGGGCTACAACAAGCTTCATCCTTCTTTCGCTCTGCCTTTCCTATTTCTCTTGTGTTCCCATTTCAGAGATGTTCTCTTTTTTTGATATTCAAGGGGACCTCCTCCTGAGGTTGGGAAACTCAATTACAAAATTCTATATTCTCCGTTTTAGCTTCATTTTAGGCCCCCACATGCTACCATATGACAATAGACTATACAAGCAATTATTTTCCAGTAGGCACAGATGTTGTTTGTTTCATTTGAGAACCCAAATTCTTATTGTTCCTACTTTTAAGGTCCATTTCCCAGGAAACACTTCATGCACAGAACAATAAAGAGCAGCAAATGACATTATTAATATCTAAAGACTCATTAAATTCTACTCAGTATTAAAATGTTTTAAACTCTCTGGAAAGTTCTGAATACAAATGTTCATTTAATGTACCTTTAAACTTCAGTATTTCAACAGAAGGAAGAATTCAGTTTTGGTCAGCAAATGTTAGGTTATAGCTGCTTTCGGAGGGCTGTTGTGTGTTCCCATTTTTTTTTTGAATGCCTGAATTTGCAACTTGAGGAAGAATGCTTTATTTAGGTATAAGATTGCCTTTATCTTCAGCCTCAGATCAGATTTCCTCCTTGCTTTTCGGGGACAGCATTGTATACGGTTTCTGTGTCTTAAACATTAGTGAAAACCCTCCTGGAATCCATTAATGACAGCTGTCTTAGGTGATGTACAAAAAATTAAGTCGGAAAGAATAAGTAGCTGATTGTATATTTTGACATCTAGCTAGGGCATCTTGTGACCTAGATGGATTTGAAGGAGGTTTTTTTTGGTTCTTTGTTTGTTTGTTTTTAAGTTTAGGTGTGTGAATAGGCTCATATGTACTTTTCAGTTTGAGGTTGATTTCGAATGTGATGGAAGAAGGCCAGTAACAGACAGCAGAACGTGGCTCACAAAGCCATGCAGATGCCCATTCAGTAACTTAGGGAAATTCAGTAGGGGTATCTATATTACTCAAATATTGGGTGGATAGAACTTTGTAATGGGAAATAGGAGTGGGATATATGCCAGTTCATAGAAATATGTGGTAAAGGGGTGGGCTTATACCAGGGATCAAGGTTAGGATCTCGCTCATAAATCAAGCCAAAATGTATTCACTAAGCCCAGGATACAAGGCTACAATTAGATTAATAGTCTTCATATCCATTTCGCTTGTTTTGGTGCTGAGTCAAACTGCCCTGACCTCCAGCCCTATTACACACTCATTGGATAGAAACAGATATGCATACATGTGACTTCCTCTCCATCCATCCTCACTTCTGGTAGAGAATATTTGGCACCATTCATTCCTAGTACTGAGACAAAACTGAAAAGTGAGCTGTGGGACTATTTGTGATCTGAGATCTGCATATATCTGACAGGATCTTTAAATGAAAGAGAAATCTTGAATTTGTAAAGGAATATAATTAAGTGACTCTTTATAGAGATGAGGTAGGGGAACACAAATAATGCTGAAACTCTGAGGTACTGGCAAAAGTGGAAAACCGTTACCACCCATGGGCCTGAAGGAACAAGCAGAGGGAATGAAGCCTGGGAAGTGCAGGAGCTGAAAAATTGAGACCACTACACATAAATGTCATTGTAGAGGTGCATGGTTTCTACTAGAACTGAGATACTGAGACATGGAGACAGCTAGGAGACAAGCGCATTGACCTGTCTCTGTCAGAAACTCCTGTTATAGATGCAAATTAGTGAACCCGATCAGGACCCAGAGGGCCAAGAGACCCTGATGATGTAAGGGGTCAGAACGAAGGGCATAGAGCCTGGCAAAGCAGGTGGAAAATGGCTACGAGTGAGGACACGTGCAGGATGATATAAAAAAAAAATCTGTGACATAACTGAGGCTGCTGAAAATCATTTGGTCTATCAGTGCTGACTTTTCTCCTTCAATTGAATTACCTCATTGCCTTTAACTGTCTCCTACTTATCAAAGCTGACGTTTTAGAGATGCAATATTTCACAAATACCTTCATGTTGTTTTAGTGATTTCTTAGTGTAGCATCTTAGATATTTGTTGGTTGCATTGCTTAAAAAAAAATCCCAAACCAAAAACCAAACTGTGTATACTGACATATAATATGATCTCCATTTTACTGAAAAGGAAGCTCAAAAAGCTTACAGGAGCTGAGACCTGTCCACATCCCTAACGTGAAATCACAGTGTGATGCAATGCTTAGGTTAAGAAACACTCTGACAGCTAACACACCTTGTTGCTTCCATTAAGCTCCGTAAATGTCATGGGACTAATTACAATTCAGATTTAATGACCGCCTAACATGTCCTAGGCACTGGGCTAGGGGGATACAATGGCAAATAAGATCACAGAATCATAAATGTTAATCCTTTTAGTGATCTGCCTAAACATGCTTGCAATTGCCATACTATTGTTGTGCCATGGATAATACTTTGCCTGTTTTTATAATAATGGAAATCTAGAGTTTACTAATTTGCTTCAGTAATCCTCTCTTTTATATTTTAGATCCTTCCATGATATCATTTTAACTCCTCTTTTCCACCTCTTCCTTCCTCCCTACCCTGTCTGCCTTCCCACAAATGTGAAAGTCAAGATTTTCAGAGGCAGCCCTGCCCAACTCAAGAATCAGTGCAGTCCAGGCATGGTGGTTCGTGCCTGTAATCCTAGCACTTTGGGAGGCACAGGTGGGAAGATCACTGAGCTCAGGAGTTTGAGACCAGCCTGGGCAATATAGTGAGACTCTGTCTCTACAAAGTATTAAAAGTTAGCCAGCTGTGATGGTGCACACCTATAGTCCCAGTTACTTGGGAAGCTGAGGAAGGAAGATTGTTTACACCTGAGAGATTGAGCTGAGATTGTGCCACTGTACTCCAGGCTGAGCTATAGAGTGAGACCCTGTCTCAAAAAGAAAAAAAAAAAAAGAATCAGTATACAGGGATGAAACTGACTTCTTGATACAAAAGATTTGGGATATTTTTCTCTGAGAGACATTGGTCCTCTGATTGTGACACCGTATAGTTACTTACCAAACATTTCCAGGTATCTGGTATGGAAATAAATACATTATACACAAAATTTTTCTTAATTTGTTCCTATGTGTGGACTTTGTACACATTAGTTCTGTGCTTATATTTCTGCTGTTACTAAAATGATTAATATCATGAAATTAACAAAAAGCAGAACATTTGTGAATTCTAACTTTGAAAGCCCTTAGCCTGTCCGCTCAGGTCTATGTAGTTCTCATTTGTTTTACAATATAGAAATCTGAGCATACAATAAAGCAAACATGGTTAAGTGGGAGAAAAGCCCTTGAAAAGAGAAAATAAGGGATCATGTGGCATGTGCTAGACTAACCTTGAACAAGTTGCATGAAGACAAATAACACTGTTAGGGAGGCAGCCCCTGAAGAGCTGCACTGCAACACTTGATATGCTCCCACAGACCATTATTCTTAAGCACATCTCTGACGGGATATTTCTTTTTCCTTCTGGCTTGGATCTTCTTTCTCTGTAAATACATTTTTTGTCTTTCTGCCACTTTTTTTTTTCTGTACTTTTAACTAAGCTTGGCTTTGGGGAGGGTATGCTTAGCAGCTTTGGAAAAAGGTGCATTCTATTACAAAATCTTAGCAGTTTAGAGTCGAGAGGCAGTTTGGAAATCACCTAGTTTGACTTCCTCCTCTCACCTACCTAGAACCCACAGTCTAGCAATGCAGAAATATAAATTACTGCCATGACAAAAATTTTCTGTATACTATATGCACTGTCTGATATGGTATCCACTCCCTGAATGTTGTTGTTACACACTTTAAATCTGGTTAGTTTGACTAAGGCTAGCAATTTTAAACTTTAATTTAAATTCAAACAGCCACATCTGAATAGAGTCTCCCATATTGGACAGTGTGGGTCTAGAATGTTCTTGCGATGTGACCAGTGTTATATAGCTTTTAAGTGGAAGAAATCACCTTGCTGTTCGAGACTTTTGGCTCAGTGCATGGATCCCTATTGATTTTCAAATACTGGAAAAAATCAGCCAATTAAGCACAGAACATATAATTAAGGTAGGATAGAAGTGTCTGCTGTCTTGGCAATGACAAAGCAAAATGGGAGCTACCTGAAGCTGGTGGCGGAGCGGGGAGGTGGGGGGGTGGTGGTGCACTATTTTCTTTTCTTATAATATGGGTATTACAGTTACATTGCACAAATTGATGAGAAAAGCTTTGGCACATTATTTAAATTTATCTAATTTATTTAATTTTATTTAATTTTATAGAACCATAAAAATTAGGGGGAAAGGCATGAAAGACAAGATGGGGTTGGTATAAGAATGTTAAATTTATATTGAGCAGAAAGTTAATAGCAAATGTTCTAAAATGGAAAATTAAAGAACAAAAAATTAGGGGGAAAGGCAAGAAAGATAAGATAGAGTTATATCTTATCTTAAGATATATCTTAAGATTAGATATATCTTATCTTAAGATATATCTTAAGATAAGATATATCTTATCTTTAAGATATATCTTAAGATAAGATGTATCTTATCTTTAAGATATATCTTAAAGATAAGATATATCTTATCTTAAAGTTAACATGGTATAAGAATGTTAAATTTATCTTGAGCAGAAAGTTAATAGCAGATGTCCTAAAATGGATGAACTAAAGAACAAGGTAGCATAAATAGCCACAAAAACAGCTGTGAGTAGCAAAGGTTAAGGCTGTTTCTGTGTGGAGTGAGGCAGTGAGTAAGGAGAAATAGACATGCAGGGAGTTAATGCTTTTCTGTATTTTATTATTTTTGGCCATGCCTGTGCTTTTTATTTTTTTAATAAATAAAAGCCATTTTTCCAAGCTTCGTGGGTTTGAAATTAAGGCAGAAAATAAACTTACCAGGTACATTTTTTTCTTTTTTAATGAAAAGATGGTTGGAAACAACACTTAAGGAACAATTAAGTCTATCACTGCTTTCCTCTTGTACTTAGCCAGATATACAAAATATTTACTCACAGAATCATTTGTATTTGTCTGATACATAAAGCCAGTAATTTTGTCTGGCAATCTGAGACTCTTGTTGTAATAAGTTGGATCTTCTAAATAATTATTAAATTCAATCAAAGCAAGAAAAAATAGGCTGGAATTATACAAATTCAAACACAGCTCATAACACAGTACAGTCAAAGAACAAGGAACATAAATGCAGAGCTGGTGCTGCCTGATGGAATACCCCAGGCAGAGTGCTCATGTACACTGTCCAGGCTGGCTATTTGTTACACATGCTGACAGTGAATGGAGTAGAGCCAAGAAGGAGCTCATTTATCAGAATTAGGGGAAACAAGGCAGAGATGCCTAAGCAGTTAAGATCTATATTTGAGGTAGGTGTTGGAAATAATAGATATTGGGTTGTAGATAAGGGTTGAGGATGGGCAGATGACCTGCCGCAGAGTGGAGACACAGACATGAATGGACAGCCTCAGAGTCTGGTGAGCCTATGAATCCTCACAAGGCATGGCCACCCAGGCACAAGGTTCATGGGCAGGCAAGACCAAAGTGAAGAGTGGGCCCCAATTATCCAGTGAGCATGTAGAAAGGGCTTGCCAAGAACAATCAGACTGGGTAAGTCCATCCCTACTTTGCAGAAGCTCACTGTCTGATTTTACCTTTGAGAAGGAGTAAGTGGAATACAATGAGGTATAGCATAACATGACCCCCTGGACAATAAGAAGCTGACCTTCTGACCACAGTCAGGTAGAACCATAGATATAATGCTAAATTTATTTTTACATGTTGCTTATACTTACCTTTAGAATCTCCATTTTCAAGTCTCATTCTCTAAAATTTCATCCTGAGTCATTTCATCTTCTTAAATATAACCTATACATTAAACCTCCTACAAAGCCGTTGTATATCTGTAGTCTACATGGTTGCAGAGTTCTCTTCATCCAGGCCCTACCTGGGCAAAGGAAGCACAATCCCTACTAGAAATGAATTCTAGAGCAAGTCTCAGTCCATTGTCACTCTATGCTCGACTGGCTTGCAGACAAAAATGTTCATCCTTAGTAATTCATTCTTCCTCCCTAAGTTGACTACAGGCATACAATCATGTCAAACAAGTGTGCAGTACATTCACCTATTGGACATTTTTATGGGTCTTCAACACAAGATTTTTTTTTTGCCAAAAATTTCCAAGAAAATTGTAAGCTAACCCTCTGTTTCTGATGGAGAGTAGGATGTCAAGGCCTCCTCTCCATCTTCAATTTCTATAGATTCTTTCTATCAAGTGTGGGTCTTTTTTCTAGAAATCCCCTTGCTCTTTTTCCAGGCCCATTACTCTTGAATGATGTCAATAATTACTGCAGGTGTCCTAGTGATCTCAAAACTGATTATGCAAAAATTTGTGCCTACTGTCTTAGTCTGCTCAGGCTGCCATAACAAAATACCATGGACTGGGTGGCTTAAACAATAAAATTATTTTCTCACAAATATGGAGGCTGGAAAGTGTAGCCTTCAGATGCAATATACTGGCAGACTAGACTTCTGGTGAGGGCTCTCTTCCTGGCTTGTAGATGGCCACCTTCTCAGTATTTTCTCACACGGCCTTTCCTTGGTGTATGCATGCTGAGGGAAAAAGAACACTCTCGCTGTTTCCTTCCTTCTCTCTTTCTCTCTCTCTGTTTCTGTCTCCGTCTTCTCCTTCTTGTAAGACCCTAAAAATCCCACTATGAGAGCCCCACCTTGCCAACCTAATATAATCCTAATTACCTCCCAATGGCCCCATCTTCATATATAATTTACAAATTGGTGTTTAGAGCTTCAATATATGAATGGGAAGGTTCACAATATGTACTTAGCATGAATATGAGTATGCTCCTTGCTCATAGAACTGGCCTGCCTCAGAGTGGATCCAGATCATGTTCCCTTGATTTATTATCTAATGCTTTGATTAGGCTAATACATCCCTCTTTATTGGTTTTCCTCCAGCCCCTCTTAGTGTGCATGAGCTTCCATCACACCATCCATCGGAGATGTAGCATGCATTGTGGTCTACACAGATAATTTATGAGTGTAATCACTTTTGTGCCTTCTCTAGAATATATTTCACCTCAAATCCATCATATATGTTTTTCTTCCATTTCAATTACATCTGTTGGCCAGTGTAGAGGTTTCCTTTGTTTGCTGAGAAATAGTACAGGGCCAGAATTCAAGCATGCTTGACAGGTGCATGGTATTGCTAATGAGAATGCCCCTAACAATGGGGTGATCATGGGGTCAGCCTGCCTCAGATTTTATATGAGCTCTGAATCTTATGTTTTCTATTAACTCTATATTATAGTCTCCTGCACTCTGTGTTGCTTGCTTAACTTCTGTCATTCTGACTTTAGTGTTCTGGCCATTTAGAGGTTGGCTCCACCCAGCCAGAAAGCCATCTGACAGTCTAATTTCTTTCATGCCGCCTCTTCAAGTGTCTTCTGATTTGAAGCCAGAGGAAATGTAACACTGATTTTTTTTTCTGTAATTGCTGACGTGTTTAAAGATGTGATGTACATCTTCAATATCAAATGAGAAAGGCTTCCAGCTGGCTAGGACTTCAACAGAACAATTCAAAGCTTAAGTAATGGACCCATGACACAACTCTGCTTTTTAAAGAGAAATACTAATGAGGGAGGTACTATCTTAAAAATTGAGGTAGGAAGGAAGCAGATGAGAGAGGGCAGGGGGAGGAGATGGGCATAGAAAGAGAGAGCAAATATTTGTATACATGGATATTTTATTATTATTATTATTATTATTATTATTATTATTTATTTTTTTTTTTTTGAGACGGAGTCTCGCTCTGTCGCCCAGGCCGGACTGCGGACTGCAGTGGCGCAATCTCGGCTCACTGCAAGCTCCGCTTCCCGGGTTCACGCCATTCTCCTGCCTCAGCCTCCCGAGTAGCTGGGACTACAGGCGCCCGCCACCGCGCCCGGCTAATTTTTTGTATTTTTAGTAGAGACGGGGTTTCACCTTGTTAGCCAGGATGGTCTCGATCTCCTGACCTCATGATCCACCCGCCTCGGCCTCCCAAAGTGCTGGGATTACAGGCGTGAGCCACCGCGCCCGGCCTATTTTATTATTTTAATAATATAGAAGATATGGATAATTTTTTAAATTATTGAATCTGCCTCTGAGGTTAATCATGATTTTATATTAGTTATTGGTTACTGGACATGAGTACTTCATATTTATCTTTAACATCAGGGAAGTTGTGATATGCTATGGATGGAATTGAAAGAACACATGTAGTTCAGGAGGTTTTATAAGTAGGTTTTCAAATATGGAACATTTTGGAGTCAAGAAATTTCTTTCAATTCTAAACCTTTCATTTAATGATAATGATGGTATATAAACTATGTAACCTCTCAGTGCCTTAGTATTCACATTTGCCATGAAAAGATTTGACTAAATAACATCCAAAGACTTCTAGAACTTCTAATAGAAATATTCTTTTTATTCTGTTCTTTGGTATTACTAAAGTTGATCATAGATGAGAAAATCATATAACTTATCATCAAACCAAGGACACTTTTGAAATTCTCCCAAATCAGAATAAAATATAGCTTTGTTAAACAAGTGACCTTTTAAATGTTTGAAAGACCACAACCAGAGATAGGATGTAATTCGGTAAGTTTTCTTGTGAACTCTAGAAACAAAAGTTCCATTGCTCATAGAGGGTATTTTATTTACACGTATGGTAGCACATCTGCACCCTCTTTCCTGACAGTGCCTGGAGTTTCCATTCAAGGAACTTCTTTGCTAAGAATCCACCTTCTCCACTTTTCATTCAATCCTGCCTCCCACTCACTCACGGATTTGAGAATCTTTCCTCATGGTTCCTGCAGCACTGGCTCAAACCTTTATCACTAGTCAGTGCACCATTTGATAATTGTTCATTGCTGTGCCTGTCTCTTCCATAAAATTGAGGGCAGAATCTGATTATTTTGTTTCTGCTGTCCCAGGACACAGGCAGCAGGGCTGAGACTAGAAAGAGACAAGCAAAGCACCAAGATTAAGTGCAGGGCCAGCACTTGCACAAACCTCAGAGTGAACCCATTTCTACATTTCACACATTAGTTACCTCACTTCCTCGCTCTAGTTAAGTGTTGATGAGTAGAGTACTTAGCATGTAATAAATCTCTAGCAAGCCAGTGACATGAAGAAGTACTACAATTTGGAGTCAGGCTTTATTTTAAAATTTGGATTTAATATTATTTTGAAGTCAGCAGGCCAACAGATTAGACAACTGCTATTTGAAAGATAGTTTGTGACTTAGAGTTTCCAAGAGGAGGTGGCGTGCCCTTCCATGCAGGTGCCGTGTTGGGAAGCAGCAGAGTCAAGAGGCAGAGGGAGAAAGGGGAAAATGTGGGCAAAATGCTTTATTGTGATTTCTACAGAACAAAATGGGAAAGCCAGGGCAAGTAGTTTTAGAATTAGCTGGTTTGAATAATTTCAGCAGGCTCAGGAGTTAAGAGCCTGTTTCTAGTTAACTGGTACCTGGCCCTGGGATGACTAGGCAGGCAAATGGTAGCACTGAGAGAACCTGATAAAGGAGGTGGTTGGGATACAGGCTCTGCATTGATTGGTTGGCATGAGAAAGGTACACTTGTGGGGCAGTCTTTCACTATTTCTGGGAATTGACTAGCCAGGAAGGGACAGTCCCTCCAGGGTCAGCAAGTCTCCCAGATGTCAAAGCATCAGAATAAAAAGACATGCTAAATACAGGCTTTCCTGAATTTGAATTTGTGCTGTCATATACAAGTCTCATGGCCTTAGGCAAATCAACTGATTCTGTAATGTGACAACCTTACTGGGTTGTTACGTGGATTAGAGCAAAGAGCCTGGTACACAGTAGGTACTCAATATTGGACAGACATTAGTCAATGACTGAAGTATGCACAGTAAAATCTCTATAACATGACTTATACATGTTACATATTTATGCACCCATGACTAGACAAATCTCAGGCAATAAATACTTCAATTTGTGTGGAGGGGTAGCTTGTTTCATTGCTGTTTTGAAAATTACCTTCACTTTAGGCCACTTCTTTGAATATTATTCTGAATAATCCTGCAAAATAGACTAGCTGCTTCTGGCAACTTGAATCTCTCTTTGAGGCTCCTGAAATCTCTAGCTTTGAACAAGGCTAAAAATAACCCAAGTACCTTCCTTCCCTCGGGGATGGTGGTGCTACAGACTTCACAGAAGTCAGGAAATACAGGGGACGATGTATGTGGATTCCAAAGTAAGCTTCTAGAACTTTCCAAAGCTTCAAGGAAAAATTAGTTTCAGCTGCCTTGCAAGTTTCAGAAGAAGCTCTCTCTAGTCTGGTACAGTGACAGCAGCAGCAGGGATTTTTACAAACATTAGAGCACATTAAAGAGAGGCCCTAAATATGGCATATGGAAGCAGCAGCAGACAAAGGATAAGATTTGTTGTGGAGCATTAGCTCTCCCTTGCCAACGTTTAGGGATTGGAGGTGATATAAGGCTATTAACTTCAGACCTTTGTCTCCTATACCAGGGAAAACATCAGTGAATTCGAAGAGAAGAGAATCACAAATGATGTGTTGTGCGAGTTGCAAAGAAGAGTTAACTGTGTTAGCAGGAGAGACAAACATAGCAGCTTTCTCCGGGGACTTCCTGCTCTTCTTATGCTGTCATTCAGTGTAAAATAGCATTCTGATCAGGCATCCTATGACAGTGAGGAACTTTCCCCTGGGCCTCCTTCAGGGGTTGGAGTGGGTCTTTGCCAGGAAATGTTAGAAGACTGACACTGCTTAAACTTAAATGTATAAGAGACTAGAATGTGGGCAGCATAAACATGCTCTTAACGTTTCTCATTATAACAGCTGAAACATTTCTTTGGAATCTTCCATTTCATTCCCTCCTGAATGAAGAAGCGCCAATGTACCCTGAAACAGTTACATGAGCCCATATACCACTGTATCCTAGAGACTCTAAAGAAGCTGGTCTTTTCACTATTTATAATTTTTTTGTGTATTTCTATAAGAAATAACTAAGGTAACATGTAACTTTTACATAACTAAGGTTAATGTAACTTTTGCATTGTGGAATTTATTGAAAGAATATACACTATGGCACCGACATTTGGAAAATTACTTTCCTCTATGAGAGAATTTATAACCTGTAGAAAATAGTAGGGATCTTAACGTTTTCTTTTAGTTTCTTAGTTTTTCACTTTTTTTAAAAAATTGCATTAAGGAGGTCCAGTACATGCTAAGCTTCTAAGGTAAACAGCTGTGTATTTTTCAAACAGCTTCTATAGAGTAGACTGAGATACAGTACTGAGCTATACCCACTGAACCTGATTAGCCTCATGTTGTTCAAGGAGAGCTCTTAGTTAAGGTAAAAAAAAAAAAAAAGAAAGAAAAGAAGGAAGACGTGGTAAAATAATAATAACATTTTGTTGCTTTTTACTGAATACCAGGTATCTACCTGTGATTTTTACTTATGTTCATGACAATTTCATAATAACTAGATGAGGTAGCTGGTATTATAATCTTTGTTTTATAGATAAATATACTAGAACATAGAGAATTATAAAAATTGTCCAAGGTCAAACTACTGAATCACCCAGAAATTGAGCCTAATTCTGATTGAAACTATTCAGTTAGTTTTCCTTATCAAATATACAAGCAAACTGTTGTTAAAGTCAAATGGCACTAAGGGCCTGAAAGTGAAAAAATTCTCCCCATTTTTCAATCCTGCTCCACAGAAAAATACATTTTTAATGATTTTGATTTTTTCCTGATATATTTCTTCATATTTCTGAAAATGTGATTGTATTGGGTGTTTTAATTTATTAAGTTTAAACTTTATATACTTTGTTATCATATATATAAATTTATTTTGCCAATACATATCCTCATTGCAATTACTCTTTCCTCGTTCTCCCCATTATAATTTTTATATTATGTCTATGCAAATGAAGTCTTCTGCCAAATTAAGTGATTCCTTTTAACTTTTCCCCATTTTTTTAAATGTTGGACTAATATTTGTTTATTACTTAATTGACTTATTTAACTGTTACTTCCTACAAGTTTCTTTTCAAATGTCCTAATAGATCTGTCAAACGTGGAAAGTCTTTATATGCTCTACTACATCACTCTCCCCAGAGGTCATGCTTTCTCTTTTTGTTTCAAGAGAAACCGGTTTCAGTTAGGCCTGACCTCTAACTATCATCTGAAGACCTCTTCTACACAGTTCTGTGTTGGGTCGCATCCTTTCTGCATCCATCTCTTTCTCTTTCTATGCTTATTTACTAATTTTGGTAGTGAAATATCAAAAATACCATATCTCTAGTAATTTCTCTAGAAAGCATATGAAAAGAAAGGATGTTGAGTTGTAGGACTTTGTTATATTTTTTAATAATTAACTTCTTATCAGATATATGGTTTGAAATTACTTACTCCCATTCCATAGGTTGTTTTTTTTCACTCTCTAAAGATGTTTCCTCTGTTGTACAGAACCTTTTTAGTTTAATGTAATACCAGTTACTTATTTATTCTTTTATTGCCTGTGCTTTTGGTCTCATATTCATGGAATCATTAACAAGCCCAAGACCTTGAGGTTTTCTTCCAGGAATTTTACAGTTCATGTCTTATGTTTAAGTTTTTAATCCATTTTGAATTGGCTTTTGTGTATGATGTAAGATATGGGACTAATTTCATTCATTTGCATGTGGATATCCTGTTTTCCCAGGACCATTTGTTTAAGAGAGTATCCATTCTCCAAATCTTAGTTAACACTCTTGTCAAAGATCAGTAGACTGTATACGCATGGATTTATTTCTGTTCCATTGGAATATATGGTTGCCTTTATGCTAGTCCACTATTGTTTTGATTACTGTAGGTTTGCAATATAATTTGAAATCAGGAAGTGTGATTCCTCCAGCTTTGTTTTTCTTTCTCAAAATGCTTTGTATTTGGAATCTTTCCTGATCAATATGAATTGGAAAATTGTTTTTTTCTATTTCTGTAAAAAATGCTATTGGGATTTTGATAGGGAATTCACTGAATCTATAGATCACTTTAAGTGGTATGAAGATTTTAAAAACACTAAGTCTTTCAATCTATGAACATTTTTTTTTCATTTCTTTGTGTATTGTTTAATTTCTGTCATCAGTGTTTTGTAGTTTTCAGTAAAAGTCTTTCACCTTCTTAGTTAATTTTATTCCTAAACATTTCTTTTTGGTGATGCTATAGATGGGATTGTCTTCCAAATTTTCTTCTTAGATAGTTTAATTTTAGTGTATTTTATAAAATGAGCTAAGGACTTGAATAACATTTCTCTAAAGAAGACATGCAAATGGCCAATAGATATATGAAAAAATGCTCAATGTCAGCAATCATCAGGAAAATGCAAATCAGTACCACAATTAAAAATGACCTTATACCTGTTAGGATGGATATCATAAAAAAAGATGACAAATGTTGGCTAGATTGTGGAGAAATCAGAACCCTTGCACATTATTGGTGGGAATGAAAAATTGTGCATTTGCTATGGAAAACAAAATGAATATTTCTAAAAAAATAGAACTACCATGTGATCCAGCAATCTTACTTCTTTGTATCTATCCAAAAGAATTAAAAATCAGGATCCCAAAGAATATTCACAATAGGCAATATGCAGAAATAACCTAAGTGTCTATAGAGAGAAGAATGGGTAAAGAAAATGTTGTGTATGCATACAATGGAACACTAGTCAGCCTTCAGAAAAGGAAATTCTGAAATATGAGACAACATACATGAACTTTGAGGACATTATGCTAAGTGAAATGAGCCATTTACAGAAAGACAAATACTGCATAATTCCACTTACATGAGGTATCTAAAATAGTTTCATAGAATCAAAGAGTGGAATGGTGGTTGCCAGGGAGTGGAGATAGGGGCCAGTGGAATTGCTAATTTGCAGGCACAAAGTTGCAGCTAAGCAGGATGAGTAAGCTGTAGAAATATGCTATACAGTATCGTGCCTATAGTTAACAATAATGGATTTTATAACTTAAAAACTTGCCAAAAAGGTAGATATCATGTTAAATATTCCTATCATAATAAAACATAATTTTAAAAAGGAATATGAAAACAGATTTTTTGTTGTTATTTTCGTTAATTTTGAATGCTCTGTTCTTTACTCTTACATTGTTGAGTAGTTTGGCTGAGTAAGAATTCTAAGTTGAAATCAGAATTTTAAAAATGATGCTTTATTTTTCTTTAGTTTTCTTTGCTGTTATTAAAAAATTCTATGCTATTCTGAATACTGCTCCCTTACATGTGACTTAACTCTTTTTCTTTAAAATATTTTAGGATCTTCTCTTTATCCTCACTGTTCTGAAATATCACTATGATGTCCATGGGGGGATGTATGTGTGTGCATGTGCGTGTGTATGTGTGTTTGTGTAGGAAGGATTTTTTTTTTAATCTTGGAACTTTAGTTAATCCTTTCCTTCTGGTGACTTCTGTCCTTCATTACTGAAAATCTTTATTGTATTATATTCAATAACTTCCTGCCTTCTGATTATTTTGTACTCTTCTTCTGGAATTCTTACTATTAGTTGAAACTTCTTCATTTATTGAAGTATGTCTTTATTTTTAATCTCTCTCTCTCTCTCTCGCGTGTTCTCTCTCTCTCTCTCGCGTGTTCTCTCTCTCTCTCTTTCTCTCCCTCTTTCTGTTGATTGCTGTAGTTGTGCTTTTTGGGAAAGCCCTTAAAATTTTTTATGTTTCTATTTTTTTGAGAATATTCTTGATATAAAATGTTCATATCTATGAGGTTTTAAAAATTATTATTTTTCAAAATAGCCTTTTACTCTTGTAATATATTTTCTAATCTCTTATGGGATATAATAGTTTTTGTTTTAAATTTGTTTTTATTTATCTAATTTATGCTCACTAATTTTCCCCCTGTTTCTTTTAGGTTTCCACCTTTCTTTTTGTTTTGGTCTCTGTGTTTCTTATGTTGAAAACTTTTTTCAATTGTTAGTGCGCTTTGGCTGTCCATTTTATTTTTAAGAAGGAGGAACAAAAAAATTTACTAAGAGCTCTATGTGTAGGCACACAACCTGTAAACTTTGTGGCTTCATTCTAAGATGATTTGGATAAGATAAAATTTTTATTGGGGAATTATCACTAAATGTCACAGTCTGGTGATATTTTCTATGGGACCATTTTGTTCTTATAGAGAGGAATCTTCTCTTTTCCTGGGGTGTGGAGTGGGTGATGGCCTTAGTTTTTAGTTTTCAGATGTGCAGGTAATCCACTGTGTCCAGAGGCATGCCTCATCCAAACTTTACACATGGCCTGGATCCTCCCAGTCCTATACCTTTCTCCGTTCTAAAGGTCAACTGCCCTTTCTCAGTGGTGTCTCCTGCTGCAGAAGCTTTACTTACAGCCGCCATCATTCTGTTAACTGTAATTCTTAATTATCCATTTACTTTACAGCTTCCAAAAGTTTTGTTGAAATACCAATCCCTCGTCTACTATTGTCTTTTCTGCTTTTCCTTTTGGTCTTCTTGGAATGTTATGATGTTAAATTTGTTATTTAATTATAGTTAATTGCAGAAAAAGAGATAAACACATATGGCCTACCAACCACGTTTAACAGTAATCCTTATTGTTTCTCATTGTGTTTTAATATATGCTCTCCTTTTGCTGTACCATATTATCATTACAATTTTGTGTGTATTCTTCATTAAGTATAAGGTTTTACATCTCTTTGATTCTTTACTCTTAATAAGTACATTCTCAGAAACACTACCTTACTTTATTCATATAGAAATGCTTACTATACAGCATAAGTATATTATTCACCCTTGACAGATGGAAGAAACTACACTCTGAGAGTTTAATTAGCATGCCCAAGATCACACAGTCAGGTTTGCAGGCTTCTCCTTTATAGAATTTTGCCTCCCAACCCCTCCAACTCTAAATAGAGTCTAACTTGTGGCAACTTTATGAAATAAATAAAGAGAAGAAAAAGGTGGATTTCAAACACTTAGTTTAAACAATTCTTCTCCCGAAAGAAACTGCGAATTCTCAAAATTAGTTTGGGGTAATTTGATGATTTTAGTACATTACATGATACACAATCACTACCACAGTGAACAATTGAGATTTGACTGAAATAACAGAAAGATGTACACTGCACTGATGTTTGTAGAAACATTTAAAGAAGCAAACAATATGCTGGATGGTGAAGGAGAACTCCAAAAATGAGGAGACACAGTTCACACATTTAGGTGCTTTCACAAACAATGTAAGGCAGGACTGCTCTGTGGCATGAACAAAATTGACAGCCACATCTACAGGGATTTCTCTACCTCTGGACCTAATTTAATGGAACTAATGCATATTTATTACAGCATGGCTCTCATTAAACGACAGCCTGGCCATTAGACATAAAATCCCTGCAAGAGACATGATCCATTTTCTACAAAGGACCTTTTCTGGCCACTGAGACCCTGCTGCACTTACACTGACAACTTCATGTGCTGTGAACTGGAGGGATACGAGGCAGGGGCTCTCGGCCTTCTGTAGCCCAGTCTGTCTGTAAGCCTTCTGGTGGAGTCTAAGGAGGCCTGTATTGCTTTCCTGGAGGCAGAGACCAAGGCTTGTCAGGGCTGACACCTACCTCCCAGGTCCCTTCTTGTCAGATGCTTGGGCTTTGTCAGCTGAGCTCTAGCTGAGATGACAGCTGATACCTTTTGCTTTGGAGACGGCTTACTGGGCTACAGAACTGACTCTGTGAAGGGTGCCCTGACACGCCTTTACCAGCAGTCCCTAAACACTTGTCTCAGTCTCACTGATTCTCAAGCTTTTGCATGATTCCACAAGTCCTTAATCAAAAAACATTCCTTATCTTGCTGAATATTTAGCTAGCCAACCAGTCGATTACATGTTCTCTGTTAGGCTTTGCTTAAATACTGTCACCTCTATTATTACTTTTTCAAACCCAGAAAGACTTAATCTGCCCTATTCTTGTTCCTTTAGTGTGTTATTTGTACTCTAGTACTTATTAGACTGCGGCTTATATGATGAGGATGGTAATGGTGTTGATGTCAGTGGTGCTGTTGCTAGGATAGTATATGCTTGAGAGACAATCTTCTTTCTGGCCTTCACTTGGTCAAATTGCTTATCATCTTAATTTCTTCGTCTGTAAAAGGGTGGAGACAATAATACTCTCCTTTCCAATTTAAAAGATTAAGAATAAAAATGAATTGCATAAAGTGCCTGACACTAACATTGTTTTTATTTCCTTTCTCATTTTTGTGTTACTTGAAAATTATTTGATTTAGATTATACATTTTCATTATATGTGGTATTATATTTAATATGAGAATCTTCCCTTTAAAACAAACCTAACTTTGTAGATCTTATGTAAGTGTGTATATATATAAATGTGTGTGTGTGTGTGTGTGTGTGTGTGTGTGTGTATCTTTATGAGTTTATCTTCTAGTAGAAAAAAATGCTGCTTTATCCTACGTTGGCTGCTTTCTGCCATGGGCCCAGGGTTGGGCTGGCTCATCTTCATTTCCCTATGAGTTCCTCTTTTGGTCAGTTGCCATAATTAGTTTCAGCTGTAGGTTATGGTTGGTGATCATAAGATCAAGCTGGGGCCATCTGAGCTCATGATTTATATGCTCACCAGCCAGGGAGAAGTCTTTTGAGAATTACAGCTTTATTCTCAAAAACCCTGATGCTTAGGTCTCAATGATTTGCCCTGGGAGAAGATGACTGGGTTGATGCTGTCTACCATCAATATCAAGGAGTGGTTCTACCCAGTTATAGTCATAACTACCACTTGTCTTGCATTTTACAGTTATTATAATGCCTTCAAAGGTGCTATCTATTGCAATCCACACTACTGCCCTGGAGGTGGGTCACATACCCATTTTACATATGGAGACACTGAAGCTCAGAGGTGTATGAGATTAGCCCAAGAACACTCAGCTGACGCCAGCCTAAGTCTCAGGTTTTCTGACTCCACATGGGTGCATAGTCTTAGTCTTCTCTATGCTGCTGTAGTGGTTTATATTTCTGGCACCTTCATCTTCTCATACTAATCTGACAGAGTCAGACTCAAAGAAACTCACAGCACACTTGAAGGAAGTGAGTCATTCTCCTTGGAGCAAGGTGACCAAAAAGCATTTTAATTCAGACTATTTTCTTAGAGATATTCATGCCTAACGCTACCCTAGGGGCATGTTTCAGAAATGTGAGGGAGGGTTATAGCTTGAAAAAGCCCCCTTCGTGACTGTTATACACACTCTAGGGGCAGCTCTCCCTCCACTCAATGCTTTTGGCCTTTTAGGAGAACATGTTTCCCCAATTACTCAAAGGCCAGGTCCTTAGAGAAAAATGTACTGCTGCGCATAGTGAATTATATTGATTCTTCCAACAAGTTGTAGAGAAGACTCATTTATCTGTTGGATAGTTGGGAGTTTATGGGGATTTTTACATTTTACCAAAGAGTACCTTTTAACCACTGAATTCTATTATTCTGTTATTTTTACTTCATCTCTTTAGGAAGGTACTCTCTTGTTGACTAAGGCTGTTTGCCACTGTTTACAACATATTCTCATAATTACAAATGGAAGTGTAGGTTCCAGAAACCATGGGTCAGTCTGAAAAGGAAACCCAGGTCCAGCTGGGGAACTGAAAGTTAGAAAGAATCTCAAACCCAGGCTTGCACCAGAGACAGGGGGCCAGCAAGGCAAACTGGAAGCTCCTCAAGCACTCCGGACATGTGTGAATTTCTGTGAGTCTCTGGGTTGATGTCTGGTGAGACATTTCATGTCAGGGTTTAAGGTGACGGCTGGTGTTTGAAGCCTGTGTCCATGGGCACAGCAAGGATATGAGACATTGGTGAATTGGCCAGGGGACTCCTAATAGCCTTGACCAGAAGCCAGTCACAGTTTACACTATCCTTATTAAGAAAGTAAGTTAGGAGATCACCCCAGCTGGTGTTCTGGATTCTCAGTGGGTGTTGAGCTTTATAGCCTATGTAAAGCCCAGCCTCCAAGCCCCATAGGCCTTTGCCAACTAGATTTCTCAGAGATGCTTTTATCCGTTTTGTTCATGGATAGCCTCTGTGAGATGGTGTGTATGAGGAATCATGAGGCCGCATTCTAAACATGGCAACCTTTATATGACCAATAAATACACCTGCTTGTCTGAGGCCAAAATTGGTCTCAGTGGATGTAATTGAAGTTGCTTTGTGTTTTTGATTTTTCATCACTTTTTTTTTTCAGTATGGCTAGCACTTACAGATAGTTTTAGTTGTATCTGACTTTGGGCCTTTAAGGGAGAGAAATGAGAAATAATTCAATTTTACTTTTGCTGCATAAATGAGAGCTGGAGCTTTGGGAATGTGTTAAGCAGTAATAAAAGACAGCACTTGTTTCCTAAAAAGGCATTGCTGGAACAACAGCAACAACAAAACTATTGTAATGGAAGCCTGGGGTGACTTTAAGAAAGTGCTATGCGGGTTTTAGAAGAGTTTTGTTACCTGTAGTTTGAATGAGCAGTAAAATACAAAAACTTGCTTTTACTAATTCCCCAATCTGTGTCTGTTGTTAACTGGGTTGTTCACAAAGATACATCTGTAGCCGAGCCCTTTACTGCTCCATTTATGTGCATCTGAATTCTGGCAAGCATATTTGCAGCACAGCCTCCTATCATTTTCAATAGAACCTTGTCTGGGCATAGAAAAAGAGCAGAAATGTGTTTTTATGAATAAATCCTAAAATATCTGCTTCTGTGACCCATCATCCAGAGATAACCTCTTCTCCCTCCATTGCCTCATTTCCGACCAATAATAGGACCAGTCAGATATGCTAATTCATTATCTTAGAACTACACCCCAGAGGTTAAAACTTACTGAGTCCTTTTAAAAAAAAAGCCCCCTAAATACTGAGAAGCAGAGCCATATCTCACCACTTTGGCTGGAGAGAGAGAGAAGCCATTGACTAAAGTTGAAATGAAGGAAAAAATGTTAAGGGCAGCCAGAGAGAAAGGTCGTGTTACCCACAAAGGGAAGCCCATCAGACTAACAGCTGATCTCTTGACAGAAACTTTACAAGCCAGATGAGAGTGGGGGCCAATATTCAACATTCTTAAAGAAAAGAATTTTCAATCCAGAATTTCATATCCAGCCAAACTAAGCTTCATAAGTGAAGGAGAAATAAAATCCTTTACAAACAAGCAAATGCTGAGAGATTTTGTCACCACCAGGCCTGCCCTACAAGAGCTCCTGAAGGAAGCACTAAACATGGAAAGGAACAACCTGTACCAGCCACTGCAAAATCATGCCAAATTGTAAAGACCATCGACGCTACAAAGAAACTGCATCAACTAATGAGCAAAATAACCAGCTAACATCATAATGACAGGATCAAATTCACACATAACAATATTAACCTTAAATGTAAATGGGCTAAATGCTCCAATTAAAAGACACAGACTGGCAAATTGGATAAAGAGTCAAGACCCATCAGTGTACTGTATTCAGGAGACCCATCTCACGTGCAGAGACACACATAGGCTCAAAATAAAGGGATGGAGGAAGATCTACCGAGCAAATGGAAAACAAAAAAAGGCAGGGGTTGCAATCCTAGTTTCTGATAAAATAGACTTTAAACCAACAAAGATCAAAAGAGACAAAGAAGGCCATTACATAATGGTAAAGGGATCAATTCAACAAGAAGAGCTAACTATCCTAAATATATATGCACCCAATACAGGAGCACCCAGATTCATAAAGCAAGTCCTTAGAGACCTACAAAGAGACTTAGACTCCCACACAATAATAATGGGAGACTTTAACACCCCACTGTCAACATTAGACAGATCAACGAGACAGAAAGTTAACAAGGATATCCAGGAATTGAACTCAGCTCTGCACCAAGCGGACCTAATAGACATCTACAGAACTCTCCACCCCAAATCAACAGAATATACGTTCTTCTCAGCACCACATCACACTTATTCCAAAACTGACCACATAGTTGGAAGTAAAGCGCTCCTCAGCAAATGTAAAAAAACAGAAATTATAACAAACTGTCTCTCAGACCACAGTGCAATCAAACTAGAACTCAGGATTGAGAGACTACAGATTCTCATCATCTTCCCCTAGGTTATCTACTTATTGGTATCTTACTCGTGGGCCAGCAATACTGGTTTCCTTTTTCCTTCCTCCTACAATCCAGCTGCTGAGATAGCTTCTCCCATTCATCTTCACTAATTAATTTATTTTTATAGTGTGATCTGTCAGTTTTTCATCAGCCTTTCCAGAACATTGCCTTATTCTTTTCTAAGAACAACTATATTATTTCTTCTCAGGAACTTCTATGTTGTTAATTTTTCTATTCAAAACAGTTACGTTGAATATAATAACTACTTTTTCGTGTAATTCTGGGCAAATATGCAGGAGGAAGGTGAGGGTGTTGTATAGTTCTAAACACGGGAATTCAGGTACTTTGGAATTCCTCAAATAATCTGTATTTGCACCTGCTGGAATGCTGCTCTTCCCTCTGCAATATTGCTAACTCCTAGATTCATAGGGTCCCAGAGTCTAGAACTAGATAGATTTGACAGAGGATTACAAGCTCTGAGAGGCACAGGGTGCAGGTAAGATAAGTAACTATCATTAATAGCTTTTTCCATGCAAGAAGATGTGAGAGACCTTCCTACCATGTGGATTTCAATACCTTCAAAAGCTGCATTTCTCAAATCACAAAGCGAACACAAATCACCTGGGGATATTATTAAAATGTAGATTCTGGTTCAGATCCTAGGTGATTCTGATGCTGGTATTCCAGGGACCACATTTGGAATAGTAGGGTCTAAAATTTCATTGTCCAATATGGTAGCTACTGCCACATGCAGCTATTAAGCAGTTGAAGTGTAACTAGTTCAAATTCGGATGTTCTATAAATGTAAAATACAAGATTTCAAAGATTCATTTAAAAAAGCATGGATATAAAATTTCTCATTGGTATTTTACATTGATGACATGTTGATAATAGTTTGGTTATATTGAGCTTAATAAAGTATATAATCAAATTAATTTTAGTTGCTTTTTAATTATTTAAAGGAGAACTACAAACTTGTAAATTACATTATTTTATAATTTTAATCCAGTGCTTCTCAAATTTTACTGTGCTTACCAACTACCCAAGATTCTTGTTAAAAGCAGATTCTGATTGCTCATTTTATATTTCTATGAACACCACTGCTTTAATGCTCTTTTCCCTCCATTTCATTGGCTATTGATAGCATTTAGCATATTTTATAACAGTGGCTCTCAAGCTTTATTGTGCTTAATAGTCACCTGGTTGGCTTGTTAAACCAATGATTGCTGTTCTACTCCCAGACTATAATTGAGTAGTTTTGAATGAGGATCCAAGAATTACTATTCCTAACAAGGTCCCAGGTGATACTCATGCTGCTGCATGGACCACACTTAACAGTATTAAAACCCTGAAACTCTTTCCTTTCTTGCCTATTCAGTAGCATTTAGCATCTTCTGTCCCTCTGTTTTGCAGAGTATAGTTTGTGAACGTATTTTTGTATCTTCTGCTCTACTCACACCGATGTCCATTCATATTGCGGCAATGTCCATTCACCCTGTGACATTGTAAAGTCTTTGAAGGGAAACGTTGTGCCTGTTTGTCTTGGTACCACCAGAGCATCTACTTCAACAATTGGCTTGTTAAATTGAAATAAATTGGATTTAATGAAGTAATTCACCTTTTTTCTTCTTTATTCTCTTACTAGGAGTTCTGACAAGCACAAAAGATTAAAATGTTAATGAAAGAAAACAGGTATAAGGGTTGATCTGTCAATTAATCTATTGATTTACTAATTATTGGGTAAATTGTTTGCTTTCTGTTCTTTTTTATTAGTTTAATTCAATGCATATTTTTAAACACTGAAATGCTGATGATTAGGGCAATGAGTTAGTCTGGTTTCAGAAGATAAGTTAATTGGAAGGTCAGAACAACACTATCAAGTACACCTAGGAAATTAAAGCTATGACGTCATGGTAGCCCAGAGGTAGGAGAAAAGCTACCCTTTAAATTATGCTGATTAAAGCCTTACTAACCAAAAAGTTCTCCTTAGACCAGCAGCATCAGCAGAGTGGAGGTAAGAGAAGTAACTATCACTAATAGCTTTTGCTATGCAAGAAGATGAGAAATAACTTCCTACCATATGGATTTCAATACCTTCAAAGGCAGTGTTTCTCAAATCACAAAGTGCACACAAATCACCTGGGGATATTATTAAAATGTAGATTCTAACTCAGATCTTAGGTGATTCTGATGCTGGTAATCTGGGGACCACATTTGGAATGATTCCTGAAACATTGTTACAAATGCATAATCTCAGGCAAAATACCTGAATATATCAATCAGAATCTGCTCGGAACAACTTGGGTAATTGGTAAGCACATTAACATTTGAGAAACACTGGATAGAAAGATAAGGGCAGAATCAGGTGCTATATAAGCCTGAGGTTGACTCTGGGCCTCTTTCCTCCCTTCCCTAAGAGAAGTCTCAGCACTTGGCCTAAGACAAGTCAGATGGCAGAATGGAGGAGGCAGATGCCCCATGCAGATGGAAATACATTGCATGGGGATATGCAGACCACAGCAGAGCTCCACCAATCGGCAACAGCCTTGTTCACAACAGGACCAAATCTCTCAAAGATTTGTGGCTAGGGGAATTAAAAGAAAAAGAGACTCTTAATATGATGGTAAGGCTTTAGCTGTCAAGCAGCAGGATGCTGCTCCTCCTTGACAGCATGAAAGGAAGCCCAGCTCTACCAGCCTACCTGTCTGGGAGCCACCTGTCACATAGGAGTAGGAAGCAGATTTACTGCCAGAATTTGGGCAAAACTGCATCCCCTCTCTCCAAAATCATGGGGATAAGTGAAGTGTAGGACTGAGCTTGCAGGGATGATGCCATCATGTAAACATGTAAACATCTACCTTAATTCATCTTTTTTTTTTTTTATAAGAGGGAGGCATGTGAGGCAACTTCAGTTAAGTTGAAATCCTTGTTATTTTGAAAGGTAGTTGTAATGGTGGCTCTGATATGTGAAAGTTAATATACTTGACATAATGTAATATTTGAGTGTTGGTACTTTGGAGAGGAGTCCATTAAGTAAACCACACACTTTTTAAGTTATTGACCATAGTAACCCTGGGTCCTCCATTTGATGAGTGGAGATTACAGATCTCAGTCCAAATAGATATTCTTGAACATATCCTTTCAGAAATTGTTAAACAGGTTAAATATTCTTTCCTTCTGTAAGTCCTCTAATACTTTAATATGTTTGTTTTCCATTCATTCAATCAGTTGTATAAATAAACATTAATTAAGCAATGGCTATTTAGGCACTAATCTTGGGGCTAAGGAAATACATGTGGACAGGCAACATCTTTGACCTTGAGCTATTATATCATGGTTCAGAGAGAGTGACAAAAACATTAACAGGCAGCACAGAGCTGTCAGTGATAGGATAGAGGACATACTGCCTAATGTGAATATAGGCATAACAGAAAATGATGATGATGTTAACATGTGTCAAATATTTATTACATGGCAAGAACTATGCTAAGTATTATCCATAACTAAACTCATTTATTTTTTATCATAACCATATAAAGTAAATATTACTATTTCCATTTCTTAGGGTAAAAGTAATAAAGCACAGAAAGGTTGAGTAGTTTGTGCAAAGTCACACAGCTAGAGTGGCAGGAATAGACAAACTTTAAAGCTAAAGTGATATTGTTTGGAAATAAGATACTGACGTCCAGAGATAGAAAATTAAATGCATAAAATTACATTAAAATGAACATTTACTAATGGCCTGCTATTACCAGGAACTGTGCTAGATCTGGAAAGTAACAAAGATGGATAAGACATTGTTTCACTAATCAGGAGTTCATCAATAGGACATACAGGCCGGGCGCTGTGGCTCACGCCTGTAATTCCAGCACTTTGGGAGTCCGAGGCAGGCAGATCACGAGGTCAAGAGATCGAGACCATCTTGGCCAACATGGTGAAACACTGTCTCTACTAAAAATACAAAAATTAGCTGGGCATTGTGGCCTACACCTGTATTCCCAGCTACTCAGGAGGCTGAGGCAGGAGAATCACTTGAACCCGAGAGGTGGAGGTTGCAGTGAGCCGAGATCCCGCCACTGCACTCCAGCGTGGTGACAGAGCGAGACTTCGTCTCACAAAAAAAAAAAAAAAAAGATATATAAACACACATAGGGATATATTGTGGTAAACTGTTCTAAGTTTGCTGATGCATGTATGTGCAAGGTACTGAGGACATAAAAATAAGGGAGTGATTGACTCCATTCTGGATGTGGTCAAGGAAGACTTAAGAGGAGGTGATATGTCAGCTGGGCTTTGAGTTGTGAATAGAAATTTGCCAGGTAGAGGCATTTCAGGGAGAGGAAACAACAGGTTAAAAAAAAGCAAGGACACTAAAGAGCAAAGTAAGGGAGGTTTCTTTACACAATTCAGTTGAGTATCTACTTTATATAAGCAGCTGTAACACCTGGTACAAGGTGTAAAACAATGAGGAAAAAGAGTCCTTGGAGTCTGCAAGGAAAGTTACTATTCCTCATCTTTATGTCTGGCAAGGGTGCAATGGCAGAGTGTGGTTAGACACTGCACATGGAATACAGTCTTTCATCTCTTGAACCTCCTGATCCTAGTAAAGTAGTGGTAACATATTATGAACAGATAAACACTTAGAGAAAAGGAACAGAAGACAGAATTTCAGGGAACATAGGACTATAACAATAATTTAAAGATAAAAAAATGTACAAGAAGTGGTACCTGATTGTTACGAGTGAAGATACAACCCACTCTCCTGTAGAAGGAAAGCATGGGACGAGGTAACATGGTGCCCAATCCAGGAAAGTTTAGTGATGAGAATATTCCAATTAATGTAAATGGAATATCTGAATTGAGCCTCATACAGAAGACATCTAATGAATTGTAAAAGATATCCTCAACATTCTACATTAAATGTCATAGGTTTCTTCTAAGTCACATCAACTAGAAGCTGAAACTCTAAAACCAGAATAAATTCCCAGCAAGCAAGAGGAAACTGATCTTCATTCCTTTTATGATAAAATAAGAATTATGTTTACCTTATCATTCAGGCCTTGAGGAAGGACAGAGGCAAATGTACAGACCAACTCTAGCAACTTACAAGACTCTAAGACCATGTTGAATATCTGTATTGAATGTATTTTCTCTAGCTGTGGACATTCATATGTGTATATATATATTTCTTTCTGATTTTGATTTTTACTCATATTTAATACCACGTTAAGATTGTTATGTATTTAGTGGAATGAAGCAATTCAAACAAACAGGCACTGGGAGGGCTACGGGGGCACCACATGAAGTCAGGTGTCCTGGGATATCGGTGAGGAGAGATCCTGGCTGGGCCCTGGCTGGGCTGACACCTGTGGGCGCTGCCATGGGAGGAGTCTGGGACTCGGTGAAGGTTGCCCCGGGAATGTATCGGCTGGCACAAGGCAGCTTGAGGGCCTGTCATCCATAGAAGTGCCAGTCAGGTGTCACAGAAACAGCCCAGTGTGGCCAGGGTGCAAAACCTCAAGTTCAAGTGAAGAGGAAGCTGAAAACTGGAATATTAATGCTAAACATGGGAGGACCTGAAACCCTCTGACACGTTCATGACTTCCTTCTGAGGCTCTTTTTGGACCAAGACCTCATGACACTTACTGTTCAAAATAAGTTTACACCATTCTTTGCCAAATGCAGAACCTCCAAGATTCAAGGGCAGTACCACAGAACAGGAGGTGGGTCCTCCATCAAGATGTGGATTTCCAAGCAGGGAGAAGGTATTATGGTGAAGCTGCTGGATGACTTGTCCCCCTACACAGCCCCTCACAAATAATACTTCATTGGATTTTGGCATGTCCATTCTTTACTAAAAGAAGCAAATGAAGAGATGGAGAGAGATGGCCTGGAAAGGGCTATTGCTTTCATGCAGGATCCACAGTATGCTTGCTGTACCACAGGCGGCAGCTTAAATGCCATTTAAAGATCCTATAATAGAGTGGGACAGAAGTTTACAATGAAGTGCAGCACTATCAGTAGGTGGCCCACCCATTGCCTCCTCACCCACTGCTTTGTTGACTACATTCTGAAAGAGCTGGACCATTTTCCACTGGAGAAGAGAAGCGAGTCGGCCATTCTCTTTTCTGCTCACTCACTGCCAATATCCGTGATCAACAGAGGAGACCCCTATTCTCAGGAGTTAAGTGCCACTATCCAAAAAGTCATAGAAAGGTTGGGTTACTGCAACCCTTACCAGCTGGTGTGAGGATCCAAGGTTGGTTCAGTGCCCTGGATGGGTCTTCAAACAGATGAAATCTATCAGAGGGCTTTCTGAGAGGGGAAAGAAGAATATCCTCTCACTTTTGATAGCATTTACCAACGATAACACCGAAATGCTGTAGAAACTGGATATCGAGTACGCTCAAGTTTTAGACAATGAGTGTGGAGTTGAAAACATCAGAAGAGCAGCCTCTTAATGAAAATCTAGTGTTCTCTAAGGCCCTGGCTTACTTGGTGCACTCACCTATCCAGTTAAACGAGCTGTGCTCCACAGAGTTGACTCTGAGTTGTCTGCTCAGTGTAAATCCTGTCTGCAGGGAGATTAAATTCTTCACCAATTCTAAATTGTCTGCAGAGAGATCGGATTCTTCACCAACTGGCAGCTGTGACTCCCCCAAGGTGGATTCCATGGGATTAGGCACATGACCAACCTCTAGCTCCTGCCCATGTGGAGAGGCATGTTATTTAGAGATCAAGGAAGGAAGTCATCTTAGTATATGTAGTCTTTGGGCACAAATTATGTGTTTTCTTGAGGATTGGACTATTGTGATGAATTTCTGTTTTTATATAACTATACAGTGGGCATTGATATTTCCTCTCTCTAGGTATAAATTACTAATTTGTAATGTTCAATAGGACAGTCAATAAATGAGTGGAAAAATTTATCTTATGAGACACACACCTATTTTAAATATAGATTTTGGTTTTATTGCCTAAAAAACTCCTGAAAAGATGCAGAGTCCCCTCTGTGGGCTTTCAGTGTGAACAGGATCTGTTCAGTCTTGTGCATATAATTGTAGTTATTAAAATAAACATAGTTGAGTATTTGAAATGAATTCAAAAAAGAAATGTTAATCTTTCCCTAAGCCCGTGGGTTATAGAATGCCAGTAAGGCAATTTGGCTACCTACAATGGCTGCTGTTGCCAGCGAGGCCGCCATTCATTAGTCATTTGATATTTGTGTGTCTCTTACTTTCCTCAGTGTAAAATTGAATCAAGTACAGATTTCAGAAGTACTCTGAAATTCCCTAGGCACCCAAGGCTAATAAATGTTATACATGCTTTGGTGGGTGTCTGTGGTTGCATAGGAAAGGGGTTCCTATCTGCAAGGGCAGCACTGCTGGGAAATGGTAAGGATGGTGTTCATCCTTACATCTCCTTCAGGGATCATCACAAGCATTTGCATCCAGCATCTTGTTTCTCTTAGTTGAATGTCTCCTTTCTGTACATTTGTTTTAAGAATTACTTTATATGGTCAACTATACTTTGTAAGGTTGAATTCTTTCTTAATTTACTATTTTTTGTTATAAAAATTATATAGCCAAATAGGACATGTGAAAAATACAGAAAATAAAAATAACTGCTCTAATGTAACACTATTATCATGTTATTGCTTTTCATACCAATCTTGTCCTGTAGATATTTTTAATGCCATTGTCACCTTGGATTTGTGAGTGAGAAGTTGTTATAAAAATGTGAAAATAATGTCATATCAGAATATGATCTTCTATATTTGGATTTAAGTAGGTTAAAAGATCCTTGATGGATCTATGAAGAATTTTTAATGATCACTTTCTCTTTCCTCCAAGCCCTAAAACTTTGTTCTTCAAAAAAGCACTTATTTGATTTTGTATAAGCTAGCTTACAAAGTGGAAATATTTGTGAATTCATAGATCTTCTATATTGAGAATTTGCTATGTTAATAAATATTATGACACCAATCAATAAATAAACATATGAAAGTGGAGATATCGCTAGGCTCGTGGCTCATGCCTGTAATCCCAGCACTTTGAGTGGGGGAGGCGGGCGGATCACTTGAGGTCGGGAGTTCAAAATGAGCCTGGCCAACGTGGTGATACCCAATCTCTATTAAAAATACAAAAAAAAAAAAATTAGCTGGGTGTGATCTCAGCTACTCAGGAGGCTGAGGCAAGAGGATTGCTTGAACCGAGGAGGTGGAGTTTGCAGTGAACCGAGATGTCACCACTGTGCTCTAGCCTGGGCAACAGAGCAAGATTCTGTCTTAAAAACAAAAAAAGTGGATACATCACTGTGGCTAAAAACTTTTTAAGAGAAGAAGACGTTTTCAAAACTGTTTCAATGTAATGGAGATGTACAAATCAAAAACATAGCAAAATAATCAAAGTAGATAGCAATGGCAGAAAAACAACCTAAAACAAAAAATAGAAATTGTGCTTTAATAATATACATTAAATTTCCTGAGTCATTCTAGACAGCAAATAAGTTATTAATATAACTGATAGAAATATTCATTTTTATCAATATACTTTTGGAAGTTTTACCTATAAACATTTATTCATCCAATCATGTGTTCATTTATTCAGTAACTTTTCAATAAGTGTCTTTGACGTGCCAGTCACCAACTGTTTTGAATACATCAGAGGACAAGACAATGCAATTGTCCTACATTTGCAGAGAAACAGCTAATAAATAAATAAACAAACAAAGAAAATAATAACAGGCTATGGTAGATGATAATAAAAAGGAAATACAAAATGTACTTATTAGGTAGTTATAACCACTTAACAAGTCACCCTGAAACTTAGTGGCTTAGAACAACTAGAAATTATTGAATACACAATACTGGGGTTTGGCAATTTGTCCTGGGCTCCGTGAAACAGTTCTGCTTATCTGGGCCAGGCTCAATGGAGCTTGGCCATATCTCATTCGTGCTTCTACAGACAGCTGCGACATTGGTTTAGAGCTAGCAGGTCCAAAACAACTCAGCTGTGATGGCTCATCGGCGTTCCACATGGTTGTACATCCTCCAGCAGGCTACCTGGGACTTGTTCATTTGGTGATGGTGCTGAAATCTCAAAAGAGAGGATGAAAGTTTGCAATGCCTCTTGAGGCCCAGACTTGAAACCCAATAGACTCCAGCTACTGATGGCAGAAGTTCCTAAGAATTGAGGTCATTTTTGCAGTTAACACATTAGGACAGAACACCCAGGACTAAGATGATAATTTTGATGTTTGGAGTTTGGTTATAAAAGCAGCCAGCAAAGAAATCAGGAAACGATGATGTTCTAGGAGTCTCTAGAGGAGAGCTAGAAATAAAATAATTGAAACTAATGAAGTGAAACAGATACAAAGAGTACACATAAGGAGCTCAAAATCAATGATAACTTTTATAGGCTATAAAGGATAAAAAAATATAAAGTACAAAATGTTGGAACATTGTCCTAGAGTTTGCTAAAATTACCAACAAATAAAAACTCATTGGTCCTTCTGGTCTTTTATTTTTTCACCAAATCACCTGTATTAAAACTGTGAATTAGTTATGTTCTTGTATTTTGCACTATTTATCAAAAAAGAAACTATATAACTACTCAAGGGAGAGGAGAATGTTCAAGTGTATCCAGGAGGAAAAAAAATGTCAGTAGGAAAGAAAAAGCTTTTTTAATTTGATTCATTGCCTCTGAATTTAACTGAAGAATTTAGAAATTTAAAATATTAGACTGCTCCAAAAGTTGCAATCTGTTATCTCCTTTCACATTTATTATATATGTGTGTGTATATATATGTATATGTATGTATATTTTTTTCTAAACATATATACACATATAGGCATACCACATGTATATGTATATGTGTTATATACATATAAAACCCTGCACTGTGTTCCCAGAAAAGCCACAGACTCTCAATGCCAGCCTGTGAATGCAGCTGAAATGGGGCTGCACCCTGCAAAGCCACAGGAGCAGAGCTGCCCAAGGCTGTGGGAGCCCACCTCTTGCATCAGTGTGACCTGGATGTAAGACATGGAGTTAAAGGAGATCATTTTGGAAGTTTAAGGTTTAATGACTGCCCTATTGGTTTTCAGAATTGCATGGGGCCTGTAGCCCCTGTATTTTGGGCATTTTTTCCCATTTGGAACGGGTGTATTTACCTAAAGCCTGTAACTCCATTGTACCTAGGAAGTAACTAAAGTGCTTTTGATTGTACAGGCTCATAGGCTGTAAAGTTGTGCTATGTTTCACCTTGGCTACATCTTCCTAAATTTCTCACTGACATATTGCCATGTCCACATATGCCCAAACTTTAACGGACCCAGAAACCCAACAGAAATGCCAAAGCCAATCATGTAAAAGTTTTCTTAATGTCAACCTACCTTCTAAAAGACATTTTTTCAAAAGAGCAGAATCCAAAGGTAAATAATTATTTACAAGGCAGGGACTTGCCTTGTCTCAAATGAGACTTTGGACTTTTGAGTTAATACTGAAATGAGTTAAGACTTTAAGGGACTGTTGGTTGGAAGGGCATGATTGTGTTTTGAAATGTGAGGACATGAGATTTGGGAGGGCCAGGGCGGAATGATATGGTTTGGCTGTGTCCCCACCCAAATCTCATCTTGAATTGTAGTACCCATAATCCCCATGTGTCATGGGAGGGACCTGGTGTGAGGTAATTGAATCATGGGGTGGTTACCCTCACGCTGTTCTCATGATAGTGCATGAGTTCTCATGAGACCTGATGGTTTTATAAGAGGCTTTTCCTTATAAACTTCTCTCTCTTCTGCCACCATGTGAAGGATTTCTTTACTTCCCCTTCCACCATGATTGTAAGTTTCCTGAGGCCTCCCCAGCCATGTGGAACTGAGTCAATTAAACCTCTTTCCTTTATAAATTACCCAGTCTTGGATATTTCTTAATAGCAGTGTGAGAACATACTAATAAATATGTGTATGTATATATGTATGTGTATGTATATATCTATTTCTATACAAATATATGCATAACACATATATATGTGTATGTGTGTATATCCCTTTAATTGAATACAATTCATTTTGGGAAATGTACAATTACTTTTTTCTAGCCTTCAACTGGTCTACTTTATTCCACTTTCCATTGTGATTTGTTGGTGGTGTGACCTATTGCAGACTGCTTTCAGAAGTTTGATCACTGGTATTACTCAAGCATTATGACTGAGCCCAGAATGATGTGTTCTGTGTTGTTAGACATCCAATATGATGATAAATAGCTCTGTGCTCTAAAAGAGAAAGAAACATTTCAATCCAATATAAATGGAGAGACCCTGGCCTTGCCTGATTTTCTAGATAAACAGAGTTTGCTTTCTAGCTCTGATGAAAAGGCAAATTTTGAAATGGAATTAAGAAGCTGACATACACACCTGAGTCAGACTCATACCCATGCTTCAGTGATTTAACCATAATGGAGTTCCTGTTGCTTATATTGCGTGTTCACATACAAGCTAAACTTAGTTTATTCTAAACCCTTTGTGTCAGAAAGAATGAAACAAATGTATAGAACTGAACTCTATGGCCCAAAATAGTTCCTCCTATCTTCTAAAAGATAAAGATGTAGATTCCTTGTTTAATAGTTCATCTCCTGTCACAACTGAAATGAAGGAAAAGTAACTCCATTTCTCTGACAATTTATATCTATAATATTATGCTCAAATAGTCAAAGCTTCTCATTTAAGCATCATATAAATTTTCATGAAGATACTCATGAAGCTATTATTTGAATAAACAAATAATTGAATAATTTAGCACTTCCCAATGTGTTATATTTGTTTATTATACTCTCCATGAACAAAATAAAGTTTCTATCATTAGAAAAACCTGAGAATTTCTGTATAGTACACATTGGCATAATAAAAGTTTTAAGAAATTCCTTATTAAAGAAATCTGATAAATATTATATGTTAGAATGTTTATATGTTTTTTGAACATAGAGCTCTATTATTTCCACAAAATATCATTGTGATTGTTTGTATTACTCGGTGGTCTGCAGAACACAACTGGAAAATTCTGAGTTCTATTTTTTTTTTCTTTTCCTGAACCAAACACTAGCTATCCGGGAAAAGGCCAAGTCGTGAAAGAATTACTGGAAATGTGTGCACACCTCCACACCATTTACCTGAGCAGAAGTGCCTGTCAGATCCACATAGTCCTTGATAGTCCTAGAAGAAAACTACAGAAAACCATGATTATTAGGAAAAAGAGTCCAATGCAAAGAGAGCATCTAGGGATCATGGAAATACAGAGAGAGGCAAGACGCTGTTTTAAAATCCTGAAAAAAATAACACTATAGAGACTCAGTGCCACTTAATGGCACAGAGGCGGGTTCTTTTGATCATGTTGCAAAATCTGCAAGACATGTCGCTGACATCCCCAAGATTTGTGACCTCTGCCAAGTTATTTAACTTCCTTGAGCCTCAGTTTCCAGATCTCCAAAATGGGGTGAATCTGATACCCAATTCAAAAGATTGTTGTGAGGATTAAATTATGACAATAATATCTGACATGTAAGAAGAATTCAATAAATATTACCTATTATTTAGAAGAAAGAAAGAAAGAACTTTCTTGTTTCACTTAGGGTAGATTTTGATATCTGTGTCTATTTTGTCTGAGACTTATTGACAAGGATAGCTAGAAGGGAACTTAAGATCACCTGGCTAATTCCCATTTTTTAACATATAAATAAACTGAGGCCCAGTTTATTTAACTGGGCTGGAGGCATTTAGGTCTGATACATTTAGCTTCCCACTCATGGGACTACAGTAATTTAAATGACTCAAATTCTCATGCATAAAATTAATATTTTCCTTTTGAGCATATATTGACTTTCCCTTTTAATTCCCAAATATCCTAAATACTTCTCAAATATAGTTCTGAAATCAGACATTTCAATTTTTTTTCTGCACTTATTGGTAATGCTTTAAGCTTTTTGCCAGTTAGCTTGAACTGAACTGGATGTCAATTTGAATTGAATATTATTGTAAGGGAGACTCTATTCTCATCGCAGAAGAGTTTTAATTGGGAATGGATGCTAGTTATTTCAGCTAATCTACACTGGGTATCTGGATCTGTCATCTGTGTTCCATAACACCTCTTCTCTAATTCTTGTTCTTTAGCTTTCTCTGTCAAATTCTAGGACACTGCTCCCATTTGTCTCCTATTGCAGTGATACAATTTTCTGCGGTATCAAGTTACTATTCTACATCCCCATTCTCATTTTAAATTCAGCTCTCAGGTTTTCTTTACTTCGTACATATTTCTGACACAGCTTATTTATAACAACTTGGCTTCATAAATACATGAATCTTTTCTCTTTAACATTCTGAGAACAAATTTTTCTAGTTTTCTCCCTTTTTCTTCTGTAACTCTTGTTAACTTTTTTCTGTTTTTATTACTATTTTATTGCTTTGAGTCAAAGAAAATGTCCTTCACATTTCCCAGATCTTGTAATTTTTTGAGACTCCATACATAGTTGATGTAGGTTCATGTTTTAATAAAATTTCAAATTATTTTTATGGTACATGTAGAAAGCACTATTCAACCACTAAATGATTATTATTGGCTACCTTATTATAAAGTTTAGTAGATTTATTTTGTTTTAAACATTTTTGAAAGATTGAGATTTACAAGTTTAAAACTATCATTATTATAAATTTGTCCCATATTTTTATTTTTTCCTATATATTTTTCCTAATTGTCATATAACTATGCAGTCTACTTTTTTATTGAAGTAAACAGCTGCTCTTTCTTTTGCATAATATATTTATTTAAAGCTTACACTTTGTGATATTCATATTGAAACCACTTTCTTACCTTACTATTTTCTAATCCTTTAAAGGTAAAATTTGAGGGTCAGATGTGTCCTTTTTAAGCAATGCATAGTGACATTTGTCTGATGAAGTTAGGTCACACAGTACTGAGGAGTCTGTCATTGGCTGGTGGCTCACTTTCACCTTTACACCCACAAGTTCTCACTGACACCCACTCATTACTTTAAATGATTCTCTTTTGCAAACTAGACCTTCTGAGTATCGTTTCTTGGCAAATTGCACAGGAGTCTAGCCAATTAATGAGTAAGAAAAATTTCCTTTCCATTAAGTCTTAAGATAATAGGTTTTTGAATCTGTTCTATCTAAAAATTAGCTTTTAAGAGAGGTGTTGATATAAATATAATGAATTAATATATCAAATTTCTTATTAAATGTTCTTGATACTGCTGAATATACTGAAAAAAGTATGAAACGCCTCTATGAAAATTTATCCTTGTGACCTCATACAAATCCTTTGTGCCATCTGAGGCTTACTTACTGCATCTGTACAATGAAACATTCGCCTATCTTAGCCATAACATCCCCTGCCCTACTCAGAGGTTTTGCAACTCTGTGAACTCTAAATATAAGGCAGATCCAAGTACTCAGTTAGGATACAAGTATTTGGGGGATGATGCATAAACTTTCAGAAACATGCTTTAGAATTTAGTATGGCTTACCAATAAAATAAGTGATAAATAGTTTGAATAAACAATGATATTCTGTTAAATTCTTTATTACAGTGTACTTTATTGGATTTTTTAATGATGCAAAAATTCCAATGTGATGAGCCAATAACTCAAGACTTTTTTCAGATAAAATATGTATTTTCAGGTTCTAATCAGTTGCTTATGCATTTATCCATTCATGATTATTTACTTAAGTAAAACTGCAAGGTAGATGCAGTGTGGTGATATAAAAATGGAAACATGAGTCCCTGGAGACACTTGTTTGATAACTGTCACTAAGATTTGTTTCTCTGATACCAAAGAAAAGAATTTTGATTTTGGCCCTAACCAAGAGATATTTCATTAAACATTACTTTTATAGGGCACTCTAGGTGTTAGGTCAAAAATATGATATATGTATTTAATATAACAAAGTTCTTTTTATCTTCAAGAGAAATGTATAACGTTCAGCATAACTAATAAAGAAGTACTTTTGTTGTTGTTGTCGTCGTTGTTGTTGTTGTCCTTTTGGCAGAATATCTTGAGGAACATGTGTTCCATGGGAAAGTTTTGGGGATATGATGTGCTTGGTGGGTCTATAAGGTGGAGTTCAGTTGACCACCCTCTCTGGCCAAATGTTGAAGAGCCTTTTTTTATTTAAACAAACAAACCAACAATATCATGAAACAATTGTTTAAACTAAATGGAAATGACTTTTGGCTGATATCTTCTTTCAATGATTTGAACTATAGTGTCCTGCAACTATGAACTAAGAGTTTAATGAAAACATATAGTTAGACTTGTGGTAAACTTATGCAAAATTTCTTCTCTGAGTGGGTCACCAATTATTTTATAGGAAAGCAGGTTAATATCACATTTTTCTTGCTGTGTGTGCAAAACAGTCTAGAAATAAGTGCAAAAATGCCTACTGTACCCCTTTCACACTGGCCCTCAAAATAATTCTGAATAACATAATTAAAAGAAACTTGACAGAGAAGACAGAAGTCATTTTTAAAATATTTTAGATTCTAGGGTAATGCTGAATTAACTTTGTCCTTTCTATGTTTTTGTCCACGATGCCAATCCGTAGATATGATGTTGGCCCACATACTCCATACAGTTCTGCTTTGCAGCTGCAAAGTAGATGAGGGGCCAGGAGGGGGAGTAGAAGTTAAAATATTGCAGACAGAGCTACCCTAAAATTCATGATAAAATGATTAATGCTGATGACAGATGGAGAAGTAAGCAAGGCCAGCCAGAAAACACCACCAACTGGTACCTAAGGACAAAGAATGAGGACTTCCAAAATGACAAACAGAACAGTAATTGAAAAAAAATCACATGTGCAATTATTAAAAAGGGGAAACTGTAGTAGGAGACAAACCATTTCTCAAATATAAATGCAAATGGTGGTTGTATATGTTTCAGCCAGACAATGGTGCTTCAATGTATCACCGTCATGAAAGAACAATGAGGCTTAGGCTAAGTTTGTGTGTTGATTTTCCATGAAATCCACAAAAACAGGCTATAATTTTCAAGTAAATAGCTCTCCTATGGTAAAATACTAATGCTTTTCTTGCATACCTTTTCTTTTTTTTTTCTCTCAGAAAGCACAAGATAGATCCAGGTAGCCTTGCTGATGAATGTCAGATATTTTAAGCTTCCTTTATTATTTTTTATTTCTACGAAGAGTAAGGCAAGAGGGAATAGTGCTCCACATGATGATATCTGCTCCATTCTGAGCAAAAGTGCTTTTAAATCCCCCAAGCCTGGTCTCAAAATACTCTCCTATGTAAAATACCAAGGGAAAAAGAAAACCCTAGGGACAAATAAAGGATGAACCAGATGATGACATTTTTTCTTTTGATATTTTTTCCCTTTCTAAGGTTACATATGCTTGCCTTCACTGTCCATTACAAATATGCTTTGTCCTTTAACTGAGTCAGAATGCCACCTGGGTGTGCCACTTCCTCACAATTATGCTGTAAATATGTTGATTTATGCATACAATTATGCATCTTATATTATATTATGTAAATGTGGCTATAAACCTAATGTAGACCATTCTTCAGAAAGAAATTTTAAAAATTCCTTGTAAAAGTTATCATATATTATCAAACTTTTTTGTTTCTCCACAAATATATGTAAACATTGAAACCCTTAAACGGCCTGGTACATGAAAGTTACTCAATACTATTGACTTTGTTTCTTCTTATTCCTCTTTCCACCTCAGGCAGCAGACAGGAAAAGAAAAAAAAATACAAAAAGAATCCATGGAGATAAGAATTGTATGATTATTATAATGTTAACATTTGTATAATATTTTGGAATGGTGGCTTTTATGGCAAGTTTTACGCATGCATCAGCAGTTAATCAATCATATTAGACAGAACAGTATGAAGGGTAAAGTATTCAGGAGTCTCAATTGCTGCTCTCCACCTTTTCCCTCAACATTTCCCCACACTGTCTGAGATCCTTGTTGCTGTATGGATAATACAGCCCATGATTAGGAAAAAACATTCATCTTGACTGCAAAGTAGTATAGGGTTAGTTTCCAAAAACGAAAAATATGGAGAAAAGGAACATGCATTTTTGCCAGTTCTCCCTCTTACTGAATTTCTTGCTTACCTCAAGCATAAATTTCCTCTTTTGCATAAGAGGGATATGAATGTTTTGAAAATTCAGCAGGTAAAACATTTCAGCATATTTAGTTTGGGCCCTGGCACAGAGTAACTTTTGTAGCTGCTATTTGATTTAATGTCTAGAGAAAAATTCAGTATCACTGCCCAAAATGGTTATTCCTTAAAACGTCTTTGTTTTATTATAAAAGCGGTAAAATCTTGTGACAGAAAAATTGGTAAGTGGAGAATATTACAAAAATAGCTCCCAGTTATATTTTCCATAACACATATAATTTTGGGGTACTTTTTCTAGTTTTTTTCTTTTTTAATCTCATGGTGTTTCATTTTTGTCTTGGTAATCATTCTGTACACACAATTTGGCATACTCCATTTTTGTACTGTTTTTCATATTATTTCATAACCATGAAATTTTAATACCCACAGAAAACTTTATGTAAGAAAAGTGTATTTAATTATTTTAAATTGCCTCATTTAAAAATTTAAGAAAATTTTTAAAGCAAAATACGCTTGTAACAATTATTCTTAGGCAGCTATTAAAATAAGTTTATTGATTACACTATGTATGGGTGATATTAATTCACATCCTTGCCACAGAACTTTTTTTTTTGTTTATCATCGTTTCAGCATGAAGGGATTAGTGAAGTACCTAGTATTCAAAATATGCTATATTTGAATTACTTCTCAGCTAGAGTAAATGCAGTATGCCAAAAAGATAGCCCAAAGCCCTGGATACACTAACAAATGCATTGTATGTGGAAATGATAGATTTTTTCTGGAAGTAAATTATTCATCTGCCTGGATCTCTGAAAATATTAGCCAAGCAAAAATAGTTGCTGAGAACACAGTAAATTTTACAGTATATTTTTTCCCCTGACAAAATATTTTGAGAAATTTGTTGGTCAAAGAAATTTTTATTTCTCCTCCCATTCTTATTAAACATTATTCATAGAAAAAAAATTCATTATCTAAGTTCCATGGACCGCACTGGAGTTTCATGGATGGACATTGGGAGTTTCATATGTTGCTTAAAATTGTGCACCAAATCTAGAATTTTCGAACCTTTCTAGATTGGTCTTGGGAGACGGGCTTTACTTTTTTCATAGCATCTAGTGCTGGACATAACGATGTCAAAGTTTCCTTCCAACTATAAAGAAATGTGTTTTTGATGGTCTGCTGATATGATGGTCTCAATGTCTCCCAAAATTCATGTGTTAAAACCGAATCCCGGTTGTGGTGGTATTATGGGGAGGGGGCCTTTCGGGAAGTGATTAAGTCATGAGGGCTCTGCCCTTATGAATGTATTCGTGCCTCATAAAAGGGCTTGAGGGAACTAGCAAAGATCCTTTTTACCTTCTGCTTTGTCATATAGAGGACGCAGCAAGAAGGCTCTCAGCAGACAGCAAATGTTTGTGCCTTCATCTTGTACTTCCCATCCTTCGGAACTGTGAGAAATACATTTCTGTCCTTTATAAATTACCCAGTCTGTGTATTCTGTTATAGAAGCACAAATGGACTAAGAAATTGGTGCTGAGAAGTGGGGTGTTGCCATAACAAATACCTAAAAATGTGGAAGCAGCTTTGAACTGGGTAATGGGTAGAGGCTGAAGCAATTTTGAAGGTCATGTTTGAAAACATTTAGAATGCCATGGAGCATTAAGGGTGACTCTGGTGAGGCTTAGAAGAAAAGGATAGGTATAGAGAAAGCCTCAGTCTTAGAGATTATCTAAGTGGTTGTGAACAGAATGTTTGTAGATGTATGGACAGTAAAGGCCATTTGAATGAGGTCTTAGGTGGAAATGAGGAAGGTGTTACTGGAAACTGAAGGAAAGGCCATCCTTGTTTCAAAGTGGCAAAGATCATGGCTGAATTATGTTTGTGTCATAGTACTTTGTGGAAGGCAGAATTTAAGAGCAATGAACTAGGATATTTAGCTGAAGAAATCTCTAATCATTTGTTTAGGATACTAGATGGCTTATTTTAAACTACTTTTAGTAAAATATAAGAAGAAAGAAATGAGTGAAAGACTGAATTAATAATCAAAGAAGAAGCAGAACATGAAAGATCTGGGAAATTCTCAGCTTGACTATGTAAAGAATAAAAAAGCATATTTAGGAGAGAAAACTAAGGAGGTAGCCAACGGTCCCGTTGATAAGAAGATTAGTACGGATTGAAGGAAGCCAGATGCTATTCATCAAGACTATGGGAGAATGACCCTGAGGGCATTTTGGAGATCTTCCAGGCTACCTTGCCATCACAGGCCCAGAGTCAGAACACTGAGTGCAGAATGGTTTCAAGGGAGAGACCCAGGTCACTACAGAGTTCCAGGGTGCCTGTGGGACTGCAGGGATCACTGCCCAGGCTGCCTCAAGTCTCAGCTGGCTGCATTCTGGCGTAGCACTCTTTGGCTGCTCCAGATGTGACTCAGGTGGGCTCAGGTGCAGCTTGGGCCACCACTGCAGAGGGCACGAGTTGTAAAGCTTGGTGGTGTCCACCTGATACTAAATCTGCTGGCACACAGAGTGAACAAGCATTGGATGCACAGCTACCTCCACCTAGATTGCAAAGGATGGCTGAGAGTATCCCCACTAGGGAAATGTCTAGTGGAGTTGGGAGAGTGGGGCTGCCCCCAAGATCTTAGAACTGCAGAGACAAGAATGTGATCCCAGCCGCATAGATCTTCAGACACCTGACTCCAATCAATAAGAGCTGCTGTGTGAATGCACCCCACAGAGCTGTGAGGGTGGGCCCCTTCAGGGCCTTAGAGGCCCAACCCTCAACCCAGTGTGTCCAAAAGGTGGGATATGCAGCCAAAGAATATTATTCTCAAGCCTTAAAATTTAATGTTTTTTGCCTTATTGGATTTTTAACTTATTTGGGACTTACTCCTTTCTTCTTTCTTATTGCTCCCTTTTGGAATGGGAATGTCTAAACTATGTTTGTCCCATCACTGTATATGTAGTACATAACTTCTATGATATCACAGTTTCAGAGCTGGAGAACGATTTGCCTCAGGATAAATTGTACCTTTAGTCTCATCCATATCTAATTTAAATGAGAGTCTGGAGAGACGACTTTTGAGTGAATGCTAGAATTAGTTAAGAACTTTGAGTTGTTGATATGAAATAAAAATATATTTTCCATGTGGGAAAGACATAAATGTTGGGGCCAGGGCAGAATGCTACGGTATGAGTGGCCCCCTAAATTTATGTGTTGAAACTTAATCTCCGTTGTAATCGTAGTAAGAGGTAGGGCCTTTTGGGGAATGATTAAGTCATGAGGGATCCACCCTCATGAATGGATTAGTTCCTCATAAAAGGGCTCAAGGGGACTATCCTAGGTCCTTTTTGCCCTTTTGTCTTCTGCCATGTGAGGACACAGCCAGAAGGCCCTCAGCAGACACCAAATGCCAATGCCTTGATCTTGGACTTCTCTGCCTCCAGAACTGTGAGAAATAAATCTCTGTACTTTATAAGTTACTCAGTCTGTGGTATTCTCTTGCAGCAGCACAAATGGAATAAGACACCTGGCTCACCCCTGTGTTTGGAAATACGTGCTCCCATGTGGAGACCAGTCCTAGCTCTCCCACTTCCCTCTAAAATAGCTTAACATTGACAGGGCTGCATAGAAATAATCTGAATGTGGAAATTACAGGTGGTGGGAGATCCTTGACATTTTGAAGACATAAATTAGACAGGTTTGACATGGGGTGCTAGAAACAAACAAACAAACAAACAAGCATATAAAACATAAACCAAACTCTTTCCCCAGTGGTAGAATGCCCAAGCCACAAGTTGTTCCATTTTTCCTTCCTCAGGCTAAAAATAGTGGTTCTGTTTGGAGGGGCTCACAGCTTTTAAAATGTGAATGTGCCCAGTTATTCTAACATTCTGTTTTCTTCTTTATAACCAGTAAGATGCCTTAGAACATTCTACCATCCAGAAATTGGGACCAAATCAATAAATTGTAAACACTTCACAATTCCTTTCCCTTATTCTTTTTCACAAATAATATCTGTGCAAATAAGTAAAATCTTACTAATGCTTTTCTTCTTTTTCCATTTTATACTTTTAAAATGTTTAAATTTCTATGATAGTCACAGAAAAATGTTTTCTAAAAATCAGAGAAGCTGCACTACATTTCTAGAATATAAAATCAGATCTGGAGATTATCAATTTTTATTTCAGTGCCTAAATTTTTCAAAACTGTGTAAAAGGGAACCAACATATGCATGCTAGTGACGTACCAGAAACTGAGCTAAGAGGATTACTTACATTATTTCATGTGATCCTCAGAGCAACTTCAAGTTGCTATTTTCAACTTATTTTATTTATGAGGAAGCAGGCCCTAGAATATTAGGTAACTTGTCAGAAATCCCAAAGCTGGTATACAGATATACTAGTCCATTTGTGTTGCTGTAATAAAAATATTATCAACTGGGAGGTTTGAGCAATGCACATTTATTTATCAGAGTTCTGGAGGTTGGGAAGTCCAAGGTCAAAGCACTGGCAGATTTGGTGTCGTGTTAGGGCCCATTCCTCATAAATGACATTGTCTTGCTTCATCCACACATGATGGAAAAGGGAAAGAGAACTTTGTAGGATTTTTTTATTAAGGGCACTAATCCCATTCAGGAAGGCTCTACACTCATGACCTAATCATTTCCCAAATGCCCCACTTCCTAATACCATCACATTGGGGGTTAGGATTTCAACACATAAATTTTGAGAGGACACAAACATTCTGTCAATAACAATGGCAAAAATGAGAGTTAATCAAGAGTTTTCCTATTTCATCATCATTCTAAACCTTACTTTTTTATTACAGGGACTAGAGATTCTTTTATAATCACATGTCAGAAAATGAGTATGACAGTATGCTTCATTGGAATAAAACTGGCAGAGAATAGCATGATTATGCTGTGGTTTCTATTTGAGATTGGAAAGATATTGCTGAGAATAAGCCATTTTGATCAATACAATATTGGGGGGATGGTGTGAAGAGCAGAAGCAATTGACTTGAAGGTCTACAATGCCATGAATTTACCACCTAATTAAGGATGCTTGAGTTATGCAAATTATTAATCTAAAAGAATCACATCATTAATATTTGAGCCATATTTATTCGTTAGGCAAAATGGATCTACTTAGATACAACACTTACCATTACTTCAAATGTAGATGTAGCAATGCTTTCATTTACCTCAAACTTCTCTCCACACTGACAACTCATTCAGTCTTAATGATTCTCCCACAGATTTGCTTATAGGTGCTTTCAGCTGTGGGGGGTCAACTGAGACACAAAGCTTTAGTGAACACTGGTATGCCATTTCCTCCATTACAGTGAGCAAATGAGGCGCTTTGTCCAAGACAGTTTACTAAATGTGCTCGGTGTAATGAGCTCTGCATTATAATACACTGAGCATGTGGCTACTTTTGGCTTAGAAAAGAGCCCTATCAGAGCTGGTGGCTAACCTCAGTAGCTTTCACAGTGGTGCTGTGATATCACAAGGGCTCAGGATAGCCTGGCAAGACATTTGCTTTTGCCAGTGCTAAATTAAGGGCTACTGTTCTTATTTTTATTGAGTGTTAGGGAAATAAAAAGATACACACCTTATTTTCTTCTTTCCTTTCTCCATTCCATCTCCCCTCCTTCACTTCCTTTTTTCCCACAACCTAAACCGAAACCCTTTCTCATGCTTGCTCTTTCCCTCCCTCCCTCCCTCCCTCCCTCCCTTCCTTCCTCCCTTCCTTCCTTCCTTCCTTCCTTCCTTCCTTCCTTCCTTCCCTCCTTCCTCCCTCCCTCCCTCCCTCCCTTCCTTCCTTCCTCCCTCCCTTCCTTCCTTCTTTTTCTTTCTTTTTCTTTTCTTTTCATTTTTCTTTTCTTTCTTCTCCTTTTCACAAATATGTTTTATATTAGAAGTAAGTGTGGAAAGAGCATGGTCTGGTCCAGGGACTGGTACTCTTTAACTATAAAGTGTCAGCAAATAGTTTACTTTTGTGGGCCATGTGATCTCTGTCACAATGACTCAACTACGCTTTTGTGACATAAATGCAGCCATAGACATACTTGTAGGTATTAGTGTGGCTGTGTCCTAATAAAATTGTATTTATGTGTATTATGTGTCCTAATAAAATTGTATTTATGAGTATTATGTGTCCTAATAAAATTGTATTTGAATTTCATACAAATTTTATGTATCAAGAAATATCATCCTTTTGAATTGTTTCTAACAATTAAAAAATATAAAAAATAGAAATCTTAACTCACAGACTTTACAGAAAGAGGCATCAGTGTAGGTCTCTGGTCAGAGGCCAATTCAGCTCTGATGTCTGCCTGGTTCCATATGCTAAAATTTGGCATTTAATGTTTCTCTCAAAGACATTACCTCTGTCTAAAAGATCACTTTCACAATTTCTACTCCATGCTCAAAATTCCCAGACTTATCTTTTATTCTCTGACTCTGCATACCCTTTGACCCTTAACACTAAACTCAAGTGATTTATTTTTCATGAAATCTCTTCTTATCTTTCTTCTTTCCATTAGCTTTTCAGCTGAGGCTGTCATAACATAATAACACAGACAGGGTGCCTTAAAGATCAGAAATGTATTTTTCACAGTTCTGGAGGCTGGAAATCCACGATCAAGTTGTTGGCAGGTTTGGTTTCTCCAGAGGCCTCTCTCCTTAGCTTGCAGATGGCTGCCATCTTGCTGTGTCCTCACATGGCTTTTCCTCTTTCTGCGTGCATGCCTGGAGTCTCTCTCTTATTCTAAAGACCCTACCCTTATGACCTTGTTTAACTTTGATTATCTTCTTAAAGGGCCTGTCTCAAAAAACAGTCACATTGGGGGTTAGGACTTCAGTGTCCTAATTTGAGGGAAAAGGAATTCAGTCCATAACACTCTCAATTAGATGTATGAAACTTAAGGAGAGCAAAAAACTCAGCAATCAAGACAGATAATATTTTAATACGATATTTTAAAAATAAAAATCAATGCAAAAAATCAATGATAAAAAATCAAAATTTTAAATAAAGGCAGGATCAATATTATTGATTTTTCTTTTTGTCTCAGACTTTAATATGGCTCAGCATAACACTGACTTCTTCCTCTTTGCTACTTCAGCCTATCCTTCATTTTGGTCCTGTTTTCACTTATGATATGTAGCATCCCCTTCCTTGATTATGCATTTTTGAAATCGGGGATTCTAACTATAATTACTTCCTCAATTTTTAGCACACTATCTAGCATATAATAAGTACACAATAATGTACTTTTAAAATGTGTACCCTCTGGTGTGGCATAAGGGTCTAATGTAGCCACTCAAATATTTGGAATACTTTTAAAAATCAGAAATGTGTAAAGAAGTACACTGCAAGGACCTTTCTCATGATGTTTATGATGAAAACATTTTGTGTTAGGCAAACATTTCTGGAAAGTGTGAAGAAAATGGAAGAGGATGCAAACAATGTGAATGATAATATGATGGTACCTATGAGATAAGAGGAAGAGCAAAATCTTTTCGAGAAATATACTATGCAGCAAAGTCATACACGAGGCTTGTCATATGGGATACTTCCTTTAAACTTCACATCTTTAGTTTAAATTTATAGGTGAGAAAACAAAGGAGTTAAGTAGTTAAGTAACTTATAGCCCATAGCCAAATGCAGATTAGAGAGGATTAAATCATTCTGAATCCCGTAAGACTCACTTCCTAAGATTCTATTTTGGTACATATTAAGGAATAGACATTATTTTTCTCTCAAGGGATTTACATTAACATAAGAGAATAACAAAGAGTAATGCAAATCATTAGTGACTTGAGGATTCTGGCACAAAATTATCTCTGAAATTAACCATACTGCTCTTTCAAATTTCTCCTACCAGACAGTGAGCTGCTGGAGCATAAGCGCTATCCTACTAAACTGTATTCACCATGACGCCACAGATTATAACGAATGCATTTTGACTTTTTCATTACAGTCACACTTGGTTTGCAGCAAACAGGGAGTTCATCAAGTCTGGAGAAAGGGACATTTCCCAGATCAGCACAGTGTACCCACACTTTGGAGGTACTCAGCCACAAGACCTCATGAAGTACATCCCAACTATGCTTATAGTTGCTGTGAAGAATTTATACCCCATCCTCCAAAAATCTGGCAATATTACTATGATTCTACCTTGATGTCCATTCACCAGAGGACCTGTTCTTGGTCTTCTGTTACCCTGCATTTATGTGTTACAATTTTGTTATTTCCAGCCTCATAAACTTTTCACCACCACTACCATTCAGAAGTCTGAATGTAATTGCTCTTTGCTTCCTGTCCTACAGCAAAAGTCTTCTCTGTGTTGACAGAAAATTTTTGACATGGGTTAGCATGTTAACATGCCCAATGCTGGCTTCTAAGACTAAATTCTTAGACTTACTGTTTACCTTTGCCTACATGGGTGGGAAGATGAGATAGAGGGGGGATCTAGAAATATGAGGTCACCTGCTGTTATAACTTTGATAACTGTGTTTGTCAGATAGTCATCACCTTCTTATGGGGGTGGGATATTTCAATTCTCAACAGGTTCAAGAGAATGAGAAGCTTCCCCATGTGCCCTTTAGTGGCAGCAGCAGAACCTGAAAAGAAACTGGGAAAAAATCATATTCATGATGTGTATAAATATTGAGAAAGAAGCAACTGAACAAATAAGGTAATCTTTGGAATCCTGACTTCCTTTCTGCCTATAAGGATAGAGGCAGCTGGAATATAAAGGTAAAGGACACGGGCCTTAAATCCAGAAAATTTGGGACAAATCCCAGCTAGATTGCTCAACTGCCTATGTAGCCATTAGCATGTTATTCCATGTTTCTTCATTAGTATGTGGGGGATAATAACAAGCTCATTTTAGGATTGTTGAGATTATTAAAGGAGATGCTAATGAAGCTTAAGCTTCAAGGCCTCTCACTTGCATAGGTCTTGTAACTCATTTTATACTAAAATTGTGTATTTTCTAAAAATGTAAACATTTTAGGTTCTAAAAAAATCTGAATCCATGCTTGTTTGAATCTTTCTCTTTTTAAAACACATTTAATATCAGATACTAGCAAGAGGAAGACAACAACTTATGGCAAGAAATGACATACTTATATTTTTAACCAACTCTAAAATAACATAAAAGCATATGAGGTATTTAGGTAGGAAGAAATTTATTTAGAAACCTAACAGCATAATAGAAATTATAGTGATTTATTCCATTTACCTTACTATTTGTGTTAATCTATATATACGACATTTTCTATACAGTTCTTGTTATAACTTGTTTGCATTTTGGATTTCAGCATGATCTGTTGAATGCAAAACTTGGAATTAAATCTGGAGCACAAGAGGAAGAGTTGGCTCTCTGTAGCAGCAAGGACAATTCCCTCATTTTAATAATGAATTAGTAATATGTCTAATATTTAGTAATCACTTACCATGTGATGGGAATTGTTCTTAGGATCTGAACAATATTAACTCACTTAACTTCCAGAAGTAATTTGAGAGGTAGATTCTATCACTGTTTTCATTTTACAGGGGAAAAACAGGGATACAGAGTAGTTAAGCCACTCCCCTATTCTCACAGATCTCAGCTATTACATAGAGGAGCCAGGACAGAAAGCCAAGATGTCTTACTGTACAGGCGATATCCTCAACCATCATGACAGACTGCCCTCTGTAACTAAGGAGAAGGCACATTATAAGAGTAAACATGAGGGCTGGGCATAGTAGCTCACACCTGTAATCTTAGCATTTTGGGAGGCTGAGACAGGAGGATCACTTGGAATGTGGAGCTTGAGGCTGCAGTGAGCTATGATTTCACCATAACCTGCGTGAAAGAATGAGGCCTTGTCTTGAAAAATAAATTTTTAAAAATAGTAAAGATGAGGAGGATCCAGAGATTTGGAGTTGGGAAGAGGATAATACTTTCATGTTATGATATTGATTTTGTAAGTTAAAGATAACACAAAGTCAATAGTTGAGTACATTGGGACAAAAAGAAATATGAAGTAGTCATCTTGGATTAAAAAATGAATTTACTAAGAAAACATTGGGATTTTGGGGTAGTTTAGTTTAACGTTTGTGGCTACACATGTAAAAAGAGATCAGCACCATTTTAGGATTTTTCTTCAACAACCTTTAGCTCCTTTCTTATCTATTTGTCCTAGGTTGGTGTATTAGTCTATTTTCACACTGCTAATAAAGACATACCTGAGACCGGGTAATTATAAAGGAAAGAGGTTTAATTTACTCACAGTTACACATGGCTGGGGAGGCCTCACAATCATGGCAGAAGGCAATAAGGAGCAAGTCACATATTACATGGCAGCAGCAGAGAATGAGAACCAAGCAAAAGGGGTTCCCCCTTATAAAACCAACAAATCTTGTGAGACTTCTTCACTACCAAGAGAACAGTATGAGGGAAATCACCCTCATGATTCAATTATCTCCCACCAGGTCCCTCCCACAACACATGGGAATTATGGGAGCTACAATTCAAGATGAGATTTGTCTGGGGACACAGCCAAACCATATCAGTATACATTTGGATTTCATTCATGATTGGTTGTTTTCTCATGAGTGTGTCAAAGTGGAAACTAAAGAAAACGTATTAAAAGTATTTGCAAGGAGCTGGTTACAATTCTGGCCCATGCATTCTATAGTTCTGTGTTAGTAAAGAGGACATAACATGTGCAGACATGATAAAGTAATAGTTCCAATGAGGATAAAGAGTTATTGGAATAGGAGACTAGAGTAAGCAAGCTGGAAAGACCAGAGTTAGTGATCTAAAACTAGAATTTTAGCTTTCAAGGCTTTGAAAGAAGCAATGTTATTGTTGATGACAATGTCTAAGTTTGAACCATTCGTGTGAGTGACTTAAGTAGGAGTGCAGAAAAAGCATGGCTCTTGAGGTAGTCGAGGAATTGAAATGCTAGGGGTTCTGTGGTTATCAAAAATGGTGGAAGGACCAGTAATGGAGAGCAAATTAGTGAGCTAGTTTGTAATGCCATCAAAGGATTAAAGGGAAATAATCAGAGAATGGTAAATAATAGCAGATTAGCTGTCAGAATGACTAAAGTGTCAAAAGGCATAAAGTTTTCAAGGAAGAATGTAAAACAGTGACTTAGAATAGGGACTGGCAAACTATGAACTGTGAGCCAAATCCTTCTCACACTTTTTTTTGCAATAAAGTCTTATTGGAACACAGCTAAGCCCATTCATTTATGTATTGTCTATTGTTGTTTTGGAGGTACAATGGCAAAGTTAGATAGCTGCAAATATTTTCTATACGTATCATTACAGAAAACATCACAGGCCTCTGATCAAAAAGTAGTATCAGGACACTTACTACACATTTAAAGTCCAAGATACATGGAGGGGGAAAACGCTATTTATTTGAGAGAACTGCAGGGAAAGCATTGTCCACAGAATCCCTCCAAGTTTTTCTTCAATGAGGTGGTATAGAGTGCAGAGTATAGAGTTATAGTTTTATCACTTAGAGTTTTCTCTGTATAACGAACTCTACAGCTAGAGAGTTACTGACACAAGTTCAGCCATCTGCCAGTATCATGACCTAATATGTTTTCTGGCATTCTTCTCTGCCATCCTTGGCAGGTTTGTTTGGGGCACTTAAGCTTTTCACTGCATGATCTCAATATTATAATAAAACAACATTGAATCCAGGAAGCTGGAGTTGGGTGTGGGGCAGCTAGAAAGTGGCCTTTTCCAAGTAGTTCTTGCTTTATGATAGTTAAGTAAATTTCTCAAAAGTCTTTTAGAAGACATCATGAACTAAATCAATGTCAAGAATTGCATCAATGTCAATAACTGCAAGAATTGCATCGATGTCAATAATTGCAGTTGATGCAATTCTACTCTACATCTGCTACAAATAATGCAGGGAAATCAAGTACTTTTCTATATATGTCCTGGCAAAGGTGAAGGTGACTATCATGACTGACTTAGACTAGCAATGATTCATTTGCTTCCCTAAACAAAATGGGAAGTTAACAGCAAGGGAAAGATGGAAATGAAAATAGAATAGAGACCTTAAGGTGTGCTGCAAACTTTAGAGGAGTTTATTGTTCTCTTACACCCTGAATTTCAGAGAGCACACGGGAGAGGTTGGGTAAAATGGAAAAGAATGAGAGAGGTAGTCAGATCATTGAATATATAAAACCTTATAGGACTAAATGATCTGGATAATGGTTGGTGACCTGGGTGGCTTAGATTAGCGGTACTGATTAACATAATGGGGGTGTGAAGTGTGGTGGAATTGGTCCTGTTAGACTCTCAGTTGATGGCAGACAATTCGTGTGATAGCCTAAAGCAGGGCTACTCAAAGTGTGGGCTAGTTTGTTGCCCATTAAAATGAGATACGTACAGGAAGCCAGGTTAACATTTAGAATCTTATATTACAACTTGACACTGCCAGATATTTTTATTGTATTTCCAAAAGTAATGATCTACAATAGACTAATAGGAGCAACAACAAAACAATAAGTAACAAAACAAGACACTGTTTCTTTACTATAGGAGTTTGAAAAGACTAGCTTACTTAAACTAGGAGAGTCTGGGTTGTACTACCACAATTTTCTTTTGGGGTGATGAAAATATTTTAGAATTAGATAAAGGTGGTAGTTGCATAATTTAATTTATTTATTTAATTTTATTCTATAATTTATTCCTTCATAGATAACCAAAATTTTCTGTCTGGAAATTTGTGGGAATTTAAAATAATTCTTGCAATTCAAAAAAATTTCCGTATGTCTGTTTTTATTTCTCTTTATTTTATTAAATTTGCCAGAGTAGATGTATTAGTTTACTATGGCTATCATAACAAAATACCAAAGACTGGGTGGCTTAAACACCAGAAATTTATTTTCTCAGAATTTGAGAGGCTAGAAGTCTGAGATCAAGAAGTCAACAGAGCTGATAATTCTGAGCCCTCTCTCTTTGGCTTGGAGGAGGCCATTTTCTCCCTGTGTCTTCACATGGCTGTCCCTCTGTGTGCTCCTGTGTCCTTGTTTTCTTTTTTATAAGGACACTAGCCACACTGGAATAAGATCCACCCATATAACCTTATTTTTCTTTAATTACCTCTTTAAAGGACCCAATGTCAGATACAGTCACATTCTGACGTTCTGAGGGTTAGAATTTTGTTATGCTAATTTGAATTGGGAAGACACGACATAGCTCACAACAATAGGGTTAAGCCCTTTAGAAACAGTTATATTCTAAAACTGAAAATTTTTCCTGCACTGTTTCAAATTTTTGTTCATTTTATAATTTTTCCCTTTTTCATCAGTTCAACCATATTTGTTCCATTGGATTCCCACCTGCACTTTGTACCAATTATTCATATGCTTTAAATTTCTTTAAATTTTGATCCACATACAAAATTCTCAGATTTGAATTACAGATGTATGGCTTAACTTTTCTATGTATGTCTGCTTAAAGATTCCAATGTACTGATATGAATTTTAATTCTCATACTGTAATTATCTTACGGCAAGCATACCTTAACTCAGCCTCATTAGGTTCTCATTCTGTTGTGTAGGTCATATTGCCATTTTTTTTCCTTAATCTTAGCCTGTTTTAGATTTAAAGTTTTTGTGTGGTTCACAATGTCTTTATTCATTATTTTATCTGTCTATCTACCTACTTACTTATTCCAATTTGAGGTGGTTTCTCATTTTCTTTTAGAATTTTCTCCTTATACTACAGGAGATAGTATTAAGATACATTATTCCGGTGTCCAGGTCAGAGTTCCCAATTCCATGTTCCAATCTCTTCTTTGGTACAACCCATAGTGACTTTTTTCCCCTTTTTAAGATGAGAATTCATCTTGGCAGGTATAATTTTTTCAGCATGCAGGTAGGGATATGGATCATACTTCCAGGGTCTTTTGGACTCTGGCTATTTCACTTTCTAGTCTATAGTTTGAAGGGTGTTAATTTGCATAGTTTCTAGCCCAACTCCCAGTGTCTAGCAGGATTCTTTCCATAAGGCTCTGGCCATTTGAAGAATTGTCTCCTATCCTGATGTTGATTAAACTTTGAACCAGTGGGCACATTTAAATAAATCAGCAGTCATCACGCATTGCTGCCAGGAATCTTCCAATCTCCATGTGCTCATAATTCCCTCACCACCCTGCCCCCCAGGGGATTACGGCTTTAAGGATTTAACACACAGCTTCAACTTCTCTGAAAGTGTCTTAACATTTATTTTCAAGGAGTTACTTTCTCTAAATATATCTGATAAAGATGAGATAAAAGAGGAGAAGTATCTTTTCAGCCCCCCAAAATAATATCCCTGCTTAATTTTTCCATTTGGTATAGTGACTGCTGATAACGCCAAGTCCCTCATGGTAACTTGTCCATCACTGAAGGGAGCTGATTCATTAAAGAATAAGCACCCTTCCTGGAGACAGCCAGGGTACAATGACTGATGAGTATGGGGGTACAAAAGCCCTGTTCCCAGTTCAGGACGTCTCTGTGGAGCCATCCAAGCTCCAAAGCTGATAACTAAATTACAATTAAACTCATCTCCTTATCTGAACCTATTTCCCTCACTCCCTTGCTGGTGTTCTTCTAAAAATTCTTCTGTCTAAAGCTCCTGCATGCAAATTTCCATTGAGGGAAACCTGACTTAGGAAAAATCTTCCTACCTTCTTCCAGCTGGTTGACGTAGTTTTATCTCTGGTGCCAAATGTATGTTTACATTGCCATTTCTTTTCCTCTCAATCCTGTTCTATTGTTGGCATTAGTAAAATTTTTTCCTGGTATTTGGTAGTAGATGATTTTCTGATTTTAGTGTTTACTCTTATGAATTTTGCTTTGGCGACATGCCTTTATGGTACATTAGCAGGATGCCAGATGAGGTTGCTCCAGGTACTACTAGCTGGTTGACATTTCAAACTCATCAATTCCATCATGAGTCTCCAAATGGTACAAAATATGTGGGGACTCATGGCAGTTTAACACAGTGGAAGTGTTAAGAAGTCCTAACCAGGTGTCGATTTTAGTCATTTTCTTTTGTACTTCTAAACTGTCCATGAAATTTCAGAGTGTGTGCGTAAACCAAACTCCTACTAGTTTATTTCATAGAGATTGTTCTACACCTTAATAAAGGCAGGAAGCTGACTAATTCAAACTTAAAACTTTAGTTCTAGTAAGTTCCACATGTAGCCAGCCCTAAGACTTACTGAGTGAAGTGTGGGCTAAGGAATAGTCACGCACTTCTTCTAAAATACTTTTACATGTGTACAGAAAGATACGGCATAATGGCTTATCCAGGTGAAAGAAGGTAGAAAATTTTCCTAAGTCAGTTTTCCTCAATGGCAATTTGCATGCAAGAGCTTTACAAAGTAATCTAGTGTGTTGGAGCCTAAGGGGTAAGGAGTAATTAAAATAAAGACCTGGGTTCAAATTAAAACTGCATTGACTAGCTAAATAATTTGGGGCAATTTTCCTAAACATTATAATCCTCCATTTCTTTATCTGCAATATGAGAATCACAATTCTTATGTTATTGGTTTACTGTGAGGATTAAATGATATAAGGTAGGTAAAACACCCAGGACAATCATACTATCTTATTTTTATATAATAGGTGTGGGATACATTAGAAACAGGAAGAAGCTCAAGGTCAAAAATTGTAGGCATATTCTGGGTCAATCTTTTCACTCTTCCTGGCCTAATTTTTCCATCCTTATACAGGGGGAATTGGGATTGAGTGAGTTTATTATTTCCTAGGACCTTTCCAGCTGTAAGTTTTTATAAACATATACAAGAATATATTTGCATATATACAATTATGCGCATTTTTAACAGGACACTGATAAAACTAAAAACCCAGGTAATTTGCCCATAGTCACACAGATAGAAAGTACCAGAGATATAGTTGGAAATTAAATTTTTGTGCTTCAAATCCTTAGTTCTCTGAAATGTATCTTGCTTAGTGTGTATATGATACATTACATTCTTATTGAACAATTGGATATTCTTATGTGTCTGCATTTATCTTTGGTTATTTATTTATTCAGTTGCACAAATTTCAATCATGCCCATCTACCTGGAGGACTTCAGACAACGAGTACATAATTTTTCAAAATAGGGGACCTTTTCTTTTTCTTTGTCCAAAAGCACACCATTAATAAATGAAGCTGCCATTCTACAATTTCCCTACTCTCCCAGTATGTGAGTTATATGATTTGCTGCATCAGGCAAAACTGTAAGTGACTTGCCTCATTATGTTCTGTCCTGAGATGACAGCACAAGTATCACGGGAGCATGAAAAAATGAGGTAATACATTTGTGCTTTTTTCTTTTACCATTAGTATCAGCACTTTCGTTCAATTCACAATTGTACCAATGCAGGTGTGTGTGATTCAGGAAATGGCATTTAGCCTATCTAAACCTTCACTTCCCATTCTGAAAACAGATATTTCAATTAATAATCAATTTATCCTGACCTCATAAAATATCAATTTTTTTTTTTTTTTTTTTTTTTTTTTTTTTTTTTTTTTTTACTTCTCTTAGAATAAAGGCCAGAATCTTAAGCTTAAATGATGGTGCTTAATCTGGCCCCTGCCAACTTCCAAAATGGCTGAACATGGCCATTTCTCCGTTACTCACTATGGTTCAGTTACAGTGACCTTCCTCTTTATCCTTGAAATCCCCAGGCCACCTCCATCTGCTGGACCTCTGCATCTGTGTTTCATGTGCCTGGAATATCCTGGATCCCTTTCTTGCCAACACCTACTTATTCTTCCTGCCTAAACTATTTATTGGAATATATTCTCTGAGCACCAAAACTAGATTAGGTTCTCATTTATAAGCTTTCAAAGCATTCTGTAATTCCTCTTCATAATATTCATAGACCTTTAATTATATTTTCTGTGACTGTCTTCCTAGCTAACTTTACATTCTAAGGTTGTAGATAAAAAGTCTGGCTTGTCCATCCATCATTGCACTCTGATTTTCTTTCATGGTGCCTTTTGATGAGTGAATGAATAAATGAGTAACAGCACAGTAGAGGGGGAAAAACAGTAGAAAAAAATAGAGAATACTAGAGCACCTAACCACCAGCATCTTCAAAGAGAAAATTAATTAACATTCATTGAATGGCAAGTTTTTAGATTAGCATATCATTTAATTTTCCTAATAACTTGTAGATATTAGGTGAAACTAACGCCATTTTACAGACAAAGAAAAAAAAAGCCCTCGAAGATTATAAATCACCCAAAATCACACAACTCACAAGTAGCAGAGATGAGCTTTCAGCACAGCTTGGCCCAAGTTCAGTGTTTTTCTTCTTTCTACTATTTCTTTAAGGCTATGATAATTATAATGAACTGAGCTGCTATCATTTATTGTACATTTTCTAAATGCTAGTGTTTACTCTGAGTGTAATGTTCATTTTCTTACTTAATACTTGCAATAATCCTTTGACATTAATTAATTTTTCAGTTCATAAATAAATCAACCGAAGACTACTGAGTACTAAGGGACTGTAACTTGCCCAACATCACAAATATAGCAAATGTTAGAGCCAGAATTGAAATCTACATCTTCCCGATTCCAAAGCATATGGCCTTAAACGACTATACTGTATTACTTTTCAATAGCTTTGGAGCTGTTACATTGATTTCCTCGTTTATTTGTTAGCAAGTTGAGACTCAGTAAGGAGTAATGTCTTGGCCATGATTCCACCAGATTTTATAAAGTACATGAAACATATTCCAGGCAGTAGAGTCAGCAGGATGTAAGCATTTACATTTATTGGGTAACTTCCATGTAGAAATAAGTTATATTTCTCCCATGTCCTGAGACATACCTTGAGTTAAAGACAGGCTTTCCAGGTGTTGTGGGCACTGTGCCAGAAATGATGCTGGAAGTGTAACTTGCATGATAAACAACTCTGATGATCTAGCTTCTTACATTAATTAGCAAATCCACTCACAGAACAAATGTTTACTGAACATCCACTTGAAACACTTTCTGATAGCTAGAAACCAGTTCCCTCCTCATGGAACTAAATTCTAGAAATGGAAGCAATTTTTTTGTTGTTGTTCAGTGTGAACGAGTCTACAGTCAATTAATCAATAATGAAGTCTACAATATGCCCAGCAGAATGATGTGTTAGACCTAAAACAATATAGGTAATATGGATATGAAAATGACAATAACAATAATAACATTAATAATAATTAGAATTTATTTTATGTCTCTTTTTTTCTTTTAGTAGAGACTGGCTTTTTCCATGTTACCCAGACTGCTCTTGAACTCCTAGACTCAAGTTATCCTCTCACATCAGCCTCCCAAAGTGATGGGATTATGGGCATGAGCCACTGCACCCAGCCTATTTTAGTATATTTTGGTTTCTGTCTTCATTCTGTATTCTAGATATTTCAGTGAATAGTAGAGATAACAATTATGAATCTCATCCTAAAGATGGTGGTGCCAGGACTCAGAAAAGTAAAGTTACTTTCTAAAGAATGTCTCTTGGCTATTTTATGACTGAGCCTTTTTTGTACAGCTGGGTACCAGGATAGTGCTGCCAAAGTCAGGTCCTCCTTCCACTATATGAAGATACTCTCTAGACGAGGTGTTTTAACCAATTATAGCATTGATAATTAACATTTATCCTCTCTCATTCTTACTCTTTCTCTATGAAATGCTATTATTTTACTTTTATAAAAAAAAAAAATAACTGGCCAAGAGAGATGAGTTGACTGTAGCGTCATAAAGCTGGTTAGTGACGGAGCAATAATGCCAGCCAAGGCCTGTGTGACTCCACAACCATAGTCTTTCCACTGTGTTACATTGCCTTTCCAGTACAAAGTGTGAAATCTGTATCTTTTCAGGACAATAGGATATTCATCAGTTCACAATGGCAGGCACTAGCGAATGAATTTCTACACACTGACAGTGCAGATGTGTCCTATAAAATGAGTCACAGAAAACTTGCAGAGTTACCATTATTTTGAATAAGCGTTGAGTGAATTATACTGATTGATTTTCAAATGTTAAATCAACTTGCTTACCTGAGATAAACAGTTCAATTTTTATGTATTGTCCATTCTCGTTATTACTGTATTTTATGTAGAATGTTTGAATTTATGTTTATAAAGGCTATAGATGTGCAATATTTTTCTTGTAATGTGTTAGTCTTGTTTTGCTATTGGGACTATTCTGGCATCATAAAAATTTGGAAAATAGTCCTAACTTCTTTAATTCTTTGAACAATTGTGTGTAAAGGTATCATTATCTCTTTCTTAACTGATTGATAAAACTTAGTCTTGAAGAAAAGAGTCATATTTTTTGTGGAAAGTTTTTAATTTGAATTAATATCTTTGACAAATACAAGACTGTAAAAGGTTTCTATTTGTCTTTTGTCAATTAAATCAGTCTGAGTTCAATCAGAGAAACAGATGCAGCAGACTATACATATTAAGAGATGTATTGTTAGGAATTCTTTTATGTGATTGTGGGGACCAGGAAATTTCAATATTCTTAGGCCACAAGGAAAGACAGACTGTAGCCTTAGGCATAAACTGAAGCTTCTGTCCATGGGGGGATTTTATTCTTTTTTGGGGACACCTCAGGTCTGTTCTTAAAGATTTTCCACTGATTGAATCAGGCCCAGAATGTCTAGAGTACTCTCCCTTATTTAAAGTCAATTGATTCTGGACTTTAATTAATACAAAAATGCATGGGAGTTCCAAGATGGCCGAATAGGAACAGCTCCAGTCTATAGCTCCCAGCGTGAGTGATGCAGAAGATGGGTAATTTCTGCATTTCCAACTGAGGTACTGGGTTCATCTCACTGGGGCTTGTCAGACAGTGGGTGCAGCCCATGGAGCAGGGCGGGGCATTGCCTCACTGGGGAAGTGCAAGGGGTTGGAGAATTCCCTTTCCTAGCAAAGGAAAGCTGTGACAGACGGTAACTGAAAATTGGGACACTCCCACCCTAATTCTGCACTTTTCCAATGGCCTTAGCAAACGGCACACCAGGAGATTATATCCCATGCCTGGCTCCGAGGGTCCCACGCCCACGGAGCCTCGCTTACTGCTAGCACAGCAGTCTGAGATCCAACTGCAAGGCAGGTAGCAGTGAGCCTCGGGGAGGGACATCCACCATTGCTGAGGCTTGAGTAGGTAAACAAAGTGGCCAGGAAGCTTGAACTGGGTGGAGCCCACTGCAGCTCCAGGAGGCCTGCCTGCCTTTGTGGACTCCACCTCTAGGGGCAGGGCATAGCTGAACAAAAAGCAGCAGAAACTTCTGCAGACTTAAACATCCTTTGAAGTAAGTAGTGGTTCTCCCAGCATGGAGTTTGAGATCTGAGAACGGACAGACTGCCTCCTCAAGTGGGTCCCTGACCCCCGAATAGCCTAATTGGGAGACACCTCCCAGTAGGGGCCAACTGACACCTCATACAGCCAGGTGCCCCTCTGAGACAAAGGTTCCAGAGGAAGGATCAGGCAGCAACATTTACTGTTCTGCAGTATTTGCTGTTCTGCAGCCCCTGCTGGTGATACCCAGGCAAACAGGGTCTGGAGTGGACTTCCAGCAAACTCCAACAGACCTGCAGCTGAGGCTCCTGCCTGTTAGAAGGAAAACTAACAAACAGAAAGGACATCCACACCAAAAATCCATCTGTACATTGCCATCATCAAAGACCAAAGGTAGATAAAACCACAAACATGGGGAGAAACCAGAGCAGAAAGCTGAAAATTCTAAAAAGCAGAGTGCCTCTTCTCCTCCAAAGGAACATAGCTCCTCGCCAGCAATGGAACAAAGCTGGATGGGGAATGACTTTGATGAGTTGAGAGAAGTAGGCTTCAGATGATCGGTAATAACAAACTTCTCCAAGTTAAAGGAGGATGTTTGAACCCACCGCAAAGAAGCTAAAAACCTTGAAAAAAGATTAGACGAATGGCTAACTAGAATAAACAGTGTAGAGAAGTCTTTAAATGACCTGATGGAGCTGAAAACTATGGCATGAGAACCACGTGATGCATGCATAAGCTTCCGTAGCTGATTTGATCAAGTGGAAGAAAGGGTATCAGTGATTGAAGATCAAATGAATGAAATGAAGCAAGAAGAGAAGTTTACAGAAAAAAGAGTAAAAAGAAAGGAACAAATCCTCCAAGAAATATGGGGCTATGTGAAAAGACCAAATCTACGTGTGACTGGTGTACCTGAAAGTGACTGGGAGAATGGAACCAAGTTGGAAAACACTCCTCAGGATATTATCCAGGAGAACTTCCCCAACTTAGGGAGGCAGGCCAACATTCAAATTCAGGAAATACAGAGAACGTCACAAAGATAATCCTCGAGAAGAGCAACTGCAAGACACATAACTGTCAGATTCACCAAAGTTGAAATGAAGGAAAAAATGTTAAGGGCAGCCAGAGAGAAATGTCAAGTTACCCAAAAAGGGAAGCCCATCAGACTAACAGCGGATCTCCTGGCAGAAACTCTACAAGCCAGAAGAGAGTGGGGGCCAATATTCAACATTCTTAAGAAAAGAATTTTCAACCCAGAATTTCATATCCAGCCAAACTAAGCTTCATAAATGAAGGAGAAATAAAATCCTTTGCAGACAAACAAATGCTGAGATATTTTGTCACCACCAGGCCTGTCTTACAAGAGCTCCTGAAGGAAGCACTAAACATGGAAAGGAACAACTGGTACCAGCCACTGCAAAAACATGCCAAATTGTAAAGACCATTGATGCTACAAAGAAACTACATCAACTAATGAGCAAAATAACCAGCTAACATCATAATGACAGGATCAAATTCACACATAACAATATTAACCTTAAATGTAAATGGGTTAAATGCTCCAATTAAAAGACAGACTGGCAAATTGGATACAGAGTCAAGACCCATCAGTGTACTGTACTCAGGAGACCCATCTCACATGCAGAGACACACATGGGCTCAAAATAAAGGGATGGAGGAAGATCTACCAAGCAAGTGGAAAACAAAAATAGCAGGGGTTGCAATCCTAGTCTCTGATAAAACAGACGTTAAACAAACAAAGATCAAAAGAGACAAAGAAGGCCATTACATAGTGGTAAAGGGATCAATTCAACAAGAAGAGCTAACTATCCTGAATATATATGCACCCAATACAGGAGCACCCAGATTCATAAAGCAAGTCCTTAGAGACCTACAAAGAGACTTAAACTCCCACACAATAATAGTGGGAGACTTTAACACCCTACTGTCAACATTAGACAGATCAATGACACAGAAAGCTTATAAGGATGTCCAGGAATTGAACTCAGCTCTGCACCAAGCAGACCTAATAGACATCTACAGAACTCTCCACCCCAAATCAACAGAATATACATTCTTCTCAGCACCACATCACACTTATTCCAAAATTGACCAAATAGTTGGAAGTAAAGCACTCCTCAGCAAATGTAAAAGAACAGAAATTATAACAAACTCTCTCTCAGATCACAGTGCAATCAAACTAGAACTCAGGATTGAGAAACTCACTCAAAACCGCTTAACTACATGGAAACTGAACAACCTGCTCCTGAATGACTACTGGGTACATAACAAAATGAAGGCAGAAATAAAGATGTTCTTTGAAACCAGTGAGAAAAAAGACACAACATACCAGAATCTCTGGGACACATTTAAAGCAGTGTGTACAGGGAATTTTATAGCACTAAATGCCCACAAGAGAAAGCAGGAAAGATCCAAAATTGACACCCTAACTTCACAATTAAAAGAACTAGAGAAGCAAGAACAAACACATTCAAAAGCTAGCAGAAGGCAAGAAATAACTAAGATCAGAGCAAAACTGAAAGAGATGGAGACACAAAAAAAACCTTCAAAAAATCAATGAATCCAGGAACTGGTTTTTTGAAAAGATCAACAAAATTGATAGACCACTAGCAAGACTAATAAAGAAGAAAAGAAAGAAGAATCAAATAGATGCAATAAAAAAAGATAAAGAGGATCCCACCGATCCCACAGAAATACAAACTACCATCAGAGAATACTCTAAACACCTCTATGCAAATAAACTAGAAAGTCTAGAAGAAATGGATAAATTCCTGGATACATACACCCTCCCATGACTAAACCAGGAAGAAGTTGAAGACCTGAATAGACCAATAACAGGTTCTGAAATTGAGGCAATAATTAATAGCCTACCAACCAAAAAAAGTCCAGGACCAGATGGATTCACAGCTGAATTCTACCAGAGGTACAAAGAGGAGCTGGGACCATTCCTTCTGAAACTATTCCAATCAACAGAAAAAGAGGGAGTCCTTCCTAATTCGTTTTATGAGGCCAACATCATCCTGATACCAAAGCCTGGTGGAGACACAACAAAAAAAGAGAATATCCCTGATGAACATCAACGCAAAACTCCTCAATAAAATACTGGCAAAGTGAATCCAGCAGCACATCAAAAAGCTTATCCACCACAATCAAGTTGGCTTCATCCCTGGGATGCAAGGCTGGTTCAATATATGCAAATCAATAAACGTAATCCATCATATAAACAGAACCAAAGACAAAAACCACATGATTACCTCAATAAAAGCAGAAAAGGCCTTTGACAAAAATCAACAGCCTTTCATGCTAAAAACTCTCAATAAACTAGGTATTGATGGGATATATCTCGAAATAATAAGAGCTATTTATGACAAACCCACAGCCAATATCATATTGAATAGGCAAAAACTGGAAGCATTCCCTTTGAAAACTGGCACAAGCACAGGGATGCCTTCTCTCACCACTCCTATTCAACATAATGTTGGAAGTTCTGGCCAGGGCAATCAGGCAAGAGAAGGAAATAAAGGGCATTCAATTAGGAAAAGAGGAAGTCAAATTGTCCCTATTTGCAGATGACATGATTGGATATCTAGAAAACCCCATCACCTCAGCCCAAAATCTCCTTAAGCTGATAAGCAACTTCAGCAAAGTCTCAGGATACAAAATCAATGTGCAAAAATCACAAGCATTCCTATACACCAATAACAGACAAACAGAGAGCCAAAGCATGAGTGAACTCCCATTCACAATTGCTTCAAAGAGAATAAAATACCTAGGAATCCAACTCACAAGGGATGTGAAGGACCTCTTCAAGGAGAACTACAAACCACAGCTCAACGAAATAAAAGAGGACAGAAACAAATGGAAGAAAATTCCATGCTTATGGATAGGAAGAATCAATATCATGAAAATGGCCATACTGCCCAAGGTAATTTATAGATTCAATGCCATCCCCATCAAGCTACCAATGACTTTCTTCACAGAATTGGAAAAAACTACTTTAAAGTCCGTATGGAACCAAAAAAGAGCCCACATTGCCAAGACAATCCTAAGCCAAAAGAACAAAGCTGGAGGCATCACGCTACCTGACTTCAAACTATGCTACTAGACTACAGTAACCAAAACAGCATGGTACTTGTACCAAAACTGAGATATAGACCAATGGAAGAGAACAGAGCCCTCAGAAATAATACCACACATCTACAACCATCTGATCTTTGAGAAACCTGACAGAAACAAGAAATGGGGAAAGGATTCCCTATTTAATAAATGATGCTGGGAAAACTGGCTAGCCATATATAGAAAACTGAAACTGGATCCCTTCCTTACACCTTATACAAAAATTAATTCAAGATGGATTAAAGACTTAAATGTTAGACCTAAAACCATAAAAACACTAGAAGAAGACCTAGGCAATACCATTGAGGACATAAGCATGGGCAAGGACTTCATGACTAAAACACCAAAAGCAATGGCAACAAAAGCCAAAATTGACAAATAGGATCTAATTAAACTAAAGAGCTTCTGAACAGCAAAAGAAACTACCATCAGAGTGAACAGGAAACCTACAGAATAGGAGAAAATTTTTGCTATCTACCCATCTGACAAAGGGCTAATATCCAGAATCTACAAAGATCTTACAGAAATTTACAGGAAAAAATCAAACAACCCCATCAAAAAGTGGGCAAAGGATATGAACAGACACTTCTCAAAAGAAGACATTTATGCAGCCAACAGACACAGGAAAAAATGTTCATCATCACTGGCCATCAGAGAAATGCAAATTAAAACCACAATGAGATACCATCTCATACCAGTTAGAAAGGCGATCATTAAAAAGTCAGGAAACAACAGGTGCTGTAGAGGATGTGGAGAAATAGGAACACTTTTACACTATTGGTGGGACTGTTAACTAGTTCAAGCATTGTGGAAGACAGTGTGGCAATTCCTCAAGGATCTAGAACTAGAAATACCATTTGACCCAGCCATCCCATTACTGCGCATATACCCAAAGGATTATAAATCATGCTGCTATAAAGACACATGCACACGTATGTTTATTGTGGCACTATTCACAATAGCAAGGACTTGGAACCCAGCCAAATTTCCATCAATGATAGACTGGATTAAGAAAATGTGGTACATATATACCATGGAATACTATGCAGCCATAAAAAATTATGAGTTCATGTCCTTTGTAGGGAAACCATCATTCTCAGCAAACTATCGCAAGGACAGAAAACCAAACAGCGCATGTTCTCACTCATAGGTGGGAATTGAACAATGAGAACACTTGGACACAGGTTGGGGAACATCACACACTGGGGCCTGTAGTGGGGTAGGGTGGGGAGGGATAGCATTAGGAGATATACTTAATGTAAATGACGAGTTAACGAGCATAGCACACCAACATGGCACATGTATACATATATAACAAACCTGTGCGTTGTGCACATGTACCATAGAACTTAAAGTATAATAATAATAAAAACATGCATGGGAACATTTTGATTAGCATTTGATTGGATAACTGAGGACTGCAGCCCAGTCAAGTTAAACATAAACTGATCATCACTGCCTATCCTTGGTCAACTTTGCACCCATATACATCTCGTTAAACCATACATAATCTCCCATTAAAGACAATACCAAAGTTGTTCTTCCACCTAACGTGACATAAGTTTCCTGTTTACAACTGAAAACACGTTATTCTTTTTCCTCTAAAGAGGATGTAAAGTTTTTAGGTAATTTTTCACCCTTCTCCTATGATACCCTATTAAATAAATACTGTAAAATAAAGTTAGCTATTTTTAATACATTTTATGTTACATGATAAGGGTATAAGAAGGAAGAAAATATTATATGCATACATACACATATCCATAACAAAATAAAAAGGAAATATTTATAATTATTATAGTCCTTATTTCAACTAACTGCATGGTGATAGTGTGTGTAACTGTTACTGTAATTACGTACTTTATATTCTCTTTTTCTGCAGGAAGCTCCTCAACTGGTCTTGCTTTTTGGCCTGGTGGGGTAAACCAAACCTTCATTCTAAAGATTCTGAGCCATTAGGTGTCCTGTTTAAATTGGGATATTATAGTTTTCCATTAGCTTTAATCACAAGATATGGTAATATTAAGAGACATCTAAGAGAGCTCCTGTATTCTAGACATACTCTTTGCAGTCCAATATCCCCTTGGTAATCAGGATCAATTACCCCAGAGAGTACATTCATCCACTTCTTTACCAGTTAATTTAGAGACATAAGGAGCCCAAAGCGGCCAGATGGTAGTCTCAACTTCCAGTTCAGTGGTGGTTGTGTCTCCTAGTGGAAGCATTTCCTTTTTTGGAGCTAAAACTTATAGACCAGCAGAACTAAAAAACAGGAATCAACAAATTTCACTATTCAGTCTTTAGGGGTATCTGCTAGTGGAGGCAATCTCATATCCACTTCTTGCTTGATTCCTGGACCCATGAATCCTGACTATGGGAGAAACAGCACAATGTATTAGATGCTGATTCAAAGGATATGCAACATACTGATAGACACAGCTCCAGCCCTGAACTCTTGCCACATAGTTGACTGTGTAATTGACTCTTCAAAAGGCGATCCTGTTATATCAAGACAGCTGAAGCAGCTGCTTCAGGGTGATGGAAACATAATAGGAATAGTGAATTCCCTGAGTATGGATTCATTGCTGCACTTCATTTGTTGTGAAGTGAATTATTTGATTAGAAACAATGCTGTGTGGAATACCATGATGATGGATTAGGCATTCTGTAATCCCATGGATGCAAATTTTGGCAGAAGCATTGCATGAAAAATCTATATTCAGATTGAATATCTACTCTAACAAGAAAGAAGAGCTTCCCGTTTTATGATGGAAATGGTCCAATGTAATCAACTTTCCATCAAATAGCTAGCTATTTCTCTAAGAAATGATGCCCTATTAGTGACTCATTGTTGGCCTCTGCTGTTGGCAGATCGGACACTCAACAGTGGCTGTAGCCAGGCAAATCTTGGTAAGTGAAAGTCCATGCTGCTGAACCCATGCATAATCTCCATCCTTGCCACCATGGTTAGTTTGCTTATAAACTTATTAGGCAATGATAGAATGGCTGGGGTAAAAAACTGAGTGATATCTTTAGTACAAATCATCATATTCACTTGATTATCAAATTCCTCCTATGTTAAAGTCACCTGTAGCAAGCATTGACATAGGATACAAATATCTTTGTATTATTTGCCCCTTGATGGATGTCTTTCTGCATATCTCTTCCTCTGACCTCCTGGGCACCAATTTTCCAATTGTGTTTCTCACAATTTTTTTGGCCTTCCAGTCAAACCATTGACCACAGCCAGTGAATCAGCATAGATAGGTACCTCTGGCCATTTCTTCTTCTAGACAAAATTAACAGCCAGATATACTTCTTGAAGTTCTGCTCACTGGGTAGGTTTCCCTTTTCCTCTGTCCTTCAGGGTTGTCCCAGAAAAAGGCTCTACTGCTACAACTGTCTGCTTCTAGGTGGTGCCTGCGTACTGTGCATAACCATCTGTAAATAAGTTCCAAATTGTATCTCTCGTAGTCAATTGGTAATAGAGAACTCCTCATGAGGCCATAGGTGCAGGCTGGGAGAGATAATGTAATTTACCAGGAGCAGGGACTATGTGCATTAGGCCAGTTCCTCATGTATCTTACTTGTGTCTTCAGGTACTGCTTGAGCTTTTCCATTTGGTAAGGGAGTGCTGCTGTGCCCACCCAACTTTAGCGTAGGGAGTCTCACGACACCCTGTTCATGATGTAACAGCTAAGTTCAAAAGATAACTTGTCTCATGGTTAAGCATTTGATCTCTACTAAGGACCAATAGCAATTTAAAAGTTGTTTCTCAAAATGAGAGTAATTATCCATAAAAGATAGCGCACAAAAGGAAGAATATGGTGCCTGCAGTGTCCAAGGGGGTTCGCTAGATATTGTGCCTCTTTTGGGGTCAGTAGGGGCCAGATGCAACAACCTTAAGAAAACATATCTTAACACGTCTCCACATACCTGGAATCCTAGAAATTTCACTGAGGTAAAAGTTTCCTTAAATTTTAGTAGTATTTATTTCCCAACATCTGGCAAATATTTTTTACCAACATTTCTAGAGTAGTTGCTACATCTTTTTCACTAGGTATAGTCCCTCATAGGAGCAAAAGATAATCAAGGCTCCTGTGGGCTAGATTACGACATAGGGCTGGGAATTTGATATACCCCTGAGATGGGAGAATCAAAATGTATTGATGGCCTTTCCATGCCCATGATGGTCTTTAAAACAAATATCGATTTTTAAAAAGCATTTTCCAGGCCGGGCGCGGTGGCTCACGCCTGTAATCCCAGCACTTTGGGAGGCCGAGGCGGGCGGATCACGAGGTCAGGAGATCGAGACCATCCCGGCTAAAACGGTGAAACCCCGTCTCTACTAAAACTACAAAAAATAGCCGGGCGTAGTGGCGGGCGCCTGTAGTCCTAGCTACTTGGGAGGCTGAGGCAGGAGAATGGCGTGAACCCGGGAGGCGGAGCTTGCAGTGAGCCGAGATCCCGCCACTGCACTCCAGCCTGGGCGACAGAGCGAGACTCCGTCTCAAAAAAAAAAAAAAAAAAAAGCATTTTCCAGATAAATAGCATATCAGGTACCAAGCAATGTGATAATTTGTGGAAGCAACAAATCCACATTTGTACCAGCAGCTGCAATTCGAGTCACCACCAAATTAACTATGATAATCTACTGTCATTGTCCAACATACATCTAGTTTCTGCACAAGTCAAGTGGGTCAACTGAATGGGGACGTGGTGGAAATCACCACATTAACATCTTCAAGTACTTGATAGTAGTAATAATGTATGCAAGCCCTTCAGACATAACGGTATTGCTTTCGTTTTAGTTTACTATTTTTATAGAGAGAAGCTGTTCTAGTGACTTCCACTTAGCTTGTCCCACTATAATAGTACTCACTTCAGAGGTTAGAAAACTAATGTGGGGATTCTGCCAATTGCTGAGTATGTCAATTCCAATTTTGTATTCTGGAACTGAGGAAATGAACACAGGATATATTTAGAGACCCACTGTGCCTACTGTGAGATGCTCCTGAGCTAATACTCTATTGATCACCTGACCTCCATAAGCTCCTTCTCTGACTGGTGACCCACAGTGACAATTTGAGTCTCCTGGAATTAGGAAGTAATTAAATTACTAACTTAAATTAGTAATTTAAATTAAAATACTGCTTTGCCTTTTCTGTTCATATCTCTTCACACTCAGAGCAAAATCACAATGAAAACAACATACATCAAATATGCAAGCATAAAACATATTCCATAAAATGCTTTATGGAAATCTATATTGCTAAATATATATACTGGAGGAAAACTGAAGATAATAATTTGATGAGCTAAATCACTAATCAAGAAGTTTGAAAGTGAACAACAGAATAAAGGCAAACGATGCAGATGAAAGGATAATAAAGATAAAAGAACTAGCTATTGGGGTTCAGTGTACACTATTCTGGTGATGGGTACACTAAAATCCCAGACTTCACAATTATAGAATTAATTTGTATCGCCAAAAACCGCTTGTACCACTAAAACTATTGACATTTTAAAAAACATTAAAAAAATTGAGAATATTAAGAAAATCAAAAGTTGTCTTTTTTTTCTTAAAAACATAAGAATAAAAAATAGTAAAATATTGGCATATGTTTAATATGTATGTTTGGTACATGAATGTCAGTTCATTTTTTTTCATATTTTTACATTTGATATGTTTTATAACTGTAATTTTTAAGTGAGAAAAGGGAGACAGCGTAAATATTTTTCCTGTTCTTCTTTCTTTATTTTTAACAAATTAAAGAATTAAGAAAATAATGGAAACCTCAGGTATGCTATCCTCAATGAAAGGAGTGTTTCTGTATGAGGTTAGACAGAAACATGAGAAAGAGTATCTGACAGAATAATATAATTTAAATTAGTTTTCTTTATGTAATGAAAAATAATAACTTTGTCACTCTATTCCTTTTTGTCTTTGTTGAGGAAAAATACATATATTTTTTTAATTTGGAAGATTGCATTGTTTACCACAAACTGCTTTTCTGACTGGTTTGATGACTAATTATCCATTCTGTTCTAATATACTATACTGTACAGTCAGTTTATCTCCATTCTCCTGACCCCAGTTGAAGCAGCTCAAATAAGGGAGACTCAATTCTAGTCCCAGGTCACTTTTCTTGATTTCAATTATAAATTTTCTTTCTTATATTACTGTGAAAAATTAGGGTTAATTCATGCCATGTGGGGGTGTCATTGTTAATTAAATTATTATCATCTGATGTTGTTTACATCTATTCATTGAAAAAAAAGTACAGAATGGTTATTACATGTCTGACACTGCTAAACCGTTTGTCAGTGTTTCCTGTATGATATTTGACACAAGGAGACTAATCTAATTTTTCTTTGGCCAGAACAAAGTTTATTATTATTTTTTTTAAAACTTCAGTGTCCTTCCTTTCTTCCTTCCTTCTTTCCTTATTTATTTCTTCTTTGCAGGTTTTTCAAAGCATAGATAACCTAACACTGTCATTTATTACAGAGGAAAACTGAATATAAAGAAGTTTCATATCAAATACTGCCAGGAAGATACATTTAATTACTAAAGTTTATAAGGCCCTGTTTTAATGTAATTTCACTCATTTAAAGTGATATTATGTATTGTTTTATAATTTAAAAAATGTTTTTTCATGTACTTTATCATTTCAATTCAGTGTTGTGAGGCAGATACATATCTCTATCACAAATGAGAACATTAATTTTCCATGCTTTAAAATGTACACATTTATATTGTTTTCAGTAGTAGAAGTAGGACTCAAGCCCCAGGGTTGCAATCTAGGTCCTGCGTTTTACGCATAATACATTATTTTTCATGTAAGGGACCTTGGGCCCAGGGTGGAAGCAATGTTTATTGGAGGCTTCTGTCATGCCCTCAGTGATGTTTCCAGATGAACCTTTATGTTACATAATGTATTTTAGGGCTTTAAAGTTCTTTCTTGGTTTAGAGAAACCAAGAGACTTAAACTGTTAAAACAATTTTAAGAAATATATGTACATTCTAAGACCATTTAAACAGAACGTGAATGCCTGGAAAATAAAGATCTTGGTCTTCACACCAATCATTCTTTCCTCTCTAATTTAATCATGGGTAGAAACTTCTGGTGTATCTTTCTAGAAATTTAATTTATCAATCAATCGTTCATTTATTTATTTATTTATTTATTTATTTTTGAGACAGGGTCTCACTCTTGTCACCCAGGTTGGAGGGCAGTAGCACAATCCCGGCTCACTGCAATCTCTGCCTCCCAGGCTCAAGTGATCCTCCCACCTCAGCCACCTGAGTAACTGGGACCACAAGCATGCATCACCATGCCTGGCTAATTTTTTTGTATTTTTGGTAGAGATGGGGTTTCACCATGTTGCCTAGGATGGTCTTGAATTCCTGAGCTCAGGTAATCCACCCAGCTCAGCCTCCAAAAGTGTTGGGATTACAGGTGTGAGCCACTGTGCCTGACCTATCAATCTATTTTTTAAATGCAGTAATTACTTAATGAGGACATGTTCTTAGAAATGCATCATTAGGCAATCTTGTTGTTGTGTGAACATCATAGAGTGTATTTACACAATTTGTATGGTAAAACCTACTACACCCTTGGCTCTATGGTATAGCCTATTGCTTCTAGACTACAAACCTCTACAGAACACTGTGTACTGAATATTATATACTGAATACTGTAGACCATCATAAAACAATTGCATTTGTGCATTCAAGCATATCTAAACATAGAAAAGTACAGTAAATATATAGTATGAAAGAAAAAAAATGGTATGCCTGTTAGGTACGTACTATGAATGGAGCTTGGAGGACTCAAGGTGAGTCAGAGTGACTGGTTAGTGAATGTGAAATCCTCAGACATTACTCTATACAACTGTGGACTTTATAAATTAGTGTTTATAAAGTTTTATAAATGTAGGCTATACTAAATTTATAAAAATTTTTATTTTTTCAATAATAAATTAACTTTTGCTTACTATAACTATTTTGCTTTATAAGCTTTTAACATTTTCGAAATTTTTGATTCTTTTAAAATAATATTTAGCTTAAAACAGACATTACAATGCTGTACAAAAATATTTTCTTTCTTTATATCCTTATTCTATAAGCCGTCTTCTATTTTATCTTTTTTTACTGCATTAAAAATTAAGACAGAAACACGCAGATTAGCCTATGCATATACTGGGTCACTATCATCAATATCACTGTCTTCCACCTCCACATGTTTTCCCACTGAGTGGTCTTCAGGATCAGTAACACACATGGAGCTGTCATCTCCTATGATAACAATGACTTCTTCTGGAATACTTTCTTTAGGATCTGCCTGAGACTGTTTTACATTTAACTTGTATTTTATAAGTAAAAGAAATATATTCCAACGTAACAATAAAGGCGTAGTGTACTAAATACCTAAATCAGTAGCACAGTCATTTATTATCATTATCAAATATTATGTACTGGACATAATTGTATGTGTTACCCTTTTATATGACTGGCAGGACAGTAGGTTTGTTACACCAGCATCACCAAAAACATGTGAGTAATGCCTTGTGCTACAACATTATGAAAGCTACAACTGTCACTAGGAAATAGAATTTTTTCAATTCTATCATAATCTTATGGGACTACCACTGTATATGCAACCTGTCTTTGTTAGTCAGAGCCTGACTGCATTTTTATCACGTGTGTGAATGTGTATGTGTCTGTGTGTGCTTAGCATGAATGTACTTATTACATGTTATTTTTATAAAAGAGGCCATATATTGCATGCTGTTTTTTACCTTATTTCTTTCAATTAATATATTTTGAAGACAGTTTCATACTGGGCCGTGGTTTGTGAGGTCAGTATCAAATCACCATTATGGCTTGACTTGCTCTGGCCTTGGTCCTCCTTATTGTTTTCTGCAGAATCATCTAATGTTGTTATTTGTAGGTTATTTCTAAGACTTTTCACTCTGGGGATCAAGGATGAGTTCGCCCTAATATGGCCCCTACTGCATCCGTGGTACCATGTGTTTGTAGAGTCATCTGTGTGTACTTTATATCCCAGGGGAGGGTTTTTTCCTTAGTCCTTCAGTGGTAAATTTCATATTTCTTGTCCCAATTGTTTAATATGTCTAAGGGTCCTTGGGCAAAGAAGCCATTACTAGATGCTATGGACTGATTTGTGTTCCTCCAAAAACCATGTGTTGAAGCCTTAATCTCCAATATGACTCTATCTAAAGATAGGGTCTTTAGGAAGCAATTACATTTCAATGAGCTAATAAAAGTGGGGTCTTCAGTCAATAGGACTGTGGCCTCATAAGAACACCTCTCTCTTTCTCTGAAAATACAGCAAGAAGGTAGCCAACTACATGCCAGAACAGATCCCACAATAGGAAATTGATTGAATGTCACTTTGATCTTCAACTTCTATCTTGTAGAACTGTGAAAAAATAAATATTTGTTGTTTCACTCACTTAGTCTATGATATTTTCTTATGGCAGCCTAAGCTGACTGGGGACTGGGTTGCTGCTGTAACAAATACTTAGAAATGTGGAAATGGTTTTAGAACTGGGTAATAGGTAGAAGCTAGAAGACTTTTGAGGCATATACAGGAAATTCGAATGTTAAGAGTAATTCTGGTGAGGTCCCAGATGAAAATGAAAAACATGTTATTGGAAACTGAAGTAAAGGTGATCCTAGTTATAAAGCAGTAAAGAACTTGGCTTAACTGTGTTCTAATATTTCGTGGAAAGTACAACTTGTGAGCAACGAAATTAGAAATTCTAAATAAAGTGTTGATGAGTGCCTTTATTTTTCCTGACTACTTAGAGTAAAATGTGAAAGGAGAGTGATGAGTTGAAAAAAATATATATTATTCAAAAAGGAGCCCAAAGTTGGAAATTTGGAAAATTACCAGCCTATCCATATTCCAAAGAGTGAGAAAGTTTATTCAGAAGAAAAAACAAGGGTGTGGCTGGAAAAATCATTTGACAGAGATGATGGATATGATTAATGAATTAATCAGCCATCTCAGCTGAAGCCAGGAATATAGATGGGATTATACCAGCAAATATGTTACCACTCTAAAATAAAGAGAACAGAGAAAATAGATCGGAATGAAGGAAGGCTGCCATACTTTTTGGATTCTACAAAACTGGGACATAGAACTATTTGGCTTTAAGCCTGAACTATTCTTCAAGGAGAGGGAAGAATGACCCAGAAAGCAATTTGGAGATCATCATCATTCTCACCCCAGGAGGCAAGGCTGTTTCTTCCTCAGTTTCAAAGGGTAAGGCTGCCTCTCTGAATTCAGCAAGCTAGAATTACTATACTTAGTGCCTCAGGGGCAGAGTATCTTTGCAAAGAGCCATGTGGCTAGGGCCCTTTCAGAGAGCTGAATGGGTAAGCTTGTCCCCAAAAAGCTCTGTGGTTGGTGTTGCCACCCATGGTCCTGGAGAGCAGAATATCAAACCAGAGGGGATTATTCTTGAGTCTAAGATCTAAAATTTGCCTTTATTGGTTTTAGACTTGCTTGTGACCCACCAGTCCTTTTTTTATTTTAATTTCTCCCTTTTGGAATAGGAATGTCTTTCCTATACCTGTCCTACCACTGTATTTTGGAAGCATATAACTTGTCTGGTTTCACAGTTTTGTAGCTGGAGAGGAATTCTGCCTCAAGAATAATTATACCTGCGGCTCACCTTTATCTAATTCAATGATAGTTGGATTAAACCTTTTGAACTTAGAGTTGATGTTGAAATCAGTTAAGATTTTGCAAGCAGTTGGGGTAGAATTAATGCATTTTGCATCCAAGAAGGACATGAATTTGGACTGGAATGCAGAAGCAGAAAGCTACGAGTTGAATTGTGTCTCCTGCCTCAAGTTTATATGTTGAAGGCCTAAATGTAACTGTGTCTGTAGATAAAGTATTCAGGAAGCAAATAAAGTAAGAGGAGATTATAACAGTGGGGCCCTAAGGCTATGGCCTTATGAAAATTATTGGTGGTATGTACAATGAAGTTGCAATAATGAGGCAAGAAGTTAAAAAAGTGCTTTGCTATGGTGGCTCACACCTGTAATCCAGCACTTTGGGAAGCCGGGGTGGGCAGATACCTGAGGTCAGGAGTTCAAGACCAGCCTGGCCAACATGGAGAAACCCTGTCTTTACTAAAAATACAAAAATTAGCTGGGTGTGGTGGCACGTGCCTGTAGTCTTAGCTACTCGAGAGGATGAGGCAGGAGAATAGCTTGAACCTGGGAGGCAGAGGTTGCAGTGAGCCGAGATCACGTTATTGCACTACTGGCCTGGGTGACAGGCCGAGACTCCATCTCAAAAAAATAAAAATAAAAAATAAAGGACTATGCTAAAAATAAAGTTTATTCGGGAACTAAAATTTACAAATCCTTGTTTGTAAGGAGATAGTTCCCTTTATCTTAATCATGTTCATCTTAGTAGCACTGAAGTGGCCCTTTGTATACCAGGAATACTCAGATATTTTCAATACATACTCCTACTAGTAGTGGAAAATGAAGCCACATCCCAATAGTTCTAGGCAAAAAGCTAGATGTGTAAGTAGCTTATGTGAGGTGGAAGCTAAAATCCTAGCTTGTTTATTTTAATGCATATGCCATTCTCATTCTCCTTCTTAATATGTCTGCATCTTGTTTTTACATGAAATAACATTTTAATTTACTTATAATGGGATAAAATTGGTGCTTCTAACAGATAGAAAAATATGCTGTGTTTATCCTGTACTTTATATGTGGCCTTCCCTTGCTACTATCCATCTGCAGCATAATGTTGTGTATCTCCTGGAGGCATGCATTCTGGCTCAAGAAGTCTTGTAAAGGAATTCCAACAGGCTTAGAGGAAAAGAAAACCTTTTCTTTGCAGAGAAGGACATTTTACTGGCATCTTACAAAACTAAAATACAAAATAGATTACATTACCTTTCTAGATTCTTGCCAGAGATACTTCTTCAAAATTTTCCACTCTTCTGACTTTTCTCCTAGTACAGCAGTCACAATGATGGAGCTTGAATTTAAACAACAACCCCTGAGACAAAGCACTACTTGAGAGGGATGGAATGAAAAGAACTGAAACACAGAAATTATCTGAAGCCCTGGAGCTGCTGCTACTTGTCTGAATCAGTTTCCAAGCACAGACATGGGCAGAAAGCTCTTTTGTCATTTGAACAAGAGCCAGAAAGTAAGTTGGCTTCAATTGTACTAATGCCATTCATCTGTTTTAAAAGTTCCACTTTTCAGTGGCTTTTCAGTATTGGTGTGCTGATGTGTATGCACAGGATTTAATGTGATCAGAAGGACTGGAATGATTTGCTCAAGCAATGCAATGCTTATTCTTTGTCATTGTATAACCTTCGCTCAGTGTCTATATCCTGGAAATGCAATACTGCAAATATTCCTCACAGAAAATTATTCACAGTACTATAGTGCATACTCATCTATTTCAGTTACATCTAGCTTATAAAAACTGCCTGACATTTTTCAAAACTAAAAATGATGATAATTTAACACAGTTAATTTTTTATTAGTTATGGCAGAAAATAGGTAATGTCTCAGTGTGCTGAGGGAAATGTGTATTGTCGTGTTGTGATGATTATAAGTTGTGAAGTCCTCGTAATTCTCTTTCTAACCTTGAGCGTGATAAGCATTTGGTATCAAAACTAGATAGGCTACAGAGAATTCTCGGTCATGCTAGGAAAATTTTCTCTCTTTGTTCCTGGTTCTCAAATTTAAAGGTTGCATCAGGTTGAGGAATGAGGAGCAACTTATTTTGCAGAGAAGTTGGAACATCTAGATACAACATGTACGCAACTATCCATTCAACCATACATTCTTCCATCCATCCATGATTCCATTAATTTATTTTTTCATATTAAACAGTTTATTGAGGCCAGAAAAAATTACTCCTTCTCTCTCACATAATATAAACAACTTTCCAGGCTAATTCCTGACTTTAAGAACCACAGACATGAAGACCTTTTAGGTGTCTAAACTTTTTTTTAAGCAAAAGTAAAATCTGTAAAATCACTAAAAATTGATAGAACTGATTTATTTTATTTTATTTTATTTTGAGACAGAGTCTCCCTCTGTCACCCAAGCTGGAGTGCAGTGGTGTGATCTTGGGTCACTGCAGCCTCCGCCTCCCAGGTTCAAGCAATTCTCCTGCCTCAGCCTCCTGAGTAGCTAGGATTACAGATGCATGCTACCATGCCTGGCTGATTTTTCCATTTTTAGTAGAAAGGGGGTTTCACCATGTTGGCCAGGCTGGTCTTGAACTCCTGACCTCAGATGATCTACCCACCTCGGCCTCCCAAAGTGCTGGGATTACAGGTGTGAGCCACCGTTCCCAGCTGACAGAACTGAATTTTAAAAATAAAACAAAAATGGTATCTTAAAATATATTTGCAATGAAATGCAAAAACCAAACTAAACCAAAACCAACCATTACAAAACTAAGTACATTTTAAAGAGTATTGTTTTGGGAATTGTGTATGTATGCGTCATGTATTCAATACTTAACAGTGGTTGTCGAACTGTTCCCTTGAAACAGTGATGTTAGGCCAGCTGGAATAAAGTTACCTATTCTTAAAATCATAATTTTCATACTTTTTCAATGATGTGAATTATTTATTACCAGTACACAAGGAGATAAATGCAGAAATTAAGAATAACAGTTGGAAATTTTGGTGGCAAAGTAATTTAATGTTCATTTAACCTAGTAATAAAACTGACTGGGGTTTGCATTTAATTTATCTTTATTTTTATTTAATTTTTCTAATTATTAATTTATATTTTATTTTACTAAAATATCAGTCCATGGTGGACTGGGGATAAAACAAAACAAAGCAATGATAATATGAACAAAAACTACCTTCATCACATTAGTCTGAAAAGCATTGTTCTAAAATTGTCTTGATTAATTTGAAGTTTAGGAAACAAAAGTATATTTTCCAGAACTTCACATTTTCATGGCACAAGCTCATACTCATTCAGAATAATGATTTATTTCCATGCAAGGCCAAAGGTAAAAGTGCGTCCTCTAATATGATCTTAGCTTTAATCACATTTCATATATTCACTTAACAAAGACTACTTAATTTTCTTGTTTTAAATAATTTTACATAAAGAGAATAGTTATTTAAAAGCCATTTTCTTCTCACAAAGTATACCTGACCTTGAAGTGACATTACACCACAGCCTATAAGCCATAATGATGCTACATTTTAATAAAAAATATCTTCCACACTTCCTGACAAAGTAACAAAATCCTTGCTGATACCCATGACACATTGTCTCTGTGATGATGCCAATGAGGGGAGTTGCCTGGTTAAAACTGCAGAAAAATCTGCCATTAGCAGCTCGCTTCTTTGGGTGATAGTGTCCCCAGAGGCTGCTCCACTCATCTGCCATCAAAGGTGTCTGAGGGCCTGCCAAAGCTTTGTCATATAGGGGGTGCAGAGAGCCTGAGACCCCTAGGAACCTCTGGGATTTCAAACCAACACTCCCTGCTGATCTATTAGGAGTGGAACCTCACAGTCCTCATTGAATTCACACAAGGGTGCCTCACAAATAAGTCTGTTGCACAAGACCATGTAGGATGACCATTTTTCAGCCTGAATGTGGAGTGTTTCACCCAGAGAAGTCAGCACTTTTCTAACAAGACTTAACGAGAGTGTCAGTTGAAGGAAGGTGGTTGAAGATTGTACTTCAGCCATGATTGTGCTGGAGTGGCTGTTTGAAGTTCAAGGTACAACCATCCCATTCCTATCTTCTCCCCATCCTGTAGAGATCTTCAAAGGGGAAGACCCCTTTGAAATTTGTGAAAGTTCTCCTATACGATCAGCTGAATGGGGTGTAGGACAATATAAAAGATAGGATATCATCAGAAAATAGCAAGTAGGTAATAAAACCAACACAATACTGTTCTCCATGCTTTTCCCACTAATATGGACTGACTTGTGTCTGCCCAAAATTTATGTGTTGAAGCCCTAATCCTCAGTGCCTCATAATGTGATTCTATTTGGAGATGGGAACTTTAAATAGGCAATTATTATTTTTTATTATACTTTAAGTTCTGGGATAAATGTGCAGAATGTGCAGGTTTGTTACATAGGTATACATGTGCCATGGTGGTTTGTTGCACCCATCAACCCATTATCTACATTCGGTATTTCTCCTAATGCTATCCCTCCCCTAGCCCCCCAACCCCTGATATGCCCTGGTGTGTGATGTTCCCCTCCCTGTGTCCATCGGTTCTCATTTTTCCACTCCCACTTATGAGTGAGAACGTGCAGTGTTTGTTTTTCTGTTCCTGTGTTAATTTGCTGAGAATGGTGGTTTCTGGCTTCATCCATGTCCCTGCAAAATATTCATCCTTTTTTATGGTTTCATAATATTCCATGGTGTAAGAACTTAAACAAATTTACAAGAAAAAAAACCAAACAACCCCATCAAAAAGTTGGTGAAGGATATAAACAGACACTTCTCAAAAGAAGACATTTATGCGGCCAACAAACATATGAAAAAAAGCTCATCATCACTGGTCATTAGAGAAATGCAAATCAAAACCACAATGAGATACCATCTCACACCAGTTAGAATGGCGATCATTAAAAAGTCAGGAAACAACAGATGCTGGAGAGGATGTGGAGAAATAGGAACACTTTTGCACTGCTGGTAGTAGTGTAAATTAGTTCAACCATTGTGGAAGAAAGTGTGGCAATTCTTCAAGGATCCAGAACCAGAAATACCATTTGACCCAGCAATTCCATTACTGGATATATACCCCACAAATTATAAAACATTCTACTATAAAGACACGTGCACACGTAAGTTTATTGCAGCACTGTTGACAATAGCAAAGACTTAAATAGGTAATTAAAGTGAAGAACTTAGGATGTGCCCTCATCTGATGTAACTGGTGTCCTAGTAAAAGGATGTTATTATTGGAGTGGAGTAATCATTTCACTGTGCATATGTATATCAAAACATATTGTACACCTTAAATATGGACAGTAACTGTTAATTAATTAATTTTTAGAAGAGGAGATTATGACACAAGGAGATACTCTGCTTGCAGAGAGGAAAGACCATGTGAGAACACAGTGAGAAGCAGCTATCTGCAAGCCCAGGACAGAGGCCTCAGAAGAAACCAAACCTAGCAACATCTTGATCTTGGCTCTTTAGCCTTCAGACATGTGAGAAATAAATTCCTGTTTTTTAAGCTGCCAATTCTGTAGTATGTCATTATAGCAGCATCAGCAAATTAATACATCTACGTATGCTAATTGCAAATGAAACCATGCTTTATTTTTGTGACTCATGTTGTTTGATCTGAAGGATGAACAAAATATAAACACAAGAATGAAGATGTAAATATACGGGTACATGTGCAATGTGAATCTTAGTTACCCTAAGGGGCTGCCTTTGGCCTTCACCCATGTCTTACCTTGTGAATGACCACATACTAAGAAATGGTTTATAGTAAGAGAAATGGTTTATGAGGATTTTTCTTTGTGAGTGGCAGTGAATAGAGAGGGGTTTAAAACTCCTGCAGTTTATGTCAGCAGCTGCAATCTGAACAGAGCATAAAAGATAGCTCAATGTGTCATCAATGTAAAGGGCCACGCTTCTTGTTTAAATGGTCTTTCCATTTCCATATTTAGGTTGCTAGTATTTTTTTCCTCATTTTCACTTTTGAACAACCAAAAAATGCATCATAGTTATTATGACAAAAGAAGAAAATCAATTTATTTAGGCTTCAGAGGCCATTTATATATTCATCTACTTATTCATTCAAACAATATTTGTTTAGTACCTACTATGCGCTGAGCATTATGGTGATTCCTGGAAACATGGTTCATGTCATTATGAAGATAACTTTCTGAAGTGTCTCAGAGGGATATGGGAGTTGAGGAGTGAAGAATTGGCAAGTAATCCATTGAGTAAATACAATTATAATAGATTCTCTAGGAAGAGAATACTGGATGAGAGCCTTTTTATAGAAGATCTAAATAATGAGAATAAAAAGCCATGTGAAGAGCTGAGGGAAGACAGCTCCAGTGAGGGCAGACATAAAAGAAACATGATTCAGCTGGATATGCTCAAGGAATAGAAGTGAGAATAATGTATCTGAAATGGAGAAGATGGAGAATGATGAAAGATAGGGTCAGCCATGTCAGACATAGCCATATTGTTTGTAGTTGTTCTAAAAGCATTTTGCAAGCCATTGAAGAGTTTTATGGAAGCAGGTTAATAGGTTAATTTAATTTTTAAATAACTTTTTAATTTCGCACATATTCATGACATACTTACTGTCTTGTGGTGATGTTTGTGAGGGGGCTGCCCAGTTAAAACTGTAGAAAAATCTTCCATGAGAAGCCTAGTCACATAGAAGGGCCAAGAGCAAACGATGAGCTGTTTAAATATGTACACTTCACCATTCCTTGAACATCTGCTTTGTATGAAGCCTGTAGTTGGTTATCTGCAGAATTCATTTGAGAAAAATACAACTTCCTGTCCTCAAGGAAATTCCAGCCTCTCTAGGGAAGATGGAAATATGCAAATCACTATTGTTTTGATTTGAGAAATAAAGTTGTAAATAGTTTGGGTAATATTTTTTTTTTCAACTGAGACAAGGTATCTGTCTAACTCAGATGGGTAATTTCTTATTTTATCATCAATAATCAACTTATTTATGTATTTTCTTGTTTCTTTTACTATATTTTTACATTATTATATTATTAGTTCCATGGTGATTACAATTTATATCTAATTTTAAATACTCTATTTTGGATTAACACCAACTTAATAGTATATGAAATCTGTATAGGTCCACGCCAACTCTACTCCTTTGTGATACTGTTGTACACAAATTACATCTTTATACGTTATATGGCCATCAACACAGATTTATAGTTACTGCTTTTGCAGTTGTTGTTAAAATCAGATAGGATTTTTAAAAAGAGTAACAAATAAAAAATAAATTTCTATGTCTTTTATATTTACCTTTTCCAGTTCTCCTTATTTTTTCATATAGATTCAAATTATTCTTTAAGGGCAGAACATGCAGGTTTGTTACACAGGTATACATTGCCATGGTGGTTTGCTGCACCTATCAACCCATCATCAGATGGGTAATTTTTTCAGTTGCTTTCTCTGGTTCTTCAGGGCATTTATTATTTTCTTTTATTTAGAAAATAGTATAAAAGTAGGCATATAGACCATGGGACAGAATAGAGAACCCAGAAATAAAACCAAATACATATCGCCAACTGATCTTTGACAAAGCATACAAAAATATAAATTGGGGAATAGACACTCTATTTAATAAAGGTGCTGGGAAAACTGGCAAGCCACATATAGAAGAATGAAACTGGATGCATGTCTTTTACCTGATGCAAAAATCAACTCAAGATGGATCAAAGACTTAAATCTAATACCTGAAACCATAAAAATTCTGGAACACAACATTGGAAAAACTCTTCTAGACATCAGCCTAGGCAAAGAATTCATGAGTAAGACCCCAAAAGCAAATGTAACAAAAACAAAAATAAACAAATGGGACCTAATTATACTAGAAAGCTTCTACACAGCAAAATAAATAATAATCATAGTAAACAGAAAACCCACAGTATGGGAGAAAATTTTGCAGACTATGCACCTGACAAAGGAATAGTGTCCAGAATCCACGAGGAACTTAAAGAAATCAGCAAGAAAAAAAAACAAATCATCCCATCAAAGAGTGGGGAAAGGACATGAAGAGACATTTATCAAAATAAGATAAACAAATGATCAAGAAACGTATGAAAAAATGCTCAACATCACTAATCAGGGAAATGCAAATTAAAACCTCCTCTTACTCCTGCAAGAATGGTCATTTTAAAAAAGTCAAAAAACAATAGGTGTTGGCATGGATGTGGGGAAAAGGGGATGCTTATACATTGCTGGTGTGGTGGGAATGTCAATTAGTACAACCTCCATGAAAAACAGTATAGAGAATCCTTAAAGAACTAAAAATAGATCTGCCATTCAATCCAGCAACTCCATTACTGGGTATCTCCCTAAAGGAAAATAAGTCATTATACGAAACAGACACCTGCACGTGTGTGTTTATAGTAGCACAATTTACAATTTTAAAGATGTGAAACCAACCTAAGTGCCCATTGTCTAATAAGTGGATAAATACAATTGTGTATAAATACACCATGGAATACTACTCAGCCACAAAAAGAAATGAAATAATGTCTTTTGCAGCAACTTGGATGGAGGTGGAGGTCATTATTCTAAGTGAAGTAACTCAGGAGTGGAAAACCAAAAATCTGTATGTTCTCCCTCACAAGTAGGAGCTAAGCTTTGAGTACCCAAAGGCACATAGAGTGATATAATAGAATTTAGAGACATAGAAGTGGGAGGGTGGGAGGAAGGCTAGACTACATATTAGGCACAATATGCACTACTCAGGTGATGGGTGCACTAAAATTTCAGAATTCACCACTATAAAATTCATTCACGCAACAAAAAAACACTTGTAACTCTGAAAACTATTGAAATAAAACTTAAAATAAACATTTTACTGTGTATATTTGAAGTTTATAATGAAGACATAAAAACGGATCAATAGATATATAAAAAGACGCTCAACATCAGTAATCATCAGGGAGATGCAAATTAAAGCTACTGAGATAGCATCACGCAGCTTTTAGGTTGGCTATTATCAGAAAGACAAGAGACAACAAATGTTGATGAAGATTTGAAGAAAAGGGAAACCTAGTACACTGTTTGTAAGAATGTAGGTTTGTGTAGCCCTTATGGAAACCTGTACGAAGTTTCCTAAATAAATTAAAAATAGGCTGGTTGTGGTGCCTTATGCCTATAATCCCGCAATTTGGGAGGCCGAGGCAGGCGGATCATTTGAGGCCAGGAGTTCAAGACCAGCATGGCTAAAATGGTGAAACCCTATCTCTACTAAAAGTACAAAAATTAGCCTAGTGTGGTGGTGCTCGTCTGTAGTCCCAGCTACTCAAGATGCTGAGGTGCGAGAATTGCTTGAACCACGGAGGTGGGAGTTACAGTGAGCTGAGATCGCACCACTGCACTCCAGCCTGGGAGACAGAGCTAGACTCTGTCTCAAAAAAAAAAAAACAAAACAAAACAAAACAAAAAACAAACAAAACTAACATATGACCTAGGATATATATTCTTGATCAATCACTGGTAATGTGTGGTAGGCTCACAGGAGTAAATAGGTTTATATAGTTAGAAAGACTGTAAAATAAAAGACCTTGGACACACTCAGGAACCCAGCAGAGATGGGGATCATTGCTTTCCAGAAGGATGAGTCATCTAATGTGTGAGAAAAAAAAGCTAGGGCTACACAGGCATGTAAAACTTCTCTATACAAGTGAGTCCATGCTAAAGGAAAAGGCTAATTAATTGTAGGTTTCTTTCAGTTAGTTTATTCCAGCTGATTAATCTATCCTTAGTTACATAGCAGTTTAACAGACTTATTAAATACCATTCACAGTAACAAGAGTTCTAAGAAAGGTGTATATATTACACAAACACAGGGAGAATTAATCACACTTGCATTAACTGTAAAACATGAAATAAAATAGCTACCACCTTGATTGACAAAAAGAGGTGGGAGGATGACATTTCAGAGAGAAGGGCTCTATGATCATTGACATATGTAGAAAAACATATTCAAAATATGCATTAGGGGCTGGAGTAAAAAGTGTATAAACAAAAATAATACATGACATTTATAAAGAGCACGTTATAATCCTCAGATACTATATTTTATATATATTATCCTATTTAGCCTTTAGAGAAACGTAAGTGGGTAGGTAATATTATAACTGTACTTTACAGAGGAGATAACTAAGATTAATAAAATTTATATAATTCACTCAGGTTTTCAACAAAGCTCTAAAAGAATTGTACACCTATGTTGAGGAATTTGAACTGCATTCAGTACTACCCAGGGAGCAATTAAAAGTTTCAAGTAGAACAATAATATGATCAGAGTGTGCCATGGGAAAATAAATAAGGCAGAGAAAAATGTGGTAGATTGAATGGGTTACATTGGACTTGAAAAGGCAAGTCAAGTGGTTTTTTCAGTAAGTCAGTAGGAGAGGTGATAAAGGTCTCTGCCAAAGTAATGACAGTCAGGAGAAAAATGAGAATATGGGTATTAGAGTAATTACAAATGTAGTAACTATGGGATTAATAACAGGATGATGGGTCAAGGGAGGGAATGAATCTAGGCTTTTGAACCCCTGAATGTCTTAGTTGATAGTAATGTCTTTAACAGATAGGGAAACATCTGTTATATTTAATCTAAAATTTGCATGTCAAAAACACATAAATATTGCCTGAATTTGCTGTATATGAGAGTAGGATGAACATCCTAGCAAAGCAAGGGTACTATTAATGTTCACCCTCATCTTCACCTCACCATTAGAGAATATTTATGGACCTGCAACATGGCACAGCAGCCATTTTCTGCAGGTCAGTAGGGGACTGAGATGCAAGAAACACTGCTTGTTTTACTATTTTTATCATTTTCAATTTGTATAAATTTAGGTGAGTGTGGCCAATTATTTGCAAAAGTGACTACATTTATATAATTCCCAATATGCATAATCCTTTGAAATGTGACTAAAGTTCCTCTTATAAAGAGGTAGAATGTATCTCTCTATCTCTTGAGTTTGGGCTGGCTGTGATTTGCTTTGACCAATAGAATGTGGGGGAAATAACTTTGTACCAATTTTGATACTAGGCTTTACTCTCTCTCAAAATTCTCCATCAGCCATGTGAAAAAAGCCTGGGCCACCTGCTGCACAATGAGAGATGTGTTGACCAGGTGTACCTGGTGCCCATCCAACCATGCAGCACGTGCATGAAGCTGTCTTAGACCAGGTAGGCTCAATCAATCTGTCAGCAGACAGCATACAATTGGTGGTTCCAGTCACGATCATCCAAGCCTGCCTAGATAACCAGAATTGCCCAGCTGACACATAGAATTGTGAGCAATATAATTACTGTTTTAGGTAACTCAGTTTGGGGATGGTTGTTACACAGCAATAGATAACTAATACACTATGATACATATTAATAGTGTAGAAAAATTTTGAAATTGCTTAAAAGAGAAAAGATAATTAAAATCATACATGTTCCCATTATATGGTTTGGCTGTGTCCCCACCCAAATCTTACCTTGAATTGTAATAATCCCCACACGTCAAGGGTAGGGCCAGGTAGAGACAAATGAATTATGGGGGCTTGGCTGTTTCCCCCACACTGTTCCCATGGTAGTGAATAAGTCTCAGGAGATCTCATGGTTTTATAAATGGGAGTTCCCCTGCACAAGCTCTCTTGCCTGCTGCCATGTAAGATGTGCTGTTACTCCTCCTTCACCTTTGAAGTGCCATGATTGTGAGGCCTCCCCCACTATGTGGAACTGTGAGTCCATTAAACCTCTTTTTCTTTATAAATTACCTAGTCTTCCGTATGTCTTTATTAGCAGCATGAGAGCAGACTAATACCGTAAGTTAGTACCAGGTAGTGGGGCACTGCTGCAAAGATACCTGAAAATGTGGAAGCAACTTTGGAACTGGGTAACAGGCAGACATTGGGACAGTTTGGAGGGCTCAGAACAAGACAGGAAAATGTGAGAAAGTTTGAAACTTCATAGAGACTTGGAGGGCTCAGAAGGCAGGAAGATGTGGGAAAGTTTGGAACTTCCTAGAGACTTGTTGAATGCCCTCAAATGCTGATAGTGATATGGACAATAAAATCCAGGCTGACGTGATCTCTGATGGACATAAGGAACTTGTTGGGAACTGGAGTAAAAGTCACTCTTGCTATGCAAAGAGACTGGTGGCATTTTGCCCCTGTCCTAGAGATCTGTGGAACTTGGAACTTGAGAGAGATGATTTAGGGTACCTGGCGGAAGAAACTTCTAAGTGGCAAAGCATTCAAGAGGTGACAGAACATAAAATATTGGAAAATTTGCAGCCTGATGATGCAGTAGAAAAGAAAAATCCATTCTTTGAGGAGAAATTCAAGCGGGCTGCAGAAATTTGAACAAGTAATGAGGAACCAAATGCTAATCATCAAGACAATGGAGAAAATGTCTCCAGGGCATGTCAGAGACCTTTATGGCAGCCCCTCCCATCACAGGTCTGGAGGTGTAGGAGGGAAAAACAGTTTCACGGCTGGGCCCATGGCTCCTCTGCTCTATGCAGCCTCAGGACATGGTGCCCTGCATCCCAGCTGTTTCAGCTCTAGCAGTGGCTTAAAAGGGCCAAGGTACAGCTCAGGCCATTGCTTAAGAGGATGCAAGTTCCAAACCTTGGTGGCTTTCACATGGTGTTGGGCCTATGGGTGCATAGAAGTTAAGAACTGAGGTTTGGGACCCCCTGACTAGATTTCAGAGAATGTATGGAAATGCCTGGATGTCCAGGGAGAAGTTTGCTGCAGGGGCAGGGCCTTCATGGAGAACCTTTGCTAGGGCAGTGTAGAAGGGAAATGTGGGGTTGGACTCTTCACACACAGCCCCCACTGGGGCACTGCCTGGTGGAGCTCTGAGAAGAAGGCCACAATCCTGCACATCCCAGAATGGTAGACTCACTGACGGCTTGCAACGTGTGCCTGGAAAAGCCACAGACACTTAACACTAGCCCATGAAAATAGCCAGGAGGGGAGCTGTATCCTGCAAAGCCACAAGGGCAGAGCTTTCTGAGGCTTGGGGCCCCACCTCTTGTATCAACATGACCTGCATGTGAGACATGGAGTCAAAGGAGATCATTTTGGATCTTTAAGGTTTAATGGCTTTCTATTGGATTTTAGACTTGTATGAGGCCTGTAGCCCCTCTGTTTTGGCCAATTTTTCCCATTTGGAATGGGTGTATTTACCCAATGCCTGTGCCTCCATTGTATCTGGGAAGTAAGTAACTTGCTTTTGATTATTCAGGCTTATAGGTGGAAGGGACCTGGTTTGTCTCTAGTGAGACTTTGGACTGTGGACTTTTGAGTTCATGCTGAAATGAGTTAAGACTTTGGGGGACTGTTGGAAAGGCATGATTGGTTTTGAAATGTGAGGACATGAGATTTGGGAGGGGCCAGGAGCAAAACAACATGATTTGGCTGTTTCCCCACCCAAATCTCACCTTGAATTATAATAATCCCCACACGTCCAGGGTGGGGCCAGGTAGAGATAATTGAATCAAAGGGGATGTTTCCTCCATAATGTTCTTGTGGTAGTGAGTAAGTCTCAGGAGATCTGATGGGTTTATAGATGGGAGTTCTCCTGCACAAGCTCTCTTGCCTGCCACCATGTAATATGTGCCTTTACTCCCCCTTCACCTTCCATCATGATTATGAGGCCTCCCCAGCCATGTGGAACTGTGAGTCCATTAAACCTCTTTTTCTTTATAAATTACCCAGTCTTGGGTATGTCTTTATTAGCAGTGTGAGAACAGACTAATACATTCCACTTAGTTCAACTCTGTTTTGGTATGATTAAATCTTTTCACAATTATATACTCACAATAAAAATGTGTTAAGACTTTCTATCCTTTTTTTGAAACCTTATTTTTTCACTTAACAATATGCATTAACAGCATGTGTCTTTCTGTGAGAATGGATACGCTTATACACGTAGTTTAGCACTTACATATAAGTCCACCCATGATCTGTGAATAGACATCTGGAATTATTTATTTGTGTTATTCTACACTGAGTGTAATTTTTCTGCCAAGCATCTTCTTTGACAGAAAAGGAAGACGAGATAATATATATATTATCTCCGGTTTCATCTGGAGTAGGTCTTGTAGAATTTTTTTTAATGAAAGGAAAATATAACCTAAGTTATATATTTATTTTTATTTTTGTTGAGATGGAGTCTTACTCTGTTGCCCAAGCTGGAATGCAGTGGTGTGATCTCAGCTCACTGCAACTTCTGCCTCCTGGGTTCAAGTGATTCTCCTGCCTCAGCCTCTCAAGTAGCTGGGACTACAGATGTGCACCACCACACTTGGCTAATTTTTTGTATTGTTAGTACAGATGGTATTTCTACATGTTGGCCAGGCTGGTCTCAAATTCCTGACCTCAAGTAATCCGCCTGACTTGGCCTCCCAAAATGCTGGGATTACAGGCATGAGCCACTGTGCCCAGCCCCTAAGTTATAATAAAGACACCAACTTTGGTGAAGCGTGATCCAGTGAAGGTCATTGACTATAATAGCTAGAACATCCAAAGGAAGGAAGGAGCTGACTAATCATTATTTTTCATTTGTCACATCAATGGCAGTGTTTTCTTTTTTAATAGTGAAGGAATGATAGTTTTAAAATACTACAATTTGCCCCTTTGGGAAAGTGGTGAAGGCAGAGTCTCAAAGTTGACATATGACATTAGAAAGAGATTCAGTTTATTTGATCTTTTCTAAAGGATGGGTTTGACATGAATAGTCAAGGGGAAATTACTTTTTCAATAACTGTTTATTAGACACTCTCATGTTTATGGTCTTTCAAGGTGCTAAAAGGAATACAAGTAGGTGGATTGCATGATAAATGAATTGGTTTCATACTATGTGCCTCAAATAACATGTTTTACATTGTAGCTCTCTGAAGTCTCCCCAAATCTCTATGCCAAAGGTCTGACTTTCATGACTTCCATAGGAGAAGCTGATGGTCTAGCTATTATTTCTACACAGCTGTTGTTCTGATGGGAATAAAATACCCAAGGAGAAAATTCAGCCAACAAATAAGCCTTTACTGGGCATACATTTTTAGTGATATATTAGGAAGAATAGAGATTCATGAAGCAAAAAGAACATAGGGTCTTTAAAGATTTCCTGTAGATGTGAGAGCATGTTAAAATAGTGAGTGGCCCATTGGTATGCCTGAATGGTTGGCATTTGCCTGAGACATTCATATTTTCTGCCTGACAGCAGAGGGGGCAGGGCCTGTTGTAGCCAGTGTTCCTCACTGTTTTATCTTCAGTTCTGTCTGGGAATAACTTTACACATTTATGCCAGGGTGTAAGTAAGATGTCCTAGTGGGTATGATATGAGGAAATTTGGAAATAATTATTTTGAACTTTGAATTCTATGTTGGAAAAAGAAATAAGTATTGAGAGTCTTGATAAATGTATATAAGTATGTATAAAATGTATATAAGTATGTATAAAAGTATGAAGTATGGGTCTAAATCACAAGAATGAATTCAACCCTGACAATGGAAGGAAAAACAGGAGAAAAAGTGACCCATAAAAGTTATTATGAGCAAATCCAAAACAAAATAAAATGTCTAAAATAGATTCAAGTTAATTAGTTATTATAGATGTAAATGGGACTAACTCACTAATCAAAAGATAAATATAAAATGATCCAATAAAATCAGATCCACAGACATATATTTAAAATAATAGTACAGAAAAGTTAAAATAAGAAAAAGTTGTGTCAGAAAAATATAACTACAAATTTTGGCTGAGCAGTTTTAATATGAAACTAAATAGATTTTAATGGCAACATTTTTAAGGGACAAAAAAGAATACTCTTGAATGTTAAAGAAAACAAGTCAGTGCTATATGCTGGTTTTTTAAAAATATCATAAGATGTACACATCTCTGAAGAGACTGAGCAAACAAAAAAGATGAGAGAATGAAAATGGTAAAATGCAAGTATTTGAAAAATAGTAAAATATCACTATCAATACCTATATGCTAATGTTTTAAAATCTAAATGAAAAATATAAAATGTTCTGATAATAGATAATTTCAATAGAAAATTAAATATTAAAAATTACAATCTTTTCCTCACATACACTTACAAAGTCCCCATATGTCACAGATATGACAAAAATTTTTTCTATCAAATATTCAAGGAGTAATGAAACATGAAGAGGGAACTCATTATTTCAACATTAAAGGCATTCTATAGGCCAAAATACTTAAAATGGATGGTATTAGTATAGTAACAAAAAATAGACCAATGGAAAAAAATAGAGAACCCCTAAAATATGCATACGGTGAAATGGATATATGAGAGAGTTCACTGCACAAACTGTGGCTAAACAATAGATTTAATAGAGATATTAAGAAAACTGAGTAAATATACTAATAAAAGTATGCTCTCATTCCGACCTCACACAATAAAAACACAGGGCTAAAACGACAGAGTTAATAGAATAAAAATGTTAGGAATTATCTGTAGGACCTTAGAGTGGAGAATGAGTTCTTAAAGAAATCCAACACAGAAAACATACAGGAACAATTGATTAATACATAGAATATTCAGGGAAATATTAAAAATTGTGACGAGAAAAGGGGAATACACACAGACTGACATCCTCACCTTAATCCCCTCACCTCAACAACCCCATCCACAGATGGTACTAGACAATTTAGAGAGGTGGAACTCTAAATGGCAAGTAAAGGCTTTCTCTCTTTCAATATTAATCAAAAGAATAGTAATGAAACAATTAAACATCAGATTATAAATATTAAACTTCAATTATTGCAAATATTTATAAGATAGTGGGAAATAGGAACTTTTGGTTGACTTCTGATGTTAGTCCCTTAGTGACGTTGCAAGTACTTAGTAACATTAAGTACTTATTTGACCTGTCACCTGAGATTTCACTCCACACAAAATCAAACATGTTGATTTTGTCCCCTTTAGGGACAGGCATAAAGATTTTCCTCATTACATTATTTGTAATATATATTAAAAATAATATACATTGCTTTGTATATTGGTGGGCAGGGAGGTGGAATCTGCCTAGGGCAATGGAAATATAAATTATGATAGATGAATTTATGGAATTCTCTGCAATAGTCAAAAGCAAATTATAGGTATACATAATAATAAGAATGAATTCTAAAAGCATATTTTTGAGTAAAAAGTATGAATATGAACAAGATTTATAGTGCAAAAACATATACATGAAATTACAATACACACACTCATATTTAAAACAGCACGGTATGGTTTTCAAAGACACATGCATAAGCAAACATTTATACCAAATACCTATGACATAAATTAAAAAAAATTAGAGGAGCCTCAGAATGGGGAAGAAAATGCAATAAAGCAACAAAGGAAATGTGGCAAAACAAGAAATATCTTCTCAGATGAAAGAATACCTGAGATATGTACAGGGAAGTTCATTGATATCACATCTACCTTGAGTCTTATCCATCCCAGATCAAATTAAGTTTGCCTTGGCTTTCACCTGCTAAAACTGGCAGGGAATCTAATTTCAGTCATTTTTAAAGCTGTCATTCTTGTTACTGTGGATTTACCAGAACCCCATATGCTTCTATGACCCAACAAAGTTTCTGGACTTTACCTTGACATGGTCACTGATCCTCTAGCTTCCCACCCCTCTGTCAAGAGCTAGACTTTAATTTTTCTTGTTACTACTGCTCTTCTAGATAAATAGGCAGAGACATCTGCTTTCAGTAGTTCTCCCTATTACTGTCAGTAGTTCTTAAAGTAGTCATTACCAACACCTGCTTCTCCATAAGGTTAGGCTCTTTCATATAGTTGGGTACTTCTCTATTTTCAATCTCCCAACCAACATTTATTAATTCTTCTTCCAGGGTGGACCAGGACAAATACAGATGAAACTAAATCTTGGAATTATTAAGAATCTGAACGACGTAAAAGAAAACCCCAATTCACCTTTGAGAAAGGAAAGAGTGGGGTGGAATAAGAGGAAGAATATCATCATTTTATATGGAAATACCTTATAGCTAACAGAACCCGGCACAAATTAATGTCTTCACGTATCAGCCAAGCACAGATGTGAACCTGGCTTCTTTGCTTCAGTACTTCCAATACTGTTTATTATGTTAAAGAAGATGTGTAGATTTGCAAGGGATTCTATAGACAAAATTTAACAAATGTATTTGTCCTCAAATTTTTTTTTCTTGGAGTATATTATAAAATACTATTTTGAGAATTCCAGTATAAGACATTCTAAAACTATGGAATTGCTTTTCCTCAGAAATTGTCATTGTACCACTAACCTCAACTCAGAAACTGAGCCACACATAAATTATTTGATCACCCAGGATTTTATACAAGCCTTGAAAACAGTCGTTGTCTGTAGTGTCTTTCTTGTATTGTATACTTTCAATGAGGAAACAATTATATTTTCTAGTTTTTTTCCAGATACAGTTGAAGAGACTGATGTTGCCACTTGGCTAATTAGAAATCAATAATATTTGATTGTATACAATTCACTGGTAATTTGCTCAATTAGCTCTTACAGAAGCATGTTATTCACTCTGATTCCCTCTGTAGGATGTAGAGTCATTTTGTGTTAAGTACAATTCAGGGATAGAAGCTGAGGTTTTCTTATCAGTAAAAGTGTTTTTTCTTCTTATTCCAGCTCTTTACAGTAATATTAAGAGAGAGGGTCCCAATAATTGTCAATAATAAATTAGTATTAAAAAACTTTTACCTTATATTTATAATTTTCTTGATAAAGACACAGGCTTTTAATTGTCAGTTTATTCACGTCTACATCAAATATGACCCAACTGAGCAACACATTTGAAGAGAAGCAAGATCAAGTTGAAAGCAAATCCTTTTAAATTTGACTTGTTAGATGATAATAATTTATATTTAAATAGCATATAATTTTTCCAAAACAGTTTTTGTGGAATTCTAGACTGTGTAATTCTAGCTCATCTAAAGATGAGCTTACTTACAAGGAGAAAAAATTCTTCCTGAATGCTTTTCATGGAATAATGAAAAGTTAAAAGAAGCTAAGGACCTACTTTCCCCTATTCAGCTTGTGTTTTTGCTCAGAGACCAAAAACTAACAGCATCATCTGTATTACAAATTGAGTGTGGGGAAGGTGATAAAACAACAACTATATACATTTATTTAAAAAATCCGTGATTGTCCAAAACCTAAGCAATCATGGTGTAATTAAAAATCATACACTTTTATATTCAGAAAGAGGCATTTACAAAATTGAGCACAGCAGTATGATTTTAACAGCTAAAACTTAGAAACTACCCAAATTCCTATTAGTGGTGTAATAGATAAATAAATTGTGGTATATCTATGCATTGGAATATTACAGAACAATGAAAATGAATGAACTACAAATACATGTAAAAATATGGACAAATTTCATAGGCTATAATAAATTAACTCACACACAAATATACAGTTGGCCTTTCCTATCCAAGGTTTTCACATCTGTGGATTAAACAACTGCAGATCAAAAATATTAAAAAAATAAGAATGGTTGCATCTGTACTGAACATGTACATACTTGTTTTTCTTGTCATTATTTATTAAAAAATACAGCATAACAACTATTTACATAGTATTTACATTGCATTACACATTATAAGTAATCTAGAGATAAAGTATATGGAAGATTGTATATAGCTTATATGCAAATACAATGCAATTTTACATAAGATACTTGAGCATCTGTAGATTTTCGTATCTGCAGGGGTTCCTGAAACCGATTTCTCACAAATACCAATGGACGGCTGTATTTCATACATGAGGTTATATGCGTGCATATGTGTATTCTTGTAGTACAATTTATATCGGCAGGCACAAAGAAATTATGTTTGAAGTCAATATATAAAACTACTTTGGGGAAAAGAGAAGGGAAATGATGATGTGGAGATGACACAGGTAGGAGGCATCGTCTGGAGTACTGGCTATATTCCCTTTTATCACCTAGGTTGTGGTTACAAAGGGTATTCACATTGTGGATAATCCATTCTGCTGAACAGTTATTTTGTGTACCTTCCCTATGAACATCATATATATATATTTTTAATGTTCAAACACCACTAACTCAAAAAAAAAAAAAAGAGAGAGAGAGAGAAAGAGCAAGATTTTCAATTCTGAGTTAGCATCTTTGGACTTGGTATAAAGTTATTTAACTCTAAGAATCTTGTTTACCTCTCTTAAAATGAATTTTAAAATGGAATTTATTATCACTATCCAAGATTTTGTCACAGGATTTAACGGAATTCTGCATAACAAAGGCCTTCCAATGAGTGGGACTTTAATAAATTTAATCAAAGTAATTCCTTCCCCTCTCAACTTTTAACATGCTATCGCAAAAGTACACTGATAGCTATGGGAAGGAATGCTAGGTATATCTCACGTAAGGAAATAAAAGTGCTCTCACTATTCCGCCATGTGAAAAAATGTGGAGATTCTAAAAGGCGTCTGGCCTGAGAAAACAAAGTTCAATACATCGTTCAATAAATCAATAGATTTATTTCATTTTCCAGTAAATTACTGCCAATCTGTTCAGCAGTAGCCAATCAGGAGGCAAAAGGGAGGGCTTGGCTACAAGATTGAACAGATTAAGAAGTCCTGGCCGAGAATATCAATTTGATTCACAGACCCACATTAATGTATCAACTTAATTCATGGATTAGCATTGATCTATAAACGAGCAAAAACTTCATGAATTTGTTTGGATCAAAATCTTCAGTTCCAAGAAAAGTTTGCTCTTTTTTGCATGTTAACCTCATGCATTGACTCTTACCTTCAGGGACATTTCTAAATAATGATGGGTTAACGTGGCAAAAGCCATTTATTGATTGATTGATTTAATCAACGAATATTTTTAAGCATTGATTTTGTGTTAAATCACAATTCAAATTTCATTTGGAGATACAAGCCATTATTAAGGCATAACTTAAAAATGCCATTTTCAATTTGCCCTGTAGGTGAATCACATCAGCTTTTTTGTGGTTTTCCATTTGAATAAAACTTACAAGTTGATGTATACTTGGAGCCTCATATACATTTTGAAAGGTTGTTTGATACTTCTTTGTGAAAGGTAGCACAAATATTATTACAATTTCATAGAGAACTGACTTGCAAATATATACGTTCTTAACATACATGTTTTTACTTCTATATTTAACTAGAACCAAAGTCTTTTTATTTGAATCCATAATTGTGTCAACTAATATATATTCAGAAACAAATAAAAAAATAGAAGCCTTAAAAATAAATACTACAAAAAATCTTGTATATATATATATATATATAATCTTAATTTTATTTTTAAATGAGGCAAGGGATAGTGTTAGTATATATTGCAAAATTGGGATAGCCTCTTAGCCTCAATGAAGCTAATTATATGTTTCAAAAGTTTTGTCTTGTTTTGGGTAGACAGCAAAGGCACATTAAACCAAACTTAGTCTCTTCTTAACATTATGATTCCTGTGAGAACTATGGAGTTATTGGACTATATAATGGCTAATTTATGAATCTCTGTATAAGCCTCATATCCCCAGTTACCTCCAAATAACCAGGGTGTCTCTGGCTAATCAAAATGCTTAGTAATGAAGAGATCCCATTAGTGACAGCTCATACCTAATTATTACAATGACTGTGAGAGTGGTATAGTTGTAAGGCTCTCGAGTCGGACTATTGGGTTAATTCTACCACTCTGTTTCTTATTAGTTGTGAACTATGGGCAGTTAATTTATTATTTCATGACTTCAGTTTTATGTCTATATAATAGGATTTACGATAGTGCTTACCTCATATAATTATTTTCGGGATTACATGAGATAATGGATGTGAAATGAAAAGTCAGAAAACTCTGATATTAAGTCCAGCACTTACTTTTGAGTAAAGTTAAAAGGGTAAACTCCCACATGAGCTGGGTTTGGTCTAACATTCTTTTTCTTTAAACTTGTTATTTTGAGATAAATTTATACTTACAGAAAAGTTCCAAAAATAATATAGCGCTTTTGTGTACCCTTCACCCACTTTCCTATCATGTTCGTATCTTGCATAGCCATAGTATAGTTATGCAAACTGAAAAAACATTGGAATATTATTAACAATAATCTTTCTTAGAAGTTGCACTGTGTTTACTTGTTATGTCTTCTTAGCGTTCTCCAAACTGTGACCATTTCTCAGTCTTGTCTTTTATGACTGACACTTTTACAGAGAACAGATAAGTTATTTTACTGAATTACCCTCAGTTTAGTGTTGTCATGATTAGATTGAGGGTATGCATTATTATGATGAATACCACAGACATGATAGGCTTTTCTGAGTGCATTGTATCAGTGGCTACGTTGTGTTGGTATGTCTCACTCCTGGTAATGTTAACCTTGATTACTTGGTTAAGGTAAAATCTGACATAATTCATGACTGAGCTCCAATTTTTCCCATTGTAATAAATAAATATTGGGATGAGATATTTTGAGACTACAAATATCCTCTTTTTTCTTACACTTTTATGTATTTAATTTTAGTATTCATTGGTGGATCTTGACTGAAGCAATTAGTAGTTATCATTATAGTGTTCTAATGGTTAATGTTGATTTTCTTTTTTCACATTTTGTCTACATTTAATACTTGAAATTATACCTCAGGATGAGCTGTTCCTTCTTATTTATGTATTCATTTACAAAAGTATAAGCTGATGGATTTTTTTCCTTTGGCTATAATCTCATTCTATCATATATGTTCCCCTCAAATGACTTCAAGTTTGGCCATTGGAAACTCTTTCAGGCTTACTCTTGTGCTTGGTTTTGTTTGACATACCCCATTTCCTCCTTCCCTCCCTTCCTACTTCCTTCCTTCCTTCTTCCTTCCCTTTTTCCTTCCCTCCCTCCTTCTTTCCTTCCTTTCTTCCTTTCCTCCCTCCCTCCTTCCTTCTTTCCTTCCCTCCTTCCTTCCTTCCCTCTTTCCTTCCTTCCTCCTTCCTTCCTCTCTCTCTGCCTCCCTCCCAACCTCTCTCCTCCTTGTCTTCTTTCTTTTTTTCCTTCATAATTGTTTCCTGGCATCTAAAGATGCTCTAAACTCATCTTGGCTTTTTCCCACCCCAATCCTAGAATCAATTACTTCTGAAATAATCTCTTGCTCCGTTGTTAAAGAATGATATGTATAATCCAAGATCCAGTTACTAAGTATACTCTTCAATAATGGGGTGTCACTGCTTCCAAACTCACTCATTGGACACAGAAATATATATATATATATATATATATATATATATATATATATATATATATATATACACACACACACACACACACATATGCATACTAAGTATACACAAAGAGCTATATTTATTTATAAATCTATGTGCTTTTATATGTTTTTAAGAAAATATTAGTTTATACTCATACATCTGATTCTTATGTAGTGCCAGAAGATCCATTCTAGCCGTTCCCCTTTCTTATAACTTCTTTTTTCTGACAATGAGAAGCCTAGGTCTCATTATCTACAGTATATTTGCTCCTATGCTCACTCAATTCTAGTATAGCTCAGAATTGCTAACTCACACACCCGTGAAAAGAAATTCACCGTGTAGTGCTCAGTGTTGACATGCAGTTCTTTTTTTCTCTTAAGCTTTACAGCATCCAGTCAAAACACTGTTTTCTAAAGTTAATTAGACCATCTTTCTTCTTCATGGTTATGGTTATGCAATAGTTTCTGTATGGTTTTTTGGTATGGTCATGCAATAGTTCTGTATATGTCAAGATTTATTTGTCACAGTCCATCTTAGTTTCCCCCTCACATATAGGTTGATTTTTTAATGTACATATATTAAAATTCAATATTTGTGATGTAAATGTTTATGAGTTTCAACAAAAGCACCATAACTGTCCTATAAAAATAAAGTTCCATATCCTGCAGAATTTCCTTAAGTACTTCCTTCCTAGTCAATCCAACAATTAGAAACAACTGGCAACACTGACCTGTTTCTCATCCTTATGGTTTTGTTTCATTTTCCAGAATGTTATATAAATAGAATGATATAATATGTAACATTTTGGGTCTGTCTTCTTTCATTTAGCAAAAAGCATCTAGGATTCATCCATGTTGTTATATGAATGAATATTTTATTCCTTTTTAGTGATGGATAGTATACCATTGTGTGGATATATCACAGTTGGTTCAGTTTGTACAGATATCCCAGTTTGCCAACATTTATATTAAAGCATTTAACATATGGATCATCATAATTTTAAATTCCCTCATGAATAGTTCCAGCCTGTGTTTGAATCTAAATCTAATTCACACCTGAGACTGTTGTTCTTTTCTTGTCTTTTTGTATGCCTCATAAATATCGTTGAATAGCAGAAATAAAATCTTATGTAGAATAGTAGAGACTGAGAGAAAGGGTTATCAGCTCTGAAAATAGGCATACTTTTTAGTATGAGATTTCAAGTAAATCTGGTTAGGAATTGAGCTAGTTTTTGGTAGGCTGCTTTTACGTTTGCAAACTGTTAACCACCAGATTCAACTCCCTTTAGTAATAACTCATGTTTAATGTTGGGGCTGGTTTGACAAATGTCAGCTCCAATCTCAGCTACAGGTCTTCTCTGTGCTGTTCCTCAGAGAGCATCTTTTCCCAAGCTCTTAGCCTTCACCTTCCTCTCTCTGTCCCATCTGTATTCTGATGTTATTTGTTACTGCATGCTTGCTATGTGAGAGTTGAAAGGTAATGATGGGAAAGTGTTTTCTCTTTTTCTGTTTAAGAGAATAGAGACCCCTTTCTTTTTGTTCTTGGACAGATATAGTGTCCTTTGGGCATGGAGGTGTGGTCCATTTCTGTATTTCTCCTTCTCCTCTGGCTGTCCTTCTGAGTTCAGTTCTCATTTCTGACTCTCCACCGGAGATAGGTTTATCTTTTTCCTGCCCTAACTACAATGAGTTTTTATAAGCATGACAAAGATTATAGTACTTAGATTAAGGTATTCTTTTTATAAGAGAAATAAGGAAAACCAATTTCAGTTGAGGGTTAAGTGGAGGTTCCCATCCCCCAGATATGTACTACAAAAGGTGATTTATTAAGACTCTATCCAGTCTTTTCTCTAAACATCAGCTGGGATTCATGAAGAAAGAGCCTACAAAACGGTGCAGACTCCCCAAATGTTGTGGTCACCAGATGTCCCCCTGGCTTCTGCAAACTTTGCTTGTAATAATTAACCAACCACTTTAGCAAAATTCTTCTCACCACTATCTGCTTACACTGACCTTACATAAGACATTGTTTGGGTCTCTGGTAAGCACCAGTCTTTCCCTAGATCTTGACTGCCCTGTAACCTCAGCTATCTGATAGTTATAAGAAAAGTTATAAACTTGTAGTTTATCCAGCATTTCCATTGTTTTAAAGGTGGGAGCATTGTCTTTTTACTACTCTACACCCCTAAGTATAAACTATAAGTTCCTCATATTCTTTGAATGTTAACTTTCTGATAGAGTTTAGGTAAGAAGTGATTTCTAATTAACTGAATTATAATCATTTGAGGGTCACCTGGTACAAAAATAGTATATGATAACACATGGATTTTATGTCATCTCTTTTCAACCAGCATGGATTCTCCATCAAGATATCTCCTCTTTGAAGGGAGAGAGCTGAGAGAATGGGTAAGAAAGGTTAATTTATGCACTCTATGTGATCCAACTTTATAAAGGAATTCTTTGGAGAATCACAGAATCTTGATACTTTTATGATATGGGCATAAGTCCAAAATTCAAGTTATTAAAAACTAGAAGGCTTCTGTATCTCCCTTCTTGGCCTTTGAATCCAGTAAGTTACATCTTCAGTAGCTGTGTACCCCTGGGGTTCAGAGTCCAACTGTACACACAAGGCAGCAAGAAGACAGACTCACACAACAGATGAGAATCCTACTGTAAAGACATAACAGAATGTCTAGCACATGCTGAGGTTTTGGAGATTACTAGAGAGTAGTATTATCAGGATGGCAGTTGTCTTTGCCTGTTATGGCTTTCTCCTCTATTAGATCTCTAACTCCTTGATAAAAAGAGACTGAATCTTAATTACTTTTGCATCCAAAATTCCAAGCCAATGCCTTGTACATAGTAAGCCAAGGATAAATATTGGTTAACTGCATTACACAAACAATAAATGATTCTCATGCTCAATCATGTTTGCCTCATCATCCCTTCTGAAATATTCATGAAGGCAGAGATCTGTCTTATTCATTATTCTTATTCAATGTTTAATATTACATCTAGAAAATTATTGATACTTAATAAATGTTGCTTTTTGGAAACAGTCTCTTTTGACAAGTTTCTTCGACTTATACACCTTTTATGTGCCAAAAAATGGTTGCTCCAATATTTAAGCCAGGATGGTATTCTAGATTCATCACCAATGAAAAAAAAATGCAACTCTCATATTTGTTTGGTAGTGAAATGGGTCTTTATTTCTTTAACAATGTGTTATCTCTGTAGACAGAATTACTTGTTATGAAACATATATATTGCCTTAGGATGGCTCACCCAAGAAGGAAGAACTCTACAAGGCTGCATAACAGGATTCTCAGAAAGAAGTCGTTTACAGATTTCAAGTATGCAGCTATATATCCTCATTAAATGTAATGTTGGCAGTAGTCAGTTCTACTTCACTGAACTTTTCCCACAATCCAATTTGAAAAGCTCATAAGAATAATTGATACCTAACTCACTGGAGAGAGATATTAGAAAAGTTGAAGAACGTAGCATTTATTTTAGATGAGTTTATGACCTAGTGGAAAGAACAAGGAATATACCCTTGAAATGATGTTAGAAGTAAAGTTCCATGGACCGAACAGAAACAAAGTTTGAACTGTATTGAAAAATGCTCAAATGTCTCAAATTTTGATAGTGAGTGGTAAATTGACGCAAACTTTTGACAACCTAGAAACAAAAAACACAAGCAAATATGGAAGTACAAGATACGTGAAATCATTTTATGAGTTATGAGATTTTTGATAATGTTTTTCTTTCTTTTGATATTTGTTTAACAAATGATGCAATAGATATTTTACTTTTGAGGGGACATAGTATCAAGGATTCATACATTTCAGGATAAACAATTTCCCAAATCAAAGGCATTTGGGAATAGATTAAAAGCATTATTATTTTATCAAGCAATTACTCTATGGCAGGTATTTTCCTATGTTCTTTGTCATTATCATTCTATTTAGTTGTCATAACACTGTAAATTGAAACATTTATTATCATGATTTTAGAGATGAGAAAACTGAGGCATGGAGAAGTTAAACAAGCAAGTAAGGGATCCATGATTTGCACATGACAATCTGAATCTAGTGTCCCTATTTCTAACTATAACAGTAGAAAGGTTACCCTAGTTCACCCCCAGCATTTGGTGGATGGTGGCAGATGACAGGAACCAGAAATCTGTATTTGGGAATTTTAAGAGAACTGACTCCTAAAGAAAAGAAGGGAGAGGAACAGGTGCAGAATTTATGTAAATATTATAAAGAGTGGAAGATACCAACTCACGGCAAATGAGACTTTTTGAGCATAGGCCAGCTGTAACAATTCAGAGGTAGGAGGCAGGAGGATCCTGTGAGATCCTCTAGCCCAATAGGTATAGAAATTCAGGCTTTTACTGGTAAAAGTATTTTGGAAGATTTCACTACTTTGGGGTGTAGAGACAATTTGCTAGATCCCAGCTAGCTCCTTTTGTAGCTTCTTGGATTCAGACATGCTGTGAGGTATGGGAGGTGGCTGATTATCAAAAACAAAATAAAAACAAGCTTTTAAAATCAGACATAAGAATTCAGAAATAAAGTTTGTGCAACTGAAAATTACGGTTATGTTATTCACACATCATATTGTTTCAAATTTAATATTGATTTGATACAATCTCTTACTGTATCCACCTAAATAAAACCTTTGAAAAAAAAAGTGGTGGCCAATTAATTAAAGAGTCTGGGGTTATGATTTCAAAAGAGACATGCTCTTGAATCACACAGCTGAAAGTGAAAATGCAACTTGATAAATACTTAATACGATTATTTAACTAAATAGATAAGCAGAGTTGGTAACAAAGAATGCAGCTATTTGGAGACTTAAGTAAAAAGAATTGGATGCCTAACTTGTTTTCATTTTTTGAAACCCATGTCAGACCTTTTTTTCACTGTAAATGTGCTTGCTTTTATGTACTACTTTAAGCCTTCCTTAAAATCTGCAGGAAAAAATTAGCTTCAGTCTTTTATTTGCTATGTATCATGGAACCTCATTACTATATACCTGGCATTCTGACAGAAGCTAAAGAAAATTAGTCCCAGTAGTTTAGCAATGCTTTCATAGATGAGGTCACACTGAAATGTTCCTTCCATCAGCCTGATTCTCCTTGCATTCCAAAGGGAGAACAATGCAATCTATTTGTGGCTGCATAAACTGTGTGACACATTGCAATGAAAGAATTCCCTGCTCCTTGCAGAACAAGCCTGGGAGTAGCTTATTCTATGGAGTTGGGGGACATAATTATCTCACTATGTTTTTGTTTATGAAAATATTTTTTATGAAGAGATAATTCCCCTATGGAACAGCTCCTAAAGAAAGTGCTTGATTCATTCCTATTGATAAAACTGTCTTATTTTATTTTCTGCATGAGGTTATAGCATTACATCAAGCCTCATGTTTTATGACTAATTTGTAGCTGTTTGAATAAAATACTGCTAAACTTAGTATTTTTTTCCTGATCAACCTTTCTCAGCTTTTTAAATCCATCAAATTAAAAGTGATCAAGAAGGTGTAAATAATTATGTATTCTTGTATTTATTTAACCTGAATCTTTTATTGGAAGTGAGACCACATGCCTGGAATTTCACACATTTTCCACTTTCACAGATGAACCTTTCAGAGAATCTTAGCCTGGAACTAAATAATGAACTGCACTGGAGATGAGAAATCCTTGAAAATATATTGGAGAATAGCCAGTCAATGCAAAGGGTCAAAGACAAGGAGTCCAACAGCTCCAGTCCTGGGAACAAACTTGGCTTTTCCTAGTTATGGAATTTTAGGCAAGGGAAGTTTGCTGACACTCATTTCCCTTTACTGGAAAGAAAAAAAAAAGAGGCATGGATGTTGTATTAGTCAGCTCAAAGCTCAAGCTGCTACAATGAAATACCCTATACTGGGTGGCTTAAACAACAGGAACTAATTTTCGCACAGTTCTGGAGGCTGGAAAGTCCAAGATTAAGGTGCCAGCTAATTTGACTCCCTGGTGAGTGCTTTCTTCCAGGATTGCAGATGGCTGCTTCTTGCTGTGTCCTCACAGGGTAGAGAGAGCACTGGTGTTTTTGTCCTCTTATGAGGTACTAATCTCATCATTATGTCTCTACCCTCACGACTTTATCGAAACCTAGTTATCTCCCAAAGTCTCATCTCCAAATACCATCATGTTGGAGGTTAAGGATTCAACATATGAACTTGGGGGAGGGAGCACAACTTAGTGCGTAAAAGCTGTTTATATCAAATGAGGTTATGATTAAAATTTCAAAATACTATAAATTGTTGAATTATCATTATTATTGCTTTATCTTGTCCAATTGTTATTCCTTGTGCTTTATTGAAGTCGAAATGTCAAAGTGATTCACACATCCTATGATTATGACCACAAACTTGAACCCAACATTGTTATAGGTTCTAGAGAAACAGCAATAATCTTTCATTCAGCTCCAATACTTGACATAATATGTGAAGTACCTTCAACTGTTAAAAATAAAGGAAAAAAGTAAGAAAAGAATGAATAATAAAGGAGGATGCCATTTTGCATTGGATAGACAGGAAAGACCTCTCCATTTGCAAAGACATCACAAATAAGAGAGGGAGTGAGCCAACTAATGGAAGAGTTTGACAGCAGAGGGAATAACAAGCACAAAGGCACTGAGTCAGGGGCATGTTTGCAGGTTTCAGGAAGAACAAGGAATTCACTGTATATGGAGCAAGATAAGTAGCTGTAACTTGGTAGAAGATAAGGTCAAAAAGTTAGCCAGAAGCAGGATGACATAAGAGCTTATGGCCACATTAAAGAGTTGGAATTTTATTCTGGAGAGATGTGAAGCATTGGAGAATTTTTGAGCAGAGGAATGACATTATCTGACAATAATCTCTCCATCTATCTTGTAGAGAAGAGACTTCAAAGGGGCAAGGATCAAAACAATTATAGGTAAAAGGACCAAAAACAGATGATGAAAATAGTGGCAAAGATAGTGACAAAAAAAAGTAATCAGAATATATTCTGGAGGCAGAGCCGATATTATCTCCTAAAAGACTGCACTGTGGGCCATGAAAGTACTTACAATGTAAGTGGTGAACTTACATCATTGCCTATAAAACTTATAAGTGAATAATCTGAAATGACTTTCCCAACCCACACCGTATCACTCTACAGAGAAGTGTTTGTCCTAAGATATATACTGTGTTTAGTTTTTTTCTATTTACTTGAGTTTTTATTTGACTTGAACTTTTTTTTAAATTTTACTTTTATATTATTTTATTTTAATGTTTTAGGATCTTAGGTCTAGATAATTGAAATAATTATATACTTTTGTTCCTGGAACATCATTATCACTAAGGCAGGCAAGCCCTATTTAACTTAGTTATTTAATTTAATTTTCTAGCCTTTTAATCTGTGATCCCTATTCTCCTTTTCACCTTTTCTCTATAGTACCCAAAACAATAAATCTGATTTTTTTCTTGTATATTTATCTTTGAAAAATCTGTGGTAGCATTTGTAAATCTATGCTTAAACTTTTCCACAAAGGCATAAATCAAGAAGTTCTTTGAAACTAATGAGAACAAATCTACAACATATGAGAATCTCTGGGATACGGCTAATGCAGTGTTAAGAGGGAAATTTATAGCACTGAATGCCCACATCAAAAAGTTAAAAGATCTCAAGTTAACAACCTAACATCAAAGCTAAAAGAACTAGAGAACCAAGAGCAAACAAATCCCAAAACTAGCAGAAGACAAGAAATAACCAAAATCAGAGCTGAGCTGAAGGAGATAGAGACACAAAAATTCATTCAAAAGATCAACAAATTCAGAAGCTGGCTTTTTAAAAAACATTAATAAAATACATAGACCACTAGCTAGACTAATAAAGAAAAAAAGATAGAAGATTTAAATAAACACATCAGAAATGATAAGGGGGACATTACCACTGACCCCACAAAGATACAACTATCCATCAGAGAATGTTATAAACACCTCTATGCACATAAGCTAGAAAATCTAGAAGAAATAGATAAATTTCTGGACACATACACCCTCCCAAGACTGGATCAGGAAGAAATTGAATCCCTGAACAGACCGATAATGAATTCTGAAATTGAGGCAGTAATTAACCACCTACCAACCAAAGAAAGCCCAGGACCAGAGAGATTCACAGCTGAATTCTACCAGATATACAAAGAAGAGCTGGTCCATCAATCCTACAGATTTGTTTTTTTTATTTGGCTCTTGTCTCCTCAGTATGTTCTTAAGAATTTATTTATGTTGCTTCATATGCTTTTAGAATATTGCTTCCCACTGCTGTGGAGCATTCCATACTGTGCACCAACCTTGTCTAACTTATCCATTCTCTTCATTGTCCCATGTATCTTACATCTAATGCTTCTAGGAAGAATCTCCTTTTATATGCCTGTTTGTAATCTTGGGCAGCAATTTCTATAGGGCAAATGACCAGTAGTTAGTTTGTGTTTAAATAACATTCATCAATATATTCACAATGAATTGTACACAGTTAATAACAATTTCACATTTACAACAGAAAACAATGTTATTTGATAAATTTTTGAAGCTTAAATAAGTAAATGTGTTTACTTTTTTATTTATATAGGGACAATTTCAAAACCTATAGAATGCTTCGGTACTCAGCTTCAGAAATTAAGAACTGAGAATAAGAATTCTACCTAGAAAATAATATGAAGATAAACATTCCATTATGAGAACAGAAAAAAAGAATTAAAGATAATCATTCTAAATTTCAGATTAAATCACATTAAGAATCAGATCCATTCCTTAGATCAGCGTTTTCTCTCCAGTAGAAAGTTATTAGCCCTAAATCAGAAATTGTCCTCTCAAGACCAGTATTCTTCCAAGTTCACGGAATAAACTTCCAGTATCTCTTCCTAAATCTTACAATATACATTTCTGTTTTATTTTTTCTTTTCTTTTTTTAATATGGAGTCTCACTCTGTCACCAGGCTGGAGTCCAGTGGCACGATCTTGGCTCACTGCAACCTGCACCTCCCGGGTTCAAGCGATTCTCCTGCCTCAGCCTCCCGAGTAGCTGGGACTACAGGCACCTGCCACCACGCCCGGCTAATTTTTTTGTATTTTTAGTAGAAACGGGGTTTCACCATGTTGGTGAGGATGGCCTCGATCTCCTGACTCGTGATCTGCCCGCCTAGGCCTCCCAAAGTGCTGGGATTACAGGCATGAGCCAACACACCCGGGCGATATACATTTCTTAATTATATAAGTACCCACAGAAAAAACACTAATGAAATACACTCATACAACTATGCCAGAACAGATCCTAATAACTCATGCTATATGACACATCATACCTTGACTTCAAAGAAAAAGCTTCATCAATATCCACATACATAAAAACAGGCTTTATATTTTTTATAGTTAAAAACCAAGTTGCTAAATGTCATGTATACCATGTAGCATATCAACACTGCAGACGCACCATGATTCTGCGTAGCTCATAATTTGCTGCTGTGTTCCTAAATAATAGATATAGCCTTCTTCCTAAAGTTTTCTATGTGTGTTTGCTCATAGCAAGTTAAGGGCACAGACCCCTCCCCTGCAACCCAAATCCTTGACAATCCCCTGAATCTTCTTCAGTATGGGCCACAAAGATGCCACGCTTGAGGTTATCCAGGACACTAAGCCAAATGGCCAAAAAAACTGATTTTACTGGACACCCCTGCCCTCATGCTAGTCACATAGATTTTTAAGGGAAAATGAGATAATGGATGTTGGTGATGAAGATATTGATGCAGGTGGATACAAATAGAAATGTTGATCCAGCAAATGGAGGGGCCGTCAGAGGAGGCCTGAGAGTGGGTAAAGTCCTTCATCTCTGATGTTAAACATCTTCAGACCTCTCCAGCCAAAGAAAAGCATATGGCATTAATATTTGGACACAACAGTTAACTGTCAGGATTTAGACTTAATGTCTTTCTGCTAGTTCTGTGGTCAACGCAGTGGAAAATAGATTTTAAGAATTAGAATGAAATTTGAAACAAAGATTCTAAAATACTAAAATACTGGCTGGCTTTAGCTGAGCGGAATTAGCTGCTTCCAGATTTGCTGTGTTGCACGGTGACGGGGAACCTAACAGTGGTTAGGAGGGTACATTCTAGGGCCAGATTACCTGGGTTTAAATTGTGGCTACGTCACTTACTAGTGCCATGTCCTCAGGCAAATTTCTTTTCTTTTTACATTATTTTAACATTTATTGTAGATTAAGGGGCACACACGCAGGTTTGCTACATGGGTACATTGCATGATGCTGAGGCTTGGGGTCCCAATGATCCCACCACCGAAGCAGTGTACATAATACTCAACAGATGGTTCTTCAGCCCACTCCCTGCTCCCTCCTGCCCCCGTCTAGTGGTTCCCAGTATATTGTTCCCATCTTTATATTCATGTGTACTCAATGTTTAGATTCCACTTATAAGTAAGAACATTTAGTTTTCTGTTCATGCATTAGTTCACTTAGGATAATATTTTCAGCTTGAAATTGAATAATTTCAATAATGCCTATCTTGGGTTTTTATGAGAATGTAATGAGTTTGTCCAATACCAGTTCCTCAAATAACATCAACAAAACTAGTTGATAAGACAAAACTGAGTTTAGGCAGGGTGCGGTGGCTCATGCCTGTAATCCCAGCACTTTGGGAGGCTGAAGTGGGTGGATCACCCGAGGTGGGGAGTTCGAGACCAGACTGGTCAAAATGGTGAAACTCTGTCTCTAGTAAAAATACAAAAGAATCAGCCTGGCATGGTGGCACATGCCTGTTATCCCAGCTACTTGGGAGGCTGAGGCGGGAAAATTGCTTGAACCCGGGAGGCAGAGGTTGCAGTGAGCCAAGATCGTGCCACAGCACTCCAGCCTGGGCGACAGAGCAAGACTTTGTCTCAAAGAAAATAAAAAATGAAGAATTTTTAAAAATTTAATTAAAAAAAACTTAGTTTATTGATCCTGCAACATGGAAGGAAGGAGACTATCTCTACAGAACTTTGGTAGTGTCTCATCACAGGGAAGACAAGGTCAGATTTATGGATAATTTTGAGTTTGGTTTAAGGCAGGCATTTGATAAAGATGGGGTAAGGGTCATGATAAGACTGTTTAGAATGAGTGGAATAAGAAAGTGTAGGATTTTGAAAAATAAACCCCCTGATGATGCTTCTCATTGAAAGTAGGTGGGTCATTGTGGGAGTTTCTGTAATTAACAATCAAGTTTTTTTCTTGGGGAAGAGTATCCTGAAATAGTAAAGCCACACTAATACAGACAATAAGCTGTGTATGGGGAAGGAGATAGGAAGGTAGATGGTTTCAGGTTTTAGTTAATATGTACAAAGAACTTATTACCGTGCCTAGCATAAATTAAAGCTCAAAATATGTTAATTGCTATCTTTCTCTTAGATGTCTTTCAACTGAAGTAGAAAACTATTTTAGCACTGATGAAGCCAAGGCCACTAGATAACCAAAGTTAGTCTCCTCTTTCCATAAGCTCAGAAGTGATATCAGCAGTTACTTGCTGAAGAAGTTTGATTACATGATGTCAAGTTTCTATTTTTATTTATGTACTATTAAAATTAAAACTAATAGAAATGAAGATGTTTAAGAAGCCTAAAGAAATAAAGCATTGAGTGAGCTACATATTCTGGGGCATGAAGTCTCCTAACAGACAAAGGAAGGTGCTGCTGAAACCACAGGTTCTTTTTACAGTCTTGAGGGCATCATTTAAGATAAAGGAGGACAAACTTTAAAAGTGTTCCCCAAGTAGTTTAGATTAGCTGAAGTGAGAATGTAGAAATTTAAAGACAAAAGCAATCTAATTTATGAAGAATTGTTAGATGGAATTCACTTAAGTTGACTAATCATTTCTTTAGTTTTAAAAAATGTTTAATAAATAAGAATTGTTTTCTCTGAATGCTGTATAAAAGTCTTGTATTAATTCAAATATATGTATGTGTATATGTATGTGTGTGTATATATGGGGTATATATAAGTGTGTATACACAAATATGTGTGTGTGTGCACGCATGTGTACAATATACTAGAAACTCTGTAACTAACACAAAATCCATTTTGGGATGTATTTTGGATATATTCACTGGGGAAAACAGACAAGGAAAAATAAGTAAAGGCATTGATATATTTGAGGTAAATATAAGTATTATGAAGAAATATAAAATGGAGGTCTTATAAAACAGAATTAGAGAAGGACTTATGGCAATAAACTATCTACAATTGAATATGAGCAAGATTATTTTTCTGAACAGATGATGTTTGAACAACCACCTAATAAAGTAAGTGTGTGATGCTAAAATTAAGAAGAACAACATCCCAGGTAGAGGGAGTAGCAAGTAAATAGGCTCCGAGAAAATAATATGCTGGTATGTTCAAGGACAAGGAAGAAGTCAGAGGCTAGATTGGGATGATTAGATCATGACAAGAAAGGTAGCTAGGATCCTGCTTATGTTGGGATATTTAGGAAAATGAGAAAGGATTGTATTCTAAGGACATTGAAGAAAGCCATTTGAAGGCCTCAACCAATAGTGTTAGATGATTGGTTAAAGTTCTAAAAATACCACTCTGATGATGTGGAAAACTGATGATAGAAAGGAAAAATGGAGATCAAGAGGTCAGTTAGGAGGCTCTTATAGCCTCCAGGGGAGAAAGAGAAGCTTGGGCTAGATGATAAGGTAGAGGCGGCAGAAAAGTGATCAGATTTGGGGTATATATTGAAAATAGATTGACTGCTTTCTAGAAAAATCAAGCACACCATGAGAGTTTCAGTCCAAACAGTTGAAAGGTGGTAGCATTGACACTGATGAAAGATTGAGGGAAGAAAAGATCAATGAAACCACTGCAGTGAGAGGGTGAGGTTTGAACAGCCTTCTTCCTTGCTGCCTTCTCTGTGTCTGCTGCCACTCTGCTACGGTTTGCTTGCAGCACCCCACACCTGGCCTCAGGATGTTATTTTGTATCATTACAAAGGCAATTACCCTCCTCAAGTATCTCCCCAGGATGCCTAAAAATCTCCAAGTGCTTAAACCAAAATAATTGGTTGGCACATATGAGAAAAGCTTAAAGTGGTAAAGCCCTCAGCAGTAAACAATGATGAACAATCCTTTCCTTGAAGGGGAAAGAAAGGAAATGATAACTAGAAAGTAGGAAAGTGGCAAAATCCAAATACATGAAGATAAACATCATTTGACTCACAGCTTTTTCTGAAGCAAGGCCCACGATAACCTACCAAAATCAATGCTTCATCGTCTACTTTGTGGTAGCAACCTGTATGTAGGGGAATATTCCACTTTTAACTATTATATATTCTGTTTCAAATTGATAGTGAAGAGTAGAAAATGTGTTTTTGGTTGGGCAAATTTTATTTCATTTTTAATGTGGAGACAATGCCTTCACTATTTCGTAGCACCATAACCTGTGTCAAACTAAATAACAGAGGCAGGCTCTCTAAGAGAAAATGATATTTATTTGGGATTAGGCATTGCAATGGTATTGAATATATATGCTATAGTAGACTATGTGAATATTCAGGGAGGTAAGGAAGACAAAGAGTGTTAAAGGAAAAAAAATGAAGAGAATTACATGATCTCTTTGAGATAATTATTCTTGGCTATAGAGATCAATAAACAGAGTGACACTAATTCAAGGTTGAACAGGCAGTTGCTGGACAGATGTCCTTGCAAAAGTATTTTTTTGCATAAGATTGCAAAGACCATTGTGCAAGGTTGTGGTTTTGTCTTCTGTGACAGTTTTTGTTATTAGACATTTATGCGTAAGAACCTTCTCTTCATGGCCTTCCCTGGCTGTATTGCAGTTTAGTTTAGTTTTGTTTTTAACACAAGTGACTCCATTTTGATTCTGATGATTTTTATACCTATAAATGGCAAATAGTGCCTAACTAACAGAAAATTTGGAATTATCAAGTTAACAAGATAAGTAGAATGCTTGGCAGAGCTCACTCAATAACTGTTGGTTTTCTGTCATCACACATTTCTTTGTTCAAAAGAAATCACAGTCAGTTCTTAGAACACTACTGCTTCCATTCACCTTGCTGTTCCTTGCTGGTTTAGCATTTATTGAACTATCTGAAGGAGCTATCAGGTAACTCAAATGATACATTTTGGCCTTGGAGTACAGCAAATGATTTTTTTTACACAAATAAGAGCAATTCCTGACCTTAAGAGATGAACAGACGGAAGTGACACTGAATAAGCTCAGAGAGCTGAAGATCTGAAGGTTTCTGTTGCATCTAAAATTCCTGAAGTCATTTTGCATATTCACTTCAGTATTTATCTAGAAAGAATTGTTTAAAGATGCTATTGAACTTCTTGGAACAGAGAAAATCTGGCACGCAAAAGTGAACACAAAATTTTTACTTTCGCCACACAGATTTTTTTTTTTTGCCATCATAACTTTGCAAAAAAATTCCACAATAACACAATAGGCACAAATAGATCATCGAGCCCATTTAGAAAAAAAATGCCTTTTTTTTTTTTTTTTTTTTTTTTTTTTTAGCACAATTAATCCCATACCTTAATCGTGCTCTGGTAGAACATTTAAGAATGTAAGGTCTTACTAGCTATAAATCCCTCTATGAAGCAGAATTCATACAGACTCTCCAAGTTAAAAGAGTAAAAGTGCCCACAGGGGATTTTGAATCCTAAATTTGTCAAAAGAAATTAGTGCTAAGCATTATTACATTTTTCTTTCTCTTTTGATTTTTTTCATACAATTTATCTTCCCCCCAGATCTCTCTCCCCACCCCACAAAATAAGAAAGTAAAAAGACAAAAATAGTTGTCAAAGCCACAAGCTTCTTTTCCCTCAAAATGTAAGAAACCACAAGTTCCTGGGTGAAGATTAAGAATCATATGCCAAGTTCTTTCAAAGTTGTTCATATTTCACTCAACAACATTAGTCACTGAGCTATCAGCTCCAGTGGGCAACCAGAAAGAATTCATTTGAAATCACATCGCCTAGCTCCTGTGCATCTGTTCCTATTGCTGGGAAATCTACAATGTGGCTTTGACCTTTTCTGAGTAATTTCTCAAGTCAATCCAGTATGATATGGGAACATGACTCTTCAAATATATTCTTCCTTTACGAAGTCTTGTGTGAGGAATTTTAATGACATTATTCAAATTATTTGTATTATACTAGCTCAGGTTTGGATAAGTTAACCAGGTTTGTATAAGTTTTGCCAATTGCAGAACTTATTTTTGTAGATGTTCTATCTAAATTCTTTCATTGAAGAATAGCAAGGCTTCCTTTGAGCAATCTCTGTGAAATTCTCCTAGTGGTCACTAGATAAGCATCATTATGAAAGCTCACAAAAACATATCATCAACAAACAGAAATTTGCTAAACAGAGTTTTTGACTTGAACTTTATATTAGAAAATATATTAAGTTTCTTGAGTTCTACTTTGTCTTCCATTTTTTTTAGTAATTTCAATATACTGTGAATTAATCTTGGTATTTGTATATAGGAATTAAGGAAATAAAGTTTCTCTTCTCAAAGTACTCATAGTCAAAAGGTAATTAGATATTATTTTTGAAAACTGCCAATTATTCATACTTTTTCAAATAATTCAAATAATAAAATATTGTTATAACTCAACAAGAAGAAATAACTCTTTGGGCAATGTCTTTTTTCATTTTTAAATATTTTTTATATATTTAGGTGGTACAAATGCAAAGTTCTTACGTGCATGTATTGTATATTGATGAAGTCAGGGCCTTTATTGTATCCATCACCCAAGTAGTGAACATTGTACCCAGTAGGCAATTTTTTAACCCTCATTCCCCCTCTAAGCCTTGCACCTTTTAGAGTCTCCAATGCCTATCATTCCACTCTGTATGTCCATGTGCATCTTTTGTTTTGCTCCTACTTATAAGTAAGAGCATGCAGTATTTGAATTTCTGTTTCTGAGTTATTTCACTTAGGATAATGGCCTCCAGTTCCGAGTTCCATCCATGTTGCTGCAAAAGACAATATTCGTTTTTATGGATGAGCGCTATTGATATATCATACTGATGACATATGATGATATATCATATATGTGATATTTATCATACACACACACACACACACACACACACACACACACCATAGTTTATTTAGTCCTCCATTGATGGGCACTTAGATTGGTTCCATATCTTTGCTATTGGGAATAGTGCTGTGATAAATACATGAGTGCAGGTATCTTTTTGACATAATTATTTCTTTCCCTTTGGATAAATACCCAATAGTGGGATTGCTGGATCGAGTGATAGTTCTGTTTTTAGTTGTTTAATAAGGAATGCTTGTTTTGATACAGAACCCCTCTGAAAAGGCATCATAGCTTAAAATCCATGTCACTAGACATAGCTCATCAGAATATCAGAATATTTAAAGCTGGCCAGCCAGAAATCTCCATGTAAGTTCAATACAGGAATTGTAAAGAAAACAAATACATTGATTTTAACTTAAATATCAAGTGAAACATTTTCAGTTTTCTAACAGGAAGGCACATAGACTTAGAGGAAATATTAGAACATATATCAAGGTTGAATAACAAACAGTCTTTATCAAGTTATGCTGAGATATCTGGTCAAGAGGTTTCTCTGAAAGAGGTCAATAATTTACACTTCTTCATTACATTGGTCCTGTCTTTGCTTCTTCTGAATTGTTATTCTTTGACATTGTCTTAGATTGTATTTCCTAAAAGGAGAATCTAAGATGCGAATTTTGGCTGATGTGCTTTATTGTGGGGGTGCTTTCATGTGAATAGGGTGTGAGAAAAGCAGGATAGGGCAGTCGGAGGGTTTTCTGAAAACTCAGTTTGCCTGATCCAAAGGGAACAAGGGGGGATGGAATTAAATCACAGAATAACGTCACCATGTTACCCCTGGCTGACTCACTCAATTTCCATGGGCTACTCCTTGGGATGGTTGTAGGAAATAAACTGCTGGATGAGCCAATTTTCCAGGAAAAGTGGTAGACTTGAGTAACAGCAGCTTGGAGGTGGGTGTGACAGCCTGGTAAAGGTGATGTAGGCAGGGCACAAACAGCCTCAACTATACATACAGCACCTACATCAGCCATTCCAATATAGCAACCATGGCCACATTATGTCAAAGTTGTAGCTTCCTAATGTCTAGAGAGCAAGGCTGTACAAAGCAAGAATAGAAGATAACTCATGCTTTAGAAAATTCTCCAACTATCCTCACAGGCCCAAGAAACATTACAGTGCTGCAGCAGGAAAACACATAGACCCTTCTGTTATATGTACAGTTAAAAAAGACAAAGGAAATCTCTCAGCTGAATGCTTCTAGGAAAACTCTCTTCTATAATTCAGACATCATTTTCTTTGTAACTCTTTCCTGACTTTCACATTAAAAAAAAAAATCTGCTTGGATCTAGTAATTTGGATTAAAAGATTTTCCTTACCAAATCATAACAATAGCTGATATATATTGAGTGCTTACAAGATTGTAGACTTTGTTCTGAGCAATATATTTGTGTTATCTCATTTTATCTTCAGTTTCAGCATATAATGTTAATTTATTATCCCTAGTTTCTAGGTGAAGGAATTGAGGCATGGGAACATTAGTCAACTTTCTGAAAGTCACCCGGCTAATGGCGAAAATTGGAACCCAGAGCAGTGCTTCTGAAATTTTAATAGATACATGAAGCACCTGGGCATCTCAGTCAGATGCAGATTCTGATTTTGTCTAAGGTAGGGTCTAAGATTCTGCATTTCTAACAAACTCCCAGATCATGCTTCTGCTGCTCATCTAAGGACCACACTTTGACAAAGAGGAGTCTAGAGCTCTGTACCAAAATGGCCTTCAAAAAATGCTTCCTATGAAAATGTGGCCTATATTTGATTCCTGCTTACTGTAAACATGTAAATTATATTTGTTTCTTATTTGCTCATCCTTATCATGATGTAATGCTGTGAATTTGACTGTTTGTCTTTACCCAAAAATTATTCTTTACTCTAACTCTAAATTTTAGGATGAACAAAGCGGCCTTAAACAGCTAAACATCTTCACCAACAGGCTGAATTCATGAGTTCTTGGCTTGTCTTAGATTTGACTGCTAGTGCTACACTTTAATTTTCCAGAAAATATCTAACTTCCACTCTTAATCACTAAGCTACATATCTGAGATGGTTCCTTGGCTACTCTTGGTCTTTTTCCTTTTTATTCCAGAGTGCCCAAACTATGAGGAAACTGCGAGTGTCCTATTTATATTCGCACTGTACTGATATAGCAAGGAGACCATGCGGTTCGCTGGAGGTAGATTTGCTACCAAGGCTTTCTCTTGTTTAATCACAAACCAGGAATTATGAAAAAAACTTTAGCAGGATATAACTGTTCTCAATACGTAAAAGATGACTAGATGGGCACAATTAATTCAACAGCTAATTGCCAAGTGTCTACTTATGTGCTAGACACTGTTAGACAATGAGGATTTGATAGTGAACAAGAACACAATGTTTAATAATATGTGATGATGAAGCTAGCTTTAAATTTAGCAGTGTACAATGCTCCTAATAGTCCTAGTTCTAACACCTTTATTGGCCAGTTACAGCAGCATAAGGAGAGGAATCCTTTCTCATCCCCAAACCATGATCTGATTCCTGGCCAGCTCTCTGTTAATGCCACTGTTAGGCTGAATTTAGAGCTGCCATACCATTAGGATGTTTTCCTACTTTATGAAAAACTTGTTCTTCTGTTTAGAAAGATGGGGGTTAAGTGCAGGATAGCAATTACAGATTTGGGCTTATCTTTGATGCTTTGAACCAGGTTCCACCAAACTGATGAGATCTGCTACTTGCCTAGGCCATAGTGGCTCTATTCTGTCTGCTCTCTAAGTGGCCAACATAGCAGACTCACAGATGCCAATGAAAAACCCACTCAAGTCTCTGAATATTACTCACAAACAGGTGAGATGTTTCTCTAGGGTTGATATAGTGGTATTTCGTTCAGTTTCTAATTTAACAATTTCTTCCCCCATTCTTTCCAGCAGGAGCTATAGAGATACTGATTAAATAGTAATTAAAGATCCTAACACTGTCATTATCTTTTCTTAAGTAGCCACTGCAGCCACGAGGAGAACATTAACTAAACCAGAATGTAATTTTCTGAGGGTGTAGGTAAGCTTTCAATTTTCCTGATTCTGAGTTTGTCAAGAAGGAACAGAGAGCCATGTGTTTATTCTAAAAGACTGTTCACATTGAATGTAGAATTCATGGGGTTGGAGTTTGTGTCTTCAGATCATAATATCTGTAAGATTTATTTCCCATCCAACAGAATAGCAGTATCTGCAGGGAAGAAATCACATCTTGTGCAGTCTATTCATGCTGTGTCAGGTCAGAATTGATTGGGCAAGCAGATGGCCAATTGATCAGCAGTGACTCTGCCAGGGCCTACAAACTTCTCAGGACAGCTTCTGTTGCTTCCTCAACTGATAGCAAATTCTGGGCTCAGAAAGCCTCTGTAGGCTGCTCTAGAGGGAGATTGGCTCAATTGTCTCCATTATCCTCTTGCCTAAATCCCCATTCTAGTTAATTCCTCACACTACTCCAAAATAGGTCTTACTTAATGGCCACACTTCAATCTGGTAAGGTGTTACTAATGCCAGAACCCAGTTTTCAAGGGCTGTGGCATTTGGAAGCCTGAGGTATTCTATAAAGGAAAAAGAGGACAATTTGGTTTGTAGAATCTAATGTGATTTTGTTCTGTGGCATGGCCTCATCTACTTTTCTCAACTCTTCTTGTGCCTCCAATTTCCCTGCCCACACCAGTCACATAGATTTTTTTTTTGTCTCTACACCTTACCAAGATGGTTCTTACATCAAGACTTTTGTAGACTCTGTTCCCACTACTTATAAATGTTCTTTCTTATGACATTTTCACATCTGACTTGTTCCTTTCATTCAGATTTTAGCTTCAATGCCTTCTTAGTGATACTTTCCCTGAATTCCCAATCAAAAGTCACCACCTCATTGTTCCTTTTATTTATTTTGGGGCCTTTTTACTATAACTTTTAATTTTACTTCTATGCTTTGAATTTCATGAATTCAATATGTGTCCTTTTTTATATAATTTCAGATGAGATGAAGATGAAGAAATTATTGGGTTTATTGGTAAAGCTCAGATAGGACTTCAAAGTCATATATTATTCCAAACGCTTTTGGTAATTAAATAATATGGGAGATGTCCCCCACCCCCACCCCCACCACTACCCAAACAAGTGATCCTGAATCCGGAAAGATCAGCCTCCATGTTCAGGAAAACTGCTTTTAGCCAACATTATTTTTTAGAGTACGACTTGAAAGAGTCCCAGTGTATTGAACATTAGGTAATTCATTAGATTATAATAAATTATAAATTACATAATAAATTAAATAATTATGATAAGTTATCCTGGTTACTACAAAGATTCCTGCTTGGGTCTCTAATGAGCTTGAGAGCCTCCAGATTGGTATAAACCCCCAGTGTTCCTCAGGGCCTTATCAAACACACGTTCTTGAGATCACTGGGAAAGCTTCTAATGAACTTCCATTATGCAATTCAATAAAATTTAGCAGACATTCTTTATATCATCAATGTCCTGTGGGATGATACAAGCAGGAAGAGGACTTGGCCCCTGCCCTCAAGGAGAGCACAGTCTAGTGCAGGAGACAAATACATAGATATATAATTAGAGCACCAAACACATTATAAGAACAAGGTCTAACCAAAGCACTAATGGAAGACAGACCAAAATAGAGATGGATCCTAGATGATGCATCCGGAGGGCACCAGGCCCTTTATCACACAATGTATTAGGGAAAATGGTTTAAAATAAAAGTCACTCATGTGCCAGCATTGGAGGGTTTGTCGATCTCTGACTCAGCATTTCAGATGTTCCTAGCTTCTGGTGAGCTTATCATTCTTCATGTTTGGCTAAGACTAGCACAAAGCAGGCAGTGATGCCAGAATCAGTTCTATGATTCCATTGCCAGAGACCAGGGAAGGAGTGAGGGACTCCAGACTTTCTTCATGAAGTCCGATGATCCAATACCCTTTTGTTTAAAGAACTGTTTACAATTCCAATCTGTAAAACAACATCTTTAGTTCAACAAATTCAGCAAAGGTGGTCTTTATCCAAATTTAGTTTACTCTTTCTCTACATTCTTATCATTCCAAAGTCCCAAAGTATTGATTAATAATTGTTACTAAAATTATTTTGCATGTATAGTATAAAATTATTTGCACATATAGTACAGAATTTTTATTCATGCTAAGAATTATTTCTACTTTAAAACTCACACATTAACGTGCTTCCCTCCATACTATCTCATTGCTTACTTCTGTTAAGCATAAGTCATTAGCAAATGGTATAACTCTTTATAGGAGTTTTTGGATATTTGTCCTCTCCCTGAGGAGGTTTTATGCCTGTATTTCCTCAGTTGACTATATGCTATTAGCTTAAGATATAAACAGATTAGCTACTTTGGGTGGAGGTTATCTGAGGGCTCTTTTCTTTCTAATTAGCCACCTTCTTTTATATGTATGTCTCTAGTACAATTTGATAACACAGAGTTCCAAGGTGTCCAAATGGTGGTGTCCAAAATTGTTGATGCTGTGCGAGGATGGATGCAATTGCTTCACCATATAGAGTGTCTATGGAGAATATGAGTTAGAAATAGTCATGTCAGAGTTGAGCCTGGGAAAAGAATTCACAATTGTATGCTTTGCAGTGGAAAATTTGACAAATAAAACTATTATTTATATCAAGTTAAAGTGACTTTAAAAAAATCATTATTTTCCATATATTAGGAATATAAAACACATACAGTTGAATATTTAAAGTAAAGTAATCTTGATGTGGGGTCCATAGGTTCTACTGAATTTTATAACTTGCTACAAAATATTTTTTCTTACTATCTCTGATCATTCCTGTTATTATCCTGGATAATAACAACATCAGATATGTTTTCATTATCTTGTAGGAGTGCAATTTCCCAGGCCTACTTCTTATGCTACCAGATATATTTAGGGCTGCACAGTGTCAAGTCTTCTATGAAATGCAGAAAAACAAAAGACTGTATATTTAATTGAGCTATGAGAACAATGGGAGAAATATTAATCAGAGGGACTTTGAGCATATTCCCATCTTTAATTTGGGGATTAGTGTAGCTTTCTCAATGATGATTAAAGCCACAATCAAAGCAAGAGTGCATAAGGCTCTTAACAATCTTTTCTTCATGTATATTTCCAGCTATGATTTACAAATGAACCCAAGGTGGTATACTTTTCCTAATTTTTTGTGGATGAAAACTTGCCATTAAAAATTTAAACCACATTTTTTATTTCTCTACATTTTTTGTTCATGTTGTTCCTCTACTTTGAATAAGTGTCACTCTTTCTGTTTTTTTGTACATGAAGGTCCAGCTCCTTTGACATCTCTGTAAAGCCTCCCTCCATTTATGTGAGGCAGTTCTATTCTATTCTGTTTCAGCAATACTGACCCAACAACACTAGGCTTAAACTACTGACATAATGCTTACTTTGAGAAGTTAGTATAAAATTCATGATGTCTGCTTTTTAACAGCTTCCAAGTCTCATATATTTTGTATTTTTATGCCTTGCAAAATAACTAATACCCAGTAGAACTAGAAATAATTCAATGCTAATTCAATTGATAGATTACTTTTAAAAGAAAAAATATGACTTATTATGGAGTAGATTTATCTATTTCAAAGTAAGTAACATTTTATGCATTTATTCTACCACTATATACACACACATATAATCAGAGTAACAGTAGTCTGCATAAATGACTTTCCTAGTGAGAAGTTAAACAATTCAAAGAAAAGAAAATGACATTTTGTAGTCATTTGTAGTCATTCATAAAATCATTCAGTTCTGGAGCTGGATAACAATCTCAGAAATTGAATAGAATGAGCTCCACATCTTTCAAGAAAGAGACTCAGAGAGGTAAAATAGTATATGATATCATGCATGCCCATGATTTTGATTACTAAATGAAAGCCAGCAATTAAAACAGAGCCAGGGCTTCAGTCAAAACCTCTTCTCTAGGTTTCACAAACATCTATCCATGTCCTTCGTGAATATCTCCATTATGAAGATCCAAAGGAACCCATGTTTCGCCTGAATCATCTTTCTATGTGATCATATTTTTTTGTAAAATACTTTATTAGCCCCTGACAACATTCTCTGCAAGTTTTTCTTACATATATTTTCTCTTCTCAATCTCCACTTACTTAACCTTGGTTTACTCCCACTTACTCCTGTATTACATGGGTTAATTTAGTAACTTCTTAGTAGTCTCTCTTCATCCAAAACTGTTTCCATTCAGTCCATCCCATGCATTGCACCAAGAATGATCTTGTGCCTTCACTCCTCAAAAATAAAGCCATTTTTTAGCGTGATTTTTCATTATTTTGTCCTACCTCTCAATATATCCAGACCCTTTTCTTGTCTCTGGGCTTGTGTATCTTTCGACTTACTAGAAGTTTTTTTAAAATATGCCATGGCCATTCACATACCCATGCTTCCAAAAATGCTCCTCTGTCTTTCTCACAACATTGCTCACCTAGGAAACCCACATTTATCCTTAATCTCATATCCTAGACATTATCTATTTTTGGAATTCTGTAGTAGACCTTTTGGTGTTCTGCATTATCCCCTCCAAGCTCATTCACGATTTTAAACATGGTTGTGGTAGACAATTCCTTGTGAGTTGAGGTTTTCCTCCAGATAGCAGTGTTCCCACTCAAACATCTTTCTATTTTCTGAGTCAGGACATTTTACGGTGTCATACAAGGCTGCTTCTTGTTCTGAGTGTGCACAGACTAAGAAAAAAGAAAAATTAACACTGGACAACCCTTAACTAACAGGGCTTAGGAACTAGTGGGTAACTCTACAGCTTCCTGTGCTTTAGAAGGAAAGTTCTGGTAGATATCGAGGGGGCCTTTATGGAATGAAGTTTCCATTGCCCAGAGCACAGCATTAATAACAAACAAGTGTATTGACTCTCTCGACTTTTCTTGACTCATTTTTCTACCTCATCACTTCTGCCTCCTGGAATTATCTAACACACTACATATATTTCAGTCCTAATGCCAGTTTCTGCTTTGGGAGAAAGACAAAAGATGAAAGGATCATTTTTATAACCCTCACCCTTAACATATTTTTAATTCCTCTCTACTATGCACTCTCTATATGTTCATGTGCATAAGCTTGTATTAGTCTTTTACATTATTTTTATTATTGTTTGCATTTCCTTTTTCTTACTAGATTGTAAGCTTATTGAGAGGGAAGTTTCTGAATTTTATGCATCATTCATTCTATTTCAAGCCCTTTATCCTAATATATAGCACATAATGAGTTCTCATTAAATATTTGTGCAATTTAAACTAGATAAGGGGAGGGGGAGACATGTCTTCAACCAAGTTTTCTGATTTCAAGATCATGTCTCTTTTTACTACATTGTGTTAACCTACCTGGAGGATAGAGGCATCTACAGTCACTTAGAAGGGACATTCAACTACCAGTGCTCAGAAGTATAGCATTCAAACTGTCAAGTCTTCCAGATCATTTTGTCCCTCTTGCTTCATTTTTCTGTGCTTGTGTTTGGGTGTTTTATAGCCAGTGAGAGAGAGTATAGTAAAAAATAATGATAATTACCTTATAGGGTTTTTTACAAATTAAAGATAATAGCATATGTAAAACATGTGGCACACCAAAAACAATAAATGTTTGTTTCCATTTTTATTATTTTGTAGGCATAGTCTATTTTGGCTTAAGAAATATTAGAAACTCTGAAGCAAGTTTTATTTGAGAAGATGTTTGAATACTGCCAAAAGTAGAATCTCAAAATACATGGCCTTCAATTATTCATTCTCTTTCATCTCCTACATTGATTTAGGTATTCATATATTGTCTGCATTGCCAAATACACATTAGGATGACAAATTGAGAGTGACAGGAAGTTATCCTAGAACAGTATGAAGTACTCAACAATGCTGTCGAATGTGTCCTGGGAATGATATGTGTGGTTTAGTGCACCATGTTGGAAAGAACACTGGATGATATTATGGACACTGGAGCTTTTATTCCAACTACTATTCTCAGTAAATATCCGTGCAACTTAAACTAGAGAGCCAATGAGAAAAATATGCCTGGAACTGAGTTTTCTGATTTCAAGATCATGGCTCTTTCCACTACATTGTGGAAAACAAAACAATGCAAATGAAAACAAACATTCAGTTACTACTATTACCTGAGATTGGACAAGTCAATCATATTTGGGGGACTAGGTTCTTCATTTGTACAATAATAGAGTAGATGACAGTTGAGGGGAGGGGCTGCCTACTGCACAAACATTTAAAACTATTGTGATTCATTTAGTGTTTGTCAAATAGAGTCAGCCATATTGGTCATAAACAGATAATTAATTTTTAAATAAGAATATAATAAGATAACACTATAACTACAATAGATGATTTCTACTCTCCTTGACAATTCAAAGGTGTTTTAGCTTACAAGGACCACTTTGTCAGAGTTATCCATTTGTGCATATATAATCATTAATCTAAACTAAAATAAGAAGTGATTTTAGGGGAAAAATGTTCCCAGTAAGAAGATGCTGATTAAATTAGTTTTTAATGCAATTGGGAGGAAATTCCTTAATGTATTTAAGAAAAAAAGTACTTTTTTGTAGACTATTCTGCAACTGTTTTGTTTGATTCACATTTTCTAATGAAAAAAATACATTACAAATGAAGTGAATGGACCATAATACATGCCCTATGCCAGTGTGAATGATGGATGGGCTCCAAGAAGAAACAACCAATGTCCACGATAGGCTTGTAATAATAGAATAAGTCTTTGGTTTTCTGAGGCCAATGGAAGTGAAAGTGTTTAATGATCCCATTTTACAAATCAATAATTTCCACTATCTGTCAGTATTCTTTTGTTTTCTTTTCATTCTATTATTCTATTCAATTTGGTTTTCTAGTTTTATAATTAGAAGTCCTTGAATATGAGTAGAGGGGAAAGAAAAAATACTAAAAGGGAATAATTTTGTAAAGAAAATAATTGCTTTTCAGAAAATTTAGGAAATTATCACTCTGCAGTAAGCAAGGAATGTATTTTGATTGAGTGATGGCAGATCTGTCTGAATGTAGTGAAAGATATTTATTTCTTGTTAAATGCAGCTCTTCATAACTTTAACTGTAGCTTTTTATGACCTTCAGTCAACAAAATTTTGTTTTGGTGTGCTGAGTGGTGTGCTGAGTGAGCTAATTATAGGTACTAGACAAGCCAGGGAGCTCTGATGAGGTAGCCTTGGTTTGGGGAAGGAGACTTGGTTGAAGGACTTGCCCTGAAATTGTGTGACCATGAAGCCAAACGCAGTATCCAGAGAGACATAGTTGTGTTGGACTTTGGGAGGTGTCCAATGAAGACCTATCCTGAGAAAAAGAAGGCCAGGATATTTTCAAACAGAATTCATATTTGAAGTTATTAGGTAATAATGCCATAGTTTTGCAGAAGAGCCCTATCCTGCACTAAAGTGGAAAAGAAGAATGCATCTCTATGGTCTATGCTGGTCGTTAAACCATTTTCTTTTAGCTATAAACACCCTTCTCTACACCATGATGCAAAGGCTAAGATTTTGCTAACCACTTTTCTCCATTTGATTAGGTTTATGTCAGATTCTGCCAATAGGGGTGCTAGAGGAAGATCAAAAGTCTGGTGGAATTAAAAGGATAACAGCAAGCGTTACCAGTAGAAACACTAGATGCTTTGGCTTTACATAGATGCTACCATGAAGATACTTCCTATTTTCTTTTTCACTTGGGTGTAAAAACTATGCTGTTCATACTCTGTACAAATGGAAAAGATGTATATTGCTCACTTTTAATTAAAAAACATTCCAGCCTATTTCTTACTCCTACTCCTCATCATACCTCCTCTCATGCTGCATCCAGAGACTATCTTGGTCCCAGATGAACACATCCTAGGCTTCTTTTGCAGCCTCCTCATAGTTGTGCTCTTCCATGGGTCAGTATTCATACATTCCATTCTCTCTCTAAAGTCCAGAGATTTCTTGAATGGTCTCATCTATTGATTCCAGTTCTCTTTACCATTATGGGTTTATGCCTTTTAGGAATTCTAAACTTTTATTTTGTTTGAATCCGGCTGTGGGAAAGAGGTAAATATTATGTACTCTATCCTCCGTCTTAAACCCTAAGTTTTAATTTTCTTTAAATAAATTCTTACAAATTATAATTGCCATTAATTTTTGCTCCCATGTCTTATTTATTCAAGAAAAGGAGTTTGATGATGTCTCCTTTCATTTTTCAATATTGTCACATTGTTTACAGATACATAAATTATTGCCATTTAGTCAGAAATTACAGATAAGATTTATACTCTGTGCAAGAGAAATATGTAAAGATAATGCATAAAACAAGCTGTGACTTCTTATGTGTCTTCATGTCTGGGATTTATTTCTTATTTGCTATTTGACCTTAGCAAATCACTTAACCTGACTGAGCTTCTGATTTCCTCATCTGTAAAATGATGATAATGATACTTATCTAATAGATTCATTATAAAAATTCAAGTAGATAGTATATACACTGCAGCACATAAATTATCAGGAAACTGTGGAAATTCTAAAAGAAAATATATTAATTAAGGTTATACAGATGATTTTTCTGGTACAATTGTGGATATAAGGTGATAAATGTGGCCCTAACTATTGAAGACAATAAAGACCTGGAAAAGCTAAATGCTCTTAAATGCACTCTTTTTTTTTCTTATACAACAGACATTACCTGAAGAAATTACCTGAGAAGCATAGAAAGTCTTCATATTCATTGAGATTATTTTGGAAGAGAAGTTCTGTTTTTTTTTTTTTTAACTACAGAGGAAGTTTAAAGGAGGGAAGAGCCAGCCACATAAATATAACTGCATAAGCACTGATGGCAGAATGATTCCCTAAAGATGTTCATGCCCCCATATCTGGAACCTGCAAATATATTATATTACATAGCAAAGAAGTCTTTGCAGATGACATAAAAGTTATGGATCTTAAAATAGGGAGATTATACTAGATTATTCTGGATAACCTAATCACATGGAGTCTTTAAAAATGGAGACTTTTCTCCTGGCTAAACCCAGAGAGATTCAGGGGAAAAGAAAGGCAGAGAGATTTAAAGCACAGGAAAGATTCCACATGCCATTGCTGGTTTTAAAATGGAGGTGGCCAAGGACTTCAGTCCTACAACCACAAAGAACTGAATTCTGTCAACAATTTGAATAAGCTTGGAAGTGGATATTTTCCCACAGCCTCCAGAAAGCAACACACAGCCCTCTCAACACCTTGGTTTTGCCCTGGAGACACTAGGCTGAGCCTGCCTGGACTTCTGACCCACAGAACTACAAGCTAATAATGAGATTTTTTTAAAGCTCATTAGTTTCTCATAATTTGTTACACAGAAATAGAAAACCAGTACAATAAAACTGTGAGCAGAATGTGTACAGCAGGCTCTGGATCTACAAAGGAGATCATTTTAGTCTGGGTAGAACAGTGGGTAGAAGGGACAATTTCAAATGACAAGACATATATAGGAGAAGACTTTTATTATTATTTTGTTAACAATGGGAAACTATTGAAGAATTTTAAAAAGAGAAGGAATGAGATCAGAACTTAGTGAAAGAAAACTATGCTGTGAATGAGTCAGATAGCTATGCAATTTTTTAGAAAATAATTTTGGATCATTGCATGGGCATGGAGATGTGAGATTTAAGGAAGTAAGGAGTGGTGAAAGAAAGAAGAGCTGAAATGTTTCTAACTAGTCTCAGTAGATGATAAAGTGGATAAGTAGGACAGAAAATGCAGAGATGCATTTTTATTACTAAGAGCATAGTCTGTGTGGTAAACTGTACCGAGATATCAGCTCACTCCGTGCCCCAGTGGTCTTATCTGAAAATGAGTATTGTAATGCCTAATTCTTAAGGCTGTAACAAGGATTAAATTAGATGATAAATATGCATTTTTAAAGATTATTGTATAATTAGATGAGGTGACTCGTGCAAATCTTGTATCAATGTGCTGGGGAGCACTAAATTAAGATAGGATATAATCATCTTTATTTCAACAATTTCTCCAGCTAATTAGAGGCAAAAAGCATAGCTAGAACTAGCTCTCCCGACATGTGATCACAGCTGTTTCCCCACATAGGATTTCCTGCCTCCAGAAGAGGATGGATTAACTATCTTTTCTCAAAATAGATAACTTTTCTTAAAATAGATTCTCCATTTACAAGAGTTATCTCAGTCTGGAAGCTATTTTTCTTCCTGAAAATCTTAGGGTGCTAGCTAAAAAAAGGGATGACAAATTGTTTTTCAGAGAGGAATAACTCAGTAATACTAGCCATTAACTGACTTCTTTGAACTTCTCATTTTCTCCATCCATTGGCAAATTTGCATCATGTCCCATAACATTAATTACAATATATTTGCCAAATGTCTTTTGCTAATGAACTGTTTTCCAAGCTCAAATGGTGGAGTTGTTGCCACTTGAGAACTTAGACCTAGAATTGCAGCTGGAGTGTACTGAGAGGGAGGAGATTCACAAAGACACATAGCTCTGACTGCTGGGAATAGTAAAAGTGCTATTTTCCAAAAGGAAAAATATTTGCAGTGTGAACCTCAAGATATATATTAAAAATACTTCCAACTCATTGCTGAACTATTTTAAACAATTAAATTCTTTTCAAGATGTTAGTCATGGATTTCATTTCTTAAAATACAAATGTGGAAAGGGAATAACACTGCTTATTTTAAGATACTGAGATAATGCAGGGATGACTGGCACATTAATCTCTTGGTTATTGGTGCTTTAAAAAATGCGAGAAGGGTGCTCAGAGTTTTATAAATGTAAACTTTCTTAACTAGCTTTAAAAGAGTTCCCAGGGATACAATATTTTCCAACATAAGAAATTCAATTTTGGTCCAATTTGCTTGTCTATGTTTATTGTTTTTATTTATTCATAACTTGACTTGTTCAAAAAATAATTCAAGATGTTTTATAAAGATATATATCTTTAAGCAGAATAAAAAACATGGAGAAAAACGTGAAAAAGGTGTAATAAAGGGGAAAATGTAGAAAGTAAGGCAGAACCAGCTAATAGCAACTACTTCAAAGCTTATATACTTGTTGAAGATGTCACACACTTGAATTTAAACCTTGCTCAGGGAAAGCACAGATATTTCCTTGTTTTGAGACCATAAATAAGTGTTCTTCTCTGGTTTACCATGAAAAGAACACTGTGTGGAATCAACGCCCATCCTCAACAATATCCACGTGTAAAACCTGACTGTAATTTGCAAAGCACTGTTGTTTTGATTTTCCTAAATATGGATAGTTGGCATGGCATCGATTCACATTTTGAAAAACACAATTTCTTCAATAGTTTGATGTAATACTGTCTATGTTACCTAGGGATATATTGCAGAACAATTGGGAGAATGGATTGGTATGCTTCTATTAGCCTCATCCTCCCTAAAATCTCTTCCCAGATAAGCTTTTTAAAGGTCTTGCACAGTGGGGAGTTCAATATTATGCTCACAGAGAGGTTCCTAAAATGTAGGTCCTCTGTGCCTGCTTCAAATTATATGAGCTAGGGAAAGGATTGACCTGCTTTTAAGAGACAAAGTAATGTGTGTTACAATTGTATTATTAAATTTACTGTAGAGAGTTGCTTTTAGTGATTTATAATTCAATTTACTTATCTAAAAATATTTATTAAATCTCTATTAGCTCCAGGACAGTTTTTCTGGAGGTCACAGTGATTATAAAACAACCACAGTTTAAGATCTCAAAAATTTTAGTCTTGGAAGAAAAACATACACAAGATACATTGCACAAGGACAAACTTGATGAGTGTCGAAAATGAAGATGGATTTGTCAAAGACAAGCTGAATGTAAATGCATGGATTTATATGTGCTCTCTCTTCTGTTCCACTGGTGCATACGACTATTTTTTATGCCAACACCATGCTGATTTGGTTACTATAGCTTTGTAGCAATTCTTGAAGTCAGGTAAAGTGATGCCTCCAGATTTGTTCTTTTTGCTCAGGACTGCTTTGCTTACTCAGGGTCTTTTTCATTCCATATATAGTTTTTTTAAAAAAATTATTATTATACTTTAAGTTCTAGGGTACGTGTGCACAACGTGAAGGTTTGTTACATATGTATACACGTGCCACGTTGGTGTGCTGCACCCATTAACTGGTCATTTACATTAGGTATATCTCGTAATGCTATCCCTCCTCCCTTCCCCCACTCCACAACAGGCCCTGGTGTGTGATGTTCCCCACCCTGTGTCCAAGTGTTCTCATTGTTCACTTCCCACCTATGAGTGAGAACATGCCGTGTTTGGTTTTCTGTCCTTGCAATAGTTTGCTCAGAATGATGGTTTCCAGCTTCATCCATGTCCCTACAAAGGACATGAACTCATCCTTTTTTATGGCTGCATAGTATTCCATGGTGTATATGTACCATATTTTCTTAATCCAGTCTATAATTGATGGACATTTGGGTTGGTTCCAAGTCTTTGCTATTGTGAATAGTGCCAAAATAAACATACGTGTGCATGTGTCTTTATAGCGGCATGATTTATAATCGTTTGGGTATATGCACAGTAATGGGATGGCTGGGTCAAATGGCATTTCTAGTTCTAGATCCTTGAGGAATCACCACACTGTCTTCCACAATGATTGAACTAGTTTACAGTCCCACCAACATTGTAAAAGCATTCCTATTATAGTTTGGGATTTTTTCTATTTCTGTAAAGAATGTCATTAGTTTTTTGATAGGGGTTGCATTGAATCTGTAAATTGCTTCAGGTAGCTTTGCCATTTTAACCATATTAATTCTTCTAATTCTTCCAATCCATGAACAAAAAATATCTTTCCATTTTCTTGTTGTCCACTTTAGTTTCTTTTGTCAGTGTTTTATAATCCCCCATGTATAGATCTTTCACTTATTTGGTTAATTGAATCATCAGTATTTCATATTTTTTGTAGCTATTACAAATTAGATTGCTTTCTTGATATATTTTGCCAATTGTTCATTGTTAGCATATATAAATATTACAAGTTTTTGTATGTTAGTTTTGTATTCTGCAACTTTACTGAATTCATTTATTAGTTTTAACAGTTGTTTGGTGGGGTCTAAATATAAAGTATAAAATCATGTCCACTATCACCAAGGCTAATTTGACTTCATCCTTTCTAATTTGGAAACCCTTTATTTCTTTCTCTTGCCTAATTGTTCTGGCCAGGGTTTCCAGTGTTATATTGAATAAAAGTGGTAAAAGTGGAAATCGTTGTCTTTTTCCAGGTTTGAGAGGAACACACTTCAATTTCCCCCATTCAGTAGATTCTTAGCTGTGAATTTGTCATATATTACCTTCGCAGTTTTGGGGTTATGTTTTTTCTATACCCAGTTTGATAAGGATTTTTTTTTCATTAAGGGATGTCAAATTTTATTGAATTCTCTTTCAGCATCTATTGAAATAATGACATGGTTTTTGTACTTGGTTCTGGTTTTTCTTTTTTCTTTTTTTTATTATACTTTTTTTCTGGGATACATATGCAGAACGTGCAGGTTTATTACATAGCTATACACGTGCCATGGTGGTTTGCTGCACCCACCAACCCTGCATCTACATTAGGTATTTCTCCTAATGCTATCTCTGCCTTTGCCCCCTACCCCCTGACATGCCCCAATGTGTGATGTTCTCCCTATGTCCATGTGTTCTAATTGTTCAACTCCCACTTATGAGTGAGAACATGTAGTGTTTGGTTTTTTGTTCCTGTGTTATTTTGCTGAGAATAATGGTTTCCAGCTTCATCCATGTCCCCACACAGGACATGAACTCATTCTTTTTTATGGCTGCATAGTATTCCATGGTTGTATATGTGCCACATTTTCTTTATCCAGTCTATCATTGATGGGCATTTGGGTTAGTTCCAAGTCTTTTCTATTGTGAATAGTGCTACAATAAATATACGTGTGCATGTGTCTTTATAGTAGGATGATTTATAATCTTTTGGGTATATACCCAGTAATGGGATTGCTGGGTCAAATGGTATTTGCAGTTCTAGCTCCTTGAGGAATTGCCACACTGTCTTCCACAATGGTTGAACTAATTCACACTCCTGCCAACAGTGTAAAAGCATTCCTATTTCTCCACAACCTCTCCAGCACCTGTTGTTACCTGACTTTTTAATGATAACTATTCTTACTGGTGTGAGATGGTATCTCATTGTGGTTTTGATTTGCATTTCTCTAATGACTAGCGATGATGAGCTTCTTTTCACACATTTGTTGGATGCATAAATGTCTTCTTTTGAGAAGTGTCTGTTCATATCCTTCACTCACTTTTTGATGGGGTTGTTTTTTTCTTGTAAATTTGTTTACGTTCCTTGTAGATTCTAGGTATTAGCCCTTTGTCAGATGGATAGATTGCAACAATTTTCTCCCATTCTATAGGTTGCCTGTTCACTCTGATGATAGTTTCTTTGCTGTGCAGAAGCTCTTTAGTTTAATTAGATCCTGTTTGTCAATTTTGGCTTTTGTTGCCATTGCTTTTGGTGTTTTAGTCATGAAGACTTTGCCCATGCCTATGTCCTGAATGGTATTGCCTAGGTTTTCCTCTAGGGTTTTTATGGTTTTATGTTTTATGTTTAAGTCTTTAGATCATCTTGAGTTAATTTTTGTATAAGGTGTAAGGAAGGGGTCCAGTTTCAGTTTTCTGCATATGGCCAGCCAGTTTTCCCAACACCACTTATTAAATAGGGAATCCTTTCCCCATTGTTTGTTTTCATTAGGTTTGTCAAAGATCAGATGGTTGTAGATGTGTGGCATTATTTCTGAGGCATCTGTTCTGTTCCATTGGTCTATTATCTGTTTTGGTACCAGTACCATGCTGCTTTGGTTACTGTAGCCTTGTAGTGTAGTTCAAAGTCAGGTAGCATGATGCCTTTAGCTTTGTTCTTTTTGCTTAGAATTGTCTTGGCTATATGGGCTCTTTTTTGGTTCCATATGAAATTTAAACTAGTTTTTTTCTAATTCTGTGGAGAAAGTTGATGGTAGCTTGATGAGGATAGCATTGAATCTATAAATTACTTTGGGCAGTGTGGCCATTTTCACGATATCGATTCTTCCTATCCATGAGCATGGAATGTTTTTCCATTTGTTTCTGTCCTCTCTTATTTCCTTGAACAGTGGATAGTAGTTCTCATTGAAGAGGTCCTTTTTCTTAAATATTTATCATAAGCTGTTTTACTTTTATTTCCATTTATAGATTTAGGGGCTACAAGTGCAGTTTTGTCATGTGGGTATATTGTGTAGTGGTGAAGTTGGGGCTTTTGGTATACCCATCACTCAAATAGTGAACACTGTATCCAATAGGTAATTCTTCAACGCTCAGCTCCCTTCCCCCTGACACTCCCACCATTTGGAGTCTACAATGTCTATCATTTTAATCTGTATGTCCATGTGTACCATTGTTTAGCTCCCCTTTCAAGTGAGAACATGCTTTATTTGACTTTCTGTTTCTGAGTTATTTCACTTACGATAATTGCTTCCAGTTTCATCCATGTTGCTGCAAAAAAACATGATTTCATTCTTTTTCATTTTTTCTAATAACTGAGTAGTATTCCATGGTGTGTGTGTGTATACCTGCATTTTCTTTATCAAATTCTCCACTGATGAGCACTTAGGTTTATTCCATGACTTTGCTGTTATGAATACTGTTGCAATAACATATGAACACAGACATCTTTCTTATATAATTATTTGTTTTCCTTTGGTTATATATCCAGTAGTGGGGTTGCTGAACCAAATGGTAGTTCCATTTTCAGTTCTTTAAGAAATCTCCTTACTTATTTCCAAAGAGGTTGTACATTCTCACTTCTGTTAATGTGATACATCATTGAACCAGTTATGCATCTCTAAGATGAATCCCACTTGATCATGGTAAATGATCTTTTTAGCATGTTGTTGAATTCAGTTAGCTAGTATTTTGTTGAGACTCTTTCCATTTATGTTTATCAGATACTGGCCTGTAGTTTCCTTCCTTCATTGTATCCTTGTCTGGTTTTAGTAACAGGGTAATGCTGGCCTTGCAGAATGTGTTTGAAAGTATTCTCTCTTCTTCAATTTTGTTGAGGAATTTGAGTAGAGTTGGTATTAGTTCTTCTTTAAATGTTTGGAAGAATTCAGCAATGAAGCCACCAGGCCCTAGGTCTTTCTTTGATAATGGACTTTTTATCATAGCTTAGATCTCATTACCCCTTATTGATGCATTGAGGTTTTCTATTTCTTCATGGTTCAATCTTGGTAGATTGTATGTGTCCAGAAATTTAACCACTTCTTACTAGATTTTTCAATTTGCTGACATACAGTTGTGCAATGAGGAAAGGACAGTCTCTTCAATAAATGGTGCTGGAAAAACTGGATAACTAAATGCAGAAGAATGAAACTACACTGTGATATTTCACCATACCAAAAAACATCAAAATGAATTGAAGACTTAATTCATTAAGTTCAGGCCTCAAAAGTACAGATAACAAAACCAAAAATAGACAAATGGAATTACACCAAATTTAAAAGCTTCTGCACAGCAAAGGAAACAATCAACAAAGTGAAGAGATAACCCACAGAATGGGAGAAAACATTTGCACACTACCCATTTGACAAGGGATTAAATATATAAAGAGCTCAAATAATTCAACAGGGAAACATCATGTAATCCAATATAAACAGGGGTAAAATATCTAAGTAGACATTTCTCAAAAGAAGACATAAAACAACCAATAGGTATATGAAAAAGTGTTCAATATCACTAATCATCAGAGAAATGCAAATGAACACTACAATGATATATTAACTCACCCCAGTTAAAATGGCTTTTGTCAAAAAGATTGGTAACAGTGGATGCTGGGGAAAATGAGGAGAAAAGGGAACACTCGCACACTGTTGGTGGGAATATAAATTAGTATAGCCATTATGGAGAACAGTATGGAGGCCGAGCGCAGTGGTTCATGCCTGTAATCCTAGCACTTTGGGAGGCCAAGGCGGGCGGATCACGAAGTCAGGAGATCAAGACCATCCTGCCTAACAGGGTGAAACCCCGTCTCTACTACAAATACAAAAAATTAGCTGGGTGTAGTGGCGGGCGCCTGTAGTCCCAGTACTCGGGAGGCTGAGGCAGGAGAATGGCGTGAACCCGGGAGGCGGAGCTTGCAGTGAGCCGAGATCGCGCCACTGCACTCCAGCCTGGGCTACAGAGCGAGACTCCGTCTCAAGAAAAAAAAAAAAATAGAACAGTATGGAGATTCCTTTAAGAAACTAAAAGTACAACTACTATATGATCCAATTCTACTACAGGGTATATATTCAAAAGAAAGAAAATGAATATATCAAAAAGACATCTGGACTTCCATATTTATTGCAGCACTATTCACAATAGCTACAATATGAAATCAACCTAAGTGCCAATCAGTAGATTAATCGATAAATTAAATGTGTCATATATAATGTATACAATGAAATATTATTTGGCCATAAAAATAATGAAATCCTGTTATTTGCAGCAACATAAATGGAACTGGAGGTCATTATGTTAAATGAAATCAGCCTAGCACAGAAAGGCAAATATTACATGTTCTCACTCGCATGTGAGAGCTAAAAAACATGGAACACATGAAGACAGAGAGTAGATTAGTTGTCAGGAGCTGAAAAGAATAGGGGCGGCCGGGCGCGGTGGCTCACGCCTGTAATCCCAGCACTTTGGGAGGCCGAGGCGGGCGGATCACGAGGTCAGGAGATCGAGACCATCCCGGCTAAAACGGTGAAACCCCGTCTCTACTAAAAATACAAAAAATTAGCCGGGCGTAGTGGCAGGCGCCTGTAGTCCCAGCTACTTGGGAGGCTGAGGCAGGAGAATGGCGTGAACCCGGGAGGCGGAGCTTGCAGTGAGCCGAGATCCCGCCACTGCACTCCAGCCTGGGCGACAGAGCGAGACTCCGTCTCAAAAAAAAAAAAAAAAAAAAAAAAAAGAATAGGGGCGAGAAGAGATGAATTAATTGGTTGATTAATTGGTAAAAACATACAGTCTGATAGAAGAAATAAGACCTAGTGTTAGATAGATTAGTGGGGTGACTGTAGTTTACAATAGTGTATTGTATATTTCAAAATAGCTAAAAAGAGAGGAATTTTAATGATTCTAGCACAAAGACAAATATTTAAGGTGATGAACATCCCAAGTACACTGATTTGCTATTTACAAATTATATGAGTGTATTAAAGTATCACGTGTGCCTTAAAACTATGTACATCTATTATGCATCAATGTTTAAAAAATAACTATGTTAATGAAGAATGAATAAGTTGCTTTGTAAGTTCAAAGGAGCATTTAAAAATCCAAGGCATATGTAGGCCGGAGGCCGGGTGCGGTGGCTCATGTCTGTAATCCCAGCACTTTGGGAGGCTGAGGCGGGCGGATCACCTGAGGTCGGGAGTTCAAGACCAGCCTGACCAACATGGAGAAACCCCGTCTGTACTAAAAATACAAAATTAGCCAGGCCTGTTGGTGCATGCCTGTAATCCCAGCTACTTGGGAGGCTGAGGCAGGAGAATCGATTGAACCTGGGAGGCAGACAGGGGTTATGGCAAGCAGAGATTTTGCCATTGCACTCCAGCCTGGGCAACAAGAGTAAAACTCTATCTCAAATAAATAAATAAATAAATAAAATTTTTAAAAAGACATATATATATTTAGGGGCCAGAGAAAGATAATCTATAGAAGAAGACAGACTAAAAGCAGAAAAAGAATAATAAAAACCAAAAGAGATTTTGATGATCTAGATTATAGGGCAATGGAAACCTTTGAGGAATAGGCTGAGTCATCTGTGTCATAAAGCTCTAAAGAAGTAGAGAAGAGTAAAATGTAAGGAACCTCCATTGACTGTGATAAGAGACTTACTAGATGTCTAGTAATGTAATAACTAACAAGAGAAGAATATTTGCCGTTTTGAAATCATGCTTTTTTATTACTTAAAAAGTTAGTTTTATCAAAGGCATTTAGTAAAATTCCATTTGTTGGAAGTATATTTGGAGTTCCTAAAGTGTGAACTCCAACTAGCTGCTAAAATAGAGCCAGAAAATTATTTCAGCTTTAATTTGGAATTATCTGCAGTGCTATAGGGCATCACATAAACATTGTCCTTCCTTGCTGACTTCTGATGCTCCCTTTGTAAATCAGGGCTTCCCAATTTATGTACTCAGCACACAGGGATTCTGTAAATGGGATTCAGGTATGTCATGAGACAAGAATACCCCATCAAATCTCTATACCCATATTGAAGTTGGTTCCAGAATAAAGAAAACATGATTCATAATAACCAGCTATTGCTACAGTGCTGCAACACTGGGTGCATGGCCAAGGAGAAGCGCTATCATTCTACCTCTATTTCAGTAGCTGGCAGCATAGTGCTACAACCCATATAGACATAAGTATCATGAAACTGCTTGGGTTAGTTCATGGTTCTCATGTCCAAGCTTCCTGGTTCTCAGCCAGGAAGGAATGGGTATACTAACCTTCAACTATGAAAATAAGTTGACCTAATGTCTCCAAAATTCCTTTGAACATTCTTTAGAGTAATATGCCATAATTTCATTTTCCTTGCATTGAATTCTAGAGCAGAAAATTTAAATGTTTACTATTTTAAGATGTTCTGTCAATGTGATGTAAGTTCTCTGCGTGGGCACACAATCTTTCTCTCTCTACGTATCCTTATGTACTATGTGGATATGTGTTCTACATATATATGCATTCTGTTGAAAATATATTCTATATTCTTTCTGTATGTGTATATTCTAAACATATAATTATCCAATATAAAATATTAGAATCTAAATACATACATTATTCCTATATATTCTGTAAAATATGTAATATAGAGAGTATTTAAAGATAAATAGAAAAAAATCATGGAAATACATTAGAAAAAGTAGTAAACAAAGTTATTCATTCTACCTTTGAACAATTCAGTGGCACAAAACTTATTATGAGTTCATAGTCCAAGCAGGTAATGTTTTTAATACCTCAAAGTTATCTGATGTATATAGATGTAATGAAAAGAGGATGATACTGGGAAGTACAACTGATTTTCCATGAAATCTTCTTTTTATTTTATTTTATTTTATTTTAAGTTCTGGAATACATGTGCTGAACGTGCAGGTTTGTTACATAGGTATATGTGTGCCATGTGGTTTGCTGCACCTATCTACCCGTCATCTAGGTCTTAAGCCCTGTGAGCATTAGCTATTTGTCCTGATACTTTCATGGAATCTTCTGCAGATATGCTGACTTCTGAATGAATTTGAAGCAGTTATATCAATATATATCTGTATTATATATAATACAATAAATCTGTTTCTGAAAATCCTTTCAGAAACAGATTTTCTGAAAGGAAGATGAACATTTTAAAAAATAAAGGCTATTAACTTTTATATTAATTTAAAGTTATTTCAATAAAATTGATTTTTAGAGCAGTTTTAGGTCTACAGAGAAATAGAGCAGAAAGTACAGAGAGTTCCCACAAACGCCCTCTTCCCTTACCCCACACACAGTTTTCTGTATTAATAACATCTTGCTTTGTGGTACATTTGTTACAAGTGATGAACCAATATCGACACATTGTTATAAATGGAAGTTCATAGTTTATATTCACTCTTTGTGTTGTACAGTTCTATGGGTTTTGCTAAATCCACAATGTCACTTATCCACCATTACAGTATCATACAGAACAGTTTTACTGTCATAAAAATCCCCTGTGCTGTACCTATTCTTATTTCCTCCCCAAGCTCCCAGCAACTACTGATCTTCTTACTTTCTCTGTAGTTTTGCATTTTTCAGAATAATTGGAATCATACAATATGTAGCCTTATCAGACTGTCTTCTTTCACTTAGCAGCATGCATTTAATGTCCTCCCACATATGTTTGTTGCTTGATGGCTCATTTCTTTTTATTGCTGAATAATATTCTATTGTAGGGATGTACCACAGCTTATTTATCTATTCAACAACTGAAGGACATTTAGTTGCTTTCAAGTTTTGGAATTATAAATAAAGCTGCTGTAAACATCTATGTGCAGGTTTTTGTGTGGACATAAGTTTGCAATTCATTTCACAAGGACTGTGCTTGTTGGATTACGTGGTAAGACTATTTTTCTTGGCCTTGTGTAGATTTCAGTCAGGGAAAAATATAGTCTTTTTTGCCTCTGAAAAATCTGTTCACAAAACCCAAGAATGCTACCTACATGTGTTAATAAGTCAGTGCAACATCAAGAGAGTTATAGCCACCAGTATGAGTTCTGCAAGAATACAGAACACTTGGCCAGTGTCACAATCAGAAATACAACAAATCCCATATCTTTTGGAGGCTAAGAAAGTGGAAAAACAGGTTGTGAATGTGCACAGAACTTGCTTGTATTCTCCAGAAAATTCAAATCCCTTACACACAGTAATCATTAAAATGTGATAGCAAGCACATTTAACCTCTAAAAGGTGATGATGGTGTTGCCTTCCTGACATTTGGTGAAAATACATTAACAGCTTTTCAACATATTCAACTTTTATGATTCTGACAAAGAAAATGAAACTCTAGGATGCTGTACGTTAAATATTCTCTAAGTATTCTAAACTAGCAGCTGCTGCTTTCTCCACATTTCAGTTCTCAACATGGAATCTTTGGATTAAAGCCATTGCACATTTCCCGTCAAAATAAGGGTTAATTTTAAACTCATTTTCACTCACATTCTCCAAGACCTCTGAAGAAAGAAATACCAACCCGTTATCTATCCTAAAATGAGGTGGTAGTTTACGTATCTGTAGAAGAAACAATCTGTGGAAGGAACAATATAGGACTTAACTGGATTTGATTTACATGAAATTGGTCCTCTCTAAGGTAGTACTCTTATAATGCTTTTGTTAGTCTGTCGATCAAAGCATTTAAAAATAATACTTAATATCTCCCACATCAGAGTTAACATTTAAATGTTTTATCTTAAGTGTAAAGTTTTAAGTTTATAATTTTTGTAGATTTAGGAATATTCACTTTATAACAATAGAACTATTATTTATTAAATGTTTTATTGAATTCTAAATGTAAATTTAATATAATCAGGAAACATATTTAAGAAATGTTTTAGAAAAAATATGAAGGGAAGTTTATGAGATGTGGAATGTATGATATTGTCTTAATTTTACCTTCATACTAGGTTCATATTTCAAATGATTTGTGCTCAAAACTTATTTTGTGCTTCTTATTTCAAATGATTTGTGCTCAAAACTTTAAAAATATTGCAGCATATTTGTCTTGAATCTCATCATAATCTAATTTAGATAAAAGTAAAAAATTATTTTTAGATAAAGATAAAAAAAGAAAAATACCACTTAGAAACATTTGAAATTTTTTTCATTTTTCTTTTTTTTTACTCTATGGATACTTTTAAGGTTTTCTTATGATCTTTTAAACAGTGGGGGAAATTGTATTTCATTACATTTTTCTTCATTATTCTTTTTGTGTTGTGCTTTGGAAATTCATAGTACACAGATGTTGGAACTTCCAGATATAACTTTCGTGTTCCTACATCTTTTCTGTCATGTTTTTCATTTTTTTTTTCTTTTATACTTCATTCAGAGATGACACTGGCTTAGTGTTCCAGCTTATTAATTCATTCTTTAGTGTTTTTTTTTTGTCACTAAACCGATCTGTTTAATTTTGTATTTTAATGGTTCCATTTTTGTATTATAGGATCACTAATAGTTTCCTTTTCAGGATGTGGTATTCCCCCACTGTGTTATTGCACTATGCATATGCAGTAAGCCCACTTTTAAATATTCTGTTGCTGCATAAATGGTTGCTTTTGGTGTTATTTCTTCTATTTACCTAGATGCCCCCTTTTCATAGTGTTGGCCTTGTGAGTTTCATAATTACCCCCAACTACTTGCTCATATTTGCATTTTGGAATTCCTGATCCATTCTTTAGATGCTAGTTCTGATTACAGTGACTTGTTTTTGGAGATTTTTGATGCAGTATGGAGTTAGTGGGGTGGAAGGATCCATGGGACTCTGCCCAGTCTCTCCAAGTTTAAGATAAACACTCCTAGCTTTAATCAGAGTTCAAGGCCCCTATGTCCCACAGGTGAACTCAAGTTGGGAGTGTCCAGCAAGTCCATCTTTTCTGGAATGTTGCCGCACATAAAACCACCTAGAGTACTGCAGAGGTTCCCCACTTTGTTTCTTGAATTCATTCATATTCTGAATTTAAAGATTCCCTGAAACCAATCATACTTTGCACAGCAGTTTCCTGCTCATGGTTTCAGATCAGATCTTTTTCAATTATTTCTCCAAAGGTATAAGTCAGTATTCTTAAATTCCTTAGAATGACAAGGCCTGCTATTGTACTTTTTTTCTGTTAGCCAGCTTTATAACAAATTTAAACTTTTCTAAAATATACTTTCTGTCATTTCTTATGATTTTATGTGAGAAATACATAGACACATGTTCTCAGTTGGCTCTCCTGATTCAATTTCCACTTTATTCTCTAAAGAAACTCTCATGTCAAATTAAAATGCAATTATTTTCTTATCTTGATAATACCCTGTAATTTCTCTAATGCAGTTTCAGAGGAATGATAAAAGCATATGGGTATTGCATCTCCTAAAACAGCTGTAAGCCAAAGGGAACAGAGTTGCATACGTCAAGGATTTAACATTGATACATTTTATGCCATCTTAAACTCCACCAGGAAGCATCATCCTGATGAGTTTCTTGGGATCAGCCATTTCAATTAACTTGTTTATATTACCAAGCCATTTGTATAAGCACAGGCTTAGCTGCCCTGCATGATGGCATAATGGACAGGTTAAATGATAAAGATAAATCTTTCTGTCTAGCTGAAGTCTTTGCATGTGTGTATTCACACACAGATCTAGACACATATAAATATCCATTCAAGACTAGACACACTACACACACATTCCTTTGAGACAATTCCAGTATCACCTACTATGGGAGGCTATTTCTGTTCCCTTTAGAATTTGATATGTGCCTTTTCATTGTGCTCCCAAGCACTCTATTCTCTCAATTTATATGGTTCACATAAGCCTGGAATGTAATTTTTTTTGTTTGATCTTCGCTATCCCCTCACCTTTCACTGAATCTGAGCACTCTCATGGCAAGAGAAAAGGGTATTCTTTATTCTTCTTTATCTTTCAAAAATGGTTTGCAATGATCTGTCTCATACTGAGTATTATGGGCTCAGTAAATATGCTTTTAATATCGATACACTCATACACATATATACACACAGACATGGGTATTCACATGTAACATCAACTATATATAAAGTGAATGAAATTGTGATAGTAAACACTTCTATCTTGCTTAACTTCCTCGACCATATGTATACTCAAAACTATTTGTTTCTAGGTATGATCAGCGCAAGTGCTCCTTGACCTATGATGGGGTTACATACCAACAAATTCACCATAAGCTTAGAAGATCCTAAGTTGAAAGTGTGTTTATGACTGATGATATTCTCAATTTACAATAGATTTATCCATATGCAACCCCATTGTAAGTCAAGGAGTGTACTGAAAGTGTATTATTTTCACACCACCATAAAGTTAAAAAATCATAAGTTAAACCATTGAAAGTTGGGGACTATCTGTACATATTTATACAAATATACTTTCTCTTTCCCCATGTAAAGACACACAGATTTAAGCTACACAGAGTGATTCATCCTAATAATTTAATTTATAATACAAAATTTATAGTTTCCCCACATAATCATAGTCATATATCAGTTTTTACATATATTTAAATATATACATCTACATGTACACATATTGTATATTTGCTAACATATAGTATGATTAGAAGTGTGAGGAAAAGAGAAAAGGAGCTCTTCTTCTTACTTTATTGCTATGATAAATTGGGTGATGATGACTCAGAAAGTTTGTGTGTTGGGTTGTTTTGATATATTGTATATTTTTCTTTGATTCTTTTCAAGGATCAGGAATTGACAGAGTAGAAAAGAAATGTCCTGCACTAAAAGGACCTGTATTGTAAAGCATGTATTACAGGCATACCTCATATTATTGTGATTCACTTTATTGTACTTTGCAGAAATTGCGTGTTTTACAAATGGAAGGTGTGTGATAATCCTGCAGCCAGCAAACCTATTGGCACTATTTTTTTCAAGACTATGTGTTCACTTCTTGTTTCTGTGTCACATTTTGGTAATTCTTACAATATTTCAAATGTATTATTATATCTGTTAGGATGTTCTGTGGTCAGTGATCTTTGATGTTACTATTGCAATTGTTTTGGGGCACCACAGATTGTGCTTATATAAGACATTAAACTCAGTCAATATATGTTGTTTGTGATCTGACTGCTCCACTGACTGGCTGTTTCCCCATCTTGCTCTTTCTTCTTGAGCCTCCCTATTCGCTGAGACACAACAATATTGAAATTATGCCAATTGAAAACCCTAAAATGCCTCCTGGGTGTTCAAAAGAAAGGAAGAATTGCACTTCTCTCATTTTAAATCAAAAGCTATAAATAATTAAGCTTGTTGAAGAAAGCATGTTGAAAGCCAAGCCACTTGCACCAAAGACTTCGTCAACTTAGTCAAGGAAAAGTTTTGAAGGACACTTTTAAAATTTGCTCTAATCGAGGTAGAATGATAATTACCAGAAGCTGGGAAAGATGTGTGGGGGGAGAAGGCGGATGAAGAGAGGTTGGTTAATGGATACAAACATACTGCTAGATATAAGGAATATGTTATAGCATTTTGATAGAGCACTAGTGTGACTGTAAGATTTGAAATGTGCCCAACTCAAAGAAATGTTTGAGGTGATGAATATCCTAAATACTATGATTTGATCATTATACATTGTATGCATGTATCAAAATATCACATGTACCCCATAAGTACGTAAAAATAGTATGTATTAATTAAAACATTTTACTCCAGTGAACACACAAATGATAAGAAAATGAAAGAACAGCCTTATTAGTGATAGTGAGAGGTGACAGCGTCCTGGCAGTCCTCACAGCCCTCGTTCACTCTCTGAGCCTCCTCTCCCTGGGCTCCCACTTTGGCGGCACTTGAGGAGCCCTTCAGCCCACCACTGCACTGTGGGAGCTCCTTTCTGGGCTGGCCAAGGCCGGAGCCAGCTCCCTCAGCTTGCAGGGAGGTGGGGAGGGAGAGGTGCCAGCAGCAACCGGGGCTGCACGCCGCGCTTGGGGACCAGCTGGAGTTCCAGGTGGGCGTGGGCTTGGCGGGCTCCGCACTGTGAGCAGCCTGCCAGAGCATCCGCCGGCCCTACCGGCCCCAGGCAGTGAGGGGTTTAGCACCCGGGCCAGCGGCTGCGGAGGGTGTACGGGGTCCCCCAGCAGTGCCAGGCCACCGGCACTGCGCTTGATTTCTCACCGGGCCTTAGCTGCCTTCCGGCAGGGCAGGGCTCGGGACCCTGCAGCCCGCCATACCTGAGCCTCCCACCACCTCCCTGGGCTCCTGTGCGGCCAGAGCCTCCCCAATGAGCGCCGCCCCCTGCTCCACGACGCCCAGTCCCATCCACCACCCAAGGGCTGAGGAGTGCTGGCACATGGCACTGGACTGGCAGGCAGCTCCACCTGCAGCCCCAGTGGGGGATCCACTGGGTGAAGCCAGCTGGGCTCTTGAGTCTGGTAGGGACGTGGAGAACCTTTATGTCTAGCTCAGGGATTGTAAATACACCAATCAGCACTCTGTATCTAGCTCAAAGTATGTAAACACACCAATCAGCACCCTGTGTCTAGCTCAGGGTTTGTGAATGCACCAATTGACACTCTGTATCTAGCTACTCTGGTGGGGCCTTGGAGAACCTTTATGTCTAGCTCAGGGATTGTAAATACACCAATCGGCACTCTGTATCTAGCTCAAGGTTTGTGAACACACCAATCAGCACCCTGTGTCTAGCTCAGGGTTTGTGAATGCACCAATCAACACTCTGTATCCAGCTACTCTGGTGGGGCCTTGGAGAACCTTTGTGTCCACACTCTGTATCTAGCTAATCTGATGGGGACGTGGAGAACCTTTGTGTCTAGCTCAGGGATTGTAAACGCACCAATCTGTCAAAACAGACCACTGGGCTCTACCAATCAGCAGGATGTGTGTGGGGCCAGGTAAGAGAATAAAAGCAGGCTGCCCCAGACAGCAGTGGCAACCTGCTCAGGTCCTCTTCCACACTGTGAAAGCTTTGTTCTTTCGCTCCTTGCAATAAATTTTGCTACTGCTCCCTCTTTGGGTCCACACTGCTTTTATGAGCTGTAACACTCACCACGAAGGTCTGCAGCTTCACTCCTGAAGCCAGCGAGACCACGAACCCACTGGGAGGAACGAGCAACTCCAGACCTGCCGCCTTAAGAGCTGTAACACTCACCGCGAAGGTCTGCAGCTTCACTCCTGAGCTAGCGAGATCACGAACCCACCAGAAGGAAGAAACTCCGAACACATCTGAACATCAGAAGGAACAAACTCCGGACACGCCTCCTTTAAGAACTGTAACACTCACCGCGTGGGTCCACAGCTTAATTCTTGCAGTCAGTGAGACCAAGAACCCACCAATTCTGGACACAATAGGGAGAAAGCTTTAACAGTCTGGATAGATTAAACTAGCAGTAGTATTCCTTTAAGCCAAAGCCTAATCCAGAGCAAGGCCCTAACTCTCTTAAATTCTGTGAAAACTGGGAGAAGTAAGGAAATTTTAAAAGAAAAATTTGAAACTAGAAGAGGTGGCTGTGTGAGGTTTCAGGAAAGAAGCCATCTCTATAATATAAAATACAAGGTGAAGGAGCAGGTTCTGATGCAGAAGCTGCAGCAAGTTATCCAGAAAATCTAGCTAAGATAATTGATGAAGGTAGCTACACTAAACAGCAGATTTTCAGTATAGATGAAACAACCTTCTTTTGGAAAAATATGCCATTTATGACTTTCCTAGGTAAAGAGAAGTCAATGCCTAACTTCAAAGAACAAATTGACTCTCTTGTTTGGGGCTAATGCAGCTGGTGACTTTAAGTTGAAGCTGATGCTCATTTATCATTCTGAAAATATTATGGCACTTAAGAATTATACTAAATCTACTCTGCCTCTGCTCCATAAATAGAACCACAAAGCCTAGATGGCAGTACATTTGTTTATAGCATGGTTAACTAAAGATTTTAAGCCCACTGTTGAGACCTACTGCTGAAAAAATATTCCTTTCAAAATATTACTGCTCACTGGCATAAATATCTGGTCACTCAAGAGCTTTGATGGAGATATACAAGGAAATTAATGCTGTATTTATGCATGCTAACATATCATTTATTCTGCAGCCCATTGATCAAGGAGTAATTTTGACTTTCAAGTTTTGTTATTTAAGACATTGTTATTAATACATATTGTAAGGCAATAGCTGCTATACATAGTGATTTATTCGTGTCTGTGACAGTAACATGGATGTAGCTGGAGGCCATTATCCTCAGCTCATTAATGCAAAAACAGAAAACCAAATACTTCATGTTGTCACTCATAAGTAGGCACTGGGTACACATGGACACAAAGATAGGACCAATAAACATTGGGAATTCCAAAAGTGAGGAGACAAGGATGGGGGCAAGGGTTGGAAAACTACCTATCAGGTACTATGTTTACTACTTTGGCTACATTAGAAGCCCAAATCTCAGCATCACTCAATATACCCAGGTAACAAACCTGCACATGTATCCCCCTGAATCTATTTTTTTTAAAGATGGTGATATCTCTGATGGATCTGGACAAAGTAAACTGAAAATCTTCTGGAAAGAATTTACTATTCTAGATGTAATTTAGAACATTCATGATTCATGAAAGGAAGCCAAAATATCAATATTAACAGGAGTTTGGAAGAAGTTGATTTCAGCCTTCATGGATGCTTTTAAGGGGTTTAAGACTTCAGTGGAAAAATTAACTATAGATGTGTCAGAAATAGCAAGAGAACTAGAATTAAAAGTGGAGCCTGAGATGTGGACTGAATTGCTGCAATATCATTATGAAATTTGAATGGGTTAGTTGTTTCTTATGGATAGGCAAAAAAAGTTTCTTCAGATAGAATCTACTCCTAATGAAGATTCTGTGAACATTGTTGAAATGACAACAAAGGATTTAAAATATTGAATAAACTTAGCTGGTAAATCAGTAGCAGGATTTGAGAGGATTGAGTCTAATTTTGAAAGAACTTCTACTGTGGTTAAAATGCTATCTAACAGCATCTTGTGCTACAGAAAAAATCTTGCATGAAAGAAAGAGTCAATCGATATGGCAAACTTTATTGTTATCTTATTTTAAGAAATTGCCACAGCTACCCGATACTTCAGCAACCACCACCTTGATCCACTAATTGATCAATCAGAAGCCATCAACATTGAGGCAAGACCCTCCACCAGCAAAAAGATTATGACTCACTGAAATTTTAGATGATCATTAGCATTTTTAGCAATAAAGTATTTTTAATTAATATATGTACATTTTAAACACAATGCTCTTGCACATTTAATATAGTGTAAACATAACTTCTATATGCACTAGGAAACCAAGATATTGGTGTGACTTATTTTATTATGATGTTCATTTTATTGCAGTGATCTGGAACCAAACCTACAATGTCTCCAAAACATGCCTGTACATGTATTTATACATACTCTATGTAGTTTGGTTTATACTTTATCAGTTTTTGTTTTGTTTTAGGCAGAGGAGCTGAGTGATTTATTAAAATGAGTCCAAAAAGGAATCATTTTACGGTAGTTGCTGATGAGTCTCCAAAAGTTCAAAAATTTTCATATTGACAATAAGAGTTGGGAAACAATGAAAAGAACCAAAAGAAACGGTGTAGGAAACTTGTGATTCTCCCTTTGGGGTATGCTAGAATCTGCCTGTAGTTATACTCTCAAGACAATAATGGGAGCTAAAGGTCCACCATGAGGAGAATAGGCATCTCTTTATAAAGTTATCTCATATAAGGTTATCACAGTTTTTGTAAAAAGACAAGGCTATTTTACTCAGACATGGTTATGGGGGTTGGGGGGAGTTTTAAGGATTTCAAATCTTGTCATTCAGTGACATAATTTTCAAATATAAGATTTATGAACCTAAATTTACATTTTAAACATGCAGTATTAAACATGTGGTCTGATTTTCAGCTATGTCCACACTGCGTAATAATGGTATAATTTTGAAGATTCCATAAAAGCGCTATAGTTTTCTGACCATGCCTTGAGTTTATTTTTTTCACTGTGATTTTATAAGCTCTTTGGTTAACCACATGTAGCATATTATCACAAAATCTTTGTAGACAGCATATTATAACAGTTGAGAATAACCGAACATGGTACTCCAAAACCCTGTATTGATGTGCACTTTATCTCAAGCACATACAAGTGATAATTTAATTGTTTTGCTATTGCATGTTGTGCACTAGTGTAATATTCCATTTTCTCCTGGCAATTGGGTCATAATTTATCCTCGATCATATCAGCATCTAATCCAAAATCCTGCTGTTGAAAGCCTGGTACCTGATACTAAGCAGTGTTTCTGTCACAGTTTAATATGACAGAAACCACTTCAGGTATTTCAAACAAAAAATTAGTATGTTGAATTCATGACAGATTGTTGGATATACTGGAAGAATGAAGGTTAAAAAAGATAGGAAGAAAAAACAAAACAAAAGTAAAAAAGGGCAAACATCAAACATCAGACATTCAGGCATCAAAACTTGTCAATGCTCTCATTCTCGTTGTTCATAAAACGTCTTTTCCACGTTTCCTGTGTTCATCAGATGTTAACTGAGACTCTGCTTCCTTCATTATTATCAACAACTTCCCTTGCTAAAAGCCAAATGCAGCAATGCTCCTGCTTATTTTAATAGCATTTTCAAGTTAAGGATAAGTATTATTTTTAGCTCTCTATTATACTCCTTACATTTCATTAGTTGTATCAGAACATTTCTCTCATCAACTTTCTTACAGTTTTCAATTGCCTACAGTGCCAACCAGACTCTTAGGGGATGGGACGTTCTGGATTAATTATCTTTAAAATTGATTTTTATCTGTTTCTTTTTCTGGTGTCCTATAGGGACTTCTCACCTGGGCTGACTTGTTTATATGCTGTTTTTGATATGGTAGCCCTGAGACAGAAGGGCAATGGTTTTCTTAGGTGGAAATAATGTGGATTGCTTCCTACATCTTGATTGTTAAGTCCAGAAAAAAAATCGTGATTCTGTGTGCATCAGTTTTGTATCCTACAATGAGGATAATGTTAGAGGTTTTCTCTGTCTCCAAACCTAGACCAGAACAATACACCCCCTACTTTAAGCACTGACTTTATAGGTGAGGAACTAGAGTATCTATGTGATTCTGCTGGACAACCCACCTATTTAATGCCCAGGTATCGTTTTTGGTTTTGTTTTTTCCTTGGACCTTCATAATTTGTGACAAAGACTGATCCCTTCCTTAATCTTCTTTCTTCCATTAGAGTTTGCAAAAGGTCACTCAGTAAATAATTAGACTATGAATAATAATGATGATAATAAAATAAAATAACAACTAGCTATGAATCATTACTATGTTTCAGCCTCTGTTCTTAATATGTACTACCATTAATTCTCACAACAACAATTTGACATAATAATATGATGGTCTCTATTTAAGAAGTGAGAAATATGAGGCATAGAAAAGTAAATTTTTTGCATTCTAGGTTTTGCATCTAATAAGCTATGTTACTTTATTTTCATCTGCTTTATTTTTCCCAGCATGAACACTCACACACATGCAGTCACACACACGCACTCACACACACATACATTTCATTTGGGATTTGGCCAAAAAAAAAAAAGTTACATGCAAGGCTTTGATGACTATCTTAAATTGGATCTACAGATTCATTAGTAAAAATATTTACTAGGGAAATTTAGTATAACAGATGTATATTGTAGAATGCAAAACAGACTTCTAAAGAATGATTTAAATTCACATATGCTTAAAAGTTATGCTTATTAAAATGACTTAGCTATTACTCATTAGAGGCATAGAGAAATCTTGGTTTATATAAAATTTATTTCTAGTCAATTGATATTAAAATAGTTACTTGGAATTAATACATAATATTTCAAAAATATTCCTCATTCACTCAAATTATGGACATATATGTATATATATTTAGATAAATTTTATATTTAAAGTGATATATAAATCAATACATATGCTAATAATGGTAACTTCCCTTGAGATAAATATCAAACATTGCCACAATAATTTTCTATCTTGCATATTTATGATTGTATATAATAGTTTTCTCACTGTACATATAAGATAACTGTCCTTCACTGTAAATAAAACCATCCTAAGTTACATTTTTCTTCGGGAGGAAAACTAGTACATATTATGCCTTCTGGGAGAAAATTCTCATTTCCAGATAACTAAATAACCTTTAATATTTTGGCATTTCCATCTAGCTAGTTATTATACCTTATGATCTAATTAGCATTTGGTATTTGATATCTCCAGTGACTAACAAGACCATCTAAATTAAAGCATTTTAAATCCCAATGTCATGTTAGAGAATTCTATTAAAATGGAAGAGAAACAGTGGCTTCCTCCATTTCTCAAAGTTTATCTTTGGGTTTGTTGGTTAATGTTTAATTCTCCAATGAAAACTTAATGATCTTGGAATGTCACATACTGCGAACTCTCAGTTTGCTCCTTTCTGTCTCATCTCTCTACTGAATTATCCAAAGACTTTAAGAATCTGAAAATTTCAGCCTTAATTGTTAGGAAATTTTTTTAAAACCTGAATACAATATCCAACAACCAATTTTTTTATGTATTCTAAAATCTCCTATAATATAGAAAGCAATTTAAAAAGTCCTGAATTATTGTAGTCTTTTGAAGCTCTAACTCTTTGAAATTAATTATATGTAGTATTTTTTCAGAAAACATTTTATGATATGGCCATACATATGTGCACACACACACATATCTTATGAAATCCTGAATAAAGTTTTCTTGATTACATTTTGCCATAAATGTGCCTTCAGAATTTTTTTTGTAGATAAAAATACATGGATTTTAGAAGAATTGGTACAAAACTCTGCTGCAATGGAATATGTCCCGTAAGAGAAATTAAGAGTACTTTGAGTAATTTACTGGGTATCTACATACTATATACCATGATACATACACAGGCATGTACATATAATAGTCCCACAAAAGACAGCAAGCAATTATCACAAGCAGACTTAAAATATCATCAGGTCTGCTGAAAATCAGTTTAGCCCATAAACTTTCACTAGAATCATCTACATAGCTCTACAGCTTCTCCTTCTGAAACATCACCAACTTTCTTTAATCAATATCCTGAAAAAAAATAACTATTAAGTACATGTGGTAAAAAGAACAATAGATGTTGGTGGTGAGAAGAAAAGAGAAACAGCAAGTACTAAGATTAAATATAAAAAGTCCTTGCCCTCAAGGAGTTTAACAGGATAAGGGGATAAGAGGTAACCAATGCAAATAGACATTAAAGAATGCAGTGGGACAAACTTTTCCTGCAAAAAGGATACAAATTAGTGCTTTCACTACAGCTGCTTCAGCTATGGAAGCATTGCCATTGTGGCATAGAAAGTGTTGCAATAGAAAATTCTGAAGGCACTTTGAAGTAAAACTGAGTTTGAAAGTTCTTTCCTGCAAAATCAAGGTGGTCATTCAACAAGGTCAAGGAAATTGTGCTTTGGGAATTCACAAGTGATCACATCAGATGTTTACATAATTAGGTAAACATAACCATGATTTTTTGCAGAAATATGTGCAGTGACAAAAGTGATCAGAAAGAGCATGTACTGTAGAAATTCTTTACGAAGATTCTTATCTTTCTTTGAGCAATTCTATTCTAAGAAATTAGAACAACAGCTGTGACTGAAGGAGATTTTTCGTTTTTTACATTTTGAAACTACTTTGGTCAGCATGCAACATAGAACAACAGGAAGCATGGAGAGTTTAGAGAATGTTACTGAATAATGGCAAAGGAAAAGAAAAGATCATGCTGAAACTTGTCCTTTAGAAACCTCTTGCTCAGGATTTCACAATGTCCCAGGAAAAAGAGATGAATAAATTAATTCTAGAACCATTCTATAGTTATAACTCTTGTACTTAAAGCTATATATTTGTTTATATTTAAATTAACAGTTATATTAATATAAATACATGTTAAATATGAGTGATATTCATTTAGTCATTCCCTACTATGATTCAGTTCTCAAATAATCCTTCTCGTCTTAGTGAAATAAAAAGGCTAAATCGCACACACATAAAAACATGGGTTCTGAAGTATAAAATATCTGGATTCAAACTGTATCTCCACCATTTACCAGATGTGTGATTTGGAGTAAGTCTCTTTGCCTTTTTATGACTCAGTTTCCTCAGCTATAGAGATAACAATACTATCAGCATTTTATGTAGTTGTAATGAGTAAATATGACAATGCCTGCGATATACTTTCCAAATGACTAGTATGAATAAGCACGTATTAAATTTACCTATTATATTTATCATCATGATTTGCTGCCTTCTTTCCAAATTTACTACAAATTGTATTGTCACATGAGGCACATGATCCCATTAACCCAAATAGATAAGAGTCTCAGTTATCCTTAGTAAAAACGGAGGAGGTAATTTTCCTTTCAGATTTTTTGCCAGGCTATATCACCTGTTCAAAAAGTCATAAAAACAGCAGAAATATTCCCAAGAAGACATAAACAAGGACCAAGTGAAAAAAGCAAATATGGTGTTGGGAAGTCTAGGGATAAAGCTAATAAGGTGTTGGGGGAAAAGGGAAGAATTAATTGAAGATATAGCATTTGAATAGGCTTTTACAGAAAGGTCCAAGGAAATGAGAAAGGGCTATCAGACAAGAAACAACAAAGATCACACAATTGGAAAATGTCAAGAGTTGTCTCTGTCATGAGTCTTTCAGTTTCCCTTGAATGAGTGAAAGAAACTTGTAGCAAGAATTCTTGGAATGACAAGTCTAAAGCATTCAATGAGGAATCTTGAACATAGGCTTGTGCTTTATTCTGTTGTTCAACCTATGTTTCCTCTTATATAGTCATAGAATTGTTAATTGCAGGTGGAGGTGGGCAGTAAAAGACAGCATTTTTTTTTTACTTCCATTGGAGTTAGTGGTAGCCATGCGCTAAGCTCCAAACAATAGGGTGGAAATAGATGTAATATGGATAACTTATTTTTGTATCCATCAAAAACAAAACAAAACAAAACAAAAACAAAACATGTCCTCCCTCCCTTCTATTTTTCTTCTGGTAGCTTGGATGCAGGTGAATCCCTGTTGGACCATGAAACCAAAACAGTATATTTAGGAAAATAGAGTAATCTTGGGTTTCTAAAGATTAAGAAGTCATTATACCATCCCCGAACCACCAACCTGAATTGTCACATGGACATAAAATAAACTTCTCTCCTGAATAAACTATTATTGTTATACACGTCTCTGTTACAACAGGAAAAAAGCCTAGATTTTGATTAACATAATTTATATGAGAATCTTTAAAGAAGTGCTTCTAATCATGACAATTTAACTTAGAATGTGACAAATGTTAACAGTGTCTCAAATATAGTTGACCTTCAAAATGTTAGTTCAAAATATTACAGTTTACTCACAAAATATGTTGTCATAAATATTAAATTGTGTATGATAAATTTTGCAAATGTTCAGCACTCTCTGGACCCCTTCTTTTTTTGGGGCTTATGAAAACACTGCACTCCTATTCCCTTGAAGCTAGGCATGGTCATATGACCTGCACTGGCTAATGAACTACGAATAACAGGTGTTGGTGTTAGGACGTGGCATTTAAAAGCTTCATGTGAATCTCCTACTCTCCTTTGTGGTCTCTATTCCAAATAGTGGAACCTCTGTCAGTCTGATGCTGGAGAGTAAATAAGCCCACTACCACTCTTACCCTAGGCAAGCAACAATTAACATATAAGGGAATGAAGAGAGAAATAAATCTTCACTGAGAACTGGGAGTTGTCAGTATCCCCAATTTAACCTAGAGCATCCTGACTTACACTTGGAGGAATTCAAACTATGCTGCCTGTGAACTAGAGAGGAGATTGCTTTTGCTGAAAATATTGTTAACCCTCTATCCCCACCACTAGTTTCTTGTCCTTATGTTTTCAATGACAGAAATGAGGGCAAGATTTCAAATTTTTTTATTGTAATCCAAGGGGAAATAGTAAAATCAGAACTTGTTTGCTGACTCAAAACCCAGGGTACAACTAATGGAAATTGCACCTGGTTTTTATCATAGCAAAAAATTTCCCCCACTGCATCATATTTATATGAATACTGAGCAGAAATAGGTGCAAAAATGACATAATTTTTCATAAGGCAAGAACTTCTAAAATATATTTAAGAACATATTTCTTATATATTGCTTTATTCCATTTGGAAATTTAATTCTTCCATAAATTAATCTTTTCTTTTGCTTATGAAGCATTGATGTGAAGTTATTCAGAGTTAACTCAGTAAGTTATCAAGACACCATTCCTTCCATCTTCTGCATGTAAATACCAATTCAAATTGGGAATGGCTGAATATAAAATAAATGTGATGAGGAACCATGATTGAAACAATAGGTTGTGCTTTTGGTATCCTCTTATTTTTTTAGACCAAAAATACTATAAACTACAAAACAAAATGATAGTACACAGGTGTTGTTATTGCATTACAGACCAGTGTGGTTTTTAAGGTGGTTGCTATGGTGACATGATCATTTATAGACTATAATCCCATTAGGAGAAAGTAGTGATAAAGTAAGCTCATTATAACAAACCTTATATTGCTTCACTTCCGGTTCTGTTTGTTTTATGGCAAATTACATTAGTAGAGCTATGAAATAACAAACAAAGAATGCCATACTTAGTCATAAAATATTTCCGGACAGAGGAAATGAGGATTTTGAAAATTACTGCAGATGATTTTTTGAAGTGTTAGCAAAATTTGGCAAATAAATGCAAATTATTCAGCTTTAAAAGACTAAATATGGATGTAGTCCTTTCTCCTACAACATGATCTTAGGGTAGCATTTTTGGATATATAAGCCAATGGATTATTTATACACAACACAACTGGGACCTGACAGGATCTATGACTAAAGAAAGAAGTCAATCAGTGGGTTGACTGTCTGAAAATTAAAAGCAGATACAGTTTTACTGTTATGTGTTTTCTCTTGCTTTATTTCATTGTATAATTGTTTCATTGGTCAGAATTACACTAAAAGTTTTGGTTTTTTATTTTAGGAATGCTGATTCCACTAAGAAAAACCAGATTCCCACCAACATATCCTAATGAGCATACACATTTTTACATAAGAAGATATAAGAAATCAGCCACCTGACTAGGAGGGTCTGTGCTGAGAGAGTTGAGTGAATTAAAAACTTTATGTAGCTTCTATTCCAGGAAGATGGGGTAGACATACTTTTCCTATTCCTACCATCTAGTACAAACAAAAACCCTGGACACTCTATGTAAAACAAACCTTTGAAGATTCTGAAAGGTAGAGAGAGAAGACAGGTCAGTCAGGGGCCCTGGGACTGAGGAACAACCCAGTGCTGTGTTTCTCTTTTGTTTGATCGTTTCTTTAATTTTTCCTTTTATATCCTGGACTAGAAACTGCAGAAGCCAGCAACCTGGAAACATTTATGAGTGGGAACCTCAACAGCCTTAAGAGTAGCCTGCTTGCTGTAGTCATGGGGCCAGGAAAGGGGCAATCTAGCAAGAAAAAACAAAAAACAGCAGCAACAATAAAACCCTTAAGCTTTTAAATAATAACTGCTCTACTCTAGTCAAACACTCCAGGAAAACTGCAGCCCACCCCCACTCAGGCCAGCAAAGCCCAAGTGAGAGCCTAGACCTCTACACTCACCTTCATCAGGCTGGGATGAGGTGCCAGTAGGTCTTGTAGGGAGCTGGGACACCAGCCCTCCTGGACCACACCAAGCACCCTCCACAGAAGAATCAGTAGAGACCATCTAGGAATCTAGGCTTTTACTTCTACTCAGCAGGAATGAGGAAAATTGCAGAGGTCAGAGAAGACCAAGTGGAAGATCAAAATTTTCACTATCATGCAGCAGCAATAAGGCCACCTACTTGTGGTATAAGTTGGAGCCTTGTGGGGAGAAGTCAAAAGGTATTCCTGTCTTTCTTTGCTAGGGTAGTGAAAGCCAAAACTCCCACACCTGCCTAGAAGCAAGGAACCCAGCTATGCCCCTTATGCATCAAAGGAGGCTGAGAGGGGAAACTGGACTCTACCACCAGCTGGCAGTAAAGTAGTAGTGCTCCTTTGCCTACCTGAGGAGAACTCACGTTACCTTCATGGTAAAACAAATAGAATGACCACAGTTTTCTCAACAGAAACAGAGGAAGCTACAAGAAAGTGACACAATATTTTTCAAGTGCTGAAAGAAAAGATCATGCTGTACATTAGATCTCTAGAATGTATTCATCTCATAACTAAAAGTCTATACCACACATACACACGAATGGTGACTATGGGTGGTGGTGAATGTGTTTATTAATTTGATTGTAGCAATCATTATACAATGTATATGTATATTGGATCATCATGTCATAAACCTCAAATGTATACAATTTTTGTTAGTTAAATATTTTAAAATAAAAAAAAATTAACAGAAAAACAGTCAAACCAAAATTCTATATTGAGTGAAAATATCCTTCAGAAATGAAGGGGAAATTGAGTCTTTCTCAGATGAAGAAAAGGTTACATACTGTATACTTCCGTTTATGTAACATGTTTGAAATGACACATTATAGAAATGGAGATCAAATTAGTGTTTGTTTGAGGTTGAGAAGGGAGTGAGAGTGAGAGGGAAGTGGGGGTGGTTATAAAAAGACAATGAGGGCCGGGCACAGTGGCTCATGCCTCTGATCCCAGCACTTGGGGAGGCCGAGACGGGCGGATCACAAGGTCAGGAGTTCAAGACCAGACTGGCCAACATGGTGAAACTCCGTCTCCACTAAAAATACAAAAATTAGCTCTACATGGTGGTACGTGTCTGTAATCTCAGCTATTCGGGCGGCTGAGGGAGGAGAATAGCTTGAACCTGGAAGGCGGAGGTTGCAGTGAGCAGAGGATCACACCACTGCACTCCAGCCTGGCTGACAGAGCAAGACATCATCTAAAAAAAAAAAGGGCAATGAGAAGATGGCATTGCACTGAATCTTGAATATTCTGGTTGTGATGGCTGGGATGTTATACTGTAGATATATAAGACGTTGCCACTGGGGAAACAGGCCAAACAGTGCATGGGATCTCTTTGTATTGTTCCTTACCACTGCATTTGAATCTATATCCTTTAAAAAATGTCTAATTTAAAAAATCTTATAGAGACATAATCTCCTCTTTTATCCTGGGACAGGATATTATCCTGTTTGTTTCTGGAGGAGAGATGTATATTCTGTCTGCATACGCTCTGAAAATGCACTCTAAAAAGCAGAATATTTTCAGCCTTGTTCTTCAAAGTATTCTTGCATTCTAATATAGTGCCTATGACAGTCCTATATGCATTTGTTGAGTAACTGAATTAAGGAAATGATTAATGACGAAATTACTGTCTATACGATATTAAAGTGAGTCCTATTATCACACAGGCAAATCTCCTGAGCTAGACAGAGCCAGCTTACTCCTACTTCCAAATGACAATCCTCAAATGACAATCTTCCAAATGACAATGACCATAACATTCCATCCTCCCTTTCAATATTTTTTTCTCAACTCCTGGGACTTCAGTCATTCTCTACATGCAAGAGATTTTTTATACCATTAGGCAATATGGTATTTTCTTTTGAAGGTGCTCTAATTTGCCAATATCCCAGATAATCTGAGACTCCATAACTGAGCATCGTAGGGAAGATACAGTCTTAGAATATGGAGCAGAGTTAGACTGTGGTCTTCCTTCTATATTTTAACTATATACTTATTAATATTTTATTTGCTAATAGCACAAATAAACTTTTTTTTTTTTTTTTTTTTTTTTTTTTTTTTCTGAGACAGAGTCTCTGTCGCCCAGGCTGGAGTGCAGTGGCGCGGGTCTCGGCTCACTGCAAACTCCGCCTCCCGGAAATAAACTTATTTTTTAAGAAAAACCTAAATTTACTAATAATCCAAAAGTTCAGAAACACCTTTGACATTAAAACGACAAAAATAAAATCGCATAATGTATTAAGTAGCAAAAATTTCATCCCTGAAGATAAACACTCTTAATAGTTTCTTGTTTATACTTTCAGAAACTAAATGTGTGTATGCTGGTAAATGTGTGTATCCTACATACATTTAAATATATAGTATATTTATAGATATATATTTATATTGAAATAAGTATATAGTTAAATGAATAGTATATATTTGCATATTTATTTGTATAATACATATATTAATATTATATTTCCATGCCAATTTGCACAGCAACCAAAAATTTGCTGAGAAACCTAGTGAGGTAAACAACATCATCCCAAAGGAAGGTGCATGTAGTATGACTACCTAACGTTTACTAAGTTTCCTTAAATGCTAAGTGTATGCCTATATGTGTGCGTGTGTGTACGTATATAAATTTTCTCAACAACTTTATGAAAAGGGTACAAGATCCATTGTGTTATTTTTATATATGAGTAAAATGAGTTCAAGAGATATTTAAAAAAAATTGCACATGGTGTCCCATTTGGCATATAGTGGTTATAATGTTAACCTCCTCTAATAAGTTGGTAGAAGGTTGTAGAAATTAAATGATACAGAAATATGTTCCAAAATGAAAAAAAATAATAAGGAAGCTAGTGACCGGATAATTCCTATGCCTATAATATGCAAAATTTATTTAGGGAAATTCACAAAAGTTTAATGCCAGTCTTGGATCAAGGATTATAACTATTTTTGTTTCTTTCTTCATGCTCATTTATATATTTACCATATATATGCACAAGTTTTTTAATAAGAAAAAGTGTGAAATCTATAAAGAAGTCAAAATAATAAATTTTACACATAATTTTATATATGGCTTTTAAAATTTACTATTCTATATAATAATGAAAACTCAAAAAACATTTTAAATGCAAAGCTAAATGGGAATTATAAAACACTTTCTACATATTTCATATGAAGGACTAAGTAGCTATTCAGAGGACTGTTAATAAAAATATTATTGACTGATAAAGTACTTAAATATATAGTAGAACTTTAATATATCAACAATTATTTCTACTACTTTTCCTGGCAAGTTTTTGTTTCAGTAAAAATCTAATATAAATATATAATAGAATACAAATATGTAATATAATATATGTATTGCATATATATATAAAATTTGTAAGCATGGATTCATATGTTTGGGTAGTAATAGTATAAATAATTTTGTTTTCTCATGTATAATTTTCTGTTCTTTGCATTTGTTTTATGAGTGTATATTATATAATCAGAAAGCAACCATAACTACAAACTAATTTCTCTGGCAATAAAACATATTAATGGAAAGTAGTGTTTCAATAGAAATGAAATAATATTCTCTAAAGTGTAATGTTTTTTTGTGAATATTATTTATATCGTTTCACTTTTATTTGCAAAATTGAGTCTCACAATATGACACTGATCGTAATGCTCTTTAAGCACTTGACCAGTATGCTATTTCCAGACTAAGCATTTCAGAATTGGAGAAGCAATATCCTCTTTGACATAAGAAGCTGCTACATTTGAATGTTTAATTATCTACTTCTATCTCATATGCAGGGAAATACTTTTAACTCTGTAAAGTTTTTATGTTGGAAATTCTCCCATTTGCCTTGCCATTGCCATTGCAGGCATACCATCTATCCAGCTGTTACAAGGCTTTCTTATGAAAGTTTTTTTTTTAATAGAATGCATCTATTGCTTTGTTTTTCTTCTTGAACACTGAAATCCTTGAGGACTAGGGGTGCTCATTAAGACTGAAATAGAAAATGAATGTGCTCTGCTTGCTAAACAAACATGGCATCTCTTTGTAAAGATTTGTTAATATAAAAGACATACATTAGCCTCCTTTAGCTAAGTATCTGAAAAAAAAAATGACCCCCAGTTGATATCACAAAATCCTGCAAGTAAATATATAACTAAACTGTTCATTTTCCAAATGACAATAATCTGATAGCAGATACTAATCTCCCACAGTGCCCTAGCACTAGAGTAGATTATTTGATTAATTACCACCCTACCTGAAAGACAAATGCTTTGCCCTCCATTTGAGCCTCTTAAATATACTCTAATTGCTAATTTCCACTTTTAAGTTCAAAGCTGTTTACTGAAGTCAGACAATTTTGCATAATGATGATTTCCTAGACCCAACACATAGGAGAGTCAGTGCTGGGTAATTATAGCAAAACAAAATAAAATCATTTACAAACACATATAAATGATTTCATATAACCTAGATATGGTCAATATCTAAAGTAGGAGATACTGTGATTTAGCAAATTTTTCAGTCTTATTGGATACCAATGGAATCTCAGTGGCCTGGAGGATGTTTCCTTCTTGTATTTTTGTGTGATGGACTAGAGAATATTCTGTATTTTATAATCCTGAGTATCTCACGAGACATTTTATGCACGCATTGAAGAGGACATCTTATCTTGGTGTGGGATATGATGCAATGTGCCCCAAAGTAGGTTCCACAGTACGCTAGTCTAGCATGATGCTCTAATGAAGAAGTGTTGCATGGTGACATATGTTGGGAAGTACATTATTCTATTTATACCCTCATACACACACTCATATTGAAGATTCATACTGCATTTGTAACATCAAGAAGTTTTGATAGTAATAAACCTGTTTAGCTTGCTTCAACCTCAAGTTCCCTAAATTTGTTCAAACATAGACCCTGTTTGAAGTCATACATTTTTATGTCCTATTGAAGAAATATTCTTCGGAACACAATTTAGATAATGTTATTTTAAAAATTTTACAACCAGGAGCATGCAAACATCATATGAAATCTTGGTCTACAGCAAACACTGACATCATTTTGTATATAACAGCTTCTCCCAAATTCTCATACAAAAAATTGCTTGGTAAGTTTTTTTCCAACTGGTTGACAGCCCACTCATTTAAGGGCACATAACTAAAGTTTATCCATCTGACATCATCAACTTCCAAAGCACATTACCAACAAAAAAGCCTGTGATAAAGTAGAAGGTACACCAGATGTAGATTCAGATTTTAGTTAGATTTCAAGTCCCAGTTATGCCTTGAGACCTAAAGAGAAACTGAGTGCTTTGGGTTTTTTTCATCTGTAACTAGGGATAAGATCAACTGACATTTAAGATTTTCTAAGGTTAGAGGGCAAAATGTTAAGATGTTATTACTCTTATAAGACCCTCAGAATCTTATGCTGGGTGCACAGCAATACACCAAAACAATGACACAGCAGAGTTTGTCACAGAAAGTATAATGGTTGCAGGGCAACTGAGTGAAGATATGGGAGGAGACCCTCAACTCTATCTCCCTGAGGAGTTCTGAGTTGGGACTTTTAAGGGGATTGTGGAGGGTAAGGGATTGGAAAATTGGAGTTATTGATTGGTGGGAGTAAGAAGGATGAAATCATCAGAATGTGGAAACTGCATTCTTTGGTGGGTCTACTTCTTGTGGGGTCCTTCAGATCAGTTGACGTCAGTAGTTTTATTAGTATGTAGGACCTAGAGAAAATATCGCAAACATCTTTCACACTGTCTATGTTTTTATCTATAGAGCAATTAAGGGGAACTGTAATCTGTGAGAAGATTTGCATAATTCTGGGGCAATAGGCACCAAACAACTATGAGTAAGCAGGTCAGAGAATAAGCTGAACTAATGATTATTGCTAATGATGCTGCAGGCTTGGTTTAGTTTTGTTTCTCCCTGTCCGTTCTTTCCTGATTAATTTTATAAAGTTTATAGGGGCAGTTTCACAACGTTAAGGGCAATCAATATGAAACTGAGTTCTACTGTAATTGCATTCTGAAGGAAACTTCATTGGGCTGGAAAGTTTGCTTCACTAAAAGAAGTTCAAACTTCTTCTTTATGCCTAAAAACATTTAATTAGATTAAGACATAAGATAAAAATATGTAGTAGTGACCAATTTGAGGACATTAGGGGAGCAATAAAGGGACTCAGGGAGCTATAGAACCAAATACCTTTGAGTATATAACCACATATTCTGCATGGCAACTTTCAACCCAAACCAACTGTTGTCTTACCACTAATGGAAGATGGGTTCCAGTGCTTGGGTTCTAGTGAGAAATATCCCCTTGGATATGTACAAAATTTTAAAGAGAGAGAGAGAGAGAGAGAAATATTTTTGACCAAATGATGGATAGGAGAAAGGAGAATGCATCTGATCTCAACACTTGAAAAAATTTTCTTAGAGAACAATCTTGCTGTGAAAGAATTACTTTTTTCTAAGATCCCAGTGTGTTAGAGTGAATGATATTTATGTAGTAATAGCAACAAAACATTACTTTTGGATTTTCAATTTAAAAAATCAGGCTGGGTGCAGTGGCTCATGTCTGTAATCTCAGCACTTTGGGAGGCTGAGGCAGGTGGATCACCTGAAGTCAGGAGTTCAAGACCAGCCAGGCCAACATGGTGAAACCATGTCTCTACCAAAAATACAAAAATTAGCCAGGCATGGTGGTGCATGCCTATAGTCCCAGCTACTCGGGGGCTGAGGCAGGAGAATTGCTTGGATCCGGGAGGCAGAGGCTGCAGTGAGCAGAAATCACGCCATTGCACTCCATCCAGTCTGGGTGATGGAGCGAGAGATTCCATCTCAAAAAAAATTAATAAATAAAAATAAATAAATAAATAAAAAATCAAATGAGAGACAAACACTGGTGCCTAAAGCAAAGTTATAGTATAGAAAACAAATGTAAACTTTTAATGGAAGTAATGATATAGTTAAAAGAGTTTAAGCATTAGATGGAAGAAGATAATTGAAAGAGTAAAAGAATGTTAAATGATCTTTAATAAAGGGGGAGTCAATTACACTGTCTAAAAGCTTAATGAATTAAAAAGTAAATAAATGTGATAAATAGATGTATGAAAATAAAATTATAATGAACCTGGGAGGTCGCTGAGGAGACAAAATAATGACTAGGGGAAGTTATCAAAATTCTTCATCTTATATAAAGTTACCTAAGTAGACCTTAAATTTGATAACATTAAGAAATAAAGTGATGAACATATGCAGAAACTCACCAGAAGAATTACAACAGAAATTCTAAAAATTAACTACCTCTAAGGATGAGCCAAAGATAAACAACTTTTCACTTCATACTCAAGTGTATTGCTTGCACATTTTGTGCAGACTTAATTTTAATTAAAAAATTGTTTGCTCACTTGGAGATTTGGATCATTTGAGGTAAATGTATTTTTATTTCTTTTTTCTCCTCTCTTACTGAAATATTTTCCTAATTACCCAGCAGTCTCAACAGACTGTTTTTGTTTTGTTTTGTTTTGTTTTAATCATCCTGCATAGGTTTATCGACCTTTACCTGAAATTGAACCATATCAATTGATGCATCCTGCCCCTGCTGAGTGCTGTTTTCCAATTCTGCACATAAAAACTTCTAGGACATGTGGCAATGGTAGGTATTAACAAACCTAGCAGAATCCCTTTGAATTCAGCTGGGATTCAGGAAGATACTCTAGGACAAAGAAACACTTTTGTGTACTTGATCAGAAATAAAAGAAAAAGACTAACAATAATTCAATAATACAAACCATAAATCACCACCAAAGTATATTAGAATATAACAGCAACAATTTATAAAATAACAATTATAGCTGTCATTTACTGAGTTCCTGTACTGTGTCATTGGACCTGGTAATGGATGTTTTTTATACGATGTATGCCACACACACACACACACACACACACACACACACACTCATACACAGGACTTTAAATTTTTTAAACTCTGTAATTAATATCTTGATATTTGAATATTGCCAAAAAAGTACATCTGAGATCATATAACTTTGTTAAAAGCACACAGCTAATAAATTCCAGGTCTACCTGGCTCTATTAGGAGCATTGAAGGGAAATAACATGAAAAGACATGGAACACATGGACCAAAATAAGAAGAAATAGTATTATCACTCATTCAAACGCTTGGCAAAAACCTGGCACCCAGTATTATCACTCATTCAAATGCTTGGCAAAAACCTGGCACCCACACCAACTGTGCTCTTTTCTTCACCCTCTACATCCAATCAACAAGTCCCATGATTTCTACCTCTGACATACAGCCAGGATCCTGCTACTTCTCATGTCTCTCCACATCCAGTATCCTGTGAGAAGCTGCCATTGCTTCCCTTCTTGGTTGTAACAACCACCACCTCATTTGTTCCCCTGCTTCTACTCCTGCCTCTTCTCCCATCCACTCTTCTTTTTTTCCCATCCACTCTTTATAAGGTATGTAGAATAAACTTTTAATTATGTAAATCAGAAAAAGTCCTCTGCTTAAAATGGCTCAAGAATTTCTTTCTGCACTTGTAATAAAATGTTACACTTTACCATGATTCATAAAGCTCTATGTAGTTAGTATCTCCTTTGCTCACTAAGTCCATCTGTGTCATCCTTCACATATTTCCTTGAAAATATTTAGATATCCTTCTACAGAGTTGTTGTTTTTTTTCCTGTGAATTTCATTTTGGAAAAGGAAACACCAAAATCACCACATGATGGAGATCCAATGGCACAGAGAAGGCTGGTTGTTCTTTAAAAAAAATATTCTGGAAAGCACATTTGAACCTGAAACAGATATCGCATTCTCACCCAAGTCTGCTTTCCATAAGGTACTGTTCAGTGGGGGAATACAGACTTCTCTGTAGCTAAAATCATTACTTCTGACAACTCATTGAAAGTTTAAATCTTTTCCTATCCCTGCATTTACCATGTTACTGCCAATATGGCAATAGATTCACCTTAGAGCTAACACCCAGAAAACTCCTAGAGGAATATTTTTTGTTACTTGTAGGTATATTTAGATTGCAGCTGTGTTACCTAGAAACTAAATTTGGGTGTTTTTAATTCACATTTTAATATCAGCCAAGTCCCCCTGTAATCCACATCATGTGCTGCAAAGGAAATGAAGTCATAGCCAGAGGAAGCTTCTCAAAAATATCCTTCCAAAATGAATTTTAAACAATACACACATGGTTCTTAATTATTTTATAATAATAAGCAGGGATAGTACAGAGTCCTCAATTAACCTTTGGACTCCTTTTTGAGTTTTGTTACTCTTATAGTACCTCTGAATTCGCCCCCTGCAAAGGAATCTTTTATAGGCAATCTGATATTTAGCTTCTCCTGTATCTCATTTTTAATCATGAATATTAAGACGATGTTTAAAAAAGTGATGGTTTTTAGTGGTTTTAATGTTAATGGTTATCTAGCTTTCCAAAGACAATGCTTAAATCACTCCTTAATAATCCACATTTCCTTGCTTTCAGAAGAATTCATGAGATTCCTGATCTCCTTGCACCCTTCAAATCAATTATCAAATTTACTTTTTATCCTGTTTAAATTTCAATCATCATCCCAAACTTTGGATTTTCCTAACTTTTCTCTATATTTGTTTTCCCATAGTAATTACTATCTTCTAACATACTATATAATTTATTTATTCATTTGTTATGTTTACTGCTTGTCAAGCTATTCTACAATCTAAACTCCATGAAGCCATGGTCTTTG